>NC_000001.11:161934587-163184587 GCF_000001405.40 Homo sapiens | reverse complement strand
TTAACTTATCACTTCTGCAAAGTCCCTTCTGCCACCATGGAGGGCGATTTGGGGATATAACTTTGGCCATCTGACTTGTTCCCCTTTCTCCTTTTATTTCTGTGTCTATGCCTTGCTAACTCTTCTTCTGTCACCTAGATACTTTTTCATTTAACAGACATTGTTCTTCCCTTTTTTTTTTTTTTTTGGAGGGATGGGGTGGTCAGGAAAGCTTCCTAACACTCTCTGTGGCTTCTCCAAGTTCTCAGGTCTTTTTGTTTCCCTTGGTGGTGTGTTTTATAACTGATGGTCTCCTGTCACCTGTGACTTGCATTTGAAGTACATAAAATTACATTTCTATTTGTTTAAAATGGTTCATGTCTACAGTCTAGAAAAGTGTACTCAGCCTAAAGACACCCTGTTGTCTTGTGGCAACAGGGTGACCTTTTGCTTGGTTCCTAGACTTTGTTGCTCCATTAAGCCCAGATCTCTGACTTAGAGACTCCTATTCCAGTAACCACACAATTTAAGGGAGTTTCTATTCTTTAGTCCTCAACGTGCAAGAACCACAGGGCAGACTGCATTGCTCATTGGGAGGAAAAGGAAGGAATCATCTAAGAATGCTGAGGAGAAGTTTTCAGGAATGTGATTTGCATGTACCTCGAAAACTTATGTGAAATTTTTAGAAAACTTATTAGGGAAATGTGAACTTCCATATTAAACATTGGAAGGAATCACTGGAGAGACGGGAGAAAGACAGAAAGAGGGCGCCTGCTTTGGGATCCAAGCCAATACCATTTCCTTCTCTGGCATGCAAGGTCCCAGCAAGATCTCCCTCAGGGAGAAGCTATCCCTTCGTTCTATAAACTCTCACAGAACTTTTCAATTATTCTTGTAGTTTATATCACTTTTACTCAATTTTCCTCAACTTGTCTGTGTATTTGATATTATCTAATTTAATTCTTAGCATAATCTTCCAAGGTAGATATTATCAACATTATTATTTTACCAGCGAATAAGTTAAACATCTGGCCCAAGGACAGAAAATGCACTCCATAATCCTGAGTTTACCTTCAGGTGTGCTAATTCAAAACCAAGGGCTCTTTCTGCCATATCACAGCTGCATCTCAATAAAAGCATCTATACATGTCTCCTTTGTAAAATGAAAGCAATTTCAGGTCAGGAATAATTGCTTATTAATTTTGTAAAACAACCCCATAGCATCCAGTAAAGTGCCTGACAAATGGTGGTTGCTCTATTAAAATCTGACAAGTAAATGAATACATAAATGAATTGAATGCATGAATCAGTAGATTGTTCCTGAAAATAGAAATCTTGGGAATAATAAGTGGCTGTTAAATTTTGGGGGGAGAAAGAAGAAATGGTTTGAGATCTAATTCTATGCTTCAGAAACAGTCCTCTTATTCCTCATTGTTATGTTATTTTCCTCAGCAAACTCTTTTAAAAAGCTGGCAAAGATAAATATTGACTAAGTATTGTTGTTTGTAGTAATGAATTTGTATCTTTTGTGTAAATGTATTATGAGAGGACACATTAAAGTTCTGGGAACTGTAGTTTTATTAAGTGATGTAATACATGTTAATGTTTATTAAGATCTCAATTAATTTTACATTTCTCCTCTTTCCCTCCCTCCTTCTCCAATACCTTTTACTACCCCTTTCATTTATATTTTTGTGGTATATAAAATGAGTTACTAGTGCCATGTACAATAAGAAACTTTCAGTCTATAAAGTCCCGCAGTATAATTCAAAGCAGGAGGACATGGAGACACTCAAAGACTTTGAATGACTGCAGTGTTCAGAGGAGCTCTCATGGGAATCCCTTCTGACCCCTCCACCTTTGGAACTCAAAATAAACCATAAATGCCTGTCTTCCTTGACCTGAGGACAATTTTCCCACTATTCATTATCTGGCTTCCAAAATGAATTGCCAAAAGTCCAGCCATCCTGCCAACAACATTTGGAATAAGATGGGAGAATTTAAGGTCAAAGAGAAATAAACTGTTTCTGTCTTGTTGGTCTTGTCCTTCCACTGTCTCCTTCCTTACCCCCAGTAACCTACTCTGAGGGATAGCATGTCAGAGACAGCCCAGAAAAGCATGGGAAATATCTCAATTTCCACGGGAATCCTTGAGTAGGGAGTGGCCAGTACTTGGGAAAAACAATACTCTTTTAAAAACTAAAGTAAAATGACAGCACCAGGGAGGTGATAATACAATGTAATTGAGCTGAACTAGGCAGCAGTGGAGGTCTCCACACTTGCTTTCTTTGTCACTCCATAGGAGTTCCCAATGAAGAGGCCAGCAGTGTATCTTCTCTTTGCTATCAGAATTGGTTGCATTATTATGAGGTGGAAATCTTCTGAAAGGAGTTTACCTTGAATGCTAGTCAAATAGATCTTTCTTGAGCCTATCCTATCCTATCCTATCCATTTATCCATTCAATTAACATATTATTAATCAACACATACATGCAAGATACGGTGATAGGGATAGGACAAATATGATAGTGACAATAATAATAATAGGTAACATTTATTGAGTATTTATAATACTATACACCAAGTTCCATGCTAAACCTATTAATGCATTAACTTATTTAGCATCGCAACATATCTATGAGTTAGAAATTCTATTATCACCATTTTTACATAGAAAAATGAAGGGTCGGAATTTAAATTAAGGGTTGGAATTTAATTTGTCCAATGTCACTCTGCTGGTAAGTAAGAGTTGGAATATAAACCCAAGCAGTGCGGAGCTGTGGTCTTATCATCTATGTCATCCTAAGAGTTAAAGCAACTTTACGGTACTTAGTTATTTTTAAGGTTATTTAAAATAACCTTCCTTGGTCTTCCTTGGGGAGACCAAGGAAGTAAGACAAGGCACCCATCCTCAAGGAGCTTGCTATCTAACTGGGAGTACATACATATGGGACTCTTAGGTATACATTTACAAAAAGCTAGAGTCATTCCGTGAAAACGTGCTATCCATAACTTGAGAAGAAGAAATGTGTTCTGTTCTTTGCTCTGTAACTTACTGGCCACGAGAACTTGGAAACATCTTTTAATTTCTGTGAATCTCAGTTTTTCCACTTTTAAAATGGGGGGATGCAAATTAAAAGCTCCCTGAGGCCCCTTAAATATGCCTCTGTTTTGTAATTTTATAGTAGATAAGAGAGAAAGCAGTCTGGGATGGAGTAGTTACAGAGGTTTCAAGAAAAGAGTGAGACTTGTTCTGATCCTGGAGTATTAAACTGGCATAGAGGTGGAGGGAGAAAAAGATGGTGTGCTTGGGAGATACTGAGGAGGGCAACAGGAGTAGGTGTACATGTGGTTGTGGAGAATAATGGGAAATAAGGTTAGCAGCTGAGGATGTTAGAAGGCAGAAAGTGATGTTTGAAGTAGATATGGTAGATCAGTGGTTCTCAAAGTGTGGTCCTGAACCAGAGATGTGAATCCTCAAACCCCACCTCAGACCTCCTGAATGAAGAAAAGCCAGAGGCAAAGGTTGCATACCATATGATCTTATGTATATGAGAAAAAACAAAACTATAAGGATGGAGAACAGATCAGCGGTTGCTAGGGATAAGAACAGGGGGGCGGGCGCGGTGGCTCACGCCTGTAATACCAGCACTTTGGGAGGCGGAGGCGGGAGGATCACGAGGTCGGGATATCGAGACCATCCTCGCTAACGCGGTGTAACCCCGTCTCTACTAAAAATACAAAAAATTAGCCGGGCGTAGTGACGGGCACCTGTAGTCCAAGCTACTCGGGAGGCTGAGGCAGGAGAATGGCGTGAACCCGGGAGGCGCAGCTTGCAGTGAGACGAGATTACACCACTGCACTCCAGCCTGGGCAACAGAGCGAGACTCCGTCTCAAAAAAAAAAAAAAAAAAAAAAAAAACAGGGTAAGGGCTTTATTACAAAGGGGCAGCATGAGGGAATTTCTGGGGTGACAGAATTGTTCTGTATCCTAACTGTAGCAATAATCTGTGTGTTAAAACTCGCACAATTGTACACCCAAAAAACGTGGGAATAAAGAAACTTTGGGGTGGAGCCCAGCTCTCTGTGTTTTAACCAGGCCTCCAAGTGATTTGGGTGTACACTGAAGTTTGAGAACTACTGTGGTTAACACAGAGAACCATTATAGGTGAGGAGGAAATTGTCTCTGCAAGGCTGGTCTGATAGGGAGTGCTGAAGGCACTGCAATAGGAAGAGGAAAATGGGCAGGTGGGATGTTACAGTAATTCAGACCTGGAGAAGGGTGGTAAATATAGGTATGAAGAAGCAAGGACACATTTAACAGGATTTCCTTGTCTGGGCGCAGCGGTTCACACCTGTAATTCCAGCACTTGAGGAGGCCGAGGCGGGTGGATCATCTGAGCTCAGGCATTTGAGACCAGACTGGGCAACATGGCAAAATGCCATCTCTACAAAAAATATTAATACAAAAGTTAGAAGAATTGGTTGAGCCCAGGAGGTGGAGGCTGCAGTGAGCCAATATCATGCCACTGCACTCCAATCTGGGTGACAGAGTGAGACCCTGTCTCAAAAAATAAAAATAAAAGGATTTTCTGGGAAGACAGAAAAACACTTGTGACAGATTAGCTATTGGCAATGAAGAAGAAAGTCTAAATAATGTAGATTGGAGCATTTATAAATTATGAGAGTAAGGAGAATATTACAGTTACATAAAAATGGGATATTGGGAAGAAGGGTTGAGTAAAAAGGAATACATGGTGCCATTCACAAGGCATTGAACACCTCAGGTCCTTGATTGCTCTCATTTATATAGTAAATATATTGAATGTGATCCTCTTGAAATCTTAATTTTTTATAGCTGGAGGAGCTATTAGAGGTTTTCTCACTAAACTTATTTCCTTTCTCCCTTTCTCTTTTTCTACCTTTTCTTTTTTGGCAGAAAACAGGAGAGCTCAAATAACATATTCAAGATCACCCATAAAAGTACTGACTAAGTTGATAATAGGATTTAGTCAAGGGCAAATCTTTTCCTGTTGTACTGTTTTGTTCTGTTTTTCTCTATTTCCAATTGTTATGCTCTATGTTACGTTCTATGTTGACAGCTGTCATTTTTTTCTGTTAATAATCTGGACAGTTTCCTTCATTGGCACAGGACTTTCTGTAAGTAATAATAATAATAAACCTTGCCACTTATGGAGTACCATAGTACATGTGCTGGGCACTAATATTAGTGTTTCACATATAGTAACTCACTTAATCACAAGAGGCTTATGAAATAGATACCATTATTATCTTCATTTTACAGATGAGAAAACTAAGGCAAGGTAAGGTTTAAAAACTTGCCAAAAGTCACACATGTAGTAAGATGAATCGGGGCAGTTTGCCTCCAATATCCAGGCCCTTTACCACTATGTCATTCTGTCTCTTGCTTTAAGAAAACAAGAGTTTAGTTTTGGTATTAATTGGATTTTCTAAGAGTTCAATGTTCCACTTGACTTTCTCTCTAGGAACAGTCTTTTTAACGTGTATCGTATTTGCTTTACAAGCTTCCAGTTACATAATCTGAGACAGGATTTTTGCCACAGTTGGGAGTTGGACATTGTCTCTCTCAAATGTGGGGAAGATTTAACACAATTCAACACGTTACTTTTGACTGTAGTAATAGAATAGGGATCTGGAAAGTATCTTATGATATTGCTTGGACAGATCCAGGTGGTCATATGACTTAGTTATCCAAAACAGCTGGTTGCTAGTCTTTTCTTGATGACTTTTCTTCTGTAATGGAAACTTCACCACATTTATTGTTCACGATTTCCATGGTTTCATCACCATTTTATGGTAAGTTCTCCTGAACACTTCCTGTTTAAGTTTAAGCAATCTTTGTGTGTGTGTATGTGTGTGTGCTGGGGTAGGGGCCTTTCATGCTTATAGATGGCTGGGTTTTGAAAATTTATAAATGCATCATTATTTATCAGTTTCTTGTTCGAAGCTTCATAATCTCTTGAAGCTAGAGCCCCTTGTGTGGGTTTAGGTATCGTCTTGGTTAAGGGTAGGAACCCTGGTGCTTTTAGGATCAAGTCTCATTAGGCGTACTACATTGTTGTACCCTTCTGTGCTCCTACCACCTCCCTGGACTCCTGAAAATGCATAAGTGGCTAGAGAAGATGAGGATTTGATTAGTTATAGAACCCTAAATCCCTGTCCTCTGACATTTTCTCAGGGATTCTCTCTTTTCCCTATTTTTCTGCTTCTTTTATTTATTTATTTTTAAATTTTTAATTTTTTAAAAATTCTTTTGAGACAGAGTCTCCCTTTTGTTTTCTAGGCCCAAGTGCAGTGGCACCATCTCAGTTCACTGCAACCTCCATCTCCCAAGTTCAAGCTATTCTTGTGCCTCAGCTTCCCTAGTAGCTGGGACTACAGGCACGTACCACCACGCCTGGCTAATTTTTTTGTATTTTTAGAAGAGACGGCGGGGAGTGTTCACCATGTTGTCTAGGCTGGTCTTGAATTCCTGACCTCAGGTGATCCACCCGCCTTGGCCTCCTAAAGTGCTGGGATCACAGGCATGAGCCACCATGCTCAGGCTTTCTGTTTCTTTCTTTGCCACTCATCAAACACAGTAGTCTTTCACTCCTTCTCTCTGGGAACAAGCTGGCGTATCTCAGTGATTTTGGGGTTTTGGAAAACAAATACCAAAATGGGATACTCTTGTCAATTATCATTTGCTTTTGACGTCACAACACAACTCCCTCAGAGGCAAGAAAGCATGAAATGCCTGGCAACAGTCTTTAAAGAGGAAAAATTACATGTGGAGGAATATATGCATTAACACCCGATACATTAATATGTATTTAAGCTATTATTATTATCTTTAAGAGTTGCTACAGATCACTTGTTTTCTGCGTGTTTGCCGTGGAGAGGGGTGACTGCGTGATCATGGGTGGAGTCCTTGCACCTAGATTAAGGAATTGTATGATTAAATGAAAGTCTGGTGACCTCATGTGGTCCTCCACACTTGGATATATCAGGGATCTGGGAGATAAAGTGTGTTTCTCCCCCAGGTGACTGAAGAAGAGGATGCCCAACAAGTAGGGCCAGGTTTATGAAAGCAAGACCACCCTATGCATAATGAAATCCAACTGTGCCATACTTTTTGGACAAATACTTATTAACAAGCTCATGTAAAATGTTTGTATGACTTATTCTATAATCTCAATAAAGTCCTAGTTCTTTCTGCCCTGACTACACCTTGTATGAAGGGTTTGCTCAGATACAATAATATTCTAAGCTGGGATTCTAATATCTTTTAGTTGATATCAGGCAACAAGAAATCTTAGCATCAATGTCTGGATAGAGGACTTTGTGGGAATCAAGCCACAGGTGCCATCTCTAAGGGTTAAGAGTGAATTACATTTTCAAAACCTTTCTATGGAATGGGTGGGGGTTTCCACAATAGTGTCACAAGTCCAAATAACTTGAATATTATTGTGACTGGAGAGCCCATTATCTAATGAACAAGCCTACGTGTAAACACTCACTTCTAGCACGCGTCCTGCTAGTTGGCAAAGCATCTGATTTCGATCTCTATAGGGATAGCTGAGGCAGCTACAGCAGCCACCTTTGGAGCATGGTCTTTCTAAAGAGTTTGCTGACCACTGTTGAGATGTGAATGCTTGATTAGGTCAAGTAGCTGAATTAACTATGACATACATCATGTCATATTGTAGTGATTACAACCAGCTAAAATTTTTTATTTCATTGTTTTTCATTTCTTGTTTTGTATCTGTCTTGCCCAATTTAAACATAAACTCAATGAGAGGACCTTATCTTTTTTATTTCGTTGAAAATATCAAAACATATTATAGCGTACATCATGTGGTAGGCATTCAGTAAACATACTTTTAATTTGTTGAATAAATAAGTGAACAAAAGGAGAGGCTGCACAGGGTTTTCTTTTTCTTTTTTTCTTTTCTTTTTTTTTTTTGAGACTGAGTTTCACTCTTGTTGCCCAGACTGGAGTGCAATGGCGTGATCTCAGCTCACCACAACCTCCACCTCCTGGGTTCAAGGGATTCTCCTGCCTCAGCCTCTGGAGTAGCTGGGATTGCAGGCATGCACCACCACTCATGGCTAATTTTGTATTTTTAGTAGAGACGGGGTTTCACCATGTTGGTCAGGCTGGTGTCGAACTCCCAACCTCAGGTGATCTGCCCGCCTTGCCCTCCCAAAGTGATGGGATTACAGGCGTGGGCCACTGCACCCGGCCTGCACAGGCTTTTCTCTGTCCACCATGGTCCTAAGAAATTAAGTCAGCTTATTTAAACAAGAACCCTGGGAGACTTCCTAGTCTGTTACTGCAGGTTACTTGTGATGGTCCCTTACTGAAAATGAGCTAACCTGGGGTAGCTGAGGTAACAGCTTGAACATAAAAATGAAAAGAGTTGTTATTAAGACAATCTGCTGAAGGGAAACGTTAGAACATATCAAGAGTTGAAAGGGTATAATAGATAAACGTGCTTTCTGTGAATATATTTGACACAAATGACATTGTCAGTTCCATCTTTTCAGCCATCTTATAGTTTGAAGGGGCTTATTATGTAATTAATCACTAATATGAGTGAAAGCCTAAAACACTGCTAGGGAATGATTCACTTGTGTTTAGAAACAGAGCTTTCATTTCTGAAGTCATATCATAACACATTAATACTACTACTACTATATATTCCTTAGCATTTTCTTCACCTTTTTATCATTTGGAGCACCCGAGGAGTATTTCATATTAACTAACCATAGAGTCATTTTCCATCATGTATCATATATTAATTATATAAATCAAGTAAGAAAATAAATACATGTTTTAACATGATATCACACTATTACTAAACTTCTCTTTCATATGCTGTTAAAGCACAAGCAATGAGTGAATTTTCTGTAGTTCAAACTGAAGTAGGTAAATTCAGAAATAGGGTAGATGGTAGATGCCAAAATGATAGATTCTTTCCACCACAATCACCCGGCACTGCCTTTCTCTGCAGTTAAGAGTCCATCTTGATTTTAGGGGCCATGCTGAGGATCCTGGCAAGTTGAGGATTTCAGCCCCAGAACTGAGCCGACTTTCCACTAGCATATTCTTATACTCCCGCTAAGGGTTTTCAAGATCATCCATTACCCTGTCTCGGAGCCACCTACAAGGAGCAAACTCCACTGATATGAAGTTTTAAATGAGCAGCCAGGAAGAAAGCTGTTCCAGCTTTCAGCAAAATGCATTCTCCCTCTTGATAGGCCCGCGCAGGGACCCTCTGGGCCCTCTTCCCTCTGTCAGTCTCTGCTGGGTTCTACCTCTCAGATTAGTTCTCAGCTGCACGGAACTCAGAGGAGCTCCTCTCTCCTCTGGTCTCTAATCCGGCAAATGTCTTACTCTCGGCTGTGGACATTGACGGCTAGCGAGTGTTTTAGAAGCTTGTGTTTCTCTTTCCTGGGTATCTATTCCAGACATGTTCTTTTTAGTCCGTGGAAAGAAACCTCGTAGTGTTTCTTCAGAAGGAAGCAGCCTGGAACCAATCTGCTCTTTGCTCAGTTCTTTGCTAATGCTCACGCCTTCCCACAGCCAGCAGGGGGCATCTGCGACACGGATTTAAATTGCATTGAATTTAAATTGGATTATCCGATGTTAGGACACCTCTTTTGGAAATGTGTTGTAAAAATCTTGCCTTATGCTTCTCAACTCTCCTCCCTCTCTTCTTCCTTCTCGCTGTTCCTGACATATGTCTGGCGTCTACAGCGAAACCTGTTTGTGATTGCCGAAAGCCTTTCAACCACAGGAATAGCCTATGCCCCAGGGCTACTTCTGTTTCTTTTAAATCCTGAAAAATTATGGTCTTATAATTGATTCTTTTCAGATTGCTAGTGATTGCAATTATCCTCCCTGCCTCTTCTCATCAGCATATGTCCTATATAATATGAGGAACTAAATGCCCCACTTGACCATTCTCAATCTCTTTCAAGGACAGAAATTGAATTCACTTACTTTATAGTGCTTATAGTCATTTAATGGTGTTACCTCTGTCCAGTTAGCAAATTAGAGACATCTTAGTCCTCCGTGACTCATTCTAAGCTGCACTCCAATATTTCACCTACTCCACCCCAAAATGCAGCTTTACTATAACCTAGCAATTCAGTTCATTCATTCATTTGCTCATTCATCAATTTACATGGCAAATCTTTATTGAATGCTATTAAATGCCAGGCCCTGTGCTAAGTGCTGAAGCTGTAATTGTGAACTAAACAAATGTTCACTCTGCTCTTGGGGACCTGACACTTTAATGGGAGAGATAGACAATATTCGCATATACATATACATATGGAGATATAAATGCCAATTGAAAAATGCCATGAATGGAAAATTCAGAGGGCTCTGAGGATATATTAGGAGCAGTTTTTAGGTATATAATATCTCCCATTGCACATTGGGAAGTTAGGGCTCCTTGAGGTTACAGTCTATGTTTGTTTGTTTGTTTATTTATTTATTTAGAGATGGAGTCTTGCTCTGTTGTCCAGGCTGGAGTGCAGCGGCATGATCTTGGCTTACTGCAACCTCCACCTCCTGGGTTCAAGCAATTCTCTGCCTCAGCCTCCCGAGTAGTTGGGATTACAGGTGCCTGCCACCACGCTTGGCTAATTTTTTTTGTATTTTCAGTAGAGATGGGGTTTCACCATCTTGGCCAGGCTGGTCTTGAATGCGTGACCTCATGATCCACCCACCTCGGCCTCCTAAAGTGCTGGGATTACAGGCATGAGCCACTGTGCCAGGCCTACGTTCTTTTGTTTTTATACTCCACCTACCTTCATCAGTGATTGGAAAAATATCTGCTATACAGTTTACATATATGTGTTTTATATTCAATTGTTCCAAGTGTCTCTGAAGCGAGAAACAACTCTGTAACCCTTGAAACACCTAGTATAAGATTTTATATATAATTGGTTCTTCACACATTCTGGTGGAATATAATTGTATTTCTCAAAATTTAACCATGTTTCTGTTTTTAGTGATTGCTTGTGCTGGTTTTCCACACTTATGCATCTTAAGGTGATAACCCATTAAATTCACGCACTAGCAGGAAGGACTGAGGTGGTCCGTGGCCTTTTGAGTTTTGACTTCCCAGCCAGCCAGCATACCCACACAGGGAGCAGATTTAAAACTGCAAAGCCCCAGAATTATTCAAACCGTTTTCAGTTTGGAATCACTAATGTGAGTCATCTAGACAAAGAATTATCTTCCTCTGAGCCTTTAATTAAACTTTAACTCAAGCATTTTCAATTGATTTTATTTCAAAACAAGTTTTTCTTTGTAAAACAAAAGAATAACAAGAGGAGGAAGAGAGATGACAGGAGATAAAAATAGTTTCTTGTTAATGAGCATTAATGTAATGTGGCCAGGAAAAAATGTCTAGTGTGCAGTCAAATAGAGCCCGAGACCAAGCAGGAAATTGTAAACAAATTAGAAAATTATCTTCTCTGGATGGTGTTGTTTTTGATGCCAAATTAATGTCAGATACATTCAAGTTTATCTATAAAGGGAAAATAGTTTGGTAAGCTGGAGCTATTGTTTTGTTTGAATTTTTCATTTGGTTTGTTTTATTTTCATATGTCTGTGAGGCTATGGTAGGGAGGAAAGGGAAACGGGGGATGAAATAATATTCCAGGGATTCTTGAGGAGTAAAACAAATCTAACATTATTTAGTCTTGTGAAAAGAGTGCAATGTTTAAAGTGATTTGAACTTCAGCATTTCTCAGCTCCTCGGCCTTTAAACTTTACTGTTGTATGAGCAGAAATGCAATAACATTAGTCATTCCCTGAACAATGAACTCCTAATTAAATTTAATAGACTTCACAACTTAAATACTCTTAACTTTATAATGCTCTATACTTGAGCCTATACCAAGCCAGAAACTGAAGCCATAGAAAGAAGTGTTTTCCAAAGCACTGAATATCTTTTCTCCCTTACATTTCCAGGGCAAATATGAGGAAAAGAGTAACCTGATGTTCTGGTATGTTAGTCTGCTCTGAAGAAATGGAATACGATTTTCTCTTGGCAATGTTATAAATGATAGTTGATTTCTAGATCATTCCACAAAAAACTCTATTTAAGCAGTGATATAGATAAAATAGTAGTAGGGTACTGATTCATCCTGGTTTTAAAAGGATTTTGTGGTATGTCTTGAGCATTTAACTACCATTTATAAATGGTGTTTTCACAGAAAATGCATTCTGAAATAGTAAAAGAAAATGTGAGATACATTGTGTTCATATGATAGGATGCCACGTCTTTAAATACAGACAGTTTTTGAAAGGCGCTTTTCAATAGTTTTATCTCTTGTTTGTTTTCATACCAACTTTGCTGCAAGCTAGGTACTGTATAGAGGTCCCTCCAACATCCATCCCTCTATCTGGAAGGGAAGCAGAGTAACTTCTTTGAATGGGCTTTCTGCTGTCTCACATTTCACCCTCTTGCAGTACAAACTACTTTTACATCCCTTAAAATAACACGCACCCACCCTTCCCTCTGGAACGCTCATTCTTTTCTAGCCCAACTGACTGACTGCTGCTCATTCTCTAGTTCCACATTTGCCTCCTCTGAGAAGTTCCCCCTGATCTACCGTTGTGGACACTGGTGCTCCTCTGTGAGAGTTCTGCTGCTTTCTGGACAGTCTGTCTTTAAGCACCCGTTTGTGATTGTTTCCACATCTAAGACCTCTCCGGGCTAAAAGCACCTTGAAAGCAAGGAGCAAACCTAATGGTGTTTGTATATTTACTGCATACTGCCTGACACAGTAAACATGACCAATGAGTTAATCAGTAAGGAATAAATGAATTAAGTCACTAATAATTCTTTTACATACATTCGATTTCTTTGTTCTAATTATCCCTTAATCTCCAACTATTATTCTTGCATCAGGAAATCAAACACAAATATTTTTCTGCCTTTTACAAAAGCAAAAGGCTCAAATGGAGCAAGAAATAGAAAAAAAAGGAACTAAATTTGAGAGGGGGGATAAAGTTAAAACCAAAACAACCAACCAAACAGAAACCTAAACATGAGAGACTTTCATTACATCATTGTTATCTAAATATTGGTGAGTGGACTATTGTGTCAAGGTTGAAACTGAAAACAGTTGCAGCATGGATTCCACAGATGGGTGCACAGGAAGGGAGGGACCTATGGAGCCAGGAGGATATGGATTATGGATGAAGGTTTTCACGGACTGGGTGGGATACTGTGTCCTAGTGCACCTTGCATCTCTGACTGTAATACTGCACATTAGTCAGCAGAGGGTAGCCACAAATATTGCATGCATTTCTCCTCCCCACTTAATGTTTTCTTCATTTTTCAGATAAATATAAAATTGGCAATTCTTGTCCCCAGAGGTAGAATATAGAAGGTTGTGGGTGTAGTAATTCCTTAGTAACTTGCGGGGAATTTTTTGTATGTTTCAATGTAATGTTCGAAGCTAGGGAACATGGGCGGTGGGTTGGAAAAATGATTGTGTAGTTAGAACTAACTTTAAAGAAGCCGTGTTCTATGCCAAATGCTGTGCTAAGTGACTCACATGCATTAGTATATTTAATCATCTCAAAAAGTCTTAGGATATACTATTTTATCAGTCCAAATTTCTAGGCAAAAGAACTAAACATTAGATAATTTAAGTAACTTGCAACACTTGGAATTAAAGCGACACTTATTCTAATTCACAATGTTATATAAGCTCCCTCGGCAGAACAGTCCCAGTTTTTACCCTAATGCCGTGCTGAGCTTGATCTGAGGTACTATGGGACCTGAGTTGGCTTTAGTCAATGAGAGGGTCTTAGGGAAAGAGTGAAAGCAGAACAAAATGAAAAGGAAATGACACTGTAGAGATGACTGTTCCTAAAACATAGTTTTCAAAACCATATTTACTAGCCTAAAGGAAAATATGTTATAATTAGGCATTTATGGAGTTTTTATAAGTTACCACAGGTTTCCTTACATTTTTTTTCCCTAATATCCGTAACTGCAAATCTTAGGCATTTACTTAAATTGCCTCATCACAGCCTCCCTGTGAACAAATGAGGAAAGTATGTGTACAATAGTAAAATCCTATTTGGCTGCCATGTGAACTTCACCACATCTCTTTAAAACTTTGGTTATGATTAGCATTGACTGGGAGGTAAATGTTAGCAGATTTGTAAAGAACAAAATCAAGATATTTTTAGTTCACTTTGGCAAATATTTTTAAATGTTTACTATATTGCCAAGCATTGTGCTAGGCACAGGGGTTAAAAAGTATTTAAGACTAAATTCCTACCATCAAAAAGTTCTCATATCCAAGTAGAAAAACAGAAACATAAGTCAATGACCATAATGCAATATGATGAACCCTGTCTTAAAAGCATGGGTAAAGTGCTAAGGTGACTGGGAAAGGGTAGCTTTTTGGGTCTCCCAATATTCAACAACTTGTCCTATGGATTAATATTTAAGATTTGCCTGGTGCTTTTCTAGTATAGAATTGTGATAAAGTGATGGATAGATTAGAAGGTTAGTTTTAAAACTGAGCGTGAAAATAGTTGCATCCCGTGATGGAGGAGTACCCAGAATTCTGACCATATCTACTCACTAAAATACTGAAGATACAAAGAAGCAGTAAATTCTGCTGTAGTTTGTTGTTTGGCAATTAGTACTCATTTATCAAGGCTTACTGCACATAAGATAGTCTGACAGCCATAGAGAACAATGGATAAGGAGTTGGAAACAAAAATTTTATAGAGAAATAAATAATCAAGTGGAATGATTTAATTTTATAGCTGGAAATAGCTCAAAAAACATCTAAAATGATGGATAACGTCATCATTTTACAGATGAGGGAACTGAGGTCTGGCAGTAAAAAGTGGTCATTTTACTTCTCAAAAGAAGATATTTATGCAGCCAAAAAACACATGAAAAAATGCTCATCATCACTGGCCATCAGAGAAATGCAAATCAAAACCACAGTGAGATACCATCTCACACCAGTTAGAATGGCGATCATCAAAAAGTCAGGAAACAACAGGTGCTGGAGAGGATGTGGAGAAATAGGAACACTTTTACACTGTTGGTGAGACTGTAAACTAGTTCAACCATTGTGGAAGTCAGTGTGGCGATTCCTCAGGGATCTAGAACTAGAAATACCATTTGACCCAGCCATCCTATTACTGGGTATATACCCAAAGGATTATAAATCATGCTGCTATAAAGACACATGCACACATATGTTTATTGTGGCACTATTCACAATAGCAAAGACTTGGAACCAACCCAAATGTCCAACAATGATAGACTGGATTAAGAAAATGTGGCACATATACACCATGGAATACTATGCAGCCATAAAAAATGATGAGTTCATGTCCTTTGTAGGGACCTGGATGAAGCTGGAAACCATCATTCTCAGCAAACTATTGCAAGGACAAAAAACCAAACAGCACATGTTCTCACTCATAGGTGGGAATTGAACAATGAGAACACATGGACACAGGAAGAGGAACATCACACACCAGGGACTGTTGTGGGGTAGGGGGAGGGGGGAGGGATAGCATTGGGAGATATACCTAATGCTAAATGACGAGTTGATGGGTGCAGCACACCAACATGGTACATGTATACATATGTAACAAACCTGCATGTTGTGCACAGGTACCCTAAAACTTAAAGTATAATAATAATAAAAAAAAGTGATCATTTTTTCCAAATGTCATATATCTAACAATAGTGAAGACCAGAGCCCTCAGAAGACTAGTAGGCAATGCATGCAGAGTTCTACCTGGGAACTCTAGCATCAGACAGCTTGGGCTCACATCTGTCTCCACCAAATACTGGCTGGGTTATCTTAAGTTATTTAAACTCCTGTCATTCCGTGACCTCATCTGCAAAATGGAAATAGTACTATAGTGTCTGCAGATATAAAATGAGAGAACACATATAAAACAATAATGAGGATTAAAATGTAGTGCAAATTAATGAAGGACATACTAAGAGCTTGATAAATGCTATTTATTAGAACTTATATATCCTAATTTCTGCATTAGTATTCTTTCTGCCACAAGAAAAATAAAAGTGAAATGGGATTTTGTTCATTTTTGTTTCTCTGACACAGGAAGAAATCTCTTCTTAAAATCTGTATGCACATGTGGTGTCCTCATTTCCCCTTGTGTCTCTTCTTTCAGGGCCAAGGAGATTAAGATCAAGTTGGGAATTCTCCTCCAGAAGCCAGACTCAGTTGGTGACCTTGTCATTCCGTACAATGAGAAGCCAGAGAAACCAGCCAAGACCCAGAAGTGAGTCATGAATATGGATTCCACTCATTTCCTCCAGAGGATGGCTATTTTCCAAGTGTTTAGCACCATTCCTCATCTGTAGAACTACCCCCTTCAATTACTCATTAAGGATCATAAGAGCCCTCAGAGAGTTGGTTTGCAAAGAAGCTCTTTTTTTTTTTCTCAACTATCTCATGTCTGGAGCATCTTATTGAATACAGGCAGAATACATAAAAAATAAAAGATAAGACTCTGCCTTATTTTTGAGAGACAGACATACTTATAAAATAGACAGACCATACTTATAAAATGATACCAGCCACTACAGCAGTGTGGTAAAAATACCTGCTCATTTACTGCCTTGGTAACCACTCCTGATCCAGTTAATTATGAGCCCTGGATGCTTACCTGCTGATGAACTATCTAAAGCTGCTTCCTCAGCAGGGTGATGTGAGAACATTTCCCTCAGAAAGATACTAAGGACAAGGCAGACAATTTCAGCCTAATCGTTCCTTCTCCAAGATAGTGCCCCTCAAGTTCCAACAGAGGAACAAAGTCTGTTACTTAAGTGAAGAACGAATACTGGACTAGCTATTTCTATTTAATGTACACCAGGTATTTTTCCCAATTCATAAATTAATATTCTTGATTGGATTTCTGCAATCCTCCCTCATCCCCATTCTCCTCTCCCTACACATTCCTCCTGTCAATTTAGGCATCCTAGGGAACTATTACTTCTAAAGAGTCATGATGTTATGGCAGTGAATCCAGGTCTCACAGTGTGCATTGGCCCCGCTTTAACTCAGGAACACGACTCCCAGCATTCCCATCGTTCATCATCATCCCTGCTAGCTGCAGAGACTGTCACTACCTAGACAGATACACTCCATCTTCCCATTAAAACAGAGATATCCATGAAAAATCAAGAAAGGAAAATGGGAAGAAGAAAAGGCCAAGGCATTCAAATTCCTTCGCTCTGCTATCTTAGAGCTTTGAGGATATCACAGAAGTGTGGTAAAAATATAGGAGTCCCTTTAACCTCCATTTCTCTTTTTAAATGGAATATTTGTGTAAATTGGCCAGCCTGTCCTTTGTCCAAATGACCTCAACTTACCATAGCTGGATTGATTGGGAGATAAAGAGATGAGTTATTCTTTCTCTTTTTTTAATCTTTTTCCATTAGCCTAAGTGAATATTTCCATTCCTCCTTTTTTTATTACTTCAAAGTGATTCTAAACAGGAAGTGAGGCATAATTGCGTTTTCTGCATTTGAAAAGGAGAAGCTAATTCAGTGTGGAGCAGCAGGCACCAAGCGGTAGTGGAGAATAAGAACCACATTTCATAGCAGCAACAGATCAAAACATCTATTTTGAAGTAAACAATGTGACAATTTATTGATCCGTTGGTATTAACTTTAAAAAAATAGAGTTCTACATTTCCTGCTTTAAATCTCTGCTTTAACATTCACATAGACCCTTAAACTGTTGAGATTAAAAGGGATTCAGAGAGAAGCTGTTCTGGAAGAAACCCTGGGGCTGACCATTTATTGGATTATTTACTTCTCTTGTCTTCCATCCCCTTTCTTCCTCCAGAAGCCTAAATTGTTTTGGAAAATTCCTTCATATCCCTAGAGAATAATTCTGTATCTATTGCATTTTCAACAGTGACCAATAAAAAAGTTTCCCACTCTCTTCTGAATCCACAGACCCCATCCCACCTCCTCATGTTTGGCAACTTTCTATGCCATTTATCTGACAGGAAATACTGTGTTCTGCATAAGCTCCATCTCTCTCTCTCTTCTCTCACTTTAAAATTTCTCTGTATTTTTAACTCATGTTCTTCTTTCAGAGGGGAAAATAATTCTTCTCTTGATTGGAGGTATTTTTAACCCTTCTCATATTCTTTGGGTTACTGACATCAGTAGAATCCGTTTTTTTAAAAGTATTTTCTATTTTTTAACATGTATTTTTGAGTTCTCACTTTTAAAAACAAAAATGGACCATTGAGAAAAACAAATAAGTGCTTATATTCCTACCCCCTAAAGACAGCTCTGTTCCCCTTTTTGCACTTTTAGTAGCCCTTTTTCCCTGTGGACCCTCTTCCCCAGGAGCAAACAGGTACCCATGTTCCATGCTGAAAAATTCTCTTCCCGCCTTTCTCTCCTGCTTCTATGCCTTTCTCTTACTTTTACTGACTAACTGTAGAAACAGAAGTCTGTACTCATGGCTTTCAGTCTTTTCTGTATCTCCTTCTTAACCAGCTTCAACCTTACTACCTCACCCGAACTGTTGTTTCTAAGGCCCCATCTGTGACTTGTCTGCAGCATTTGACAGTTCACCAGTTGACCTACTGTTTTTTTTTTGTTTTTTTTTTGAGACGGAATTTCGCTCTTTTGCCCAGGCTGGAGTGCAATGGCATGATCTCAGCTCACCGCAACCTCCACCTCCCGGGTTCAAGCGATTCTCCTGCCTCAGCCTCCTGAGTAGCTGGGATTACAGGCATGTGCCACCACGCCCGGCTAATTTTGTATTTTTTAGTAGAGACAGGGTTTCTCCATGTTGGTCAGGCTGGTCTCGAACACCTGACCTCAGGTGATCTGCCCACCTCGGCCTCCCAAAGTGCTGGGATTACAGGCGTGAGCCACCACGCCCAGCCCAGTTGACCTACTCTTAAAACTCTCTTCCTTAACTTCTAGTCCCGCATTCCCCACCTGCCTTCTCTTTCTCTAAGTGCTCCCACTGTTGCTCACCCTCTGGATGTGAGCATTCCTTAAGGCTCTGCTGTAGGTCCTCCTGAGAAACAATAGACAACATTAGCCAACCACATAGGTTTAGTTTGTGATAACTGTTATCATGGCTTACAAAATCATCAATTGTAAAATGTTAGGAGCTGATATAGATATTCATATAGCTTATTTTATATTATAAATGTCTCCCTTTCCCCTGCCTATGTCAGCAATTTTTAACCCCTTTTTCTGGTTTGTTGTTGTAGTGATCATTTTATACTAAAGAATGACCTCCACACATAAACAGTACCTAGCCTGTGCTAGTGGAAAACAGTTACAGAAAGTTGTCCTGCATACGCTCACCTGGTTAGGATGAGCCTGGTTGTGAGTACTAAAGATCTATGTACAATTTCAGGCCCGCATATGGATGTCAAAAAATGACATGTTTTGCTTGTTCTTAAGTCTGTATGCCCAACCGTGATGCCCAGGTCACCACTGGTTATCAGGTAAGGGCTCAATAAATGCTCATAAACTTGAGCCTGGTCATGAGCAGACTGTACTGTTGGGCAGGAAGGGAGAGGGGACTAGGCACATCTAATTGACAGTAAATAACTTGAATTTTCTTTTCCTTGTTAAGAGCACCAATGTGTAAGAACATTTTTAAGACATTTAAGTATGTGCCAGGCACTGCGCAGATTAAAAACCAAATCAAACCAAAACAATACAAAAAACAAAAACAAACAAAAAACCCAACCACAGGCACTTGAGGTTATAGCTAGTAAGTGCCAGCATTGCCAATAGCAGTAATAATGGTTCATGGGACTGGTCATTAAAATCTGAGTTTGGGGTTATTTGTGGCTTTCATCAGCCAGGCTAACTCAAGGCAAAACCATCATTCATTTACTTATTAATCTGACACACATTTATTGCAAGGTGGATTGATGCTGTAAGGGTACACCACAGGATAGGGTGAAATGGGAAAAGTTCTCTGTGCATGACAACCTATACCCTTCGGCAGTGAGTGCCTCATTGTCATGTGAGAGATTCAGTGAGTAAAAGTGGTAAGAGTAGAGTAAAAAGAGAGACAGCGCTTCCAGCAGAGATGGCCACTTCCTGGGCCAGGTGGCATTTATACTAGGCATTATAAAACATGTGGTTAATCATCTCTATAAATGTTTATTTTGAGTTTCATTTGAAATAGCTTTCTCTCTCTCCCCCACACTCCCACGCACAGAAACTCCATACCCATCCTCTGTGGTCAGCTATGACCTTGCAAACCAGAACATTTATTGGTCATTTAGATCTGCATCTATCTTGTTTCCAATGAAGTCAGACCTAATGAGGACTGGCAAATTCTGAGAATAAGGACAGGATGAACCTCTGTTAACTCCTAGGCTGGTAATCAAAATGCTGGGCTTCATGCTGTGGGGGATGTATCCTACTTGACTGTGCCCTTAAATCAATTTGGACCAATTTCACCCCCAAGCGGGCTCTGCACATTTCCTTTTCAGGAATTTAATCTTGGCTGTGATGTGCTGCTGTTATTGACCATTAGCCTGGTTCCAACAAGGCCATTTGGGAAAAATCAGATTGGATAACATGCTTAAGTTTGGTATACCTGCTCATGTCATTTCTTCTTCCTTTGCTCCTCTATACTAACCAGAGGAAAAGTGGGGCAGGAAAGTGATTTCATTTAATGAGAATATTTATAAAATCAGGAGATCCTGTGAGTAAATCAGCCTTCCTCTTGCTCTGAGCTACTTTCTTTTGTCTAATAATTTAATGTCCTGCTGCTTCTGTCAACAATGAATAGGGACTTGGTGGGTGTCTATTGTGTGCAAAATATTGAACCTACTATAGTGAAGAAGGTAAGATGTGTAAGACCTTGTGCTAAACATGTAGGCATGAAATAATATGTACATAAAACAGTTCTCCACTTGCAGTAATATAAAAGAGCCAAGAGGAGTTATTGACCTCTAGTAGATAGGTCCTTTTCTGGTTAGAAATAAAATGAACAAGAATGCTATAGAGACATAATTATAATCACCCCGTTCATGCCATTTTTTTTTCTTTGTGTGCTCCTTTATACTAGCCAGAGGAAATGGGAAGAGGGATGGGTAGCTCACGTGTTAGAAATAAATTTCTGAGGCATCAGTATGTTTTCCATCTATGATGCCTGTATTTCTAGCCAGCAAAACAGAAATCACCCAAGATTATTTCACAAGGTTTGTTACCCTCAATTTGGCAAGTTTAACTTGCAAAGAGTGAACACATGAAAGTTTATGAAAAATCATATAATCAGGACTCACAACCGATGCATGTTCTGCAATGAGGAATAGAGAAGTAAAGGGATTATTCACAATACTTTAGCCCAAAACCTACTGCCGTCTTGGACTCCTTACATAAATAAAGTGAGGCTGATTCTGCGCCTGGGACAGCAAAATGAAAAGTAGAACAAGCAGCTGTCATATCAACCAAAGCTGCAAATCTGAATAATTAACCACCCCCCCCCCCGAAATATCATTGTATAAAAACTAGAAGCAGGAATTTTTTTTGATTGCCTGGACAGTTGATAAACAAATTAAGAGCTAAGGAAATTCCAGTTTAGGAAAAACTGGCCTTAATATTCTAGTAAATGCTTTGTCAGTCTGTTTTGATTTGGCAACGAAGAACTCACATCATAATGCAAGAGTTCGAGCTGGGTGAGCCGAAGAGTGTGCAGTCAGCCATTTTTCCCGGACAATATCAGCTCCACTTGACACATCCTGCTGTGAGAGAAAAATTGGTGGTTGAGATGAAATAGCTTCAGGGTTTCTGCATATATAAATGTTAAAATAGAAACAGCCTAAGGAGAAATTATATGTTGGCTATAACCTTCTCCTTTTGAGTCAGCATCTCAAGCATTTGTGTATAACATTCCTGTTCAGGATATATTAACCACTCTTTTTTTTTTTAAATTAGAAAGAGTAAATCTTTAAAAAAAAGTCTGATCCTGTTATAAGTGGGTAGGAAAAATGCGCCTACGTTTTTAACATGTAAATTTGCTATGATCACAATCCCAACATAAGGAAAGCATTATACACTCACATCTTCCACTATCCTTAATTAGACAGCTTTGGGATGTGGATGTGGAACCCCAATGCCCTCTGCTGATTCAGTTAGGTGGTTAACATGCAGTATTGGTGAGGCAGAGAACAGGAGTTCAATCTCTGTAATGGGACAACTGGATTTCATGAAGTTATATTTGGAAAAAAGACCACAGTTGGAACAACTTTCATGGGATACATAAGACTATCAAGACACAGCTTAATGTCAAACGAACTCTACTTTTAAAAAGGGAAAGACCTAACCAAAATGTTCAAAAAAGATGAAGATATGCAATAAAGATGTATGAAAGCAAACCCAGCTCATCAAACCCAATTGTTAGAGAGAAAATAACTTAAACTTCCTTGTCCTGAGGATAGACCAGCAGTCATATCATTTCCATCTAAGAGAAACAGGAAGTAGTTATTGCTGGTACATGTGGTTCAATGCCTACTTACGCCATACCCCTTTTCTCTCCTTATTATTGATGTAGAACCTCGCTGGACGAGGCCCTGCAGTGGCGTGATTCCCTGGACAAACTCCTGCAGAACAACTGTAAGTTTCCATTGTTTGTTTTTTTAAATAAAGGTCAGGTTAGAGACAGAAACAAAAAACATCTTTGTATTACCTGTGTTCTTCTTCCCCAATGTTGACATTTCTTCAATTTTTGAAGGTGATATCAATAAGGGAAGGGGGCTGCAGGTATGTGATTATCCAGTTCACAAGAAAAGGAGGGTCTGTGGCACTATGAGGGAATGTGAACATAAGGTGTTCTGAAGACTCATGATTGCAGTTGTGTTCCCATCTGTCCTGCTTACTTGCATGAGCCAGAACAAGTGGCTTGACCTCCTCAACATTCTCATCAGTAAAATAGAGAAATTACATTTCCTGACTTAGCCTCATAATAAATTGATAAAGATCAGATATAGCAGCATAAAGATCGCTAACAAGTCATGAGTAGTACATCCTGGTTCAAACTATTATACTGTCAACTGCTCTTGTGACCTGACATGGGTTGTTATCTCCCCCAGCCTCCGTTTCCTCTTCTGGCACCATGCCTTTTACATCTTAATTCAAGAAATGACAAAGGTGCTGATCAGTGCAGACTCTTTTCCAAGCTAATACCAGTGCATCAATAAGCACTAGGTGCATTTCCCCAATCCAAAATCCTTACTGATTCCCATGGCTTACAGTACCAAGTTCAAATTTCTGATGTTCAAGATCACCATAACTATATGGCCGGTCTGCAGGCAAATTGAACAGTTCTCTGTTCCATATAGGATTTCTACATATAATCCCCTTGGCTGGAATATCTTTTACTCATATCTCTCTCTCTTGAAATTCTCCCTCTCCTATAATAGATAATTCAAATAAGAAATGCCTAGTGTTCCTTGACCATCCAGAACAATTTATCCACCCTCTGAAATTCCAAAGTCATTTGTCTGCACATCTTTTATTCTACTTAATACTTGCTGCCTTATGTTCTGTTCATAGTTGGCTCACTTCTATGATAGGTTATAAACTCACAAACGGGCAAGAATTAGTCTTTTTCATGTAGATAATTTCAAAACAGGAAGTATATAGTATCGGGAAAACAAATATTTGTTGAATAATTCACTCTAAAAGTATGAGTCAATTTAAAATACCCTACCTATATTTCTCCATCTTTATAACAAGAATGGAATATGAAACTTTGTCACATGCTTTGCAAAGATAAGGATTTACAAAATATTTCTCACAAGACCATTATGATTAATGGGCACAGAGTAGATGACAAAGAATATATGTTGAATTGTATATGAACATTCCTTATGTCTTGCTTTTGGTGTCATAAGCTTCTGCTTACCTGCAATAGAATTAATCTTTTATTTTTGGAGACAGAACCCCACAGTCTCTAATTTGGAACTTTCTCTAGCTTATTCATTTCTGATTCTCTCTCTTTTTTTCTTGTGCTAAACAAAGTACCCTGCCCTGACACATGTAAGATGTTTGGTGAATAGTTATGTAGTGAATGAGTGAATGAACTAAATTCATTTTGCTTCTTGGACCTAGAAATTCCACAAGGTCAACTAGTAGAATAATATTTATGTTTATTAATGGACTTATTGTCTTGCCTTAGTGGTTTCTGGGCCAATAGCAGATTGACAGATGACCTATTGATAAATTATGAATACTAGTACTCTGAGCACAGGTATTTATTGCTATTGTCAAAAAACCTGAGAGTTAGCAGAACTATTTTCATGTTTTCAAAACCTTTAAGGAGAAGAATAAATATTTATGTGCCCATATATAATCCTTTTCAGTCACACTAAATCCTTAGGGCTACATGTCTATATATTTCAGGCTTTTAGGAGACAGAGAGCTACTAGAATAAGAAAGCTAGGGTTAGATAGAGTTAAAGAGAGTTAAGCTAGAGGCAGTTAGTGTTTGAAGGACTGAAGATTTTCAGCTTGCAAACAGATGATTACCATCGTGTTGAGATTGAGGCCCAAGAGCCTCACAGTAATATTTTCTACTTCTCAGAGGGGAAAATATACATGCACTTGTGTGTGTTCATGTATGTATGTGTGTATACACATGTATGTATGTGTATATATATAATATTCACAATATTTCATTTAACTTATATATGCATTTTGAAATTATATATGTGTATATATGTGTATGTAGTATGTATGTGTATGTATTCCTGTGTGTGTTTGCCTGTGTGTTTATATATAAGTTCCACATAATTATCTTCTTAAGTAATTAATATTTTTAAGACCTGGGCAATTAATTTCCCTAAAGCAACAAATAAGAAAGCATTTATAACTATTCTAGTCAATGCTTTCCTTGAAAGGGACACTAATCCATTCGAAGTAGCCCAACTAAAAAAGAAGGGTTATGGTATGGAGACCTCACAGAAACAAAGGCAAGCCATGCCCTCTGGGAGGCAAAGCCATCAGTAAGTGAGACAGTCTCTCCCCTCTGTTGCGGGAAGTCAGGGACCCCGAATGGAGGGATCGACTGAAGCCATGGCAGAAGAATATAAATTGTGATGATTTCATGGACATTTATTAGTTCCCCAAATTAATACTTTTATAATTTCTTACGCCTGTCTTTACTGCAATCTTTGAACATAAATTGTGAAGATTTCATGGACACTTATCACTTCCCCAATCAATACCCTTTCTTCCTATGCCTGTCTTTACTTTAATCTCTTAATCCCGTAATCTTCATAAACTGAGGAGGATGTATGTCACCTCGGGACCCTGTGATGATTGCATTAACTGCACAAATTGTTTGTAGAGCATGTGTGTTTGAACACTATGAAATCTGGGTACCTTGAAAAAAGAACAGAATAACAGCAATGTTCAGGGAACAAGGGAGACAACCTTAAACTCTGACTGCCGGTGAGCCGGGTGGAACAGAGACATATTTCTCTTCTTTCAAAAGCAAATGGGAGAAATATCGCTGAATTCTTTTTCTCAGCTAGGAACATCCCTGAGAAAGAGAATGTGTCCCTGAGGGGAGGCCTCTGAAATGGCCGCTTTGGGAACGGCTGTCTTTTATGATCGTAGTTGAGGGATGCAATAAGCCCCAGTCTCCCGTAGCGCTCCCAGGCTTATTAGGATGAGGAAATTCCTGCCTAATAAATTTTGGTCGGACCAGTTGTCTGCTCTCAAACCCTGTCTCCTGATAAGATGTTATCAATGACAATGCGTGCCCGAAACTTCATTAGCAATTTTAATTTCACCCCGGTCCTGTGGTCCTGTGGTCCTGTGATCTTGCCCTGCCTCCATTTGCCTCGTGATATTTTATTGCTTTGTGAAGCATGTGATCTCTGTGACCCACACCCTATTCATACACTCCTTCCCCTTTTGAAAATCACTAATAAAAACTTGCTGGTTTTACAGCTCAGGGGCATTATGGAACCTGCTGACAAGTGATGTCTCCCCTGGACACCAAGCTTTAAGATTTCTCTCTTTTGTACTCTGTCCCTTTATTTCTCAGACCAGCTGACACTTAGGGAAAATAGAAAAGAAGCTACGTGAAATATCGGGGGTGAATTTTGCCCGATACCCCTCTCTAATTCTCTACTCTTACCATCACTCTATTGCTCTCTTCTTCTTTATCTGTCTCTGCTTCTCCCCATGACTTGTCTTTCTCTGTGTCTCTCTTGCCACTCTGTCTTTGCCCTTTGCTTCTCTCTGTCTGGCTGTTCCTAGAGAAGAACCAGTGGAATGCCAGGCTTGCCCAGATAATTCTACTCCAACATCACTGACCTGAAGAGACAATATTTGACCTATTTTCCCAGACATCAGCTATAGAATACCATGAATAACTGTAAGCCAAACTGACAAATCAGTTCTTATGAGAAGTTCTTATTTGAATCCACAAAAACTAATAGTCTATAATCAGAAATTACCCAACATTAGCTGTGGCTGATGCAAAACAGGTAATGAAGAAAGATACATTTGGGACATATATACATCTAAAACTTCACAACTGGGGCCAAGTGTGGTGGCTCATATCTGTAATCCCAGCACTTTGGAAGGCTGCAGCAGGAGGATCGCTTGAGGCCAGGAGTTCAAGACCAGTCTGGGCAACATAAAAAGACCCCATCTCTGAAAAACAGAAAAAAGGAAGAAAGAAAATTAGCCAGGTGTGAGGCAGGACGATGGCTTGAGCCCAGCATAGTACCACTGCTCTCTAGCCTGGGCCACAGAGAGAGACCCTGTTGCTATAAAAACAAATCAAGACAAACCACCATCTCTTTTTGCATGTTTGATTTGATAAATTTAAACCATTTAACCTTGAGGAGTAGCATCTTTGTCAATTTATAAGGGAAATTTGGCATTGTTATGTTAATGTAGGATATTGACTTTCACAGTTGATGTGTTAAATAGTTCCCCAAGAATTCCTTACATTCATATCTTTAATTTTTATTGAGTGGCAATGAAGTTAATTGGTACCAAGCTTCTAAAAAATATAAGACAGTTAAGTTGCTACTCAGTCTCTTCTAACAAGGTTCTTCTCACTTTCCTTCATTTTTAAAATAATTTTTAATCATCCAGTATATGTGACTGTGTTCTGAAAGTATATCAACTTCCTACATGTTTTGCCTTCAATTCTTTAGGTGGCACCATCTGTTTTCATTTCATAGGCACGTTGGGCGTATAAACAGTGTGTTGTTCTTCAAACACAAAAATAGAATTCACATGGGAGTTTAAATAAGAGTGACATTTAATAGTTCCCCACAACCATTTTTAAGAGCAGAGAAGAATGAAACAAGCCAGAAGCAGCAAAGTTTTTATGTGGATCTCCCTTCCCTAGGAGTTTCAGAAGGCCAGAGCATCTCCTTGAGACACCCTTGTGATTTAGATTTGTCCATGGGAAATGAAGGAGCCTGAATCCAGACACATCTTTTTGTTTCTATCTTTGCACTCCCCTTTTGCTTCTTTCTCTTTGGTTTTCTTCCTTCTCTTTTCTGGCTCATTTTTGTCATCATCTTCCTCACAGGCAACCATAATTTCCTTGAAAATAATTATTATAATAATAAAAGCAATAGCTAACACTTATTACTCATCATGTGCCAAGCACTGTTCTAAGCACTTTGCATATGTTAATTTAATGATTGCAATAATTTTAGGACTTGAGTGCCATCACAATCCCTAGTTTTCAGAAAATGAAATTGAGATTAAGGGGAATTAGGTAACTTGCCCATGAAATAAAATGCTATAACAGCAGCAAAATCCATAATTAATTTTTTTAAAGTTAGTGTTCTTTGATTCTGTCACTTGGAAGGAAATGCTTCCCTGAATGTGTCTTATTTCTGCGGGAACCTCTATTAAATGTTAGGTGCACAGATTTAGACTGGGAGGTGGGATGCAAAAGAGAGGCAAACAGGTGAAACATACTCAAAGAATTAACAGCCTAATGGAAAAGATATAGAAGCAAACAATCCCAACAAAAGAACAGAAAGTGACTGCTTCTCTCATAATGATAAAAATCTTCAAGAGCAAGTCGATGGTAGTAAGTAAAGGCTACCTCACAGATGAGGCAACATTGGAGTTGGGCTTTGAATTAATTAAAAGATTAATTTTAAATTTGTAATGAATAACAATAATGAACACCAACATGTATTGAGCTACATAATAATAATTATGTCAGGTACCATGTAAGAATTTTATATGAATTATTTATTTCTTAGCACAACCCCATCAGATAAGTTCCATTAGTATCTCCATTGAACAGATGATGCAACAGTCTCAGAGAGATTTGATGACTTGCTCAAGTTATTGCAGTAATATAATTTTTAACCAATAAGCTAGAAATGGTGCTTATCAACTATCAATGACTTCATTTTTATCCCCCCTGGTTGAAGAGATTTGCACTAATCTAGTTTTTAATAATTTTTCCTTTGTAGCAAACTGACTTGGATTTGTCTAATGCTCCTTTAATTTTCAAAGTGATTTTATAGGTGTTTTCATCTTGTTCTTAGGTAGGGCTGGCTGCTAGTTTACATGGATGTCAAAAGTGACACCATTCATTAGGGCGAACTCTGGAATTGTAATGTAGATTACAACCTGGAGTGTTTCCATAAGACCAGATAATCAGGTGGGTTTCATTGGCTTTCTAGAGAGTGGATGCCTGGCGAGGTGGGTTGAGAGGTACTCCGACGCTCTGTGCAGGCTCAGCAGGGAAGAATGTGGTGATTTGTCAGGGAGGTGTGCTGAGGCTCTACTGGAGTGGGTAGAGGAATGGTTGTAGGGCAAAGAAGAAATGTGTGTTCTTTGCAGAATAGAGACATTTGGCCTGGATTGTGTTTGACTCTGACCCAATAGGTTGTCCGCAGGGGTGATAGGAACTAAACAGAGATAGTGGCTGAGGAAGGAACTGACAGACAACCAGAGGCTAAAGAGGAGAAGCAGTCTCAGGGGTCACTTTAGAGGGACCCTCTAGAGAGTGCCCAAAAGCCAGGTGCACAGATTTAGAGAAGGAATAGCTTTACACATCTTGCAGACGAATACAATATAAAGCTATTTTATGAGTTATACATGAACAAAAAGGTTAAAAGAATATTGTGGAATTCAATGAAAGTTACAAAATTAGTATCCAGGAAATGGACTTGCTGCACAGAAAAGTTATTTTGCAAGCTTATTCCCTGGAAAGTCAGTAAATGTGAATATTTCTGTGGAATCCCGGCATACATCCCCGTGTCATAAATAAGAATGTTTGGGAGGACTGAGATTTTGTCCCTATGCTTTCCAAAGATGCAGAATGGGTGATTCAGAGATAGGTTGTGGGGATATGGGGCTAATTAGAATAAATTTGTCACAGACTTATTCTGTGGAATTATTTTTGCCTCCAGCCGTCTTAGACCTTATTGTGTGGGAGCTCATAAGACTTCATTTCCTGGAAGCTAAAACATGCCTGAGAATGTTTTCATTTTGACA
Organism: Homo sapiens; assembly: GCF_000001405.40. Lineage (NCBI taxonomy): Eukaryota > Metazoa > Chordata > Mammalia > Primates > Hominidae > Homo > Homo sapiens. The sequence goes on along the minus strand of NC_000001.11, from coordinate 163,155,030 downwards.
GAGACTATCTGACACCTTTTGTTTAAGAAACAATGGACATATACATAGTTTTATATACATATACATATATACATATACATAGTTTTATAATTTTAGTCTTATAGTTTTAGTTTACAATTAAAAACTATATCTATATATAATAGGCTATATCTATATCTATATAGACTAAAATATCTATATATTATATATAGATATAATTTTTAAATTATAAACTAAATTGGTTAAAATGGACGTTTTAACCATGACACAGAGAGAAATAAGTTTTATATTTTTCTTTTAGCACTTATGCTAACTCTCGTGTCACTAAGTTAAGACAAATAGTGCTGGAAATATAGTAGGAAATATTAGAAGAGAGAGAAAATACACCTGATTTTATCCAGTTACAGGTTATCAAATGGTTTTAAAGTAATTCTTCTGGCCAAGTTTCTAGAAAAAATTGGTTTTTTTTTCCTTGTTTTCCTTTTCCCTTCTTTTCACAAGTGTTGAAAATTGTTTATTATACCTACCATTGCTCCTAGATATATTTTTATTGTTAATCAATTAAAAATGTATTTAGGGTAAGTACAGGAAGAAGGGATCAAATTACAAAGTGTCTTTCTTGGATCCTGAAATTGATGGTGACCCTAACACAAGTTAACGATCATCCTAGCCATTCTTTTTCTTTAAAATTGGGTATGGTTTCAGGGTACTGTGAAGGGTATGAGAAGAGTAAAAATATACAGGAGGTAAATTGAAAATGGATAACTATATATAGCGTCTTTGTTTTTATCATTGCATACGTTTTATGCTTGTGTGAAATCAACGTATTGGCAATGACTAATAAATAAAACTTTAGAGCCTATAAAAAGAATAGGTAAAAGGAATAAATGAAAATTAGGCCAAAGGAAATGAATTCAGAACGTAAATATGATCCCTAAGCAGAACTAATGTATTGCAGAAGTGTTTCCAGGTGGGGGCAAATTAGAGAAAACTGGACCCTAAAGTACTGGTGACAATAATCCTTCCTTCTGCCCTGGGGGGCAAAGTGACATTCGAAACATGTTACTGAGGGTAGGTCTGTGATTTTGACACAGCTTCTGGAAAATTAGAGTTTTTCTCTCTCCTCCTGTTTGAAATCTTTATTTTTCTTAGATAATAAATGAACATGAATTCTCTCCCTATAGCCATACATTGTTTAGAATTTTGGTTTATATATATATATGTGTGTAATATATGTTGAATAATACATATATATTCAGCATTAAGGAGAAGGAAAATATTGGATCAGGCCCAAGAATCCTTACATATACATAGTTTTATAATTTTAGTCTTATAGTTTTAGTTTACAATTAAAGACTATATCTATATATAATAGGCTATATCTATATCTATATAGACTAAAATATCTACATATTATATATAGATATAATTTTTAAATTATAAACTAAAGTTTATCCTACATGAGCAATTGTACACTGGAAACAGAATCATAATAGCTATAATCATATTGCATTTAACATGTTAAAGAAACCTGATGTATAATTGATGGACATGGTAAGTACGCTACATGGGGTAACTTCATCTGGCCCTTTCCCACTCATCCTTTGGGTCTCAAATTGAATGTTACTTCCTTGCCTTCCCTTAGCCTAAAATGAAGTCAGGACTCTCCTATGACTCTGTTACTACCTTTCATACAGTTTTCCTTTCATCGTGTAAATGTTTCTTCTGTTTCTTCATTTTCTTTCTACTTTTTCCAGAATCTATAAGCTCCATTAGGACAGGAACCATGTCTATTTTACTTATCGTGGTGACTTAAATCATAGTGCTTGGGACATAATAGTTAAACAAAAATCATCTGTACAAAGAGAAAATAAAGAATTGTGAGTAGTTCATAGTGATACTTAACATTAACATTACTTGCATAGACAAGCCAAGTTTTAAATGTATTATTTTCTCCTTGGTAGTTTAAGTGTCCAGAATGGCATTAGTGTTAATAGTGTTCCTTGATACGTAAATAGGTAAACGTTTGTCACTTAAATAGACATTGCATTTGATTGTTTGGAAAGACAATGTGGTAAATCTCTGTCTAGTTCTAGAGTTCCATACAGCTCTGCATGATGAGCAGGGCTTGAGCTCTGTGTTCTCTGCTGTCTATCTTCCATCTCTGTCTCATTCCTTCTGCATTTGAATGAAGGAGTAAAGGAAGCTAGACATGAATGAGCTAAAACTTTGTGCATAGAAGAGTATTGCTAAGCCCTTTCCCTTTCTCTCATGGATACAATATTTGTTAAGTAAATTAATAAATTTCTCCAGCTGACTGTTTTTTTCTTTCCAGATGGACTTGCCAGTTTCAAAAGTTTCCTGAAGTCTGAATTCAGTGAGGAAAACCTTGAGTTCTGGATTGCCTGTGAGGATTACAAGAAGATCAAGTCCCCTGCCAAGATGGCTGAGAAGGCAAAGCAAATTTATGAAGAATTCATTCAAACGGAGGCTCCTAAAGAGGTTGGTCTCTGGGTAGGTGGGTCAGTTAAGGGCAGCTCATTAGCTCTCAGGAAGGATTTACATCTGAGACACAGACCTCCCGTTGGGAGCCAAAGGCTATTCCTATTTGTGAGTCGACCACCTTATTAAGCACCTATTGAGTACAAAGGCAGAGCAACATGGTCAAGTATATATGAACAATCCTGTTCAGACCGCTTTCTAGTTTTATGGGTCTCACCTCCACTAACCTCCAGTGGAGATCATACCAATGTGAAATCTTGCATGAATTGTTGAGTCTCTGTGAACCTCATTTCTTCCTTTGTGAAAATAAGAATAATGGAGACTACTTTATGGAGATGTTGTGAGGATTAAATTAAATAGTGGGTGTAAAAACTTATACAGGTTGAACATCTCTGATCTGAAAATTCAAAATTCAGAATGCCTCAAAGTCTGAAACTTTTTCAGCACCATGATGCCACAAGTGGAAAATTCCACTGACCTCTTGTGATAGGTCTCAGTCAAAATACAGCCAAAACTTTTTTCATGCCCAAAATTATTAAAAATATTACATAAAATTACCTTCATGTTATATGTATAGGTATATATGACACATAAATGAACTTTGTGTTTAGACTTGGGTCTCATATTAAGATATCTTATCTCATTATGTATATGTAAATATTTCAAAATCTCAAAAAATTCAAGATCTGAAACATTTCTGGTCCCAAGCATTCCAGATAAGTGATGTTCAACCAGTGTATTATTCCTTTCTCTCACTGCTATGAAGAAATACCAAAGACTTGGTAATTTATAAAGGAAAGAGGTTTAATTGACTCACAGTTCCGCATGGATGGGGAGACCTCAGGAAACTTACAATCCAGACAGAAGGCACCTCTTCACAGGGTGGCAGGAGAGAGAATAAAAGTGGAGTGAAGGGGGAAGCCCCTTATAAAACCATCAGATCTCGTGAGAACTCACTATCACAAGAACAGTATAAGGGAAACTGCCCCCATGATTCAATTATTGCCACCTGGTCCTGCCCTTGACATGTGGGAATTATTATGATTTAAGGTGAGATTTGGGTGGGGACACAGAGCCAAACTATATCAACCAGTATCTCAGTGTCCGAACTGATTAATGCCTAATGAGTATTTCTATAACTTTTCTTTGTTTTTCTTTCCATTCCCATTTCTAGTCTTTCCTTTAAACACCTCTCTTTTTTTGTCCTTTCTACTCTTCTTTATCCTTTATTTCCCCACTTGGACTTTTCCATTTACACTGTACTTGGGACAATGGTATATTTACTCATGAAAATCAAAATATTACAAGAAAACAGTGTTAGAGATGTTGAAAGCCAATATACCACTGATTGACTATTAAAGCCCAGATTTTTGTTGATTTCAAAGAAACTTTGGGGAAGTTGATCTGCTTTTTTCTTTGTTATTTATAAAACCACATTGAAAGCCTATTGTGGAATTCAGGATGGCCACAGCAAGCCCTGTTCATCATGGTATGGTCAGGTTACTCTAATTTCACTTGTTTCTTTTAATCCAGTCTGGAAAGTAAATGTTTCATCAAGGTTTGGAGTCAAGCACGGAGGTGATCTGGGCAAGCCTTGTTGAGTAGGCAGAAATCTACTTAAGATGTTTGAGAGAGAAAAACTCCCAAATATCCCTTCTCTACCACAGATGCTCTAGACTCCTGGAGTTCCACCATTAGATATGTATTTCTTTAGTTATGAGTTACCCTAAATGTGTTTGAGTGGATGGACAAATTATGTACCTTGATACTAGTAGATGTGCTTCCTCCATGACACAGGGTTGGAGGTTAGGAGTATGAGAATGTACAGTACTGTGGGTCAAAGCCACGAAAATGAAAAGGTGCTAGAAAGAATCTAGATTTAAGTTTGATGTGGATATTAATCTTGAAATTCTCTCCAGATCACCCCTTCTTCTCCTCAACCTCCACCCTAAGCACATATGTTAGCTCTACCCTACTTCTGTTACCATTTGTGCTGGGCCATCCTTTCTTCTGTCAGCATGTTATTTCTCTGTATATATTGACAAGAAGATTAATTTAACATTAAATTGGACATGTATTTCCCCATTTCAAAGGATTCTCCGACTTACCTTCCTATCAACTTGACTTCCTCTTCACAGAATTCTAAGATTTGCTGAAATACCTACAAATAGTAGAAACCCACTCAGATAATTGTTAGTTACTCTGAGCTCTGGGAAAACATTATTGGTTATTATGAAAATATGAGACATTAACCTAAAATATAATTTTAAAATAAACAATACCATGGCTAGCTGAGTTATAGGGACAAATAAATTGTGGTCACTAGTTGAAAGACTGTAATTAAAATAGCCTTGCCCTTCATTCTAAATGATCTATGCTTATGCAAGAGTACAATAGTATACATTAGACCCAAATACAGGCATCCCAGGATTATGTAGAATAATGATCCTGAGCTGGGTATTAGAGAGAATGTGAATCCTACTCCTAGCACATAAAAAGCTTTCAAGAAATATTTTTGAGATGAAAGCATGAAAATATCCAACTTCAGACATTCTTAGATGTGGGACTTTGGGCAAGTCTCTAGCTAAAGCTCTCTAATCCTCAGTTCTTTTAACTGTAACCATCTTGTGTATATGTATGTGCACCTGAAGTATGTTAAGTCATAGCTTTTATTACTTAAAAAATTCTCCAACTTTTGTATTTTGATGTAAATATTTACTATTTAATTTTGATGAAATTGACCTATATAAGACCTAGATTACCCAGGCAAATAGTAATCTGAATTTTGTTGCTCTGAATACTCACCTCAACTCTTTAATACAAGAAACTGACTGAGAGATACAATGGTAAAAATTGGAATTAAATTTAAACAAGAGAAATGGCCATGTGGAAGTCAATAAGTAGATAATTTATACATTGCAAATTATCATTTGACCATATTTGAAATTAATGAAATGATATTGTTTCTGGATAACTAAACAGATAAATATGTATCAGAATGACTTATTAAAGAAGGCTTAAGCACATAAAAATACCAAGAGAAATAGCTGCTATTTGCTGGTGGATACTATGTCCTAGAGGGTTTTAAATACATCACTCCTTTAAAAAATAAGATTAGGAGCTACTTTTATAATTTTTAGAAACTCAATCATTTGGAATAAGCCTGTCTACCAAGCTCAGTACAGATATATACTTAATATAAGAGAAGGAAGAAGCATTGCTTTCAGTGTGGCGGGAAGAATAATAGACTGAGAATGGAGAAATCTATGTTATAGTCTCACCTCTAATCCACACTAGCTGTTTGTGGGCATGTAACCTGACCTCTCTGAGGTCTTCACATTTAAAGGCAGACATTGGACTTCATCAACTCTGACGCTGATCCCAATTCTGACAATCTGATCTTCCAACAGGCCTGCATAAAGTACATTGACCCCTTTCACCTCTGGAAAATCTTAATGTAGCTCAACGCCCTTCATCCTAGACTTTGAAGCACAGCTCAGTCCTGCTGTCTGTTCTGACCTGGCTCCCCAGGGAATCATGCATTTTGTCTCCAACTCTAACTAATAGCTGCTTCATAATTCTCTGAGCCCAAAGAGCTCTATTCAGTACCAAAAACCTCTAACAGCCCAGGAGAGACCCAAAACCTTTATCAGTGTTTCAATTCACAACCATAGGCTGATTTGGATTCTATTTCTGTCTTGTTTACACTCAAAATCCTTAAAAACCATTAAATCGTACAACATGGAGTATAAAGATTCCTTTAAACTCATAGTCAGCCAAGTTCAAATAGGCTGTACCTTGTACAACTCCAGAGGAACCATTCACGTAGACCCTAGTATGGTTGCAATGTAGTGGCCCTGCACTCAGGACATGTAAGCCACAGTGCATCCCAGTGCTGGAGTCTACTGGTTAAAAGGCTGGGCTCTGGAGCCACATCACTGGATTTCTGAATCTTCTCTCTACCATTAATGAACTTTGAGTAAATCATGTAACATTTCTGTGCATCTGTTTCCTCAACTGTAAAATGTAGACAACAGCATCTATTATACCTCATAGAGTTATAAGATTAAATGAGTTCATCCGTGCAAAGTGCCTGGCACCGACCGAGCACTCAATAAATGTTAATTGCTGTTAGCTGTTTTCATTATTATTCTGTCAGAATGACTGTTTCCTGGTTTGTTTTTGGAAAGAACAAGTTTTCTTGTTCTTCTGGAGCCATGCAAAAGGTCCTGGATCCCCAGACAGAATTTACTTCTCTCTGTTCAATTCCTCCAATAGACGTGAAACCAAATGTTGTGTTAGAATTTTAAAATTAGGCACCAGGGCCGGACGCGGTGGCTCACACCTGTAATCCCAGCACTTTGGGAGGCCGAGGCAGGCAGATCACCTGAGGTCAGGAGTTCGAGACCAGCCTCACCAATGTGGCAAAACCCCGTCTCTATCAAAAGTACAAAAATTAGCCCGGCGTGGTGGCACATGCCTGTAACCCAGCTAGTTGGGAGGCTCGGGCAGAAGAATCACTTGAACCCGGAAGGCAGAGGTTGCAGTGAACCAAATGGCGCCACTGCACTCCAGCCTGCCTGAGTGACAGAACTAGACTCTATCCAACAAAAAAAAAAAAAAAAAAAAAAGAAAAAGAAAAAAGCACCAGGACACCTGGATTCAAATTCTGATTCTCTAGATTCAAATACACTTATCAGTTCTGTGATCTTGGGGAAGCCACTTAACCTTCTGCATATAATATTTTTTTCTATAAAAGGAAAGAATCATTCTTAGGATTGTTGTCAAGGATTAAATAAGTAATGTGTGTGTTAGCTTCTATGGGAGGTCTGACACCTGGTGGGTGTCTAATACCGGTTGGATGCATCTGTTGGAACATCAGCTGCCTTATCCCATCGCCTATAAAGTGAGAAGTGACATGTCTCAGTTTTTAATGACTTTCCTCCCCTCTTATGTTTTATTGATGAGAAATTCCACCTCCCTCTTCACCCCTCATCAAATTCTATAACTTAGGCTTATGTAGTGACCCTGTTTCCTGGCCCACAGGTGAATATTGACCACTTCACTAAGGACATCACAATGAAGAACCTGGTGGAACCTTCCCTGAGCAGCTTTGACATGGCCCAGAAAAGAATCCATGCCCTGATGGAAAAGGATTCTCTGCCTCGCTTTGTGCGCTCTGAGTTTTATCAGGAGTTAATCAAGTAGTAATTTAGCCAGGCTATGAAATCATCCTGTGAGTTATTTCCTCCATAATAACCCTGCATTTCCCATTAATCTACATATCTTCCCACAGCAGCTTTGCTCAGTGATACCCACATGGGAAAAATCCCAGGGGATGTTGCTTACTCTTTTTGCCCACACTGCTTTGGATACTTATCTACTGTCCGAAGGCCTTCTTTCCCCACTCAATTCTTCCTGCCCTGTTATTAATTAAGATATCTTCAGCTTGTAGTCAGACACAATCAGAATCACAGAAAAATCCTGCCTAAGGCAAAGAAATATAAGACAAGACTATGATATCAATGAATGTGGGTTAAGTAATAGATTTCCAGCTAAATTGGTCTAAAAAAGAATATTAAGTGTGGACAGACCTATTTCAAAGGAGCTTAATTGATCTCACTTGTTTTAGTTCTGATCCAGGGAGATCACCCCTCTAATTATTTCTGAACTTGGTTAATAAAAGTTTATAAGATTTTTATGAAGCAGCCACTGTATGATATTTTAAGCAAATATGTTATTTAAAATATTGATCCTTCCCTTGGACCACCTTCATGTTAGTTGGGTATTATAAATAAGAGATACAACCATGAATATATTATGTTTATACAAAATCAATCTGAACACAATTCATAAAGATTTCTCTTTTATACCTTCCTCACTGGCCCCCTCCACCTGCCCATAGTCACCAAATTCTGTTTTAAATCAATGACCTAAGATCAACAATGAAGTATTTTATAAATGTATTTATGCTGCTAGACTGTGGGTCAAATGTTTCCATTTTCAAATTATTTAGAATTCTTATGAGTTTAAAATTTGTAAATTTCTAAATCCAATCATGTAAAATGAAACTGTTGCTCCATTGGAGTAGTCTCCCACCTAAATATCAAGATGGCTATATGCTAAAAAGAGAAAATATGGTCAAGTCTAAAATGGCTAATTGTCCTATGATGCTATTATCATAGACTAATGACATTTATCTTCAAAACACCAAATTGTCTTTAGAAAAATTAATGTGATTACAGGTAGAGGCCTTCTAGGTGAGACACTTTTAAGGTACACTGCATTTTGCAAAAAAAAAAAAAAAAAGTAATCTTTTAGCAACCCCAGTATTCCTTCACTATTTCGCTTCCTGCATTAGCAAATTTTACTTACAGTCAAAAGTGCAGATTTATACTCCTGACGTGTCTCATTCACAGCTAAATAATAGGCCATAGGACTTTTGGTAGGTTTAAACTTTTAATTCTGTATTTCATGATTATAAGTCTTGCTAGAATTTTTTCTAATCTTTAGTAGATTTGATTAAATAATGATTCACAGAATTTAGTAACAGAATCAAACTAAGCCATGTATGAGGGTAATCGAGATGAGGATATTAACTCAAAAGAAATAGGGTGATTTTTAAAGGATTAATAAAATTCTGAAATGTTAAGTAGAAGATTACATTGTCTAGTCTTGTATTTCCTCCTTCTGTTGCTCTCTTTCATTCACACACTCTCAGTTTCTCATATTTGTAGCTCATTTATTTGGTTATTTCCTAAGAATATTGAAAGTGAAGCAACTATGTGACTGTATTCTTCAGGTAAACACTGACTGCGCTTGTTGGATTTTCCCTATTTTTGTGACTTCAAGAATAATATGCCCTGCTGAATACATGCCATTTCACATTCTGAAACTGGGTAGAGTGGTTGGGTGTTCTGCCAACAATTGCTAGTGGTGTGAATTCATTCATATTTGCCAGTATTGCTCACTTCAAAGAAACTCCTTCATCAAGCAGTCCAGAGCTAGGCCAGATCAATGCTACAATCATGAAGTTCTCATTGCATGCAATTGTGTAGGATTGACAAGGAACTCAGATAAAAATTTCCAGGGTGCACTTCCAGAACCAGCTTCAACATATGTCTACATTGCCCCCAAGTTAATAAAGTGCCAACCCTTTACTCTCTCATACAGCCAGAAATGTTAGAAATCCAAAATCTTGGTGCATTATTTTTTCATAAACGCTAAAACATTTGAAGAAACAATTTAATTATTTAAAATTCAAGTATTTTATTCACATTATTTGCAATATCCAAATGTTTAAAAATTCCCAGATAATTAACTAGCTATTACAGATCTCACCTAGAGGGTTGATGTTATGAAGACTCCAGTGGACTGTACTCACAAATTGACTGGACACCCTATGAAAGTGGGTAGACCTCTCAGCGGAAAATAAGAAGGGCTTTTACCTACAGGGCAGGACAGGGTCCCATGAGAGCAGTTCTGTGGAGATATAAAAAGAATGGAAGAAGGAATGCCTTATAGTGATATTGTGACATTATATCTATATATCTACATATATCTATCTATCTATATCTACATCTATATAATCTTACATTTAAAATTGTATTCCTACACATATTAGAAACTCTTCTAATAAATGAAGTAAAAAAATTAAAAAGAATACAAATATTCCAGCCCCAAATGAGAAATCAAACATATTAAAATTGTTCAAGAAAATTTCTTTGAACACTTCTGAAAGTTTTTGGAAACTTAGAAAAGAGGGAAAAAAATCCAGTGTTACTAGTAATTTCCATGGTAATACAGATAAAATACATTCTTTTAATTCTGGGAAATTAGAAAAAGTGGGGTGATCTTTCCAGGAAAAACATGTGTAACATCTGCTTATCACTCCAGCTCCCTCCTCCTCCTCCTCTCCACGTTCCCTTGAGTAAATGTCTGGGAAAGCATGAAGCTTGATGCAAGAACCCTGTTGTACTGGCGTTTTCCTCCCCTGTGAAAACGTAACTACTGTTGGGAGTGAATTGAGGATGTAGAAAGGTGGTGGAACCAAATTGTGGTCAATGGAAATAGGAGAATATGGTTCTCACTCTTGAGAAAAAAACCTAAGATTAGCCCAGGTAGTTGCCTGTAACTTCAGTTTTTCTGCCTGGGTTTGATATAGTTTAGGGTTGGGGTTAGATTAAGATCTAAATTACATCAGGACAAAGAGACAGACTATTAACTCCACAGTTAATTAAGGACGTATGTTCCATGTTTATTTGTTAAAGCAGTGTGAATAGCCTTCAAGCATGTGAATAATCTTCCATCTTCCCCGCCACACATACACACACACACTTTTTGTTTCTTTCAGGTAGACACCTTTTAAAATGCAGAACTAACTGAGGCATTTCAGTAACTTTGCTTTCAAATCAATAAAGTCAAATGTATGGAAACATTTTGTGCCCTACTCTCCATACCCCGTGTACTCAAATTCTCTACTGTATGAATTATGCTTTAAGTAGAATTCAGTGCCAAGGAGAACTTGGTGAAATAAATTATTTTAATTTTTTTTTTATCCTTTACAAAGCCATGGATTTTATTTGGTTGATGTGTGCTCTGTACACAAGCCATTTCAATAGGATGGAGCTGTTAATTATTTTCCAAAGAGTAATAGACATGCAAAAGTTTCAATAAAAACTGGGCCATTAACAAATAAATTAATAAACTAATAAGCATTCCCTTCTAGGTTTTTGCCAAACTGCCTATCCAATAACAAATTTGAGAATCGTTGTAAAAGCTAGTTATATTTCAGAGAAATGATTTTCATTATTGAAACTGTTCTCCCTAGCAGGCCATTTTCCCTTTTTCCTGGGAGTTTAGCAAGTTTAGGAGAGAATAGTCATGAAAAGAAAGGGAAGAAAGGGGAGAAGGGAAGAGGTTAAAAAGTAAGTGCTCAGACCTATGAACGTAATCCCTTTGCTACAAATATTTAAGAGCAGCTCAGCTTGGTTGAAACTGAGTTTTGTCATCTTCCATATTTGCAGGAAGGTATTTTCTGACTTGCAATGCAGCTAGATGTAAAATTTTATTTTATCATCCTAGAAAGCCTTGACTAGAAAAATGAATAAATATTGAGGGTTTCCTGTCCATATCTGGCTTGCATGTGCCAGAAAGCAGAGAATAGAAAATGTAATCTCCAACATCCAAGCATCGAAACCCAAGGGGTAGGCAATTCTATGTAGGTTTTGGACATGAAGTTTGGTGCATCTTGGTTTATGCTGGCTCAACTGCTATTAAACCTCTCTGGCTTATAGTCTCTTCATTCTATTAGACAAGCACGTATCGAACACTTGCTTCGCACAAGGCTCTTTAGTTAACAATTTAGCAGCTACTGTTTGTGTTAAACACACTTTTCACCAAATAGGTTCTGAGGCAAACGAGAGCAATGACTATTTAAAGAAAGGCTTTCCCAGCATCACTTACACATCCCAAAACTAAAAAGATCAACTCTTCCAACTGAGAAAAGACTCCTGGCTTTGAATGGAAACTTACAGCAGAGAGTCACAGGCCACGGCAACAACAACGACAACAACAAACATTTGGAATATTATTCTCAACTCACGTTTTAATAATACATCTTATTATTTTTCTAGTAGAGAAACTACAAATCAGCCTCTTCAACATTTATATACAGTTTAATAAGCCTCTTGCAAGTTACTTGTTCTCTCACCTGAGGTATTTTTTTCCTCCCCACCTTGCCCCTGTTCCTCCCTTCCTCTTCTCCCTTTGCAAGAGGAAATATTTAACATATTTGGGTCCAACTTCAATAATGTAATAATTAATACATTAAAAGCATTTAACTTCCTTTCTAGAAAAATGCACAGGCTAAGGCATAGACAAAACAAAGAGAAATGCTGAGAAATTTGCCACTGGAGACAAGCAATCTGAATAAATATTTGCCAAAAGTTCTTTTTATGTCATATAGTGTCAGGATTTGAAGGAGCTATTTTTTTTTAATGTTGCAACTAGCAACTCATCTTCGGAAGACACAGCCAGGAGAATGAAGTAGAAGTGAAAGGTTTATAAATCCATTTGTAAGCATTTATCCCATATATTTTAAATTCAAGAAAAATTGTGTTTATCTTTAGAATTTTGTATTCAATACTTTATGTACTATGTGACTCATGCTTCTGGATAAATAAAGCACCAAATATGTATCTGTAACCACAATCACACATATTATATTAAATATATATCTATATAACAGCCTCATATGAGTCCTCCTTGACTCCCAAGTATTTTCTATATGAAATATTCTTCCTTAAGATAGGCTTGTTCTTTCACCATGCTTCTTACACCAGGTGCGCTCTTGATCAATTGGGAGGATGCTTACTAATAAAGGACAACTATAATACAGCCTGACATGCAAAACTCAGGGAAATACAAAGTGCCCCATTTTCATAAACTCTGTTGACTACTTTCCCTTGGATTCAGGTGACAATAATTTATTGACTCAGCTGCCATCACTGTTAGAAACTGACTGAACATATATCATTTGGATCCTGCAACATTCAGTGAGTATAGTAAATCCTTTCTCTTCCTCCCCTGGTGAAAGATCTGAAAGATTTGAAATCCAGATGCCACTGTAAGCAGCTTAATTCTGTAACCATACATTTGGTGCTCACATAGTTAAGATAATGTAGGATTGAGAATGGGTAAAAGGGGATCATACAACTAGTGGGATTGGGACTGGGTAAAAGGGGAAAATTTATATTCAGATAGAAGCATTAGGAGAAGATTTACAAGGAGAAACAATGGAAAGAGAGAGAGAGACAGACAGACAGAGAGACATAAAGAGAGATTAAAGCGGGTGTCTGTCTTGGTCTCTGATAAGTTTCTTAATTTTCATTCCCAGGCCCCATGAGGCCTAGCTATATTTAATATAGATATAATTCCCCTGAATCATTTCAATATCACCTACTCTCCTCTTTACTTTAATTATCTTGAATGAGTTTCCAAGAGTTTTCACCAAGAACTATTATTAGAGCAAAGATCATCAACACCTCTTTGTTTCCCCTACAGAGAAGTGATATTTCTCGAGGTCACTCTGCAAATCAGTAGCAGAACAGAGACTAGAGATCAGTTTGACTGTCTCTCAGATGCCCGTTTGGTCCGATAAACAAAAGTAACCCCATATAATCCCTCACGACATTAGGGTTATTGGCTCTAACTTGAGCAAAAGAGACTAAATTAACCACTCTCCAAGTGGGAACCCATTCTACCATCTGTAAGAGTCAGGTAGGCCGAGCTCTCCAAGTTATCAGCTTTCTAAAGCACATTGTACCAGTTTTACATTTTCTAAATCAGCAGTACCTTGAAAATTATTTTGCCCATAAACCACTTTCCAAGTTCATTAACTTTCCAGATGGCTTCCCAATGCCTCCACTGCATTCTGCATTTGAATTAGTCTCATCCAGCAAGTTCCTAGTCCACTTTCCACACCTTTCCACTTTTTGGTCAAATCTTGCCCTCTTTTAACAGCTTAACTTGTTAAAGCAATAAAAGATATCAATGAAAATTTTATTTAAAAGTAAACCTTTTTGCTCGATCTTTGGCAGCCAGTCTTCTTGGCCAGGTTAGCCTGGTCTCTGCTAATGAGGTCACATTTTCAAGTCACTTTCACCGTAGAAAAATGCTGTTGATGACGGGGTTACAGGGGTGGGTATGCCCACAGACAATTTTGAAGGTCAGTTATGCTTTGAAAAAGTGATGCCTTATGACTGCCACTAGAAGGAACTGTCTGTGACAACTGAGAAATAGATGCCTGCCTCAGATTTTGCTGCTAAATGCCCTAAGCCTCTTTGCTTCCAAGCAGAATTCTTGGAAAACAGAAGAGACACTTAAGCAAAAATTGGAGCCTAGACACTTTCATGAATAAACGTGAATGAAGATTGATGTTCCCTTATTTCTTGTAACTGAACATTTATTTTGACTATTTTAATTTCATTAAACGAAAGCCTTAACTTCTATACTATTTGAGTTTCTCAAGAAATTCAACTAACAATGAGCAAGGAAGGTGATAAAGAAAAAGTCTAGGCCGGGAGCGGTGGTTCACGCCTGTAATCCCAGCACTTGAGGCTGACGGGGGCTGATCACGAGATCAGGAGATTGAGACCGTTCCTGGCCAACATAGTGAAACCCCGTCTCTACTAATAATACAGAAATTAGCTGGGCGTGGTGATGCATGCCTGTAATCCCAGCTACTTGGGAGGCTGAGGCAGGAGAATTGCTTGAACCAGGGAGTCAGAGGTTGCAGTGAGCCGACATAGTGCCACTGCACTCCAGCCTGGGCAACAGAGCGAGACTCCATCTCAAAATAAATAAATAAATAAATAAAAGAAAAAGTCCAGATACAGAAAATGTCAGAGTTGGAATAGACATTACAAATGCTCTCATACGCCCAGGATGAAAGTTCACTCCTCCTCTCTGTGCAGATTCTTTTCAGCTTAGATGCCAGCAGCTTGGGGGACACAGACACTGAGAGTCCAGAGAACAAAGGAGGAACCTACTCGCCTGGCCAGTCATATCAGCCAAGTAACTAATAGCGATTAGTCGGGTAATGGTCATCACACACAAAAAACCACTCTGCCCTCCTACAATGGCACCACACCCAGCCCAATCTCCATTTTATATATGAGGAAATTGAGGCCCATAGAAGTGAAACGTTTGTCCAGAGTTACACATCTGTATAATGCCATAATCTTTACAATATGATCTGATTCCTAGTGTGGGTGTTTTTTCTTTTTTCTTCTGGAATAAAATTCATTTTATGTCACATTTACATATCTATAATAACATAATAATGGATATTCTTAAAGTTGATATCAGAGAACTATAAGACACTAGAGAAATGATAGGATAGAGTTGACCCCAAAACAACCTGCTTCTCAAAATAGACTCCTCTCCTGTATCTCTGTAACAATTTTCCCAACTAACTATCCTTTTGGGTTAGCAAACTACTCCTTTAAGTGTAAAATGTCCTATTAGGAAGTTAGCAGCCATTGATTCTTTAATATATATAACTCCAATGGGATGATACACATTGCTTGTTTCTTTAAATCTTTCTGAAGACAGCCCAGAGACAAAGGGTGTTCTGATTGAGAAGACTGGTTTGATTGAGGAAGAGAGAGGTCTGTCTATTGCAGTGTACTTTTTGAAAATTGGTAACTCATATGCATTATATACATCCCCATTACATACATTCTCTGACAACACCAGGTAATAAATAAAGATTTATGCACACATAAGTCTTTTATCCTAAATATTACTCTAGCAACGATCATGTATTTGCTTTATTCTTTACTGAGTTTCGAAGAACTGGTAGAGTTCTCATACTAAATTTCCCAACTACCCATTGCAAACTGACATTTGCAATTTATTCCATTTTGTTAAGCATTGTCCATCACTTAAGAATTCTCCCTTAAATGAAAATTCTCATAAAAAAAGTAACACATACAATCTTTAACTGCTTTTTGTGACAAGGGAGGAAATAATTTAGAGCATTTATCTGATTATGTTATTCTTCTGTTTCAAACCTTTCAATAGTTTTCCATGCTTTGCAGCCTCCTGTAGTCTTCAGACACAGAGGACAGAGAAAGACTTGTCTAGTCTATAAATCCCTGTGGGTACTCTTCACTATCTATTGATTGAATAACACCTCACATATCCATATATTATTATTATTATTAAGATAGGGTCTCACTGTGTCACCCAGGCTGTAGTGCAGTGGTGTAATCTCAGCTCACTGCAACCTCCGCCTCACAGGTTCAAGCGATTCTCCTGCCAAAGTCTCCTGAGTAGCTGGAACTATAGGCATGCACCACCACACGTGGCTAATTTTTGTATTTTTAGCAGAGATGGGTTTCACCATGTTGGCTAGGCTGGTCTTGAACTCCTGATCTCAGGTGATCCTCCCACCTTGGCCTCCCAAAGTGCTGGGATTACAGGCGTGAGCCACCATGCCCAGCCCATGTATTATTTTAAACTCACTCAGGTGCAGTTGTTAACAGTAAAATACAAATTCACTTTTAGAAATTTCTGAATTTCTGTTAGCTTGCATTTTGAATATTTTAAGTGAATAGATAATGATATTATAGCCAATCATATGTGGATGCCCTCAAAAACCACTCTTAGTCTTAAAATGTTGTTTTAATTCTAAAATTTTGATTACCACTGCTGTGGAGAATAGTGTCTTGAATCCTTAGCCTCATAGATAAAGTTCTCTAAACCAGCCAGTCATCAGCAACTTCTTGCAGCTCTCCAAATGCACCAAGCTTTCTCATGCTGTAGGCTATACACAGGCCAGTACTATTCACTATATTCCCTCTATTTCACCTAGTCAACACCTACACATTTTTTAAGACTTAGCACACAGATGTCATTTTCACCAAGAAGACTTCCTTCACACCCATCAGACCCCAACTGGCCAAAATGGGTGATATTCCTCCAGTTTGGCACACTTTCACTAAAGATATGTCTCTACCAATTAGATAAGATAAATGTTTGGGATGGTTAGAGAATTCTCTTTGAAGTGTGTTGAAAGAGCCAATGTCTGGTATTTTAACTTCTGAAAAAAAAATCTGGACATGTAAACTTCCAGATACCCATCTCCTCCCAAGTTCCTAGGAAGATAGGCCAAGAAAGGAAATTAAAATTACTATGTCTTTTAACTATGCCCTCAGGAAACAATATCCCTCCCATGTCTCAGTGTTATCCAATGTGATGAATACCAAGTCAGAGAGGCGGGAAGGCTGGTACCAAGACAGACAGGAAGCTGTTGGGACCACTGATAACCCCAAACCACTCCAGGCAGATAGTTACCTACTCTGTCTCCTTCAAAGTCGCTGCGTATCAAATTTCCTTGACTCTGTGGCTTTGCTCCTTTCCTGGATAAGTAGACTAGATACCTATTGGGTTCTTTATCCATCCCCAGCCAATTTGCTAACCATTAAAAAAATAGAGAAAATAAATGAGTTATTTTTTATTACTTTATGGCAGGTAGCTATTGTGACTTTCCATTTTAATATCATTCTGTTTCACTTAAGGCAGTGAGCAGTTATGTGGGATTATCTTACTCCTTTGAAACTGCACTTTATTTCTCTAAAAAGGTTTAATGACATTTAAGAATTATGTCTCTCATTTTGCCAAATTTTCTCAGTCCAGTCTTTCTAGAATGACTAAGTATAGGTAGAGGAAACAAAATAACATATATTTTTAGCTTGTGTGAAGGGCCTTGTGTTTTATTAATTAGCAGCCTATAAAGTGTTTGCTTGTGAAGATAAAGGCAATTGAAATCCAAATGAATGAATTTACTCAGAACCTAATTCCTCAAGATAGGCAACAGACTTAAAAGAGATCCCAAAGGTATAGATGGCATATTTTAGTAAAAACTTAATCAGTGGCTCTTTGAACTGTAAGTACAGACATCAGAAAATGGTGTATATGCCATGCAACCTCAAATTATACTACAAGGCTACAGTAACCAAAACAGCATGGTACTGGTACAAAAACAGATACACAGACCAATGGAACAGAATAGAGAACTCAGAAATAAGACTGCACATTTACAGCCATCTGATCTTCAACCCTGACAAGAACAAGCAATGGAGAAAGGATTCCCTATTTAATAAATGGTGCTGAGAGAACTGGCTAGCCATATGCAGAAAATTGAAACTGGACCCCTTCCTTATGCCATTTACAAAAATTAACTCAAGATGAGTTAAAGACTTAATCGTAAAACCCCAAACTATAAAAACCCTAGAAGAAAATCTAGGCAATATCATTCAAGACATAGGCATGGGCAAAGATTGCATAACAAAATCACCAAAAGCAATCGTAACAAAAGCAAAAATTGACAAATGGGATCTAATTAAACTAAAGAGCTTCTGCACAGCAAAATAAACTCTCATCAGAGCCAACAGGCAACCTACAGAGTGGAAGAAGAACTTTGCAATCTATCCATCTGACAGAGGTCTAATATCCAGATTCTATAAGGAACTTAAACAAATTTACAAGAAAAAAACAATTAACCCCATTAAAAAGTAGGCAAAGGAAATGAACAGATACTTCTCAAAAGAAGACATTTGTGCAGTATATGAAAACATATTAAAAAAAGCTCAACATCACTGATCATTAGAGAAATGCAAGTCAAAACCACAGTGAAATACCATCTCAGGCTAGTCAGAATGATGATTATTAAAAAATCAAGAAAAAAAACAGATGCTGGTGAGGTTGTGGAGAAATAGGAAGGCTTTTACACTGTTGGTGGGAATGTAAATTAGTTCAACCATTGTGGAAGATGGTGTGGCGATTCCTTAACGATCTAGAACCAGAGATACCTTTTGACCCAGCAATCCCATTACTGGGTATACACCCAAAGGAATATAAATCATTCTATTACAAAGATGCATGCACATATATGTTCATTGCAACACTGTTTACAATAGCACAGACATGGAATCAACCCAAATGCCCACCAATAATAGACTGGATAAAGAAAATGAGGTACATATACACCATGGAATACTATGGAGCCATAAAAAGGAATGAGATCATATCCTTTGCAGGGACATGGATAGAGCTGGAAGCCATTATCCTCGCAAACTAAGGGAGGAACAGAAAACCAGACGCTGGATGTTCTCACTTATAATTGGGAGCTGAACAGTGAGAACACATGGACACAGGGAGGGGAACAACACACTGGGGGCCTGTCGGGGTGGGGTTGGAGGAAGGGAGGGCATTAGGAAAAATAACTAACGCATGCTGAGCTTAATACCTAGGTGATGGGTTAATAGGTTCAGCAAACCATCATGGCACACATTTACCTATGTAACAAACCTGCACATCCTGCACATGTACCCCAGAACTTAAAATAAAACTAAAAAAAAAAAAAAATGGCGTATAGGTAATATGAGGCTTTAGGGCTGGAAGAATGGCTTTTCTAATTACCACCATCATCTCCCTCTAGCTGGATTAGTATTATGTGGCTCAGAGTCACAAAATTTTAGTTGTAGGGTAGATTCTTTCTCTATGTGATCTTGGGCAGCACAAGTAACTTAACTCCCTGAACCTCTTTTTGTTCATCTGCAAAAATGGAACTACCTAGATTTCTATAACACAGTGAGGTGATGAGGAGCAAATGAAATAAAATAAAGAAAAAGGTTTTCTAACCTGTAAAATAAGGCTATTTTCTCAAATCCTCATCCAGGCCAATTTGCTTCCTTTTTTATCTTCCTGGTGTAAATCATTAGGACATGATCAGAGAAAGTAAGCAATAGGTATCACCAGGAGAGACAGCAGTAATATGTCCTTATTTCTGTCCCACTACCTCCTTCCTTCTGCCATTTCCTAAGTGTGAGCTAGAAAAAGACATAGAACCATGCCTTATTCCTGGTGTTCTTGTGCTCTGAAAGCCTAGAACATAACTTAGCCAGTTGACACAGAATTATGGTCAGTTAGCTGTTCTACTGGACATCTACTGCAGATGCTTTGGCCTCCTCAGTACCACAGTCTTCTCGATGACCTAATAATAACTACTCTTTGTGTAACTTTTCCCTATGGTATTTCACTTGATCATCTTCGCAACTCTGTGACTTGGTTAAAGTAGATAGGATTCAAGTGCTCATTTTACACATAAGAAGTCTGAAACTCAGAAAATTTAAGGGACTTGGCAAAGTCACATGGATAGTACTGGCAGAGCTGAGCCTAGAGCATGGGTCTCCACCTCCAGCTCTGGAGTTCCTTCCTTATACCAGATTCTGCAGCGTGCTGCTAACAAACTCAGCATTATAGAACCTTTTCAGGGCCAGTGATAGAGACAGAAAAAAATCTTGGGTGACATCTGTGTGCTCTGTATTGGAGATCTGTGGTATAAATGTGTGTGTATGTATACTATACATATGGTATCCCATTGTGGTTTTGATTTGCATTTCTCTAATACGTATATATTAGATAATATATATTTTATATATGAAATATATATATATACACACACACATATATATGTATATATATATAAAATCTTTTAGAGTTATTCTTGCTGGGCACAGTTTCTCATTCCTGTAATCCCAGCATTTTGGGAGGCTGAGGTGGGAGGAATGCTTGAGGCCAGGAGTTTGAAACCAGCCTGGGAAACATAGCAAGACCCTATCTCTATAAAAAATAAAAATTAGCTGGGTGTGGTGGTGGGTGCCTGTAGTCCTAGCTGTTCAGGAGGCTGAGGCAGGAGGACTGCTTGAGCCCAGATGTTCAAGGCTGTGGTAACCTATGATTGTACCACTGCATTCCAGTGTGGGTGACAGAGCAAAGCCCCAGCTCTAAAAATAATAATAATAGTAATAATAATAATAAATCCTTCTCATTAGAGATTAACACTAACAGGTTCAAAGTTTATCTAAGTGGTTAAGAAAAAAGAGAAAGATAGAGTAGCACATATGTGAAGGACTGTTCTTTAGTCTGCCATTCAGGCTTGCATACAAAGACTTTGCCTAGCTTTCTTTGTTTAAAAAAGGTGTTTGATCTCAGATTACAGCCAGCTGGACCATCTGCCACTCTTGTTTCCTCAAAGTCTGGAGCTCTTTACTAACATTTGAGGTTATGCTTTAATGTCCACTTATGGAAGCCTAATATTGTCTCATTTTGTTCATGGTTGTCTCACTTTAGTATTTAATGACTTCATACATCTGGATGTTTCCTTTACATTTCCAAATCATTTCTACATTTGTAATTTCATTAGCTTTCAAAGTCCAGTTTCTCTTCCTTCAGAGTCTTTGTAGCTAATCTGTCTCTGATGTTCCACAATTTTATTTTTTTGATATGTTTATATCATTTATTCTTGGGCTTAATCTTTGCTATCTTTTTCTGAACTTCCTCTTTTTACTACTTGAGTCCTTTCTACTACTTCTTTCTAATTTCTATGGTAGAAATTCCTCTTACTTCAAATTTAATTTGCTTATATTCTTGTTGGATACTATGCCAGATATCTTGCACATGTGATTTTATGAGACAAGAATTTTTACTCCATTTTTCTTATGAGAAACTGTATTATTCCATTTTTGCATTACTATAAATTAATACCTGATACTGAGTAATTTATAAAGAAAAGAGCTTTAATTGGCTCATGGTTCTGCAGGCTGTACAAGCATGGCACCAACATCTGCTCAGTTTCTGGTGAGAGCCTCAGGAAGCTTCCAATCATGGCTGAAGATGAAGTATGAGCAGGCACATAACATGGCAAGATCAGAAGCAAGAGGGAGAGAAGGGAGGAAGTGCTAGGCTCTTTAAACAACCAGCTCTCGTGTGAACTAATGAAATAAGAACTCACTCATTACCATGAGGAGGGCAGCACACCATTCATGAGGTATTCCCCTGACCCAAACACCACTCACCAGACCTCACCTTCCACACTAGGGATTACATTTCAACATGAGGTTTGGAGAAGACAAACATCCAAACCATATCATCCTGCCCTTGGCCCTCCAAATCTCACATCCTCCTCCCATTGCAAAATACAGTAATATCTTCCCAAGAGTCCCCTAAAGTCTTAATTCATGCCAACATCAATTCCAAAGTCTCATTTGAAACTCAAGGCAAGCTCCTTCCGCCTATGAACCTGTAAAATCAAAACCAAGTTATTTACTTCCAAGATGCAATGGTGGTACAGGCATTGGATATACATTCTCATTCCAAAAGACAGAAATTCATAAAAGAAGGTGCAATAGGCCCCACACAAATCTGGAACTCTGCAGGGTAGTCATTAAATCTTTAAGCTCCAAAATCATCTCCTTTGACTCAATGTCCACATCCAGGGCACATTGGTGCAAGAGGTGAGCACCCAAAACCTTGGGTAGCTCTGCTCCTTTAGTTTTGCAGGGTGCAGGCCCCATGGCTGCTCTCTCAGGTTGGAATTGAATGCCTAAGGCTTTTGTAGGTTCCAAATGCAAGCCGCCAATGGCTCTACCATTTGGAGGGTGGTTGCCCCCTTCCCACAGCTCAAATAGGGAGTGTTCTAGTGGGGGACTCTATTTAGGGGCTACCCCACAGATCCTCTTGGTGCTGTCCTAGTAGAGTCTCTCCATGGGGACTCTGCTTCTGTGGCAGGGTTTCTGATACATACTCTGAAATTTAGATGGAAGCTGCCAAGCCTCCTTCACTGTTGCATTCTGCAAGCCATCAGATGTAACACCATGTGAAAGATGCCGAGGCTTATGGTGGCTTTCACTCTCCAAAGCTGCAGCCCAAGCTGTATCTAGGCCCCTTTGACCCACAGCGGGAGCTAGAGCAGCCAGGATGAGGGAACAGTGTCCTGCAGCTGAGCAGTGAAGTGGCCCCCTAGGCCTGGCTGCCAAAACCATTCTTTTCTCCAAGGCTTCTAGGCCTGTGATGGGAGGGGCTTTCCTGAAGACTTCTAATTGGCTTCAAGGCCTTTTTCCCATTGTCTTGGATATTAGAAATGGCTCTCTTTTAGTCATGCTAATCTCTCTAGCAAGTGAGTGCTCTGAATCCTACTTGTATTTTTCTCCTGAAAATGCTTTTTCTTTCTCTTCCATGTGATCAGGCTTCAAATTTTCCAAAGTTTTATGGTCTGCTTCCCCTTTAAATATAAATCTTTAAGTAACTTCTTCACTCCCATATATGATTATAGGCTGTTAGAAGCGGTCAGGTCACTTCTTGAATGATTTACTACTTATAAATTTCTTTTGCCAGATAAGCTGGGTCATCAATCTTAAGTTTAAACTTCCACAAATCCCTAAGATGTGGACAGAATTCAGTTAAGCTCTTTGCTAGGGCATAACAAGGGAGACCTTTGCTCTGGTTCCCAATAACTTCTTCATTTCTATCTGAGACCTCCTCAGCCTGACCTTCACTGTCCATACTTCTATCAGCATTTGGGTCACAATCATTGAAAAAGTCTCTAAGAAATCCCAAACTTTCCCTGGTTTTCCCATCTTCTTCTGAGCCCTCCAAACTCTTCCAATTTCTGCCTGTTACCCAGTTCCACAGCTGCTTCCACATATTTAGGTATCTTTATAGCAATGCCCCACTTCTCAGTACCAGTTTTCTGTATTAGTCTGCTTTTTGCATTACTGTAAATACCTGAGATTGAGTAATTTATAAAGAAAAGAGGTTTAATTGGCTCACAGTTCTGCAGGCTACACAAGCATGGCACCAACATCTGCTCAGCTTCTGGTGAGAGCCTCAGGAAGCTTTCAATCATGGCAGAAGATGAAGCAGAAGCAGGCACATAACATGGCAAAATCAGGAGAAAGAGAGAGAGAAGGGAGGAGATGCCAGGCTCTTTAAACAACCTGCTCTCACGTGAACTAATAGAATGAGAACTCACTCACTACCATAAGGAGGGCAACATGCCATTCATGAGATGTCTTCCCCCTGACCGAAACACCTCCTACCAGGTCCTATCCCCAATATCAAGGGTTAAATTTCAACATGAGAGTTGGAGGAGACAAACATCAAGACCCATATCAGGAACTAAACCTCAGAGAGAGTCAGTGATAATTCCATGTTCATGCAGCTAGAAAGGAGCCAAGTTGGATCCTTGGGAGCTATCAACACTGAGTTTATTGTTTTCCATTCTTTCCTCTCTTAATTTTATTACGCCTTTTTTTTTGATCGTCAAACAAAGTTATTTTACACTGAAGAAGCCCTGTATTTTCTCTTTTACTTATTTTAGAAAACGTGTAATTTTTATGTGCAGAGTGCCTGTTCTTTTTTCCCTTCCTATCCACTTTTTGTTGATATTCCTCATTTATTCACTATTCCACTGAATCCTATCCAGCTCCAATTTCACTCTTATCAACCACAGACTATATCCCACAGGAATCAAAGGGATTCACACATTCTTAGGCACAAGTAAGTAATAGGCTATGCTAATAGCAACTGGAGGTTACAGAGATTTTCCAAGACAGTTGCCATTTTAAATATCTTACTCTGTTTTTTCCAGAAATGCACTTGTCAGACTATGTGTTCTGATTTTGAGTTTAGAAAATATATTTCTTCCAGCCCAGCTGTAACTCAACCCAGACAGGCCAAGTTCATATAACCCTAGTAATGTTAACAAGTCAGCAGCTGTAGAAACATGCATTCCTAAGCTTCAAGAGACAAGCAGCTGAATTTTCTAGATCCTGAGGCATCTATGGAATAAGTCACATTATGCCTAAAACATTTTATTTTAGAAAGTTGCAGTCTAGTAGGATAAACAAAAAGATTTTGATCTGATCATTATGGATATTACTGCTTAGGAAACCTTTGCCAACACTCAGCAAAGCCAGTGGCTTCATGCTTTTCTGCACTTTAACACTTTGTTCTGAACTCAAGTGTAGCATTCATCACAGTTGTTTAATATACATGCCTTTATTGAATGCCAACCATGTGCCAAGTCCTATGCAAGTTAGGAATACAGATATGAAGTAAATCCAATCCCTGATTTCCAAGGAGCTTGGCATTTATTTGGAAAGATATATGTATAAACAGTTCCAACATAATGTGATAAGTGACATGCTAGAGCTCATGACTGTGGAATCCTCAAGGAGGGGGCCCCAAATGGCCCTCCCTGTATAGTGCAGCACAGTAGATGAATTTCATGGTATATCCATACTACATTGTCACTACCATTTACCTCCTACTTGAATGAGTTAAACAGGTGCTGCACTGCAAACAATCACTCTTACTCTCCTCACTCCTCATGCAATGCATTCTCCTTACTTGCATGAACTTTCTCCATCTTCTCCCAGGTGAGCCATTCTTTAAAGGCTCAACTGAAGGGTCACTGATTAATGGAGATATTCTGACAATACCCTTCCAAATTAAGATTGACTCCTTTTGCCTAGTACATTATCTCTAAAATAATGACATATATTTTTACCATTTCAATGGTTGCCTTTTAATTTTGTTGATTGCTTCCTTTGCTGTGCAGAAACTTTTTAGTTTGATGTGGTCCCATTTGTTTATTTTTGCTTTTTGTTGCCTGTGCTTTTGGTGTCATGTCCAAGAAGTCACTGTCCAGACCAACGTCCAGGAGCTTTGTTCTTAGTTTTCTTTTAGGAGTGTTACAAGTTAGTGTCTTATATTTAAGTCTTTAATTCATTTCAAGTAAAGTTTTGTTTATGGTATAAGGTCAAGGGCCAATTTTATTCTATTACGTATGGATATCCAGTTTTTCTGACATCATTTATTGAAAATACTACCCTTTCTTTATTGTCTATCCTTGTTGCCTCCTTGCAGGTCACTGTGCAGGTTCTTGGGAAGTAGGATTGTGGCTAAAAGGAGCTTGAACCAAGTCACAGGGCTTCCTCAGAGTCCACAGCTGGAACAGAGGTCTACAGGTCAGCCTCTGGGGGTACGAATGGGTGTGCCTTCTGTCAAGTTCCTAGGAAGGTAGAAATGCCCCAAAACTGCAGCTGAGAGGGGCCAGAGCCTAGTCACAGGCTGCTTCAGGGTCTGTTGCTAAGACTGAGGTTGGCAGGCCTGCTATCCATGGTATAGGTGGGCATGACTTCCCCTGGGTACCTAGTCAGATGCTACTGGTGACAGGAGCAAAACCAAACAGAATTATAGCTGAGTCCACAGAGGGACAGGGCTATTTCTGGGTCTGTACCTGAGATCACAATCTGTTACTTGGGAGTAGATCTGCTTTCTCAAAATTACTGTCTTTGGTCTTGGGGTCCACCAGGGTTTTGCAACTTTCTACCTGATCTCAATGTTCCAGCATTGGCACTTTGTTCATGGCCTGCTAAATTATTGCTGTGGTGGAGTTTGAGCAGGGGGCCTCCTATTCTTCCATCTTGCTGATACACTTTTTTTTTTAATTTTCTGAAAATGTTTTTACAAAATCAGCAAAATCAGTATTATTTCTTCCTTAAACGTTTGATAGAACATAATATTGAAGTCACCTGGGCCTGAAGATTTCTTGACAGATATGGGCTATTTGAATTTTCTATTTTATCTTATGCCAGTTTTATTAAGTTTCAATTTTTAAGGGCTTTTCCTCCTTCATCTAAGCTATTGATTTTGCTGACATAGGTATTATAGGATGTATAAGATATTTCCCCTTTTATTTCTGATTAATAATTTGCGTTTTCTTTCTCTTTTTCTTGATTTGTCTAGTGAGATGTTTATTACTTAAGAAAACATCTTGAAAACCAGCTCTTGGTTTCATTGATTTCTCTACTGTTTAATAAGGTTTGCATTTTATACTTTTTCCTGCTTTCACTTTTATAGTTGCCCACGTATTTATCGTTTTCAGTATTCTTTATTCCTTTATTTAGGTACGAGTTGCCTAAAGAACTGACATTAGCATTTCTTGTAGTGCATATTTACTAGTAATACGTCTGCCACCTTCGTCTTAAAATGTTTTGTCTTCTTTTTTGATGTACATTTCTCTGGAAAGAGAATTATACATTAAAAATGCTTTTTTTGTTTTGTTTTGTTTTGTTTTTACTTATTGTTTGTTGTTGTTTTGGATTGTCTTCTAATTTGAATTACTTCTTATAAGAAGCCAGTAGTCAATCTTAACTTTGTGCATCAATTGTCTTTTTTTTCTTTTTTATCATTAATTTATAGCTATTTTCCTATAATATTTGCCTGGCATTATGAGTGCCCCATTTTTGAGAGTCTGAGTGATGTTGTCTTCTTTTAGACAGTGTTGAGATTTTACTGGTAAGCAGATAATTTGTTGGCAAATCAGCTTTTTTTGTTCGCAAATTGGCTTCTTTTATGTGTGTGTGTAGGCTTGTTTTAGGCTTTGCTAGGATCAGACAAATAATACCCCTTACTTCTGAGCTGTATTCAGCATTGTGGCCCTTCTGCGGTTTCAGCTATATATCCCACATGTTATACCAGGATTGTTTAAGTGTTCAAAACTCTAATAACCCTAGAACTGTGTGAACTCCACAATATCTGTTTGGCTCACAGCCCCCCAGTGGCTTTCCTCTCAGTCTTGTGCAGTATCCCTTTGTGCATGCTCAATTTTAAATTTGACTAGAGACTCAGTGAGACTAATTTTCAGATTTCTGGAGCTCCTTTTTTGTGCAGTTCTTATCTCTTGAGTACTATGACCTGTAATTTCCAGCCTCTGTAGAAGTCTCAAACTCTATTTTTTCTTCCACTTGGAAAAATCATTTCATTCTATTTTGATTTCACTTTCCTCAACTGCCGTTTAGAAAATGTTCTTAAGCAGAAAGCTGGGGTGAAAGTAGAGCTCAGTTTGTGTGTTTCCATTCTCTCCAGGATCACAGGACCACTGTCTGTGTCCAATGTCTGAAACTAGTTGCTTTATACATTTTCTCCAATTTTATACTTGCTTAAGACAGGGAGGTAAATCTGACACCTGCTATTCCAGAATGGTGTAAATGGGAAGCCCCCTGTTATTATTATTATTTTAAAAATTCTGGTTGAATTTTTCTTAAAGTTGCATACAATAAAGTTCATTTTTTGAGTTGCATTATTCCATGAGTCTTTGACAAATGCATAGACTTGTGTGACTATCATCACAGTACTATACAGAGCAGTTCTATCACCCTAATATTTCTTTTATGGGACTTCTTTGTAATAAACTCTGTCCACCCTCTTCCAGCATCTGACAACCATTGACGTGTTTTCCATCTGTATAATTTTGCCTTTTCCTGAATATCAAGTACATAGAATCATCCAATATTGTAGTCTTTTGGATCTTGCTCCTTTCCCTCTGCAAAATGAATTTACAATTTATCCATGTTACATGAATCTATAGTTCATTTCTTTTTATAGCTTATAGTATCTCACTGTATGAATTGCTACAGATTCTTTATCTATTTACCTATTAAAATCATCTTGTTTCCAATTTTTGACAGTTATGAATAAAATTGCTATAATACTCATGTATAGATTTTTGTATGAATATAAGTTTTCAATTCACTTGGGTAAATACACAGTTAATGGATTGTTGGGTCATATGTAAGTGGATGTTTAACTTTACAAGAAACAAACTGTTTTCCAAAATTACTGTGCCATTTTGTATTTCTCACCAGCAATAAATATGAGTTCCTGTTCTCCACATCCTTAGGAGCATTTGATATTGTAATTTTGGTTTCTTACCTTTTAATTTAAGCCATTCTAATAAGAATGTAATAGTACTTCGTTGTTGTCTTTATTTGCAGTTTCCACATCTTTACATATGCTTATTTGCCATGAATATGTACTGAATAAAGTCGACTTAGATAACCTATATAGACAATATGCCACGACAATGAAGTGTATTTGTTTTCAAGTGGACATGGATCATTTAGCACAAGGGACCATAAACTGGCAGATGCATCAAGCCTCAAAACTTTTCAAGATATTAAAATCATGCAGTTATCAGAATTAAGTAATGATAACTAAAAAATTCTTAGATTTTAGGAAACTGAGCAATATACCTCTAAATACTCCATGAGTCAAATAAGACTAGAGAAGATCAGAGAATATTTTAGCTGAATAATTACAAAACTATAACATAAAATTTGTGAGATGTAGCCAAGTCTATGTTTAGAGAATAATTTGCAGCTTAAGATGCTTATACTAGAGCGAAATAGTATCTAAATATAACAATGGTCTAAACAGATATCTGAAAAGGAAAACAATAGAAAAATATAAACCTAATGATAGTAGGTTGGAGTAAGTAAGGTGAAAATTAGAATAAAAAATAACTAAATAAAATTTAAAAGTGAAATCAAATGAATCAAGGATGCTATTGTTATTCATAAAGGCTAATGATAATTTAATTTAAAGCAATGTAAATCTAGTTATCTGTTCAATAAGTGCATGATACAAGGTAAAATGTTCAGGTCCATAGATAATTACATTTTTAAAGTATTTTGAAGTTTGAGATCCCTATTCTATTACATAAGCAGAGGCTTATGTAGTAGAATATTACATAATAAATATTATATATTTATTAAAATATAAAATAATAATATTTTGTTATTCATAAAGGCTAATGAAACTGAACAAGACAAACGGAGAGAAAACCAAAATTGGAAAGAGATAAACAGGAATGAACAAGATCATAAAAAAGTACAAAAGAGAATAAAATGACAATTCACAGACTGGGAGAAAATATTTGCAAATTATATATCTGACAGAGGAGTGCATCCAGAATACATAAAGAACACCAAAAAACAGCAGTAAGAGAACAAATGACCAAATACAAATGGGAAAAATATTTAAACTTTATTTTTACATATCTAGTTATAACATATTTATAATTCTGTAAATGCTGAAAGCTTTAATTGTTAAACATTCATACATGTACAAAGCACATGGATACACTTTTTAAACATAACTAGCCAAAATCTACCTACTGTGATTCTGTGATTTTTTTAATCCTACTTTTCCTTTTAAAAACATGTTTAGAAAATCAATGCACTCCTTCTTTTACGTGACATCTATTTGAAGGTTACTTTTTCGTTTTCTCCCAAGTTCTCATTCCTCCAGGCTCAACTGTTCTCCGTACAATTTTATTTTTAGATCATTTTCCATCCAGCTTTAAACCTCATTTTTTTGCCACACGTTTTTGTGCTCTTGTCATCCACAGAGAATAGGAATAGGTGATATCCATGGCCTAATCCTCCAGATGGAAATTATAGGGCTAAGTGTGGAAGTATTGATAGTTCCCCAATTTGAATCCTATTTCTCTTAATTTTGCCTAGTTTGCCTTAAGAAAAACATTAGGCTGGGGAGTGGGGGGCAGTCAAATGTCACTTTGCTTCTACAAATTGTACCCCAACTCTCCTGCACTATCAATTTTTACCTTCTGTCTGGATCATTTCCACCAGCATTCAAACACGATGCCATATCTCCCTTTTTTCAAAACAGCAACTCGAAAAATTAAAACAATTATCATCCTTTAGGTATGACCTACTATATTGAAAGGGTTTTCAGTCTCCACAAACTTATTTTTATTCTCTCTTGAAACTGTTCTGGTCAAGCTTTTATCTTAATAATTCCACTGAAATCATTCTTGTCAACATCACCCCCTAACTCCCACATTGCCAAATCTAACAGTGAACTCATAGATATTGCCTTATTCAAAGTCAGCAGCATCTGACAGAGTCAATCACTTTGTTAACTTGATTTAAGCTGTATTACCTTCTTTGTTTTCTACTGCCACTTCTTAGTGTCCTTAGTTTGATCTTTCTGACTTTCAAATGAAGAAGCACTCAAGGGCTCAGTTTTTGGACTTCTTCCTCTTCTTCCTTACTGAATGACATACAGTCATATAGTTTTAAATATAACCCATACACAGATAACACCAAAATATGTTATCTCCAGCCTCTGTTTATGTAATAGAATAGGGATCTCAAACTTTAAAATACTTTAAAAATGTAATTATCTATGGACCTGAACATTTTACCTTGTATCATGCACTTATTGAACAGATAACTAGTTTACATTGCTTTAAATTGAAAAATTTTGTCTTCTTTCTATCCACCAGCCTCTCAATCCCCCTCTCTGGGGTTAATAAATGCTATCATTTAAAAATAGTCTTTCAGAGATAGATATACATGTATAAGCAAATGTATACATCTTCCCCTCCTCATTATACAAATGTTAGCTTGCTAGTTTGTACATTTGTATCCACAACTATATATCATCTTGGACATCACAACATGTGAACATAGATCTTTCTCATCTATCTCTTTTTTACTGCATATTTTATTATATAGCTGTATCTTAATTTGCTTAATCAATTCTTTACTGCTAATCAGTAGTAGCTTGTCTCCATCTTTTGCTATTACAAACAATACTGCAATGAATAACTTTATACACATGCTATTTCTCACCTATGCAGGTGTATCTCTAGGATAGATTCCAAAAGTGGAATTTCTAAGTCAAAGGAGGGAAGCAACTCTAATTGTGATCAATTTCTGACAAACTGTTCTTCATATGGATTTCAAAAATTTACATTCCCATTAGCAATGTATGAAATATCTTGTTTTCCCACACTCTTGCTAACATTGCCTATAATGTTGTATTAAACTGTTTTATTTTGTCAATCTGATAAGTAAAAATATTATATCTCTCAGAAATTGTAATTAGCACTTTTCTTATTTTAAGTGAAGCTGGACATCTTTTCCTATGTTTAATTAACATATGTACAGTATATTCTTTTCTGTGAACTTTTCATATTCATTTCATTAGATTGTTGGTAATTTTCTTATTGATTCATATAAACTCTTTATAGATAAGGAAAATTCATCCATTGTAATATGATCCAAACATTTCTTTCACGTGTCTTTTGTCTTTGAATTTGCTTGTGGCTTTTAGAAACATATTTAGAAATAGAATATACAAACTATAGGCACCATTTAAAGAATAATACACAAATAATGTATCTCTGCATAGTCCCCTATATGCTAATCTTAAATGATGTATTACCCTCTCCAACTATTATCCTAAATTTTATTAATTACATTTTGGTTTTCTTTTTAAGCTTATGTTCATATATCCTTAAATAAAATATTGTTTAATTTTGTCTGTTGCTGAAATTTACATAAATGGAATTATATATATTTTGCGTTCATGGTTTCTGTTGCTCATATGATGTTTTTGAGGTCATGCTGATGTATGTCCCTTTAGTTTATTAATTTTTATTGCTGTATAGTATTACATTACATAGAAAATATCATAATTTATTAATATGGATATTGACAGATATTTGACTTGCTTTTCTAATCTATCTGTACATTTATTCATTTTGCTATTATGAATAATGCTTCAGTGAGCATCTTTTACATCTCTTGATGCACATGTGCAATCATTTGCCTAAGATTGTACCTAGAAACAGAATAACTGACTTTTAGATTTCGTTAATGTTAAAATTGAATAGGTTATACCAAAATGTGTTTCAAAGTGTTTTTCCCAGTTATACTCCTACAAGCAATACTTGTGTCCTTTTTCTCTATGTCTTTCCCAGTGCTTGGTATTAGGTGACTTATTCTTTTATTAATTTATTTTTTACTATCATGGGTGTTTTTATTAAAAGGAGACTTCTTTCCTGTCATTTCTGAGTGCTTAGCAAGTCTGAACAGCAGGGTTGAAGAGGGCCACTTTTTAACTACCCATGTCCCAGTGAGGCCAATTAGTGTCTGAGAGTGGAAATAGGGTTCAAGGAGCTGTTCAGGGAGAGAGGGACCACTCTCTATCAGACTAAGGCCTCCTCCACAGCTTGGTGCCAGCCTTCAGACCTGAAGCACGTGAAGACAGTGGATAGAGTGGGAGACAGTGCATGGTTGAGCTGCCTACAGCCTGGTTGGGCATGTAGGTGAGTTATTAATTCTTGCCAACCTTTATGGTGAAAAATGCTATTTTATTATGGTTTTAATTTACATTCCCTGATTATTATTGAGTATGAGCATTTTAAAAATACGCTTTCATTTATCTATACACTATTCTTGTTTCTCCTGTGGGATGCCTAGTCATGTCTTTTATGCCTTTCTTTTTTGTCGCTTTCTTATAATTTATATAATTGCTTTTTTATTTTTTAAAAACTTTGTCATAAAATATACATGAAATAGTGTTTATTATTGTAAACTTTTTTCAACTTCAATTTTAATTGACAAACAATTTATGGGGTACAATATAATGTTTATTTTTTAAGAGATTCAAATGTTTTGTTTCTAAGCAGTTAAAATATACAGAGAAAGGCCGGGCATGGTGGCTCATGCCTGTAATCCCAGCACTTCGGGAGGCCGAGGTGGGCGGATCACGAGGTCAGGAGTTTGAGATCAGCCTGGCCAATATGGTGAAACTTTGTCTCTACTAAAAGACAAAAACCAAAAATTAGCTGGCGTTGTGGCACGTGCCTGTAATCCCAGCTACTCGAGAGGCTGAGGCAGAAGAATCGCTTGAACCTGGGAGGCGGAGGTTGCAGTGAGCTGAGATCATGCCACTGCACTCCAGCCTGGGCGACAGAGCAAGACTCCATCTCAAATAGATAAATAAATAAATAAAATTTGTTTTCAAACACTAAACAAAACAGTAGATCTTTTTCATAAATACCAAATGCCTTATGTTGAAGGCAAATAAATGGGAATATTTCTTTGTTACAATTTAATCCATCCATAGATGGATATCATTTTTGGCATTCAAAAACATGCAGTAACTGGCAAAGCAATGCAACTTTTAGAATATAATAGAAAAGATTATGTCTTCAGGGTAGAGAATAAATTTTCTTTTTTATCATTTTGAAATATATTTTTAAATTTTTGAAATATGTTTTTAAAATTTTTTCATTTTAGATTCAGAGTGTGTTACCTGGGCATATTGTGTGATGCTGAGGTCTGGGGTATGATTGAACCTGTCACTCAGGTACTGAGCAGAGTACCTGAAAGGTAGTTTTTCAACCCTTGCCCTCCTTCTTCCCTCCTACCCCAGTAGTCCCTCCCACTGCTAGTAGTCCCTTTTAGGAGTTTCTATTGTTGCCATCTTTATGTCCATGAGTACCTGATGTTTAGCTCCAACTTATACATGAGAGCATGTGGTATTTGGTTTTCTGTTCCTGTGTTAATTTGCTTAGGATAATGGCCTTTAGCTGCATCCTGTTGCTGCAAAGAACATGTTCCTTTTTACTATTGCATAGTATTCTGTGGTGTATATGTACAACATTTTCTTTATCCGGTCCATGGTGATTAGCACTTAAGTTGATTCCATGTCTTTGCTATTGTGAATAGTGCTTCAATGACATGTGACTGCATGTGCCTTTTTGGTAGACTGATTTGTTTTCCTTTGGATATGTACCCAATAATGGGATTCCTGGGTCAAACAGTAGTTTTAAGTTCTTTAAGAAACCTCCAAACTGCTTTCCACAGTGGCTAAAATAATTTATATTTCCATCAACAGCCTTTCCTTTCTTCCACAGCCTTGCCAGCATCTGTTGTTTTTTGACTTTTAATGAGAGCCATTCTGACTGGTGTGAGATGGTATCTCACTGTGGTTTTGATTTGCATTTCTCTGACGATTAGTGGTGTAGAGTATTTTTCCATATGTTTGTTGGCTCCTTGTGTGGCTTCTTTTGAGAAGTATCTGTTCATGTCTTTTGCCCATTTTTAATGGGGTTAATTGTTTTTTCCTTGTTCAGTTGGTTAAGTTTCTTACATTCTGGATATTAGAATTGTGTCTAGTATTTGTGTAGTTTGCAAATATTTTCTCCCATTCTGTAGGCTGTCTATGTACTCCGCTGACCATTTCTTTTGCTATGCAGAAGCTCTTTAGGTTAATTAATTCCCACTTGTGAATTTTTGTTTTTGTTGCAATTGCTTTTGAGGACTTAGTTATAAATTATTTCCCAAGGCTAATGTCCACAGTGGTGGTTTCTAAATATCTTCTAAGATTCTTATAGCTTGAGGTCTTAACATTTAAATCTTTAATTCCATTTTGAGTTAGTTTTTGCATATGGTGAAAAGTAGGAGTTCAGTTTCATTCTTTTGCATATGGCTAGCCAACTATCCCAGCACCATTTATTGAATAGGGAGTCCTTTCCCCATTCTTATTTTTGTCAACTTTGTCCAAGATCAGATAGCTGTAAGTGTACAGCTTTATTTCTGGGTTCTCTATTCTGTTCCATTAGTCTGTGTCTGTTTTTGTACCAGCACCATGCTGATTTGGTTACAGTAGCCTTTTAGTATAGATTGAAGACAGATAATATGATGTTTCTGGGTTTGTTCTTTTTGCTTAGAATTGCCTTGGCAATTCAAGGTCTCTTTTATTTCCATATGAATTTTAAAATAGCTTTCCTAGTTCTGTGAAAAAAAAATGGCATTGGCAGTTTGATAGGAATAGTGTTCAACCTCTAAATTGCTTTGGGTAATATAACCATTTTAATGATATTGATTCTTCCAGTCCATGAGTGTGGAATGTTTTCCCATTTGTTTGTGTCATCTGTAATTTATTTTAGCAATATTTTGCAGTTCTGCTTGTAGAGATCTTTCATCTCTTCAGTTACATGTATTTCTGGGCATTTTATTTTTTATGTGTGGCTACAATATGATGTTTTGATACATGTATGTATTGTGGAATGATCGAATCAGGCTAATTAATGTATCCATCACCTTACATACTTATCATTTCTTTGTGGTGAGAACATTTAAAATCTACTTATTTAGCAATTTGATATATATAATACATTATTATTAACTACAATCAACATGCTGTGTAATAAATCACCAGAATTTATTCCTCCATCTATCTGACACTTTTTACGCTTTGACCAACATCTTCCCTTTCTCCATCCACCTTATTCGCCCCCACCCTCTTCAGCCTCTGGTAGCCACCCTTCTACTCTCTAATTCTATAAATTTGACTTCTTTACATGCTACATACAAGTGAGATCATGTGCTATTTTTCTTTTTGTGCCTGGCTTCTTTCACTGAGCATGTCCTCTAGATTCATTCATGTTGTCATAAATAAAAGAATTTCCTTCTTTTCTGGGGCTGAATAGTATTCCATTGTGTATATATATTGCTTTTTAAAGAAATCCATTTATCTACTGATGCGCACTTTGATTGTTCCTATGTTTTCATTATTGTGATAGTTTTAATTATTTTTAAATGTACAGTTCAGCAGTGTTAAGTATATTTACATTGTTATGTAACTAATCTCCAGAATTTTGTAATCTTGCAAAATCAGAACTCTATACCAATAAAACAACAGCTCCCATTTCCCCCTACCCCAGGCCCTGGCAGACACCATTCTACTTTTATATTTCTATGAGTTATTTCAATGAGTTTGCATACTCTAGATGACTTGTATGTATGAAATTATACAGTATTTGCCTTTTTGTGATTGGCTTATTCCACTTACCATAATGTCCTCAAGGTTCATTCACGTTGTTTCATTTTTCAGAATTTCTTTCCTTTAAGGTTAAATAATATTACATTGTACTTATATATACCACACTTTGATTATCCCTTCATCCATTAGTAGACATTTGGGTTGCTTCTACCTTTTGGCACTTGTTAATAATGCTACTATGAGCATGGTATACAAATATCTTTTCAAGACCCTGCTTTGAACCCTTTTGTATGTATATCTAGAAGTAGACTTGCTGGATCATATGGTTATTCTATTTTTAATTTTTTGAAGAACTACCATACTGGTTTCTATAGTGGCGGAACCACTTTACCTTCCCATCAACAGTGCACAAGAGTTCCAGTTTCCCCACAAGAAGATACATCATTATGGTTTTGATTTGCATTTCCCTAATGAATAGTGATGTTGAACATCTTTTCATATGTTTGTTGGCAATTTGTGTGTTATCTTTGAAGAGATGTCTATTCAAGTAGATTCATAGAAGTTGTAAATACTGTATATACATGTATATACATATAAATATTAGATTGGTGCAAAAGTAATTGCGAGTTTTGCTGTTACTTTTAATACATATTTAGTTACATAGATTTATAGGAGTTACAAATTTTGTATGCATTATGTGTATATATGTGTGTGTGTGTATATATATATATACACACATACAAGTGAGATATACATACGTATACATACATATATACATACATACATATAATTTTGAAATATACATACATATAATTTTGTGTTACAAAATTCTTCCAGTTTGGAGTTTGCCTCTTTTTTTTGAGAGAGTGTCTCACTCTGTCACCCGTGCTGGTGTGCATTGGTGCAGTCTTGGCTCACTGCAACATCCCAAGCTCAAGCAATCCTACCTCAGCCTCTCCAGTAGCTGGGACCATAAGTACATGCCACCACACTCAGCTAATTTTTTTATTTTTTGAAGAGACAAGGTTTTGCCATTTTGCCTAGGTGGGTCTCAAACTCCTGAGCTCAAGCAATCTGCCTGCCTCAGCCTTCAAAGGGCTGGGATTACAGGCATGAGCTACCATGCCTGGTGTAGAGTTTGCCTTTTGATGAATAGAGTTTTTTTTTTAATTGATATTGTTTAATATGCCCATCTATTCCTTAATAGCCCTGTACTTTTTGTTTTTAATATCTTCCCTATCTTAAATTCATATTTTCTATTGTTTTCTCCTAATTATGTTTAAGTATTGCTTTCACATTTAAATCTTTGAGATATGTCGAGAATTGATTTTGTAAATGTTATGACTGGTTCCTACTCCCATCCTCATTTTGACACTTGATTACCCCAGCACAATTTATTGATTAGTCTTTTTTCCACTGATATTAATTACCTAATCTGTTATTTATCATGCTTTTGGTATGTGAGTAGGTCTGTTTCTGTACTCCTTTTGTCTATCTTTCTCTCTTATGCTAGTACCATACTATCTTAATTGTTTGAGTTTTATACTATATTTAATAAATTATAAGATGCATGTTTATTTTATGTTTAGCCCATCTGATGATGGAATATCACTTGGCCAGAGGGCAGTCATAATGCAGATTTTTTTCCTAAGCAACTGCAAATTTAATTATAGATGGTCATATTGTAGTCACTTACATTAAGTTATATGCATTATGATTTATACATGTGATGTGTGTAATTACTACTTGAATTGCTTTAAAAATATGCACTATGGTTTCTCATTGAAAGGAAGATTCATTGTATATTCATAACATCCCCAAAACATAGCAGTTGGGCATAAAGTTGCAAAACAAATTATTGTTGGAGAAATAACCATAATTTTATATTTTTAAAGACAATATCAAATGCTTAATAGAACCTAATAAATTAAGATAATCATAAGTAGGTGACACTATTTTACATTTATTTATTAAGATACATGCAAAAAATTTTCTATCACAATCAAAGTAATTAATCAAGAGACAGGAGAAATGGTCTAATAGATAAAAATGGTCAAATACATAAAAGAAATTTCAAAGCATTGAAAGGCTAGTGTGACTCATTCATGCATTATGCAGCTTATCATTAAGTCTATCATGCTTCATCACATAGAGTGATAGTGTTTTTTCTTTCTTAACAGTACATAAATAGTAACGTATATTACAAATTATGCCACCTTAGATTTGAGGAAATAAGATAATTAAAATCAATACTAGCAGAGCAAGTTCTGATTCTCAGTTTTCTCCTAAGAAGTGCATAGATTATTTTTTGTTTCATTTTTTCATACAGACTTTGGGAACAGTTTATCAAGTTTCACTAAGAAAACAGCAAACAAAACCATTGATTGATTGAAATTGTATTGAATCAATGATTTAATTGAGATTGAATTCCATTATTCTGATAATGCAAGTTTTTATCCATGAATATGACATATCTCTCCACTTTGGAATATCTTCCTTATTATATTTCAACAGATCATTATAATTGTCTTCATAAAGTCCATGCACGTTTGTTATGGGTTGAATTGCATCCCTCTAAAACATGTGTTAAAGTCTTAAACCTCAGTATCAGTGAATGTGATCTTACTAGGAAGTAGATTATTTGCACATATAATCACATTAAAATGAAGTTATACTCAATTAGAGTACAACCTAATCTGATGTAAATGGTGTCCTTATAAGGAAGGGAGAGAGACATACAAAGAGAAAACAGCCATGTGAAGCACAGAAATTAGAGTTAAGCTGCCACAAGACAAGAAATGCACAGGGCTACCAGAAGCTAAAAAAATCAAGAGGGATCCTTTCCTAAAGTTTAGGAAGAAGCATGGCTCTGCCAACACCTTGGTTTCAGACATCTAGCCTCCAGAACTGTGAGAAAATGAATTTCTATTGTTTTAAGCCACACAGTTTGTGATAATTTGCTATGGCAGTTCTAGAAAACTAATATTTTGTTGTATTTTAACTATTTGTGTATAGCACACAGAAAGTCCATTGAGTTTTGGTATTGATATATTTTCATTAGTTTAACAATTTGTAGATTCTTTTGAATTCCTCGGTATAGATAAATATACCAACTAAAAAAACATTGTAGCTTTAGTTCTTTCCAATTCCAAAATTAGAAAATATCTTATTTTTCTAATTTTATTGTGATGGTTAGGATTTTTAGTACAATGTTGAATTTAAGAAATGATAGAAGGTATCCTTGCCCTTTTCTGATTTAAGACAATAATTTTTAACAGCCCATATTTAGATATGACATTCACTGTAGTTTTTATGTAAATGCCACTTATCAGATAAAGAAAATGCTTTTCAGTTTTTAATTTGCCAGATTTCACTATAAATGAAGAGAATTATTCTTTTTTAGTGTGATTAAGATGCTGGTTTACTTTTAATTTTAATTTTAATTTTCACTTCTGGGGTACATATGCAGCATGTGCAGGTTTGTTACATAGGTAAACGTGTGCCATGGTGCTTTGTTGCCCCTATCAGCCCATCAGCTAGGTATTAAGACCAACATGCATTAACTGTTTTCCCTAATGCTCTCCCTCCCTCAACCCCACCCTCCAACAGGCCCCAGTGTGTGTTGTTCCCCTCCCTGTGTCCATGTGTTCTCATTATTTAGCTCCCACTTATATGTGAGAACATGCAGTGTTTGGTTTTCTGTCCCCGCGTTAGTTTGCTGAGGATATTGGCTTCCAGCTCCATCCAATGTCCCTGCAAAGGACATGATCTTTTTCCTTTTTATGGAAGAGAATTCTTAATCAAATATGTTTCTATGTATAACAGACATTTATATAGTTTTCCCCCTTTAATTGCTTAATGTGGTAAAAACATGCTGATTTTAGTGTTAAATCACTTCAAATTTCTAGAATAAATTTAAGTCATAATGTATTCCTCTATTTTCTTGTGGTGTGTTGTGTAAATATATATTTTTTAAATTTTTGTTTCCATTTGCATGAGTGAGATCTGCCTTTAATTTTGATATTGGTATCAAAATTATGATAGCCTTGTTAAATATGTTGAGAAACATTCTTTCTTTTTCTGTTTGCCAGAAGAAATTATATGTAGTAGGGGTTATCTGTTCCTTGACTATTTGGTAGAATTTATCAGTAAAAGCCATTTGAGACTGATTCAGTTTTGTTATTGGTTATTGGATTCCTTGGGTTCTTAATTTTTCACAAATTAGTCTCTTTTGTGTTCAACATTTTTAAAAAAACTTATTCGTATATGTTTTACATATTACATGCTAATTTAAAATATCCTTCATTGTTTTTAATCTCTGGGATCCATAGTTATCACACACACACACACACACACACAACTTTTTCTAAATATTATTTGATTGTGAATTCTTCTGATAATTATCTG
This sequence comes from Homo sapiens, assembly GCF_000001405.40. Classification (NCBI taxonomy): domain Eukaryota; kingdom Metazoa; phylum Chordata; class Mammalia; order Primates; family Hominidae; genus Homo; species Homo sapiens. Next base: position 163,114,338 of record NC_000001.11, on the reverse strand, counting down.
AAAGTTTTTTCATTTCATTGGCCTCTTTTTAAAAAAAACTTTTGGCTTTACAAATCATTTTTATTATATAATTTTTCTTTATTTGATTAGTTTCTGCTCATGTCTTTATGATTACCTTCTTTGTTTTTGTGGTCTACCTGGCTGTCCTTATTTTAATGTCTGAAGTTGGATGTTTAGCTCATTATTTTTTAGACTTTCTTGATTTTTACTGCATGCTATAGAATAAATCTCCTAAGTACTGCTTTAACTCCGTTATACAAGTTTTGATACATAGTGTTTTCATAATTATTTAATTCTAATAAAATTTTGTTTTCTATTATAATTTTACCTTTAATTATTTACAAGTATGTTTCTAAATCTTCAAATGTATTTTTTCCAGTCATTCTTGGTTTTGATTCATAACCTGACTATATTGTTTAATTATAGATAGTCTTTACGAAAATAATTCATTGAAATTTGTTGGGGTTCACTTTATATCTCAGCACACGGTAAATTTTTGAAGATTTTTCAAGAAAACTTCAAAAGAATGTGCATTCTCCAGTTGTTGGTTTTCATGTTAAGTTTATAAATGCTCAGATGTATAGATTGTACTTTTTAAATCATCGAAACTCTTACTGATTTATTGTTTGTGTGATCAATTAATTACTAAGAGAAGGAACATTCATCCATGACAGAGGAGTAACTTGTATCATGCAAACCCTCCTACTGAGAACAACTACAATATGTGGGAGAAATAAAAAATAGCCATATGAGGTCATCAAAATGCACCCAAAACAGTCAGTAATTGAATGGTAAGATACTAGAGTGAAGAAAAATATATTGAGATAAATCCTACATTTATCCATTGCTTTTTTCTCCCAGAGAATTTGTTGACTCTTGGCATGGAGTGTAAATTCTGAAAAGAGAGTAGTAGAACCCTACAGTTTGCAGTGTCATCAGTGGGCTGAGGGACAAACATTGGGAGCAGCCAGGACTGAGGAGCCAATATCATTGAGATGGAAGAAATGGTAGAGAAATTAGACAAAATTCTGAATTCAGTTCCCCCTATGTCAGTGATAGATTCCTATGCTGCATATGCATGGTATGGAGGCTATGAAACCAAGCAGAATGCATCTTGCATTTGCTAAAGCAGAGATCTTGACAGTGTTGAGGGTTTAAAAATAACATTGCGTCATAGGAAGACTTTGTCTAAATTAAGATTATCTAATTTTCCAATTTTTTTCCCTCACAATCTTATAGCTTCGTTTGCCATTAAAACTGATTCATTTGGAACTTATTCCAGCATAAAGTCCAAGATAGACTTTATTTTTTGCCATATGGCTATCCATTTGTCTTTGAACCACTTATTTAATAATCAACCTTTATATTCTGATTTGAGATGTTATCTTCATCACAGAGAAAATTGGCGTCTTAAAATAAATGTAACCAAAATTAGAGTCAGACATTTTGCTCTCAAACTCACCCTCCTCTGTCCCTTCTCCAATGTTTCCTATTTCAATGAATGATACCACTAGTCACCCAGTTGTTAGACCAAAACCTTAAACTCATCCTTTACTCCTCTTTTCTTTAAACCCATTGCCCATTCCTTCTACAAATTTTATTGTGTCACCTTCAAAAATATATACAGGATCTGACCACTTTTCACCACCTCCACAGTTATCATCTTGTGTCCAAGCTATCAATATGTTCTTCTGGGCTCCTGAAATAGCCTCTTAACTGTCTCTTTGCTTCCATTCTTGCCTTCGCTTTCTTAATTCATATATTCGATTCTTCACACTGCAGCCAAAGTGATTTTTTTAAAAACCTAAATCAGTTAAGAGCCATATGATGGTTTCCCATAAGACTTAGGATAAAATCTAAAATGTATACCATGATCTTATATGATCTAATGCTCACCTTCCAAACTCCTTCTTTACCACTCTTCCCCTAGTCATTCTTTATTATCCATCTCAATGTTCTTCAAACATTCAACACATTCTTTTCTCTAGGACTTTGTGCTTGCTATTATTTTATTTAAAGTGTTTGGATTTTTGGGGTTAGGCTTAGTGGCTCACACCTGTAATACCATCACTTTGGGGGGGCCGAGGCAGGTGGATCATTTGAGGTCAGGAGTTCAAGACCAGCCTGGCCAACATGGTGAACCCCTGTCTCTACTAAAAATACAAAAAAATTAGCCAAGAGTGGTGGTGGGCGCCTGTAATCCCAGCTATTCAGGAGGCTGAGGCGAGAGAATCACTTGAACCCAAAAGGCAGAGGCTGCAGTGAGCCAAGACCGTGCCACTGCATTCCAGTCTGGGTGACAGAGCAGGACTACATCTAAAAAATATAATAATAATGATAATAATAATAATAATAATAAAATAATAAAGTATTTGGATTTTTTTCTGCCAGATATTCACATGGCTCACATTCTTAGGTCAATTTAAACTTTCATTCAAATGTTCTTTTCTCTGACCTTTTACTAATACCTGTCTAAAATATTACATTGCCACTTTCTATTTTCTTACTCTGTTTTATGTTTCTTTACACAATATTATATACACACATGTGCACACATACACACACACATATGTATGTATATTTCCTATTTGATTAACTACACATTCACTTAACTAAATTGTTGGCTTTTTCCATATTTTTCCACCTGGTATCCAATGGTATTTTAAAATATATATTAAAAATTCTGCTGGAATCTAAATATATTGTTTTGACATTCTCTGATATGCCAGTAAATCTTCTCAAAAAAGAATAATGAGGCCCATTTGCAATTACTTGTTTCCTATGAATCAATGCTTTTTTCCAGTAATAACTACTTCTTTCACTACAATGTCTTATCAAGCCATCTGCATCTGCATAATCAACTTCTTAAAATTTTTTAGGAGTTGTATTGAGCAGATTAGTCTCTAGTACAGATAAAAACTCTTTTTTCTTCATTAGATCCTTTAAGAATATTCCACTTGAGTACCATTTTCATTCCATCAAATTTTCCAAAATTATTGACTATGGTTCTGGTGTTTTTAGTACTCTGAAACAGAATTCCCTTGAACATGAAGACTTGAACTCATTTGGAAGCATAAAATTCATGCAACAGAAGCATAGAATAAGAAGAATCACAGAGGCAGATGTAAGCAGCACCCTAATCAATGGCCAAGTGAGAAGAGCTCTGTCATGTCAGTGTCTAATTGTATGTATCAGAGACAAAATCCAATAAACCCTTGAAAATATAAATAACGTTTTCATGTTTTGATTCCATGCTTACTATGAAATCTGATTATCACACAGCTTTAAAAACTATCCCTAGAGCTGGAACTAGAGCATTTCTTCAGGAAGAAACTATTATTGTTTGGAAAATAAGTTGATAAAGTTGAATTGGTAGGTGAGATCTTATGAGTATCGGTTGTCAAAAACAAACAAAAAAAAACAAAAAAAAACAAAAAAAAAATAAAAACAAGAAAACCAAAGAAATCGAGATAAAGTTCTCTGCTCCAGAAATAAAGAGAAAATTATTTGAGGTTGGGAGGTATCTTTATTGTCAATGTTCTGTGTTGTTTTTGAAGGTGGATGTATTAATGTGTGATATAGTTTGGCTGTTTCCCTATTCAAATCTCACCTTGAATCATATCTCCCAGAATTCCCACGTGTTGTGGGAGGGACCCAGGGGAGGTAAATGAATCATGGGGGCTGGTCTTTCCCATGCTATTCTCATGATAGTGAATAAGTCTCACAAGATCTGATGGGATTATTGGGGTTTCCGCTTTTGCTTCTTCCTCATTTTCTCTTGCTGCTGCCATGTAAGAAGTGCCTTTTGCTTCCTGCCATGATTCTAAGGCCTCCCCAGCCATGTGAAGGCTCTTTTTCTATGCAGTCTCGTGTATGCCTTTGTCTGCATCATGAAAATGGACTAGTATAGTAAATTGGTAATAGGAGAATGGGGCATCACTGAAAAGATACTCAAAAATGTTGAAGCAATTTTGGAACGGTCAAAGGTTGGAACAGTTTGGAGGGCTCAGAAGAGGACAGGAAAATGTGGGAAAGTTTGAAACTTCCTAGAGTCTTGTTGATTGGCTTTGACCAAAAGCCTGATAGCAATATGGACAATAAGGTCCAGGCTGAGGTGGTCTCAGATGGAGATGAGAAACTTTTGGGAACTGGAGCAAAGGTGACTCCTGTTATGTTTTAGAAAAGACTGGTGGCATTTTGCTCCTGCCCTAGAGATTTGTGGAACTTTGAACTTCAGAGATGATTCTTCTGGCAGAAGAAATTTCTAAGGAGAAAAGTATTCAAAAGTGACTTGGATGCTGTTAAAAGCATTCCATTTTGAAAGAGAAACAGAACATAAAAGTTCAGAAAATTTGCAGCCTGATGATGTAGTAGAAAAGAAAAACCCATTTTTTGATGAGAAATTCAAGCTGGCTGCAGAAATTTGCGTAAGTAGCAAGGAGCCTAACGTTAATCCCCAAGACCAAGGGGAAAATGTCTCCAGGCCATGTCAGTGACCTTCACAGCAGCCCCACCCACTATAGGCCTGGAGGCCCAGGAGGAAAAAGTGGTTTCATGGACCAGGCCCAGGGTGCCCATGCTGTGTGCAACCTAGGGACTTGGTGTCCTGTGTCCCAGCTGCTCCAGCCATGGCTGAAAGGGGCCAACATAGAGCTCAAGCTGTGGCCTCAGAGGGTGGAAGCCCCAAGCCTTGGCATCTTCCATGTGTTATTGAGTCAAGAATTGAGGTTTGGGAACCTCCACCTAGATTTCAGAAGATGTATAGAAACGCCTGGATACCTAGGCAGAAGTTTGCTGCAGGGGCGGGGCCCTCATGGAGAACCTCTGCTAGCCCAGTGTGGAAGGGATATGTGGAGTCAGAACCCCCACATGGAGTGCCTACTGGGGCACTGCCTAGTGGAGCTGTGAGAAGAGGGCCACCGTCCTCCAGACCCCAGGATGATAGATCCACTGACAGCTTGCACTATGCACCTGAAAAAAGCACAGACACTCAACACCAGCCTGTGAAAGCAGCCAGGACGGGGGCTGTATCCTGCAAAGACACAGCGGCAGTGCTGCCCAAGACCATGGGCATCCACCTCTTGCATCAGCGTAACCTGGATGTGAGACCTGGACTCAAAGGAGATCATTTTGTAGCTTTAAAATTTGACTGCCCTGCTGGATTTTGGACTTGCATGGGCCCTATATCCCCTTTGTTTTGGCCAATTTCTCCCATTTCGAATGGCTGTAGTTACCCAATACCTGTACTTCCATTGTATCTAGGAAGTAGCTAGCTTGCTTTTGATATTACAAGCTCATAGGTGGAAGGGACTGGCCTTGTTTCAGATGAGACTTTGGACTGTGGGCTTTTAGGTTAATGCTGAAATGAGTTAAGGCTTTGGGAGACTGTTGGGAAGGCATGATTAGTTTTAAAATGTGAGGACATGAGATTTGGAGGGGCCAGGGGTGGAATTATATGGTTTGGCTCTGTCCCCACCCAAATCTCAACTTGAATTGTATCTCCCAGAATTCCCACGTGTTGTGGGAGGGACCTGGGGGGAGGTAATTGAATCATGGGGGCTGTTCTTTCCTGTGCTATTCTCATGATAGTGAATAAGTCTCATGAGATCCTATGGGTTTATCAGGAGTTTCCACTTTTCCTTCTTCCTCATTTTCTCTTGCTGCCGCCATGTAAGAAGTGCCTTTCACCTCCCACTATGATTCTGAGGCCTCCACAGCCATGTGGAACTGTAAGTCCTATTAAACCTCTTTTTCTTTCTAGTCTCAGCTATGCCTTTGTTAGCAGCATGAACACAGACTAATACCAAGTGTCACTTGTGTATAATTTAAAATTCATAAAAAAGTAGCATCAACAAAACAAAGAACTAAAATCTGGATACTGGGGAAATCAGGGAAGAGAGGGGAGTAGAGGACAAAATGTTATCGGGTATCTTAGCAGAGTGGCCAAAGTACTTTTAAGAACAGGGATAGCTAATTTAGAATTACAAGTTTTATGTTTTCTTGTACTGAAAACCCTATCTGCCTCCCAATGCCTTCTGTAAAGTCTTATACACATATCTTTGCCTTTTAGCCTTGTTATATGTGTGTATGATGGTAGAGGGGAATCCAAGAATAAGAGATTGTGTCCTATTCTGCCTAGCTTGATCATGGAAAAAGAAAGAGCTACAGGAATTTTAAGTAGGTAACCAGTGAAAGAATGAACCATGAGGCAGAACTGACTGTAAACTGTAAGCCCATTAGCACACATAAAAAGGTGGAGATGGAGATAACAGATGATTTGAGCTGCTGAGTTTCATGATATTTTGATTTTTTCCTTGTCTATGGGAGGATAATGCTCCAATCCAGTGAACATAAATACCTTGTTCTAACGAGCATTTTCCTATATTAGTTGGCATTCTATTTATGAAGAGTGTAAGCTTCAGGTGAATTCTATCATTATGAGTCACCTTTTTTGAATTGAACTGACTCAGATGGAATCAACCTAGGTGCCTGTCAATGGTGAATTGGATGAAAAAAATGTGGTACATATACACCATGGAATACTATACAACCATAAAAAGTATAAAATTATGTTCTTTGTAGCAACACACAGGTGGAGGCTATTACCCTAAGCGAACTAACACAGAAACAGAAAACCAAATATCGCATGTTCTCACCCGTAAGTGGGAGCTAAACGTTGAGTATACGTGGGCATAAAGTTGAGAACAATAGACATTGAGGACTACTAGTTGTGGGAGAAAGGAACGAGGGTCACACAGTATACCCATATAACAAACCTGCACATGGATCCCCAAGTCTAAATAAAAGTTGAAATTTTTTAAGAAAAAGAACTGACTCAGATTATTGACCAGCCTTCTTTGAACCTATGAAGCTGAGGTTCATCTCCTAATTCATGTTAAATTTACCATGGGACCTTTTAGCATTCAGCTATTCTTTCCTAGAGAACCCTGTAACATGCTTATATTATTCAACTCCTATACTGATAGCTTTCATTTGCTTCCCTTCTCTGTTTGTTGTTGCTGTTGTTGTTGTTGTTGTTGTCGTTGTTATGGAGTTTCACTCTTGTCACCCAGGCTGGAGTGCAATTGCACAGTCTCTGCTCACTGCAACCTCCGCCTCCCGGGTTCAAATGATTCTCCTGCCTCAGCCTCCTGAGTAGCTGGGATTACAGGCGCCCATCATCATGCCTGGCTAATTTTTGTATTTTTAGTAGAAAGGGGGTTTCACCATGTTGGCCAGGCCGGTCTCAAACTCGGGACCTCAGCTGATCTACTCGCCTTGGCCTCCCAAAGTGCTTGGATTACAGACATAAGCCACTGCACCCGGCCATATCCCTTCTCTTTTGAGTCATTTTTCTATTTAAAAAAAATTTGGGACAGAAAATCACACCAAATTTTCTTTTGGAGTCCATATAATCTTCTCTGCTCAAGCGTAGGTCATAAATCTGACTATGTCCATGCTTGCACTCTTGCCTGTGACCTCAGTCAAGTTATTCAGTCTTTCTGAGCCTCAATTTTAACTTTTCTAAAGTGGAGATAATAATGACATCATTAAAGCAGCAATAATTAAACAAGATACATACTTGCCAAAGTGCTTATTACTTTTCTAGCTACATAATAAGGGCTTAAATTAACTCCAGTTCATCTTATTATTTAAAGATTCTGATGACTTTAATCACCAAGTTCTTTCTTAACTCAAGGGTAGCATTTTTTTCTCTGCAGTGGGATTGCTATCAAGCCAAAGTGAGAAATTACTAACTCTGTTGCTTCTGGCTAAATGACACTTCTCTGCCGATTTCATCTCTGCTTTTGTAATTCTTGGCTCAAATGGCAGGTTGATTCTCCACAAAAATTTCATAATCCATTAATTATGTTAGTGGGGATTATAACTATTTTGGAGAGAAAAATTTAATCCTCTCTGTTTAGCACTTTGTAGAGGCTGAAGCTATGAAAAATGGTTGATCAACATTCACACTAGGCTATGAATGGCAGCAAGCCAGATGTGGAGATAGAAAATATAGCCATTGTTTTTGTAACAGTATCTTATTGATTTCTAGGTGTTAGGCAGCGGTTAAGCTTGCTAAAATGATGTTGCATTCCCTAAAATAAATGCCACTGTATGCACTCTTTTAGAACTTAGTTATTATTTCCTAGAAAACTTTGTCATGTGTCTTATACTACTGAACTTTCACCTTTTTGGCACTCATGTTTTGGAACTTCTCATCTTTTTTTAATCATTTACATTTTCAAAAATTTGAGTGATCTGACCATACCTACCTTTTTTTTTTCACTCTTATACCATCTTTTCTCTTAAGTATAGACAGCAAATCTAATTATTACCAGGACTCTCCTCTTGCCAGCTTAAACCCTGCCTAATATCCATAAATCAATAAAATGTGTTGTTAAGAATAATGTAGTTTTAAAATAAAGAGAGTGTAACTACAAAACTAACAATTAAAAGTAAGTGAAAATGTTAGGTGCAAAGTAACACTTCATAAATGCTTAAATTCACTGTTCCAGTATAGAATTATACAAGTTAGACTAATAATGTAATTTCTGAATCTCTGTTTCCTTTTTTTAAAAAATGGTTGGATAATATGATCTGATCCACTAACCTTCCAGAAAAAAGACTTATATAAATATAAGCTTTATTATTATCAACAATGTTCTGGCTCTTTTCAGATCTTTGATTCAGTTTTGTTGAAATAAAGCTCAGAACAGACAAAACAACTTGAAAAAAGAAAACTGTCCTTCAGTGGAAATTGTCTTTATTACATCTGCCAGAATACCAAGTGATGACATAAATCAGGACTCAATGTTTTATTAGGCAAGTCAGATTCCTCAGATCAATGTTTTGTTTGAATAAAGATAATTAAGAAATTTTTGCTCATCTTAAAGAAAATATGCAAATCTTTTTTTCTTTTTAGGGAACAGGAAGAAATTTAGCATAACTTCAGGCAGAGTGAATTAGGAATGTTAAGGTTTTTCAAAACAAGTATTTCTTATAGAAAATGTGTTCTCTCTAAAATTGTCTATCTCCAGCAAAAATCCTTGGTTGTCATCATCACCAAATGCCCACATATGTTTATAGTTTTCTAAGGGTCTTATGTTTCCTTGAATGTTTAAAATATTCTGTCTCTTTCAAAAAGTGTTTGAAAGTCATGCAACAAAGAATATAAATAACCAACTTTCCTTCCTTCCTCCCTTCCTTCCTTCTTTCCTTCCTCCCTCCCTTCCTTCCTTCATTTCTTCCTTCCTCCCTTCCTTTTCTTCTTTTCCATCATCTGTCAACAAACATTTTTGCCAGCACTTAAAATAAATATGAATGATAATAATGAAAAGATGATGAAGAAACAATATAAATGAGACATAATCATGTCTCGAGGAGCTGACAGCCTAGTGGGAGAGACAGGAAAGACTAAGTATAACAATAAAGATAAGAAAATGCTCTGAGAACAGAGAGCAGAGTTGACCAACTCTACCCTGGGGAATCAAAGAAGGCTTTACAGAGAAGGAGGCACTGAAGGTAGGTCTTAATTATTGTTTAAAAAAAATCAAAAAGATTTTGTCAGGCAAAAAGAAACAAGGTCCATCCAGAGAGAAGAAACATCACAGACAAAAGAAGGGCTTCACGTAAAGGTCTGACAGGAGAGGCAAGGCCAGGAGACCGCTGGTTCTGCTCTGTGTCAAAGATGCAATGCAGAGAAGTCTGTTGACTTTAGCAGAACAGCTGATAAATTACTTTTCTCACATGCTACAAATATTTGTCAAAGCTGTTCTCTTGTGAAGTGTCAGGATTTCGGTCCAGAGGATGACATCAATATTTTTCTTTAATTTCTTACATTTTTTACCTTATCTACTTTTCTTTCCCTTTACATACCTCATATTCACTGGGTTATTAAAAACTGGTCTGTTCTAAGAAAAATAAATTGGTAGCCTCTGAAGATGAGTAAGATTTTTAAAATTTTCTGGAGAGAGGAGAAGAATGCACAGAAAAAAAAAACAACTGCAATGGTGCCTAGGAGTCCCATTTATATCATCGTATTAAACTAACTTTGTGGAGGAAAGAAAAGGAACTCTGCTGTGCTAGGCTAGGAGGTGGACATTTTATATCTTACTTTTGAACTCCTGGCCTCAAGTGATCCTCTCACCTTGGCCTCCCAAAAAGCTGAGATTACAGGCATGAGCCATTGTGCCCAACCCTATATCTTATTCTCAATCCCCATGAAATACAAAGGCCTTTCAGTGTTTTGAGAACCATGATCTGGTTCATGATTCTAACCTGCTAACACTCTGGCCTCATTGCCAACCATTCTTTCCATCACTTACTGGCCTTCCAGCTGGTCCTTAAATGTGCAAAGCATGCTTGCCATCTGCGTAGTACTCTTTTACTTCAGATATCCACGTCTCTTTTGCTCTGACATCCTTCAGGTCTCAACTCAAAGTAGCCTTCCCACACTGCATAAAACAGGATCCACCTGCCCCACATTGTACTCCAATCTCTTCCTCTAGTTTATTTTTCTTCTCAAAGTACTCATTGACATAGTATGTATCCTTATTTCTATATTTAATTGTCTTTATCTTCCCACTGGAGTTTGAGCTCTATGAGGTCAGGCATTAGTCTATTTGGTTCAAATAAAGTTTTTTTAAAGAGTTGACATTTAGTTCCCATCAACGGTAAACTGGATTAAAAAAATGTGGTGCATATATACCATGGAATATTTTGCAGCTATAAAAGATAGTGAGATCACATCCTTTGCAGTGACCTGGACGGAGCCGGAGGCCATTATCCTAAGCAAACTAACATAGAAACAGAAAACCAAAAACTGCATATTCTCACTTATAAGTAGAAGCTGAACATTGAGTACATAAGGAAACAAAGAAGGGAACAACAGACATGAGGACCTACTTGAGGGTAGAGGGTGGGAGAAGGGTGAGGATTGCAAAACTCACATACTATGCTTATTACCTGGGTAATGAAATAATCCATACACCAAACCCCAGGATATGCAATTTACCTATATAACAAATCTGCATATGTACCCCTGAACCTAAAAGTTAAAAAAGAGTTGATATTTAGTAAATAGTTAATAGATGTTTTAATAATAAATCATTTATATTTATATTACTAACAACATTTTACAGACGAGGAGCCCGAATTTCAGACAAGTGTAATAATTTGCCTGGGGTTCCATGACTCATAAGGCATCTGGATCTGAACATACGATGTCCCCCAAAGCCATGATTTTCCCACTATACCAAAATTTATTCCCTAAAAGGATGCCTTCCATGAGACATATCTTCAGACATAACTCATAAGCTTATTGCTTACAATATTCATCATGGTTCCTAATTGTAAAAACCAAATCTTCTATAGCTAGTTTAAGCAAAAATTGATCTATTAACAGTTACAGACCATTCACAGAATTATTGGCAAGGCTGAAGAAACAGACTTGTATTGAGCTTCCAGAAATGACTTTAACAGCACACCAAAGAACTGGCCTGCCAGGGAGCTGCTGCTCCTTCCACTTTCAAGGAATAGCAGAATCAAGAAAGTAGTTGCCATGGATCCTGTCAACACCTCGGCCATGAACACAAACCTGCTGAATCAGAGAAGTCACCACTACAGGTGCCAGATCCAGAATTTTACCACAATTGCCATGATCCTCACCAGCAAAATAACTATGTCATATCCTGGCTCTCTTTCTATTTATCTCCCTTCTATATTAAAGATTCACACAATCATATCTAATTGGTGAAGTTCAACTCACATTCAGAAAGTTTGCTGCAGTGGGTTATGAGGAATATAATTCTTTGGTTTCCCAGGCTAGCAGGACTGGAAGGCAGCTTATAAGGGGCTCAGAACCTTGTTGGCAGAGCAAATCCACTGTCCTATGTTAGGCACTTGTTAGTGCATAATTTTATTCAATCTTCACAGAAACACTGTAAAGTACGTACCATTTTGCTTACTCAATTGAAGAAGAGATGGAGGCTCTGTATTAGGGTTCTCTTAGAGGGACAGAACTAATAGGATATATATTATATATACATCCTATTATATATATATATAATATATATACATGGGAGTTTATTAAATATTAGCTTCCATGATCACAAAGGTCCCACAATAGGCTGTCTGCAAGCTGAGGAGCAAGGAGAGCCAGTCCAAGTCCCAAAACTGAAAAACTTACAGTCCGGTGTTTGAGGGCAGGAAGCATCCAGCACGGGAGAAAGATGTAGGCTGGGAGCCTAGGTCAGTCTCTCCTTTTCACATTTTTTCTGCCTGCTTTGTATCTGTAAGCTGATTAGATTGTGCCCACCAAATTAAGGGTAGATCTGCCTTCCCCAGCCCACTGACTCAAATGTTAATCTCCTTTGGCAACACAGAATTAATATGTCATATCCTTCAATCCAATCAAGTTGACACTCAGTGTTAACCATCACGAGTTAACCCCTTGTGAACCTGAACCCATACACATCTTCTGAGATCATACATAATCTTCAAATAAAGACAACAATGAGGTCATAATTATGCCTAACATAATACAACTATCCTTCGTACAACTGGAAATGCACCGATCCCCAACCCAAATCCTACTACATAAAGTTAACAATACTTAAATGCTGATATGAAGTCAATAAATCTTATGTCACATGATAAAGGGAAAGGAAATAAAATGAAGATATTTTCTAGTACAAGTGCATACATCCACAAACATGCTTTTAACAAAAGAAGGAGGAAATACTCGTGACAGTTACGGTCCTCATTTCTGCAGCTGGTCACGTGGTCGTAGCTAGTATTGATGACTACCTTCTTCTACTACCCATTCTGTATTCCCTTTGTCTTCAGCAAGCACCTCAGCAGGTCGTGATTTTTGTCCTGGCTCAAACCTTAGTTCCTGAAGGGTCTGGACCATTTGTAATCCTGCCTGGATTGGGCTGTTGGAGTTTCCCATTATTGATCTTAATCACAGGGCATGGTAATATTAAGAGATGTCCTAATGGATCTCCTGTATTCCATGCATACTCTTCCTTACCTCCATTGTGGAGTAGTAGACTGATTTCATTTTGATAGCCCAGGTCAGTCACCCCAGCTAACACTCTAACTCCCTTCTTAGCCTGCTGATTTAAAGGTAGGAGGAGCCCAAAGTGTCCAGGTGGCAATCTTAACTTCCAGTTTAATGGAATCATTCTTGTGTCTCCTGATAGCAGTGTTCCTTGCTCTGGAACTAAGACCTCTAGGCCAGCAGAACACAATGTCGCAGGAACAGGAAGCAAAAATTTTGCTAGTGGATCACTAGGGGTGATGGTGAGTGGTGCCACTTCCAATTCCGCCCCTTGATTCCTGGACCCGTGAATCCTGGCTATGGGAGGAACAATACCATATATTGGATGCTGATTCAGAGAATACACAGCCTTGTGGAGAACTTTGCTCCAGCCCTGCAAAGTACTGTCACCTAGTTGGCATTGTAATTATGACTTCAAAAGATCATTCCATCAATTCAGCTGCTTCAGGATAATGGGGAACATGGTAAGACCAGTGAATTCAATGAGCCTGAGCTGACCGTTCCACTCCTTTAGCCGTAAAGTGAGTGCCTTGGTCAGAGGCAATGCTGTGTGGAATACCATGGTGGTGGATAAAGCATTCTATGAGTCTGCAGATGGTAGTCTTGACAGAAGCGTTGCATGCAGGATGGGCAAACCCATATCTGGAGTAAGTGTCTATTCCAGTGAGGACAACTTTCTGCCCTTTCCATGATGGAAGAGGTCCAATATAATCAACCTGCCACCAGGTAGCTGGCTGATCACCCCGAGGAATGGTGCCATATCAAGGGCTCAGTGTTGGTCTTTGCTGCTGGCAAATTGGGCACTCAGCAGTGACTGTAGCCAGGTCAGCCTTTGTGAGTAGAAGTCCATGTGCCGAGCCCCTGCATAACCTCCATTCCTGCCACTGTGGCCACTTTGTTCATGGGCCCACTGGGAGATGACAGGGGTGGCTGGGGAAGGTGGCTGAGTGGTGTCCACAGAACAGGTCATCGTATACACTTGATTATTAAAATCCGCCTCTGCTGAGGTCACCCATTGGTGAGCACTCACATGGGATACAAATATCTTTACAGTTTTTGACCACTCAGAGAGGTCCATCCACACACCTCTTCCCCATATTTCTTTGTCACCAATTTTCCAATCATGCTTCTTCCAAGTCCCTGACCATCCAGCCAAACCATTGGCCAGAGCCCATGAATCCATACATAATCGCATACCTGGCCATTTCTCCTTCCATGCAAAGGACACAACCAGGTGCATTACTCAAAGTTCTGCCCACTGGGGAGATTTCCCTTCACCACTGTCCTTCAGGGATGTCCTAGAAAGGGGCTGTAGCACTACAGCTGTCTACTTTTGGGTGGTGCCTGCATATCATGCAGAACCATCTGTGAGCCAGGCCCTAGTCTTCTCTTCCTCTGTCAACTGATCATGGGGAACTCTCCATGAGGCCATCGGTGCAGGCTGGGGGAGAGAAGGAAGGAGTGGAGACCATGGGCATTTGAGCCACTTCCTCACGTAAGTTACTTGTTCCTTCAGGACCTGCTCGAGCCTGATCACGTATACCACTTCCATTTGATGATGGAATACTGATATGCACAACCCACTTTATGGCTAGATGGGCCAGAAAGCACCCAGTTCATGATAGGCAGTTCAGGTCACATGGTGACTTGATGACCCATAGTCAAATGTTCGGTTTCCACCAAAGCCCAGTAACAGGCCAAGAGCTGTCTCTCAAAAGGAGAGTAGTTATTTGCAGAAGATCGGAGGGCCTTGCTCCAAAATCCTAGAGCCCTCTGCTGTGATTCACCTATGGAGGCCTGCCAAAGTCTCCAAACAGCATCCCTATCTGCCACTGACACCTCAAAGATCACTGGATCTGCTGGGTCATATGGCCCAGGTATCAGAGCAGCTTGCACAGCAGCCTGGACCTGTTGCAGAGCTTTCTCTTGTTCTGGACCCCACTCAAAACTGGCAGCCTTTTGGGTCACTTGATAAATGGGCCAGAGTAACACACCCAAGTGAGGACTGTGTTGTCTCCAAAATCCAAATAGGCCCACTAGGCCTTGTACCACCTTCTTGGTTGTAGGAGTGGCCAAATGCAGCAACTTTTCCTTCACCTTAGAAGGACAAGCCCTACACCACTAGACCCCAAGAAATTTTACTGAGGTAGAAGGTCCCTGAATTTCCCATCCTCTGGCATGCAAATGTCCCACTGATAAATCCAGTGTATTTGCTACTTCTTGCTCACTGGATCCAATTAGCATAATATCATCAATGTAGTGGACCAGTGTGATATCTTGTGGAAGCAAAAAGTGATCAAGGTCTCTCCGAATAAGATGACACAAAGCCAGAGTTGATACACCCTGAGGTAGGAGAGCAAGGGCATGTTGCTGGCCTTGCCAGCTGAAGGCAAATTTCTTCTGGTGGGCCTTATGGACAGGAATGGAGAAAAAGGCATTTGCCAAGTCAATGGCTGCATATCAGGTACCAGGAGTTGTGTTAGTTTGCTCAAACAATGAAACCACATCTTGTATAGCAGCTGCAATTGGAGTCTCCACTTGGTTAAGCTCATGATAATCCACTGTCATTCTCCAAGATCCATCTTCTGTACAGGCCAAATGGGAGAGTTGAATGGGGATGTGGTGGGTTTCACCACCCCTGCATCTTTCAAGTCCTTGTTGGTGGCACTAATATCCACAATCTCTGCAGGGATGCAATATTGTTTCTGATTTACTCTTTTTCTAGAAAACAGTAGAAAATTTTTCTGGAAAATTTTCTAGAAATAGTAAATTGGGGTAGAGGCAGCTCTAATGGCTTCCATTTGTCCTTTCCCACCATAAAAGCCCTCACCCTACCAGTCAGGGAGCCAATGTGGGGGTTCTACCAGCTGCTAAGTGTGTCTATGCCAATTATGCATTCTGGCACTGAGAAAATGATGACAGGATGAGTCCAGGGACCCACTGGACCCACTGTTAGTCAGATCTGAGCTAAAACTCCATTAATTACCTGACCTCCATAAGTCCCTACTTTAACTGGAGAACAACAATGACATTTTAGGTACCCTGGAATCAACATCAGCTCAGAATCAGTGTCCAGTAGTCCCTGAAATGTCTGATCATTTCCCTTTCCCCACTGCACAGTTACCCTGGTAAAAACCCGGAGGTCTCCTTGGGGAAGGGTGCGAGAGAGATTCACTGCATAAATTGTCAGTAATGAAGTGGAGTCCTTCCTCAGTGGGACCCAGCCTCCCCTTCATTCAAGGGATTCTGGGTCTTTAAACTGGCTTAAGTCTAGAAGTTGATTGGGGGACCATGATTCTCTGTTTTTATAAATCAAATTTGTCTTTTGTCCATTTGACCTAGAACTTTTCTGTTTGTATAATTTAAGTAGGAATGCATGATTTCAGAATTGCTCTGGACCAGTGACTATGAGGGGTCTTCCACGCTTTCCCTTTCAAAATAGGAGTATATATCACAGTTATTCTGTCCCCATCCCATTGTATAATCAGTGTGTGGAGGGCAGATTGTCTTGAAAGCTTTTAGGTCTATAGAATATGAGCCTCATCTGAATGTGATGTAGACCAGAACGTGATTCTGGACTTTGATCTTGAGGCTGGGATTGAATGAGACTCTTGGGGATGCTCGTGGGGGACCCATATTTATATGTGGAAAAGATATTAAAATATGCATGAAAGGTGGAATGTGATAATTTAGAATACCTTACAGCAAATATTCACTCTGTTCTTCTTTCTACCATAGGTAAAAAGAACTTCCTAAGATAGCTTCCCGGC
Organism: Homo sapiens; assembly: GCF_000001405.40. Lineage (NCBI taxonomy): Eukaryota > Metazoa > Chordata > Mammalia > Primates > Hominidae > Homo > Homo sapiens. The sequence goes on along the minus strand of NC_000001.11, from coordinate 163,097,502 downwards.
ATGGCTTTGATCATGTGACCTTTTGGCTAATGTGATGTCAGTAGAAGGGTATTATTATAGGAAAGACTTGAAGTATGTTTGCACAGTGGGTGTTGCTATCTTGCCCTGCTCCCTGAGAAGAACATAGCATGGATAGCCTGCTGGCCAAGGATAGAAGGTGTATGGAGAAGAACTAGGCACAACACTGTAGCCTGAGGACAAGTCCAACTTTGCCTGGCTTGGATCAGAGGACCCTCAGCAGTTCCCTAAGCATGCAAGTGAGAGTAATTGTTTTAAGCCATTAAGTTTCAAGTTTTGGAGCAGTTTGTTGTGCAGCAAGAACTAATTGATATAAAAATGAAAAAAAAATGATGGTGTTCTGAAGAGCTGCCTCCAATGGTCAAGAAATAAGGAAACTAAAATAGTAATCAGAAGGTTGCTTGGAGTACATACAAGAAATCTAAATAAAGAGAGTTTAAGACTCTTATGAAATACCTACCCACCAGAACACATTTCTGCAAGTGGCAATGTTATTAGCAGTAGTCACCTCTGATTTTAAATATCAGAAATCAACTTTGGCAAACTCAAGGAGACTCAAAAAGAATGCACTGTAGTTGTATAGTATGTACTGTATTATATAGTTGGCAAAATTAAAAGAATAACTGAGTTATCAGACTCTGAGAAGTTCAAAACTGGGGAACTGATTTAGCAGCAGAAACTCAGAGACAGTTTTATTCTTAACATTCAAATAACCAGAGTCTGATACTGTAGTTGTATAGTATATACTGTATTATATAGTTGACAAAATTAAAGGAATAGCTGAGTTATCAGACTCTGAGAAGTTCAAAACCAGCGAACTGATTTAGCAGCAGAAACTCAGAGACAGTTTTATTCTTAACATTCAAGTGACCAGAGTCTGATAGCCTTGCTTATTTCATGAGATCAATCTCATGGAGAGAAGGGTGGGGGCAGGCTATTATGACTGATGGCATCACCAGGAATACATGAAGTGAAGGAAAGACGATTGATCATTAACCATTCTCTGGGCCAGGTGCAGGATCACACCTGAAATCCCAGCGCTTTGGGAGGCCGAGGTGGGCGGATTGCTTAAGGTTAAGAGTTCGAGACCAGCCTGGCCAACATAGTGAAATCCCATCTCTACCAAAAGAAAATACAAAAATTAGCTGGGCATGGTGGCACGCACCTGTAGTACCAGCCACTCAGGAGGCACACACACACACAGAAAAAAAAAAACAGTTCCCAGTTTTCTCACCCCTTGAATGGCCTAGATAATTTTTTATCCTCTTACTCCCAATATTTTCTATTAGCAAGTTACCTAAGGATCCCAGTATTAAAACATTACATCATGTTCCAACTTGCATCAAAGTTTTATCAAATCAGAAGGTGCCTGATTTTCTTTTTAAGAAACTATTTCTAAACCATAATGAAAGATGACCTGTAACTACATTAATTCATTGATTATTGAATGTTGTGAATACCTACTCTATAAATAAAATTTTTGAATTTCATAATCAGACTTTAGAGTACCTTTACTTGGGGCCATCCAACACTCTCCGTTTCCTCTCAGGCTTAACTATAGCACCTTACATAAGTAAATCACACAATGCTTTTTAAGGGCTTCACAGCCAATAGATAATTTAATTCTCAGGATAGCCTATTAAGTGTCAGCTTGTCTTCTTTGATTCTACTCTAGAAAAAAAAATTTTAAAAAAATCCTCAAAACTTGTCTCCTGCTCATTTCTGAATATTTTTCTTAATACATTGTTACCAGTCTCTGGAAAACATAGATTGCGTTGTCTATTTTTTTTTTTCTTATTGTTTTTTCAGGCTGCAGATAAAGGCTTCTTCATATTTGCGGGGGGGGTGGTGGGGCAGGCACAGATGAACACATTACACTTCAGCCTTTGCAACATTGCTTTCACTTTAATTATTACTCTGTAAATATAAATTTCAAGAAGTTTCTGCTCCTATTTAAAGAACTGAAGATAAAATTGAGAAATATTGCTAACAAGAAAGGATGATAATTTGGTCATGGCTAAATGACCCTGATAGCAGGTATTTTTTTATAAGCATGACTCATTGAAGATTAACAAGGTCTGCTTATCTTTATTCCATCACTGGCCTCATCCCATTCTGAATTAAAACTGATGAACTATAAGCAATAAAAGAGATTTATTAAAATATAGTTCCGATTTCAGCTTGTAAAGGTAGTAAATTCTCTTTCCTTCCTCACTTTATTTCTCTGGCTCTCATTTCATCTTAGTTGCTAATAAATGGGGAGAAAAGTTCCCTTTTATTGCGTCTTAAAGAGAAATCATCTTGGGTGATAGACATATCTGAGTCTTGTGGTAACAATACTGGCTTCATTATTGTCATCTACTGATGAGAGATTAGAAAACTATCAGAGTGAATTCAGCAGCATTTTGCTGGTGAGTGGGTTTCTTCCCAGTTTGGAGTCAGCAGTCTCTTTTTGAGAGAAAGAACTAATTAAAGGACAACCTGTCACTTGCAAGAAACAATGTAACTTCCCAGTGTGCCTAAAAAGTATTTGGAATAGTCCAGTTCGTGGAAGAAGCTAATCCAAGTACATCTGCTTGACTGGAACCATTGGAACTTCTTTTCTCCCAGTGATCTGTGAAGGGAAAATTCAGCTGACCAAAACACCTTTTCCAGTAAAACAGGCTATCTGACAACACCTCTTAATTGAACTGTGACTAATGTGCATTTAGCTGACTGGGCAATAGAGCTTTCATTTGTGCACCAAATGGTTGCCAAGCACAACATGTTTCTGACTTAAATATGCTTTCTAGTGTATTTTCGTTTTCCTGTATTGGCTTTTAAAAATTTTGCCTTTCTTTCCCCTGAAACTCTATTGTTACAAATCTATCAGGGATTAAATTAATCAACTTTTCTTTCCCTTCTCTCTCTCTCCCTTCCTCTCTCCCTTCCTCCCATCCGTCCTTCCTTTCTTCCTTCCTATATTTATCTTTCTCTGTCTCATTTAAAAATTTTTTTTGTATTCAGTTTTCTTTTATTCAGTAAGCAAACATTCGTTGAATACCTACTCCTATCCCCCTTTGGGTTTTCCAGAAAATAATATGACTCACTTCCAAGAGCTTAGAGTCCTGCAGTGATGTGAAGAGGGAGATATGTCTCCGGTGAGTTCTGGTGCTTGCATGGGAAACACCTTAAATAACATCACATCTTAAGTTTAACTGTTTGCAAATCAATGTCACTACATCTGTAAATACTTGCTGAACACTAGTTTCTCTGCCTACCAACGTTCTAGAGCTATAGCATATACAGAAGAAATCTTCCATATGTGGTTTGCCTTCAAAGACCTATCTTAAAAAATAAAATAAACAGGAATTTAGGAAAATATCACAGAATTGAAACGGGAAAAGTTCCCTTGTGTCCCCCACAGGGCATGCGACAGGGCGAATGGCTCACTTCTTCAGCGTCCACTGCTCAAACCTCTAGGGGAGCATGCAGATGGGCAGGTTGTGGGGCTCTGACCCCACGACAGTGTCTAGGGGTGAATGTTTACAGCTGAAGCCCCAGTGGGCGTGCATTACAGGATGCTCTTTTAGTTTAGCCATCTGCTCAATTAGACCCCTGCCTTATCACAAGGACAGAAGGCTGTCTGCAACCCGGGGTTCTTGCCCTGGTGTACCGGAAGACTCAGATCACATGTGGGCTTGGAGAATGAGTGCAAGGTTTTATTGAGCGGAAGTACCTCTCAGCAGATGGGGGAGCCAGAAGGGAGATGGTTTTCTCTTGGAGTTGGGCCGCTTGGTGGCCCGGGCTCTCCTCCAACTGCCCCAGCCAAACTCCACATGGTTCTGTGGCTGCTGGTCAGTGGCCTGCTGGCGTGAAGGCATGTCGGTGAGCTCCTTTCAACGTCCAGACATTTGTGTGTTCCTTCACTGATGTGCTCTTCTTGATGTCCAGCTGCCTGTGTGTCTGCCTGCTAGGGTCTGGGAGGGGTTTTATAGGCACAGGATGGGGGCATGGCAGACCAGGGTGGCCTTGGGAAATCCAACATTTGGGCAGGAAAACAAAAATGCTGTCTTCACCTAGGTCCATGGGCACAGGCCCTGGGGTGGAAACCTAGCCAGGGACCACGCCCTCCTCTACCCAGCACTTCCGTTCCCACCTTCCATATCACTTAAAGGGACCATGCCCTTCCTTTCCCAGCACTTCCCTTCCGTATCAGAATGACATAAAGTAGGTAGAACTGAGTTTGATTAAAGATACGTACTTTGGAAATACAGAAGAGAGTCATTAAAACCAATAGGGTCATTAATATTTTCCTAGAAGAGTGAAACATCACTTGGATTAGAAAATACAGATAGAAATGTGAAAAAGGAAGATGAAAGAGAATGTAATATTTTCCTATTGAAACAAAATATACATTATATTATTTGTTACTGATATGAATATAGCACCTCATATTTGATATTGGTAGGACAAGTTCTGTCTTCACTGTTCTCGTTTTTCATACTTTTTTCTTTGCTATTTTTTGAGCATTTCTCCCATTTGACAGGAACATTTTATGCAATTTCAAAATTATCTTATTGAGAATGTAATTGCAGTTGCATTATACTTATTAATTTGGGGAAAATTGATTTTTGGATGTTGTTAAGAGTTCTTATCCACTACTATGAATCTTTCTAGTTAGTTCTTACTTTATATGTTTGATAATATTTTACAGTTTTCTTTATATGTTCCTGATAACGTTTTTATTAGATAACTTATTATTAAATTTGTTCTTAAAGGTAATATACTAAATAAAATACTTTCGTTTTCATCTACAGTCACATTTTGGTACAGAAAGGAAAAGTTATTCATATTGGATATATTAATCAAGATACTTGACCAAATCTTATTAGTTCTAATAGATTTTACTGCAACTTTGGGATTCTGGGTATCCAGGTTGATCATTACATAAAAAGATTTTTTTATCTTATTTTCTGATATTTTTCTCAGTACACCATATATAAAAACAAATTATGTATGTTAAATGTAAATACAAAAGTAGTAAAATAATAAAATAATTTTATAAGAAAAAACTCTGAACAGATTAGCTTAAACAAATCATTAGACACTTGTGGAAGGAAAAAACTAGTACACTGGAAGGCAGATCTGAAGAAATTTTTCAGAATGCCAGAGAGTTGAGGCATAAAATATTGGATGTAAAGATCAATATGTGTAAGGAGTTCCAGAAGAAAATAAGGGAGATAGTGGGAGGAGAATTAATTATCAAGCACATAATGATTATTTTCCAGAATTAATTAAAGACAATCTACAGTTTAACGAGTCCTACTAACTTCTTACAGAATAAATAAATCTACAAGTAAAAATATTGGAGACAAGAGAATTGTAAAAGCAGATAGCAAAAAGGCAGATTATCAAACAAAGAAAAACTATTACACTTATAGCTGACTTTCCATTAGCAGCAATGGACATCAGAAGATCATGGAAGATTATATTTCATGTGTTAAGGAGAAATAAAATTCCAACTAAAATTTCTATATCCAGTGAATTTCTCCTTAAAGAATGAAAATAAATTAAAAAGACTCTTAGATCACAAATTTTGTTTTTTGAGAATTTACCACTCACAGATTTCCCCTAAACAAAATCTAAGGGCTTTGTATCTAGCAGAAGGAAAATTATTTCAGCAGGAAGGAATGGTGAAAAAAAAAAACTCAGCACACAGAATTGATTGTATAAGTATACAACAATATTCAGGTAGGAGTATTTGAAAAAAATAAAATTAAAGTAATGAACAGCAATGCCATATAAGTTGGGGTAAAGATAATCAGACTTTAAAATAGTCTAAGGTCTTTGAAATACAGTTATTTGCTGCATAACAACATTTTGGTCAACAAGACTACATATATGATAGTGGCTCCATAATATTATAATGGAGCTGAAACATTCCTGTTGCTTAGTGACATTGTAGCTGTCATAATGTCACAGTGCAACACCATTATTCATGTGTTTGTGGTGATACTGGTATAAACAAACCTACAGTGCTGCTAATCATATAAAAGTATATCACAAGCAATTATGTGCAGTACATAATACTTGATAAGGATAATAAACTGTGTTGCTGGCTTATGTATCTACTATATTATACTTTTCATCTTTATTTTAGAGTGTACTCCGTCTACTTACATATATGAAAAATGTAGCCCCCTCAGCACTACTGTGAAACTGTGATCTAGAGGGAAAAAAAAGGCAAACGTAAAGAAGCCTCAGGCAGGTTCTTCAGAAGGTATTTCAGAGGAAGGCATTTTTATCACAGGGGATGACAGCTTCATGCATGTTATTGCCACTGAGGACCATCCAATGGGACAAGATGTGGAGGTAGAAGACAGTGATGTTGATGATTCTGATCCTGTAGAGGCCTAGGCTAACGTGTGTGTTTGTGTCTTAGTTTTTTAACAAAAAAAAAGGTTGAAAAGTAAAATAAAAAATTAAAAATAGAAAAAAGCTTATAGAATAAGGATATAAAAGAAAATATTTTTGTACAGCTGTACAATGTGTTTGTTTTAAGCTGAGTGTTATAACAAGTCAAAGAGTTAAAAAAATTAAAAAGCATATAAAATAAAAATGTTATTAAGCTGTAGTTAATTTATAATCAAACAAAAATGTTTTCTTCATAAATGTAGTGTAACTTAAGTGTACAGTGTTTCCAAACTCTAGAGTAGTGTACGGTAATGTCCTAGGCTTTCACATTCACTCACTACTCACTGACTGACTCATCCAGAGCAACTTCCAGTCCTCCAAGCTCCATTCACAGTAAGTGCCCTATAAAGCTGTACTATGTTTTATGTTTTATACTGCATTTTTACTGTACCTTTTCTATGTTTAGATACACAAATGATTTCCATTATGTTACAACAGCCTACAGTGTGGTACAGTAACATACTGCACAGGTTTGTAGCCTAGCCACAACAGGCTATAGAGTACAGCCTAGGTGTATTGCAGGCTTATACTATCTAGGTTTGTGTAAATACACTCCGGTGTTCACACAACAATGAAATCACCTAACGATGCATTTTTCAGAATGTATCCCTGTTAAATGATACATGACTGTATCCAGTTAAAGGGTAAATACTAGTTAATACATTGCTTGGTTAAATGTATGTGTTAAAGTATACAGAGTAAATTTGAAAATAATTGGAATAGAAATTTTAAGTTGCAAAATAATAATGAGGGAAACAATTAAAATGAGAAACAACAAGCAAGGGAAAAACAGACCCCACCCCACCCCCAAAAAAGTGGTAAAAATGAATCGAAATATATCAGCAATAAGAGTTAATGTATATTCTACTAAAATACTTGAAAGGAGAAAATATATCAAACTAGACGTAATACCCTATTTACATTATATTTAAAAGCACATTGGCAATATATGGATATAAAATAGATAAAATTAAAATTTTATATATATATATGTATATATAGACTAGGCAAGTAATAACCAATACAGAGCTCATGTAACGATATTAATATCAGATAAATAGGCTTTACAGGAAAAAAACAAATATCCAAGAGTTATTAATAGATAACATATTTAGATCTCAAGAAGATATAAATTATTCTAAAGTTGTTAGTACCAAATAATATAGGCTGAAGTATATAAAGCAAAAATAGGTGGAACTAAATCATCTCAATAAATTCAGAAAATTATCCACTGAAATTCAACATTCATTTATGGTTCTATTGGAAATCTTGAAATAGAAGGGAACTGCATCAACTTGATAAAGAGTACCTCCAAAAAGCCTAAAGCTGGCATTAAGTTGCATTCCCTTTAAGATTAGGAGCGTGGTTTTAGGTCTAACATTTAAGTCTTTAATCCATCTTGAATTAATTTTTGTATAAGGTGTAAGGAAGGGATTCAGTTTTAGCTTTCTTCATATGGCTAGCCAGTTTTCCCAGCACCATTTATTAAATAGGGAATCCTTTCCTCATTTCTTGTTTTTGTCAGGTTTGTCAAAGATCACCCCAGCCATCCCATTACTGGGTATATACCCAAAAGATTATAAATCATGCTGCTATAAAGACACATGTACACGTATGTTTATTGTGGCACTATTCACAATAGCAAAGACTTGGAACCAACCCAAATGTCCATCAGTGATAGACTGGATTAGGAAAATGTGGCACATATACATCATGGAATACTATGCAGCCGTAAAAAAGGATGAGTTCATGTCCTTTGTAGGGACATGGATGAAGCTGGAAACCATCATTCTGAGCAAATTATCACAAGGAGAGAAGACCAAACACCACGTGTTCTCACTCATAGGTGGGAATTGAACAATGAGAACACTTGGACACAGGGTGGGGAACATCACACAGTGGGGCCTGTCGTGGGGTGTGGGGAGTGGGGAGAGATAGCATTAGGAGATATACCTAATGTAAATGACGAGTTAATGGGAGCATCACACCGACATGGCACATGTATACATATGTAATAAACCTGCAGGTTGTGCATATGTACCCTAGAACTTAAAGTATAATAAAAAAAATTAAAAAAAAAGATTAGGAACATGGTGAGGATGACCACTATTACTACTTTCATTCAACCTGGAGTAAAATGAGAAAAATACAGTACATCAAAATGGTTAAAGACAACATTTAATTGCAAGTATTTGCAAATTATGTGATTATATTTGGAGAAAATCCAAATTAATTTCCAAATAAATTATTAGAATTAATAAGGCAATTTAGAAAGAACACTGAATATAAAATTAATATTTATAATTCAAATACACTTCTCATCGACAACAAACAAACTGTAATTTAAAAGTGCCTTCAAACTAGCAGTAAAGATATAAAACATCAAGAAATACATCTTTAGAAAGTATGGATTTGTTTTACAGACAAGTTGTAAACCTTTAGAAAGATTTTAAGAAGATGCAAAGAGAAGGAATACGATGTTCATAAACAGGAATATTGATATTAAATATGTCAATTAGCTTCAAATGAATTCGTAAGTATAATTCAATTCCAGTTAAAATTTTAGCCAAGGTATTAAGAATTGTTCATCAAAATTTCTTGGAGAATCTGCCAAGCTAATTCCAAGGGTGATGGAAGAATAAGGACTCAAAAATAACCAAGACACTCCTTAAAACAAAAAAAAAAAAGCTTGAGGGAATGAGGTTAGGAAAGGTGGATAAATAAACAATCCAATGGAATAGAATATTCCAGATATAAATCCTTATTCTTATGGCAATTTAATTTATGACACACCTAACACTCACACCTAGTGTCGAGTGAATGGATTTTTCAGTAAATGTTACCTGGATACATGCAAAAGAAAATCTTAATCAACTACTTCATGAAAAAAAATCAATTTCCTGTGGATTAAAGGTGTTATTATATATGAAAGGCATAGGTATATAATTTTGAAAACATATAGGAAAAAATATATATGATCTTAGCATTATAGATAAACCATAAAAGGAAAACTGATGTATTCGGCTACCTTAAAATGAAAATTTCTGTTCATTAAAAGATATCATAAATATTTGGAAAAAACAAGAAACAAAAACTGGAAGAAAATGTGTGTAATATGTACAACTGACAATGAATTAGCATCTACGATATATAGAAATTTTTAAAAATCATTATTTAATAAAACCAAATAGAAAAAAATGGACAAAAACTGAAACAGCTACTTTGCAGAAGAAAAATCACAAAGCAAGGAAACAAAAAGATGTGCAACGTTTGTTATCAGGGAGGTGCAACTTAAAATCATGAGCCATCAATCTCTATTTTGCAGACTGGCAAACATTGAAATGTCTAATCATATTAAATGATGGCAAAAATGTGAATCAAAGGAGACTCTTGCACACTGCTGTTGGGAATACAACTCAGAGACAAACTCCAGCCTCTTAGAACATGGATTTGCTTGTTGCCATCCTCTGGGCCATTTTTCTAGCACTTCTATAGAACAGGTGGATCCTGGCCACACATTGTCATCACTAATAATTTTTATTCCAAATTTTGGAAAACACACACGAAAGCAGCTTTAATGACAGGGTGGATTATGCTGTGGAAATAGGTGAGAGAAAATGCATTAATTAGGAGACATAAAGAATGGCCATTATGGAATAGCAAAAAGAACTGAAGGGTAATAATTTGTCGTTTGCTCTCTAAAGTTTACACTTCACAAAGGAAGTGGTCTCCAGGTAAAATAATAATAATAATAATAATAGACAACATTTATTAAACAATTATTATATGTAACAGGTGTTATCCTAAAGTCTCGTAATGACCTCCAGGCAGATATATTTCTATGAGAATGGTTAGCCAACTCAGGGAAATACTGTCTTCAACTAACTTCCTTTCACTTTGGTTCAACATTCAGTAAGAGACTTTATTATTATTCATTAATGGTTCTAGAGTGACCTTATTGGAAGGAATAGGCATTCTGAGTATCTTGTCCACATTACATCCTTGATTTTCAAAACTTGTCTCTTGAAGGTACATGATATAAGCCAGCAATTTTTGGATTTGTTTACTCCTAAAGATTAATGACTTTTGAAGTTCTTCAACAACCTTATCATCTCAATTTACTGTCACATATTTGCCCTGTCAAGTTTTCCTTTATGTTATTATCATTATTATTACTTTACCCAGGAAACAACAATTATAATTTAGAAAGCAGTGTGGTGTCATAGGAAGAACACACAATTAGGTGACTGAAGACTTTACCACTTATTAGCTAAGTAAATTTGTTTTTCGTCTGAAAAATGGACATCATAAAATAATATTTACTACAGAGGTTGTTGTGAATGTTGAATGAGCCAATGTGCTTTGTGAATTCTAATATGTTATGCTTGAGAGTAATTATGAATGTAAATTACTGGACAGATGCCCTTTACCATGATCCCTCAAGTGCTTCATGCAAACTGTTCTCCTCTGCAGAGCTCCTGTAGGTCATGTGGTGGGAAATTTTTAAGTTTATTTTGCCAGTGGGGAAACTAACATACAAAGAGTGGTAGAAACTTACCTAATATGAATGAAAATAGAACCTCTGTCTCCTGGTTCTTGGCTTTGTCCTCTAGATCAATGGTTTCCAAACTCAACAGAGATATTGTTACATTGTTTTGTTTTGTTTTAGGTACCTGTCCCTAAAATTCCAAATCTCTGGAGTTGGGGCCTGGGAATCTATCATTTATATAAAGCTTCCCCAGTTTCTACTTCAGACCAACACTTTTTCTGGCCCCAGATTAGTTTTCTAGAACTAGATGGGTAACTAGATGAGTTAACCTCAAATGCTGGTAACTCTTATTTGAGAGAGCCATTTGGTGTTGATTATTGAAAGAAGTATAATTTATCCAACAAGCTCTGGATTCGAAATGACCTTTAATCTGGAATCTGTTGCTCATTGATTGTGAGATCTTGAGGTAATGACTCAACCTCACTCAACTCTGAATAGCTTTATTAATATGCAAAGTAAAAATATTGGAGGAATTGAGTGGAATAACATATGTAAAGCACAATTCCAGAGATAAACTTAATGGCAGCCCCCAATAAACAAAAACTACGATTATTACCTTAAAATATAGACTTAAACATTTACCTTTAATTATTCCCTCATTTCCTTTTGCTTTGCATGGAGCTTTCTATTTATACATTGTTATTCATCTGACTCAAACTTCCCAAAATATTTCATCCTGAAAAGTAAACAGTGCCAGGAGCCTATTTTCAGCACTCATTTTTAGTGCTGAGGTCACAGAATACCCAACTTATTTTCTCAATTATCCATGTGCTAAAGAGTCATAAATCAGTGAACAGAATTGGAGGCCGGTGTGGAGCCTGCCCCACCTGACATCTATAATTATTCCATGGGCCGAATCCAGATGTCAATGGGATGTAGAAATTAAGGAGACAGCTTAGTGAGCCGGCTGTCATGGGGATGCCAGTATATCACCGCTCTAGATTCAGTTTGGTTTTAGAAGTCCTAACTATCACTCCAATGGTAAGAATATACTGTGTAGGTCACAAGAGGAGGGTTTGAAGGCAGCATGGAGTGGAGTATTTGATGATAATCTTAAGCAAGCTATTTAAAAATTTACAAGAAATAGAGAATAAAAACAGAAATAGGAGTATACCCAGAAATGAGTGTGGTACAAGATTAACAGAAGAAACTTTCAGAGAAATGTTTTTTTAGGAAAGAGTGGTCAATTAATCCACACTCTTTGAGTAATCACCATGTGGACAAAATTCCAGGCTTGTGTGAGATGCAGTCTAGCAAGGAGTATGAGTTCTGGGGCCACATGGCCTTGGGGCAAAGTCCTGGCTCTTTTGCTTATGAGCCATGAGGTCTTGGAGTAAACTTGTCCCTCTGTGCCTCAGTTTCTCATTTGTAAAAAGAAGATAATAAATTTTTGTGTCTTGTCATCAAAGAGTTGTTCCATGTATTAAATCAGTTAAAATAAATCAAGTGGTATTAGTAGAGACTAAATAATAAATTGTAGTGATTTTATGCTGTGGGTATAAATGAGAAGGTTGTACATATAAAGGATCATACTATTTTGAATTACATATAATTATATAAAATATATGTAAACTTTTGTAATACGTATAAAATAGCTATATGAAGACACTTTGTACTCCGGTAATGTCTTTAAAATCTTTTCTCTGTAAAGTGGCTTCAACCAGATCTTCCTTATTCTGATTATTTTACCCCAGCCCCCAGCACAAGGCTAGGAAAAACACCCTTGTATTATTCTTCAAGAGGGAAATGGCAGGAATATAGTAGACTCTAACAGGATTATGTCACATAAACTTCAGTACACAGTAAGTACTCAGGGAGTGGGAGGATGCAAACTTCCTGTTTGCATCTAGGAGTACGTAAACTGATGTCAGTCACTCTGTCAACAAATGGTCATTTTCTATGTGCTAGGCTCATGTCTTGATGCAAATCAAATGAGACATGTTTCATAACCTTGAGGAACTGGCAGTGTCACTTGAGATACAATTATAAATTAATGGTCACAGAACAATGTGCTAGTAATAATAAAAGCATGCCAGAGTATTAAGGGAATCCCACAAAGGAACATTTAAATCATGCCAGAAAGTGGGGGAAGGCTTCTCAATGTGAGTAGTCTTGAGCTGAGTTTAAAATAAAGAGTAGGGGTTAGCTAGATAAAGGAAAAGATCAGAAGACCAAGTTGGACAATGACAGTGGCAATTAAGAATGTGCTATTTCAGGAGCAGCAAATCTTTATGGCTAAATCAAAGGAGGAGTTGTAGAAGATGAGGCCAAAAAGGGAGATTCAAAATCATAAAGAGCATTGAATATTAGGCTAAAGTTGAGAGTTTTGCAAATTTTAAGCAGGTAATAGACCAAATGTGCATCTCAGAGCAGACTAGTAGTTATTTGGAGTACATTAATGGGTATCAGATGGGAGATTGAGAGGCCAGTAGAAAGGATAAGGCAGTAACCGAGGCCATGCACCATAAGAGCCTGGATGAAGCTACATCTATGCAGGTGGAGAGGCAGGAATAGGTTTTCATAGAGTTTTTCTAGAGAAATTCTGCAGAGTCAGGTGACTTTTGAGTGTATGGAGTGAGTCAGAAGTAGGAACTAGGGATGATTCTGTGGTTTCTAGTTGGAGTGACTCCATATAAGATCAGGCCATCACCAAGGTAGGAAATAGAGAAGGAGAAACAACATTTGACCTGGAATTTACAAACAGTCCTTAGAGTTGTGCTTTTTAACACCCTCAAAGGCATTAAAAATATTAATATTTCCTATTTGTTATACCCTTTCCTAGAAGGCAATGGGTAGTAAAAATACCATGGCCTGACAGAGGAGAAACAAGAAGAAGAGAAGGCAGGCAGATCTCAAAGGTATGGTGGAGAGAGAAAAAGATAAGCAAATCTTGTCTTGAATGTGACTTCACTAGAATGTGTTTCCCATAATTTGTTTTTATTGAGGAGATGTCTCAGGGATACACTGTCCTGGAAGAAGATAGCTACACAAAGACCAAATAGATTCGTGGAATAATCTAGGAATTTTACAAATAATACTTGAAAAAAATCAACAAAAATTTTACTTTTTTCAGAAGCAACGGCTTCAAAGTTAACCCTGCAAAGTCACTCTCAAGAAGTCACTACTCACTAATTCTCACGGTCTAACTTACCACTGATTTGCGCATGCTACCTTTACTGGACTTGTGTGTGTGTGTGTGTGTGTGTGTGTGCGTGTGTTTGGAGGCAATTCCCTTTGACCCAAACCTTCTGGTCACCACTGGCTCTCCTCCAAGAAGGGGAACAGGAACAACGTGACCAGGACAGTGTGCCAAGTGCCTATTTCCTGCCGGCATGCTGTCCGAGTGTGATTCCTGGAGTGGCTAACTCAGATTCCCTGTAAAATGCCTCCCCAAACAGTGGTAAAATAAAATCAAGACAGTTGGGGTATTCCTTTATCTTTTTTCTTTTTTGCTTCAGGTGTTAAACAACAGCAATAACCAAAGAGTCACTCTGTGGATGGTTCAATATCTAGCAAACTTAGAGAAAGAAAAGGATACAGAAAAGTGATTCTTAGAGAGGAATCTGGCCTTGGTATCTATTTCTTGCCTCCAAAACTTACTTTTTACTAGTCCTTGGGAAACTTCTTACCTGCCCCATCTCAGATGGGACATGGAGACCAGCCAGGAGTAGCATGGTGCTCTAGGATAGGTACAGCTGACTACATGCAGATCAGCCAGTAGTAGCATGGTGCTCTAGGAGAGGCACAACTGACTTATGACATGAAGACCTGGGCATATTTGGCATTTGTCCTTCCCTATCACATGTATCTTCATTTTCTTTTCTTCTTCTCTTTCATGTCCCTTTCTTCCCCATTTTCTTTCCTGTCTTTTCCTTCTTTCCTTCGCTTCTTTTCTCCAGTCTTTTCATCTGTTTACCTCTTCTCTCCATTTCCATTTCTTCCTGTTATTCTTCCCTTGCTTGCTTTTGTTCCTTCTTTCTATTTGTCCCCTTTTTCTGCCATCTTTGACTAAGGTACTCAAATGTGTGAGCTCTGGAGGTGAACTTCTGGGTTTGACCTAGGCTCTACCACTTCTTTTGTATATGATCTTGGGTAAATTTTTAAATTCTCCTATATCAAAGTTTACCCATCTACAATGAAATTATATTAATACCATATGCTTTAGAATTTTGTTATAAGGATTTAATAAGATAATGTAAAGCTGTAATGCACTCAGCATAGGCAGGACATAATGTAAGATACTACTGTTTTATATATATATATATGTATATGTATGTATGTACGTGTGTGTATATACATACATATATATACACACACACACACACACACACACACACATTTGAGAGGGAGTCTCACTCTGTCCCCTATGCTGGAGTGCAGTGGCATGATCTCGGCTCACTGCAACCTCTGCCTCCCAGGCTCCAGCAATTCTCCTGCCTCAGCCACCCGTGTTGTTGGGATTACAGGCGCGCCCCACTATCACCCAGCTAATTTTTGTATTTTTAGTAGAGACAGGGTTTCACCATGTTGGCCAGGCTGATCTCAAACTCCTGACCTCAAGTGATCTGCCTGCCTAGGCCTCCCAAGTAGGATGGGATTACAAGTGTGAGCCACTGTGCCCAGTGGTGGGATCACAGGTGTGAGCCACTGCACCCAGCCCTACTGTTCAATTTTAAGTCTCCTTTGGAAACCTAGTTCTCTCTCTAGGCATTATTTGCCTCCATTTGGGTGCCTTAGAAATGGAATAATTCCTGATCTCAAATCTCCCAATAATTGCTTTGCATGCAAAATTTTAAGAGTCTCATGCTCTACCGACTGAGCTAGCTGGGCAGCAAAATTTTAAAAAGCTATATTGTAATTCTGAATGGATTCTAAGTCATCTCACCAATTTTTTTGTCAATTCATATCACAAACAGAAGAAAATCCAGTATTTTCCTTCCTTGTGTCATATTTCCATGTAACATCTAGGTAAGCAAAGCAATGCATATTAAAACATCAGATAATTTAATAGGTCATCTTGTGGTTTAATGGCCTAAGCAGATTCATGTTTTGAACTCAGCCTCTGAATTAAATAAATGGCACAGTTTAGTTTTTATGATGTGTTTTTGAGTCTGGCTCATTACATGAGCCACTTTGTCTGACTGGCTTTGCTCTGATGCTTTTCTTTTTGTCCACATGTTTGGCATGGGCTGATAAGTAGTTGATTTTACCATCAAGGTACTTTTTTTTTATTTCTTTTCCTTCCCCTTTCCTCTTTCATCCTTCTACAGTCACATTTCCAACTTTAAAAATCTAAGCATTATTAACATGGAGTGCCAGAACACAGCACGAGGCACCTTGGCAAGTTATTTCTCTGTGCCTCAGTTTCCCCATCTATAAAAATTTTCAGGGGAAATGCTCATGGTTGGCATCTATATCTTAAGGTTGTTGTGAGAATTAAGTGTGTTGTTAAGAACAAGCAATAACGAGTGTTTTTCTTTTTTTTATTTTATTATTATTATACTTTAAGTTTTAGGGTACGTGTGCACAACGTGCAGGTTTGTTACATATGTATACACGTGCCATGTTGGTGTGCTGCACCCATCAACTCGTCATTTAGCATTAGGTATATCTCCTAATGCTGTCCTTCCCCCCTACCCCCACCCCACAACAGTCCCCGGTGTGTGATGTTCCCCTTCCTGTGTCCATGTGTTCTCATTGTTCAATTCCCACCTATGAGTGAGAACATGCGGTGTTTGTTTTTTTGTCCTTGCGATGGTTTGCTGAGAATGATGGTTTCCAGTTTCATCCATGTCCTTACAAAGGACATGAACTCATCCTTTTTTATGGCTGCATAGTATTTCATGGTGTATATGTGCCACATTTTCTTAATCCAGTCTATCATTGTTGGACATTTAGGTTGGTTCCAAGTCTTTGCTATTGTGAATAGTGCCGCAATAAACATACATGTGCATGTGTCTTTATAGCAGCATGATTTATAATCCTTTGGGTATATACCCAGGAATGGGATGGCTGGGTCAAATGGTATTTCTAGTTCTAGATCCCTGAGGAATCGCCACACTGACTTCCACAATGGTTGAACTAGTTTACAGTCCCACCAACAGTGTAAAAGTGTTCCTATTTCTCCACATCCTCTCCAGCACCTGTTGTTTCCTAACTTTTTAATGATCGCCATTCTAACTGGTGTGAGATGGTATCTCATTGTGGTTTTGATTTGCATTTCTCTGATGGCCAGTGATGATGAGCATTTTTTCATGTCTTTTGCCGGCATAAATGTCTTATTTTGAGAAGTGTCTGTTCACATCCTTTGCCCACTTCTTGATGGGGTTGTTTGTTTTTTTCTTGTAAATTTGTTTGAGTTCATTTTAGATTCTGGATATTAGCCCTTTGTCAGATGAGTAGGTTGCAAAAATTTTATCCCATTATGTAGGTTACCTGTTCACTGTGATGGTAGTTTCTTTTGCTGTGCAGAAGCTCTTTAGTTTAATTAGATCCCATTTGTCAATTTTGGCTTTTGTTGCCATTGCTTTTGGTGTTTTAGACATGAAGTCCTGGCCCATGCCTATGTCCTGAGTGGTATTGCCTAGATTTTCTTCTAGGGTTTTTATGGTTTTAGGTCTAACATTTAAGTCTTTAATCCATCTTGGATTAATTTTTGTATAAGGTATAAGGAAGGGATCCAGTTTCAGCTTTCTACATATGGCTAGCCAGTTTTCCTAACACCAATTATTACATAGGGAATCCTTTCACCATTTCTTGTTTTTGTCAGGTTTGTCAAAGATCAGATAGTTGTAGATATGTGGCATTATTTCTGAGGGCTCTGTTCTGTTCCATTGGTCTATATCTCTGTTTTGGTACCAGTACCATGCTGTTTTGGTTACTGTAGCCTTGCAGTATAGTTTGAAGTCAGGTAGTGTGATGCCTCCAGCTTTGTTCTTTTGGCTTAGGATTGACTTGGTGATGCGGGCTCTTTTTTGGTTCCACATAAACTTTAAAGTAGTTTTTTCCAATTCTGTGAAGAAAGTCATTGGTAGCTTGATGGGGATGGCATTGAATCTATAAATTACCTTGGGCAGTATAGCCATTTTCATGATATTGATTCTTCCTACCCATGAGCATGGAATGTTCTTCCATTTGTTTGTATCCTCTTTCATTTCATTGAGCAGTGGTTTGTAGTTCTCCTTGAAGAGGTCCTTCACATCCCTTATAAGTTGGATTCCGAGATATTTTATTCTCTTTGAAGCAATTGTGAATGGGAGTTCACTCATGATTTGGCTCTCTGTTTGTCTGTTATTGATGTATAAGAGTGCTTGTGATTTTTGTACATTGATTTTGTATCCTGAGACTTTGCTGAAGTTGCTTATCAGCTTAAGGAGATTTTGGGCTGAGACGATGGGGTTTTCTAGATATACAATCATGTCATCTGCAAACAGGGACAATTTGACTTCCTCTTCTCCTAATTGAATACCCTTTATTTCCTTCTCCTGCCTAATTGCCCTGGCCAGAGCTTCCAACACTATGTTGAATAGGAGTGGTGAGAGAGGGCATCCCTGTCTTGTGCCCGTTTTCAAAGGGAATGCTTCCAGTTTTTGCCCATTCAGTATGATATTGGCTGTGAGTTTGTCATAGATAGTGCTTATTATTTTGAGATACGTCCCATCAATACCTAATTGATTGAGAGTTTTTAGCATGAAGAGTTGTTAAATTTTGTCAAATGCCTTTTCTGCATCTATTGAGATAATCATGTGGTTTTTGTCTTTGTTTCTGTTTATATGCTGGATTACATTTATTGATTTGCGTATGTTGAACCAGCCTTGCATCCCAGGGATGAAACCCACTTGATCATGGTGGATAAGCTTTTTGATGTGCTGCTGGATTCGGTTTGCCAGTATTTTATTGAGGATTTTTGCATCAATGTTCATCAAGGATATTGGTCTAAAATTCTCTTTTTTGGTTGTGTCTCTGCCAGGCTTTGGTATCAGGATGATGCTGGCCTCATAAAATGAGTTAGGGAGGATTCCCTCTTTTTCTATTGATTGGAATAGTTTCAGAAGGAATGGTACCAGCTCCTCTTTGTACGTCTGGTAGAATTCAGCTGTGAATCCATCTGGTCCTGGACTTTTTTTGGTTGGTAAGCTATTGATTATTGCCTCAATTTCAGAGCCTGTTATTGGTCTATTCAGAGATTCAACTTCTTCCTGGTTTGGTCTTGGGAGGGTGTATGTATCGAGGAATTTATCCATTTCTTCTAGATTTTCTAGTTTATTTGCGTAGAGGTGTTTATAGTATTCTCTGATGGTAGTTTGTATTTCTGTGGGATCGGTGGTGATATCCCCTTTATCATTTTTTATTGTGTCTATTTGATTCTTCTCTCTTTTCTTCTTTATTAGTCTTGCTAGCAGTCTATCAATTTTGTTAATCTTTTCAAAAAACCAGCTCCTGGATTCATTAATTTTTTGAAGGGTTTTTTGTGTCTCTATTTCCTTCAGTTCTGCTCTGATCTTAGTTATTTCTTGTCTTCTGCTAGCTTTTGAATGTGTTTGCTCTTGCTTTTCTAGTTCTTTTAATTGTGATGTTAGGGTATCAATTTTAGATCTTTCCTGCTTTCTCTTGTGGGCATTTAGTGCTATAAATTTCCCTCTACACACTGCTTTGAATGTATCCCAGAGATTCTCGTATGTTGTGTCTTTGTTCTCGAATAATGAGTGTTTTTCAAAAGGTGGTCCTTGATATACATTATCTTCAGAAAAACGGTCAGCCAATATTTTTTTTTATTTCTTTAATAGACAACCATAAAGAAGAAAGAAAGGATGAGGGATGTAGAGACTGGGGAAACCAACACTGCTCACACTTGCTGCTAATAGCGTGACTTTGAATTACCCTGCAGTTCTTGATAGATATTATCAAATACAGGGAGCAGCAACTATACAGTCCCAGTGAGAGTCTGACACATCTATAGTATAAGAGAAGAATGATAGTTTTGAGGGGAGATTCTGAGAGTTTCCCCTCAAAGCACACAAAATTTAGATTCCTCTCTGAATTTTTTTCTTAAAAGATGGTTCGGTCCATAGTTTTTACCAGATCCGTAAATGGATCTATTTCTCAAAAGTGTTGAAGATCATCTATCCTTAACACCTTGTAACTACTACTCTTACAATGGGAAAGAAGGGTCAGGAAATGGGAGTCTCATGACATAATAGACACAGCACAGGGCCTATTACTGAGGATGTGAACATTTTATGACCTCTTTTCCAGGAAAGAGAATTAACAAAAGGGAGGGAAGGATTTTTGAAGTTTGGGTAAGAATCTATAGCTCCTTTCAACTCTCTCAATTTCCCACTGCTCTATCATCTCTCAAACAGGCGGGTAACTGGAAATAAAAGAATGGCTCTGGAAGGTGAACTCTATCCCTTGAAAATTGATTGAGAATCTGCAAGCAAATCACTTAATCTGTTTTGCAGTCTCTGAAGCTAAGATTGCCTTGGTTCTATGAGTAGAGCCAAGCAGAGCAGTGGCATGAACTAAAGAATAAACAATATTCAGTTTGTACTTTCTTTCCCAGAGTTCACTGGCACAGGAGGGATTAAAGACTCAGTATGAGTATTTTTCTAAAGTCACCCTACACCCTGATGTTTCTCATAGCATGTCTCTGGATCATTAATGTGTTTCCAAGCAAATAGTTTCATATGGAGCGTTTATTTACCCTTATTATTAAGATGCGTGTGTTTCACTGGAAGCATTAGCTTTGAGGCCTATCAAGCACATGATAGAAACAGGCATGCAAAAGGAAGGAGTATTCTGTCCAGGGAGCATGAGCAGGCAAGCTCACCATTGGAAATAGTGATGAAATAACAGGGAAATACAACTGAAAAACACACTCAAAAATGTATTACATAAAATAATTTACTTCTCATTCAGCGTGACCTTCCAGACCTATTAGTAAGACAGCAGTCTGTGAGTTCAGATACAATCTGAAAGTCATGACAATTATAATAGGGCAAGACCAATAAAGTTACACATTTGAAGTCAACTAGAGACAAAATTGTGGAACTGTGTATAACAGAAAATGACACTGATGAGGAACTCCAGGGATATTAAGGGCAAGATTGCCAGAGAGACAAGAAGGGTACAATTAGAAAACCTGCATCTTTAATACAGTGAGATTTGTATGCATACACTCTGGTGTCTTCATTTTGCAGCCCATTATATTGGCTTAAAAGCCAGAAAGGTGCTCATGCATGTAATTTATACTGGAGCAACGAATGCAGTGTATGTGGACGCGTGTGTGTGCACTTTGAAAGGCAGTAGTTTTAGAAGAATGAGAAGAAAATTACTTCCTGGGCATTCATTAATAATTCAGGTGATATCCTGTACCTCCATTTATAAAACAATATAATAATAATAACACGTACAAAATAACATCATAAATAACATAAATGAGAAGTTTTCAAGTATTTCAATGTGCCTTGAAAAGTTTCAAACAGTAATTCTCACAATTGGTTAGACAATCATTTTTTTTTTCTTTTCTTTTCCTCTCATTTAGTCTCAGAGCCTAAAAAGAAATGCCTCCAGTCTCTGTTAGCCCCGATGTTTGGAATGAAATTAACAAGATTCTACCTTAAAAGAGAAAACTTATGTGGGCTTTTCAAATTGTGAAAATTTGTTCCCTCTTATAAAATATAATCTTTCCCCTGCTGCTGGTTTATAAATATAGGCATATAGCCCAGAGCCATTATAAAGAAAAAACAACCAACCACAATAAACTAAGGAGCCTCATCTGATGGCTAAGGTTCTCAGGAAAAAATGAGAAGAGCACCTTGATCAGGAAAGGAAAAAAGGATAGAGGATAAAAACAGTAACCTTTAACTTCTATGCCCTCACTCAGCCAGTAACTTACGGCAGGTGTTGCTGGCAAGGCCTTAGCTGTATTTCTTCATTAAGTTGAACATCCTGTCTGCCAACTCCATACCAACCCAGCTGCTAATAAGCATGCCCTGAGCACCCAGGAAAAGAAGGGAAGGCTGGCAGCTTAGGAGCTCAAAAGTGCCATCAGAGAAAACCAGCTCAAGGGAGCTAAGGTATTTGCTCCTTAGAATAGTGCTCAAGGTGGAGGCTGTCAGTGGTCAAATCAAGCATGAAGTTCCTTGGATGCTTCTCCAGCAAGATCCATGGAATTTTACAAAACCAACTTTCCACAGGTTAGCATTTCTTTCTTAGCCTACATGGCAGTTAGTTCATTTTGCCCTGTTCAAATGTAGTATGAAAGAACAGAGATCAAAACACCCATGTAAGTACATACACATACTCTAGTTATGAGCACCTAGGGTCTTTCCCATCACTCTTGCAAAAGTGTGTGTGTGTGTGTGTGTGTGTGTGTATACATACACTCACACATACATATGTATACACAGACATCTATATACAGAAATAATGTATATGTGTGTCTAATGTATATATAATATATACACATAGACATACACACAAGCACATATCATAGCTCAACCTCATCTAAACATCTAGAGTCTGGAGAACGTGCTGGCCAACAGAATACATGTGCATGTGGATGTCATGTGACATGCACTAACCAACCATCCCGAGGTAAAACTGTTGGGAGGAGGAAACTGCCAACAATCTTTGAAAATCCAGACCTACCAGGCCATTATTTAGATATTTGCTCCCATGGAACCCTCAAAGAAACTTAGGAAAATTGGACTGGAATGGGGTCCCACCCTGATGAACACTCAAACACCAAAAGCTATATCTAGTTTATGCGTAGAAGTGACTCACACATGGCAGGCAGCATGAATATTAGGCTACAATGTGGATAAAGCACTGGAGCTTAATACAGATCAATATTTGGCCTCAGGTTTTCCAGAGCATAGAGTCTTGGCATTTCATCCCTCTGCCTTCAGGTGAGAATTAGGCACACTGAGGGACCAGGGAAGCACAGTCTGCTGAACTCTTGGCTCCTTTCTGCTTTTCTGCCCCACAGCTGGACGGGTTGACCAAATCAAGATAGAATCGAGACTTGAGGAAGCGGCGGTAGGAATCCTTCTCCATCAGGTTGAAAATCTTCTTCTGGGCCTCATCAAAGCAGGTTATTGTAGGCTCTAGCATGTTCCGGCTTGTCTCTTCCCTGGTGCAAGAATCCAGGTTCACCTGAGGGGCAAAGGCCAAGGCTTCATTAGACCTATATCCCTGTTGAGGATGCAAGCCTGTATGCTTTGTAGTGACTTGTAAGTGGCAGTGCACCCTCTGTATTTCAGAAGCAAAAAACAAAAGTGACATTGGGGTCCTCCTTGGCACATGTGAGAGAGTATGAAAGGTTCAGAATGAACCTTTCTGCTTTAGAGAGAGCAGGGCAAGATCTTCTGTTCTGTCTAACAAATTGGGGAGATTCATCAGAAAAATTCATGCAGGGAGGTTATGGTAAGCCACATGGATAAAAGAGATTTTTTAAAAAACTGATTTATTTGGGGTTGTCAAGATTATGATAGTCAGCTCCACTATTCTAGGAACCTTCACTAAGATCCAGAGAGTTCTCTGCCATAAAAGCTTACCTTTTTGGTCAGGTTGGCTAATGGGTAGAAGGAATAGATAGAAAGTTGGGTAGAGGGAATAGGTTCTAGTGTTTGATAGCACATTAGGGTGATATAGTTATCAATAGTTTATTGTATATTTTAAGATAGCTAGAAGAGGAGATTTGGAATGTTCTCAACACGTAGAAATAATAAATGTTTGAGATATGTATATAGCAATTGCCCTGATTTGATTGTTATCACATTGTATGCATGTATCAAAATATCACACATACTCCATAAATACGTACAATTTTTATGTATCCATAAAAAACCTACCTCTTTGGTTGCCTGGACTGAGATGAATTCATTATAGATCTTTTTGGCCTTGGGACTTAGTTTAGATGGTGATTTGATTTTCTTGTACTCTTCACAGCTGATCCAGAAGTCAATATTCTCCTCACTATATTCAGACTTCAAGAAAGCTTTGAAAGCTGCCAGCCCACCTATGATACAGGAGAAAGGACCACAGTTGTCATCACACTGGTTGGCCTCTTGGATATGCTATTTCACATAAAGCTGAGGTACTTGGGGGATAAAGCATGGATTCAAGCAATCCCTTTTTCCCCTGCTTTTTTCAAGTCACCTGGAGTCAGGTAACCCTAATCTGTGTTTGATATCCAGTGGTTCCCAGTTCTACCTAATGATTCTTACTCAAGTTGGAAGCCTCTTTCAAGGAAGTATTTTGCTTCTGAAATGCCTATGCAGCTATCAATTACCAAGGTCAATTTGGGAAAGAGAAACTGAGATTGATTTTGCAAGAAGGTATTGATATTTATCATTTTTTTTCTCTCTTCCGTTTTTCCTTGTGATGAGAGAGATGGTTTTCCACATGGTTCCTGCATAAACTTTTCATTGTATATCACAAAGCTCTAGGGCATATTAAAATTTTAAACAGACTGAATTTAAGACCTAAAGAGTCTCCTGAGTCTGAACATCAGAAAGAAGCCAGGCCTTGCTGCAGTTTCTATTAGACCAGCATAATATAACTTGTCTTATCCAGAGTACCTCATCCCAGGTTGCTGTCAGACTTACATTCATGACTAATCAGGTTTTCCAGTGATTCAGCCCATTTCTTGACTTCCTCTTGGCTCACTCTAGAAAAAATAGAGAGAAACAGAATAATTGGAATGCCATGGTAAAAAAATTGGGGCAAGAAATCTAAGATCCTGAATGAAGGCAAAGATTTTATTTTCCATCGTTATGACAAAATATGTTATTGATGAGGGCAGTTTTTCACTAAATGTATAGAAATTTCAAATGTAGTTATGATCTCCATGAAAATGGAGGCTATCTTGATCCAAATCTGGCTTAACTAGGAGCACAAGTTCCTTCTCACAGAACATCCCCATCATCAGATAGTTAATACTAAGTACATCTTCACCAAGGCCTTTTCTCTTACCTCTGGCAAATAACCACTTTGTCCTTCTTGTTGTGGGAAGAATTGTGTTCACAGGAATCAGATTTTTGCAGCAGGAAACCTAGCCGATGTTTCATATCTTTTGCACTGCACAGAAGAGAAAAAAATGAATAAATAGTAATAACCAGCTTTCTTTAAAAGATACCTAATGGTAGAGCTTGAAGAGTCCATTACTAGTCTATGGCTCAGAGACAGTTTAGGGAACGGGAGTTGGAGTTGGCATGACCTCTGAGGAAAACAAGATTCCTCTTGGTTCCCTATGACTTGCTACAAAACCTTGAGGCAGTCATAACACCATTTCCTTCATCCACAACTGGAATTCTGACCCTTCAGTTTACCTCAGAAACCTGAGAAGCCTTTATATGCCCGTCATTTTGACCAACCGAATATCTTTGGTATCTTCAACAGAACCTGAATCACTGAACACATGAGTGATCTCTGAGTAATTTTTAGGAATCAGAAAGCAGTAGCGGCAAAAGATGCACATCCTTGCTGCACGCCACCTTCTGGCAGGTGATTGCTATTTCCATCTGTTCCCCTGCTGGCAGAGGGAACTGTAGAAGCACCTCGGGAAAGTAAAAGTCTATTCAGTTCCAGCCATGTATGTTGGGGGGGGGGGGGGGGGGCAAGCAGTTCCTGCTGTGAGGTATAGAGGGAGAATACACTGAGGTGCACAGTTCCAGCAGAGGGAAATGGAGCATGGGATGGCGAAAACAAATGCCCAAGCTGAAACCTCAGCTTCTTGGGGCTTCTTTCTAGACAATATCTGCTGCTGCTGCTTTCCTTCTTAATAGCTACTTTAAAGGACATACACACTCTAAAGGGCATTTGAGGCTTAACAGCTATTAGGAGAAGCAGGCTAGAGTCATCACTGAGCTTCCAGTTTATTGCCACCATTTAATAGGTAGCCAGGGCACATTAGAGCTCCTGACTAACTAGAAAAAGGGGGTCTTTTAATAAGCCTTAAGCTCAACTCTCTTACTTTTTATTAAATATCCTCTTGCTTGCATCTCTTTTTATTAAAAAAGTCAAGAAATAGTTTAAAAAGAGAAATACCATTTTAAAAGAAATGAATAACTAAATGTGTCTATTTGGAGTAGGGAAAATAAAGCCTCAAAGATATAAAGACATTTAGGATGGCCACTAATACATTTATGTATGTAGGTTTTCCCAGAAAGTTTGAATTCCATTATGTTCTCTGACTGTCCCTTAAATAGTATTTTCTCTTCCTCGCAAGATTACTTTCCCTCCTCTGCTTCCCTGACTGATGACTGTTCAGGGGATGCAACATCCTTTTTGATTATAACAAGATACAATCCTGAATGTTAGGGTGATTCCAAGGTGATAATGTAAATATATCATGAAGTCCAAATAGAAACGAATTCATATTTCTATGTGCTGGATCCACCTGAGATCCTAGAGTTATTAATCAATGCAGGGGGTAAGTGTGCTTAGCAAGTATTCTTATAATAAAACCATAAAAATAAAAAACAAAATGACTTCAGAAGTTACTGGAGTCAGGAATTCTAGATTTGGTCCTAACTCACCCACCACCTATGTGACCTTGAGAAGGCAATGGCTCCTCTGGAGCCTCAGGCACTGGTGGTAAAGATGTTGGACTAGATGATTTGCAATTTATTGAGGAGGAAAGGGAAGAGCAGTTCATCCTGCTGACATAGAGTTTACCTCCTTAGATTAGCTGCTTAACTCTTTGAGGACAGAGCTCTAGTATTATCTTTTATCTGTTTTGCAAAATATTTACCAGAGCATAACTTTCTCCTGACACTCTTGTATTTTTGTACGGTTCATTTCATATGCAAGTTAAGTGAAGCTTGAAGTAATTTGCTCCACTCCATTCAGAAAATTAAGCGTGAAGGTCAGAGGAACTTATTTCATAGATACTCTCTGCCAGACCCTCCTGCTTCATTTTAAAGAAGCCATCGATACTTCCATACTCCTGAATGACAGAATATTTGGAAAGTAAATGTTTTAATAGTACATAAAAAATTATGTTTTCTGAGATTATTTCCAAAATAAAATTTGTGGTAATTTCTATTTGCAGTGCGATAAGAAAGCAGGTAGTATACCTTTAGGTTGACTTTTTACCTTTGACTGCAAGATTAAGTAATGTAATATGCACTCATTTTGTGTTTAATTTTCAACTGGCTAATATATGATCTTTCTCTGAATGCATTTCTTTATACCTTTTTTGAACAAACCAAAAACAAATGAATAGCTGTATGTCTGTAAGGTCTTTTAAAAAAATCAAGGGAGTATATTAACAAAACAATGTCTTTAAGATGAGATCTTCTACAAAACTATTAACTGATTTGTAATGATCAATATTTCTCAACCAAACTCATATGAGACACTTCAAGAACTAGAGATGGGGCAGAGAGATAAGGAAGATCTGGCTTTAAAACTCATATCTCATTGTAACATTTGCTTATAAGAACATAGAGAGTGAAAGTTACTGCACCACCACACGGAAAGCATAGTGCCTTTCTGATGATGGAGCCAAACCTCATTCTGGGGTACCTTTCCTGAAACAAGTTGTAGCATACAATCAGAAAGCCCAGAGCCAGGCTTCTATGTACTCCAGGGATGCTCAAATAGCAGTAGTAATCACAGATGGAGATATTACAGATCACTGTACATAGCCTCAAACCTCATCTCGCTTCTTAATTAAAACTAGCTTTCTTAGACCTGGCTTAAAGAATAGAACAGTTCTCAAAACTGAGGTCACACAAAACAACACATAAGGGCTGAAATTTGGGGAGCACATGTCTTAAGTCACAATATCTAGCTAGTCTTGGAGGAAAGTTAGAAAGTCGTGCTCTCCTGACCACACTGTTTCTAATTGCACAGAACTAGGTTAGTAAGTACAACATGTAAATAACTGAGAAAGTCTAGCCAAAAGTTTAATATGGTTAATGGCTGAAAGCAATCTTACCTCCTCAAGCAAGAAGCCGGCAGACCTGCAAGCCCTTTGCACATCTTATTTAACAGCTTGGAATTCGCAAGCAGGAAAGAAATGCGGCAGGAGGAGCTGTGGCTTCGGCTTTGAGCGTACTTTGCCTCTTCTCCGGTAAAGATATTGTCAGAATCCTCTGAGCGTCTTCCTGCTAAGCCTGTAGGGGTCTCTTTTATAGCCCAGCTACGACCGTCCAGCCAATCAGACGACCGCTCTGCAGTACCAGCTCCTCTGTCTCCCTCTGCCTCTCCAGCCCCTGAAAGAGATGAGGAAGAAAAGACTGACGCATCAGCAATGTTAAGTGAACGAGCAGAGAAAATCCTTCTGAAAAGTAGGGATATGGGAAAAAATGTACTCAATGTCTCCACCAATGTCAGAGGTTTAGAATTTCTAGAAAAGGAAAAAAAGTGTACAATGCTGCAAAATATAGTTTTTATTCATATGCCTGTAAAAAAAAAATATCAAGGAAGTTGCTTCCTGGAAGGAAAAGTACCAGCAGGAATTCTGGAGCTTACTTAGGAGCTGACTCCCAATGCCTTTCCTCTTTTGGATTAGAAGCATCATATTATACATGGTCCAAGATCTGATCCTCACGATTTCCAAAAGGGAGCTGGCAGGATCATCGTCTCCACGCAGTGATTTGCGGAAGTTGCCTTGGTTGTTATGCAAACAAGAAGGTGGAGAGAAATAGCTGGATGACAGACAGTTATAAGCCCGGCAGCATACAGAAACTACCCTAGGAAAAATAGATTTGCTATATCTGTAATCAACCTGACTGAGGAATACTTTTCTAGAAATCTTGGTAACAACAGAATTCAGCCTAGCACTGACAGTTTCTCCTTCACATGCCTGCGTCCTGTAAAAAGTCTAAACCGGCAGCTCGAGGACCAAAGGAGGGAGTAGATGAGCAAATATACACAGCAATTCTTATATCAAATGGGTTTATGTCTTATGTAATTCTAAGTCTCCAAACTGATATTTCAAAAGATAAAGAAAGAGAGATGTAGAGAGAAAGAGAGAGAGCAGGCAGAAAAATATGTAGTTTGCTTTGCGTATCACCAGCCTTCAAACTGATTGTAAGAATATTAAGCCCTATAGGTGTTTCTGAACACCTAGACAATCAGTATCTTTTACATACAATATCATGAACTGAAATGCCTGCATGGACAGAATCATTCAGGTGTTTCACATCTTATAGCCATAAACCAAATACCTACACCAGAGTTACAGAGGAAAGCTATAAGTGGAAGAAGGGAATTAATTGCTAGATCTGACCAAAACAGCTTTCATTTAGAAAGCAGATAGGTTCCTGATCATAGGCTACAGTGAGCTATACTTTATATATAAGAAACAGAGGCATCAAATAGTTTAGGTGGAAGAGATGAAAAATAGTTGGGTTCCAGTGAGATGCAAAATACCAAAAATATAGAAAGAATGGCACAAAGCAATGCCCATATGTGGCCCTACCCAATACGTGCCCTTGAACATCCCACACTGCCCCCACTACCAACACGTTCCATGACTAGCAGAGCAAGGAGACAGCAGACAAATGTAAAGTGGTGGAGGGACCATAATCTACAGAAGATGCATTTAAATTATAGGAAAAAGTCTCTAGCCGCCCATAAGAGGGCATTTATTGGATTAGCTACTGGGCAACTTTTCCTTGAATTATAACATAGAACAAATGAATGTTGACAGCCATCCTTGATGGTGGTGTGGAAGGAACTGAAGTGCAATATGAAACTAGGAAGGCCCTCAGACCAAGGAAGATGGACCAGGGAAATGAATCAGTCAGAACTGACATTAAAGAGGTCAGACTAATTAAAAGGGAAAGAAGGTCACTCAAAGAAAGACCATGGCCTTCTTTGTTTACCTGGGCACCTAAAAGAGTGATCACTCAAATAGATTGATTTCAGGAACATAAGTGAGTACCCAAAAAGATTTACTGATGCCTGAAATTCCACAATAAAAGTTTTATGTCTTGCACTTAGAATAAGAGAAGCCTGATTTGTCATGAGTTAAATATAAATCACTGCAATAGATGGGACTTTAAAGACAAAATGGGACTTCAAAGGCAATCTAGCCTAACACTCTCATTTCACCAAAAAGGAAATAGAGACCCAGAAAGAGAAAGTGACTTGCTGAGGTTACAGCTTCTTACTAACAGAGCTGGGTCCAGATACAGGTGTCTCGATACTCAGTTATGTGGATTGTCCACCATGCTATCCCATCACTCAACAGTCTTATCAAATAAGGTAAACTGTGTAAATAGAGATATTTCTAAACTACAAAGTGCTAGTCAAATAATTTTTATCATTCTATTATACACAGTATAGAACATAACCCAAAATTAATTTTACACATTTTATTCAAGGAGTGTTCACTTGCCCAATTTGTTCTTGCTCCTTGAAAGCAGGAGCTGCTGCTTTCAAGACATATTAACTAACATGTCTCTAACTTTGTGCTTAGCTCATTACTCTGTTCAGGCATTTCATGTTTACTCACTTCTTTGACTATTAAATCTTGCTTTCTTAGGAGTTTTAAGACTTTTAAAAAAGTGTTTGTAAAACGCTTCACATGAGTTAACTTACTTTTTCACTGTGGGACTTGCAGATTGTGTTTGAGGAGGCGAGGACTGGTACATCATGATACCTTGACAACCTTCCACCTTCTTTCTCTGATATGCACAAAGCATCAAATTCTGTTATTCTATGATTTGTCATTCCTGAATGACTCTGGTAGTGTGGAAGAGCTTTACTCTCAAAAGATCTACTTTTTATTTGTTCATTTGTTTAAGAAATATCTTTTGACCACCTACTCTGTATCAGGTGCTGTTTGAAGCAGTACCTGATACAAGCAGATAAAATCTCCGCTCTAGTAGAGTTTTCATCTCAGTAGAAGGAGTCAGAAAATAAACAAATCAGGTGATTCCAGATTTTGACCTGTACCATGAATAAAATGGGCAGGTGATGTGCTAGAGAGTAATCAGATGGTGAAGGGCTAATTCAGCCAAGGTGGTCAGGAAAGCCCTCTTTGAAGAGGTGGTATCTAAAATGAGATTTGATGGGTGAGAAGGAGAAAGCAATGCAAGAAGCCTAGGAATTAGTATTCCAAATAGAAGTAAGAGCAAGTGCGAGTGTTCTTTATCTAAATTGGGAAAGAACATAGCCATAAAAAAGAATGAAATCATGCCTTTTGCAGCAGCCTAGATAGAACTGGGGGCCATTATCATAAGTAAAACAAGACAGACACAGAAAGACAAATATTGCATGTTATCACTTATAAGTAGGAGCTAAATAATGTGTACACATAGATGTAGAGTGTGGAATGATGGACAATGGAGCCTCAGAAGGATGAGGGGGCAAGAAGTCAGCGGATGGTGAGAAATTACTTAAGGGGTACAATGCACATCATTCAGGTGATGAATACCCAGGGGGCAAGAAGTCAGCGGATGGTGAGAAATTACTTAAGGGGTACAATGCACATCATTCAGGTGATGAATACCCAGGGGGCAAGAAGTCAGCGGATGGTGAGAAATTACTTAAGGGGTACAATGTACATCATTCAGGTGATGAATACCCTAAAAGCCCTGATTTTATCACTATACAACCTATGCATCTAAAAAGATTTCACTTATAACCCATAAATATATACAAATTTTAAAAATTAAAAAAAAATGGGAAAGAACAAGAAGGGGCCAGCATAGCTAGAGAATTGAGAACAAGATGAAAGTAGCATAAAAGGAGATGGAAAAGTAAACGATAGATCGTGCAAGGATTTGTAGGCTGTGGTCAAGAGGCTGGACTTTATCAGAGTGCAGTGGAAATCCATGGAAGAAACAGAAGCAGAGGAGGGGTCTCATCTGATCATTCTGACTCTTGTGAAAGAAAGACTGAGATGAGTGGGCAGAGTGTGGAAGCAGGGAGACCAGTTAGCAGAGTTAGCAGTTTGATTCCTGTTTCGTCGATTATATATATATTTATTATTATATAGTAAGTCCTCAATGTCATCAATAGATTATTGGAAACAGTGACTTTAAGTGAAACAAGGTACAGCAGGTCCTTGAATGCCATCATTTCATCAATGCCATTTCATTATAACGTTGATGAGAAAAAAATTGGTTTAGTTATGTCCTTTCACTTGAAGTTGTAGTTTCCAAGAACCTATCCATGATGTCAAGTGAAGATTTACTTTACAAAACTCCAGGAAAGCACAGAGGATAGAGATTAAACTCAATCTTTTGAATCTGGAGTGGTTTTTCACAAGGAGACCCTAAAATGATAAATAGAGATGTAGTCGTTGTACAAAGAAGAGAAGAGCATCACAATAGTGGGCACAGTAATAACAGATGATTTTATCTGTCACTAACTGAGCAAGGCACTGGTTTAAGCACTATATGCCAGTTAATTCACTTATTCCTCATGATCCATCCTGAGAGAATGTTCTTCAATGATTCTCATTTTACAGATGAAGCATAGAGGACTTAAGTACTTACCTGAGCTTACACATTGATTAAGTGGTAGTAATGTTATGCCAGCTCAGACAGTGGGACTCCAGGGTCTTTGCTATTGACCTCTATGCCATCACAACCATAAAGAATAAAAGCAAGTGGAATGTTTGAAGGTCATAGAGGAGTTTAGCATGATTGCAGTGTTAGAGCTCAGAAAACCATATGCCAAAGTATAGTGCTTTGGTATGCTAAGAAGTACTTGGAACTAAAGGAGAGCGGAAGCCCTCAGAAGCAGCCAAGTCTCTTTCTGACCATCTCCTGCCCTCCTGCCTCTTACTCCTCTTTCTTCATGAAAGCAAGTCACAGAAACCAGAATTCCTCTTCCCCAAGATGGGTCATAGAAACTAGAACTCCTCTTCCCCGAAGCAAGCCATAAAATCTAAAAAGGCCACTTTCTCCCTTCTCCCTTGAAGACCCTCATTGAAGAAGAGTCCTGCCCCATACTCAGGAGGAAAGAATGCTATACATAGAGAGAGAGAGATCAAGAAGAATCTGAATAGACAGGCCTTGCTGTGTTTCCCCCTGAGTCCTTTACCACTAGATCATATCCTTTTGTCTAATCTACATGGCTACATGCTATCCATTCTTCATCGAACCTCAGCAAAAAAAACAGACAGTTTCCCCTGGGTCTTTGGGTCTTCATTTCTGAAGACTCCCATGTCATGTAAAACTTTGATTAAATAAATTTGTTAGGTTTTGCTCTTATTAACCTGTCTTTTACTATAGGAGTTTTGGTTGCGACCCTTATGATGGAAGAGAAAATGTATCACACGTTTTCACCCCTACTGCAGCTTTGAGAGAGAAGGAGAGATAAATGAAGGTGCACGAATATGCTGAGAACTAAAGGGTGTTTCTTGTTACTCTGAAGACCAGAATTTACTCTGTAGTTAATGGAGGAGAAGAGGTAGTTCAAGTACTTAAGCCGATCAGGTTAGCATTCTAGAAAGAAAGCTTGGGAGGCAGAGTAAAAGAATAGATTGGATATCAGAGAAACTGGCAAAAAGTTTGAAGGCTATTTTAAGTTCCTTAAATTGTAAAATGCTAACATCTGGAAGGTATTGTTGACAATAGGCTTTAGAAGAACTGTTTCCTACTGGGGGGCAGACATTCAGCCACACAGCAGGATGTGAACTATGTGTGGTCTCTAGGTAAATTTCAAATTTTTCCAACCTTTGCTCAGGGAGAACAAAAGAAAACATTTCTCAAGGATTGACGGTATCAAATGCAGGGAAATAAGTCATTGTGGCAGGCGTTGCGTTCTTTAGTTCTACCAGATGTTAAATGGGGCACTGATCCTCCACTTGGGCAGGATGTAGGCCAAGGCTCAGCCCCAGGCTGTGCTTGCACCACTTCAGATGACAATTTCCTCTCAGTTGTCAGAAGCCTCCCTCCTTCTTTATTGTTTACTACAATGGCCTAGACATCAATGAGAGTTCAGTTATTGATTTTTAGGACTAAAAAGCAAAGATATGGGGCTGGAGGATGCTGTATACCAGGAAGGTAAACAGGGACTTCCCAGTATGTCTTACTTTTGGGAAATGTGTCCAATTCTTTGCACCAAGCTTTGTGGGCACATGCAATAAATCAGGAACTCCAACCCTGACATTTGATAGCAGCAGGTGATGCATCACTGATTTCCCTGGAAGAACAATACCACACTTAATTAGCCAGGGGAAGAAAACCTTGTTTCCCAAGAAGTAGGAGAAAACCCAAAATAGCCTTATCCCAAAGATTAAATCTTTTTTCTGCAACATTTAGCCCAGGATAGAAACAGCAGTTTCATAAGAGTTCATTTGCATTGTGCAGGTGGAAAGAAACAGTATGGTGTCATGGAAAGTGCTTGAACTTTACAGAGAGGCAGATCTGGATTCCAATTCTAGATCCTCTAGGAAATCTTGGTAAATTAGGGTAAACTTTATGACCTCTAGTTTTGTAACGTGCCCAGGACTTCAATTTGCCCTCACATTTTAAAATCTAGATTCCTTAGCATAACATTCTGGTACTTTCATAATTCATCCCCATTCCAACTTTTCATCTTTCCCTTCCACTCTTTTCTTCATTATATTCTACTATGTAGTCATCCCAGACCACTGAATATTCCCACACATTTATGTATTTCCCCTGTTCTGTGCCATCAACCTGAAATGTCTTCACAGTACCCTGCGGTCAAGCTCTTTTTTCTCCTGTCGCCAGTGGTAATCAACTGCTACCTCTTATGCACTCTAGAAGTATGGTGTTTGAGCCAGACCTCTGTTTCGCTCCTCTTTAAATCCGATCATGTTACATTTGCCAATAACGTTCAGTTCAACAAACTTTTATATTGAGCATCTTTTATGTGTCTGAGAAAGGTGCTCATTCTTGAGATATTAATCTAACAAATACATATTGACATCCACCAGTGTAGTGGGTACTATACTGGATAGAACCCATTCTTGCATCCTTTGATCTTACACTACATTCTCATGGGCAGATGCACAAAAATATCAAGTATATAGGAAAATATAGTCATGGGTCACTTCACAACAGTGAAACATTCTGAGAAATGTGTAGTTAGGTGATTTCATCATTGTGGGAATATCATAGAATGTACTTACACAAACCTAGATGGTTATAGCCTACTACACACCTAAGCTGTATGGTATAGCCTATTACTCCTAGGTTACAAACCTGTACAGCATGTTACTGTACTGAATACTGTAGGAAATTATAACACAATGAAATATATTTGTGTATCTAACATATCTAAACATAGAAAAGGTAATGTCCTGCATTACACTTATGATGGCTGCGATATCACTAGTTAATAGAAATTTCTCAGCTTATAATATTATGGGGCCAGATACATTTGTGTTCTATCCCTGACTGAAACATTGTTATGTGGCACATGACTGTAAATAAAATAATGATAAATTGTGATAAGAACTTTAACAGAATGAAACACGGATGACTTAAAAAATAACAGGGTAAGGAATTTTACTTTTTTATAGGATGAAGAAGCAGAGCTTCTCTAAGAAGGTAGTAGTTATACTAAGACCTAAATGATGAAGGAGGTGCTAATTATACAAATCAAGGGGCATTCTACCCAGAAGGATGTGCACAGTGCTGGGACCAAAAAAAGTTTGATGCATAGAAACCTCAATGGCTAGAATGCAGTGAGTGTAAGGAAGAACAGCATGAGTTAAGGCTAAAGAATTTTTAACAGGACCAAATCATTGCAGGGCCTTGTTGACCCTGGTAAGGGGGTTGAACTTTATTTCAAAAACAATGGGAAAGAGCGACATGTTCTATTTTTTGACTTACATCTCAAAGTTCTCTAGCTGTTTTATGAAAATAGACTGCAAGAGGTTAGAAGAGTGTGTAGGAAACTGTAGCAATTGTCTAGATAAGGGGTGATGGGGACTTGGACAAGGGAAGTGTGTATGATCCCATCCCTAACCTTAAAGAGCTTTTGTTCTGATGGTGGAGAAAGTTATTGAACCATTCACTTCACCAAAAATGCCAAACATTTCCAAATAGAGATAATCATGTGTGCTAGGGGAGCAGGAGGGAGAAGCATGAGCTCCTCATGGATGTGAACTGAGTCTTGCAAACATGTTGAGTTTCATGTAGTTTATTTCGTGTAGTTTATGTAGTGTGTTACAAGACCCCCATTCCCATCCCTACCACTGCCATGGTGTTGGCCCCTCAGCATTTAAGTTTTAGGAGTAAAGCTGGAATCAAGACATCAGAAAAGTGCCCGTGCAGGTTCCCAAGCACAGGAGCTACCCAAGGACGATTCCATAGTGAGGTGGAGAAGTAGGTAAAAGACAACCAAGAGGTGGCATATTGATCCTGGATAAAGGGAAGCCCATAATGAAATAATGGGACATGACATTGAAAAGAGGAAAAGGAAACAGAATGGAGACTTGAGCAGAGCATACCAACATGACTTTTTATGCCCCCTCCAACCCTCCCACCCCACCAGCTTCCAAAGCATTGACAAATCCACTGGAGCCCAGTTTAAGAGCTTCTTCTGTAAACCTACTCTGAACATTCTAGTTAAAAGTCAACTTTTTCTTTCAGGCAATTGTAATCTCTATCAATTTAGACAATATACTCTTTGGTTTATATTTCCAGGCCTTCCCATTCCAACACAACTGTGAATTGTTTAAGTGTTTTGTGCTGCTTTTGCACAATGCTAAGCTCCCAGGAAGTTCTCAGTTTTGATTGCTTTGGGGCATTTTTAATAGTGGTGACACCACCTAAGTTGGCATTCCACCTCCCTGGGTAGCTAATATGAGGCATACCACCCTTTTATGTGTAGCTGTCTCCAGAATCTCTGTAATAAAACCAGTTTAGTTTTTTTAAAAAAAATTTTAGAGACAGGGTCTTTCCCTGTCACCCAGGCTGGAGTGCAGTGGCACAATCATAGCTCTCCATAACCTTGACCCCCTGGGATCACGTGATCCTCCCTCCTCAGCCTCCCCAGTAGCTGGGACAAGTGTGTTCCACTTAATTTTTTTAATAGTTAGACACCATGGGTTTTATAATGCTTGTGAATTGTGTTTTTGTTATACTAAAAGGATATGGGAAACTTCTTATGGCAAATAATAATAATAACAACAATAATAATAAATTTTATAACAATTAGGAAATGATGGTGCCTGGCTGAAAAACAGGTAACCTGCATTCTATTTAGCTTTGGCTAGTAAAATGAAAAGGTTAGATTGAATGTCTACATTTTTTCCTCTTCAAGGTTCTTTTATTTTTAAACTTCCTCTTGAAGAATAGATGGTGCTCTAAAATGTTCTATCCAGCTCAAATGAGAGAGCCAGGCTGACCTCAAGTGTTGGCCCTTAAAAGCTGTGGACTCTATGAGAGATGAAGGAGCCCCCGAGAGAGAAGAGAACTGGGCCTTCAAAAGAAGTACTGGCACGAAAAGCTTCACTCTAGGCCCACACCCTCCTCTCAATATCTTCATTATTGTGTCTCATTTCCTCCATCACTTCTGGCTTTTGCATTTTCTTGGTTCATACTCCAGGGTTTCTCACACTTAATGCAATATATGAACCTGGACACACCCTCCACCATGCCTCTGCCACATACACTGAGCTTTGGCATCTTAGCCATTCTTCTATAACATTTAAATCCTTGGCCCATCCTTTAGGTTTACACTGCTTTCACTATATATATATATAGTGTTACCTTCTTAACTACCTTACAGATAGGTTTTATTACACATTTATGTATTTCCCCTACTATTTGCCATCAACCTGAAATGTCCTTCTCACAATACACTGCTGTCAAACTCTCTTTTCCTCTATCCCCAGTGGTAATCAACTGCTACCTCTTATGAACTCTGGAGCATATATATATACATATATATACGTATATATATGTGTATATATATGTATATCTATGTGTGTGTATATGTATGTGTATATATGTGTGTATATATGTATATATGTGTATATATGTATATATGTGTATATATGTATATATATGTGTATATATGTATATATGTGTATATATGTGTATATATATGTGTATATATGTGTATATATGTGTGTATATATGTGTATATATATGTGTGTATATTATATATATGTGTATATATGTATATATGTGTATATATGTGTATATGTGTATATATGTGTATATATGTGTATATATGTGTGTATATATGTGTATATATGTGTGTATATATGTGTATATATGTGTATACATATGTGTATATATATGTGTACATATGTATGTGTATATATATGTGTATATATGTGTATATATGTATATATGTGTATATATATGTGTATATATATATGTGTGTGTGTGTGTATATATATATATATATATATATAAAATGCCTTTTTTTTTTTCTGAGATGACATTTCGCTCTTGTTGCCTGGGCTGGAGTGCAATGGCATGATCTTGCTCCCCGCAACCTCCACCCCCAGCAGGTTCAAGTGATTCTCCTGCCTCGGCCTCCGAAGTAGCTGGGATTACAGGCGTGTATCACCATGCCTGTCTAATTTTGTATTTTTAGTAGAGATGGGGTTTCACCATGTTGCTCAGGCTGGTCTTGAACTCCTGACCGCAAATGGTTCACCCGCCTCGGCCTCCCAAAGTGCTGGGATTACAGGCGTGAGCTACCGCACCTGGCCAGGTATTATTTTCTTACTTAACAAATGATGAACCTGAGGCACAAAGAAGTTAAGTGATTTGCTTAACAGTTACATAGCTAAGAAATAACAGGGCAAGCTCAGCCTGCTTGGCTCCAGAGGCCAGGCTCTTAACCACCATGTAATGCTACTTGTTGCTGGTTTTGCTTCTTTTCCTTGCCATAATAAGTTATTAGAAGTTTCCTATCTCATGAGCTTGCTCGTTCTAACAATGGTTAGCATGTGTACATTGCTTCCTTCCTTTCAGGGAAGCAAGATGATGGAGTCAATGTCTCTGGTGTCAGTGAATTATCTAATGACTTTAATCTTCAGTCTTCAACTGGCATTAATATAACTAAAAAGTTAAAGTAAGGCAAGATAATAAGGAAAGGACAATTCTTTAAGTTTTACAAATGCATACAGTAGTTCCTCCCAGTAAATGAATTCCTATGAGTACAAACTTCTATTTTATTTTTTTTTATTATTTTTTAAATTTTATTTTTTTTATTATACTTTACGTTTTAGGGTACATGTGCACAATGTGCAGGTTAGTTACACATGTATACATATACCATGTTGGTGTGCTGCACCCAGTAACTCGTCATTTAACATTAGGTATGTCTCCAAATGCTATCCCTCCCCACTCCCCCCACCCCACAACAGGCCCCGGTGTGTGATGTTCCCCTTCCTGTGTCCATGTGTTCTCATTGTTCAATTCCCACCTATGAGTGAGAACATGCGGTGTTTGGTTTTTTGTCCTTGTGAGAGTATGCAGCCATAAAAAATGATGAGTTCATGTCATTTGTAGGGACATGGATGAAGCTGGAAACCATCATTCTCAGCAAACTATCGCGAGTACAAACCTTTAAAAGCTGCATTTTTTTAACTTATCATTTGACTTGATAATTAAGGTACGAAGAAGTAATCTTATCTGTTTCTATAAAGGTCAAGTTTTAAAGAAACACTAAAAAAAAAAAACTAATAAGGAGAACCAAGCTGAGGAGGGCTTATCAAATTTTATCCCTCACTCCTGAACTAAATATCTCACCCACTAAAGATTTGCAGACAAATAGCTTTGCAACTCTTTTAGCAGTTCTATCTAGGCTCATGAGTAAACAGGTAAATGTATTCACCTACATCAGTCTATTGGAACAGCTGCCCTTCATTTCAAAGGAAATAGTAGAGATAAAAATAATATCATAATGCCATGATGTTGACCTAGAAATTGAATAGGACTGTCCCACAATCTATATAGCTCATGGGCTTTGATTGTTTTTGCAGGAGTGTTGATTGGGTTTGTGTTGAGTCATAAAATTGTTTCAGCCATTTCCTTTTAAAACAACCCTTCCATTTCACTTCTCAGTTTGTGAAGCACCTTTTACTACATTATCTCATTTGCCTTTCACATCAAACTCAATATGTTCAGAATTGAAATAATTTTCCCCTCTCAAAGCTACTCTGCCTTTAGTGTTCTTTATTCCCGTAAATCCACCCTCTATCAATATTTCTCACTCTGTTCCTCCTCTCCATCCTTCACTGCCCTAGTTTAGATTCTCTTTACTTTTTAGACTTTCTCCCCTGGAACAGATGTCATCATTTCTCTTTTAAGCAGAAATGACCCTGTTTTAAAGGAAGTCTTCATGCAGAATATTAGTGCATAGTACAGAGTGACATGAAGCCTCTGGAGGGAAGGAAGGCAAGGGGAGTTTTCCATTCCTTCAGGACATTCTATGAAAGCCCTAAAGTTTTATTGGAACACAATTATGCTAATTTATTTTATTTTTGTCTATGTCTGCTTTCATGCTATGATGGCAGAGTAGAGAAGTTGCAACACAGGCTATATGACTCACAAAGCCTAAAATATTTACTTTCTGGCCTTTTACAAAAAAAAAATGCTGACTGCTAGTCTACAAAACAGCAATAATATTCTAAATGGGCTTCCATGTTAACTTCTCTCTTTCTAATTAATTTAACAAACTACTGTCATACTCTGCCTCAAAAAGTTAGTAATACTAAGTTTCTATAAAATAAAGTTCAAATTTCTTAGCTAAGACTATTCAACACATGACATCCAAGTACTATTCTATATTAATTTCTACTCCCTTCACAAACACTAAAATCACTAAAATATTTTTCTCTTTAAATGATCTGTGCTTCCTGATACCCAAGTCATTTCTACTAGGAGGAAAAACCTCCTCCACTTTAGCTTCCCAAGTTTGGTGCTGTCCAACCTTCAAACTCAATACTCCTAAAGGAAGAGTTTCTGAAGCTATCAGTTAAAAAGGGACCTCTTTCTTTTAATTTTCCAAAGTATTTTTATCACTTCCTATCTGGTAGTATTGAGAAATTTCTGACATATATTTAATTATGTATATACTACTGTTCTTTTTATTATTTTATAAACTTATCGATAACAAGAGGCTGACACCATTTCAATTTTGTGGAACCTACTGGTTTCTAGCATGTATCTTGAATTTAGTAAGATCAAGCTAAAGAGTTGCTGAATGAACAAATTTGAAGATTAAGAATTATTTTAACATATGTTTTACAGAGGAGAAAACTAAGAAATGTGTATCAATCAGGACAAACTAGCTTAAATTGCAGTAACAAACAACCCCCAAATCACAGTACACTTGAAAGAACAAAGGCTCATTTCTTGTTCGTTGCATGTCCTTTTATATCAAATATGACTGTGTTGTTCATTGTTGTCTTTGCTGCAGAGTCCAGGTTATTGGAACAGCCTCTGTCTGAAACATGGCTGATACTCATAGCAGAGACAAAGAGAAAGCATAGTGCAATATGCATTGTCTCTGAAAGCTTCTGTTTAGAAGGAACAAACATTAGTTCTACTTATATTTCATTATATATTTCATTGGGCAAACTTGATGTCAAAAATGCATGTAAATACAATCTTTCCCCTACGATATGGTTTGGATTTGTGTCCCCACCGAATCCCGTGTTGAAATGTAATCCCCAGCATTGGAGGTGGGGCCTGGTGGGAGATGTTTGGATCAAGGGGGTGGATCTCTCATGAATGACTTAGCACCATCCCCTTCTTGATGAGTGAGTTCCCATGAGATCTGATTGTTTAAAAATGTGTGGAACCTCCCACTCGCTCTCTCTCTTGCTCCCCCTCTGCCATGTGAGACACCTGCTCTCACTTAGCCTGCTGTCATAAGCAAAAGCTTTCTGAGTCCTCACCAGAAGTGAGTAGACGCCAGTGGGATGCTTCCTGTGCAGCCTGCAGAACTGTGAGCCAATTTAACCTCTATTCTTTATAAATTACCCAGACTTGGGTATTTCTTTATAGCAATGCAAGAATGACCTAAGACATCCTAAGAGGGGCAATAAATATTTTTGAACAATAACAAAATATACCACAAGGAGTTTATCTTTTTATTACTTAATTTTTTTACAGCCTTCCTTCTCTCCCTTTACAAGGAGTTAAATGATTTGTCCCAAATCACACAACTAGCAAGTGACAGGATAAAAACTTGAAAGGAGATTATTTGACTTATAAATCCAGTTTCTCTTCATTTCATCATAAAGCAGACTGACTATCAGAGGGAATAATGGAGTGACTATGAAGCAACCGTTCTCTAATGCCCTTAACTGACCCAGCAGCCAAAAACATCTGAAGAGGTGGAGAACAAATGAGATAAGTGATTTCTTAAGGTCGGTTCTTTCAGTATATCAGTATTGGAGAGTCAACTGTTGTGGCCATAGATGGAAATACAGGAAGTGACAGCTTATTTGACTCTTGATTGCCTTAAGAGGATGCTAGAAGCAGTGAGAATGCAGTAAATGGAATAAAGCTCCAGCTGCATTACCTGAACTCCAAATATTATTACCAGCATTCAAGAGTGAAAAGGCCTGGGGAAGCCTGATAGCACAAGGATTAGACAGACATAGTAAGGCTGAGGGTGCCTTTGCTCATAAGTCTTTTTTAGTTTATTAATTTTCCAATCGATGGCAAAATTGCTTCAATTTAGTCTGTATAATCAAAGCAGGTTTCTGGTTAGTTCTATGAAGAATTCAACAGCTATTGAGTTTCTGCTGTTTCAGGTATTATGTTAGTCCCAGGGAACAAGACAGATATAATCCCTAATCTCATGGAGATTCTAATGTAGCACAAAATACAGATATTAAGTAACACATCATTTCAAGGGTGTTGAAAACAAAAGAGGAGGAACAGAATTGTACTGGACACTATTGGTGCTGTGACAAGATTCTTTTGAAACCTTTGAATTGTTTCTGTGAACTTCTCTCCCAGCTTCTGAGGGCCTTTGCTTCCAATTGACTGCACTTGATCATTTTCTGGACGGCTGCCTTCAGAACACTGGAGTGGATTGCCTGCAAGCATAGAAAGTGGGAGTTGCCTAGGAGTTTAAGTGCCCCTATCCAATGATTGGTAGGAGAGTCTAAAATCCCAGCCTCCTTGCCTTCTGGAAAAACAAAGTTAGGGGCAGCATTTACACTACAGAGTTCTCTTGATTAGGCTGAGCATGAGCCTTTGATGACTGAACCCTTGCTGGATGTTGTGGCCATTAAGAATGCACCTCACCGACCTCCAGCTATAAAGAGCATAATTGACTGATGGCCCCAGCTGCTGCTTCTGAACTCCATCACTGAGTTTGTCTCAGGGCTGCACTTCCCCCAGGCTGTTCCCAGCCAACAACTGAGCGTGGCAGGGACACTAAGACAGGCCCATTCCCAGGAGGCCTAGGATTCCCATGACAGGTAACTTTGGCTCAACAACTATTTGACAGCCTCAGCCAATTTTTCTTAGACTGAAGAGGGGTCTAGGATGCTCCCACGACCCTTCATTGCCTTCTTCCTTCACATGGGCTCAGACCTGTATCACAGCCTTATGGCTTTTCCAGCCCATCCTGATTACCCTCTGCCAATTTACTTTTATAGGTATTTCCCTGATAAAATCCTCAGATGCTTAATTCCATCTAGGCATCTGCTCCTCAGAGGATCCAGAAGAACACACTGGGCTTCCCTACGCTTACTCTTCACACGCACTTCTTTATGGTTTCTCCTGCGGGCACTTGCACATGAATCCTCCTCTCAAGGTCTGCTTCTCTGGAATCCAATGTAATGACAAGGGCTCAATGGGAATACATAATAAATGAATCTAATCAATTACCATTACAGTTGTGTTGAAGTTTGAAAGAATAGTAAACATTAATAGGCAAAAGGATGGAAGAGGCAGGATTTTCCAGGTAGAAGAAATATCATATTCAAAAGTTAGCAGGCAAGACTGAAAATGTCAGAGTCAAAGAAAGGAGCAATTAATAATTAATGTAGTGACAGATGAAGGAAGAAGCCACCTATGAAGAGCCCAGTTGACTGTGCTAAGGATTTTCATCTTTCCTTAAGAGTAAAGAGCCACCGTAAGACTTTAAACAGAGAGACAAAAGGATCAGATTTGCATGTTTAAAACATCATTCTGGAACATTAATTGCAGGGTAGCATAGAAGAGGGGAGAGCAGATAGAAAGTGATGCATTGGTCTGGTGCGGGACTAGGGTGGCTCAGACTGAAGCAGGGGTCGGCAAACCACAGCCTACA
Organism: Homo sapiens; assembly: GCF_000001405.40. Lineage (NCBI taxonomy): Eukaryota > Metazoa > Chordata > Mammalia > Primates > Hominidae > Homo > Homo sapiens. The sequence continues at coordinate 163,053,284 of NC_000001.11, read as the reverse complement.
GCCTGTTTCTGTATGGCCCAAAGACAAAGAAAAATTTTTCATTTTTAAAGGGCTGTTGCAATGTACTGAATGCTTGTGACCTGCCTCTTCTAAATTCATATGTTGAAGCCCTAGCCCCCAGTGTGATGCTATTAGGAGGAAGGGCCTTTTGGAGGTAATGGGACATGATGATGGGACCTTTATTAATGGGATTAGTGCCCTTACAGAAGAAATCCCAGAAGGGATTCTCACCCTCTTTCCACCATATAAGGATACAAGGAGAAACTGGGAAGCTGCAACCCAGAAGAAGGTCCTCATCAGAACTGCCCATGCTGGCACCCTGATCTTGAACTATCGTCCTCCAGAACTGTACAAAATAAATTGTGGTTGTTTATAAGCCACCCATTCTCTGGTACTTTGTTGTAGCAGCCTAAATTGACTAAGACACTTGTTAAAACAATAATAACAAAAATGAAGAATATGTAACAGAGCCCATATGTGGTCCTGAACCCCTAAAATATTCCCTGTCTGGTCCTTTGCAGGAGAATACGTGTGGATCATGGACTAGAATAATGACAATGGGAATGGGGAAAACTAGTTGGATCAAAGAAATATTTTGGAGGTAAAATCAATCTGTATTTTTGATCTATTGTGTTTGGAAACTGAGAGAAAAGGAGGCATCAAAACATTATCCTACATTTCAAACTTGAGCAGTTGAATGGGTGGAGGTACTATTTACTGAGGGAATACGAGATGAGAAGCTAGTTTGAGAGAGCCTGCAAAACACCCACACTGTATCAGAATTTACCTTTGCCCATTTTAACTAAATTCAATTCAATAGTTTTATAGTGCAGACTACACAGATGAGCAGTTGCAATCTGTCCTCCAAAGCACTTTACAGTCTTATGACAGGAAGAAGTAGCAAGTAAAGTTAAACATAACACAATACAGGCTGGGCACGGTGGCTCATGCTTGTAATACCAGCACTTTTGGAGGCCGAGGCGGGTGGATCACCTGAGGTCAGGAGTTCAAGACCATCCTGGCCAACATGATGAAACCCAATCTCTGCTAAAACAATACAAAAATTAGCCAGGCATAATGGTGCATGCCTGTAATCCCAGCTACTCGGAAGACTGAGGAGAATTGCTTGAACCTGGGTGGCGAAGGTTGCAGTGAACCGAGATCACACAATCGCACTCCAGCCTGGGTAACAGAATGAGACTCTGTCTCAAATAAATAAATAAACAACAATAAATAAAATAATACAATACAGAATAGTATCAGGTGAGTGTCATAAATGGATAGGTACAAAATGCTAAGGGTGTTCAATGGAGCAAGAGAAAGAGAGAGATTGAGATAATATCCATTTAGAAAACAACAGAAAGGATTTTATAGGTGTGTCATTTTAAGTAGTCCTTAAAGTATGACTAGGATTTCAAGAAATAGAGCATATATATATATATATACACACATATATATATACACACATGCACATATACACATATACATATATACACACACACACAAAGATGGATCTCTAACCATATATATATTCACACATATAGATAGGTATCTATCTATATAACTGTATGTATATAATGATAACTATATATACATAAAACTTTAATCCTAGGGCCCCTCTTGGTGCCACTTTTAAATATCCTCAGAAAATCAAGGAAAAAATTATTGAAAATTCAAATCTTGAACATTATCCAGTTTATAACCAACAGCTGCATTTATTAGAGAGCTCCTTTCTCTCCTATCCACTTATCTTACATCTTCAGCAACTTTGAACTCTTCCTCTATTCCACTTATTTCCTCTCTAGAAACCTAGCTGTCTCAAAAACCTTGATATTTTCTTTCCCATGCTCCTTCTTCTTCTTTGACCAGTTGAGGCACTTGTCATCTGGTTTTGCTTCGCAAAAGCCTGAGAACTACAATGGCTAGGGCAGAACTCTTTTCAAAGGACTAAGTTTGGGGTAGGAGCAGATAAGAGGACTCACCTGTTAAGAAATATCTTTTCTGTCCCAATAAAATAGAGGGGGAATCACTGAGGTCTGTTTTAGGAAGCTTAATCAGAAGCTGAGTAGAATGAATAAAGACTGACAGTACATCTCAGGATACTCTGTGTAGGTTTGTCCTACCAGGTCTCAGTAGGTGTTACAGTATGTGGCATAGGGACTTCACTATTTGGATACAAGAGAGAAACAGAAATGACTGCACTTCATTTGCTGGAAGAAGAAAGGGAGCAGGTAAAGCCTGTATTTGCTGAACTCTATATACCTTATTTTTTTGTTGTTGTTGTACTGTTGAAGCAGTATTCAACTTTTGGGAGAAAAAGGCAGGTCATGGGGAAAAATATTTCCATCAGAGACCTATTTTTTAAAACCCAGAGAGGGATCTAAAATCAGCATATAGTTGGCCCAAGCTCTATCTCTGAGCCCTTCACCCTACCTCTGAGGACCCTATTGCACTGACAAGTGAGAATTCACATTCATGCTAATGTTCCTTCAAGCTACTGAGTCACCAGAGATTCAATTATGCTTTCCACATTTTCCATCTTAAGGCAGAAATGGACTAATGCATTTTAGAAAGATATTTGGTAATAAGTCTTGAAGCTAGGATGTTTTTCACTTTAAATGTCAGGTAATTGAAAAATGTGACCATGATTATTATTAACTATATTTCCTGGCCTAATTCTATTTAAAAAGTTCAGTGCTAAGTTTCATGGCTGTTTTGAAGGCAAAGAAGATAGGGCTCCTAATCTCAAAAATAGACATTTATATAAATAGTGACATGAAAAGAAAGAGAGGGAAAGAAGGAGCATTGAGAATGTGAGCAGAATGTGATACAGAAACCTCAAATGTTTCATCTGGACATTGATGCTATCATGAGTTCCAATTTTAAATCCTGTCATGATTCCAGAAGCAAAGTTAGTATCTTACTCAAACCCAGAGGTAGAGAAGTTATTAATTCCAGTATTATCTTATTTATTCCTTGTCTTTCTGTTGTGTCATTCTGGGTAAAAGGTGCGATGAAAGGAGAAAGTGTTAACAATGGGAGAAATTTGTTGCCTCTCTCTTTTTTTTTTCAAACTCTACTTTTATTCAAGCACTCCATTCCCCTCGGCTAATCTAGACACCTATCTTTCTTTCTCTGACCCTAATCACTGCTATTTCTCCAAAGAATAGGCATTTATTGAGCATCTGCTATATTCCAAGCCCTTCCAACTTACGAAGAGAGAGACTGCTTATGTCATGAGACAAGTAGCAATAGCCCCTTGCCATTTTCAATGTTTATTCCATTTCCAAGATGATTCCACACTTTGATTAAGGAAATATGTCTATTTTTCCTCCTTTGGAGGAAGTGGAGATGAGTTTGCTGTTGGAGATCTTTGAAGAAGAAGTACATTAGTCTTTGATTATTCATCCAAAAAAGCAAACCGGGGATTTTTCTTAATCTATATGAAGTCTTTCATCTGCTTTTAATAATCAGGGAAGGAATGAATGGCTTCTACAGAAACTTATAAACAAAATGGAGTGAGAGATCTTTAGAGATCCCAAGAAAAGAAAAAATATTCATGGGCCATGTCTTATAAGCTCAGAAAACTGGCATAAATGTCAGGAAAGCTACCTCCTCTGCCCCGACCCAGGCCCTAGCACAGTCAGTGCTCATGTGCTTCCGCACACATGTTCTCATGAAGCTTTCACAGCAAGCTGTGGGCTGGGAGTGCGGTAAGAGGATGGAAAACAATCTTGAGCCTGTTTTTCAGCTGAGGAATCTGAGATTCAGGGAAGTTAAGTTGGGGATTATTGAAAATCGCTGAGCTAGTAAAATTAGGGTCCAGATCTTCTGACTCCAGTTCCAGTGCTCCTCCCAGTAAATCACAGCTGCTACCCGAAATGTGGCCTCTTAGAAACCCTGTTGGAGACAAACATAGAAATGACAGGGACCTTTTGACAATGACCATCCAGTTTCCGCTCTACATTATAGAAAGATCAAGTGGGAAAATGCACTGGGCTATTAGAAATTATCCCACTAGAGCATTGTTGATGAGAATTGTGAGTGATTTAATCTGCTCGGAGACTACCCAACAACATCCAACAGAAGGTTGCTATGACAATGCCACTCTTATGTTAGTAGCTTTAAACAAAAATATCTAAAGGGCAGAGTAATTAGGTAAGTAGAGCAGTGAGTCTGCGTTGTTTCATGCAGTCATTTTCCAATGATTACCATTTTATTGTTGTGCCTTGTGCTCCCAGGTTCTGCCTAATATAGCAAATCTCCCTAGAGCAATGAGTTTGTGCGTGTTTGTGTCTGTGTCTCTGTGTGTATGCATGTGTATGTGATATGTGGGTCTCGTGGGGGTAGTATTTTTAATTAGTTCCTGCCCCCCGTGCCCTTTAGCAAGTGGCACCATATGGCAAACTCCCACTCAAGTGCAAATATGAGAAAAGAAGATGTGGGACTGCAAGATACACGCACAAACTCAAACTACGCTTGTCGGGGGTTATGAGTACATGTATGGGAACAATATTTGCTTGCGCCTTGTTTTTTTCTTTTTAAATTAAATTTAAATGCATCTCGATATTGCTTGTTCCAATTCCCTCTGACTCAGATTGTCATTTCCCAAGGCTTCTGAAAGGTTTTTTTGCTTCTATTTCTAATGCCTGGCATTCTGACCCACCCAATCAGGCGCCACTGCTACCCTCCCCATCCTCTGGGCCCCGGAAATCTAGAACTCTCTCCTTGAATTGCTTATTCATCCCAGGAGCATGCTGCCAAAGAGACTATCTAATTCCCTGGGCTTTATCCTGCATCCCCTCCCAACACAATTTTTAAAACACTGATATTTATCGAGCACTTGCTATGTGCCAGGCCTTTAGTCAGGCACTTCAGGTATTTTATCAGTTAGTCCATCCTCATGATAACAAACATGAGGAACTGAGACTCACAGAAGTTAAAGTCTTAGAATCACATGGCTATTAAATAGCAGAGCTGGAGTATAAACTCTGGGCTGGCTAAGCCCATTCTTTCTATTATACCACACCGCCTTACTTAAGGAGGGCTTATATATTTAAGATATGAAAGGGCCAATAGCTCATTCCCCCTGCCTTGCTTTGGCATGCTCTATGGCTCTTTAACAATTGTATCTATTCATTTCAACTGGTGAGTCTCACTGCTGCTTTCCTGGAGGCATTTGGCAATGTCTGGAGCCATTTTTGCTTGTCACAACAGGGGAGTGCTACTGGCATCTAGCGGGTCAAGGCCGGGGATGCTGCTAATCATCTTGCAATGCACACCACAGCCCCCACAACAAAGAATTCTCCTGTCCAAAATATCAACATGGCTTAGGTTGAGAACAAACCTATGGATTTAGACAAACGCTGTGGATTCTCAGACACTGGATAATATTGCATGTACCCTCTACTTATGGAATTCAGTTCACTGAAATCTACCTGGTCTTCACTTAGGTAGAACACAAGCCTATGCCTGGGAGGGATCTGAACCTTTTTCTTTCATTAGAGCCCTTTGTGGGTGTCAACACACAAGAAACACTACTATAGTGGACAGAAAAATAAGAAACGTCATAAAATGATATAACATCTTTCCAGAGGGCACATAGGAGACACGGTATTTGTCTAGGGAATCAGAGGAAGTTGCTTTCATGAAAGTTGTGATGCTTAACCTCAGACATGAAACGTAGGCAGGCACTCCTCAGGTGCACAAGTGAAGGGTCAGCTTTTCTGAGAAGAGTGCAGAGTGAGTGCTATGTCTTGGGGGTGTGAAAGGGCATGGCTTATATGGGAAGAAGTATGCTCCAAGGGCCTAGAGCACGAGGGATCGGTAAGACAAGAAGCAGAGCAGGTAGATAGGAGTTTCACCTTAGAGGGCCTTGTGTGGAGCTTCAATGTTGTCTTCTAGGTGTCAGGGAGCTTGCCCTATTGGCTCTCAGTTTCCTTTTAGTAAAGGCAGGATTATCCCAGCCTAAGGATCAACTATATATCCCCATCCAATAACTGCTCATAAGAATATACTGATGTATTCATTCCCTAAGACTGCCATAACAAAATATGGGGTGGCTTATAATAACAGAAATTGACTCTCTCAAAGTTAGAAATGCTAGAAATCTCAAATCAAGGTGTCAACTGGACCAAGCTGTCTCCAAAGCCTGTAAAGGAAGATGCTTCCTTGTCTTTTCTAGATTCTGATGGTTGCCAGCAGTCCTTGACATTCCTTGGCTTGTAGATGCATTGCTCCAATCTCTGCCTCCACTGTCACATGGCATTCTCCTTCTGTGTCTGTGTCCACATCTTTGTCTTCTTATAAGGACACCAGTCATATTAACTAAGGGACCACCCTAACCTGGTGTGATCTCATCTAACTTGATTACACCTGCAAAGATCCTAATTCCAAATAAGGTTACATTCAAGATGCTGGGATTTAGGACTTAAACATATCTTTTTTGAGGGCAGAATTCAACCCACAACAACTGACTAGGTCATAGCTTCCTACTTATAGAGGTCAAGCCTCTCTGACCTGGGACTAACAGCTTTTTGCTGGGACCACTGATCAAAGGACAATCTACCTCCAATTTTATACTTGTGTTACAGTCTGTGAAATGAGACAAACAGAACCTGTGCAAGGTTTGGAGAAATTAAAGGAAATCGTGTTAGAGACAGTCCAACTAAAGTGATACTTTACAAAGCTGAGTCTGATAGAATAAACTGTGGTCCTATATTTGCAGGACTGTCAGCCTGGCTTTTTTAGCCATGTAAAATGTGTTACAAAGTGTTTTTATTCCTAAAGAAGTGGTCCCACAGGGGAGATTAAAAGCAGAATTTATTATCATCATTATCTGAAACAATGTAGCCACATTGTCACTAGGTAGTGCCTTTAGAATGTCATTGTTGTTTTGTTGTGTTGGTTTTCTGTTTTGGTTTCCAAAGCTGTCATCTAAACAAAAACATTGCCCTCAGGAACATCCTGTAGTTTGTTTCATGACTCGTGGGGCTCTAGCTTGTCAGAAAGCACAGTGCAGTGACTAAGGGAACAGTAAAGCACATTGGAATGGACTCCAGTCTAAGAATTTGGACTGTGTTGGAGCTGCCATGAATTTACCACATGACCTTTAACAAGTTCCCTTCCTCTTCTAAGCCTGTTTCTCTATCTAAAAATTAGGACTAACACTTAACAGCATCATGCAAAACTGATTCTTCAACTTAGGCTCTAACCCGGAACTTGATGGTAGTTAGCAACATGGTATTTGTCTTTCATTATTGCCCTAAATATACTCTCACCTCATTTATTCTGTGTAATTAATCACTAATTCTTCTTTGTACAATTTATTAACTTTCTTAAGGGGAAGTTGACATCTTACTTTAAAAAATCAACCTGGACCATCAAGCATATCCCCCCATATATCTCAATATCTGCTATCACTCCCCAGTCCTCAAATTTCACCCCATCCATATAAGAATGCCTCAATACCAAGTGTTCTCTGAGCAAAGTGAACTATATTTTAAAAAATGAAGTTATAATAAATTCTTAATCCATTCAGTTTACTGTTATGTATCAAAAGGCTCAAGGCAGTGCTTCTCAATTTTTACATGGCTCCGGGACTGAAACCTCTATCTTCCCACTTAAAATAAAGGGCACACCCATGGGAAATTTGGCAACATTAAAAAGTCTCCCAACTTTGTTTTCCATCCTCTCCTCCATGCCCTTTAGATATTCTGATGCCCCTTTAGCCTTTAGCCCCATGAAAATCAGAAAAGAACTTGATACTATTTATTTACTTTTAAAAATGTTGCTGAGAACTTACTGTAGTACTGGGATTACAAAGACCAATCAGATATCATATTCAAATCAAGAAGACCACACAGTCTAGTTGGAGCAAGGAGTCAAGAAAATTAATAAGGTTCCACAGGAGTGGGACAGTTGAGGGCTCAGATAATGGTCGGTGATTTGCCTCCAAGGATGTGACTCTTGCATTGAGTTCTAAAACACAGTCAGATGTTTCCAAATGTGTAAGCTAAATAGAAAAATGTTTCAGACAGAAAGCATTCCACGGGAAGGCAAAAGGCATTGAACTGCATGTGTATTCAGAGAGTGGTGAACCATTTAGATCATGAGGCAAGAGTAGAGCAGCAGGTTAGTCTACAGGGTTTGTCTAACAGACACAGCAGGCTAAGAAACATGGGCTGGGCATGGTGGCTCATGCCTGTAATCCCAACACTTTTGGAGACTGATGTGGGCTGATCACCTGAGGTCAGGAGCTTGAGACCAGCCTAGCCAACATGGCAAAACCCTGTCTCTACTAAAAATACAAAAATTAGCTGGGCGTGGTGGTGTGCACCTGTAATCCCAGCTACCTGGGAGGCTGAGGCAGGAGAATTGCTTCAACTTGGGCTGCGGAGGTTGCAGAGAGCCAAGATCATGCCATTGCACTCCAGCCTGGGCAACAGAGTGAGTCTCCATCAAAAGAAAATAAAAGGAAGGAAGAAAGGAAGGAAGGAAGGAAGGAAGGAAGGGAGGGAGGGAAGAAAGAGAGACTTGTTCCTTGTTCACCTTCAGGTTTTATGCTTTAGAATGATATCTCTGGTAGAACCGCAGTAAGAGAATAAGAGTCGAAGCCAGAAAACAAGTAAGAAAATGACATACATCTGATCCTTATTTGGAAATAGCATCTTATTAGTGAGGAGGGTAAGGAGAGAAAATAGAGGGAACGGGAAGTAAGAGCCAGTCACAAAGCTTTGAGTGATCTTAGGTAGGCACACAGGGGAAGCATTCTAGGAACTGTCCTGGATGCTGATTTTACTTCTGGACAAATTGAGATTGAGTTGTCTGAACATCATTGAGTGGAAATACTCATGGGGTGTTGAAATTTGGGAGAGAAAACAGGATGGGAAATCTTAATATATGTAGTATAAAAGTTATCTTCTTCCTCTCATTCCCTTTGCTCTTTCACTTTTCTAAATCTGTTCATCTTTACAAAGATCCAGATAAAGTTTCATTTATTCTTGAACTTTCTCTCAAATACTCCAGTCCATACTGATATTGCTATTCTTTAAATTCAGTTGTGCTTATAACCAATACTATGGCAAAGTACATCCTTATTATTTAATTATATTGTATATGTTCATACAATATATGTGTACACATATAATTTATTAATGCATACAATACACACATTAGTAAAAATATGTATATTTAATTATATTGTATATGTTGATTTTGACTTTCTGTAAGCCACCTTTGGCAACAGGCTCAAACCCTAACATTTATTTTCATGGCTTAAGGCAAAAATACAAATGGCAGCACACATATTATGTGTCTAAATCAGCCTCTGGTCCACAGACTCCTAGGGGTCCCTGAGTCCTTTTTAACTCTGTTGACATTTAAACTGCTACTGCTGCTTGCAAAGAAATATAGTATAAAAGTGCTGATATTTTTGCATGAATTGAGGCACTAAATTGTTCTTGTAGTCATATCCTTTACTCACAGAAAAGAAATAAAAAGGTTTCTCTAAAAATTTTCCTTGGTAAAAACAGTAAATAGTAAAATTAATTTTATTAAATCTTAATCTTTGAGTTCTTGTATTTAAAATATTCTGTAAGATCTTTTAAATACACTGTAAGATGAAATGGAAACTTCTCATAAAGCACTTTGCTGCAGCCTAAAATACAATGTTATCTGGAGGAAAAGCACTTGTGCAATTGCTTGAGTGGTGGGTGACCTACTCCTCATCCCCCATTTTTAAGAAACATTTTTACCTGAAAAAAGGACTGACAGACAAACTATAGCAATTCAGACTTGAGTATTTGTTGGAAATTTTCTCAAATATGAACGAAATGAACCTATCACTTCAAAGAAAACAACTGATAGTATTTGTTGCCTAAGATAAAATTGGACCTGTTAGTAAAAATAAAATTTTAGAAAACTTGTATCTGTTACCATGAGCTTGTCAGCTTCCCTATACTGAATGACTTTTCTGATGAGATGAGTGGTTATATTAGTGTTTTCTTTTCTTTCAGTGTTGGTACTTAACAATTAATGGATTTTTAAAATATTGTACTGCCTAACAATGAATTATTCAAAAAGGAAATTAAGAAAACAACTTCATTTATAATAGCATCAAAAAGAATAAATACTTAGAAATAAAATTAATACAGACATGAAAGGCTTATACACTAAAAACTAAAAAACACTGATGAAAGACATTAAAGCAGACACAAATACATGCAAAGATATCCTGTGTTCATGGATTGGATAAATTGATATTATTAAAATATCCATACTACCTAAAGTGATCTACAGATTTAATGCAATCCCTATCAAAATCCCAATGCTAGTTTTTACAGAAATAGAAACAACAATCCTAAAATTTATAGGATTTTAGGAACTATCAAAGGAACTACTAAAGATCCTATATAGCCAAAGCCATTTTGAGCAAGAAGAACAAAGCTCAAGGCATCATACTTCCTTATTTCAATATAGATTACAAAGCAACAGTAATCAAAACAGTATGATACAGACATAAAAACAGGCAAATATACCAGTGGAACAGAATAAAAAGCCCAGAAATAAACTAACCTACACATATACAGACACGAATTCTGAGAAGAGTGCCAAGAACACATACTGGAAAAAGAGTAGTCTCTTCAATAAATGGTGTTGGGAAAATTGTATCCGCATGAAAAAATAAAATTAAATTAAACCCTTATTTTACAACCTTACAACATAAACAAAAATCAATTCAAAATGGATTAAAGACTTAAACATAAAACCTGAAACTATAAAACTCCTAAGAGAAAACATAGGGAAAACCTTCCTGACATTGGTCTTGGCAATGATTTATTGGACATGACACCAAAAGCACAAGCAACAAAAGCAAAAATAGACAAGTTACATTAAACTAAAAAGCTTCTACGTAGCAAAGGAAAAAAATCAACAATATAAAAAGGCAACTTATAGAGTGAGAGAAAATATTTGCAAACCACATATCTGATAAAGGGTTAATACCAAAATATATAAGAAACTCATGCAACTCAATAGCAAAATAATATTAATAATAACCCAATTTAAAAAATGGACAAAACAAACTGAATAGACATTCCCCACAGAGGACATACAAATGGTTAACAGGTACATGAAAAGGTGTTAAACATCACTAGTCATCAGGGAAATGCAATTGGAAACCACAATGAGGTATCCCCTCACACTTTGTAGAATGGCTATTATCAAAAAACAAAAGATAATAAATGTTTATGAGGATGTGGAGAAAAGGAATCCTTGTACACTGTTGGTGGGAATGTAAATTAGCACAGCCATTATGGAAAGCAATATGGAGGTTTCTTTAAAAAATTAAACATAGAACTACTACATGATCCAGCAATCCCACTTCTGGGTGTATATCAAAAGGAATTGAAATCAGAAGCTTAAAGATATATCTTCATTGCCATGTTCATTGCAGCATTATTCACAACAGCCAAGATATGGAATCAACCAATTGTTCATTGACAGAATAATGGATAAAGAAAATATAGTATCCACATACAATATTTAGCCTTAAAAAGAAGAAGAAAATCCTGCCACTTGTGGCAACTTGGATGAACCTGAAGGATATTATGTTAAGTAAAATAAGCCAGATACAGAAGAACAAATATTACATGATGCCACTTACACGAAGAATCTAAAATAGTCAAACTCACAGAAGCAGAAAGTAAAATGGTGGTTGTCAGGAGACAGAGGAAAGGGAAAATAGGGAGATATTAGTCAAAAGGTACGAAGTTCCTGATGTACAAATTGAGTAAGTCCTAGAGATCTACTGTACCATATACTGCCTATAGTTAATATTATATTTTATACTTAAAAGATGCTGAGGGTGGATCTTATGTTGTGTTCTTATCACACACATGCAAATACTAATAATAAATAAAAAGGTGGGAGAAATTTTACAGGTAATGGATAGGTTTATGTCACAGATTGTGGTGATAGTTTCATGGGAGCATACTTATCAAGTTGTACACTTTAAATATGTACCACTTTTTACATGTCAATCATACCTCAATAAAGCTGTTTAAGAAATATTGTGTAAGGAAATATATCAATGTTTGGGAGATCTGTGTAACTTAGTGAACCAATATTTACCAAACAACTAATTAATGCATAATGTAACAAGTATTAAAATTTATTTCACATGGTTTCAGAATTTACATTGGGAAACATCTTTAAGAAATTACTATTTGTCAGTATTGGTGTGGAAGCAAAAAAAAGAATATACATAATTATGTAAAAAGGCTATAAAAATATTTCTTCTTTTTCCAACTATGTATCTGCGTGAAGCCAGATTTTCTTCAAATATGTCAATTAAGACTACGTATCACAACAGATTGAATGCTGAAGTGGACAGAAAAACCCACTGTCTTTCTTTAAATCAGGTGATGAAGTTGCAAAAATGTAAAACAATACCACTCTTCTTTCTAACTTTTTGTATTGAAAAATATAGTATCTTTCATAAGAATATGTTATTTATATCAACTATAAGTTCTTAACTGCTTTTTAAATAAATAAATTATAAATACTTAACATATTTAATTCTGCTTTTTAATGTGATAAATATAAAGAAATATTACCCACATATATACAAGCTCTTTGGGGGTCTTCAATAATGTTTAAGAGTATAAAGGGGTCTTAAACCCAAAACTTTCAAAACATCCAGCCAACAAACTATTAGATAGAATATGTTCTATTATCCTATCTTGACAATTCAGAATTAAATTTAAAATTCTTCTACTCCTCAGAAAACTACCTTGGACTACGAGGGTGTGGGGTGAGCCAGCCATTACCCCCACCCTGAAGCCTGTCCCCCTTTTCTTCTCCATGGACTACAAGGGGTCTTGAGGGCATGCAGGTGAACACCCAGATCACAAGTCCAAGCAGATACCCACCTGCTGCAAACAGCTACCTATTGGCCACCTTTTGGGCCTAGGGGTATGCATATCTACAGCGACATCCACTTTCAGAAGGACAGACACTTTGAAGAAACCTATGTAGGCCCTGGAGGCAGGATTTGGACCATTTGGGCAAGAAATCCAGGGTTCCAGGTACTCATGGCTTGGTCAAAATAGAAGGTTCCAGCTGGGCCCTTCTCTACCTTGTAGATTCTCCATTCCCAGAGGAACATAGTCAGAAAAGGGCCATAGTGGAGCCCTTTGAATCAACAAAAGACCTCTTCCCTCTGTTTCTTGGGTCTAAAGGCAGTACTCTGTCAAATCCTTTATCAACTCTGAACCACAGTTTTCTCTCTATAAACTCAGATGGTCAGAATAAATTCAATCTCATACCAATCCTTCAAGAGTCTGTCTTGTTCCTAACCCAAGGAAGGTAGCATTAAGTTCTTGCTGAGTAATCAAAACTAATTTGTAAAGCATAAAACCCTCTAAAAATTGGATACATTAAGTGAGCTTGATAGAAGGGAACCCTTTCCTTCCCAACAGTAAACTAAAATGGGGAACTCTAAAGCCACTCTAACTCTTCCTTTTTACTAATCTTAAATTCCAGATATTAATGAGAAAGAGTTCGTCCTTCCCGTAACGTTTTCTCTGTGAGTCCTGCCTGTCAATGGAGTCTTAGTAAAAGCAAGTATAGGGTAAAAATGTGTCATCTGAAGGGTAATAAAATATGACTAACCTCATTCAGCCTTTATACATTCTACTTTAACAGTCTGTTATGGCTTCAGCTCCTGGCCTGGAGTGAGAAAAATAATTCAGTTGCATATAAAAGCAATTTAGGGAAATGATCAGTTGCATCTATCTCCACCTCCTCCTCTGAATTCTTCCCCTAACTCATTCTCATAAATCAAAGTTAAACTATTTCCTCTGTGCTTCCATAACACCTTATACCTCTATTAATAGCATACATTGATTTTTTCTGCTTGTTAGAGTTATTTTTATATGCCTTTCTCATCATTACATTATTAATTTCTTTAGGATGATGACTGTGTTTTCATGATTCCTATTCTTCCCAATGAGTTGGAATGCAATGATGTTTATTGGCTTGAATTAGTCACATAATTTCCACTGATTGCAACTGTGAAATATCTGGAAGAAAGTGATGAGGATGTTGTTGCACATTAAATTATGTCAAATAATTACTCTTGGAGATGGTTCCATTTTGCCTACTTGGCAAATATCTATTCATCCTTTAAGACTCGGCTCAAGGATCTCATCTTGCCCCAGTACAATCAACCACATTGCCCTTTATACATTTTATGCTCAGGTAGCATTGGATCCTCTGAAATAGTACCCCCTCAACACCAGGCTTTTGGAAGAAATATTTGAGTTAGAATTTAAAGCTAAATCTTTCTAGAAAGATGCTTCATAACAGCCTTTTTGCTGCCTGAGTTCAACAGAACTCAGCTCTTTGAGGTGTTTCATGCAAAAGGCATCTATAGTCAAGTATGAGTTGAAGACTCATATTATATCTCCCTAAGAGTTTTACCACATAGAATAGTATTGTGAAAAGTCTGCTTAAAGAAAAGTAAGGAGGACTGTTTAAATTTATTTGGTCAAGTCTTTTATACCCTTTTGGCCTAAAGGTTTTTTTTTAATTTTTTTTGTTGTTGTTGTTTTTAATGTTTTTCTTCCTTACTTTGTATCTTTTAACATACTAGGGAATGTCAGTACTGTGGAAAATACTTTGGGAAATGGACAGGAAAAAAATAAACATCTATTGCTAATGGTTCTATGGCACCTCCCATTCATACATCAAAACCCAATAGTAATGATAGGATCAAATGTGATTTCGTGGAAGTTGACAGGTGATTTGTCTAGGTTCCTTCTGGGTGGTATTTTTAAATCATCTCACTAAGTAATTTATATAAACCTAGACTTATTTCTGTTTGCAAGGACCTTGCAAAATGGTAGTAAAGTATTACTTTCTTTATTTTACAGAAAGGAAAAAGAAGATCTGATAGGGTTAAGTGACTTCTCCAGGGCTCCACAGTGGCAAGTGGCAAAGGCGGGGTTAGGAGACCAGACTTCTGACTTTACGGGGCTATGCCTGTGTTTCATGCTGCTTCCCCCTAGTCTGATATTGTAAAGGAGTCACCAAATCTATGTCTCCAGCTGAGATGAGAAGAAATTGGATTTCCTGAGAATCATGATAGCTGCCTCTTACTAAACCCTGGCTATGCTCAGGCACCATTCCAAGAACTTTAAGTATATGATCTCTAACAATAACAACCTGGCAATGTAAGTATTGTTATTCTCTTCTTACATATGTGACAATGACAATTCAGAGTTGTTAGGTAACTATTCCAATTATAAACTTCAATAAATGTCAATATGTGTGTGTGTGTACACATATATGTATACACATACATATATACACATATATGCACACACATACATATATACATATATGCACACACATACATATATACATATATGCACACACATACATATATACACATATATGTGCACACACATACATATATACACATATATGTGTACACACATACATATATACACATATATGTGTACACACATGCATATATACACACATATATGTGTACACACATGCATATATACACACATATATGTGTACACACATGCATATATACACACATATATGTGTACACACATGCATATATACACACATATATGTGTACACACATGCACATATATACACATATATGTGTACACACATGCCCATATATACACATATATGTGTACACACATGCATATATATACACATATATGTGTACACACATGCATATATATACACATATATGTGTGCACACATGCATATATATACACATATATGTGTGCACACATACATATATTTATATATTCCTGCCTATGTTCATGTAAAATTGTGACAAGATTCCACCAAATTGCCCTTCAAAAAGGATTGCACAAAATCGATTGTGACTTTTCCCCACACCCTGGTAATATTGTTTATTATATACTTTATTTTTTTTCCAATTTGATGGGTAAAAATGACATCCCATCAAGGGTTCTTTAGTTTATATTTCATGAATCATGAGGTTTAGTAACTTTTTAATACATATGCTGGACACTTAGAGTCTTTTCTTTTTAACTAATATATGCTTTCCTTTGGGGTTCTTTTTCTTTGGCTATTTGTTGAAGACAACTTGACTCTATCAAGTATTTGGCAAATATTTTTGTGAATTTAAAACAAACTGAAAACAATCTAGGTTTCTATCAATGGAAAATGAATTTATAATTTATGGTGTATCCATACAATGAGATACTGCTATGGTTGAATGTGTCCCCCAAAGGTCATGTGTTGGAAACTTAATCTCCAAGACAACAGCCTTGAGAGGCAGGATTTTTAAGACATGACTAGGGATGAGGGCTCTGCCCTCATAGGTAGGTTAATGTCACTGTGGTGGAAGTGGGTGAGTTATCACAGGAGTGGATTTCTGATAAAAGAATGAGTTCAGCCTCTTTCCCCTCTTTCTTGTGTGCACTCCCTTACTCCTCTGCCACCCACCACGGGATGACAAAGCAAGAAAACTCTTTCTGGATGTGGGCTCCTTAACCTTTGACTTTCCAGTTTCAAGCACTGTAAGAAATAAATATATGTTCTTTATAAGTTACCCAGTCTGTGATATTCTAGTTCACAACTGTTACAGAAGTTATTGAAAAAGGCAATGGACTGATTTGGAAAGATGCTCAAAATATATTGTTAAGTGAACTAGAAAATGGCAGGATTATATATATAGTAGACTCCCCACTAAAGCACTTATGCATATACTTATATACACTTGTGAATTTATGGACAATAGTAAGATGTGGGTGTGGATGTTTCTAGTAGATAGAAATGGCCTTGAGGGCAAGGTTAACTTTTACTTTTTATTTTTTGCTTTTTACTTTTATTTTTGTATAGTAGCATGTATTACTTTTATAATAAAAATAATTAATAGTAACTTTGTAACATTGGCTTTGAAAAGTAATTTGCTTTTTAGGAGACACAGTAACAGGTGAGTCAGGTTCTGTCTTCTATACCATGCTGCCTCTGGGCAGAAACAAGGCTTTTCTGCAGCACATTGATGTTCCCAAGGCAGGCTTTAATGGCCCCCCTGCTTTCCATCAAACAAAGGGAAACCTCTGTGAGAGGTGGCAGAGAGCCATGGAAGGAAGGGCAGGAGGCTGAGAAAGTATCTGAGGATGAAGCATCACCAACCATGAGGCTGCACATTGCTTTCTCTTACTAATGATGATAATATCAGCTCTCATTGTCTGACAAAACTGAGGCTTTTCAGAAGCTGCATTTCCCACACTGAGGTCAAGATACTTCTATTGCCAAGGAAGGGTAAATGGATAGGAGGAGGCAAATTCTCCAGGGATGAGGATAGTGCCGGAAGTGGAGGTAAGTGAATTATGGGCTGATGATTCAGCAGCAAATCACCCATGGAAATGTCCCACCCACCTCCGGAGGCTGATTATTTTTCAAGGAACTTTGAGGGTCAAGACAACCACCTATGTTCCCAGGAGGTGGTAGAAAAATGTGCGTCTCAAACTTTTTACTTCCTAAGAATTCCTAACATTAGATGTGCCTCCCTACAAATTGAACTTGGTGTCTCATGTTTTCTTTAAATCCACATGATTTTTAAATCCTATTCTATGACTCATCTGTGTTGGTTATAGTAGAAAAATAATTTGTGTTCCCTGTATTTTCAATGATATCTGTTGAGTAGGAAAATAAGCTGTGTGTATTCCCTAAGGCATATTCAATTATTATTGGGTAGAAAGGAGGTTTTGAATTAGGCATACCTGGCTTTGATCTGCTTGTCACATATTTTTGCTCATGTTATTTAATACCTGAACTGCAACTTTCCTAACATCTATAAAGGAAAATAGTAATTTCATCTCTCTAGAATCTTATGAGAGCTAAATAGAAAAAAATATATCTCAGTACCTTTCACATAATGGGTATTAATTTAAGTGTTAAATTTTTCACTTTAAAATTGTTTTAAAATCTGAAAAAAACACCAATATTTATGAGTTCTACATTACTTAGAATTAGTTCCAGCAGTGTACTTAATAAAATAACAGTGGCTTAAACAGGATGGATTTTAATTTTTCTCTCATGTAAGAGAAATTTGAAGGATTATAGTCCAGAGCTGGTTTCAAAAGAAGAGACTCAAAATTCCTTCTGTATTTCTGATCCGCCATTTTTAGCACATTGCTTTCATGCTCAAGAGTGCCTAATGGTCCATGATGGTAGCTTCAGCTACAGCCGTCATATGCAAATTCCAGGCAGAATAAAGAAAGGTAGAAGGAAAGGGCAACACCCAATTACCCTGATTTGATCATTACCCATTATATGCTCACATCAAAACATCACATGTACCCCACAAATATGCACAACTAGTATATATCTATAATAATTAAAAATAAAAAACTTTAAACAAAGACTGAGAAATATTTTAATTAGGTACAATGCTTCCCCAAATATAGATGATATTCTGTTAGTAAGGATGAAGGAGAGAACTGATATTAAGCAAGCAATCAGTAGTCTCTGCCACAACTAGCTATTATGACACGCTAATAGCTAACGTTTATTGAGTGGTTACTATTAACATAAGCATTTGGGGCTCATGATGTAGGTACTCTCTTCTTCCTTTTAGAGATGATATAACAGAGGCTTAAAGAGGGTAAGTTAATAAGCAGCAAAGCTAGGATTTGCACCAAGGCAGGGTGTCAGGAGAGCCAACTTTCTTAAGTGAGCTGCTGTCCAGTGCTATGGCTGGGGATTCTCACATATAGTTTTAATAGATTTTCCAAATACCAATAGGAAAGTTGAAATTCTAAAGCATAAAATGGTCAGTTATTTGATGGAATTGCTGATGCCAATCAGTCGTGTGTTTGAAGATACTGGTTTTGCTAAAGTGATTGGATCTCTGGCTGGCACTTCATTCTATAACTATGACTAAAGCATAGTCAAATATAGTCTCCAGTCTTGGTATTTTGATCTTAAGGAAGAAACTTTCTCTGGCTTGAAGGCAAGTTATGTATATTCATTCAGTCTTGCATTCATTCTTTCATTGTACCATAAAGAATTTTTGAATTGATTCTATCTAAGAACCTAGGAATACAAAGATTATAAGGCAGCATCCCTATCCTTAAAGCTCATAGATAGAGCAGTTGCCTTTAAGTAATTCAATCACAACCCAAAGGAAGAAGGTGAATATAGTTAATAATTAATAATGTGTTGAATATTTTGAAACAGCTGAAAGGGAGAATTTTAAATGTTCTCACCACAAAAAATGATAAATATTTGAGATGATGCATATGCTAATTACCCTGATTTGATTATTCCACAATGTACACATGTATTGTAATATCACCTTGTACCCCATAAATATATACAATTATTATTTGTCAATTAAAAATAAAACTCAAAAAATACATTTTGTATTGCAGCCCCATACACTTCCTACTCACACAACACACTCAAAATTTTATGAAACATTTATTCTTACTCTATGAAATGTACTCTGATATTTTCTATGTATTCTATTCTGTTCTTCCTTTTAATGTGGAATGCCATAACTAAAATTAATTCAAGGTACTGATGAGTTGTGACCTATAATTTTAAGAACACACATCTATGGAAAAAGAAAGGCAATTAAACTAATAAGTTCAATATAATATGGAAATACTCTAAGAGCTGTATGAACAATGAGGCCTTGAACTGCAAAGAAAAAGACTAACTCTTCCTGGGGGATGTTGGGGTGCATTCTGAATTGAGTCTTAAGGGATAAAGGGGAAATTGTCATGTGGAAAATGGGAGGAAGGACATTCCAAGCAAAGGAAACAGCATGTGATTTGTGTGTAGGTGTGAGAGAGAATGGTAGAAAGCCAAGCAAGTGAGTCCAAGTATTGCAGGAAGGCTGGGAGAATGCTGGTTTGGACTTACAGGAAAAGTACAACTGTGCTGCGAAATGGCCTTAAGTAGACTGAGTACTTCTCAGAGTTCAGAAGTAGTTGATTCACACTCATCAGATCAGTTTCTATGTCTAGCAACAATGTGCACTGAAGACCTGACCAGTTCCAGTCAGCATTTATGTTCTGTGCTAAGGTCACAGAGGAGAGAAAGACTTGACCTTGACCTTGAGAGATTTGGTTTAAAGAAGCAGCTAGATGTACAAATAATTTTGATACCCCATGATTAGTTCTATCACAAGTTATGTACACAGAGAAGTGGGTGCACAAAGGAAAAATATATGAGTCCTGCTTGTGAGAATTGTGAATACTTTCACAGGGCTAAGTGTGGAAACAAGTAGTGGGAGTTTCAGCTTATTTTAAGAGTCAGTGCCTGTGAGATGGACAGTCTCATACACTGCTAGTGGGAGTCTAAATTAATATAACACTTATGGGAAGGAACTTGGCAATATGTTTCCATAGACATAAAAATATTCATAGCTGGCCGGGCTCGGTGGCTCATGCCTGAAATCCCAGCACTTTGGGAGGCCAAGGTGGGTGGATCATCTGAGGTCAGGAGTTCAAGACCAGCCTGGCCGACATGGTGAAATCCCATCTCTACTAAAAAAAAAAAAAATACATACAAAAATAATTAGCTGGGCATGGTGGCAGGCACCTGTAATCCCAGCCAGTCGGGAGGCTGAGGCAGGAGAATCACTTGAACCCGGGAGGCAGAGGTTGCAGTGAGTCAAGATCACGCCATTGCACTCCAGCCTGGGCAACAAGAGTGAAACACCATTTCAAAAAAAAAAAAAAATCATAGCCTTTTGCCAAACAATTGTATTTATAAAAGGCTATCTCAAATGTAATTTAAAGAGAGACCCAGTCCTCATGGGCCCTCTTCATTTCACCATGGTGTCGCATTCAAAGACATATAATCTAGCAAACAAATGTATTTGAAATTAGTGCCAGTTTTAACTACACCACTGGAAGAACACTAAAGAAGCTCCAGCATAGCTTCAGCTAGATCTGCTATCACACATTGGAACAGAAGGGGTGTACCATGTCTGTGTGTGCATCCCAGAAGAGGCCTAAGCTCCTTGCCAGTGTTAAAGGCATGAAGAGGGGGAGGCGTGAAAAGAGGGGAGAGAATAAAGTTATCCAGAAATTAAGCTAGCTTGGTATCTGTAACAGCAGAGAGCCAGAGCTGGCCATGAGAATGTGATCTCCATAGAAATTTGTCCAACACTATAGAGAAACAGCTTGTAACTTCCACAGGATGTGAAAATGGGGAGAGGAAGTCAAGAAAATCTTATCTAAATTATCCCAGGTAACATCTGGAATTTATTTGTAAAAATGGAAAGTTGCTCCAAAGTAGGAGCAGAGTAGGAGAACAATCAATTAAATGATTGATTAAATTACATTCTTATGATATAATATTTGCATTTATTGACTGTTACATTGTAGAAAAATTGTTAAGGAATGGGGAAAGCAGGGTATACAAATGAATGTTTGTAAAAATATATTTATATGTAGGAATATAAAAAATAATAAAAAGTACATAAAAATGTTAACAGTGGATATACGATATTTAAATTTCATTCTTTTTATTTTTCTACATTTTCTACATTGCATATAAGGAACTTGTATTCCTGTCTGTATTCAAAAAAATTTTTAGTCATCGGCTGAACAAGAGAAATTACTAAAATATGGAATTAAGAAATAATTACAAGGCCAAGTTTTAACATTCTAGAAGCCTGCTAGGCTTTCTAATTTCATTTCACTGTTATAAAAACCGAGGCTTAGGAAGCTAGCAAGGTAATAATTGTATTATATAAAAATGGAGCATTAAACTTTAGTTATGCAAAGTATAAAAAGGTGTTATTTTAAAAGAATCCTGTAGTCAAATACTTACTTGTATAGGTTACTTAAAAGCAGAATTTCATGGAGCCTTTATCATTAATAGTCACAATTATGGCAACTAGATCATCTTATTTTATTTTATTTTTGTCCTTACAGCAATGTTATGAGTTAAGTATTGTCTACATGCTTCAGATAAGGAAACTTAATCTTGCCATGATTAAGACATTTATGCAGGTTCACAGATAATCAATGAAGCCAAGACACAATGCTACCCTTGTCCTTTCAGCTAAGCTAAGTAACTATATCAGGGCAACTTCAGGTCATTTCCAAGAAGAGAAAGGCAAAAAGCCTCAAAATAAGCAGATGTGATACAGGCAACAAATTCACAGAAAAGTAAATCCCTTATTTGTTCCTTTCTCTGGGCAATGGTGCCAATAGAGCTGAGATATCTATTCTGTAGAGCAGTGTGGATTAAGAAGTGGAAAATTCTGTCTAAATTTTTAACACAATCCTTAGTACTTCCTACTTTTTTAATGGAAAATTTTCTATTATCACCATAGCTGTTGCATGGAGGTTTTAGAAGACAATTTAAAACCTGATAGATTGATATTTAAGTTTATAATTCACCTTGGAAGAAGTCAGAGCTGATCACCGCCACCAGTCCCTACCTTCCTCAGATTCGCTAACTGCAGTCACTAAAGCCTATTACATTATGCTCTGTCCCACTAAGTAACTCAAGCAAATCTTGGCCAGGAAAATAATACAATGGCAACCTCAACTCACTGGCCAGAGACACTATCCAGTGTGATAAAGATAGGTCTTGAGTATGACCACACGGTTGGCCCTCTATGTCTCCCACTTTCAAATGGTGTGGGCCAAGTCTTGTTTGTAAGGTTGACCTCTGACTTGCTTTTCCTGACCAAACGCAGCTTGTTTTCTAGGACTTTCGTCCACTGCGATTTACTTAGTTGAGGCTTTACTTTTTCCCCAACCTCTTCCCTGACACCATACTCAGCATATATTCTCTGTCACCACTTGACTGCCAAGGTTCACTGTATGGCTAGTATTCCCGTTAGGACACCCACACATTACCAACACTACTTAAAATCTCTCTCTCAACCTTGGAATGCCATGGTGCTTGGTCAACACTTGCCTTTTAATCTCTCTGGCTTTGAGACCTCCTGTCAGGACCACGGTTGTTCTGATATGATTTTCCCTAATGTCTTCTCTTTAGTGCTCCTCTCCAGAAATCTTCCCTGTTTGTTTCCTAAATCCACCCAAGAGAGTCCCTGCTAATCTCCGTTTGTTATTGTTTCTCATTCTCCTGCTTTCTTAATATGAGTGCAATGAGATGAGGAAGCGGGTTGGAATTAAGGAACAGCCTTAAATTTCAATCAATATTTTTTTAGCTTCCACTATGTTTCAGACATTGCGCTAAGTCCCATGGGATGTGGAAATGATTGTGGCATACTCGTACCCTTATTGTGTGGAGTTTACTGACTTTCAAGTAAGGAAAAAAATGAATAAAAGCAATTCTAAGACAAGTTGGAATGAAATATGTGCTAAACAGCAATGTGGTTTGGAAATAAATAACAATAAACAATTGTTTTATCTGTGGCCATCAAGAAAGCTTTCTGGAAAATAAAGCATTTGAGCTAAGCTTTGAAGAAGAGGCAAACTATATGCAGGTGAAAAAAAAATATTCTGGGCTCTGGGAATGGAAAAGATTAATATATGAGATAGTGTATGATAGATTTGGGGTTTAAGAATTCTCTATGTAGCAGGGAGTGAAGGCTTTTAGAGAAAAATTTGAAAGGCACCTGGAAAGCTAGCTTCGGCTCCATATTGAATCTTGTAGAATCCTAAACATTGTGGTAAGGACTCAGCTGTTTTTTCTAGATTCACTGCCACGTTTTGGGAAAAAGATGTATGTGATTTTTGCGTGATCATTTTCTAAGGCCTTTATGCTCAGTGATAGGAGTCTACAGATTTAGGTAGGTGACGTGGGAGCAAAAGAGAGTGTGGCTGGGAGCAAGGGAGACTAGAGGCAGGGCAACCAGCAAGAAGGCTGTTCTGGTAATCAAAGTGGGAGGATGAAAGTCTAATCAGAGCAGAGGCAGTGGGAGGGTAACAGCTATGACTATACTGGGCAAAGGAATCTCTATCACCTGCAGCGTAATTTAGCAGATGCTGCAATTAAGTTTGCAAAACATTTTCTATTTTGGCTGCTCATACTTATTTATCCTGGTCCCAGTTTTTGAAGGGAAATCTCATATCTGAGGCAGATTTTTGAAAATATTTTTGAAAAAATTCCACTCGCTTGATGTCAACAAGAATAAAAAACACATTTTAATTGGGAGAAAAAAAGAAGAGAGAAAAGTTTTTTATTTGTTTAAATATTGAATATCTGAAAGGCATATTTTAATATGTAAGAACCACTGCCTTAAACTGGGTACAACATAAGGAGTAAGATTTGGTGGTCTTCATTCCAAACAATAGCTTAAAATAAACAAAAATTTAATTCTTGGGGTTTAAAAAAATTGTTTGCTTGTTTTTTTTTTTTAAGATCACTGAAGACTGACCAAATAAGCTTATGAAATGGCCACTTGGTATAGATAGAACTCTTTCATTCCCAGAGAAGGAGTTAGGAACCAGTTTTGGGGTATACGGCTCTAGATGAGAAATACCCTCCATTAAGTTGGAAATGCCACAAATCCTAAATCTAGAAGGTAATGTGAGTAGGTGGATAAGAGAAATACATTAGAAACAAAGACTCACAAATCTGGAGGAAACGTTAGAGGTCATGGACTCCAATCTCTTCATCCCAGAGATGAGGAAATTGGATCCAAAGAGATTAAATAACTTGCCCAAAGTCTATTGTTAGTTTTTTGCAAAACCAGGGTGTGGATTTTCTTTATTTCCCAATTATATCCCTCTTCTGTTTAAACCATTCATCGTTCTGCCTGAAGCTTCTCAGTGCCCAGACAAGCAGGCTATTAGGAAAAGCACTTTCCATACCCAGTGACCAGCAGCTGTCGTAGGCTGGGAGTAGAGATGTGGGTCCTTAAGATGATATGAAAAATGCTAGGACTCCTCTCGATGTACAGTCTACATAGTCCCTCTCACAATGTTCCCCTTCCTCCACAGTCAGATCCCCTTTCCCGAGCTACGCCTCTATGACCTCCTGTGCTTTTCAGAGTTACCCTTACTGTTCGTTTCTATTTTAACTTGATTTCACCTTTCTCTTACTATTTTTCCTTCCACCACCCTCATGTCCAAATCCCACCAAAACTAGGACAGTATCTGCTTCCATTTCAAGAGTGACAGCTTCTCTGGAAATTTCTAGAGGCTTCTCCACACTGATGGAAAGCTAGAGTTGTAAGCATTGGGGAAGTATCTAAGCATCTGCTTTTTGAACAATTTGGAGACTGATTTCCTAGACAATGTAGGCAAAAATAAGAACATAATGAATAGACTTAAATTATTTTTTCTTATGGCTCCACTGTGAATTCCCCTGTCCTTGTTAATTACAGAAGGGCCTCCATGAATATAGGTAAAAATTATAATGTCACACTTACTCCTCCCTGTTGAGGTGGAAAAATAATATATCTATCAATGCATGCATGAAAACTAATACACTGCTATAAGTAGACAAGACAAGGAAATCAATTGCTGCAATTTTAGATGTCAGTGTTCCTAAATATCAGAATGGAATGGTGGATAAGTGAAAGAATAATGACATGTCTTAAGAAAATGAAGCATTATAATGTGCCAAGTCTATTATGCATTTTTACATACTTTATCTTATTTAATATTCATATCAAACCTTAGTGGTAGTTTATTAATTATTATCCCCCACACTTTTACAATTATTAGAAAAAAATTAAGGAGTTCAAAAATTGCTCCTACAATAGTAACTGTCAAACACGAGATTCAACACTAAGTTTATTTGATTAAAAATTCCATGTTCATCCTACATACTCTGCTGCTTCCTGGACTAAATCTTTAAGAACAGATTATAATAGTCAAAAGTTATTGAGTGTGTATTATAGTCTAGGCACTATTTTAAGTGCTTTATATGTTCAATTCCTTTAATCCTCATAACTACCCTATGAGGTACATACTATTATTTTTCTCATTTCAGAGATGAAAGAGGAGAATAAATAACTTTCCCCCAACCACATAGCTATTACATGGCAGCCACAGTACGATTTAAAATTAGATACTCTGGCTTTAAAGTAGAAATTCTTGACCATCAGATTATAATATACCATTTAATTTTATTCAATTTTGTTCTTTTCATTCCATTCTATTCCACTTATCCTCCTTTCTTTCCCTCTCTCTCCTTCTACTGGCTTTCTGTCTCTCTCCCTTACTTTTTTTCCCCAAACATTCACTGAACCACTACAATTTCCAAGGGATTGAACATAAGATGAATGATGTAAGGTTAAGGAACTCAGAGGGAAAGTGACACATAAATACATCATTTCAATGGATGCGATAAAAGTGAATACAGAGTATGTATTTATAGATATATATTATGTGAATATATGTGGAATATATAAGTATATACATGCAAGCACACATGCATATATACACACACACACACACAGAGACACATGATTGGGGTTAATCTTGTGTGGGTGGTCGATACTTAGGAAAATGCTAACTTAGACCAAACTGAAATAACTAATAATGACTCAAATCTGACCAGTCACAAGGCACTCTCTGACCCCCTCCCCATCAATCTATATCCAGCTTTACTTATCAAGCCTTTGTGGTGCACTTCTAACATTACCTCCTCAAGCTTAATTAGCATCTGTTAATTATACTTTACTATTGTCACATTTAATTCTCACAGCCTTGACAAGTAGCTATTATTTGTAGCATTTTGAAATTGAAGAAACTGAGCTCAGAGAATTTAAATAACTTGCTCAAGATCCTTGATCTAATCGATGATAGTGGAAAATCATATCTACACCATCACATTCCACCTGGCTCACCAGGGGCTTTCTCCTTGAAAAGATAAAAGAAATAAGAACCAAATTGTATTGAACCAGGACCAGAGAGAATGACTAGATGATCTAAAACTAAGGATCATTAAAGCAAGGCCAAGAGATTAGAGAGCTACAAAGTTGTTTTACATATGAAGAAACAAAACGCAAGGAAGCCTTTTCACCCTTATTGATCTGTAGATCATTCCTCTCAAAGCAAAAGATATTAATGAGAAAGAACACGTGGTACCTGGCAAAATAGAAAGGTAGCAGTCCTGTCATATTTAGAGGAAAATAGCAAGTTTGGGTTTCAGGTTTATGTAAATGAAGAAAGAAACCATCCCCAAACAATAATCAACTGGAGACCTACATTTTATAAAATGTAAGCAGCAAAACTTCCTCAGAAATCAAGTCGATGGGGCCATTTTATTTAAAATCTTAGAACTTGAGCTACTTTGAAGTGCAGAAATAGTTGTCTGCAATGGACAATATATAGATTTATTAAAGGAAATAGGCAATTCAGGGCCTGTAAGCAATGAAAAACAATATAGGAAGAAAGCACAGAATTTTCCTCATCCACAACTGGCTAAGGGTTTTCATTAAGAATTTTAAAGCAGAACCGCATTGTTTATTATTTAAAGATTGTTAGATATACATTAGTAAAATATCTTTTGTTGTCATTTCATGGTTTGGGTTTGTCCTTCTCCATTCTTTCATCTTTTCATTGCCATTGCAAAATCATAAGTCTACAAGCACTCCATGCATAATCATTATTCTATACTGGGAACTAGTTGAACCCTGCTTGGAAATTTTAGGTAACATTCTGATGTTATGAATGAGCAAACGAGGCATACAGTATCCTCAGCAGCCCATGTTTTTGGCTAAGCTTATTACTGTCTAAATGTGACCAGAGAATGTAACATATTGAACTTATGTTCAAAGTAAAAACATGTTTTCTACATGACCAGAATACTAATTATATTAGTTCGTTTTCACGCTGCTATAAAGAACTGCCTGAGGCTAGGTAATTTATAAAGGAAAGAGGTTTAATTGATTCACAGTTCTGCATGGTTAGGGAGGCCACAAGAAACTTACAATCATGGCAGGAGACACCTCTTCACAGGGCAGCAGGAGAGAGAAGAAGCAAGGAATGAAGGGGAAAGAGCCCCTTATAAAACCATCAGATCTCATGAGAACTCACTCACTATCATGAGAACAGCATGGAGGAAACTGCCCCCATGGTCTAATCATCTCCCCCCAGGTCTCTTCCTAGACACATGGGGATTGTGGAGATTACAATTCAAGATGAGATTTGGGTGGGGACAGAGCCAAACCGTATCACTAATCCAAAGGAATTGAAGAATTCAAGATGCTGTAAAGATTTAAGAATTCAAGATAGTGGAAATATTAAAAGCAAAAAAGAATCTAAATACCCAATAAGAGGGTTTAAAGACAAACCTCAGAGAAAACAGAGTTTGAAGACAAATGCAAATAAAATGAAACTATTGCAAAACTCAACTTTTACTAAAAGATGGCCCAGACTTGCTCTCCTCTAGCCTCACTGACTATGGTTAATTTGAGAATTATTAATATGTGTTAAGTTTTAAGAATTATTGTGGAAATGTGTATGTTTTGTGCTGTGTGGAAGTGTGTCTGTGTGAATGCTCTTTTCTGTAAAAAAGGAGACACAAAAGTGACTAGAGAAAGATGTCAGCAAGATGTCAGCATAAGACTTTCCAATGCTCAGTCCCCTACAGAAACATTAATTTGAAAAACTATCCACACACACAAAAAAAATGCATTCATAAGAGCTAAAGGAAATAGGTGAGAGACTACTGTACCTAGATGTAGCACAGAAATAAAGAGATACATTGAAGATGGTAGAAAGGACAGTTTTATATTGTTTGAATGACTCTTTCCTCAATTCCAGGTAACACACATAGAAAGAGACACCCTCTGTGAGGGGAAATGAGAATGAAGTGAGCATCAGACGTTGCCTCAGAGCCTAGTACCAGACCCATCCTAGTAAACCCAGTGCCATGCAGGCCACCACTGGTCCCAGACTCTAGGCCAGTACCAGAGGATTAAGCTTCCAGGCCTTTCCTGGTGCCAGACAGGATTTTGCAGCCTCAGGCTCCAGAATCCAAAGAAATTAAAGAATTCAAGATGCTGCAAAGATTTAAGAATTCAAGATAATGGAAATATTAAAAGCAAATAAGAATATAAATACCTGACAGGAGGGTTTAAAGACAAGCCCCAAAGAAAACAGATTTTTAAGACAATTGCAAATAAAATTAAGCTGTTGCAAAGGCCTCAGGCTCCAGGCTCTGCCTAGTAGACTTGGTCTCTGGCCTTCCCCACTGCTGAGTGGGGCTCTGCTGAGCAGAGCCAACAGTCTCAGGCTTCAGATCAGCCCTAGCCCAAGCTTCAAGCTCACCCCAGCACCAGGCTACCTCCCAAAGCCCTAGTCATCAGGCCAGCACTCATGGACCCAGACTCCAGGACAATCCCTGTGGATATAGGATCCAGGTCCACCCACTATCAAGCCAGCCCCTATGGCCCCTGGCTTTAAGCCTGCTCCAGGTTTCAGACCAGCCCAGGGCCATGTTGGCACACATAGACCCAGGCTTTGGGCCTACCCTAGTGCCAGGTTGGGATCCCTGGCTTCAGGCACTAGGCCAGAATGCACAGACAGAGGGTCCAAGCCTTTCCAGTGTCAGGCTAGTCCCTGTAGCTCTACTTTCCAGGCCAGCCCCTGCCATTCAATGCTCTAGTAGACTTAGAGTACAGGTATTCTGTAGCAAACCCAAGGTCCAAGTCCCTCCCAGCAGACCCTAGTGTCAGGTCAGCCCCTACAGACTGAGGCCCCAGGGCCACCCTTGCAAACCTTGGAGTCAGGCCTAACTTTGTGAACTCAGTCCCCAGGCTCATCCCAGCATCAGGCTAGCCCCCATGAATTCAGGCTCCAGCTCATCCCAGTGAACCCAGGTGCCAAGCCCACCATACCATGTCACCATCTGGCTGCACCCCGCCAACTAAGGTTCAGGGGCCACCCCAGTGCCAGATTAGCCCTCATAAACCCAGGCATCAGGCTGGCCCCTACAGATATAGGCTTCAGGCCCATCCATGTGGACCAAATTAACAGATCTATCCTAGTGTATCCAGGTGCTAGTCTCATCCACCTACTGACCCAGGTACCAGGCCAGCCTGCCTGAAGACTCCAGTAGCAAGTTTGCCCATGAACCATGCCAGACAGCCTTCTCAGAATCTCTGAACAACATGACTGGTAAAGAGATTTCCCAGACAACTCCAGTCTGCAAAGACTGAAATCAGTCTGTACTTCTTCAAATGTGTAGAAGTCAACATAAGACAAGAAACATGAAAAATCAAAGAGATATAAATAACCCTAAAAGAATACAATAATCTCTCAGCAGCTGACCTTTAGAATTGGGATAAATGAACAGCCTGACAAAGAATTCAAAATAAATATTTTAAAGAAGTTTGGTAAACTTCAAGAAAATACAGAACATTTCAGTGAAATCAGGAAAACAATGAACAACCAAAATAAAAAATTTGTCGGAGACATTAAAATAATATCTTTAAAAAAAAAAAATCAAAAAAATTCTGGAGCTGAAAAATATAATAAATGAAATGAAAAATAGAGAGCATCAACAGCAGAAATGATCAAGCAGAAAAATCTGTGAACTCAAAGACAGTTTATTTGAAAACATACAGTCAGAGGAGAAAAAAGAATAAAAAATAAAGAAATATTGCTGGATTTAAGGGACAATATCAAAAAAGCAAATATTTCAGTTATAGGAATTCAAGAGGGTGAAGGAAGAGTGAAAGAGGTAAAAAGATTATTTAAAGAAATTACAGCAGAAAACTTTCCAAATTGGAAGATATAAATATCCAGTTATAGGAAGGTCAAAGGTCTCTAATCAGATTCAACCCAAACAAGATTACAGCAAGACATACTATAATCAAACTAACAGAAAACAAAAGGAGAGGATCCTGAAAGCAACAAGAGAAAAGGAGAAAATCACATGTACCAGAGCTCCAATAAGGCTAGCAGCCAATTTATCAGCAGATGCTTTACAGGACAGGAGAGAATGGGATGATATACTCAATGGGTTGAAGGGAAAAGCAAAGCAAAACAAAACAAAAGCCAAAAAACCTGCCAACCCAGAATACTGTACCTAGCAAAATTATCCTTCAGAAAGGAGAGTTAAAGACATTTCCTGACAAACAAAAGCTGAGAGAGTTTATCACCACCAAACCTATCTCACAAGAAATGCTAAATGGAATTCTTCAAGCTGAAAGAAAAGGACACTAATAGGTAATAAATGAATGAATGAAAAAATGAACATAAAAAACACTGGGAAAATTAATTTCAAAGTCAAACTCAGAATACTCTAACACTGTAATGGTTGTGGGTAAATCACTTTAGTATAAAGGTTAAAAGACAAAACTATTAAAAATAATACATATAGTAACTGTTCAGGGATACATATAAAAATGTCTAAATTGTGACATTGAAAAAATAAAATGTAGAGGACAGTAAAAGTGTAAGTTTTTAAAAAGTGATCAAAGTTAAGGTGTTATCAGCTTAAAAGAGCATATTTTATTTTTATTTATTTTTTAATTTTTCAAATTTTTGTGTGTACATAATAGGTGTATATATTTATGGGTTACATGAGATGTGTTGATATAAGCATGAAATGTGTAGTAATCACATCAGGGTAAATGGGGTTTCCATCACCTCAAGCATTTATCCTTTGTGTTACAAACAATCCAATTATACCCTTGTAGTTATTTTAAAATGTACAATTAAATTATTTTTGACTATAGTAACCCAGTTGCATTATCAAATACTAGGTTTTATTCATTCTTTCTAACTATTGTTGAACCCACTAACCATCTCCACTTCCCATTCCCACCAGCTACTATCCTTCCCAGGCTCCTTTGACTCTCTATCTTCCTCAGTTCAGTTATTTTAATTTTTAGCTCCCGCAAATAAACGAGAACAAAAATAGCATATTTTAACTGTAAGATATTTTATAGAAGCCTCATGGTAACCACAAAACAAAAATCTATCTTAGATACAGAAAAGACGAAAGAAAGGAATCAAAACATAACACTAGAGAAAATCACCCAGTTACAAAGGAAGACAGCAAGAGGGGAAGAAAGGAACAAAGATCTGTAAAACAACCAGAAAACAATTAACAGAATGCCAGTATTAAGTTTTTATCTAACAATAATTACCTTGAATGTAAATGAATTAACTTTTCCAATCAAAAGACCTAGAGTGGCTGAATACATTTACAAAACGAAAGACCTAACTGTATGCTGCCTGTAAGAGGCTAATTTCTCCTTTAAGGACACACATAGACTAAAAGTGAAGAGATGGAAAATGATAGTCCATTCAAATGGAGACCAGAAAAGAGCAGGGTAGCCATACTTATATTAGATAAAATAGACTTTAGGTCAAAAACTGTCAAATGAGGCAAAGAAGATAATTATGTAGTAATAAAGAAGTCAATTCATTAAGAGGATATAACAATTATATCTATCTAATCTATCTATCTATATATACATACACACAAACATCAGCAATAAATATATAAAGCAAATATAAATAGCTATGAGCGGAGAAGTAGACGATAATACAATAATAATAGAGAACTTCAAAATCTCATGTTCAACAATGGACACATCATAAGAAACATTAAACACAAACTACACTTTAAACCAAATAGCTCTAAAAGACATATATAGAACATTCCCTCCAACAGCTGCAGAATAATATTATTCTCAAGTGTATTCTTGAAAATAGATCATAAGTTAGGCAAAAAACAAGGCTTAACAAATTTAAGATTGAGGGTTCTTTCTTCCCAGCAAAACCAAGTCTCTCATATTTCAATTCCTGGAAACAATTCATCATGCCAGAATAACATTTACTACCAATGCATGATATTTAAGACATTCATTTTTCCAATTCTCACATCAGAGTGGTCAGTGCTGACAATCCTTCTAGAATATTCATATCACCATAAACTGAAATGAACCATGAACAAAATGATCCTAATTTTTAAGTAAAACAAAAGTTAAGAAAGTCATACTGTGGATGAGGGTAACAGTGTTTTGAGTATATCATCATGTGAATAGACTGGAATTCATAGAATTGCATAACTGAAGGGAGTTTGCGAGTTTCTTTCTTTCATCACCATCACTTTTATTAACATCTATATTGAAATCACCACTTCAACCAGTTGGTAGTGTACATGTGTACATATGTGTGTGTGTGCATGTGTGTGTGTTGCTGAATATGCTAAGAAAGGAAGTCAAGCTTCTTCATATATATGGCAATGAATTTGGAGATTCTTGAATCTTCCAAAGGTTAGTATATTAATGGAGACTTTAATCATTTTTCTCTTTCAAGGAGTGAAAACTCAATTTTATTAACAAACAGGTACATGACCTGTTGAGTGGTTGGTGAAAAAAGTATTGAGCTAATGAGAACACACAAGCCTTTCCACTTACCAGGTGTCCTACCCTAGGCAAATTACAATATCTCTCTGGAATTCATGTTTGGATAATTGCTAAGAATCTTTTTCAATTTAAAATTCCGCTATACTATAATTTTTTATGATACAAAAATATTTTTATTTTTAACTTGTAAGTTCAGGGGTACATGTGCAGGTTTACTACATAGGTAAACTTGTGTCATGAGAGTTTATTGTACAGATTATTTTATCACCCAGGTATTAAGCCTGGCACCCATTAATATTTTTCCTAATCCTCTCCTTCATCCCATCTTCCACCCTCCAGTCTCCAGTAGGCCCCAGTGTCTGTTGCTCCCCCCCTCATTGGTCCATGTGTTCTCATCATTTAGCTCCCACTTATAAGTGAGAACATGTGGTATTTGGTTTTCTGTTCCTGCCTTTATTTGCTAAGGATAATGGCCTCCAGCTCCATCCATGTTGCTGCAGAGGACATGATCTCCTTTTTTATGGCTGCAAAGTATTCCATGGTGTATAATGTGGCATATTTTCTTTATCCAGTCTAGCATTGATGGGCATTTAGGTTGATTCCATGCCTTTACTATTGTGAATATGCAGCATACTTGAGAAGGGTGTGGGGAATGAAATAGCAGACAAGTTAGTGGGACACTTCCCAGGACCAGCAAAATGAGATATTCTATTTTTATCTTTCTAGCTCTTAGGGGGCCTTTAATTTTATTTTTATTGAATTTAGTAACTGTTCACACCTGCAAAGAGAGTCTATATGGATCAATAAAGCAAAAAACAATAATCAGATGATCCAATGGCATGTGGGAAAGCAATCTCCCCAAATGCCTTCTCTGCTCTCTCTCAGCATAATGTCTAAAATAATGAGTGTTCGCAGCATAATAGAGTCCTCCATTCTAGGAGAAAATCTGATAGCGAGTAAGTATTCTCAGGCAATGTGCTTAATAACCAGTATAACAAAGAGTCAACACAGAAAATGACAATTACTTGGCCTTTATTAATTTAAGCTGGTTTCCAGGATTCAAAAATAGTAATAGTAATAGTATGCTAGTAATAATGAAAGAACACTAACAATCTCTTTTTAAATAACTCATTAAGTGCAGGTCTCTGTTGGCTAGTGTAAATTTTTACAACTAAACACATACAACCCCTTCATTAAAGAAACAAATCATGGCTTCTTAGGAGAAATATTATATCCATGGGATATTACATTAGGGAAAAAAGAAAACAGGCCAACAACCGTTAACCTGGAAGTTTCTTGTGGAAAAGACCTCAGTTAAATTGATAAATAGTATACAGATGGGGTTTATTTTGGGTTTTCATAAAGGAAAGGCTATTTTAAAAACATTATTCAGCTGCTCAGGAGGCTGAGGTGGGAGGATCACTTGAGCCCAAGATTTTGAGGCCAGCTTGGAGGCAACATAACAAGATTGTGTCTTTAATTAAAATAAAAAATAGATCGTGCACTAAATTGGGATGTTTTTACAACCGCTTCCTTGGGAGGGGAAGCAAGTGTCCTGAAAATACAGAAATACATCAATTGAGCATTTATTATGTGAAGAACTTTACACAAATTTATTTTATCCAATCTTTATACCAAATCTATGAGATAGATACTCTGAATAATAAAATGCAATGTGTATTTAATATTTATTTTAAAAAGACTGAAATCATATCAAGAATCTTTTATGACCACAATAATATAAAAGTAAAAATAATAACAGGAGGAATTTTGGAAAATTCACAAGTACATGGAAATTAAACAGCATGCTCCTGAACAACAAATGAATCAAAGAAGTTAAAAGGAAAATTAGACATATCTTGAGACAATTAAAAATGGAAACACAACATACTGAAACTTATGGGATGTAAGAAAGCAGGTTGAAGAAGAAAGTTTATAGCAATAAATGCCTACACCAAAAAGAATAAATATCTCAAATAAACAATCCAATGTTAGACCTCAAGGGACTAGAAAAAGAACAAACTAAGTCCAAAGTTAGTAGAGTAAATAAACGATAAGGATCAAGCAGAATTAAAGTAAGCCTAGAAAAACAATAGAAAAGGTCAATGAAACTAAGAGTTGGTTTTTTGAAAAGGTAAACAAATTTGGCAAACCTTTAGTAAAAACATTTTACTAAGAAAAAAGAGAGAAAACTCAGATAAATAAAATCAGAAATCAAAGAGAAACATTATAACTGGTACCACAAAAATACAATGGATCCTAAGAGACTACTATACACAACTATATGATAACAAATTGAATAACCTAGAAGACGTGGATAAATTTCTAGACACATACTGAAGAAATAAAAGACTGAATCATGAAGAATAAAAAAATCTGGACAGACTTACAACATGTAAGGAGATTAAATCAGTAATAAAAAGTTTCTCATCAAAGAAAATCCCAGGAACTGATGGCTTCACTGTTGAGTTCTACTAAACATTTAAAGAATAACTAACAACAATCATTTAAAAACTCCTCCAAAAAAATGAAGTGGAGGGAATACTTCTAAACCCATTTTATGAGGCCAGCAATACCCTGATACCAAAGCTAAACAAAGACACTACAAGAAAAGAAAATTATAGGCCAACATCCCTCATGAATATAGATGCAAAAATCCTCAACAAAATACTAGCAACCAAATTCAACAGCACTTTCAAAGAATCATACGGCATGATCAAGTAGGATTTTTCGAGGGATGCAAAGATGGTTCAGCACACAAAATTCTATAAATGCAGTAAACCATATTAACAGAATCAAAACCTAAAACCATATGATCACCTCAGAAAAAAAATTTGACAAAATTCAATATCAACTCTTAACAAATTAGATATAAGAAGAAATATTTATTAATCCAATAAAGGCCTTGTATGACATAACTGCAGTTAACATCATACTCAATGGTGAAAAGTTGAAAGCTTTTTATTTAAGATCAGAAACATGACAAGGATGTTCACTCTTACCACTTCTACTCAACATAGCACTAGAAGTCTTAGAGCAATTAGAAAAGAGAAAGAAATAAAACCCATCGAAATTGGAAGGAACGAAGTTAAATTGTTGCTGTTTGCAGATGATATGATCTTACATGCAGAAAAACCTAAAGATACCACCAAAAAGCTGTTATAACTAATAAATAAATTCCATAAAGTTACAGATTACAAAGTCCATATATAAAAATTAGTGGTATTTCTATACACTAACAGCAATCTATTTGACAATGAAATCAAGACACAATCCTATTCACAATAGCTATGAAAATAAAATAGGAATTTTTTTTCAGAGTCCATATTTTCAATGCAATTAGGAATAAATTTAACCAGAGAGGTGAAAGAAAGAAAACTGTAAGACACTGATGAAAAATATTGAGGAAGACATAAATAAATGGAAAGATATATCACTGTTGTTAAAATGTTCATACTGACCAAAGCAATCTACAGATTCAATGCAATCCTTATCAAAATTCCAATGTCATTTTTCCCAGAAATAGGAAAACAATTGTAAACTCTGTATGGAATCACAAAGGACCCCCAAATAGTCAAAACAATTTTGAGCAAAAAGAAGAAAGCTGGAGGCATCACACCCCCTGATTTCAAAATATATTATAAAGCTATTGTAATGAAAACAGCATAGCACTGGCAAAAAAACAGACACATTGATCAATGGAGCAAAATATAAAACTGAGAAATAAATACACACATCAATTTAGTCAATAAATTTGCAAGAAAGGTGCCAAGAACATACAATGGAGACAGAACAGTGTTTTTAATCATTGGTTTTGGTAAAACAGAATATCTTCATGAAGAAGAGTAAAATTAGATCCTTATCTCACACTATATACAAAAATTAAGTCAAAATGGATTACAGACTGAAATATAAGACCTGAAGCTGTAAAACTACTAGAAGAAACATAGAAGAAAAGTTTTATGATATCAATCTGGAGAATAATTTCTTTGGTTATGACCTCAAAAGCACAGACAACAAAAGCAAAAATAGACAAACGGGATTACGTCAAACTAAAAAGTTTCTGCACAGTAAAGAAGACAAACAACTGAGTGAAGAAACAACCTACAGAATGGGAGAAAGTGTTTGCAAATCATACTGCTGATGATGAAAAGTTAATATTCAAAATATATAAGAAACTCAAACAACTAAACAACACAAAAAAAATCTGATAACAAGCAAAGGACCCAAATAGACATTTCTCTAAAAAAGACTAGCAAATGACCAACAGCTATATGAAAAAATGCTCAACATCATTAATTATCAGGGAAATGCAAATTAAAACCATGAGACATCACCTCACACCTGTTAGAATGGCTACTATAAAAAAGATGAAAGATAGGAAGTATTGACAAGGATGTGAAAAGAAGAAGACTTCTTGAATATTGTTAGTGTGAATGTAAATTAGTACAGGCATTATATAAGACAGTATGGAGGTTCCTCAGAAAACTAAAAATAGATTACCATATGATCCAGAAATCCTACTACTAGGCATATATCCAAAAGACATCAGCATGTTGAAGAGATATCTGCATCCCCATATTCACTGCAGCATTATTCACAATACCCAATACACAGAATCAATCTAACTGTCCATCAAGAGATGAATGGATAAAGAAAGTGTGCCATATATATATGTGTGTGTGTATATGAAATGTGTGTACACACACACACACACACACAAAATAGAATACTACCTAGGCTTAAAAAGAAGCACAACTTTGTAGTTGCAACATGGATGAACCTAAAAGACATTATGTTTAAATGAAATAAGCCAATGGGGAGAAATTGGGGAAAACGGTGGATAGGAGTGCAGTTACCACTCGGACAGACAGAGCAGCGTGTGGAGACTCACATCGTGAACTTTCGCTCCAAGAACTAACACAGGAACATACCAGGAAAGCCAAGAGAATTCATAAACCCTTTTAAAGAAGTGAATTGCTCATGCAGGCCCTGGGAGACAGCCAAAAAACTGTGAGTGCCCAAAGTGTGAAAGTGTGAAAGGAGAATCGTCTACCCTCCAAAACACACCCTCAATAGGGAACCTGAAGGTTCAGATCATGGGAAAAGGATTTGACCTTACCTGGACCTGAGACAAATTTTGAGAGCCAAGCAAAATTCAGGGGTAGAGGAAGCAGCAGGAAGAGCCCTGTGGGCTCTCTCTGTCCTTAGGGAAGCCATTTCTGACTTTGTCTTGCAGAGGTCCTTGGGGAGGTTTGCCAGAAACACTGGGAAAGACCATGGGGAAAAGGAAACTTCCAACTGAACTTTGTAATAATTTTGACTAGACATGGAGTTTCCTGGACAGAACTCGGTGGAGGGGTTGAATCAGGAGTGCAGACACAGCACAGAAGCCACAGCAGGAAGGGAGGTGCAAAATCTGAAAGCCCCCTACTTAATTTCTCAGCCAAGAGGCTGGTGGCCTCGGGCAAGTTTTCAGCCCTGCTCATCCACTGCCTGGAAATAATCCCAGTGTTGTTGGGGTGGGGGGCATGGTGGAAGTGAAACCAGCCTTTTGGGCTGTGTGGGAGCTGGGTGAAGCTTGTAAACAGCTGACTTCCCCCTACTTCCCTGGCCACCTGCATGACACAGCAAAGGCAGCCATAATCCCACTGGGAACATAACTTCATTGGCCTCCTAACCACACCCTCATCCCCCTCAGCGGCTGCAGCAGGCCCCACCCAAAAAGGGTCTGAGCTCAGACACGCCTAACTCTGTCCCCCCAACCTGATGGTCTTTCTCTACCTACCTGGCACCCGAGGACAAAGGACATAATCTCTTGGGAGCTCTAGGCCCCCACCCATGGCCTGATCCTCCCTATACTACCATAGCTGATGCTGTCCTGAAAGTGCTACCTCCTGGCAGGAGGCCAACCCACAAGAAACTAGTTCAATAAATAAAACCACAACTAAGGGCCCTCACAGAGTCCATTTCACTCCCCTGCCACCTCTACTGGAGCAGCTGCTGCTATCCATGGCTGAGAGACCTGAATGAAGATGGTTGACATCACAGAACTGTGCAGACAGCCGCCAGTACCAGCCCGGAAACCAATAGCTCTGCTGGGTGGCTAGATCTAGAAGAGAAATAACAATCATACAATTTAGCTCTCAGGAATCCACATCACTAGGGGAAGGGGGAGAACCTACATCAAGGGAGAACCCTGTGGGACAAAAGAATCTGAAGAGCAGCTCTTGGGCCCCAGATCTTCTCTCTGACATAGTCTACCCAAATGAGAAGGAACCAGAATAAGAATTCTGGTAATATGACAAAATAAAGGTTTTTGACACCCCACCTCCAAAAAGCTCCTAGAACTGATACATGAAGTCAACAAAGTTTCAGGATACAAAATTAATACACACAAATCAATAGCTGTGCTATACACCAACAGTGACCAAATTGAGAATCAAATCAGGAACTCAGCCCCTTTTACAATAGCTGCAAAAATAAAATATTTAGGAGTATACCTAACCAAGGAGGTGAAAGACCTCTACAAGGAAAACTACAAACACTGCTGAAATAAATCATAGACAATGCAAACAAATCAAAACACATCCCATGCTCACGGATGGGTAGAATGACCATACTGCCAAAAGCAATCTAAAAATTCAATGCAATTCCCATCAGAATACCACCATCATTCTTCACAGAAATAGAAAAAAACAATTCTAAAATCTGTATGGAACAAAAAAGAGTACTCAGGGCCAAAGCAAGACTAAGCAAAAAGAACAAATTTGGAGGCATCACATTACCTGACTTCAAACTATCTGATAAGGCCATAGTCACCAAAACAGCATGGTACTGGTATAAAAATAGGCACACAGACCAATGGAACAGAATAGAGAACCCAGAAATAAACCCAAATACTTACAGCCAACTGATCTTTGGCAAAACAAACAAAAGCATAAATGGGGGAAAAGACACCCTATTCAACAAATGGTGCTGGGATAGTTGGCAAGCCACATGTAGAAGAATGAATCTGGGCCAGGCGCGGTGGCTCGTGCCTGTAATCCTAGCACTTTGGGAGGCCAAGGTGGGTGGATCACGAGGTCAGGAGATCGAGACCATCCCGGCTAACATGGTGAAACCCCGTCTCTACTAAAAATACAAAAAATTAGCCGGGTGTGGTGGCAGGCGCCTGTAGTCCCAGCTGCTTGGGAGGCTGAGGCAGGAGAATGGTGTGAACCAGGGAGGTGGAGCTTGCAGTGAGCGCGATCGCACCACTGCACTCCAGCCTGGGCGACAGAAGGAGACTCTGCCTCAAAAAAAAAAAAAAAAGAATGAATCTGGATACTCATCTCTCACCTTATACAAAAATCAACTCAAGATGAATCAAGGACCTAAATCTAAAACCTGAAACCATAAAAATTCAAGAAGATGACTTCAGAAAAAAACCCTTCTAGATATTGGTTTAGGCAAAGGCTTCATACCAAGAACCCAAAAGCAAATGCAACAAAACCAAAAATAAATAGATGGGACTTAATTAAACTAAAAAGCTTCTGCAAAGCAAAAGAAACAATCAGCAGAATAGACAACTCACAGAGTGGGAAAAAGTCTTCACAATCTATACATCTGACAAAAGGACTAATATCCAGAATCTACAAGGAACGCCAACAAATCAGGAAGAAAACAAACAAACAAACAATCCCATCAAAAAGCGGGCTAAGGACATGAATAGAAAATTCTCAAAGGAAGATATACAATTGGCCAAGAAACATGAAAAAATACTCGACATCTAATGATCAGTGAAATGTAAATCAAAACCACAATGCAATACCACCTTACCACTGCAAGAATGGCCATAATCAAAAAATAATAGATACTGGCACGGATATGGTGAAAAGGGAACGCTTTCACACTGCTGGTGGGTATGTAAACTAGTACAACCACTATGGAAAACAGTGTGGAGATTCCTTAAAGAACTAAAAATAGAACTACCATTTAACCCAGCAATCTCCCTACTGGGTATCTATCTACCCAGAGGAAAAGAAGTCATTATATGAAAAAGATACTTGCAAATGCATGCCTATAGCAGCACAATTTACAATTGCAAAAATATGGAACCAGTCTAAATGCCTATCAATCGATGAGGGATAAAGAAATTGTGAGATATATATATATATATATATATATACACACACACACACACACACACACACATACACGCACACCATTGAATGCTACTCAGTCACAAAAAGGAATGAAATAATGGCATTTGTAGCAACCTGGATGGAATCAGAGATCATTATTCTAAGTGAAGTAACTCAGGAATGGCAAACCAAAATCGTATGCTCTCACTCATAAGTGGGAGCTTAGCTGTGAGGATGTAAAGGCATAAGAATGATATGATGAACTTTGAGGACTCAGAGGAAAGGGTGGGGGTGAGAGATAAAAGATTACACGTTGGATACAGTGTACACTGCTCAGGTGATGGGCGCACCAAAATCTTAGAGATCATCACTAAAGAACTTATTCATGTAACCAAACACCACCAGCTCCCCAAAAACCTATTGAAATTTAAAATAGAAAAAAAAAGAAATAAGCCAGGCACAGAAAGACAAATATTATAGGACCCCACTTATATGTGGAATCTAAAAAAGTTGACCTCATAGAAGTAGAATGGTGAATATCAAGGACTGCAGGTGGAAGAGTGCAAGACTGGGAGATGTTGGTTAAAGGATACAAAATTTCAGTTAGATAAGAAAAATAGATTCAAGAGATTTATTGTACAACATCATGACTGTAGTAAATAACAATGTATTTTGAAAATCACTGAGAGTAGATTTTAAGTGTTCTCACCATAAAAAAGTGGCAAATATATGAATTAATGCATACATTAATTTGCTTGATTGAGTCTACCATACATAGCTCCAAACATCATGCTTCACATGATAAAAATATACAGTTTTGTCAGTAAATATATATACAAATTTTTTTGAACTCAAGAGAAACTAATCGAACAGCCACACTAATTGAGGTATGGAGGAGATGGTCAAGCATCTATTGAAGGAATCTTATAGTGACTATTATCTTAGCTTTTTGTTTTCTTTTTAAATAGAGACAGAGTCTTGCTATGTTGCCCAGGCTGGTCTCGAACTCCTGGGCTCCAGTGCTCTACCTGCCTTGGCTTCCGAAAGTGCTGGGATTATGGGCGTGAGCCACCATGCCTGACCTCTTTTTTTTTTTTTTTTTAATGTGAAAGCAAGTTTATTAAGAAAGTAACGGAATAAAGAATGGCTACTCTATGGGCAGAACAGCTTAACTGTTATTCAAAGCAAACTGAATGAAAAGGATATTGCTGAGAAAAAAATGGCGACCAGAAAGGAAAAAAGAAATAAGGGGTAGAAAATTTTTAACATTTAATAAACCTTCAAATAGGTAAACTATGTCTGATCATCCAATCTCCCAATTTTGCTCGTTTGATGACATAACCAGTATTACTTGTTCTTAAGCCATCAAAGTCACACTTTGTCAGTTTGTCAGGGTAGAGTGTTAGCATACATATGTAGGAGGGTGAAAAAAAATTATCTTTTCAGCTGGCACCAATATTTTTGTTAGGAAGTAACAATCTTAGTTTAAGAAAATACTCCGATAAATATGTGGGGAAGGAAGCTAAAACTTTGGGCGTGGCTTGGTAAGAGATAGGATTAAAGTAAATAAGCTGCTTTTAAGGATAAATGAACAAGAAGGAGAACAGAAAATACAAGGACAAACAAAATGAAAATTTTTCAGGTGAAAAGTCTGCTACTAAGTTGGTAGAAATGGGAGGTGGATTATTATAAAATATTAAGAGATATTTTAGTAGAGTTTCAGATTTACAGGATAACTGAGGACATAGAATGTATACTTCCATATATCCATCCCCTCCATCTCCCACCTCTGCAGTTTTCCCTGTTTTCAATACTTTGACCTAGAATAATGACTGACATTTGTAACATTTGTTATAATTAATAAATCAATATTTAAGATTATTAACTATACTCCATAGTTTACATTAAAGTTCTATTCTGTGTTGTACATTGTATGGGTTTTGAGAAATGCATAGTGATATATATCCACCATTACAGTTTCACATGAAATAGTTTCCCTGTCCTAAAATCACTTGTGCTCTACCTATTCATTTCTCCCCTCCCTCTCACATCCCCTCACACCTGATCTTTTCACTGTCTCTATTGTTTTATCTTTTCCAAAATGTCATATAGTTGGAATCATACAGTATATATCCTTTTCAGACTGGCTTCTTTGACTTACCAA
This sequence comes from Homo sapiens, assembly GCF_000001405.40. Classification (NCBI taxonomy): domain Eukaryota; kingdom Metazoa; phylum Chordata; class Mammalia; order Primates; family Hominidae; genus Homo; species Homo sapiens. Next base: position 163,009,705 of record NC_000001.11, on the reverse strand, counting down.
TATGTGAGCAAGTTTCTGCCATGTCTGTGTGTGTGTGTGTGTGTGACAGAGTCTCGCTCTGTCACCCAGGCTGGAGTGCAGTGGCGTGATCTTGGCTCACTGCAACCTCCGCCTTCCAGGTTCAAGAGATTCTCCTGCCTCAGCTTCCCGAGTAGCTGGGATTACAGGTGTGCACCACCATACCCAATTAATTTTTGTATTTTTAGTAGAGTTGGGGTTTTGCCATGTTGGCCAGACTGGTCTCGAACTCTTGACCTCAGGTGATCCGCCTGCCTCAGCTTCCTAATGTGCTGGGATTACAGGCTTGAGCCACCATGCCCCGCCACCTCCATGTCTTTTCATGGCTTGACAATTCATTTCTTTTTAGCATTGAATAATATCCCATTGTATGATGTACCAAGTTTGTTTATCCATTCACCTACTGAAAGATATCTTGATTGCTTCCAGTTTTGTGTGATTATTAAATAAAGCTGCTATAAACATTCATGTGCACGTTTTTGTGCGGACAGAAGTTTCTCACTCAATTGGGTAAACAGGCATGTGATTGCTAGATCAAATGGTAAGAGTATTTTACCTTCATAAGAAACTGTCAATCAGAGGATTTTTTAAAAGAAGTTTTTTTTTTCATTTGCTCAAAGAAAGTAGCTCCACTTCGAGTTGAACAATGAGAACACATGGACACAGGGAGGGGAACATCACACGCCTGTCGGGGGGTGGGGGGCTAGGGGAGGGATAGCATTAGGAGAAATACCTAATATACGTGACGGGTTGATGGATGCAGCAAACCACCATGGCACGTGTATACTTATGTAACAAAACTGCACGTTCTGCACATGTACCCCAGAACTTAAAGTATATAATAAAGAAAGAAAGAAAGAAAGAAAGTAGCTCCACTTCAAATCCTTCCCCTCCCCCTTTCTAAAAAAATATTTAAGCAAAATTTTCTATATGTCCAAAAGCCATGTTGGCATGGATGTGTTGAAAGGTGAGAATATGGAGTAGTCTTTGGGAATGGAGGTGGCAGGAAGTGAACTGGAAACTAAGTGCCTGTCTGGATGGATACAATGTAGAATGAAGAAAGCAGGGTGTGGACATCAGGACAGCTGATGAACTTAACTAATCTAATCAAAGCAGAAGTTTAGAATCTGAGGCGGCCATGAAAATACAAGCCTTCCACCATAAGCTCAGGAATTTGCAGAAATCCTGGGAGAAAATTAAAGTTTTCTCAGGATATGGAAGAATGTTTCAGCTAACTTGTTTTCTTTGTTTTTTGTTTTGTTTTGGTTTGGTTTGGTTTGGTTTGGTTTAGACTGAGTCTTGCTTTGTTTCCCAGGCTGGAGTGCAGTGGTGCAATCTCAACTCACTGCAATCTCTGCCTCCCAGTTTCAAGCGATTCTTCTGCCTCAGCATCCAGAGTAGCTGGGACTACAGGTGCATGCCACCATGTCTGGCTAATTTTTTTTTTCTTTTTTAGTAGAGATGGGGTTTTACCATGTTGGTCAGGCTGGTTTTGAACCCCTGACCTCAAGTGATCCCCCCACCTCAGCCTTCCAAAGTGTTGGGATTACAGGCGTGAGCCACCACACCTGGCCAAGCTAACCTGTTTTCACTGGTTCTGATCAGGCCCCTCTGTCAATCCTTTTTCCACACTATGGCCAGAGTAATTTATCTAAAGTTCCAATCTGATCATATAGTTTTAGGGTACTGTCTTCCTGAAAATGGAAGTGCATGCATCTACTTGGTCAATAACCCTCAGTGACTCCCTGTGACCTAGAGACAAAGTACTGTATTCTTGGTCAGGTACATGGTGCTCCCATCCCTTTCCTGTGGCATCTAGTTCACTATCCATCTCCTACCACTCTCACACTTGGCACTGAGCACTCCATGCTGCTCAGCACTGAACATACTTAGTATTGGGCATGCTTAGCACTGAACATGTTTGACACTGAACATACTTAGCCCTGAACACTCTATGCTTCATGCTCCTCATACTCTATGCTGCTCCGGGACGTTGCAATTTTGCTCATGTTGTGCCTGGAATGTCCTTCTCACTTTTCTTTACCTGCGTAACGCTTGCTTATCTTTGGGATTCAGCTTCGACATCTTTTCTTCTAGGATATTCTAAGTGTTTTCTGCATTTTCTTTTTTTTTTTTTTTTTTTTTTTTTTTTTGAGACGGAGTCTCGCTCTGTCGCCCAGGCTGGAGTGCAGTGGCGCGACCTCGGCTCACTGCAAGCTCCGCCTCCCGGGTTCACGCCATTCTCCTGCCTCAGCCTCCCGAGTAGCCGGGACCACAGGCGCCCGCCACCACGCCCGGCTAATTTTTTGTATTTTTAGTAGAGGCGGGGTTTCACCGCGTTAGCCAGGATGGTCTCGATCTCCTGACCTCATGATCCGCCCGCCTCTGCCTCCCAAAGTGCTGGGATTACAGGCGTGAGCCACCGCGCCCGGCCTGTTTTCTGCATTTTCAAAGGCCCTTTTGGATATCTTTATTCTTTTTTTTTTCTCATGTGTTTGCTGTCCACAATTATATAGACTTCTTAAAAGTAATATCGTTTCATACCATCTTAGTATTTCTATCATGCCCAGCACAGTGCCTTATTTATGTTTGTCACTTATATGTCTTGAAAATAAAGTTAACTCAATACAGGCTTTAAGGCAGGGCTTCATTAGTGACAGTGAATTACACAGGAGGGAATTCAGACACCAAAGAAATCAGGGATTGTGCGGCTTAGGTCCTTTAGGAAGCAGATGCCAAGAAGAAGATAAAAGTCCAGTAGATTATTGGGGACAATCCTTGTGAAAGATAAGAAAGAGGAAGCAAGGAACTTTCCAGACTAGAATGCAGTTTCAATACTATGAAAATAGAGAGGGTAGGAAGGAAGATTGGGTAGGAAGATGCTCAAACAGCTTTGAGGTCTCAGCCAGCCCAAAATGAGGTTCCAGAGCAAATTATCCTTTAGAGAATTTCCACATGGCACAGAAATGAGCAATCACTAACACACCCACTATGCGCAGGCACTGGTTAGCACTGCTTAGGCAGACTGTGGCTTAGGCTTGAATACTGCAATGGATCCTGAAGGTGCTGCAGGCTGTAAACTGACTGCCCTCCGTTTGGCACATTCTCTCTAGAAGTAAGATCTGAGAGGAGCTCCATCATGGCTGCCACAGAGACTCGGAGAAGTGAGAAGAGCTAGGCAGCTTCCTCTTTATCCAAAGGCAAGTATTCACATCGTACTTCCATTACGTTGTTGGAAATACTGTGGATTTCCAAAATCTCAAAATAATAAAATCTGAAAGTTGCATATATAAATACGTACCGTAGTCAAATGTGAAAATTTTGATCATATCTGTTGTTTTTAATTATGACTTCCAAAGCCTTTGAAATAGAACATTAAGAGCTAGCTGCCTGCCACTCCACTGCCAGTCAGTTTCCCCACCCACACGAAACTGAAATCTACCTATTTATCTATTCCTTCTTTAATTTTTATGCGTAGGAATTTCTCTTGGGTGTTCGCTTCCTATAAATGGAAATGCATGAATTTTTTCTAAATTTTCAAAGTTGAATATTTATGAAAATATGTCAGTGCAAAACATGTATTAATAGCAAGATTTAAACTAAAAATAATGATGCTATTTCTATTCACTAGCTAACATCTCTTAAAGTTCCTAAACAAAGAGAAAAGAAATCATGCAGCTTGGGGAAAATTTATTTATCGGGCAAAGCATATGGATAGTGTGTGCAATCAGAGATTGTCAGAAAACACAGTGATATTCTATTTCTTCTTTTCGCACTTTTTACATTTTTGTTTTGCTACCAGCCTTGTTAATAATGGATGTACTCAATGACACCTGCCTACCTTAAAGCATTTTTGTTGTAAATATTTTAATGGCTGTTATGGAAACAGCTGTGAACAACTCATTGTAAAGATCTGGAGTTAATGATCATACTGAAGTCCATTGCCTTGGAGCCTCGCAAAGGTATTTTTCAATTGTGCTACCATCTTTTATTAATAGCCTTTAAATAGGATCACTTTGTTGAAACAGTTATATAACATAAGATTCTAGTTCATTATGCATACCAACAAATTATTAAATTAGCTTAGGCTCACTTATATTAACTGATATCAAATTGCACATGAAAAGTAATTTTCCAGACCCAGTTTCATTAAGTAATGAGAAAGGAGGCTTGAGATTTTATTCAACCTAGTAGTGTGCTAGTATCCCCTCTTTTTTAACACTTATAAATAAATGATATTCTTGATTAAAATGAAACCTATCCCTTAAGTAATTATTACTAATTATATGAACGTTTCATTTATCAATCTCTCCCAAACATGTTTCTCCTGTAATGTTTTCTGTCTCAGAAAATGACATCTCCTTCCAGAAGTTACCAATTTCTACTAATTTTTTCTGCAACATGTATCTCATATTTTCATTTTCTCCTTCACTACTACTAAACCAGTCACAAAAAATTTGTCTCTTGCCTGAACTATTGCAATAACTTTAAAAATAATTTTAATATAATGATTTCCTGCTATACAATTTCCATATAGCAGCTAGAGTAATAATTTTCAAAAAGCAAATTTATCATATCACTATTGTACTTAAAACATTTTTATGGCTTCTATTTACAGTTAGAATAAAATCCGAAATTCTTCATCTGATACCATGCTCTGTGGTATCTGGTACCTTTCTCTCTCTCCAGCATCATTTCCCACCTTTCTTCAGAATTACTAGTCTCTTGACATACACTCTCTTTCCCTCCTCGAGCCTTTCCTGCATTCTATCCCATGTGTTCTCCCTGGATTTTCCTTCTCCTTTTCTTCTCTGCACTGACTGCTACTTATCTTTTAGGCGTCAACTTCAGTGTTGCTTCTTTAGAAAGAAAATCTTCCCTAGCATGATAGAGTGCATTATTGACCTAAATTATTTTCTCCCTTCTGCATCCGTGCCCTGTCTATGTCCTCATCATGGGCAGAGAATGTTCCCTGCCTTGGACTTTGGGCTTAGCTATGTGACTTACTTTGTCTAATAGTGACAATTTTTTAGGTCAAGCCCAGGTCTTAAGAGATTTCAATGGATATGTCAGTCAGGGTTTTCCAGAGAAACAGAACCAATACTGTGTGTGTGTGTGTGTGTGTGTGTGTGTGTGTGTGTGTACGTGCACAGACACGTATACATATATATAGAAAGAGACAGAGATTGTAAGAAGTTAATTGTGGAAGCTGTGATTCTTGAAATGTTTTCAGCAGGCCAGCAGGCTGAAAATTCAGGTAAGAGTTGATGGTGCAGTCTTAGTCTGAAATCTGTAGGGCAAGACAGCAAGTTGGAGACTCCAGCAGGATTTCTATATTATAGTCTTGAGGCAAAATTCCTTCTTTTCCTGGAAACATCAATCTTTGCTCTTAGACCCCACCCACACAGGGTAATCAGCTGTACTTAAAGTCAATAGATTGTAAATGTTAATCTACAAAATATCTTTACAGCAACAGTTGTACTAGTTTTTGATCAAAAAACTGGATACCATGGCTAGCCAAGTTGACACCTAAAATTAACCATCACAATGAGTTTGTGCTTGACTCTGATACCTGTACCAACTCTATGAGAAGAAGATGCCTTGGCTAGCCCACTGGTCCACGGAGCATGAAGAACATGTGGAGCACAGCCACAGCAGTGGAGCCCAGCTTGGGCCACCCAACCCTTAGTTGACCAGCAGACACCAGAGAAAGTTCTGCTAAAATTAGTCACGGCAACCAGCAGAGCTCAGCCAGGATCAGTGGACTCCAACTGACCTGCAGCATGTAAGAGGTAATAAATGGTTCTTCTTACAAGACATGGGAGGTTAGCACAATGCAGAAAGGGAAGTCTCTTCAACAAAATGTGTCAGGAAAACTGGACATTCACATGCAGAAGAATGAAATTAGACGCTTATCTCTCATGATATACTAAAATCAATTCAAAATGGATTAAAGACTAAAATGTAAAGCCTGAAACTATGAAACTCCTAGAAGAAAACATAGGGGGAAAGCCCCATGACATTAGCCTGGGCAATGATATTTTTTATATCTCCTCAAAACACAGGCAACAAAAGCAAAAATAGAAAAACAGGATTATATCAAACTAAAAAGCTTCTGCACAGCCAAGGAAAAAAATCAACAAAGTGAAGAAACAACCTACAGAATGAGAGAAAACATTTGCAAACTATACATCTGATGAGGGGTTAATATCCAAAATATATAAGAAATTCAAACAACTCAATAGCAAGAAAACAAATAACACAATTAAAAAATGGGTAAAGGACTCGAATAAACATTTCTCAGAAGAAGGCATACAAGTGGCCAACAGGAAATGGAAAAGTGCTCACCATCACTAATCATCAGGGAAATGTAAATCAAAACCACAATGAGATATCACCTCACTCTAGCTAGAATGGCTATTGTCGAAAAGACAAAAAGTAACAAGTGTTGGCAAGGATGTGGAGAAAGGGAACACTAGTGTATTGGTGGGAATGTAAATTAGTACAGCCATTGTGGAAAACAGTGTGAGGTTCCTCAATAAACTAAAAATAGTACTACCATATGATCCAGCAATTCCACTACTGGGTGTATATCCAAGGGAAATGAAATCAGTATATCAAAGAAATATCTGCACTTGCATGTTTATTGCAGTATAGGCAAGATATGGAATCAACTTAAGTGTCCATCAGTGGATGAATGAATAAAGAAAATGTGGTATATATGTACAAGGGAATACTATTCATCCATCAGAAAGAAGTAAATTCTGTCACTTGTGACTATGTGGATAAACCTGGAGGACATTATGTTAGGCGAAATAACCCAGGCACAGAAAGACAAACGCTGAATGATTTTATTCATATGTGAAATGTAGAAAAGTAGAGTAGAATGATGCTTACTAGAGGCTGGGACGGTTGGGGGTTGGGGTGAGTATGGGGAGATGGGGAGATATGGTCAACGGATACAAAATTTCTGATAGATAAGAGGAATACATTCAAGAGATCTATTTCCCAGCAAGGTGACTATAGTTAAAGATAAATATATTGTATCCTTGAACAATGCAAAGAGAGTGATGTCGCCACAAAGTGACAACTATGCTAGATAATATATATGTTAATTAGATTTAACCATCCCACGATGTTTATATACTTCAAAATGTCATGTCGTACATGATAAACACATACAATGTTATCTGGCAATTTAAAAAAATATTAAGTGAAGAAAATGACACCGAGTTTAGGAATGAAGTGTTCCATAACCATAGTTAATTGATACAACCAGTTTTAGAATTCAAAATAGGCACCCAGCTATATACTCTTGTAACTCCTTGTGTCTTTCCATCACAGCATCTAGCACACTTGCCCAGTCATACATTTATTCATGCAAGTGATTACTGAATTCATGTCTGTCTCTCCATTATGCTCTAAATTCTGGAGGATGGAGAACAGGAACTGTGTCTGTCCTGTTCTACTCTCAGAGCCTAATGCCTGCTGTATGATAAATATTGATAACACTTGGCTGATACTGAAATGCTTCGTATTGAATGCTTTCCATCTAAGGTTCATAAAAGTGAAAAATATTGGCCAAGATATTATGGCTTTTAAGTGGAGGAACCAATATGTACACTCAAGTCTGTCTTTCCTTTTAAACAAAGACAAATTCTAGAGGAAGAAATTATGTTGTTAGTGCTAGCATAACTTCCTTTTAATGCCCTGATTAAAATAAAACTTCAAACATTCGAAGGTAATACAGCATAGTTACTATTTACAACATGGTCTCGAATGACCACACTCAGAAGATACTAAACCTGGGACATGACGAATGAGAAGATGCCACCCAGCACAGAGTGGAGGTAAGACAAACATCCCAGACAGAGGGACTAGCAAGGGCAAAGACCCAAGACAGGAAAGTGTCAGCTTGTTTGAAGAACTGAACAGAAGGGCAGTGTGGCTGCAAGAGGTTAGCAATGGGACTGTGTCCTGAGGCTGGAGAGGGAGTCAGGAGCCAGGGCCTGTAGGACCTTATTACCTAATAAGGTGTTTGGATGTTAAGCACCACAGGAGCCTGTGGAAGAGTTTAAATACTGAAGTGACATGATGGTTTTGAAAACATCACCTTTCATGTGAAGAACTGATAAGGAGGCTTGAGGGAAAGCGAGGAAGAAAGGGTCTTCAGTGCATGGTTATGGCTGAGGCAATGACATCACAACAAGGAGAAGGAATAAAATGAAAAGAAAGCAGGGCCAAGAGGAAAATCAGCTTCACCTGGGCTGGGTGATTGTATAGGTGGCTGAACTGGAGGTCCTAAACCTAGAGTGTGGTTAGGATATAGGAGGATGTATCTGGTGGTCTGTTCAGGGTTCTGGCCTTAGCCATTGTATCAGAATGATTCCCAGAAAGAAACAAATGGCATAAATAACTGGGTAATTTGAGGAGAGTTTAATAAAGGGATATTTACAAATATGTCGCAAGTTTTTTTGTAAACCAATAGAGAATAGAGCACTGCCCCAGGGGCTAAAAAGAGCTGGTTCTGTCACCACCCAAGGCCTGAAAGGGTAAGGGGAGGGGATGGTTACCCACACCTAAAGCAGGACTGCTGACAGGAGCTATAGTCGTTGGCCTTGGAAATAAGGCAGGGATGGAGCCAGAGGGATAAACACTCTGACCTCAGGTCTCTTGCAAGTGCCTCCGATGGGAGGCAGTGAGCAGAACCCTCTGGAAGTCAGAGCTCAAGGGAGTCTGTTGATGCAGCCCAAATGAGCCAGCCTCCCAGGGCACAGAGCAAGGGGAAGAAGGAGAGTATGGGGGCAAACAGAACACATTCAGTATAGCCATTATCTTATTTAACAATTTTATTCTCAAGTTGAATGTGAATAATTAATATTATCTTATTATTACATTAAGTTAATGACATGCTTATAAAAATAATAATTACAAAGCGAGAAAAGAGGTGAATACATTATCTGACAGTTTTCTAATACTTTAAGCTGGAGTAATATCCAACGTAGCAAATTGTTAATTATAGTCCAAATATAACAAGAGAAAATATACTGTACATACAGGTAACCTCCCCCTCTGGTTTGGCTGAAAATCTAGTTGTACAATTTCAGAATGCTAAAGAAAAAATAGCTCAATAGCTACACACAAAACAAAAAGGTGTCAAGTTTAGTTGACTATAGTCTTAGGTAAAAATGTAACATGGGTTTAGAATAAAAGAACTTTTATTTTAGAATTATTTCTTTTAGGGACACCTGACATTGAGATTTTGGTTACATGTCTGAGAACTCAGCCATGCTGCGCAATGAAGGGTGTAATAATATTTCTTGACCAACGCAACTGGTCTACTGACATAAACATGCACCCAACTTGCAGAACACAGAGAGCTAGTAGCTACAAGAAATGGTATTCCTGGTTAGTTCAAATTTTGTTTTATCCAAAGAGCCAAAAGTTAGCTCACTCTGGTCATTAGGATTAAGGGATGGCATTTTACAGTAAAAATGGGCCAAATTGAAAGAGCCAGTTATAGCTAGGATGACTATCATTATTGCCCAAACCAAGCACATTTGCAGGTAGAAGAGCATGGTATTAACAGTTGTTCTAGGACAACAAACATAAACTGGGACTTCCCTGTAGAAGCCGTGATGTATGGTCACCCTAGGCTGAGCATGGTAATTAAGAGTATGGCCTCTGAAGATGGACTGTGCTGGATTCAAAATTGTGAGCCATTATTGGCTGTGTGGCCTTGGGCCATTACCTCACATCTCTTTATTCCTGTTCCCTTACCTGTAAGGCTGAGATTTCTATAATAGTACCTTCCTTATAATATTGCTTAGGTTTAAATTAGTTGACACATGCATAGCATTTATAGTGCCTGATATATAATAAGACCTATGGAAACTTTTGCAATTATTGTACATATTGAATGAGCAAGTATACACCTAGGTTCTAACATTGGTTCTACCATGTGTGATCTTGCTGTGTGAACTTGGTCAAGTAAGAAGGACTCTCGGTCTCATTTTCCTCACCTGTAAAATAAGGCTAATGAGTTGGTATATGGAAAGATCTACACATACAGCAGAACAGATATCAGACATTACATGGATTTTAATTTTCTTTTTTTAAAAAATGTTTTTTCTCCTTGCTGCCTGCCTTTCTTTCTCTTTTTAAAAATATTTTTGTTCTCCTATGGTAGAAAAATACAATAAAACTAGACAGTTAAACTAGTAGGCAAAGGACAGAGAAAGGGATGTTTTGTACTTACTTATTCTTCTATTCAAAAATATTTATCATTCTACTATTTGCCAAACACCATACTGGGGCCTATGACTCCTCTGCCAACAGAAGTATTCATTTGTAGTAATCTTACCTCCTTCTAGCTAAAATTAATGCTTGCTGTCTTACAGCCACCACATTCAGAATGAAGCACAATACAGGGCTGTGAACTAGTGGCTTCTGCCTTTGGTTGCACTTGCATTGGAATCTCCTTCGAGTTGCTATTCTGAAATTCAAACATCTGTACTTCCACTTGCCCAGATCTATGAGGTCTGCCTCTTCCTTCTGTTTCCTTTTATTTATCTCTGAGACCCCTCCAGATAACCAAACACTGCATCTTGGCCCATTCTGGCCAGCCCTCGGTTATTGCCCTACCCTGACAGGTTATAACTGAACGAGTCTATTTATTGGACAAAGCCTTCTTCCCTTCTCATCTACCTCCCCCTAGCTGCCCTTCTCCTCTTCCACCCTCCATTCTGAAAACCTTGTCTTCACCAAATGGCTATTGACCATCTACTGTGCCAGGGAATGTGCTAGAGATACAAAGATGAATAAGTTATAATTCTTGACTTCAAAGTGTTCATAGTCCAAAGCAGATTTTTTTTTTTTACTTGAGGAATATGGGAGCCTATGGATGTACTTCCAAGGCCCTCTAGATCCCTTCATGTATACAAAATATGGTGATATACATACATACGTTTTTTTCTCCCTGTAAAGAGAATATAAAGATTTCATTGGATTTTCAAAGGTGCCTGTTAGCTAACAACAACAAAACAAAACAAACAAACAAAAAACACTTAAGAATCACCTGGGTCTTGGGATCTTCTGCTGCAGCAAAACTGATTTTAGTTCAGTTGTTCTCAACCATGGCTGCACACGGGAATCACCTGCAGAGCTTAAAAAATACTGGTGCCTGGATCTCAACACCAGAAATTCAGATTTTATTTGTCTAGGGTACAGCCTGAGTTTTGAGATTTTTTAAATTAATACACTTTATTTTAAAAAATTATGTTTAATAAACTGTATTTTTAGAGTTATTTAGATTTACCAAACATATTAAAAATATTAAGCTACTAGTACAGAGTTATACATGGTACAGATGGTACAGATATACCATCACTCCCTTCAGACAGTTTACCCTATTATGAATATATTATATAAGTTACATTTGTTGCAATTAACAAATCAATGGTGACACAGTTTTTAACAACAAAAGTTTATACTTAATTCAAATTTTCTTAGTTTTTACTTAATTTTCTTTTTTGTTCCAGGATCTCATCCAGGTTACCATATTGTATTTAGTCATCATGCATTCTTAGGCTATTCTTGGCTCAGACAGTTTCTCAGACCTTCTTTGTCTTTGACAATGTTTACAGTTTTGAGAAGTATTGGTCTTGTATATTATAGGATGCCCTTCTACTAGAATTGGTCCGATGTTTTCCTCATGGTGAGACTGGAGTTATGGGTTTTGAAGAGGAAGATTACAGAGGTAAAGTGCCATTTTCATCTGTTAAGGGTGTATAATGTCAACATGATAAATGTCTGTCGATGTTGATATTGATGACCTGTCTAAAGTAGTGATTGTCAGGTTCCTCCATTGTAAAATGTGTTCCCTCTGTCCATACTGTCTTTGGAAGGATGTTAACATGATCATCCCACACTTAAGGAATGGGGAGTTATGCTTCCTCTCCTCACTGGTGGAGTAATTTCTTTGGAATTCAGCACATAATTTATTTGGAATTCTGCACAGATTTGTCTCTTTTCCTCTATTCACTAGTATTTTTTTCAAAAAATTTGCTCAAATTATTCCATATTTGGACATTGGGAGCTCTTTCACATATGGATCACTCTAGCCTCCCCACTTTGCTTGTCTTTAACCTCCAATTCCAACAGTCAGAAACCTGGCTCCCACCATAGGCCATTTACTTAATTGTTTAATTCAAAGTATACATGTACAGTGGTATCAAAATTTTTAACCTGTACCTTTAATAGGAAACAGTTTTATCAACAAGAATAAAGTGCTTATCTGTAGTTTTGCCTTTAGTCTTACAAACTCCATTTATTCCTAAAGTCACTTAGGTTAGCACCTTTTCCACAGCCTCTTTAGTGAGGTTGCTTCATATATTTATAATACAGTTAGATTCTCTTGTCACAGTCTACTAGGTGATCCTAGACCGCTTAAATATTTTTTAAAATTTTTGTTACTTTAAAGTTCACTCTTTATGTTGTATAGTACTATGTATTTTGACAAATGCATAATGTCGTGTATCCATATTACGGTATCATACAGAATAGTTTTATTGCCCTAAAAATCCCCTGTGCTTCACCTATTCATTGCCATCACCTGCCACCCACCTCCCAAATCCCTGGCAACCACTGATCTTTTTTCTATCTCTATAGATTCACCATTTTCCAGAATGTAATATAATTGGAATAATATATAGCCTTTTTTTTTTTTTTTTTTTTTTTTGAGACGGAGTCTCGCTCTGTCGCCCAGGCCGGACTGCGAACTGCAGTGGCGCAATCTCGGCTCACCGCAAGCTCCGCTTCCCGGGTTCACGCCATTCTCCTGCCTCAGCCTCCCGAGTAGCTGGGACTACAGGCGCCCGCCACCGCGCCCGGCTAATTTTTTGTATTTTTAGTAGAGACGGGGTTTCACCTTGTTAGCCAGGATGAATATATAGCCTTTTAAGACTGGCTTTTTTCACTCAGCTATGTGCCTTTAAGTTTCTTCCATATATTTTCATGTCTTGATAGCTCACTTCTTTTTATTGCCGAACAATATTCCATTGTATGAATTTGCCACAGTTTGTTTATCTGTTCACATATTAAAAGGCATATTCATTACTTCCAGTTTGGGATGATTATACACAAAGCTTCCATAAACATTTATGTCCAGGAATTTGCATGGACCTAAGTTTTAAACTCAACTGGGTCAGTATTTAGGAGCACAATCACTTGATTGCATAAGACTATGCTTAACTTTGTAAAAAACTGCCAAACTGTCTTCTTAATGGCTGACTTATTTTGCATTCTTTTCTGTAACAAATAAGGGTTCCTGTTCCTCTGCTCCTTCCCAATATTTAATATTGCCAGGTTTGGGGAATTTTAAACATTCTAATAGGTGTATAGTGGTCTCTCCTTGTTGTTTTATTTTGCAATTCCCTAATGATGTCTAATGATTAAGATTTTTTATGTGAATTTTCCATCTGTATATTCTTTTTGGTGAAATATCTGTTCAGATCTTTTGCCCATTTTTTAATAGGGTGGTTTGCTTTTCTATTGTTGAGCTTTAAAAGTCTGTATATTTGGGATTCCAGTCCTCTATCAGATATGTGTTTTGCAAGTATTTTACCTCAGTCTGTTTCTTGTCTTTTCATTCTCTTAACAGTGTCTCAAAAATATTTTAATTTTCATGAAGTCCAGCTTATCAATTTTTTTCTTTCATGGATCATGTATTTGCTGTTGTACATAAAAATTTATCACCAAGCCTAAGGTCACCAGATTTTCTCCTGTGCTGTCTTCTAGAAATGTTATAGTTTTGCATTTTACATTTAGGTCTATGATCCATTTTGAGTTAATTTTTTTGAATGGTGTAAGGTTTGAGTCTACATGCTTTTTTGGGAGAATATGGATTTTCAGTTGTTCCAGCACCATTTGTTGAAAAGATAGATTATCCTTTTTCCGCTGAATTGCCTTTGCTCACTTGTGGAAGATCAGTTGACTATATTTGGTGGGCCTATTTCTGGATTCTCAAGTCTGTTCCACTGGTCTATGTGTTTATTCTGTTGCCAATATAATGCTTTTTGGAATTATTTTCAACTTTTCATGTTAATATAATACATATCAAAAGTGAATAAGGCACAAGTGTCCAACTCAATGAATTGTCACAAAGTGAACACATCTGTGAAACCAGCTCCCAAATCAGAAAACAGCATTACCAGCACCTCAGAAGCTCCCTTTCTCCCTTCAGTTTCTACATCTTCCAAGGATAATCACAATCCTGACATCCAATAGCATTGGTTAGTTATACCTTTTAAATTTTTTACTTAAATATCAGAGAATATGCATTTTTTTGTGTCTGGCTTCTTTCACTCAACATTATGTTTTTAAGAGTCATCCATATTCATGTATACAGTTTTAGTTCATTCTCACTACTGTTTAATATTACAGCAATGGGCATTTGATTAGGCTTAGTTTTGACCTATATAACAGTGCTGCTATGAACATTCCAGTATGTGTCTTTTGGCAAACAGATGTTTGCATTTCTTTTGAGTATATGCCTAGGAATGATATTGCTGAGTTATCAGAGACACACAGGGACAGCTTTAGTAGATATTGCCAAACTTTTTTTCAGAAGTGGCTGCACCAGTGTTCACTTGGCATTCTCAGTATATGGTTGGGCATAGGGCTTTATTAAAGTTCCTCAGATGATTTTAATGTTCAGACAAGTTTGAGACCCACTGTTTGAAAAACCTCCTAAAATAGATTTTTTTTCACTTTTTTTTTAACTTTTAAGTTCAGAGGTATAAGTGCAGGTTTGATACATAGGTAAACTTATGTCATGGGGGTTTGTTGTACAGATTAATTTCATCACCCATGTATTAAGCCAAGTTCCCATTAGTTATGTTTCCTGATCCTTTCCCTCCTCCCACCTTCTACCCTCTGAAAGACCCTAGTGTGTGTTATTCCCCTCTATGTGTCCATGTGTTCTCATTATTTAGCTCCCATTTATAAGTGAGAACATGTGGTATTTGGTTTTCTTTTCCTGCGTTAATTTGCTAAGGATAATGGCCTCCACCTCCATCCATGTCCCTGCAAAGGACATGATCTCATTCCTAAGATAGAATTTTCTATGTCTGTTTACTATACCACCATTCATTGGCACACACACACCTCCACCACCACCACCACCACCAAGTAATGATATATATTTTTAAAAAATAGGACATCATGTATTTTCTGATCTTAACACCTTTAAGGATTTCTACCTCCATTCATATTTGATTACAACCACACTGTCTCATGGGCTTCCCTCAAATTTATATAGATTGGGGTCCACACGCAATGTACATTCTCTAGTAAGTTCAAAAGACTCTTGACTCTGCCATGTAAAGTTGCTCTCAACTTTAATGTTACTCTGGGTGTGTCAGCAGGGACAGATTGTCCCTCATACAGATCCTGGTAGAGAAGGATCTGTTTGTATTATATTTTAGAAGGACACAGATACAAGAGTGGATAAACAATAATTGATCTTTCGAAAACAGCATTAGGTTGTGCTGTCTCTGTGGCTTAGCAACCAGACCTCGTACATGTGGAAAGAGTGTCACATGGAGACTATGAATCCCTAAGGTTGGAGACTCAGCTCACAGAAATGAGAAGGAAGGTCAGATACTGCTCAAATGCCACATAATAAAATTTTGTTATAATGGTTGCATTTCTAAGAATCACATTCTTGTTTTGCAACAGCTGGAGACGAGTTTGTTTCTCTGAAGTGAATTAGGAAGCAAAAAGAAGTATTTTTCCTGTAGTAAGAGGCATAGGAAAATGATACAGAAGCCCCCATTCCTAAGCTGTTTCTCCCCTAAGCTCTTTGAGGGGGAGATCAGATACCTTTTATTACGGAAAGAAACTGGGATGTTTGGGCTGGAAGGAGGTCCATAGACTAAATGGAATTTTATAGGACCAAAGAGTACTGTGCTAAAGCCCAAATTCTTCATTTCAGTTCAAAAACATAAAACATAATTTACATTCTCAGGAGCAAATAGTAAGAAAAAGACTCTCTCTTGTTCCCAGTTTAGTACAAACCCATTGTATTTCAGATCTTCCTCAATCAAAACCCAACTGCTATTCCATGCCTCATCTCTCTCTTTATACTTCCTCCTGCTATGTTATCTTGTCACACTACTACACTTTAACTATACATACATAGATTTGCATGATTTTGTGACTTTTCCATATTCTCTCCAATTGGAATGCCTTTCTCCTTTCTTATACCCCATTTAAATTTTCTCTATCTCTTCAAAGCCAACTCAAATGCTACCTCCTCCAGGAAGTCTTCTTCAGATTTTCCTAGCATTAGAAGGCATTTCTTTCTTTTTCTCTAATCATATTCCTTTATACTTATGTTTACTAATTATTTCATTTGGCCTCAGTTTATGGTTAGTCTGTTTATAAGCCTCTACATTTAATGTATGGTAAGCTTCTTAGGAACAAGGTTCTGTTTTGTTTACTTAGAGGTTGTATTTTCCACAGCATCTGGACAATGTCTTGGACGTAGTAAATGCCATGCTAACTTGAACAGGATTTGTCCAAGAAAAAAGAGAAGGATTTTTGGTACTAGGTTAACCGTTGTAGAGAACGCCTTGAAAAAAAAAAAATGAGGAGAAAATGAGTCATCTACTAGAGTATGGGAATGACTTTCTTTTATTGTTACTCTCACAAACACCTATTTGTGCCTATGAGATTTCACCTATGCAATATTTTCCTTCACTCATCTTCACTAGTCTCACCAAGAATAGCTAGTGACTGCATGCCAACCCCTGATTCTATGAGAATAAGCTTCCCCTATGGCTGAATATAACAGAGGTAAGGCATTGGCATGGCTGCAGGGGGGTGATAGAGAAGGATTGGGGCAATTCACTTCCCTATAGTCAGGGAAAACAGAGGGAAAGATTGATCATTAAGTAGTCTTAACGAGATTTAGATTACTTTTGTCATGATTAATCCCTAGAGGAAATAGGTTTCCAGTTCAAGAAAATAATTATTTTCTTTGCAGCAGCTGCTGCTAAACAGCAACACACACGTGCAAGGACTCTCACATGGAGAATGGCTTGGGCCTCCTCCATTGCCACCCCGCATCTCCCCCCACAACTCCTGGGTGAAAGAACAGGCAGTCGAAGATTCCATGGCCTAAATTAATTCTATTTCATCCCCAGGAATAATGAAGGCAATAGCCATAAAATTTCCATTGCATCTGGATAAATAATCACAAGAGAGAATTATAGGAGTCTCAGTAATTGTTCATGGGTTTATTTCTTTGAAGGCATGTCTTATTCTATGCTTCTCTTGCACCTGAGATAGAGGGTTGCTCGAGATAGGGGTTCCATCAACTTTTGTTAAACGTGTTGATTTATTTATTTGTTGAATATCTACTTGTCTATTGGCCTGTGGCTTTATCTACTAAATATTCCCTGTCTACTTTGTCTTTCTAAATTGCACCCATCGTTCAAATAACATTTCTTCATAAAGCCTTCTTGCTTTATTCTTAAAGCACTTACTGGCAGAATTCTGTAACTCGGTCCAAAATTGAGCAAATAGAATGAGGTCTTTGTTCTATTTAACCTCTCCAATGCCTTGCTTATTTGCCTTTCCCAACTAAACTTTTTCAAAGAGCTGACTGATTTAGACCAATGCCTCTCAAATCTGAACATGCACTGAAGTCACCTGAAGGGTGCCAGCACAGGCGTTTCTGATTCAGCAAGTCTGCTGTGAGGTGGTATATCTAGAAGTCCTAGATGATTCTAATGCCTCTGGTCCAGTGCCTACCCTTTGAGAACCCTTGATTTGGGGGAACCTTGTTACAGCATTAAAGTGTGTCAGCACCACTCTTCTTTCTAAATCTCTCGCTCACCTGCTTAATGAGACCCCTAATACCTCATAGAGATTCCAGTCTTCTCGCCACAGCACGCACATGGGGCAGGTGATCGCCTGTTGCCCTACTCCATCTCACACCAAACAGCCCCCTCCAGCTCTGCTGGGCCTTTTGTGGTTTCCTGAAGATCTGCAATGCTGTTTCAACTTGTTTGCAGTACCCGTACCTCTGGTTTGCAGTACCAGTATCTCTCCAGCTACAGAGATCTAGCTGGAGTATTCTTCAACAAGTTTTTGTTTAACCTTCAAAATTCAATTCCCACGGCCACCTCTCCTGTCTGCTTTCTCTAACTCCCATTTCTGCCTGCTTTGCCTCCCCCCACTCTCCTTCTTGAACCTCTCCACATTTGCACACATGAAGTTAACTAATTTGTCCTCTAGCCTTCGCATAACATAGTATCTGCCTCCATTTCCACTCACCACATTACTTCAGTTTTTTGTTTTTTTTGTTTTTAAGAGATGGAGTCTCGCTCCATCACCCAGGCTGGAGTGCAGTGACGACTCAATCTTGGTTCACTGCAACCTCCGCCTCCCGGGTTCAAGGAATTCTCCTGCCTCAGCCTCCCGAGTAGCTGGGACTACAGGCACATGCCGCCACACCTGGCTAATTTTTTTTTTTTTTTTGTAGTAGAGATGGGGTTTCACCATGTTTCCCAGACTGGTCTCAAACTTCTGAGCTCAGGCAATCCTCCCGCCTTGGCCTCCCAGAGTGCTAGGATTACAGGTGTGAGCCACTGCACACAGCCTGGATTTTTTAAATGTTAGTCAGCCTCCCGCTACTGAGTATGAGTTCCTTGGGGGCTGGAATGATACCTTCTGGATTTTTTAAGGGGAATGGCCATTAAGTATTAACATAAATGAACATCTGAGGTTGGATATGTGTTTTACGTTGCCCTCTTGAAATAAGATAAGCGGGTATGGTGAAGGAGTCACAGTGATTAATGGATAAGAATACCAGAAGCCATGGTCATGAGATTAGGGAAAATGTTGAAAAACTCCCTGAATAATGCCAGTGTTCATGGCTGTAAAGTTTATGACAATAAACTATGACAAACACTGTGAGAACAGTGAAAGAAAAGCCTAATACTTTGGGGTACACTGAAAAAATCAGGGTGCTGCACCTTGTGATGGCTTTTCATAATGAGCATCGAATGCCATGAACTGCACTTAGTTCTCTCCAGAAGTCACCCTTCTTCTTTTTCTCACAGAATTTCCACTGATGCCATTGCTTGAAGGGAGGCTTGGTAAGTGCTTGAAAAGAGTGTCCTCATCTTGGCTCCAGAGAGCCCACTGACAGATGACACACAAAGACAATAAAGGTGGGCTGACGTAAAACCTCACAGGACAGGAGACAGGACGAGGGCAATGTGTCTCTTTAGAAACGTGAATTCTTGAGGCTCTTCAAATACACATTTAGTGAGATTAAAAAGAACATCTCTAGCTTTTTGTAAAATGTAGAACCTTGAAGTCAGCATCTTTACTCTCAGTGTGGAAGGTGCCAAAGAAATAACATTTAACAGAAGTCTAGAAATGTCCCCTCAGCTTAAGAGAATGGGTCCAAAAAGGTGACATCGAGTCCTTTTGTCTTTTCACTTGGATCCCACATTGGACACATGGTTTGTCTGTGCTATCCACAGCAAGACTGGAGTGGGGAGGATGTGGCTGGAGCAGGGAGGATTTCTGTGGAGAAGCCTATGCTCAAATATGGATCTGCCCCTATAATGTGTTCCCTAGGCATGAAATGAGGTTAAATTCCAAAGCCTTCAGTATAGAGTACAATTTTAATGCATATACTTTAGTTGGAATGAAGAATTTGTGCAGGGAAGGGCCTGAGAGCAGATTTTAGATGGAGCAGGGCAAAGAAGAGAATATAGGTTGGGGAGAAGGAATCACTGTTTAGGGGAATAGCTCAACAAGAGACTGTGGTTGACAGAGGAAAATGCCATAACCTGTCCTAGGGGTAAGAAGGCACCTGTGCTTTCTTCTAAAGTCCTCCAATTCCTGATCTGAAAACTGGCAATGATGACCGGCTCTTGCCTCTTTGATCTAGAGATACACATTTTCTTCACACAGCGAGGGAGACATCCACTGCACAGCTACTGCCATTTTCTTCCTGGGACCCATTTCAACTCTCAAGTTCTATAACTTCACAATTCTTCAAGAGAAAAAAATAGGAGGAATAAATATTAAGTATGTGCTAATTCTTTCTGATGAGCTGAATTTGGGGTGGTGATGAGGGTTTGTAGGGGGTTGCATGGGAATGATCATTTACACTCGTAGGATATTAGAAGTGTTAAGGATTTTATTTCTGTTTTAATCCTACAGGCTTTACATTGTATATAGATCGCTGCAGAAAAAGTATGTGACTTATCCAAGATCACTAAGTAGTGGCTGTGTTTATTCTAGTTAGAAAACCTCCTGAACTCACTACCTTATGAGATTTCCATTAGAACTTTAATTGCAATTGGCTTAGAGCATTCTAAAGCTGAGTGATGAAATGGGGAGAGATAAGCTGGAATTCTAAACTACTTGGAAACCACATGATCCTTAAACAACCTTGACCCAATGCCCCGGGGATGGGAAAGGATACTGAGATCAATCGTTTTATCTCCTTTCATAGGACGCATGTGAGGGGCAGCAGTGTCCCTGATCTAAAATCCACCAGGTGCCTCAGAGGGTTCTGCAGGTCTTTTCCCAAGATAGAGCATCCCCTGGAGGTGGGAAACTTGTAATGACACCTTCCTTTACCTCACTCCCCATTAGTGTCACCTGGGGAATCCAGTCTAGGGGTGGAGGAACAGGGTCTGACAAAGGGATTTCAAAGTCTTGCTTTGAAAACAGCTTTAGAATGCTCTAAGCCAATTGCAATTAAAGTTCTAATGGAAATCTCATAGGGTAGTGAGTTCAGGAGGTTTTCTAACTAGAATAAACACAGCCACTAATTAGTGATCTTGGATAAGTGACATACACACACAGGTATAACTGGTGGCTATTTTGTCATGATGCACTTCTCTACCTGACTCTCCAAAGCCTACTGTCATAGCTGTGTGCTCTGCTGAGTCCACTACCCTGTGCTGCCTACTAGCAAACAGCAACCTGGCTTTTCAGATAGCATAGTTCAGAGTACCCACACATCTTGCCACCATGCATGGGTGCCCCACCTTGCTTGAACTTCTCCTAGGGTCCCTTTAAGGCATTCAGAAACAGGAACATAGTTGTCCAGAGCTAATCATGAAGATGGCTGTATGGCTGTAACTGAGAGCTGTGGCGGGGGACGATGAGTGGGCTCTGTGCTCAGAAGCCTCTGTAGCAGATCTGTTGTTCAAGGCCAGAAAGGGCCAGGGAGATAGGCCAGGCAGGTAAGACATTTTTGCCCTCCTTTTCCTTCTTCACCCTCATTAGTCAAAGAAGTTCTCCAAAATAGCAAACTTTTCTTAAACCAGGACTCCACATATGGGCCAGGGAACTGAGATATATCCAAAATATCAAGGGTTACCAGGTGCTTAATTTGCAATATGAGGAGGAGCTCCTTGGAATCTCATTTTCATGGGATGAGAATGGTGCTGGTATAGGTAAAAATTCATGAGAGGGAGAGGAGCTGGAGAAGCCCTTCTCACGGCAAAGCTACTGAAGAGATCTCTTTGCCTGAGACAAGGCCATAAGCACCTGGATCACTCCCAGGGCTGCAAGCTTATTCACCTCTGACTCACAGGATGACTGTGATTAAATTTCATTATCCATTCAGTCTCCAGGTCTAGAGGTTTTTGGTTTTAGGTAGACTATAAGCTTCAGCTCCTCTAAAGGGTTTTTGACTAATGTGCACTGTTATTGAATCACAGTAGATTTTCACACATTCATAATTATTCCTCTGAAGCAGCACATATTCACTGTTATCTCTGGATAAGAGGAGCAGAGAGAACAACAATGTCATTTCACTCCTTTCTTCTAAGAGATGGATGCAATTTGTGACCTAGTTTTTTGAGTACCCTGAATTCCCTTGGGGCTGAAGAAAAGAACACAGCTTTGAAAGGCTGAAGTGAGGATCAAATGAGAAAATAAAATATGTTGCCATAGACCCCCCAGGACTCCCTCACACTAATGAGGGGTGCTGCAGGGAAGTCGGGGGGTGGTTATTCACTGTGCTATGCCTAGTGATACACATAAAAACAGAAAAAAAATGTGCATATAGGAGATAATGATGAATCCTGTTATTATACTGCCTAAATTTGTAATGGAATAGATCATTTTGATTTTCAATCTGCCTGAATTCCTTATTAAGAGATGCCTAACTTATATGTCAGTTTTAAATTATGGATGCCAAGTACAGGGTAATAGTAAAATTGGGTTTCCAGAGGATGCACAAACCCATTTAAGATTTTGGGGAAAAAAAGGTTAAATAGCTACTCCTATGTTTAGGCTGAGCCAGGAATAAAACAGACAGGAAAACTGGTGTTCTATGAGTGATCAAAGAAGCCCACATGATGGGGTCTATACCCATACTCACACCATTCAACATCTCCAATCTACATTTGAGTAACTGATTTTCCAAACATCTAAATGCTACAGGGCAGTTCAGTATGGGGTCTATAGGCTTTCAGTAACCCCCTCTTCCCCATACATTCCCTCCCAAGCTAAGCTGCTTCTGTCAGTAGACATGGAAATTTTGCTGTGTAATTGGAAATGTAGAAGGAAATTCTTGTTAGAGAAAGAGGGGCGAGGTAAAGATGGAGAAAGACAGAGGAGATGGTACAGAATCTTTTTCTACATTTCTTCATCCATGAGAATGCATACCTTGACCTCACCATCCCAAATGCTAATATTTGCTGTTTTACAGTTAAGAGATATTACTAGCAGAAAGGAGATACTCTAGCAAGACCTATTCTTATGTTTCCATTTTGCAGGAGGCCGAGAAGAAGGAAGTGATTCCAGAAAGGTATCACCATTCCTCAGTTACGAAACCCAAGTGAGACCACAATATCCTGACTTCCAGTCTAGAGCTATCTGTAATGCAATAAATCTCTTCACAGGAGCATATACACTGGGAACGGGAACTCTCACAGGTAAGAAAATCCTTCAAGCTCCAAATAAATGAAATAGAAAATTTGCATGCTCAATAAGTGACAGGATAATGAAGAAACAGTTGTATTCTGTCTATACTAACACAACTTAGCAGCTTTCCAAAGTGATGGTGAAATGGCGGCAAGGTTCTGGAATAAAAAATGTATATTTTTATAAGACTAAAATATGTCTGGCCGGAACTAAAAAGCAGCATTGCAACTCCCATAAAGAGGGAATTTCATACAAGGTGAGTAGGGTGAAAGTGGGGGTGAAATGACAGATTGTGCGGCCAACTACTTATTTCTACTTGAGGATGGCCTTAACTACTCCCTCTCCAAAACTAAACCTGTTCAGTGTATCAGTAAAGCTAAATTGATCTGAGTTGCTATGGGAACACAGAAAGGAGTTCCTGGAAATGTAATAATAATTGCTGTCATCTAAAAGGGCAGTAGCTTTCTACTTCAATATCCTCCCATATGTCTGCATTAAGCTGACATTAGCAAATGGGTGTCAAAAGTCATTTGCATGCTAATTGCTAGGAGGATAACTTGCAGTGTTGGGTGCTGCTCTACTGAGCTGATTTGCTAAAGGAAAAGTTTTTCATTGTTTTTCCAGATTCAAATTCTTTTTGCATGGTATGGTTTGGCTGCCTGGGAAAGAATCCAAATGTTACCTCTCTCACAAGACACACATCTCAGGGCCCACGTAGGTCAGGGTAAGAGCTACACATTTGCATGTGGTCAGTGTATAGAGCTTGGTTTCTTAAGCTTGACAAACATCTGACAAACATTGGAAACTTCATAAGCATCTTTACTTGGTGAATTATTTGTGTTTTAGAGGAGGTAGTAGGGAAATGGAGTGTTCATGATTTCGAGAGTCAAAGAATGGAATCAGAATCACGAACCTGAAAGATGGCCTAAGGGAATCTGCTGGTTGGTCCCTTGCTACTCAAAGTATGATCCACTCATCAGCAGCACTGGCATAATCTAGAAGCTTGCCAGTGATGCAGAATTTCAGACCCTGCCCTAGACCTAATATATCAGAATCTACACTTTAACAAGATCCCTAGGTGATTTGTTTGCACATTGAAGTTTGAGAAGCATTAGTGTGGTCTAATGCTTTTACAAATAAGATGACTGAAGCCTGGAGAAGAGAAGTGACTTGCTAATGTCTTGTTGAAGATTAATAATAGCACCAGAACAAAACTCCAGTGTCTCTGAGAGTAAGACTTCTGCCATTACTCCACGTAGGCTCTCAGTAGCTGTGGTTGGGGCACGATGTTAGAAGTGGCATCCAAGACTTTCTGACTTTGTCCCTAGTTTTATGCCATCCCAAGCACTGTCCCTTTTCCAATTTCAAATTTGCACGTATTGCTGGCCCTGGTAATGTGCTCAGATTGGCCAATTTGAGTGCCAGTTTTGGGAGTGCTCCATTGTCCTGCAAAAGTAGCTGATGATAGTTGCATTCCAAATGAAAGAATAGATCTCTAGTCTTTACCTTTCCTGTATCCTCTTTCAAGGCCTCCAACAGGGGCAATCAATATGTCTTTGTGAATTACTCCAAAGAGGAATGTTTCTCCCATTTTCTAAAAGCTAGAAGCAAGGTCTTTTTCTGATAATTATAGGAATAAACAAGTGAGAACCAATAGGGAACCCAAAGAAGTATCAGATGCTTCCTTCCTCCCCAGTGCTCATAAAGCAAAGCTCTCCCTAGGCTAGAGCAAGCCTGGGTCCGTGTTCCATGTTTCACATATGAATCAGTGTAGACTGTGATTGTTTTTGCATCTCCCTTAATACCCTTTACTCCACCTCACCCAAAAGATAAGCCTATTAGAAAGTGACGTACATCCTGCTTCCAGATACAAGAGATGCCTGAGAACACAGTAATTTCCTGTAACTCTTAAAGCCTAGGATGAACTTGGCATGCCTCATTTCTACTATCCTACTTCTCACATAAATTTCTGTGTTGACTCTTCTAGGCCCATTAATCTTCACATTATTTTTGGAACATAATTCATTTAATTCCCAATTTCTTATTTTTGTTCTAGCCATTTGTTTCTGACATCTACTGCTGCATAACAAATCACACCCAAAACTTAGTGGCTTAACACAAGAATAGTTTTTATTATCTCTCATGATTTTATGAATTGACTGGGTGTCCAGCTGGACATTTCTTCTCCACATGGAGTCTGCCGGGGCTATAGTTATCTGGGGACGTCACTGGTGGGAACACTTAAGATGGCTCATTCACATGCCTTGGCAGGGCTGGGTTCATCTGGGTTGTTGGTAGGACTGAGTCTCTCTCTTTCTCTCTTAACTTGGCCTCTCTAGATGTTCTCTCTAGTAAGGTAGACTTCTTATATGGCAGCTTAGGGCTCCCAAAACCACAAAAGCACAGTTTCTGCACCTTATTATGGCTTCAGTCCTGAACAGGCACCATATTAACTCCACCATTATTGTTGGTTAAAGTGAGTCACAAGAGAAGCCCAGAGACTACCAACCACAGGATTCTCAAAGAGCTTGCAGGGAAAACCAAATTTCCTTCTTTTTGCTAATCATTGTCTCTTATCTGCTCCAAAACCAGGGGAGTTCTTAATCTAGAAGTCTGTAAGTACATTTCAAGAGAGTCTATCAATATCTAAAAATTGTATTTTTACACATATTTTGAGTCGTAATGCATAGGTGGTGCACTTTTCTAGGTAAAGGATCCCTAGAATTATTGTGCTAAACAATTCTAAAAATGAGATTCTCAAAGGGTGGGTCTATGACCCAAAGAAGGCTGCAACGTTGGAATGAATGAATCACACCTGATTCTACATGCCATCTGCCCAATAATTATGTGTTGTTGTAGGTCTTTTGAAGATACATGATATGTGCTTATAATGCCTCCCACCAACTAGTTTTGAAATTCTGCTAAGGCAAGAGTCATATCTCTTCTTTATCTCAAGACTCCCTAGTTTTTAGCACTGTCTTTTAAATAATATTAATATACGCTGCATAATACATGTAGACTGATTTCCTATGAAGGGTTTATCTGAGTCTTTGTGTAAGAAGAACATAGACACAATAACCATGACTAGCATCATTCTTACCATACATTTTCTCACCCCTTTCAGTTTAAAATGCTTTCATGTGTCTTATTTGATACTTATCTAATATGAGTCTATAAGGTCAGCAGAACAGATGTTATCATGATATTATTTTTTGTGCTAAGGAAACTGAAGTTTGCATAATCTCTCTCAAAGATTTAGAGCTAGTTAGAGAAGGAACTAGGGCTGAAGTCCAATACTTCTGATTTCCACTGACCCTGGCTGTGTAGCATGAGCCACTGCGATGAGAAGGAGTGAGCACAGCGAGATAGATGTGAAAAACCAGAAGAGCAAAAAGAATAAGAATTCAAGCTTTAGCATGCATCAGGATTACTTGGAGGGCCTGTTAAGCTACAGATTGTTGGCCCCACCAACAGAGTTTCTGACTCACTAGGTGGGGACAGAGAGTTTACATTTTTAATAAGTTCCTAGGTAATGCTGATGCTGCTGGTCTGGTCTGGGGACCACATTTTGAGAGCCACTGGTCTAATCTGTAGTCACATATGATAAGAGAAACTTCCCTGAGCCTAGTGCTTCCATTAATATGAATTCATTGATGGTCCGAATATGGTTGTCACTCATTTCTGGTCTGTATTTTTTACACTCAAAAGTGAGTAATTAGAAACTCTCCCTCATCCAAAATGAACACATACCAGCACCCTTACATACCACCCTCTGCTCTGAAATGAAGGAGATCACCCTGGTAGTCAGATGCCACAAAAGTCCTTCACTTTTCATTGCCCTGAGTCAAGAGGAAAGGTCCATAAAGGAAAAGTTAATAACATGAACCTTTTAGAATGGGGAAATGAGTGTATGCATCATCCACTTACCGCTGACAGGGAATAGTTAACTGCATCAGAATTTGAGAATTATGTTCATCAGGTTATTTGGATCTTAATAATAACATAACAGAATATATCAAGGGCTAATTTTTTAAAAATACATATTTACATGAAATTATTTTATTACCAGTTTTGTAGAAGAAATGTATCCTCTTTATTTCTTAATAAGCATATTTAGGTGCTCTCTTACAATCCCTCCAGAAGCAGGTCTTGCACAATCCCCATCTTTGAATTCAAAAAAAATTCCTGAAAGACTTATTGAGGCTGGTGAACTGATAAACTCTTCATTAATGAAAAGGAGAAATGAAATTGGCCCAGTGACATGGCATTATGGAAACCTTCCTTTTTAGCCTTAAGGTCATCTTGCAGAGCACAGAGCATACTTTGAGGGGCAATGACTGTCCCTTGCCCCTTTAAGGGCTCAGGCTGTCACAAGATTGTGGAAAGCATTTATCATTTGCATTGGGAAAGGTTAATGTATTCTTCCCAAATATAAGCTCCTGTTTATGCAAAACCATGTCTCTCCTATTTGCCCTGCCAGAGCTCTGATCCAAGCTCGTATTTGAAAATTGATGGTCTCAGGTAGATATTAAAGGATTTCTAGGGCAGAACACGCTGTTGTTAATGCAATAGGGAGGAGTCTTATGTAGTCAAAATCATCTGGAATTGAATTGGTCTTTATCAAATAGAACACTTAGATTCCTATTAAATGTTCCTGTGTGGTTAGGGAAATGGCAGTTCTTCCAGAACTGCAGGCAAGAACTCTTTACTCTTTTACGTAGAGCACCTAGGAGTGGCGAGGACTGCCAGACCTGTATGATTGCTTGTTAACAGAACTGTCAGCCAAGTCAGGATGACTTATGGGCCTTCCCCTACACAGGTCCACCACTAAGAGTCCAGGGATAGAAAGAAGGAATTTTTAAAAAGACATACTTTCCAGATGAGAAAACTGAGGCATGTTAAAAAGAGATGGTTTCAAATTGTCACAGTTACAATTTAAGATAGAGCCAGACACCCTCCATTTCCATTAGTTGCTTCTGACAACAAACATTTGAGAATGTGATCATTTTAGAGCATGTAGTCAAATATACTCACTTAACAAAGTAGAAAATTAAGGTTTCACAGCACCTAAGACACACGGCTAGTTAGAAGCAGAGTCTGGAAAAGACGTAGGTGTCTTGACTCTGAGTTCATTGCTTAATCCATGCCTCTCTTTCTCTGGGCTTAAAATATTAGTTATGAGAAAGGTGATTTTGTAATCAAACAGACAATTTCATGGTGTGACTTAAAGAAGTGCTGGGTAAATCCTTTGTTCCAAAAATCTATCCTAATGCTTATTAGTTCATTATTGGAGTTTTACTCTTTGGGTCTCAAAGCCTTTTGTTCTCAGTTTTTCTATGCCAAACCTCTGGGAGACCTAAGTCTTACCAACTTTCACCTTATATCATTGCTAATCATCAGCAAAGAGCAAGACCCAAAAGGAACCAAAATGGTACCTCTTAAGGGGCCCAACAACAGCCAAAATGAAAAAGAAAACAAATAGGTAGGGCCAAAACAGATCTCTCACGTTCTGTAGTTTTCTTCTCTTTACGTTCTGCTTGGTGCTAAAACCTAAGCCTCTGAAAAGCCTAGACTCCCTCAACAAATAATCTTGACTTCCATTGGCTTCATCTGCTTATTGTTCTGAGCTGCTTGACCACAGAGCAGGGTTTCTGTGGAGGCTGAATTATGAGTCTCTCTGGTTCAGGCCCAGGAACTTTATATAATGTGAGAGTCCCTGAACAGGGCATACTGTAGCTGTCTCTCTGCTCCCACATATTTACATTTTATCCAAACAAGTAAACTGCTTTCAATTATCAGGGAATCAAAAAGAAAACACTTATCACTAAAGGGTAATATGAGGGGTGGGTATGGAAGAAGGGAATCCCTTTGCTAAGGGAGTTGGAGAAGGTGTTTATAGACTGACAGCATATTTCTATTCTGTTCTATTTTACTACAGATTAACTAAATCATCTTTTCCACAGCTGTATGCCCCTCAGACTCTAGTTAACCTACGGCAAAAGAATCCCACTAAGTCACTGCTCAGAGTGTCACCTCAATTGGCTGTATGGTGATTCTGCTGGGCATGAGTGCTCACATGTTTCTATAGGATGGCCCAAAATTTTAGGGACATTTTCCCCTTTTTGTTTAAGTCCTCATCTATCCTGAGCATTCAGATGATGGAGTAAGAAAAAATGGCAGGTAATAAAACAAGCACGGGAAGGTAGAACCGGATTCAAGTTCAGAGTCTTTGCTCACTTGCTGGGTGACTTACCCATGCATGTCCTTCAACTAAGATGTAAGCACTTACTATATTAGAGCCATTGTTCTTAGAACTGTTGCCCAAATCTACCAATAACTGTTCCCTCATATGTAAAATGGGAATCATTTATCATTTTATCAATACTTTGTAGGACTATCTGGGGATTAAATGAGACAACATGTGAGTTCCTTATCTACTGTAGGCACACAATAAGTAACAAATATTATTTTGGTGGTGCATGTTATTTTATCCTTAAAAGTAAAGTTTGAAGGCAGGGTGCAGTGGCTTACGCCTGTAATCCCAGCAGTTTGAGAGGCCAAGGCAGACGGATCACTTGAGGTCAGGAGTTCTAAACCACCCTGGCCAGCATGGTGAAACACTGTCTCTACTAAAAATACAAAAAATTAGCTGGGCATGGTGATGGGTGCCTGTAATCCCAGCTACTTGGGAGGCTGAGGCAGGAGAATCGCTTGAACCTGGGAGGTGGAGATGGCAGTGAGCTGAGATCACGCCACTGCGCTCCAGCCTGGGCAACAGAGGAAGACTCAGTCCCAGGAAAAAAAAAAAAAAAAAAAAGTAAAGTGTGAGTGGTTTTTGTGTTTCAGCACTCTTCAAAGGTACCTGAAGTGAATTTGCACCAAAGCAGCAGCTGCATTTCCTCAGTTCTATCTTCACCTTCACGATGTTTCCCTTGGTCAAAAATTCACTAAGTCATCTCCATGTTCCAAGCATTTGGCAAACAATGGCAAGGCAGAGCCACCAGAAACGTATATCTGATTTTCATGATAAAGACGGTAACGCTGTATTAGCTAGTGGAGACACTATCTGTATTGCTGTATGGACATATGTAGCAACACAAATCACAATAAAAGGGAACCTGTCCACTGTTGGCAGAGTCACCCTAAAGAAATGGAGAGATCAGTAATCATCCCAGCTGGTATAGTATTGAATTGTTTAAAAAAATACCTCATAATCAATGCCAAGTGAAAGCACTGTATACCCTTAAGATATGGCATTATTGAAGAAATAAATTTGAAACCTTCAAAAACAAACAAACAAAAATGGTAAATTCTAAGTTCTGCCTAGACCATGAGCTTGTTAAAAATCAGAGTCAATGTCTCATTCATCTTTGTTTTCCAACCCCTGTCAGAGTAACTTGCACATATCAAGCTCTCTATCCATCTTTGTGGAAATAAATGAGTAGTTAGAAATTAATAGATTGTTTAGTAATAGAGAAATACATAATTTCTCAATTCAAAGAAGTCACTGAGAACCTGGGAAAAAAGTAAAGAGTGTGTGTGTGTGTGTGTGTGTGTGTGTGTGTGTGTGTGTGTGTGTGATGAGGGATAAGAAGACAATAGGGAAGGCTGGGCGCGGTGGCTCACGCCTGTAATCCCAGCACTTCTGGAGGCGGAGGGGGGCGGCATCGCAAGGTCAGGAGATCGAGACCATCCTGGCTAACACGGTGAAACCCCCGTCTCTACTAAAAAAAAAATACAAAAACTTAGCAGGGCATTGTGGAGAGCGCCTGTAGTCCCAGCTACTCGGGAGGCTGAGGCAGGAGAATGGCGTGAACCCGGGAGGCGGAGCTTGCAGTGAGCCGAGATCGCGCCACTGCACTCCAGCCTGGGCGACAGAGCCAGACTCCGTCTCAAAAAAAAAAAAAAGAAGACCATAGGGGATACTGTGAAATCTCTATCAAATTCCCTCCCATCCACAAGTTAAACATTTAGTTTGCAGACAGTAAGTCATTAAATAATTCTTTCTAGGTCATTGTGGACTATTTGCTGTTCCATTTTTTTCACATGTGATTAATCTGAATGTGCAAATTAGGGATTTCAATGGGATTTGACTCACTTCCAGAGTCCTTGAGCTCTTGATGATATTTTTTCTTAAAATGAGGACCCCGCCTCCTTGTTTCCCACCCGCTTACTCTCTGGTTACCTTAAGTAATGAAGCCACATGGGAACACATCAGAGATTCTGATTCGGAATGCATCTGATTCCTTCCTGTTTGGATCAGTTTCTCGGCACCCAGTTCATTTCTGAAAGCACATCAATTCCAGGATGTGCAAGACCCTGGGACAGAGTATTCTCTCACCGTCTGCTAATGAGATAAGTGCCGCAAGTTAACAGGCGGCCACGGGAATAACAACAAGCACTCCAGTATGCATTTCCTCTAATTACCCATGTTTGTGTTCTTGCTAATTTGAGAGGGATTTCTGTGATGAGGCAAGGCTTCATTCCTTTTCCTCCCTCCCCTAACACTGGCCTTCTAAGGAATATCTATAAAATTTCCTCCTCTGCTGGTAGGACTGTACCACTAATTAAAGCACTGTGGACTAACATGGCCATCTGGATCCCATCTGTTGTTCTTCCAGAGACTGAGAGGGCAGCATGGAGGGCCAGAGTTGATCACTAGTTGATCAACTAACCTTCATCTCTGGTACTTTACATCTTAGTGAGAAGGTCAGAGATCAAGAGGGCACAATTGAATGTCACTTATGGGGCAGTGGAAGCACTTCCTCTGTTATATTGGTATATTTACATGGACTCAATTATACCAAGTCTTTACAATAGATTTAGTGCCATGTGGATCCTACAGATGGCATGAAAATAATATATGATATGGAGGCTGGCAGAGAGAGAAAGAAAGAGCAAGGACAGAGTCTTCAAGAAGAACAAGACCCATGTGGGCTTATTTCTATACCTCCAATAGCAGCCTGTAGGAAGTAACAAGAGTGACCCACTATTAACACCTATCATATACCAGGTGGTTCTTCTAAGCCTTGTATAACTTAAATGTCAGCCCCTGACTGTCCCTAAGTTCTCCAGCTTTTTGAAGTCATCTTGTCTTTTAACATTTAAGTAAAAATGGGCTTGAATGTCCCTCTTATGTACATTAGGAAACTTGGGGTCCTTCTCAATATCTCCAAGGGTTCTTAGGGTGCTCATATTCCTTGTAACTCCTCCTGTTTCTGAGTTCCTTCTCCCAAATAATGTATTTGATATTGCCTTGCATTTTATTATGAAAATTAGCAAACAGATGCAAAAGAAAAGAGTGCAATCAATCGGGTACTTAGCTTCAACAAGGGCCAATGTGTGATTAAAATTTTAAATCAATGTCTCTCACTTCCTACCATAACTGGATCATTTTAAAGAAAATCCTAGACACATTATTATTCCCAGGAATAATAATACTTCATTCATTAAAAATTCAGTGTGTATGGTGAACAGAGTGTAAGGTGATTCTCACCATTCCTATTTTCTGGTGTTTCTATTTTTATGTAGTTCCCTCCTTATGAGTGTGGGCAGAACGTGTGACTTCCCCCCAACCAATTGTGTGTACATAAGACTGTAATATCCATCCTTCTAGGAGATTCTCTCCCTTGTTGATTGGAAAAAGCCAGCTGCCATGTTGTGAGTATCCCATTTAAAAGGGCTATATGGCAAGGAACCGAGGGCAGCCTTCAGCTGACAGCCAGCAAGAAACCAAGATCCTCAGTCTGGTAGCTTGCAAGGCACTGAATTCTGCCAACAACTGCGTGAGCTTGGAAGTGGATCCTTCCTCAGTTAAGCCTTGGACAAGACCCAAGCCCTGTTGGACGCTTTAATTACAGCCTTGCAGAGAACCCAGCTAAGGCATGTTCAGACCTGATCCACAGAAACTGTGAGATAATCCATGTGTGTTGTTTTAAGCCTCTAAGTGTGTGGTAATTTGTTACACAGCACTGGTTAGCTAACACAGATACCTAGACAGCTGGTAAAGCATTATTTCTGGATGTGTCTGTGAGGGTGTTTCTGGAGGAGATTGGCATGTGAGTCAGTGAACTCTGTGGGCAAGAGCTGCCCTCAATGTAGGTGGGCACCATCCAATGTTGTTTTGTTGTATCTAGGGGCCCAGATAAAACAAAAAGGCAGAGGAAAGGTGAATTCACTCTCTCTCTCCTGAAGCTGGGGTACTTTTATCTCTTGCCCTTGGACATCAGAACTCCAGGTTCTCTGGCCTTTGGACTCTGGGACTTGCACCAGCTCCCGGCTTCTCAGGACTTCAGCCTCAGATTGAGAGTCACTCCATTAACTTTCCTGGTTTAAAAGCCTTTATACTTGGACTGAGAAACACCAACAGCTTCCCTGGGCTTCCAACTTGCAGATGACCTATCACAGGACTTCTCAGCCTCCATAATCGCATGAGCCAATTCTCCTAATAAGTCCCCTTTCACATATCTATTTATCTACATACGTATATCCTACTGGTTCTGTCTTTCTCAGGAACCCTGACCAATATAGTATGTATCTCTAAAAGATAAGGACATCAAAAAATATTACCGCGTCTAAAAATAAAGTGATTTCTTAACGTCATGAAATATCCAATTGCTCTCCAAATTTTCACAATTACAAAAGTCCACATGTTGCATTTAATTTTAATGCCTCTTAATTCTCCCTTAATTTTGAGATTGCCTTTTAAGTAAGGCAGTTTAGCTCCCTAGTTTCACTCTAGCCCATCCAAGGTGTTTCCAAAAACCTCACCTTCACACTAACCACATCCATTATAAGCTGCTTCTTAAACGATGAGAGCTCTCACTCTCTAAAAGGAATTCTAAGCATACCTCTTAAAGTAATAACATATTATATCTCTACTAAGTTTATAATCATAAAGAATGTGGGTATTTGCATTCTCATTTTACAGATGGGAAAATTAGTGTAGGTAACACATATAGAGAGGTGATAAATAGCAATGGTTTCCAAGAATGATGACGATTTCAGTGTGAAACAGAGAGTAGCAATGGCAAGAGATACAGCTAAGTAAATGTGGATGGTGAGGGACCCATTCTGCCTTGTTAAAAGGTTTGAACCCACCCTATAGACAATAAATCACTCAGTGAATCACTGAGCAATTTTAATTATGGAAGCAATGTGATCAGATTTATATTTAAGGCAAGAGGATTGGTGGCAATGTAGAAGGCAAACACAAGTCAGAAAGAGTTAGAAGTAAGAAAAGTGAGTAGTCTGAAGAAATTGGACACATAAGAGATGAGGGGGCTGGAATGACTAACTATGCATCTTATTCTGAAATATGTCTCTTAGGTAATTGATTATTGATACCCCACATCCAAATAGTGGGACAGTTAACTGAGATGTCAGAGCCAGCCTTTTCAACACTTCTAGAGAGAAATTTTGCAAAGACACATCTCTTGTACCTCCATGGACTTTTAATACAGATATGTTTATCATAAGATAACCTTCTAAAGAGCTCATGATAGCATATGATCAAACTCCTTATTGTACAGTCAGGAGGAATCAGCCTTGTTGAAGGAAGGGGCTTACCCAAAGTTACAAGTTGGGACAAAATTTTTGCTTCCAATTCACTGCTGTTCTTACTAGAACTGTTTTCTCCAGTCTCATAGAAGTTCTGAGAAACAATTAGGCCCACACTATCATCAACAGGCAAATATGTGTGCCTGACCAGACAGACAGAGAGGTATTTTGAGAGAGGCCAGGAATGAAACTGGTGAAGAGGCCCAGAGTTTCAATCCTGTTCTCACTCAAGATTCATCATCATCATCATCTTTACTATAAGGAAGAGGGCATTTAAAAGCACAAATGAGATTGTTAGTGATAAAAAGGTACTTATACACCAGCCAATTCCATCCTCCATTTTGCTGAGGCTCAAAGAGGTACAGTGACTTATCTTCGGTTATGTATGCAACTATTGCAGAGCTGGATATTGGACTTAGGCCTCCTGAAGCCCAGCACTGTGCCTGCAGGAGCATTCCCAACTCCTGTCTTTCTGCTCAATACATGGGGAAGAGACGAACAATTTAGGCTACTCAAAATGTGGTGGGCATTTGGGCTCTGGGGAGAGCTTCAGCATCTCTTCTCTCTTTTCATGTTCTCCAACTCCTCAAGCAACATACACACATAGCATAAAGATCACTAGCCAGCTATTTTCTGTCTTGAAAAATTTTTATGATAAGAGTTTTCTAATTAGGGAAAGCCACAGTTCATACACAAAACACAAATTACTAGGCTCTTTGTCTTTTTCAGAAGAAGTATTAATCCATAAATAAATATACTCTGTTGCCAAGTCACTACCATGCTGTATCACATGGCCAAAGGATGCCAAAAGGTATGAGCTCTTGGTGAATCCCAGCTATTGACAGCCAGGTGCTGGACCTTAACCAGAGGCATTGCTATAGGTGGTTAAGTATATGGGCTCTGGTCAGTGGTGACAAAGTTCCTGGGTTCAAATCCCAACACCCCCAGTTACTAGTTATGTGACCTTGGACAAGTTGATTAAAATCTCTGTACTTCAACTCCTTTATTTGTAATATGGAAATGATTTTTTAAATTACCTATCTTCTGGGTCTATTGCAAAATTATCTTATTTAATAATAAGATAATCCACTTAAGGCACTATATGTGAGTTTTTGCATGTAGTGAGCACTTGAACCAATAGAGTATATTTCCTTTTGAATGTAAGAAATTCACAGAGACAGCTTCTCTATAGTAAAGGTAAGAATCAAAACTGAGTTTCTATAAATTACTTTGTATTGCTTAGAGAAAGAAGTCATGGCAATAGATTGAATATATTTTAATTTAAAGTAGAAAATTATATAGGAAAAATAGATATATCTTCCAGAGCTCAGTCTCAAAGGCCACATTTTCTTTTGAGTATTTTAACCTCCAAAACATACTTAGTATGTGGTGAAATTGCCTACTTCTGGGTTGAGTAATGTGAGCTATCATTACCATGGTAACAACAAGGCCAATAACTTGAACTCCAGTCATAGTAGCTACAATAAAGGGGACTCAGTTTGGAAATAATTAGAATCCATCCTTTTTGAGACTGAAATTCATTGCCTTTAAGACTCAATCAACATTCCTGGTGGTAGTCTGGAATCAGCTCAAATCAAGATACATCTATCTTTAAAAAGAATATAGGACAAGAAATCCAAAATAGGAAAAAAATCAAATCATCTTATCTTTCTGGTGCATTTACTAGTCTGATGAGTCATAAGAAAATAATAACCCAGAGGTTAGAAACAAAGACATAAGCACAATTCCTTTCATTCCATGGGTAAAATTGAATTATAGTGAGTCCCAAACTTTTTTTTCATAAAAACAAGGCAAATGGACCCATTTTTAAGTTGAAAGTATTGACCCGTTGTGTTTTTGCTTCTATAGTTTTGTAGAATTCAAAATTATAGAATGTTGAAATTATGAGGAATCTTTCAACATGATTTTATAGATTTAACAAAAGTCCAGAGGGATACGTGCGACTATAGTCCTAGTACTTACAAAGGATCCACGTGAGATTAGAACTCAAGTCATAATTTTCTGTCTTGTCTACTATATTAGGTTACCCTTGTGGAGAATCTAACATTTCATGTTATGCTTCAATAAAACTTTTCTATCTAGTAAGGAAGTAGAGATAATTATTAAATCACTTTCCAACTGCCCTACAACACGGGAAAGACAAATAGTGATGAGTGGGTGTTGACAGCATCTCAGAAATGCCTGAAGATGCCTATGATTTGAGAGAGGCTAAAATCCTGTTACTTAACACTCTAAGGCATATTTATATTCTGCAATTATTCTTCTACACCCTCTAACTTCTGCTGAAAAGGGTCCCTTCTCGGTAGCTCATTTTCTCTCATTAACATCCTTCCAAACTTTCTCTCCTCTCCCACCGCATTTTCAAACATCTTGCCAAAGGGAGATGCCAGTTAAGAGAGTCCTGGCTGTTCGAAAGAGGTTGAAGGGCTCACACTCCATTCAGACGTCTCTGCTCCTCAGCTGCAGGAATGTGGGCTCTTTGGGAGGTAAGAGACTCTAAAAGGGACAAAGAGGCCACTGGAGCCTCCATTCGTGATGATGTTTTCTTCCTAGTTCTGCAAACCAAAAGTTCTGTTTTGTTGGTAGATCCAAAGGAGAACTCTCTGGAAGCCTCTGTTCTGCACAAGATTAATTGAATGGAATAAGTACCTGAGCAAGCAAAGAAAGGGTCTTGAACTAACTCTCAGAGACCCGTGCTGCTCCAACTCTGGCCTGGGTTCCAAATGTTTTACTTTTCACAGTAGTATCTAGAACTGATCACAACCTCCCTGATCTCCCCAGTTGCAGTCCTTTGTTTTTTTTGTTCATTGTCTCTATACTTGTAATCCTTCTATCTCCCAGCCAATAACCTAGTTTTCATCAAGCCACGTTTTTCATTGTCTCTCTCTTCTTCTTTGTTCAACTCCTACACTGTTGTTCCTTTGACCAATTTGATAAAATCCAAACTCCTCCACCTTAGGACACATTCTCCTTTCCAACCATGCCTATGGATTTGTTCTTCCTTGCTACTAACTCATTGATGCACACCTCTCTGCTCTTGCCATTCCTGCCAGCAATGTCTTCCTATCAGGCCCACTTCCTGGCCCCACCCTCTCGGTTCAGCTGGGCCCCCTTATCTCCACACCAGCAAGGAGGTGCTGTTCTTCTTCAGCTCCTGGCCCATTCAGTGTGAGGCCAACAGCATGGCAACAGCCCTGACCCCTCTCCATCTGCCACTAAATCACAGCAGCTGACTTTCAGACCTTGGGTGTTGGGCCTGCCCAATCTTCTTGTCATCTCACCTGCTATATCGGTCCTGTCCCTAGAACTGATATTTTGCCTTGGTCCTTGCTCTTAGGTCCTGGCTGAGTTATCTTCCTGACCGGATTGTCCTCCCTGTCATTCTTCTCTCTTCTGAACTTTAGCCAATGTATGGGCCCTACTGTCTGTGGACTGATCTCCAAAACACTGCCCAGCCTGCAGACTCCCACCCACCTTGTGCACTTAAATAAATTTGTTCGAAGCTCATAATAATGGCTTCCATCAATTGTTTATGTATTTAACTTTTGTTATTTTCTAAAGTTTTATTTTGGATTTTGGATTTTTATTTAATTTGGTTGTATTGGTCGTTCATTTATATGCTTTTATTATCTTCTCTTTATGAAGTATTTTATGAACATTATCTTATTTAAACCTCATAATAACCCTAATCAGAATATATTAATATTTGAATTTTTATATGAAGAACTTGATG
Organism: Homo sapiens; assembly: GCF_000001405.40. Lineage (NCBI taxonomy): Eukaryota > Metazoa > Chordata > Mammalia > Primates > Hominidae > Homo > Homo sapiens. The sequence continues at coordinate 162,971,403 of NC_000001.11, read as the reverse complement.
TTCAGAGAAATTAGGTAACTTGCCCAAGGTCACATAGCTTATGAGTTGCAATGATCTTTTGTCAAACCTGACCTAAATTCTGTCTCTTACGAGAAGGCTTTCCAATTAATACTTAACTCCTTGGCTCATGCTTTCAGTTTGTGGTGCAAATTGATGGACTCACTATTTTGTGTGCTTCAACTGTTTGTATCTCAACACTTAAAGATTCTCAAGGACAAAAATCTTTTCAAAAGTAAAATAATATTGATTCCTCCAAATGACAGAGAATAGATTCATAGAAAATGATGTTGGCTGAATCAGTCTACCTTCACGTACGCTTAGAGTGAATTGGGAGGCATAGTAATATAGTGTTTAGAAGTATGGATTAACCGCTCAGGTGACCTCTTTGATCTATGACTCAAGCTTCATTATTAAATGGGCACAGTAATGGCCAAGCCCTTGCTGCCTCATAGAGACAGAGGATATCCCACCAGAAAAAAAGGCCCACAGCTTCTTACTCATGATGGCTTAGATGAGAACAACACTTTACAGCTCACAGAGTAGCATCACAAACCTCCTCATCACAAACCTTTGCAGTAGGCAGCCATCCCTATCACTATTTTAAAAAGAGGTGATGACGGTTCATAGCAAATAAATAATTTGTTCATAATCATTCAATAAGAAAGAGACAAAATTAGTACTCAAACCCAAATCCCCTGACTCAAGCCCAGTACTCTCTCAGTCATGCTACATGGCTGCCTCTTCTTGCATGAAACAATTCAATGATGCAGGCTCCAGATAAAGAGAAAAATCAGCATAAGAAATTTCTATTTCTAAAGATAAATAGATGCCAATAACTTTCACATTCCCCAGCTAAAAATACTTCTTAAAAAGCCATGGCTGGACCCCATCCTAATGTGGCCTTAATGAAAATATCATATTATGCTGCAGCCTCTTAAACCCTTTTGTCCTATCAAATGTACGTCTCCCTTTGCCTTATTTCCCTTGGTCACAGAAATCACATAAACAGTGGCTAAATGACTGAGGCTACCAGGGATCTATAATAATTCAAATACACAAACATGAGGCCTAATTTTAGACTGTTCCAGGATAGTAGACATTCTGGGAGTCTGCAGTGCTTCTGGTTTGGTTGCCGTGTTTGTGGCTCCGTGTTAATTAGGAGGGATGGCTTAAAGGTCACTCAGAGCAGTCAGCCCCATCATGTGAAATGGAAGAAGGACTGGGGCAGTGAAAATAACTCGAGCTATGAATTGTATTTGGAAACTGCATTTTTACTAACAGACAAAAGCTCTGTGTTTTGCTGGCTGAGTTCTAACACAGAAATTTCATTTGCTGACCCTGCCAGGGACAAAGAGAACCTGTTTCTTAAATGCAGAAAGGGTAAATGAGTCTCTGCTCACCTGCAAAGGAGCAGGCAAGCTATTCATGCCAAAAATACACTCTTTGCCTTCACATTAGTCACTGGCATTCTGTCTCTGGTCTTCATGACCTTTCAGAAATATTTCTCCACTGACCCAAGGACAGCAGTGACCTTCATGTGTTTTCACTGCATTGCTACAACATGAGAAGCCAGGACAATAGTGGTGGCGAGGACATCTTTATTAGAAGAGAAGGACCCTATATATACTAATCCTTACCTCCAGATAAATAGAATCTCCAGAAAAGGAGCATACGGTGAAGAGGAAGGGAAGTCCCCACAACAACGCCCACCACCAGCCTACTACTCCTACCCTGGGGAGCGCAGTCAGCTAATGAGCAGGATCCATTTAACAAATTTCGTGAAACTCTTTGTATTAGTCTGTTCTTACACTGTTAATAAAGACATACCCGAGACTGGGTAGTTTATAAAGGAAAAATGTTTAATAGACTTACAGTTCCACATGACTGGGGAGGCCTCACAATCATGGCAGAAGGCAAAGGAGGAGCAAAGTCACGTCTTAGGTAGTGGCAGGCAAGAGAGCTTGTGCGGGGGAACTCCCATTTATAAAACCTTCAGATCTCATGAGACTTATTCACTACCATGAGAATAGTATGGGGGAAACTGCCCTCATGATTCAATTATCTTCACCTGGCCCCGTCCTTGACACATGGGGATTTCTACAATTCAAGGTGAGATTTGGGTGGGGACACAGCCAAACCATACCACCCCTATTGTGTGCCAGGAATAATACCAGGTAGTGTGAAAGCTGAAAGGAATCAGTCAGAGTCTCCACCTTCACAGATGGCATAGTGTAACAGAAAAAAAAATAGATATGCACTTTAAAAACTATTATAGATATTTATTTGTAAAATCATTTAGGAGGATAGAGACATGAGCAATCTGTTCTGCGTGGGGCTGGGTGGAGGATTCAGAAAAGTCTTCATGAATAAGAGGTCACTTGAACTTAGCAATGAAGGGTAAATATAATCACATTTTAGGCACAGAATAACACAAGGAATGGGCAGGAAACAAAGAAAAAGTATGAAAGAAGATAAAGAGATACCAAGTACCTGTATGGAGGATAATGACCATTTTGTCATAGCCTCAGCCAACAAAAGAATTTAAGCAGAAGGCATAGGGTCACCTTTGCATGTTAGAAAGGGGATTCTGAAATGTGGAAGAGAAAAAGCAAGCACCTGAGCCAGGAGTGACGATATAGTAAACTACTTAAATAGACAAGGGGAGAAGAGATGAAGACCTGACCAAGACTAAGACCATGGGGATGAGAGGAAAAATCTTCTGCTCATAAAGACACTGAATGCTGTTGATAGATTTTTCAAATCCCATTTTTACAGTGAACTCAATGTGTATGGTTCTAGAGTCAGCAGAGCACTTTCATCTTCATGATCTGATGCCCATCATTCCCTAGACTCAGTGAGGTAAGCAGAGAAATTATCTAATGATGCCGTTTTAGCATCACTAGAAATGGAAACGATGCAGTTTTATAAATTGGAACTTTTAGGAACTGAAACAAAAAACAAATGAAGGTGAGGGGTGGAGGCCAGGGTGTGGGGAGGGTAGCCCAGAGCATGGAGGAGCCAGGATAGCCAGCCTCAGAGACACAGGCAGGAGCAAGGGTGCCTGAGGGCCAGGGGACCAGGAGCATCAGGAGAACAGAAGGACAACCAGAAAAGGGGGTGGGGTGGCAATCTCCTTTCCGACACTTGAGAAAACAGAAGAAAACCTTGCTTGACTCCACTCTTCTTACATGCTACCATTCCATTCCTCAAAAGCATTCTCTTTACTTGCTGTTCCCAAATCCTCCCTTCCCACTCACTCTTGAACCCATACTAAAAAGGCTTTCTCCGCCACCACCCCATAGCAAGTCTTGTCAAAATCATAAAAATGCCTCTGTTTCTAACCTAATAATCAATTATCAGTCTCCATGTCACCTGTGCTATCTGCAGCCTTTAACACAGTTGATCACTTCCCCCTTTTTTACTGCACTCTTCCCTTGGCTTCCAGGACCCCTCACTCTCTGGATTTTTCTCTTACCTCACTGGTTTCTCCTTTATGGGTTCCTCCTCTCCTATCACCTCTTCATGCTGGAGTGGCCCAGGGTTCAGACCTTGGTCATCTTTTCTATTTGACCCCCTTCCTTGGTAACCTCAGTTACTTGGCTTTGAGTTTCCTCTATATGCTAAAGACTTACAAATTTAAACCCTTGCACCTTCAGCCCAGACCTCTCTCCCAAATTCTAGACTTGTATATCTAACTTCCCATCCAACATTCCTGTTTTTCTACATAAATATTTCAAACTCAATATAAAAAAAAAAAGCTAAACTTCTAATCCTCTTATCTCTCCAAAAACTTGTTTTACCTTCTGGTATCTCTATCCTTCCAGTTGTTAGGTAAAATATCTTGGAGTCATCTCTGGCTTCTTTCTCACTCTTTACATCCAATCTAGCAGCAATTTCTGCTGGTTCTAGCTTCAAAATGCATCCAGAATCTAGTCACTCCTCATAGTCCCCCTGCTACCAACCTATTCTAAGCCTCTACTACTTCTCATCTAGATTACTGCCTGTTATGGGTTACATTGTGTTTCTCCCCCTTCCCTCTCTGCTTTCTCCAAATGTGTTAAAATCCTAAACTTCAGGCCATCAGAATGTGATCTTATTTGGAAATAGTGTCATTGCAGATGGAATCAAGTTAAGATGAGGTCACATGGACATGACCTTTTTTCAACATGACTGGTGTCCTCAAAGGAGGGGAAAATTTTGATACAGAGAGACACACACAGAGGGGAAATGATGTGGATACACCTAGGAAGAGGACAGCCATGAGAAGACAGAGGCAGCAATTGGAGTTATGCTGCCACAAGCCAAGGATTACCTGGAGCTACCAGGGGCTAAAAGATGCAAGGAAGGGTCTCACCTAAACGCCACAGAGAGAGCACAGCCTGGCTGACACCTTCATTTCAGACATTTCACCTCCAGAACCCTGAGATAATAAATTTCTATTGTTTTAAGTCACCAAGTTTGTGTTATTTTATTACAGCAGCTCCAGGAAATTAATACACTGTAATAGCCTCCTCACTCCTCCTTGCTTCTACTCTTTCCCCCGGCCCTTAAATTTGTATACAACAGAGCAGCCCAAATAATCCTTTCACTGTAAATCATGCCCTGTCACTTCAAAACAACTCAACATTCTCAAATGTCACTACTCAGAACTCTCCCATGGCTCTCCACCTCATTCAGAAGAACACCAAAGTCCTCATAATATAATGGTCTATGTGGCCCTACATGTTCTCTCTCCCATGGCCTCTAATCATCTTTTTCTCCTCTCCCTCATGTCCTCTGATCTAGCCTCTTTGATGTTCTTTATACCTATCACATCTTTTCACATTTTAGCAGTCTTTGCCTGGAAAAATATTTCTCCAGGTATTCACATCCTTCAAGATTTGCCTAAATTTCTCCTTCTTGAAGTGCCTTACTCTGACCATCCTACTTAATGCTGTAAATTGCCCTGCTCTTCTCCAAATCCTAATGCTAAATTTCTCAACCTTGATCTTTCTCTCTGTCTTTTATTTATTTATTTATTTTTAATTTTTTTTGAGACAGAGTCTCCCTGTCATCCAGGCTGGAGTTCAGTGGTGCAATCTCGGTTCACTGAAGCTTCAACCTCCAAGGCTCAAGTGATCCTTCCATGTCAGCCTCCCAAGTGGCTGGGACTACAGGTGCATGGCGCCATGCCCTGCTAATTTTTTTTTTAATTTTTTTGTAGTGAAAGGGTCTCACCATATTGCCCAGGCTGGTCTTAAACTCCTGGGCTCGAATGATCCACCCACCTCGGCCTCCTAAAATGCTGGGAATACAGGTGTGAGCCACTGTGCCCACCCCATCTCTTCTTTTATTCCATATTACTTATTATTTATTAGAATACCTTATTATTTTCTTATCTATTACATATATATTTTTGCCTGTCTCTACCCACTAGAACATAAGTTTCAGGAGGCAGGGGTTTTTGTTTGTTTTTATTTGTTCATTGCTTTATCTTAAGCGTCTAGGACAGTATATAGCACATAGTGGGAGCTTCATAAATATTGGCTGAAGTGTTAAATAAATTTCTTGCCTTATTATTTTGCTTAGAGAGAGTGCTACATTAAACATCGACAAAAACAGTGATGTGTATGAGTGCGCATGTGAGCATCCATGAGCACTGGTGTGGAGGAGAAGATGTAATTTGGAATTGGGTTTAATTCTCAATTCTGGCCATTTCTAGCTGGACAACTGAATATGAGTTACATCAACTACCTCAATTTCATAATCGTAGAATGCACGCAATAATTTCTACAACACACAGTTGTGAAGAACAAATTAGATAATATGTATAAAAGTGCTTTGGCAAACCAGAAAGCACTCTAATACTGTAATTAGTAACATTTTGTGTTTGTTGAGACTTATTTTTTCTTTGTGGTTCTACTCGTTGTTAACACTTTCTGATTAACCCGGAAATTTAGTTAGCCAGGAGAACATGATGTAAAAGAAACAGAATCTGGTTTGGCATTAGACCTATGTTTTGGCTTACAGACTTGAAGTTGCGGGCAGCAGCTTTTAAAGCCCCTTTGCGTAGAGGAAAGCCATCAGGTGTCTGCTGATTGAAGCGAACTAGACAGTACACCATTGGCTTGTACTTTCCGCTATTTTACCTCTGACGTCTATAACATAATTATTTTTATCCTTTATATCACTTTTAAATCACTAGGAATAAACCTAAGCAAACCATTTTGACTTGTGCCTTTAACTTATCTCCAAAGTCAGAGGTGCAGTCTAAGGAAATCTCTGAATGAAGTGAAAGGTTCGTTTAAAATCATGTTTACTTAACAGTATTTTGCTCAGTTATATTCTTGCCAGACAAAGAAGAAAGTTATCCTGATAAGAAGGAGCAGTGTCAAATAGCTCTGGAGCAGTATACCAGAATAAAGATTATCATACTAGTCTTTTTCCAACATGTTCTGAAAACTTTAAATAACTTTGCCTGCTTGATTTAGATACCTTTGATCTTCTTTGCAAATCCTGAGGTTACCATGCCTCTTTGGATTTGGAGTCTTGGCAGATTCTGCAAGTATGTGGCTCAAGGACATGGGTTGAGTGGAGAGAAGTGCAGGAGTATGGGAGAGCAGCCAGCTTTGAGAGACCATCCAGATTTGAGGACAGGGGTCTCTGAGCTGGATGATCTCCTGCTCCAAAATTTAGTTCCTTCTTCTATAACAAAGAAAAATAACGTTCATCCCATTAAATAAGAATTAAATGACATAGTATATATGACATATCCACTACAGGGCTTAGCATGTATTAGGAGCCCCCAGAATCGTAGCAATTACTGCAATTGAAATGAACCTGAAGTCACATTTCTAATCAGCATTAAGCAAAAGAGACACATTAATTAAAAGAGCTAAAGTACTTGGGAATTTTTTTTAATGAGTTGAGTCTTGTATTGAGCCTGAAGATTACACAGGATTTTGGCAAGTAGAGAGAAGGAAAAATGGCCTGTTAGGCAGGACAATCATCATGATCAATGTTGTGAAGGTAGAAAGAAGCACAGGGTACATTGAAAAAAAAAAGTGAAAAATCAAATGAGTTTGAGGATAAGTAGTAGAATCATTAGAGACAATATCAGATAGCATGTTGGATATTTATTGTTATTGTCCATCTAGCACCTATCCCCCACCCCTTAGACAGGTAAAGAACTTCCCTTGTTATAAAAGAAAAAATCCATTTCATGCTATTCAGACACCTCCCTCAAATCAAACAAGGATTATCAAAAGATAACTGAGCAACCATCTATCATAAGACACTTGAAGGAACTAAAACAATTAAAAAGAGGCAAAAAAAAGTTCCCCAAACTGAAGAACTAAATACTTCAGGAGGTAAAATAAAGTAATGCAGTCACTTGAATATAAATCTCTTCAGAAATATATAACATAATGTTATATCCATAACAAATCGACTTCAGAGAGACTACAGATTAATAGTTAAAAGTGGGCCAGGTGTGGTGGCTCACGCCTGTAATCCCAGCATTTTGGGAGGCAGAGGTGGGTGGATCACGAGGTCAGGAGATCGAGACCATCCTGGCTAACACAGTGAAACCCTGTCTCTACTAAAAATACAAAAAAATTAGCTGGGCATGGTGGCAGGCGCCTGTGGTCCCAGCTACTCAGGAGTCTGAAGCAGGAGAATGGCATGAACCCGGGAGGCAGAGCTTGCAGTGAGCCGAGATCACGCCACTGCACTCCAGCCTGGGCGACAGAGCGAGACTCTGTCTCAAAAAAAAAAAAAAGAAAAGTGAAAGAAAAATCTCAATAGACAGATAAACAGTGAATTAGAGGACTAGAACATCAAGTAAGGATAATCTCTTAAAACACAGCACAATAAAGAGATGGAAAAAAAAGACGAAAAGTGCAAACATGAACCAAACCAAGCAAATTAGAATTCTTACTGAGACTTTTCTAGTGGACCATGTAAGGAGAGAAATTCTTTGGGTTTTGGATATTCAGGAGGATGAAATAGCTGCCCACTGTTGTTTGGCCCACCACGTAGAAGATGAAGTAGAGCAAGTAAAAGGAGGACTAAGCAATAAAAAGAGACAACACTATAACCATCCAACAGGTTCATTTTGCAAGCTGCCTGGATAGAGCCAATTTATCCAGACAGAAGAAACGCAATAGAGAAAGAGTTTAATTCATGCAGAGCCAGGTGAATGGGTGGCCAGAGTTTCATGACTCAAATCAGTCTCTCTGAAAATCCAGAGGCTATGTTTTTCACAAATAGTTTGGCAGCCCAGGGAATGGGTACTGCTGATTGGTTGGGGGTGCAATCATAGGGGTGCGGAAAATGGTCCTTATGGGTGCCTGAGTCCACTTCTGGGTGGGGCCATGGGACTAGCTGATGGGTCCAGGTAAAGGCATTGGTCATCAGAAATGCAAAAACCTGAAAAGGACATCTCAAAAGGCCAATAGTGATATTATCTGCAGGAGTAATTGGGGAAGTTGCAAATCTTGTGACTTCCAGAATAAAGTCTGGTAGTCATTTATATCTACATCTTAGCAGAATTCAGGCTCTTCTCATCCTCCCAACCTGGTGGTCTTTCATTAGCTTTTCAAAGTTGGTTAATTTTGAGGACAGGCTTTCATCATTTAAATTATAAACTAAATGTCTCCCCAAGTTAGCTTGGCCAAAGCCCAGGAATGATGAGGAGCAGTTTGGAGCCTAAAAGCAAGAGATGGGTGTTGGTTAGATCAGATTTTTTTCACTGTCATAATTTTCTCACAGTTATCATTTTTGCAAAGGCAGTTTCAATGCTACAATTCCATTTCTTACAATAATGCAGTAGCAGAGACTGGGTTTATCCTCCACATACAACAATAGAAAATGAAGCAGACTATATGAAATAATTATTTTTAAATGCTGAAACATAAGCAGGAAAGGTCTCTTATCTCTAAGAGGAAAACAACTAGAAGCATTTTTGAGGTTGCCATACAGAAAGGAAAAACTCAAAGCCCAGCACTCCTACTAAGTTAAGGAGACAGAGATGGGAGTTCAAGGAGACCAGGTCAGCTAGATTTAATGAAAAAGAATATCATAAATAAGGGAGATGCACAGAAAGAAAGCTTCACAGATCTGTAGAAAAGTCTCCTTGGCACTTTGGTTGAGTACTTATCTCTACATGAGTGAGAAGAAACTTCCCAAGGTTAGGGAAACAGCAATGGAAAAAACAGTCCACTAGATAATTTCCATACGTCACACAGGGCCAGGATTGGTTTATGTTCCCAAAAGCTAGAGTGAAATGACCTCATAAGACAAGTGGCATCCAGTAGTCTTTAGAAGATAGTGGCTTTATTAATAGTGTTAGATTTTCCCTAGAATGATAACAGAAGTGAGGGACTGAGGGAAAGATCTCAATCAATTGAGGTTTATTGAGCCAGCTTAAGGGCATGTCTGGGAAAAATATGAGATGCATCTGTGGCTTTTTTTCTGAAGAGATTTGTCAGGAGGTTTAATATTTATACATTCCCTTAAAGGGTGAGGAGAGGCAAGTAGGAAGATGGGCAAGTAGGCAATAAGGTGAATAGTTACAATCTTGTGGGACTTTAGCTGGTGCCCAGTAAATCTACATTTTACATAAGGTAAGGTAAATGTTTTAAGATTAAAAAAAAAAAAAGGAGTAAAGGAAGAATCAATTATGTAGACATCTCCAGGTGGGTTGAGAAATTATTAATCTTGGTTTGTCTTTGTTCTACCCCTGGGAAGATAAGCTTAAAATCAACATCACCAGTGTGTAATGGAACAGACTTTTGTTTTTGAAGCTAGGCTTAGTTTATAGACCTAAAGTTACTATGTCCTTGGCATGTCCTTTTTTATGGGGGGCAAGCAAAGAATTTACTTATGAATGATCTGTGGGGGCAGTCATTTGTAGATGCCTGAGGCCTTCTATATTTCCATGGGGATCTGGCTGATGCATAATGCTAGTAACAGCTATTGATTTGGAAGAGGGTGTTGCATGACTCAAGCCTCCAGACTTAATCTTTCCGTTGGCATAAAGAGTTTGAGGAGCCTGAGATTTTGCATTTTTCTTTGCAAGACCAAAGGCAACTCTGGAAATGCTCTAACAAAGGTTAGAAGTAACTTTGAAAAAATACAACTGACTCCAGGTAACGTAAACAAATGCCATTACACATTCCAACTCTATTTAAAAGAATACAACAAAATTCAGCACATAGTGACATAAAATTCACAATGTCCAGCATCCAGTAAAAAGTTGCCAGACATATAAAAGAAAAATGTGACCCATAAGCAAAGAAAAAATAATCAATTACAAGAAACATAAATGACAGAATTGATGGAATTAACAATCAAAGACATTGAAACAGCTATTTTAAATATACTCTATGAAGGGGTGGCAAACTTTCTGCAAAGGTCACATTATTGGATAAAGGACAGATATTATTAGATTTGAAAGTTATGTGGTATCTATCAGAACTGTCCAACTTTGCCACCGTAATGCAAAAGCAGCCATTGACCAGGCACGAATATCCACACCAAAAACTGCAAACAACCCAATCATTGATGAGTGATTGGATAAATAACTGTGGTATATCCATGCAGTGGAATACTCCTCAACAATAAAAATAAAGAAACCACTTAAATACATAACAAAAGTCATGAATCTCAAAGCATTATGCTAAGTGAAAAAAAGCTAGTTTCAAAATGTTACATAGTATATAATTGCCTTTATGTAGAATTTTAGAAAAGGCAAAACTCTAGTGACAGAAAGTATACCTGTGGTTGTCAAGGATTAGGGATGAGAGGAGAGGATTGACTCCAAAGAGGCATGAGGGAACATTTTGGAATGATGGAAATGTTCTATATCATGACTGGTGATAATTACAAAGTTGTTTAAATTTTTTGAAATTCCTTAAACTGCATATTTAAAAGGTATATATTTATAAAGTAGATTTTAAAGGAACTAAGTATAAAAATGGAAATTAACCATTCGAGAATTGAAGTACAAAGTTGGGCTTTACAGTTGAATTAAAAAAACACAATGGACATAAGCTAGAAGATAATATAATGAAACTCTCCCCCCAAAACTGCATAACACTCAAAGACTAGAAAGTATGGTAGAATCAGGAAATGTTCAGTATAGACCTAAAAATTCCACCTTATTTCAGAAGGTGCTAACAGAGAAAAGAGAGAACAGGAAATGATACTGTAATTCTGATCGTGTATCTTATTATTTTGATTAGCTTCTTCCTTTAAATAACGAAAGGCTGAATAAGAAAACTTAAAAGACTCGGCTGGGTGCAGTGGCTCATGCCTGTAATCCCAGCACTTCGGGAGGCCGACACTGGTGGATCACGAGGTCAGGAGATCGTAGCCATCCTGGCCAACACGGTGAAACCCCGTCTCTACTAAAAATACAAAAAGAAATTAGCTGGGCGTGGTGGCGGGAGCCTGTAGTCCCAGCTACTTGGGAGGCTGAGGCAGGAGAATGGCGTGAACCCGGGAGGTGGAGCTTGCAGTGAGCAGAGATCGCGCCACTGTACTCCAGCCTGGGCAACAGAGCAAGACTCCATCTCAAAAAAGAAAAAAAAAACAAAAAAAAAAAACTTAAAAGACTCTAGGCTGACCCAGGCCTACAAAAAAACAAAAGGAAGAAAGAAAACTTAAAAAACAAGACATATACTAGTGGGAACATTTGCAAAGTATGTGACAATGGATCTGCATTTAGAATAAAGAGCAAACTAAAATGCATGAGAAAAAAATACATAAATTGATTAAAAAAGAGAAAAGGAAATGAGCAATTTACTGAATAAGTAATATAAATGACAAATATATGAGAAGATGCTGACTTTCAAAAGTGATGAGAAAAAGGCTAATTAAGATATAATTTTGCCATCATATTTACAAATATTTAAAAAATAAAATCAAATGACATCAAAAGTCAAGAGTTGAGATTTTGAGAAAATGGCATGGCTAGAAACTGCTTATGCAATATTGTTTTATTCAAGCTACAACTTAGTACTATTTATCAAAGATTAAGATGAAAATCTTATGATCCATCAAGTTACTTCTAGTAATTTGGTCTAAAGAATTTTTTTATCTATAGACACACAAGTACAATGATGATTGCATATAATAGCAAAGAGTTGTAAACAACATAAATGTCTAACAGGGAAGATTCAACTCCATTCTACAGAATCTTATTCAGATAGAAAAAATAACTGGGGTAGATCATCATGTAGTGACATGGAAAGATCTTCAAGATGTATTATTAAATATAAAAATCACATATATGGATATTATACAAACATACATATATGGTCATATTATTTTTCAATTGTATTTTCAAATGTGTATGTAAATGTATGTATTTGAATATTAATGTAGAGGCAGTCCGGAAGAATGTATGCCAGAATGTTCTACTAGTGATGAGGAATAGAGGGGAGATGAAGGAGAGTTTTCCCATTTTGTTTCATTTGCTAACCAGTAATTCTTCTACCTATGAGGTTCTGGATGAACATGAACTTACAGGAAAGAGTGGCAAAGGAAATTATTAGCAGGGATTATAGTTGGAACTCCTAATCAGAACTATGATAGTTATAATAGCTCTGATAAATGATACGGATCTAATCGACTTAAGAACAAGGCCTAAAAATGAATTTGTGAGGCTCCTTTATCTTCTTAAGCCCAAACCCCAGATTTCCAGTTAGTCACAAGGGATAGGAGGTCAAAGAGATAAGTGTCTGGGAATATTGAAAGAATAAAAGAGGGAGACCTCTCAATGTCAGGCTCTTCTTCCTTCTCCTGTAGTCTGGACTCTATTACTTCAAAAGCCACTTGGAAGGGGAAAACAGAAAGAGAAAGCCCGCAGGTGAAGAGCAGCTGGAGCAACAAGAAGCAAAGAAACCCAGGTATCTATTCCTGGGGGTAAATGCGACCCAGGAACCACCTTAAAATAAGATTAGTATTTCTTCTTTTGGGGAGAAGAATGAGAGAAATGTGGAAGAACTTTCCCTTAGGAAAAGAGAGTAGCTAAGAACTTGTCCTCTCCTTCAATTCTATGTTTGCTCATAGGTCTGGCTACCTTATTTGCAGAGCCCTGTGCAAATTGAAAAGGCAGGACTTCTTGCTCAAAAACTATTAAGAATTCCAAGGTAGCAGCAGCAGAGCATTTAACCAAGCCCAGAGTCCTATTCTGTGCTAGGCCCTTTGAAACTACACAGGTTGCATACCTATGAAGAAAACCTGTATTTTCTTTTAAAACACTGCGCTTTACAGACAAGACTGATTAACAGGGATATGGCTGGAGGAAAGAAATGGAGACCATCATGGAAGTCTCTGCCCACATCTCTGCACCCAACACCTACTTCTGCTTCCATGTATTTGTATTTGTCAGGGTTTCAGCAACAACAAGCAAAATCCTCAAAAAGGGGTTGTTTAAAAACTATTAATGAAGAGACTTTGTACAGAAGTGTGGCAGAGTTAAGAGAAAGTGGAAAGCCACTGCCATCCTTAGGCCTGAAAGAGCAAAGGGAAGTTTGGTTACTAGAATTCAGGGTCGCTTGTAACTATGAGAGAAGACCAAGGAAATGAGCACCTCCTTAAGTAAAAGAAAAAGCCCCTGTCAAGCAGAGGCCCTGGAGAGGGTAGCCAGGAGAAAAATATCCCTCTCTTTCTCCCTCATGGGCCTATGCTTCCCACTGGTGGGATTGAAAGCCAGTGGGCAAGGGAGGGAGCTGGTCAATGCTGCCCATGAAGATCTGCCTTCAGGGAGCAAACCAGGTTAGAAAGGGGATCTGGACAAATGGGAAGTACCCTTGATGGTGCTCCTAGAACCAATGAGACAAACAAGGAAAAGGTAGCCCTCAGAAGCTTCTGGAAAGAGCTAGAAAGGAACATCAAAATAAGTTCCAGGCCACACTAGTCACAAATAAACAACATATTCACTTTCCTACCTTCAATTACACCGAGGTAGGTTGTCCACTTCAACTCACCACAAGGTTATACAGTGAGCACCAAATGGCACCAGAGACCAAATAATCAGCTAGTAATGTAAAGATGCCTCAGAATTAGACAGTACAAGCCCTCTCCCAGAAAAACAAGAAGTCAGAACCTAGAATATTAAACATGTGATGAGAGGGAATAGTGCCCTAGGAACATTCACCTGAGAAAATGTGAATTCAGGGGATTTCTTGGTGAGCACGACCTCTTTAAGGAGTATTCAAGAAAAAAGGATGGCAAAGATTCTCAGTAGCTGATTTCAGAGAAGAACAGTCAATTAAGCAATTCCAGGGGCATGAGATCATTCTGCATCCCATAAACACGGTCAATGTTCCCCTATGTTGGTAACAGCCTGTGCTGAAAAATCTAAAGCAATTAGTTTTGTCCTCCCAGGCTTCTGAGCACCTACTTCAATCAGATGAAAAGGTTAAAACAAGAGCTAAATATGCCTTGTTGTCACCATCAGGGCAGCTTTGTCCTTGATGGAAGCATTCACTGGGGTCAACTCATTCAAGATTTGGGAGCCCAGGTAACAAAAGAGCTCACCTGGGACACTCAAAAACAGCAATTGCCCAAAGAACTGGGGACAGGAACATTTGAAATCAATATCACTTGAAAAATAAAGCGCGGCTCATTGCGTTCCTATTATAATTTTACTTTGCCTCTGCTTTAGCCAGGAAACGGTCAGTAATAGCTGAAAAACATTTATTTACTCATTCTTTCCTTCATGGTATTTTGTTTCATTGCACTTATTTTACTGCCTTTTCATCTCTGGTTATATGTGGAACATTTTTATAATAAAAATCAAGGGAAAATACTTCACTGTAATGTCACCCTCTAGCTGTGTGACCTCAGGGAAGCCAATTCATAGAAAAATAACCTTTAATAACTGAAATAAATTTCAACATCATCTTCAAACTCTCACTGCACAGATGAGACATAGAGGGAGCGGATATCAAAGTCTCCAAGTAAGCAAGGGTAACAGTTCTCTAGACCTATCTACCACCGTTCAGTGATTACTCAGTTCAGTTCAGTCCAATTCAACTCAATGTTGTAATTTAATTAACATCAAAGGAGTGCCAGCCACATGGAGGGCACGCTGTTCAATGGTATCAGAAGTTTAATGATGAGTTTAACAGTCTCTGTGATAACACAGTAGAAAAGGTATAGACTTTGGTACCAGAATCATTTCAAGTCCTAACTCAGCAACTTACAGGCTGTGAGATGTTTGGAAAGTTACTGGGTCATTCTTACTTTCCACATTTGTAAAATGGGAATCATACCACCTAAACTCACAGAGTTGTAAAGAATTTAATAAACGAATGGATGTAAAATCCCAGCACAATGCTAAAATGGTTGTTTTTTCTAATCCCATCTTCCTCCTTAAAGGCCTCCAAGTTATTCTTTTTCCATATTCCCATAGCACTTTGCAATATCTCTATTATAACATTTCTATAACTGTTCTATAATTACATGTTTCTGTCTTCCAATACAAGGTACTACATGTTTCTGTAGTACCTTGAGGGGAGGACCATGTATTATTTATTACTGGTAACCTAAAGTGATAAGATATGCGAACACACTTAATTAACTATAAAGCACCTGTGATGGTGAGTTTCATGTGTAAATTTGACACATAAAATACAAGTTATTTCATTAAACACTAATCTAGGCACCGCTGTGAAGCTATTTTGTAGAAGTAAGTTGACTTTGAGTTAGGATGAGCTTCATCCAATCAGTTGAAAGGTCTTAAGAGGAAAACTGAAGTTTCCCAAAAGTAGAAGAAATTCTCCCTGTGACCTACAGTGTTGATCTACAGCCAGTGGGCCTGCCCCACAGATTTAAAACTTTCTAGCTCCATGATCACATAAGTCAATTCCTTGAAGTGAATCTCTTTTGACATAGATATAGATAATATAGATAGACATAGATATAGACATAGATACAGATACAGATGGATACCCCACCGCTTCTCTTTCCCTGGTAAAAGCCCAACTGATACAGATTTACCCTAATACAGTATCACACAAATACTTGTTGTTACCTATTGTCTTAGCCTTTAGGGCTGCTATAACAAAAAACCATAGACTCAGTAGCTTATAGACAACAGAAATTTATTTCTCACAGTTCTGGAGGCTAAGTCCAAGATTAAAGTGCTGGCATATTTGGTGTCTTAGTGAGGGCCCACTACCTTAGACAGCAGTCTTCTCATTGTGTCCTCCCATGATGGAAGAGGTGAGGTGTCTCTCTGGGGCATCTTTTATAAGTGGACTAATCCCATTCATGAGCGGTTCACTTTCATGACGTAATCACCCCTAAAGGCCCCACCTCCTCAAACAATCATTTTGTGTGGGGCAGGGGTGGTTAGGATTTCAACATGTTTTCGGAAGGCGGGGAGAACATACACATTCACACAATAGTGGCTACAATCCTTCTAACTTTAAAATTCCATGGCCTTCTCTTGAGTCATTACTGAAGATAATGACTCTATCATTATTGCTCAATAACTCTTTCTAAGACATTCATTTCATGTTTTTACCCTCCATTCTGCCATGAACTTTTGCAGAATTGTTTACACTTTCAAAGTCTTGTTTCTTTATATGTCAAATGAAATATAAATGGAATAATGTAATGGTGAAATAATGTAATCATTCTTTATAGCAGTGTAAAAATGAACTAATACAATAATAATGAAAAAATAATAAAATAATGCCTAGAACATAATGAGTATTCAATGAATGTTAGCTGATTTTTTATTTTTTATTATTATTGTATTTGTCCATTTTTACACTGCTATAAAGAACTGCCTGAGTCTGGGTAATTTATAAAGGAAAAAGGTTTAATTGACTCGCAGTTTCACAGGGCTGAGGAGGTCTCAGGAAAGTTACAATCACAGCGGAAGGGGAAACAAACACGTTCTTCACATGGCAGCAAGAAGGAGAAGTGCTGAGCAAAGGGGTAAAAGCCCCTTACAAAACCATCAGATCTCATGAGAACTCATTCATTATTACCAGAACAGCATGAAGTGTCTACTCCCATGATTAAATTACCTCCCTCCGGGTCCCTCCCACCACACATGTGGATTATGAGAACTACGACTCAAGATGAGATTTGGGTGGGGACACAGCCAAACTGTATCAATTACTATTGTTGCTGTTAGTCTGAGACCCTGGAGGAAGTCCATAGTGTTACCTTTCTGACTCACATTTTAGGTTGCAGAGCTCATCTCCTGAAAAGATGCTACGAAAGGAGGCTTGGGAAGTGAGTTTTGACATTATCTCCAATAGCTATCTCTGTGAACCTTAGGTAGTCACTTTATGTCCCCACAGCTCAGTAACTCAGTGGGTTAGTTATTGGCCCCTTCTTTTTCATTATTCTGAAGTTCAAATAAGTCAGTGTAAGAATACACCACAAATGCACATATACATACAAAAACAGTAGATACTGAAGACATACTTGTTGGAGGAATGAATAGTCAATGGAATGACTGTTGATGGGGAAAAAAAGCTTTTAAAAGTAAAATGATACATCAATTCATCATAAGAAATAAGGCATTCACTCTGACCAAGTTAGCCTCTAAAGCAAAGCGTGAAATCTGAAGTTAAGAGTTCATAGGCAGATGCAAAAGCAGATACATGAACCACACAATAACACGATGTCATGTTTATTTATATCACTGATGTTGGTAAACATGCAAGGAGGAAATCGGAAATAACATGATTGAAAATAAGAGACTAAGGAGAAAATGATGTATTTACCACAAGAAGGAAAAAAAAAAACCAGTTTTCTCTGTGATAGGTTTTTCACACAGACAATAGCCTGTACTTAGAGGTGGAAAAATGACACAAAAAAATACAACAATATAGAGAGAAAATGAAAATCCACTACAGTTGGCTGGGCACGGTGTCTCACACCTGTAAATAGCTGCACTTTGGGAGGCCGAGGCGAGC
Source organism: Homo sapiens (assembly GCF_000001405.40). Taxonomy (NCBI): domain Eukaryota; kingdom Metazoa; phylum Chordata; class Mammalia; order Primates; family Hominidae; genus Homo; species Homo sapiens. Next base: position 162,953,470 of record NC_000001.11, on the reverse strand, counting down.
GGATCACCTGAGGTCAGGAGTTTGAGATCAGCCTGGCCAACATGGTGAAACCCCGTCTCTACTAAAAATACAAAAATTAGTTGGGTGTGGCGGTGGGCACCTGTAATTCCAGCTACTAGAGAGGCTGAGGCAGGAGAATCACTTGAACTCAGGAGATGGAGGTTGCAGTGAGCGGAGATCACACCACTGCACTCCAGCCTGGGCAACAAGAGCGAAACTCTGTTTCAAAAAAAAAAAAAATCCACTATAGTCATATTCAGTCTCTGCTATTTTAAATAAAATGTACATATGCACACACACATACATGTGCGCACATGCACACTATGCCACTCAAACTAAAACGGCAATCAGTAGAGCTGTAGATTAGGCAGCTCTAAGTTCTATAGTGAGTGTCACAGGCCAGATGCAGAGAAAGCAGGACTAGAACAAGGTAAGCCCAGAGAGCAAGGCTGGTGGAAAAATCTTTGGGGCAAGCACTTCAGCCAGTGGATATCCTGAGTGAATGAGGCAAGTGCAAGCAGGTAAAGGCAAACAGCATCCAGAAAGGGTAGCAAGAGATGCATGTAACGTGGAGGGGGATGGAGGGGGAGTTAGAGAAGGAGGTATGGGAGTGGGAAGATGAGGTAGGGGGTTGAGGGTGGGAGGGTGGAAGGGGAGGCTGGGGAGAAGTCAGTATATGTTTGGATAGCTATCTCCTAAGATTCCTTGGACAGGACCCCAGCTTCTTTCCTGGGTTGAGAGTGCAGACTTTTCTGTTTTGTTTTGAAACACTTTCGCTCCTTCCCTGGAGGCTGGAGTGCAGTGGCAGGATCTCAGCTCACTGCAACTTCAGCCTCCTGGGTTCAAGCAGTTCTCATGCCTCAGCCTCCTGAGTAGCTGGGATTACAGGCATGCATCACCACACCTGGCTAATTTCTGTATTTTTAATAGAGACAGGGTTTCACCCTGTGGGGCAGGCTGGTCTCAAACCCCTGACCTCTGGTGATCCACCGGCCTCGGCCACCCAAAGTGTTGGGATTACAGGCGTGAGCCACAGCACCAGGCCAAGAAACCAGACTTTTCTTTAGTTCCCTGCTCCTATTCCTCTGTTTCTTCCAAACATTCATTCTCAGCCATTTACTACTTTCACTTTATCTACCCTCTCTGAAAATCTCACCTCCTTCCATAGCTTCAACTATCTCCTATATTTCCATTGCTCACGAATCTCCAGTTTTAGTCCAGATCTACATCTGAGCAACAGATCCACCTACCTGCCTACTAAACATTTCCATTGATATGCCCTACAGCTTTGTTAACCACACCATTCTCAGTGCTGAATAAGTCCTGCTTCTTCTCTTACTTCTTGCATTTTCTGTCTCCATTTGGGCAATACCATCCACCCAGATAGTGAAGTCTGAGTCATTTCTATTTGTTTCATTTCCTTTACCACTCTGGTTCTTCCACATGGCCACTTCAGCCACTGGGACATTTCTATCGCATGTATTGACCTACAATTAGTTATTTGCATGTTTTTCTCCATCCCTCTCAATGAGATTTTCAAAAATAAAAAGTTAATAATATAGCAAGAACTTAATGGATTAAGGTAGAGCAGTTAGGGTTGCAGGATACCATTTCTGCCATCATTTCTTTCATCTAGTTGACAACAGATAGTAAAGTTGTGAAACCTGCCTATTTGAGCTCAGTCATCCACCAGAGTCAGACACTTGTGTGCTGCTAATCCAGCAGCAGCACCTGTTGAGTGTTGAGTGCCCCAGGCAGTTTGGCCTATGGGAGACCCTGGTGTTTTGCTAATCCAGAGATACTTGAGTTAAAAAGGACACAGTTATACTGTTTATTTGTGCAATGGTATTTTCCTTTAAAATATATGTAACTAAGTAATCATTCTGAATGGCAGTTGATTTGTATTCCTACTGAGATGCAAATTCGTTATTTGAGCCAAGAAACATAATCTCACTTTCTTTTGCCTCAATATCACCATCTAATAAAAACAATAAGCTATGCACACGTAATCTGCTATTTCCTGTCACTTGGTTTACTCTCTTCTACAGGTGCAGGACCCAGATCAGCATCAACTTTGAAATAAACTACAGCTCTCCTGTGAGCTAAAGGCAGAAATGTGGAAACGCTGAGAAAAATTATTGTCTGCATCACAGTGTGTATATCCTAGGACTGCTTTCTTTTAAAAGAAAGGAACATATATTGCACATAGGACAGATTTGATTGGGTCTAAGATAAACCTCTCAACTTTGAGAACCAGGGTTTCTCAGAGATTGAGAGGGGCTCATCCAAACCATCTTCAGTTTTTGAGACTCACAGTATATTAAAAATTAAACGTAACGAAATAGGGTTATAAACATTGCAATACACTTATATTCAACATTTCAAATTTTTTAACATAAAACATGTAATATCTGTATGCAGAGCTGCATTTGATAATATGCTCGGAGGATGTGAGGCCTGACCAAATAGGCCTTCTTTCTTTTCTTCCTCAGCTCACTCCAAGAGGCTCTGCCAAAGATCATTGCATCTTTTTGAAGAGCAAGAGTCTGATCTATTTCTTCCTTATTCATTTCCCTATTAAAGCCAATTCATATTTTTTAAAAAAAGAAACTAAATCATTTGGCATTTATTTGTTGTGTAAACCTTTTTGTTAATAATGATTAAAACGGTCATCTGGTAGATTCTGAAACCTAGTTACCTCCAGAAAATTTTAAGAACATTTTTTAGTGAGGCAGTATTCCTTCTGTGTTTCACATCCTTGAGTACAAGAATGCATTCAAAACTTCCTCTCCTGGCTCTGATGGAGCATAACAAAAATCTAATGCTCCCAATGAGAACAACAAGAAAAGCCAGACATAATATTTTAAAAATTCAAAAAAAAATCACCTTTTTAAAAGCATCAGAGAACTGTCACATTAGCTACAATCACTGAGGACAATATCCTAGAGAGAAGGAAAGCTCATTGAGATAAGCTCAACTTTCTGCCTGCCACTTTTCCCTTTGGAATATTTGCCACATTTTGACTCAAGGTTGAAAGCTGAGGAGCTAGCCAAAAGACAGCTGGTTAAGAGGCAGAGAGGCAGCAGAGCTTTCAGCAGTTGTGTGAGGTTGAGAAGATAAAAATGTGAGCTCTTGGCTGGCAAGCCATCCAGACTTGAGGGCCCCAAATCTCCAAGAGAAAGGAGATGCAGAGAAGTTCCAACACTGATCACCAGTTCTTTCCTGGGGAATTTGGTGGTTCTTAAGCTACCTAGAACAGAAGGTCAAGAAGTCAAACAGAAAGTGACTAAAAATCATGGCAGAGTTTAGGGGAGCCTCATGATACTCTGGAAATGAAAATCGGAGTTCAGGGCCTACTCCTGACTGGAGATACTGCTGACTAGCAAATAGCATGGGTTCACACTTGGAGTCCCTGGAATGCTCTATGCGAGGAGTGGGAGTGAACTAGACTTGACTACACATGAAAAAATTGAAATTCAGGATTTCTACTTCTACCTTGGATGTAAAAATTTAACAAAGTGTTGGTTTCACCCTAACAGTGAGAAAAAGCTGAAGAAACTATGAAATTGTAACTTTTCCAAGCCCACTAGGGAGCTAAGGTAACAGAGCAACCAAGTTGCCTGAATTGCAAGGAACAATAGACTCCTCCAAAGGTAATGGGATGTATGGTCTGAGTCACCTGTGGCAGAGCATGAAAGGACCAGGTGGCTGAATTGTTGAAGGTCGAGTGTGAATAACATGTCAGTCTGAGGTCCTCAGACACTGAGAGTTTACACTCACTCACAGGCTCTTCTTTATGGGCCTCTACTGGTGCTCATGAGAGAGACCCCTAGTTTGTAAGTGGAACAAGTCTGCAGGAGTCAATTGGCTGTTATTTCACAGCCACCCCATGCCGAATCCTTGTTTCACAGGAAGAATAATACTTAAGCTACTGAAGGAGAGATAGCAAACAGCCAATATACCCATGAAAAGGTGGCCCATAGCATTACCCATTAAGAAAATGTAAACTAAAACTACAATGAAAAATCACTACATACTCACCGGAATAGCCAATATCAAAAAGGTTGACCATAGCAAGTGTTAACAAAGGTGCTAGGCCAACAAGAACTCCTATAGGTTATAGATATAGTCCACCGTATTACATACTGTTAAACAATATTACTAATCTTTGAAAAACTGATAGAATTGTATATATGCATTTTACTCTGACCCAGAGAAGCATTCTACTTCCAGATAAATACTCAATAAAATGAATACATATATCCCTCAAGAGCTATATATAGAAATGTTCAAATCTGACCAATTCATAATGCCCAAAAACTAGAATGTACTCAAATACCCATCAACAGTAAAACAGTATATTCCATGATACATTCCCACAATAGAATGCTACAGAGCAATAAAAATAAACAAATCACTACTACATGCAATCACATGAGTGAATATAATAAGCATGATGTTGATTAAAGAAGTCAGTCATGAAGGAGCACATATTATTCCATTTACATAAAGTTCAAAAACAAGCAAAACTAATCAAGAGTGATAGACATCATATTAATTTTGGGATGGACATAGCAACATGGAATAAATAGGAGGATGGCCTCTGGGATGCTAGTAATGTTCTATTTCCTGATCTGAGAGGTATTTACACAGGAATTTACTTTGTGAAAATATATTGAGCTATAATTTGATAATTTGTTCACTCCTCTATTGTGTGTCTTACTTAATACAAATTGACAATAAAAGTGTTTTCAAGCAGAAAATAACATTTGCAGTACTGAAATACAGATGTACATTATTCTTTAACAAATTTAAATTAAGCTTACAATTTAGCAAACCCTATTCTAACTACTTTATAAATAATAATGCATTTAGCCTTCATAGCAACCTTATTATTACCCCCATTTTACAGATGAAAAGACTGAGGCTTAGAGAGGTTGAGTAAGTTTTCTAAGTATAGCTAACTAGTGTCAAACCATGAATTTGAACCCTGGCAATTTGTGTTTTACCAGTGCCTAACATTACAAGGAGTTGTATCCTCTTATCTCCTTCCTGCTCTAAATAAACTTGCTAATTTGTACTTTTTTTTTTTTTTTTGAAATAGGGTCTCACTTTGTCACCCAGACTGGAGTGTAGTGGCACAATTTCGGCTCACTGCAACCTCCAGCAACCAGGCTCAAGCAATTCTCCTGCCCCAGCTTCCCAAATAGCTGGGATTACAGGCACCTGCCACCACACCCGGCTAATTTTTGTGTTTTTAGTAGAGTCAGGGTTTCACCATGTTGGCCAGGCTGGTCTCAAACTCCTGACCTCAAATGATCCACCTGCCTCGGCCTCCCAAAGTGCTGGGATTACAAGCATGAGCCACTGCACCCGGCCATTCTTTAAAGTTCTCTTAAGTATGCATGTATTTAGATTATAAGATCATCAATATTAGTAAAACTTCCGTTTGTTTTTTATTCTCCTCAATATTTTCGATGTTCTGAAATAATAAGCAACGGGTTCATGAGCAATGAATGAGTGACATTTATAATTTCAGACAATTTCATCCATATAAAGGCAGGGAGGTAGATGTTGATCTCTCAATTCTCTTCTAGTTCTATGATTTTACAAATTATGCCTCAGAGTTACTCCCGGGGCAAATGAGATTGGTCTAGTCTAAGTCATTCACTCATTCATTCATGCATTCATTTACCAAATAGTGTTTGAATACCTGCTACATTCCAGGTACTGTTTTAAGTGTGGGGGAATTTTATATAGGATGACAAGGGAAGGCCTCTGTAAGGAAGCACCTGCTGAATGGAGGACTGAATAGAGTGAGAGATTAAAGCCCAGAGATATTGATGAAAGATAGATATTTAGATAGATAGATAGATAGATAGATAGATGATAGATAGATAGATAGACAGATAGATAGACAGATAGATAGATAATCTGGGTAAAGAGTGGTCCTGTCAGAGAGACCAGAAAGTGCAAAGGTTCTGAAGTAGGAGGCATTTGGAAGTTTGAGGAAACAACAAATAGCCCTGCATGCCTGGAGTGCAGTGAGCTAGGATGAGAGAGGAAGAATGAAGTGGCAGGATTCATCAAAGGTCAAATCCTGTAGGGCGATGTAAACTCTCTTAAACTTAGAATTCTGTTTCCAGTGTGACATGAAGCCACTGGAGGCTATTGAACAGAAATGAAGGATAATCAGATTTTCATTTCCAAAATATCACTCTGGCAACCATACAGAAAATATATCCCAGGAGAGAGGCAAGGGGGTAATAATGCTGGCTCACATGATAAATATTGTCAGGCAGCATGCGTTTGTGAATGTTTTAATAGCTGAGGTTTAGTTCAACTCCTCTAAATACTGTGTTTATTGGTCTAGTCTCACTCTGTGATCTGGAATTCAATTCTGTTTTAAATAAGTGAATAGGTGCTCTCGTTATAAAACAATGAAATAATGTTGAGCCATTTCTTCAAATTGCCACTAAGACAGCCTTACTATAGTAGCTTGCTAGGGCTGTGGTAACAAATTCCCACAAACTGGATGGCTTAAACCACAGTAATTCATTGGCTCGCAGTTGCGGAGGCTAAAAGTGAAAAATCAAGGTCTTGGCAGGGTGGTTTTCTTCTGAGGGCTGTGAGGGAAGAATCTGTGCCAGGCGCTCTCTTTGGCTTGTAGGTAAATGCCTTGTTCCTGTGTCTTCACATCATTTTCCCTATATGCTTGTCTCTGCACATGATATTTGTTTTATAAAGACACTGGTCAAATTGGATTATGGCCACCCTAATGACCTCATCTTAACTTCACTAATTACATATGTAATGACCTACTTCTAAATAAGGTCACATTCTGGGTTCATGGGTGTTAGGACTTCAACTTCAACACTCAGCGTGAGGGGTAAAATTCAGCCCATAACATTTACAATAGGCAAAGAATAGAGACTTAGGAAAATAAAGACTTCAAAAATAGCTGTTGCATACATAGGAGCCTTGTGTTATTACTGCCTTTTGTGGATTGTGGTGGTGAAATCTACCTTTAACATAATTATAGTAATATCCATGACTTGAACACCTACTGTCAGCCAGACCCTGTACAGTCTTTCACATGTTTATCTCATTTAGTCTATACACACTCTCTATGAGATAGATCTTATTATCTATATTCTACAGATGAAGAAACTAAAACTCAGAGAATATCAGTAACTTGACCAAAGTTTGGGCAAAATAAAATGCCATCATAAATTCTTAGCCATACTATTGTTTTAATTACTCATTAATTAGGATTATATGGCAATTACAACAAAAAGTATGAGCACTAGGTATTGGGTTGGTGCAGAAGTAATTGCAGTTTTTGCTATTGAAAGTAATGGCAGAAACGTCAATTACTTTTGCACCAACCTAAATAGAATCAGAGAACAGCTTATATCAAACAATATTAAGCAAAATAAAACCCCAAAATTGTATATGTGCTATAATGATATCTATACAAAAAGCATCTATACATCTAAGTATACACTGAATGATTGTCAGAGAGGAAGATACATTTTGGGAATCTGAGTAGTGGGATTATAGTATAATTTTTTTTCTTAATGTCATAAATGTATAAATGTTAATATTAACATTTAAAAGCAAAAGTATAATTAGAAATTGCTAATATCTTAATCTACTTTTCATACTAATTAGAACGATGATTCAAATGCCAGCATGCATCTCCTGGATGAAATCATTGTAGGCCTTCAAGGATATATAAAACTACACTTAATCTCAGCATCAAAACAATTCATAATGCTATGTTTTTCCCTTCACCCTGACTTCAAGGGCTACACAGGAAAATCTGAAGGGCTTCAAGGGCTTCCTGCTCTATAAACTCTAAATATTAGAGATCAAGTACCATGAATGAAGCAAGCATAAATCCACGTCTAATTAGATGTGTCAGAGAGGACAGCCAGCCCTCTGGCTTAGATTATACTCCTGCAAATTCAGCTAAGGTGGCGCATCAACTCAGAGGCCTGCACAGAAAGCTTGTTTTATCTTTCTTTATCTACCTCCACCCCTTCCCCTCATCTGTCCGTTACTGAGAGGGAGCTTGCAGAGAACTCCGTGAGCACTATCTGGAGATCTTTTTGCCATTCACTGAATATACATGGACATTCCCTAAATATTAATATTTATGACAATTCCCTAAATATGTGTGCGGTGTGTGACTATGAAAGAATCATAGAAATTAATTACTTTCTTTGAGTTGCTACCTGTTAGATCAAATTTGCATTCTGCAGGGAGAGCTGCTAGAAGTGGGTCTCTGGCAGGAAGCCTAGTGGAGCCCTCTGGGTCTGATTCATCTCCCTTAAGGGCAGATATCTGTTTTAGTTGATAATAATGCCTCTAAAAATTGGGTCACCAAACAACTCTTGCAGTTTTTCTGGCCACATCATGGGGAGAGAGAATCTAGTAAGTGCTAATTTCTCTTTTTCTCACCAACCTATATTAATCCAATCAACAAATATGTGTCTGTAGCTGCAGGAGTCTCTAATCAACACATTATTTTTTTTATTCTGAACTGCCTCTGGATATCTCTATTTCAGAATATCTATGAAATAAATTTCTTAGAAGGGGAAGGGTGTTCTGAAGTGATGTCTTCGCAGCACCATAGTTGTCCAATTAGCAAGGACTGGAGACATAACGAAAGAAATCATAGATCTAATAAGTAAGGAATAGGAAGAAACTTGAAGGATCAGACTACTGTGTTTCCATCATAGAGAAAGGAAAAACACTGCCACAGTCTTTCATTGCAGGTTCCTTGAGAATGCACACTGACACATTCTAGTCCAGAGTGTTACATAACATCTAGATCAATAAATCCATAAATTTTTGTAGATTGAAAAATTAAAGATGCCACACTCCTCACCAGCCCAAGAACAGAATACTGGGTCTAAAGGACTTCATTATGTTTTATATTATTCAATTATTATAATAAATATTCCTTCAATTGGTGTTCCTTGATTATTCAGTTTTCAGATTTTGCCTCTACTATTTTCTAGTCTCATTAAGTATTCATATATTCATCTTTTCCGTAAATTTTATGCTGTTTCTCAAGTCTTGGGCATCCAGACTAGTGTATAAGAATAATTTGATACTTTTCTAAGAGACAGAAAATCACTTTCGTTCATTTATTGCTTTTTCATAACTTTTCTGTACGATTTTCTGCATCACAATTTTTCTTTCCATATCCTAGAGGGCAGGGATCACGTAGGTGTACATTTTTGAAAATTTAACCTAGAATTTTGTTTCAGGTTTCCAGACCTAATAGATAATCAAATATTTTCTGTGTAAAGGTTATTTTTCTTTTAAGAAGCAATAATAATTTGTAATACTTTTATATATTTTAAGTTTTACATTCAAAAAATAAATCTCATGATCTTACAATTATTAACTATAATTAAAGCTATCATTTATTGAGCATTTAAAATATGCCATGCATTTTTCTAAACACTATAATGCATATTCATGGACTCAACCTTTCTAAGTGGCTAACTAACTCAAGGTGCTACAGCTGTTACCAACCAAGTTGGGATTTGAACACTGTTTCTTTAAGTGTAAAGCCTTGTTCTTAACCACTGTACTATACTAACCTTCAGGTATTTCAGGAGCCCTGATGGTATATTTGGTTACAAACAATCTCTGCATGGTGCAGCTGTCCTGTGCATGACATTTATGTGAGTTATGACCTTCTGACTATGCTTGCCAAGACACAGGATTGGAAGAATCTATTCCCATGGCCACAGAGATCTAGTTGCAAATTGTTATGTTTGGGTGTCTCATATGGATTTAATTGACTTTGGGATTAAGAGATGCTATGTTGGGGAGGACGTGAAACTCCTGGATTATCATGGTGACTCTAATTCTAAAAACATTTTAATTTTATTTCACAAACCCAATGTTTTAGGAAAACATTTTAATTTTAAAACACAGATGTCTTTTGTGGGAATGGAAACTTCACACAAATTCTTAAGATGAAACATGAAACTTCAAAGAAATGTCTTGTTCTTAACCTACTCTTTTCCAACCCCTCACCCCACCCCCGGCTCCCACAGGGTTTGCATTTAGTTCCCCTGCAGTTAGGAGAGTGGAAAAGTTTGACACACTCTTTGATGTATTTTAAAGTCTCTGCCGTTACGCAATGAAATTTGGCTCTCAGAAGCTAGTCAGCTTCCTTGAGGGAAAAGAGAATATTTATGAAAAGGAAACCTCTGCAGGTAAGTTGTACACAATTAGCACCTTTACTGAAGCTTTTACTAAGCTACAGTTGTGTCAAAGAAAGTCTCCACCCATTGTACCCAGAACAGCCTGTCTAAATCTCAAGCTCAGCCTGAAACATCTCATGCCAAGAACTTCTTAGCCCAGGCAGAGACATTAACATCTGATCTAGTGCTCACATGTACAGGACAGTCAAACATCTGGGACAAGAGAAGTGTTAGCAGTTCACTGCTGCTGCTTCTTTTCAGCTGCACTTAAATGGTTTTATGTAGGAAGCTGTACTGATGAGGATACTCTTGCTACTGAGTGACAGGGAGAGCAGTGAGAAGCAGCATGGTATAAGGGAAAGCTTAAGCTCTGAGCAGTCACACAGACCTCCTTACATTCTAGCCCTACCACTTAATTGTTATGTGTTCCTTAGCTCTTGGAACCTCACTTTCTTTATCTATAACATAGGGATGATGATAATAGTACTTCATAAACTAATTGAGAATATTAAGGAGGTAAATACATGTAAAGTGCATAGATCAAAGCTGAGTGCATAGATACTTTCCCAGAAAGACAGCCATCACCATTATCATTAATCTGGGGACACTGGGGAAAACGTCCCAGGCAGTCATGCAGTTTCTAGTCACTCTCCTATTTTCCATCTGGTACACAGACAGTAAAACCATCTTTCAGCCCACTACCTTAACCATGTCCCAACCTTCCTGAGACCATGCAATAGATTCCCTCAGCCAGGAATATCAAACCCCAATTCCTCTACTTTGGCTTTAAGACCTATCCGTGACTTTCCCTCCCAATGCTTCACTCTCTTTCCTTACTTCTCCCTTTTTGATCACAGCGTTTCACCTTTATCAAATTTTTCTTTCTGTCTTTGTATATTTGACTTATTTCTCTACCCTGGTACTAATGCTCCTGATGGTTTTCTCAGCTGAAATTCCCTCTCTGTCACCTCTGTGAAAGTCACACACTTGAGGGCAGACTGGGTTGGAATCCACACTGATCTTTAGTAGCTGCAGGACCATCCATGCTTAATTTTCTTCTTCAGTCTTCAGTTTCTTAATCAATAAGGTGAAAATTGAAATATTTGATTACATGAGATTGTTAGAACTAAATAAGATTCTATATGTAAAGTAGCCAGTAGACACATAATGGGTGCTAGGAGAAAGTTTCACAACCATCAGAGCTTAGTGCACACTTCTTTTCTTCTGGGACACACATACTCATTATTGCCAATAATATCTGTGGTCCTCAGCTATAATGTACTCAACTTGAGGGTGGTGGAAGATCTCTGTGAATACTGAAGTTTGAATTTTAGCCCCAGAACTTGTTTGCTGTGTGTGAACTTGGATAAGTTTCTCAATTTCTCTTAACCTCTATTTCCATATCTATTAAAAATTTACAAATCACATACAAAGAGTATAAAAACAAAATGAGAGAGTGCATATAAACACAGCATTGCATTTTAGAAATGTATTCCAAAAGTAGCACCTACCAGATATTATATTAGTTTGTACCCAGGATACTTTTGATTGCAAGTACATATTTTGACTCTGTAGCTTGACCTTTTTAAGGGCATGAATTTTTTGTTTTATAAATTTTTTGTAGAACTTTAAGCTTCTTGCCAGTGAGGATTCTATACTTTATGGTAATTTTAAATGAATGAAAAGGATTTATCCCATTGGAATGGCTTGTTTCAGATTTAGAACTAAGTAAGAGATCAAAGGGTGATAGAAGGGAAAGGTAATAGAACAACTTAGACAGTGAATAGATGAAAAAGCAGGATAAGGAAGGAGAAAGCTACCATAGCCCATCCTTCTCTGTAGAAGACATGGGCTAAGACTCTCTGTTCTCTTCCAGGAGACACTGCTCCCAAGTTCTTCCTGTCAGTACCCCACTGAGGTGTTGCTGCTGCATGTCGACTTCCTGCTCCAATGCCATCCTTCTTCAAAGCCCAGGACTTCCATCCTTCCACAGCAGGATTAAAAGTAATGGCAAAACCGCAATTACTTTTGCACCAACCTAAATACGTGTTTCTGTTTTAGCCTAATTGTGCTCACCAGAGACCTAGCCATGCCTGCTTCTCTTGAGAGGCTTGGTGGCAGGAGCTGGGCTACAGAGCTCCTTGGGAAAGAGCTAGCCTAAGTCAAAATCCAAGAACACAACTCAAGACCTGGGTTAGATAAGAGGGATGACTATGTGGGACTGTGAGACTTGTCCATCCTACACCAAGTATGGAGGGTTTTTTTTTTTCCTTTTCTAACTAACATTTCTTCAGTACCCCTTTTTGCACAAATAATCTGAATAACACATCTGAAAATGAAGCTCTCGTCATAAAAGACTTACATTTAATAAGATAACTATTTAGTGTTGAGTATCGAGCACCAGACTAAGAATCAGAAGACCTAAGTTTGGGGTCTAATTTCTCCCTCTGACTTGGATCATATCTTTAACTTTTCAAAGGTCTCTGATTCCTCCTCTATCAAAGGAAAGGATTAGGCTGGATGGCTTTAAGTGCCTCAGAAGTCCAGCTATCTAGCCATAGTCTCTAACCCAGAGAGCCTGAGGCTAACTTCAGACCCACTCTAACCCTATTTGTGGAAACCATGGCCCAAAGACATGTTTCACGTTTGCTTGTGAATGGATTACCCTGGTTACTTTAGTCTCCCATGATTTTCCTCTTCTGCTGGGGGCTCAGAGGTGATATCTCTATACTTACCAATGCTGATGCCAAATGTGACTGCTATATATGCGAAGACCCACTGATATGCCAACCACCTAAGGCTACTAGTGACTGAGTTCATAAGCACTGAAATGGCTTCTGCTAAAGTCACTAGCAACATCTTTTGTTGCTGCTACAGGTCTAGAGAATAATGTTGCTATACCTTGGGCTCGCAATGTACCATAGAGAATTTTAGGGAGACAGCTTCTTTACCTGTACTTTTACTATATCTAATTCATTCTAAGACTCAGGTGTAGTTCTTTGTGGGTTGGGCTGGTTTGCAGCCTGTACCTCTCAAAATCACTTCTCTTCTTCAACCTTGGCTTTCTGGCCTTGAAGGAGTGGATAACACTATTTTTTCTAGCATTCATTTTTTTCTTACCTACAGTTCATGGAGGCTTCTGAGTCCCTCATATATTGGGCCTCTTCTTCTCAGACCCATTTCATCACCACAACATATCTAAATCTTAGGGTGATTAAAGTTTAAATTCAAACTGAGACCTCTGATATGATTATATGAGATAAAGGCTGGATGATCTGAGGATGGGGAGCAAAAATTGAATCTGGTTGGAAGAAGCACAGTTTCCTAAAACCCTGACAGGAGGGAGCACTGTTTTGTGCTTTGGAAAGGCTAGAGGTCACAGCCCACCTCTGCGAAGTGAGACAGAAGGAGGAGTAGAAAGGAAGGAAAGAATAAAAAGAAGCCAGTCTTTTTCTTCTCTCTCTTTAGACATCCTATTGTACTTCTCCATTTTTGTCTCTCTCTAGGGGATCCTAGCCTGCCTATTAATAAATATTCCCTTCTGGAATTCTAGAATATCATAATCTACTTTCTTAAGTATTTCTACATAGGAAAACAAGCAAATCAATTAATATTTCATCACTGTTGCTAACACATGTAATTCAAGATCTCTACATATTTGTCCTGAGTTTCTAATCTCACTAGGATTTACCTTAGCACTGAGCGAGTATTCACTGGGATCAAAGAGCAGTTTGTCTGATTACTCTTTTCTAATTAGCATTTCTTCCAGTATAAATTTTTGATGCCCTCATCCCAGGAGTGTTTGATAATGCCTCTGTGTCTATAGGTTAACGTATTTCTTAATAAGATCCTCAATCCTGGTCCTTCCTACTTCTCCACATTCACTTCCACTCACTCCCAACATCCCCACAAAACAGCCTTCCCAAACCCCCAACACATATGCACTTCATGCACACATATGCACATGCACATAAGCTATCACCTGTGAAACTGCATAGCGCACCCTCTACTGGTTATTAGAGTTCAGAGAAGAGATACGTCTCTACAGTCTGGAAAGACTGGGAAAAGAGGGAAGTAACGTGTTAACGAGAATTAAGTCTGGGAAGTGGAGGTCAAAAGCTGGAGGGCCCTTAATGGTAGGATAGGGGTCTGTTTTAAGACAAGGGTTTGGGCAAGGGAATGAAGCAAGGAGAATTATACTAGGGAGACTGATAGGAATTGACTGTAATAATATAGTGCTGGCATAAGGAAGGAATTTGAGTTGCGGCAGGAGCATGGAGGTGAAATGTTATAAAGAATCAAGAAAACACAGATAAAGTTTACACAGACATCCCCATTGTTCTCAGGTACTCCTGAAGCAAAGTCCCCTCTGAGGCAGATATTCCTAATTGTTCCACTGCAGCCATCCTCCTCTTCATCCAATGAAGATGGATTTTGAGTTTTAGCTACACATATAATGAGTCTGAATATAGATTATATTCTCCACCACCCATTACCCCTAGGTGTGGCCATATGACCAAGTTCTGGCCAATGGGATGGGAGTGGAAGTAATGGAGAACTTCCAGGTCCTACCTTTAAAAGCAAGGGCCAAGAACAAAAATTTTTTAAATAAACAAATAAACTAAAAGCAAGGGCCATGCCTTTCACTTTCTTTCCCCCTTCCTCCAGTGGAATGAGGATGTGGTAGAGGACCATTGTGAACTATGCTGAAAAGGGCTACCCTGGGGCCCCTGCTTTTCCCAGAATGGAGCTGCCATACTAGTTTAGGTGTTTAAGAGTGTAAGAACTAAACTGTCTCATTTAAGTCCCTGTAATTATACATCTCTGTTTTGGGCAACTGAATCTGTAACCTGATTAATACACTTTTTAATCTCACAAGTAGAAAGCATTTTGAAAACAATAAGGTTTAAATTAATTTAAAATTGCACATTTTAAAAACAAAGAGATTTCACACATCAGAAACTATGTTAGGAATTCCACTATCTTATTTTGAAAACTGTGTTGATAAGTGTTAGTGTTAGTAGTAGTCAACACTACCACCCCCCGACTAGGTCTTCAGGGATCAGTGGAAGCCAAAGTTTCAGATAAGGAAGTTGCTTTTCCACTAGATAGAGAACAATCTAGAGTTTTTTTTTTTCTTCAGGTAAACTAAGAGGAACCGGATGGGAACAGAGATGAGAAAGATAAAGAGAAAAGCTGCATTGTGCAATTTTATTCTCTATGATTCTTCAGACATTTTCAGTGAAATACAATAAACCCAAAAATGTCTGATGTAAGTGCATTTTATTGGGTAAACCTGTTCAGAGGCCGAGTTTTCTGTCTAGATTAACAAAGCAGACAGCAGCTGCAGAAAAAAAGAGACAGAAAGCAGACAGAAACATGAGAGTGTAAGCCCATAGGTATTTACAGAAATTGAGTAGGTTTTTCCATTTTAAAACTATGGACATTTGGGACTGAATAATTCTTCGTTGTGGGGACTATTCTACGCATTGTAGGGTATTTAGCAACATCCCTGGCCTCTACCCACTAGCTGTCAATAGCCTTCTATCTCCTCCCAAGTCTTGACAATCAAGTTTCTAGATGTCTCCAAATGTTCCCGGTGGGGCAAAATTGCCCTAGGCTGTTCCTGGTGGGACTTATTGCCCTAATCCTCCAATTTATGTGTTATTGGGGGACACAAGTTTATGGGTCCCCCAATATGAAAATCATTGTTAAAGATGGGACTCAGATTGGCTCATTGAAGGAGAGAAGAGGAAAGGTAACAGACTTGACATTGGCGAATTCCTACCATTTGAGGTAGGAGGAGAAGCAGCTCAAAAAGACAAATTGTATATTACTTAGAAACTATTTTATGAGATTGGCCTAATGGCCAAAGATTTTTCTCTCTGGAGAAGAAAGAATGATGAAGGAAGTGTTAGGAAGAGAGAAGCAACAGGGCATGGGTGATTAAATACAAGGAATAAAAGACAGGGAGACTGCCTGCATCTGTTCCTTATCTGGCCAACTCAATCTATTATATCTCTAGGTGATCTGTCCAGAGCCCCATCCTCCAAGGCTATGTAAGGTCTTCCTGTCGTGTGTTTGAATATCTCTTTCTTCTAATTGGGAAATGATTCCACTTTATGGCAACTGCTTATGTGATGACCTGCCATCTGGATCCATGGAAGGAAAAAGCATGTCCACCTTACTCACTGTTGTATCTCTAGCACCTAACACATAGCTGGTTCATAGTAGATGCTCAAAAAACATTTGTTGAATGAATGAATGAGTAAATCAACAAACAAACTAATCTAATGTGACAGTATTTATTATCTTCATTTTATTGGTAAGAAAACAAACATATATAGGTTAGGTGATTTTCTTGCATAGGTTAAGGCCATATGACTAGTAAGCAGTAAAGTGTGACTGAGATCTAGACTTACATGATGTTAAATTTCAAGTCCTTTCCACAGTACTTCATCTATGTCTTGTTTTATAATGGCATTTTGGGAGTCTCCAGGGCCTCTCTGTTGCACAACTTTTAGTCTCAGCTACTCAGGAAGCTGAGGCAGGAGAATGGTGTGCACTCAGGAGGCGGAGCTTGCAGTGAGCCGAGATCGTGCCGTTGTACTCCAGCCTGGGCGACAGAGAGAGACTCTGTCTCAAAAAAAAAAAAAAAAAAGAAAGAAAGAAAGAAAGAAAGAAAGAAAGAAAGAAAGAAAGAAAGAAAGAAAGAAAGAAAGAAAGAAAGAAAGAAAGAAAGAAAGAAAAGAAAAGAAAGAAAGAAAGAAATGTAATTCTCACTGTGTGTGGTGGTTTTGGGGATGTGCAATGCAGGAGTCCTGAGCCTCTCACTTCTAAAATCTCCAACACAGGTGTTCCGGTTTCTGAGAACCTGACTTTTATCAGGCTCTACTCTATCTAAATATGATTCACACTCCAATTAAAATGCTGGCTAGATACACAGCTGAGTCCTTTCCACATATTCTCCTCCCTTCAAGTTCTTCCTAACTGAAAATTGGATTGAAAAGTAGCGAAAAAGGAAGTACAGGCAGTCTCTCTTTTACTAGCAGGCTATGTTCCCAAAGCTTATTTAAATGGATTGTTTGGAATTTATAACGTACTTTTTCCTTTAAAAAATAAAATAAAAACTGTTATAAGGAATAAATCAGTTTCCAGGTTAGACCATGGAGGTCATTTCACAAGTAGGTAAAATGAACTTCAATACAAACAGTCTTTGTTCAGGTGCCTAGAAGTTGAAATAAAAGTTTCCTAAGTGAGGTGACAGATCCAGAAAAAGCCTTAAACACGATGTTTGAAAACCTCTTGTCTTGTCTAATGTGCTAGAATAAAGGCTCAATAGACAATATACCCTGTTACAAAACTACTGGCAGAAAGAATGGTTTACCACAAACTTCTCTAAGACTCAAATCGTAATGTTTTCAAGACATTCTCCAAAATGTAATGCCTTACCCCAAAAGTTCTATACTGCATAATCAATCTTTCATTATTGAGGATTACATTTTGAAACAAACTTGACTTGGTAGTTTCATAAGAATATTACATTGATGCATGATTACCTTTCTGCCGACTTGCCATCTCACATGTGTGTCTAATATGCCTCTAAAAACATAAGGCCAAAACAAAATTCTCTAAATTTCCTCCTTAAATTCCTATCTGCCCTGCCCAAACCTCTTTTTTCTCTAAAACCATTCCCCTTTTCACAAAATGCTACATCATCCACTTTGGTTGCTCAAGTCAAAAATCTAAAATTCAGAGTTAATTGCTCTTTTTTCTTTATTACCCACCCTTCATATCCAAACCACAATAAAATTTTGTTTGTTCTACCTTCAATATGTGTTCTTAATCTGTCTACCTCTCTGCAACTTCACTGCTCCCAACATAGATACTGTTATCTCTCATCTGGACCATTGAAAAAGCCTCTAAACTCATTTCCCTGACCCCATTTTTCCTCTCACGTTTATCCTCCCTCCATTCCCTAGTATGGAAGAGCACGGGCTTTGGAGTAGAGGTACCAGGCATAAGCTACAGCCCTTTGCTATTAATGTAGCCTTCCCCAAATCATCTCGCCATTTCGTGTTGTTTCCGTTCAGCCCAGAGAGATGATCATTTGCACTCTCCATTTCATAAATCCAGTTCAGTGTTGTCCTGACTCTCACTGAGAGTGACCAGCCTTCAGTTTCCTAGGCTATTCAAGTGCAAGAAATCTACCAATCCTTTGAAAATATGTAACTTAGAGTCAAGCACACCATTGCATTCCAAACACAGAATCATCTTCTAAGTTCTAACTGCTCTATCATAACCAACTTGAATAAGTCTGCATTTGAGAATAACCTGATGAACAAAAATGTTGCTGTGAAACAGCATTCAATTGGAAGGTCCCAGTCTCCACAAAGCAAACTGTCCTGTTGAGTCCTTACCAAGGCAGCTTTCTAGGTTCTTTCTACGGCTCCTCAAAAACATAGCTCACATTGTCCATTCTGCTTTTTTCACTCTGATCTCTTCAGACAGGGTACTTCAGACTTCAGGATACCATACTCCACATTATCCCCAGGGCCCCGGCTTTGTTCTGGCTTACCCCTTGGCCCACTTGCGCAGCCCAGCGTGGGGAGGAAGAGGTAAAACACTTAATTAACATTAATTTCCACCAAACCACTTTCACTAAACTTGATTGAATGAATAAGTACTGATGGCCCTTTAACTTTTCCAGATATGTTTATATTTTTAAAGATAATGTGATCTTCAGAGTTAGTGAGATCTCAGAAAATATAACTGCTTTTCTAGCAATGTATACAAAGTTATTTGGGGAAAGAAGACCTTCAGCTAGGCAACTTAACCCTTAACCCTATTTAGAAGTCTGGTCCCGAAATTAGCTCTGCTAAGTTTTTGTTTGTTTGTTTGCTGTATTTTCTGAACCCAGAGTACTATATTGTCTGTAATCTACTTTGTCATAAGATTTTAGATGTAGATTAAACTATACTGTAGAGACAATCAATTGCTGTAGTCAGTTCTAATTTACAAGATAGGGGCCAGCTAATATTTACTTTAAAAAGCCAAACTTCATAGGAAATTACTACCAACAGTTTTAGCTACCAATATTGTCCATTAACTCCAGAGGTTTTTAGCATGATGAATGCTAGAAATGAATTTTTTATTGGTGAAAGTACTGGCATTTTATTTAGCTTAACATATACTAGATCTGGGTTGCCACTGATGAAAGCTGGTTCTCAAAACATCTGGATTGTCTATAATATTCTAGAGATACTTTATTTGTATAAAATTAGATATAAAAATTTAGAGAGGTCTATAGCCTGTGCACTTAGAAATAATGGCTGATGCCTGCTCCATAAAAGCTACTATGTTGAGCCATTTTGTAGAAAATTGTGGTTGCCTAATGCCCACAATAATTTTGCCTCTAGAATAGTACATAGATGATCTGTAACAACATTTGAAGTTGCTACTGATTATCAAGAAATTTCTATATCATGTATTCCTCTTATCTGTGGAAGCCTGGATAATACACTGTGGCCAGCTAGTAAAAATGGGTCCTCCCTTGATTTGACATGGCCAAATCATCTAAAAGAACAGAGGCTGGATCTTGAGTCAGCTTATAGGATAAGTTTTGTAAACTGTTTGCCTGCTTGCTAATACATGTTTATTTAACACGTAAATGTGGAAATTTAGGGAGAATTTGGTCTACTCTTTATTCTTTTTTTATTTATTTTTAATTTTTTTTCATTAAATATCAAGATTATTGGGACATATTGAATTTCAACTGCTTCTAACCAATAGTGCCTACCATTCATGACCATGAAAATGAATTCATAACAAGTCCCACAAATGATTCAATACAATACAATTAGAACCAGAGGCTACTGTGTATGCCTGAGGTCTTGCCTTGGATTTTTTTCTGAAAGACATAGAGCTGAGTTAATCAATCTTCAATCTCTTATGTCCCTCTCCCCACAGAGAGAAAAATCCGCATATGGGCTGCCATGTTCACGGGAGCCTTTGCAGATGGTCTGTCCGTATGCTACAGTAGAACAAGAGCCGTGCCACTGAGCTCCTAGTGCCAGACAGAGGAAAAGAGGCAAGTTGGGAAAGAGAGAGGAAGAAAGGTATGAGTGAAGTTTGGCCGTGGAAAGAAAACAGCATCTGTAGAAAAGCTGTAGACAGTTCCGCTTCCTTAAAGTGGAGAGTTAAACTCACCTTTTGAGAGCATACTTCGTTTGCATAGGAGAATAACCTACAGCGGCCTTTAGACATATGAGTTTTACTAGAAATGTGACTGCACAGTATGGAGAAAGTCTGGGAAACACTGTTTATCACAAATGGCTTGGTTTTTGAATGGACTTTTTAAGTATTTTATTCAAACACAAATATTTGGCATCAAATATTTAAACAAATGAAGTTTTAAAATGCAAAAATTAACTTTACATTTGATAATTCCAAGATCATCCTCAGTAACAAAAACACCTAAAACTTTCACCACCAGTGAGATGGAAAAGGATATTTTGACACTGGGGGACAAGGGAGGGGAATATGAGATTTTGCACTAGGACCCATTTTTACTAACTGGCCACAGTGCATTATCCCGGCTTCCACAGATAAGGGGAATACATGAAATAGAAATTTCTTGGTAATCAATAGGAATTTCAAATGTGGTTACAGATCATCTGTGTACTTCAAAACAATCCCTAATGCAAACAGAAGATGAAATGTGTCCTAGGCAGAAGTTTAACTGGGGACCAAAAAGGGAAGAAGGACAGGAGGCAGAAAGGGAGAAGAAAGAGGCCATCTCAGTCTCTTGGATTACGAAAACACAAACCACAATTTAAAAGTTGTGGTAGATTAAACTAAGAAGTAAGAAGGAGACCTGTCAACAGAGACTTATGGTCACATATTGAGGTTTGGATATTGGTAGGTAAAGAGACGCCACTGAAAGGATTTAAGTGGGAAAATGACAAATCAGATTTATATTTTTGGTGAAATACTTGGGTTTCAGTGTGGAAGACATCTACTCTCAAATCATGAGAAACACATTTGGGTCATAAAAGTTATTATAGTCTATTTACAGTCTAATGAACTACATAATCATGTGCACACACACGTGTGTGGGTGTCAAAAATCTATTAGGTTATATAGCATTTGGTAGTTTGTTGACAACGATTAAAAAAAGGAGTCTGTGATGTAGGCAGGCATAATTATCTCCACTTAACAGATAAGAAAACTAAGACTTAAAAGATTAATGACTTGCCAAAGGTCACAAAAATAATAAGGGCTGAAGTCAGGCCTATGAAACGCCTCTCTTTACTTCTGGTCTTATATTTTCCTGTGACTCTGTGTGTTTAATAGTGCAGCCTTCTAATAAATTTACTATTTTTTTCAATTTACTGAATTGGGAAAGGGGTAGGGAATCACTTTGTTTTATCACAGGGAAAAACAGATGGGAAACACTTCAGGTTTTCCTGGCTATACAGGCAGAATGAGCAGGGGCCTCCCTGCTCACTGACTTTGCACATGCTGTGTCTCTGCCTAGAACACCTTCCTCCCTCAGATCTTTTTCTGTCCTCCCTTCATCTCCATATCACCAAGTCATCATTTCCAGAAGCCTTCCCAGATTTCCAATGCTGGAAACACGCTCTTCCTCTGCATTCTAATACTCAGAGGTCAGGTTTATCATAACACTTATTCTATATCATGAAAGCCTGTTTACCTCTGTGTTTCCTCACTAGACTGTGAACTCCTAAACATAGCAAATGTACCTCTTTTCTTCCTATATCCCCAATCCTGGCACAAGGTTTGGCACACTTAAAGTGCCCAAGAATGTTTGTTAGTCTGAATTTGTTGAATAACATTTGCTGAAGGAGCTACGTGCAACCTACCAAGGTTAAAAATAAGATCTATTCCTTATGAAAAGAATCCCTGCACCTTGTACCAATCGGATCTCTATTTAAGCTCTAATCTCCTGTGTATGATTTATCACCAGAGCAACTGTCTGAAAATGCTTTTTCCTTATCTTACAGAGCCATAGTAAAAGCTAGTTGACTTTAAGCAAATGGTATTTTTCTCCTTCTATTTTTTCTCTTGCTATTTTTTTCCTTCTATTTACTTATCTACTGGCAGAAAGAAAAGAAAAATGACTCGGATCTCTATTTAGATATTTGATAGACAATGTTTAGATAGGGATAGCTATAAATTGCTGGCTAGGCACAGTCTGAATATCTAAAACATGTTTATTCTATTTTGGATTCCATTATGGCAGAGAAAAGAAGGGGAAAAACACACACCACATATATAGATGGACTTTAAGATTTAGATTTTTATTATTTCCAAAGCAGTGTTTGGATTTATGATCAGCATTAATCACTGAAAGAAATGTGTCTGACACCAAGAAAACTGGAGTTAGCAGCAATCTTCAGAGTTCAATGCAACCAGCCTTGGTCCTGCCCTGGTTCTGACCTGACTACAAACTGGCTGTTTGTCTTGGCCAGGTGCATGCTGCACATGTCTCAGTTTTGTCCCTTGTAAAAGAAGGAATTAGGGACAGATAAGACTTTGAAAAAAATCCAATTCCATTTATTTCTCCCTGGATTCACCTCAACATATGTACACAGTTTGCTTTTTCATTGAGCAATTTGATGGAATCACATGTTGAATGGCCAGTCTGATCTCTTCCTATCAGAAACACAGGTTCTCCTTACCTGGAAATGTGCTGACACTATTTCCAATATGAATATGAATATGTTCTTATGGAAATCCATATGAATTCCAAACATATGAATATGTTTTTATGGCAATCTTTATGTTTTTTTTATGAAACTGAACATTCATATTTCACAGACTTAATATAATTTATTCTGTGTTCAACTACTTCCTAATCAGGGATGAGCCACAATTAAAATGCCTTCCCAAAGTTGTAAATCAAATTGATTATTGGTTCAAAAAAAGGATATCTTGAAATACTTGTCTCTCTTAGTGCTTTCAAAATATCAATTGTTAAAATAGGTTCATGACATTTGATTTTCACACAATTCTGGAGAAACACATGAAAAGCAATATAACAATGACTTCATAGAACCTTAGGAAATTTCCTTTCCCAAATGATAAACAGGTTTCCCATATACTCTTCCAGAGCTGAATAGACATTAAGCAGCTCCAAAACTTTCCTCATGCCCAGACCTTATTACTCAAAAATGTTCCTTGGCCTCCATTATCATCGGCATAAAGTTCAACTTTTCACCTCTCCCTCTGCAATCTGGTCTCAACCTACTTTCCAGGTACATCATTCACTAATGCCTTCTCTTGCTGTTAAATTGAACTAAACCATGTGCCCCACTTTCCTCACATATCCTATATTTTCTCACCTCCCATCTTTGTTCACATAATACTGCTTCCCCTGGTGCTACCTGTCCCTAAGTCTGCAGACATTTAGATGACGCGACGTACATGACCACTGTTAACCCAGTTTCTGAGACAACATAATAGGCTCTCAATAGATGATGGGTGCTATTCACTCAATCATTCATCTTTTGTTCATTCATCTGTGGATCTCTTACTCTGTTCTAAGCAAGGTTCTGGTTACCTTTAGGGTCAATAAGAACAGAATGACTACATAATTTGTAGGTATGGTACAAAATGAAAATTCAGACTCTGTTTTAAAATAAGAATTTCAAAACAGTGATAACAGTGCCTTAGACGCACAGGGCTCTTCTAACTACAGATCCCTGTGTGACTACACAGACTGCATACCCATAAGGCTAGCCCTGAATAAGACACAGACTTTATGAGCTCCCCAACCCAAGGAAGCACGGGTTGGGGGTAGACAGGCAAGCAAAAACAATCACTATATAAGAGCTGTGAAATGTGTAAGCACGGATGCTGTGGGAACATGGTGATGGAGCACTCAACCCACACTAGGATAAAGATGGTGAGTGGGAGGGAGTTGAGAAAATCTTATGGAAAAAGGCCATGCCTAAACTCAGTTTTGCAGTTCATACTGGAGTTGGAAAGGCAAGAAAGAGGGAGTAGCAACAGAAGGGTACCTCAAGAAATGAAATAATCCAGTGCAAGAGACAGGAAATCAGAGAAATGTGTCCAAATCTTACCAATCTTTTGAGGCAATGACTTTCAAACTTTTTGACCATGAATTACAATAAGAACTGTACATTTTGACCTAGGACACACACTGAATCAAAAATTCCAAAAAAACAATACTCATTCTTGCAATGTGCAGTCTCTCATCTCTTCCATAATAAATTTATGACCCACAATCTGAAGAACCCTGCTTTAAGGACTGTCTCAAATGTCACCTCCTTGGCAAACCTACTTATATCCTTAGGCCCTAGCCATTTGAACTCCTGCAGGGGTCCTCTCTTGACACTTTGCTTTCTAATGTCTAGGATGTGCCATGTGTCTCCTGTTAGATTATAGCTTGAAGGCCCCTTCAGATGCTCTGCACATAGTAGGGCCCAATACATGTTTATTGAGTGACAGGGCAAGCAATCCATTACCTTGCTCAATCCTCAGATCTGACATCCTTCTTACGACTACCAGTGCTTTGTATTGCTCTTGTTTTCCATCATTTTAAGAAACTGGGCTCTATTTTATTAATCTAATACCAAATTCCAGTTCTAGCATCCTAAGACTTTATACTGCCAAAGCAGTCTCTCTAACAGGTCTTTTTTACTTAAAGAGAAATTACTCTTGCCTTTGCCAGTTTTAAAATATTTCAATGACAGTAATCTTAGTTTTTTATAACCCCCAAGGTCCAGGAATTTTTACATGCATTTATTATAACATTATTAAATCAAATGAATCAAGTAACATTGTTATGACCATTAGTTCCCATAAGTTCAAACAGACTTAAGTGTGTCTGATCCAAAGGCCATGCTCTCTCCGTGATGTTAGTTAAATTAAAATAGTGACAAATTTTATCTACTGATGCACATTTGGCTGATAAAGGGCCAGATGGACCCAGCAGCCAGCAAGTGATCCTAGGCATGGCAGTAACTTTGTTAGAAGAAGTCTTGTGGTAAATCACAGCTCCTTAATTTCTGGGCTTTGTGTGAGGCCCAACTTCCTGCCTCCCTCACTGGCTTGGCATTGATGTCCCCTGATGTTTTCTCATGAGCACTGAGCTATTTCCAAACCTACACTGGATATGTCACGTCAGATTCTAAAGGTTAGCCATCCTTTTTCTGTCACTTACTTGTTGTTATGTGGAAGTGGTCTGTTTTATTGCCCCTTCGGGGACAGGAGCAAGAAAGTACTTCCTTGCTTTCCTGGGAGGCATGTAGAGGATTTAATGTAAGTTAGAATTAAGTCCAAATGTTTTCAGAGATTTTCCCTTGGCACATTGGCTTACACTTACTGTTAGGTTCCAGCACCAGCCAAGGTCTGAGGGGAGTTGGTGGGGTGGCGGGTAGCTGAAAGAACACTCACAAGACCACAGGTAGGTGGGACATGGCTTTATTCAGCAGCTCCCTCACACTGTCGGTGCTGCTTTTATGTACCTCACAGACAACAGTGGCTCAGAGGCAGGCAATGAGCACCCCCATGTTATGGCTACAAAGCTGTGATTACATAATGCACAAGATTGTGCACCTGTGCTCCAATCCCACTGTGTCATGCTGTGCCGGATGTGTACCTCCGCCTTTGCTTGACTGCAATGCAGCCATTGTCCTTACACTTACTTAGACCTCTTCCATCACAGAGGACATGTCTGCGTACTACCTAGGTCTGCTGAAGCAGAGACAGCTCTTCAATGTCTCTACCTCACCTGTACACTTGAGACAGGAAGTCTCCTGTAGAGTAAACCCAGAGTATGAAAACATTATGAACAGGAGATAATATGAAGCTCATTTCTAATCTATAACAAGAAAATGTTTGCCAGAAGACAGTGTGGTGAAGTGGGAGGAGCCTAAACTGGGAGCAGGAGGCCTACTTTCAACAATTGCAGAATGAAATGTTATAAGTGGAAGTGCTTTGTGAGCTTTTTATACCAACACCGACAGAAAGAATTGAGACTTATTTTTTGACTCCTGATACTGAAAGGTAACTTGGGGAATCAGTTGGGTCAACTCCCTCATTTGAGGAAGGTGAGACTCGGAGAAGTCACAGCTGCCTAGAGCTAAGCCCAGGCTGCCGCCTGGACCTTCTATTTATAGAATGAGACCAGGTGTCCCATCATGCAATCATGCACATTTTTTTCTGGGATTAGTTATGTGTACCTCCTATTTCTCAGGCCACACTTTTTTTCTATTACCCAAGGTCTCATGTTAAAATAAACATTGCACTGGATTCAGGATACTTCAGATACTTGGGGCTCCAATTCTAAGAGAACCTGGCATTAGCAAGGCCACTCCCAAGCTCCCAGGTGAGAGTCCATGTCTATGTCCTCTGTAGATCAAGACTTACATGGATCCGTGTCTTTTCTAGGCATTGTCTGCTTCTGATGGGGCCTCAGGGTCCTCCCTACCAATGCTTTAATAATGCCAACAATTCTATCTCTTCCCAGAAGCCAGTGACCTGCCTTAGCAGATACCAGCTCCCCTATGAAATACTCCATTTAGATCCTTGAGTACTCCCCGTGTTAAAATCCACAGACAGACCAAAAATATCCTCTTTCTTGAACAGTTACTGTTTCCTCCATGGAGTAACTTAAACTAACCTCATAGAATCCATAGTGACAGATCTCACATGGAGCTCAGCCTTGCTTCATGGACCTGTGAGCTGTGCCCACATCAGAAGGGTGCTGAGCTTGGTTTGATTCTCTGCTGCTGCCATATTAAAATTCTCGCAATTTTTTTTAACAAGGGGCCCTGCATTTTTATTTTGCACTGAACTCCACATATTATACAGGTGGTTCTGCATGGAGTTGAAGCTTTCATGTATTCTGAAAATGCCACACATAACTTCCAGCTTTCTTGTGCTCTCCCATGCTGAAAACAACTTGATGTATATGGGTTGGGGTGGGGATGGGGCTAACTATGCAAAGTTCTCACAGTGTCTTTCTTACATGACTTATGAATCTTCAGAGAAATGGGTTTCCATAGTGGAAAATATTCAGAAAGGGCACCAAGTTTTCATTTTGGACTAAATATGAATTATTAATGTTGCATTTTATAAATAATTTATCACAGTCAAAGTATCTCATGGATTCCAATTCAGACAGAGTGAGTGTCTACTACCTGTCTGGCCTTTTATATAAATATCTTATTCATTGGAACTTCTTTACTAAAGTTCCCGTTACAAACACTATCAACTTATTCATCCAAAAAATAGTTGTGCCAGGCATTTTTCTAGGTTTTTGGAGATAAAACAATGAACAAAAAGGACAAATACATTAACAAATGTTTGCTGTGCAAGTGCTTTTGCTAGACATACAAGAATACAAAATTAAAAAGAAATGGCTCCTGTTCTCAAGGGGCATGTACTCTAACAGAAAAAAGATGAAAATAATGCAAGATATATAGATCCATAAGTACTGGATGAGATATTCAAATTAGAGAGGCAAAGGAGAGCTTTCAGAGGAAGGAGAGAGGAATAAAGTGACTAATCTGTTTTATAACTGGATGGAAAAATTATCAGATTTGTACATAAAGTGTGACATTTGACATTGAAAATCTTCACACTTTACGCAGAAAAATGTTGATTAAAATGGAAGGCTCATCAAAACTTCAGATATTGAATTTGCTATAAACAATGATCATGAAAATACAGGCTTGTGGAAATTTAAGTTGGAAATGCTGCTTTACAAAGACAATCTATGGGGTCAATTAAGTAGGGAGGTAATTCAGCAGATGTTAGTCCTTAGATCAAGCAAGAAGAAAACACTGAATTATAAATAAATTACTGGCCCTCTTTTCAGAAAACAACTGATTCATCCATATAAGAAAAGTGAGAGGTTGGGGATTTGATACTAGAAAGTACATGGAACTCAGATTTAATTGGGAAACTGTTATGAGACTGTGAACGATTAGATAGGAAGGTGAATGAGAAGCAGAACTGCTGGGTTGCACAAATCCAGAGAACATTATTCATATCATTCATATTAATTTCCTTTGTGAATGGTGAGTGCAATGCAAATGATACCTCTAGGATAGTGCAACACAGCATCAGTGACCATAAATGAGCAAATCTGAGACTGCCATGTTTAATTCTGAGGAATAGTCAGGTCGGAATGGCGAAGATAGAAAGGTAAATCAGATGGCCACGCTACTGTCGAACAGTGACCTGAAAGCAGGGAAGACCTTCAGATGACACAGTGCAAATGCAAATGTGATGTGGGTCACCCACAGAGAGAAGGAGTGTTCATTCTAGTCTTGTTTTATAAGGGAAACATGTCTCTGGTCCATTCATTCTGGGAACCCAAATCTTGAGGGTTATTATCAACTGCAGTCTACCTGCTGCAGATACATTTTAAAAATAATAACTTAGGGAAGATTTTGATTTGGCCTTCAAAAAAAATAAAAACATCAAAGCAGTTCAATGAGAATGACTTATGTAACATCGTAATATGAGTTCTAATGCAGAGCCCATGCTGGTCCTAGGTTGGACATTCACTTTTTTTGGACAAAATTCAAACTTTGTTAAAAAAAAAAAAACAAAAACTTACCTTTCTCAGCTGATAACATGGGGAAGAAGGCTAAGAGGCTTTATTTACAAGAGTTTTTGGGAAAATTAAATTAGGTAATGCATATAAAGTGCCCAACAGAGATCCTGCCAAATAGTTATTGTTCAATAAATGTTAGCTGTTTTTATTATCTTCGTTTGCTAACAACTAAAGTACTTGAATATAAACACACACATGCAAAAGGGTGTGTGTATATATATGCACATGCATACATACACACATATCACACATGCACACACCCAGGACACTCCAAAACCTTCTCTCAGGGAGTAAGTAGGAAATCAGACAATTGGGTGGACTAAGACAAGTAACTGCCATCATTCTGTATTTGATTACTCTCTACTCTTCATTAGTACGCCTGTCTATACTGAATTGATGTTTCTTTGAATGAGAAAAGAGAATTATTCATAATAATAAAAGAGAGCTCTTGGTTTTCCCATATGTAGTTGTTGAAAATTTCTAAGTGAAGTCATCATTAATTATTTGTTCTCAGCACTAGCTGGTATTTCCAGTCTTAAAGCTCAGAAATATACAAATCAAGAATTTATAGAGTCCACACTTCCCACAAAGTGCAACATCAAAAACTGTCTAACACAATGTTTTGGTTTGTCAATGGGTTGCTTGGTTGGTTTCTGTTTTTCTTACTTGAGAAATATTAAGACAACTGTGGCTATTGATGAAAGAAAAACCTTGAAGTGAGTGCTACCTGAATAAATCTCTCCTGGACAGGAATTTTAAACCTAACTACCCCTTACTAATATAGTAGCCTGGTTTTGCTGTTTAGACCCCTTAAGCTTCATTTCTAGTATTAGGAAAGTGCTTTGTAATCTCTTCAGTGTTTTATTACTATTACTATTCTTATTATTAACTAGAATCCAATCAAAAATAGTTCTAGAATGTCTTAAAGGCATATTAGCAGATGAGAACTACACACACACACACACACACACACACACACACACACACACACACCAGAAATAAATCAGAGAGTAGAGGCAGTTTTCAAAGAGAGCAATTTAAAAACTATATATCCAGGATTTATTTCCAGAGGATGAAATCTGTGCTTCTGAGAGGGTGATGTTGCAGCTGGAGTCTCAGAGGAGATCATCAGAAATATCAAAAAAGGGCAACAATACAGAGAGGTCACAGAGGGGTCACAGAAAGATGGCTCAAGGTCCACCTGGGGACCTTCTGTTAAGATGGTGCATAGACTTAGAAGCATCATCATATTGCAGGTGACAAAGACTTTTCACAGAAATCAATTTAGTGTGAAAGAAAAGCTCCATCTGGCAGCCAGAAAATGCAGCACTATGAAAGGTGTTGCTTGCAGACATGAGGGACATCCTGTGTGCCCTAGACCTGCAGGGAGGGTCAGAACATTAAATAGGAGGTTACTAAAGGCAATGATTGGAACCAAATAAAACCATATATTAAACCCTGAAGTCTTACTTATTTGTGAGGTCTAAATAAAAACATTCATGTATTTTTGAACCATAAACGAAGGCAAAGTTTTTTATGTAGTTTTATTTTTTTAATTGCTTTGTAAATGCCCATACAGCAACAATCCAATTTAGTGAAACAGTCCTTGAAGCAGGTGCTACTAAATTATACGTGTTTCTTTTCTTTATTCCTCCCATTCACTTGTTGAGATAGCTTGGCCTATTCAAGGCAACTTAAATGCCCATTAACAGTGCTTTTTGAAGTAAAGGGGGCTATATCCATCCCCTGTCCTGGAGTCTGTGAAGTGAACTAAGAGCCAACAGCCACCTCTCCACCTTCCATAAGCTCTTCAATAGCTACCACAAGTAAACAAACCCCAAATAATTCTATCAGCTTTGGCAGTAAGTTTGTCCTTAATTGTACCGGGAATAGGGACCCTTGCTTTTGGTCCTCCTGGGCGTTGTTTCTGCTAATCGTAGACATACAAAGAAGCCTTCTATACGGAGCCAACCCTAAGGACCATATTTACAAATGTGCTAAGAGTGTGCCCTGTGTTTAACCCATCAATATACAGCCAAGAGTAAACAGCCTTTTCTTTAGACAAAATTTTAGTCATTGTGTGTCCACCAAAGAGCCATAAAGGGGATTTAACTCAAGGGGAACAGAATTTAATTGCCTCTTGTCACAAGACACATTTTGATTCTTTTAAAGCCACTTCCTTCCTCCTTGTGAGTGAATCACAGTTATTTCAAAGAGATTTTGGCAACTGGCAAATTCTGGATTGGCTCCCTTTAATTGGTTGCTTTCGTTTTCTGCCTACCCCACCTTTCCATGGCAGCCATATCCTTCAAAGCTGTGTGGTTTCTAGAAAGAGCAGAGACTTTATCGGCAAAACAACAAATTCCCCTCCTTCCATTTGCCAGTTATGTGCCTTTGGGTAAGTTACATAATTTCTTGGTCACAATTTCTCATCTGTGATGTGGGGATGAAAGAAATCCAGCAGGATCTTTGGGAAGATTCTAAATAATTTAGTTAAAGGTATTAACTATAGCAGATAAGAATTTTAACCGGCAAACTGAAAAGTATTTAAATGCAAACTTATTTTTCTATAACTCAATTCAAAATCTACTTGTACATCTTTAATCTGCTGAGAGGCAGAAACTTAATCAATTTGGTTATCAGCCCCATCCCCCAACTTCCTCAGGGTTTTCCTGATTTCAGAGGACAGATTATGCAAAGCTAAACAATGGGTTCAGGGACAAGGTCAGTGGGGCCTAGGGGAGGCAAAGAGGGCTGTTACCCACCTGAACAGGTACATGTTTGTTGGTTTTGTGCCTAACCAGTCTTTGGTTTAGTGCAGGTCCCTGCTGCATCAACCCTCCTTCTCCATCCACGATCCTTGGTGACCAGGGCCCTCTCAGATAATCCCAGTGTCCCGCTCTGGAGTGAATGTGCTGTTGGCCTCATGGCCCATGAGCTATAGAAACCACATGGGACTACCATAGTCCTGCATCAAATTCCAGTTTCTCTCTGGCTCAATTTTCTGCCCCCACATCATGATGAGCAGTAGCAGTTTTCAGAGCCTCTCAGGCCTCTCACACTAGACATTCTACACGTCTTTCCATGCGAGAGTCTTGTTTCACTGGCCTCCATTCAAGAATGGAGCTGTGGGTCCTGTCTGCAGTTAGGTGCTCCAATTCACCAACATAGTGACCTTTCGAGCTTCCTCTGTGACTGTCACCTCCTTCATGCAGCCCACTGTCTTCTTTATTCTGATAAGCTGTAAATAGTTTGGGGGCATGAAAAATAGATCTGATTCATCTCACATTTTCTGTGCTATGTATCTTCTCAGAGCCTAGGCTTCTGAAATTCAAGGCTTTTCTCTGCTTCGAGTGTAGTATGTGTTAATGTCTATGATCTAGCCACCTAAATAAGGGAGGGATTATAAAATAACTGAAAATATTGGGAGGAAGAAAAACACATGATATTTCAGAATACTATTTCACTATATGACCTTTAAATATAATAATAATGTTAATAATGATGGGACACTGTTATTGACTACTTTTCAGAATTCCAAATAAGAAATAACGTGTGGATTACTTCATGCCTTAATAAGAAGGTCGTAAGAAACTTTTTTTTTTAGTTTATAGAATGTTAAAATTGGAAAGATCTTAGAGATCATTAGTTCATACTTTGGTTCCCAATCTGTTATCACCAAGAATCCCTTAAAAGTCTTTTCTCTCTATAAAGTGGACACTGTCTTGAAAAATCATATCTGTAAGACAATGTGTGTTATCAATTGTTTTTTTCCTTATCATTGATCAAAAAAATCTACATTGCCTATTGGTCTTTTAATTCAGCATGAGAGATCCCTTTAGGGTTGGACCTAGGCCACAAATGCAAAGGATTACTGGTCAAAGCTGAAGGTCCAAGAGAGACATACAGAAGCTGCTCTCATGCCCTCCGACACCTTACGTGGCCGCTGTTTACATACTGACCACTCTGCATATTTGAAGATACCTACCTGCGCAACTCCTCTAGAAATAGCATTGAATGTTTTCTGCTCTTGTTTTATAGCTTGTAACCTTTCCCCTGGCATAAGATGCCGACCTTCCTATAACCATCTCCTTGGCTGGGGCCCTAGGCCCTCTCTTCCCTGACTTGCTTAGAAGTGGTTGAGCAAAAATTTGAACATGGTAACTCTGGCTCCAGAGCTCTTGAGTTTATACAATTTTTCAACAGAGGATGTTACACAGCATCCCAAATAATATAATGTGAGTCTTTTCCTATTAAGTTCCTAGACAGAATTTAGAATTTGAAATCATAATTTAAAGTTAAATTCTTTCTTGGCTAAAAGAAAAAATGATAGCAGGGGAGGGGCCAGGATGGCTGACTAGAAACAAATCAGGTGTGCTGCTCTCACAGAGAGAAAAAGGAGTGCAGAGTAAATACTAGATCTTCAACTGGAACATCCAGTGGACACATTGGGATTCATCAAGGAATCAATTCAACCTACAGAGATCAAGAGGAGCAAGACAGGACTATTGTCCACCAAGGAGCGGCATGAGCCAGGGGAGTCTCCCGCACTGTGAGAAAACAGTGAGTGAGAGCCCCCAGGGACCCATACTCCTGCTCTGGACCTTTGCAACCCTGGGATCAGGAGATCCTTTTATGAGCCCACCCCACCAGGGCCTTCAGACTGACATGGAGAGCTATGCAGATTCTGGGCAGATCCACCACTCAGGCACATGCAGAGTCCCAGGAGCCTTGGATCCCCAGGCATCCTGGCATTAGTGGCTGCAGCTCTGGCAACAGGAGGTCAGTCTGCCTTGCACACTCCCAGGAAAGGGGAATCCAGGGGGCTAAGCAGTAATGGACTGCAGGCCTTGCCTCGACTGCACCTGATATGATAAGGCCCACTGGCCTGGGACTCCAGCCACCCCACAAACGGGCTCTTGGGCCAGTAGCAGCTCTGCACTTCTCTGGGAGAGAGCTTCCAGAGGGAGAGGCAGGCCATCATTTTTGCTGTCTTGCAGCCCTCATCTCACCACTGTTGCCCTCAGGCTCTGGAGGGTATGGCTGAATAGGGACTGGCACAGATCTCCAGCGCAGTGTAGATGCCTCATGGAAAAGTGGCTAGACTGTTTTATACATGGGTTTCCAATCTTGCTTCTCCTCACTGGACAGGACCTCCCGACTTTGGACTCCAGCCATCCCCTTCCTGGGCTGTGGGCTGGTAGCAGCTCTGCACTTCCTTGGAGGGGCTCCCAGAGGCAGAGGCAGGCCACCATCTTTGCTGCTTTGCAGCCCTCGCTGCTGTTACCCTCAGGCTCTGGAGTTTGTGTGGTGATTGCGGACTGGCACAAATTCCCAGTACAGTGCAGCCGCCCCGTGGAAAACTGGCCTGACTGTTCTCCATGCAGGTCTCCATTTTCACTTCTCCTTACTGGGCAGGGCCTCCCAACCAGGAACTGCAGCACAACTACCCTTCTCCTGCCTGAACACTTCAGTCAGAGGTGGCTCTGCAGTTCTCTGAGGAGGAAATCCCAGAGACAACCGACAGCCCCCATTGCCGGTGCAGCTGCAGTGATACCACCCTAATCACTCTGGACTGGGGAAGCAACAAAGGGTCTAGTCGCTATGCTGGCAGCTCTAGCACACCACAGCCACCATACCACAGTTTCTCTTCCCTGTGAGCTTCCACCCTGCCACTCTTCACCAGGCAGGGCCCCCAGCTCAGGATCACAGATCAGCCACCCTGTGGCAGGCCAATTCTCCCTGACAATCACACAGACAGGCCTGCATAGCACCCCAGCTACACAGACAAATTTCCACAGCGCTGCCTTAACATTGAGCAAATATTTAAACCTAGAGAATTCGTTGCCCAAACATCAAAGCTAGAAATAAAACGTATGGTCGACATAGGACCCTTGCATGGGCTTCTCCCTTGTGGAGCAAGCCAAACTTATAGAGACAGCCTTACATTCCTAGTGCCAGGACCCATCCCAGGTTGACAAAATCTGAGACAAATCAAGGGAACAGAGACAGCTGTCTGAATAGATTCATTGGAGAGCCTAAGGCAGCTCTCCAGACCAAGCTATAAAGGAGATAAGATAGAAATAATCACTCTGGTACCAGAGTAGACAGGCCTTGAGGTACTGGGGCCCTTTTAATTGGATTTAGCAAGCATTTTTTTTTCCTCTGTACTTCTAGTTGAAACAAAATTAGTTACCAATAGACTTAGGCAAATGCTGTACTGCACGTAGGCACAAACCCCAACCTATATAAGCACTAAGAAAGTTGTAACGCTTTGGGTTGTTCTGGTGGAATTATCTCTGGCCTTCTCCCTGTATCCGGTTACAGTAATAAATTCCCTTCTTTCCTAGTTTGTCTGCTTCTTGTTATTGGGCCTTGAGAAAACACAGCCGGACCCGGCTTGGTTCAGGGAACAACCCCACCCGAGGCTGAGCAGACCCATTGGTAGTGGCTCTGAGTTTCCCTGGGAAGGGGCTCCCAGGGGTTACTGACAGGCCCTCTGCCACTGCCACAGCAGTGACTCTGCCCCTGGGGAAGAAACAAAGGTCCTGAGAGCCTCACCTGTGCTTCCAGCATACCACAGTCACCATACGAGCAGGAGCCCAGTCTCTCCTCCCTGTGAGCCCTGGACCTCCTTCTCCTCAACAAGCAGAGCCCCAGGCTCAGGCCAGCAGCACAGCCATCCCACTCCCTGGCTGAACATTCCCAGTAGCATCAACTCTTCCTTTCTCTGAGGTGGAGCTCCCAGAGGCAACTGAAATCCCCTCTGCCACTGCCACTGCAGAGGTACTACCCTTGCTGCCCTTGGGCTAGGGAAGGAGCAAAGACCCTGAGTGCTTGAACCACACTTTTAGCAAGCTGCAGTTGCCCTAAGGAGAAAAGGATAGTCTGTCTCCCACGTGATACCTCCACCACCAACCTCACCCCCACCACCCCACTTGTCAGGGCCCCCATCCCTCGCCATTTGGGCCCACAGGGCAGCTCCCCATCCCGGGCCAATTCCACTGATTGATGGCAGATCCACATCTCTCTGGGGTGGAGTCCCAAGAAACAAGTGAAAGGTCCTCTGCCACAGTCACTGTCAAGGCCCCTTCCTTAGCAAGGGAGCTGCTGCCTCCAAACTGCGGAGGGAACATAAAGCCTGAGCTCTCCCCAGAGCTTCAGTGGGCAGCCCAGGAGTGCCAAGCCAAGATCTTCAGCCAGCACTCGAGTGGGAGAGGAACCCACACATTCACAGCACTGAGAGGGATCGTGGCTGCAATTGTGAGGAAATACAGGGGAGCCACATGGCTGAACAACAGCCTACCTACTGGATCACAGCCCAAACTTTAACACCAGAAACACTTCACTAACAAACACCCCCTGTGAAACCAAGAACAAGAATTCAGCAACACATAAAGGCCCTGCACAAAGCCATGGCCCTCTAAAAACATCCAGAATAGAAGTCTACTGACTGTACTCAATTTATACCACAGTTAAGGGAACACCAGCCCACACAGATGAGAAAGAACCTGCTCAAGAATTCTGCCAGCTCAAAACCCAGTGTTTTCTTTCCTCCAAACAACCACACTAGTTCCCCAGGAATAGTTCTTAACTGCGCTGAAATGGCTGAAATTACAGAAATACAATCCAGAACATAGACACGAATAAAGAGCATCAAGATTCAGGAGAAAGTCAAAACCCAATCCAAAGAATCTAAGGATTATAATAAAATGATACAGGAGCTGATAGATGAAACGGCCATTATAAAAAGAACCAAACTGATCTGATAGAGCTGAAAAACACACTACAAAAATTTCATTATGCAATAACAATCATTAACAGCAGAATAGACCAAGCTGAGGAAAGAAACTCA
This sequence comes from Homo sapiens, assembly GCF_000001405.40. Classification (NCBI taxonomy): domain Eukaryota; kingdom Metazoa; phylum Chordata; class Mammalia; order Primates; family Hominidae; genus Homo; species Homo sapiens. Next base: position 162,916,767 of record NC_000001.11, on the reverse strand, counting down.
GTGCTCAAAAACTGGCTGTCTGAAATATTTTTGTCAGTCAGACAAAAATAAAGAAAAAAGAATAAAAAAGAATGAACAAAACCTCTGAGAAACGTGGGATTACGTAAAGAGACCAAACATATGACTCACTGACATCCCTGAAAGAGATAGGGAGAAAGCAAGTAACTTGGAAAACATTTTTCAGGATATCATTCATAAAAACTTCCCAACCCTTACTAGAGAGCCCAACATTCAAACTCAGGAAATGCAGAGAACCCCTGTGAGACACTGCACAAAGAAACCAACCCCAAGACACATAATTATAAGATTATCCAAGCTCAAAATGAAAGAAAAAATATTAAAGGCAGCTAGAGAGAAGGTGGACAGGACACCAACAAAGGGAAGTCCATCAAGCTAACAGCAAACCTTTCAGCAGAAACCCTAAGCCAGAAGAGATCAAGAACCTATATTCAACATACTTAAAGGAAAGAATTTCCAACCAAGAATTTCATATCTAGCCAATCTAAACTCCATAACTGATGGAGAAATAAGATCCCTTTCGGACAAGCAATTGCTAAGGGAATTTGTTACCACCAGACATGCCTTATAAGAGGTTCTGAAAGGAGTGCTAAATATGAAAAGGAAAAACTGTTACCAGCCACTACAAAAGCACACTTACATAGATCAGTGACACTATAAAGCAACCACACATACAGGTCTGCATAATAACCAGCTAACAACAAGATGACAAGATCAAATTCACACATATCAACACTAACCTTGAATGTAAATGGGCTAAATGTCCCAATTAAAAGGCACGGAGTGGAAAGGTGGATAAAGGAGCAAGACTCAAGATTATACTCTCTACAAGAGATCCATCTCACATGCAGTGACATAAAACACATGCATGTGTATGTTCATGGCAGCACTATTCACAATAGAAAAGACATGGAACCAACCTAAATGCCCACCAATAGCAGACTGAATAAAGAAACTGCGGTACATATACACCATGGAATACTACACAGCCATAAAAAAGAATGAGATCATGTCCTTTGCAGTAACATGGATGGAGATGGAGGCCATCATCCTAAGAAAAGTAATATAGGAATAGAAAACCAAATATTGCATGTTCTCACTTATAAATGGGAGCTAAACAGGAAGAACACATGGACACAAAGAGTGGATCAACAGACACTGAGGCCTACTTGAAGGTGGATGCTGAGAGGAGGGAGAGAATCAGAAAAAATACCTATTGGGTAGTATGCTTATTACCTAGGTAATGAATTAATTTATACATCAAACCTCCATGATATGCAGTTTACCTATATAACAAAGGTAATCTTTGTTTCGATGCTAGCTTTTCATGGTAACCTTTATTTTAGGTTCCGGGGTACATATGTAGGTACCATGTACCCCTGAACCTAAAATAAACGTTACCAAAAAAAGCTATCATCCAAAAAGAACAAAGTCTAAAATTTTCCCCTCCTTCATTTCTTATTCTGCTGGGTCTCAGCCATAACTCTGTTAATTTCTCCTCTCTCCTTTCTGTTCATTCCCCTTAAAGTTTCCTTGCATTTCATTTTGATCACCTCTGTGACAGCTTCTCCAATTCTAATTCCTTTCTCTATTTCTGCACCCCAATACTATTCTTGTTGTAAACAAGTGAACAATCTCATGTCTTCTGCACAAGACTTCAACTGAATGTATCTCAAATGTCCTTGAAGAAAGAAGGGCTGCTTCTATTCTCTGAATTCTCCTTAGCTATTTCCCTTCTCCCATTACAAAGCTGTGGATTAGATATTTCTGGACTTCAGAAGCTCATCCACTGCCCCTCAGATCATAATACATAGGCCATCCTCCTCCAACATCTTCTATGGGAGAATGGCCCTTAATGAGATATTTAGCTGCTGGAAAACTAGTAACATGCACATCATCAGAGAGATATTATGAAAGGGGAGAGAGGATGAGCTATGATATGAGAACCCCTGGATATGGACTTTGACTCAACCATTTCATAATAGCTGTTTATCCTTGAGAATGTCAGTGAATACTTTTCAGCTTTAATTTCTTCACATTAAGAAAAATAAAGCACAGTAACAAATCTGCCTTATCTACTTCACTAGTGCATTATTAGGATTTGGGTTGTGCAGTGTGACAGAAAACCTAACATAACAGTGGCTTAAATGGCAAACACTCCTAATTCTCATGTAGAAGTTCAGGTAGGTGGTCCAAGGATGGTGTGATGGCTCAGTGATCATCAGACTTGAGTTCCTTGTAACTTGTTATCTTACCATCCCCATCGTGCAATTTTCATCTCGTAATGTAAGATGATTGCACCTGCTCCCAGTGATATCTGCCTTCTGGTTACAGGTGGGAATAAAGAGCAGAGGAAATAGATGACCCTGCCTATAAGGACACTATTTTGAAAACTAAAAACAGGAGAGGGCCATCAGAGAAAATGGTAACATAAGCACCTTCACAAATTCTCTTCTCCAAAACAGCAATGTAAAAACTTGCAAAATTGTCAGAATCACCTTTTTCAGAACTTTGGAAACTAACCAAAGGCTTGCAGCAATCCAGGAAGCATTTATTTCAGAAAAGCAACAAAATCTCAGTAAGAACAATAAGCTTTTTGACATTTTTAACTTTCCTTAGTCTCATTCCCCTATCTCCAGCTTCACAGTAGCCGTGAAAACTAGCAGCCTGCATTTACAGTGAAAACTGGCAGCCTGGAACCCACTGGAGGAAGCAGCATAGAGCTGGAGTGACCCCAACGTCTCATTCCCAGAGAATTGTCATTATTTAACTTATCCAGTGGTTCCCTGGAGGACCCCACTTGTAAAGCTGTCTGTATTTGGCATCACTCAGAGCTGTCCTGTATAAAAAGCCTTTTCCCTGGGCTCCTTGGTTAGAAACAATTATAGGTAATTATTTAACTTGCAGCTCCCTAGGGCAGTGGATAATAATTGGAGCAAACAATAGACTAACTGAGAATCTCCAAAGGAAAAGTTGGGAAGTAAGATGTCCATGGAAGCTTTGAAAGTCTCTGATGACATGTTCTTGGGAATATAGAAGGGCACATGTGTGTGTAGGACCACGCACATACCCAGGGTTGTGGGCATGTTCATGAAAGACTTGATAAGGCCTTAAGCTCTCACTTTCGCTCTGAGCAAGCAGGACATGAAGGCTAAGCTGAGTTGCCAGCTATCTACCTGAGTGTTGAAAGCATGATCCAACATGCAAACAGAGCCCTTTCATAGAAACTGGAAGACTGGTTTTGCCTGTTTAAGAAAATTCCTGCCTAGTCATCAGGTGACCACTAAACCAAGCAGAGATTCAGTGGCCACACAGTGAAGAATACAGACTTTACAGAATTCGTTGTGAAAAGTTAGTAAACAAAAAACAACTTCTAGAACAAACAGCAGCAATTTTTTAAAATCCTGTGTATGCCAGGAGGCAGGGATCTGATTTCCACAGTTTTACCACATCATATTATGTAAGATACCTAATTTTCAACAGTAAGAGGTATAAGGCATACAAGGAAACATGAAAACATGACCAATAAATAAGAAAAAAGCAATCAATAGAAATTATCTCTGAGGAAATCTAGACATTGCACTTACTAGACAAAGACTTTAAATCAGTTATTTTAAATATTTTCAAGAAACTAAAGGAACCCATGTCTAAAGAACTAATGAAAAGCAAGAGAATGGTGTCTCATCAAGTAGACAATGTCAAAAGAGACAGAAATTATTAAAAAGAACCAATAGTACTTCTGAGGTTGAGAAGTATAATAACGGAAATGAAAAATTGGCGGGGCACAGAGAGTTCACGCCTATAATCCCAGCATTTTGGGAGCCTGAGGCAGGTGGATCACTTGAGATCAGGAGTTCCAGACCAGCCTGGCCAACACAGTGAAACCCTGTCTCTACTAAAAATACAAAAATTAGCCAGGTGTGGTGGCAGGAGCCTATAATCCCAGCTACTCAAAAAGCTGAGGCAGAAGAATTGCTTGAACGTGGGAGGTGGAGATTGCAGTGGGCCAAGATCACACCTGCCACTGTACTCCAGCCTGTGTGACAGTGAGACTCTGTCTCAAAAAAAAGAAGAAGAAAGAAACATCTACTACATGGGCTCAACAGCAAATCTGAGCAGCCAGAAGAAAAAAAAACAAAAAAACAATTAACTTGAAGATGGGTCAATTGAGATTAACCAGTCTGAAGAACAGGAAAAAAAGAATAAGGAAAATGAACAGTCTAAGAAACCTGTGGGATAGCATCAAGTTCATTGACATACACAAAAGAAGAGCAGAACGAAAAAAGGAAAGAAAGGATATCTGAAGAAATAATGGCTGAAAACTTCCCAGATTTTGATGAAAACCATTAATCTACACATCCAAGAAACTCAACATACTCCAAATAAGATAAACATCAAGGAATCCATATGTCATAATCAAACTGTCAAATGACTGAAATAATTTTGAAAGCAGCAAGAGAGAAGTGACTTTTCACATACACAAGAGATTCTCAATAAGATTAACAACTGATTTCTCATCAGAAACAATGGGGAATAGAAGGCAATGAGATGACATATTCAAAGTGCTGACAGATTTTTAAAAAAAAAAAAGACAAAACTATTAAACAGGAACTCTATATCCAGCAGACCAGTAAAGGTGTTTTTCAAAAATGCAGGAGAAATTAAAACATTTGTAAATAAATAAAAACAAGAGAATTTATTATTAGCACACCTGCCCTACCAAAAAACACTGAAGTGTTTCCTTTAGGCTGAAATGAGAGGATGCTAGACAGTAGCTTGTTTGTTTGTTTGTTTGTTTGTTTGTTTGTTTGTTTTTCCCCAAGACTGAGTCTTGCTCTGTTGCCCAGGCTGGAGTGCAGTGGCATGATCTCTGCTCACTGCAACCTTCACCTCCCAGGTTCAAGCAATTCTCCTGCCTCAGCCTCCTAAGTAGCTGGAATTACAGAGACCTGCCACCACGCCAGGCTAATTTTTGTATTTTTAGTAGAGTTGGGGTTTCACCATGTTAGCCAGGCTGGTCTCGAACCCCTGACCTCATGATCTGCCCACCTCAGCCTTCAAAAGTGCTGGGATTACAGGCGTGAGCCACTGCGCCCGGCTGACAGTAGTTTTAATCCACATGCAGAAATAAAATACTAGTAAGGTAACTACATAAGCAAATATAAAACACAGTATAAGTCTATCTTTTGTTTGTAGCTCTTTTTTCTTCCATTTGACTTAAAAGTCAATTGCGTAAAGAAATAATTATAAATCTATACTGACAGTCAAATAATACATAAAAATACAAATTGTAGAACAATAACATCACAAAGGAACAAGGAGAGATTGGAGCTATATATATTATATACTGTCTCAACTAAATTGGTATTAATCCAAACTAAATTATTAAAAAGAATATGTTCATTGTAATCCCCAGGACAACCACTAAGAGAATAACTCAAAAAAATAGTAAACATTGATAAGGGAATTAAAATGGTACACTAGAAAGTATCTAGTTAATAGAAAAGAAGACAGTAATGGAGTAACAAACAAAAAAAGACATGTAGAAAATGAAGACTGTCAGATTTAAATCCTTTACCAGTAACTATATAAACTATAATGCATTAATCATAATTAATAAGTATAATAATTATATAAAATATAAATGCATTAAGCACTTAAAAGAGATTGAAAGAGATTGGCAGAACAAATTTTTAAATGATTCAACTATTTGTTGTCTAGAGAAAAACACTTCAGATTCAGAGACACAAATAGGTTGAAAGTAAAAGACTCAAAAAAGATGTATCATACAACAAGTAATCAAAAGAGAGTAGAGTGACTGAGCTAATCCAAACAAAATAGACTTTAAGAAAAAATTGTTACTGAAGACTTTCTTCCTCCTGACACCAGATATGTAGTCTTTTGCAATAACACTTCTTCAACTCTCAAACAACTAAGTGTCCTATAATTCAATTTAGTTCTGACACCAACTGCACAGAATTAGCATTAGACTTCACAGGTTTGAGAGCTCAGTCCCACAAAACTGCCCTCACTTTAGACACTAGCCATAGATCCTCAGATTACCCAGACTTCTTTCTGACATGGCTACAAATCTGGGGTTCCTCATAACCTCCCCCATGGCCTCACATTCAGCTCAGTTTTGATAATTTGCCAGAACAACTCACAGAACTCAGTAAAGTGTTTTTACTTGCTATTCACCAATTATTACAAAGGAGACACATCGGAACAAAGAATACAACTTTTTGAGGCATGAAAGAGAAACACAGGACAGGGTATGGAGAGGGGAGGCACAGAGCTTCCATGCCACACTGGGCATGCAAATTTCTCAGCTTCTTGATGTGTTCACTAATCTGGAAACTCTCTGAACCTCATCATTTAGAATAGCTTATGGAGGTTTCATTACATAGGCACGACTGATTAAATCATAGTCTGTGATTAAATTGCTATTGATGATTAACTCAGTCTCTAGTCCTTCTTTTCTCCCTGGAGTTTGGAGTATGGGGCTGAAACTTCTAAAACTTGGCTTTTCTGGAGACCAGCTCCCTTCCTGAAGCTATCTAGTGGCCTTCCAAGAAGAGTCACCTCATTAGAACAAAAGACAGTTCAAAATCCATATCGCTTAAAGAATTCCAAGAGTCTTAGAAGCTCTGTGCCAGAAACTGGGGACAAAGGCTAAACATCTTTCTTATTATGCCACAGGGACCCTTTATAATAATAAAAATCAACTCATCAAGTGGAGATAACAATCATAAACACCAATAAACTTAGCTACTGTAGCAAAAACTATAGAATTAAAGAGCAAAATAGGCACAATTCAATGATAATAGATATTTGAATACCCCACTTTCTTTTTTTTTTTTTTTTTTTGAGATGGAGTGTCACTCTGGCACCCAGGCTGGAGTGCAGTGGCACGTTCTCAGCTCACTGCAAGCTCCACCTCCCAGGTTCACACCATTCTCCTGCCTCAGCCTCCCAAGTAGCTGGGACTACAGGCGCCCACTACCACGCCCGGCTAATTTTTTGTATTTTTAGTAGAGACGGGGTTTCACCGTGTTAGCCAGGATGGTCTTGATCTCCTGACCTCGTGATCCGCCCACCTCAGCCTCCTAAAGTGCAGGGATTACAGGCGTGAGCCACCACGCCGGGCCTGAATACCCCACTTTCAATAACGGATAGAACAAGCAGAAAGAAAACCAACAAGGAAATAGAATACTTGAACACTTACATAAACCAACAAGACCTAATAGACATCTACTGAGCACTCCACCCAACAACGGCAGAACATACAATCTCCTCAAGTGCAGCAGAGCATTATCCAGGAGAAACCATATGTTAGACCATAAAATAAGTCTCAATACATTTTTTTAAAACCCTGAAATCATACAAAGTATATTCTCAGGCCACAATAGAATGAAATTATAAACAGAAGGAAATTTTGGAAATCCACGACATGAGAAAATTAAACAACACACTCCTAACCAAAAGGCTAAAGAAGAAATCACAAGGGAATTACAAAAACTGCACATATCATTTTTTCTTACATTACATTGGCAAGAATTTAGACACATGGCAACACCATGGTCATGTATGGCCTGGAGGTGTCTTTATTCTGAAAAGTCATATAAAAAATGCAGCTCATGTTATAGTGGAAGAATAAGGGGACAGATACTGGGGGCTATGTATCAATCTCTGCCACATATGGTTGCTGTGGGAACAAAATAGAATAACATGTGAGCAAGACCTTTGCCATTCATAAACCATTATACAAATGTGAGTCATTATTATTTCACATTTGGTCAGGTTGAGAGGGACTCAGGCCATCTACAAGGCTGACTCAATCACTAAGTGAAAAAATGTTTTAAAAAACAGTCTGTGGATTTGAATTCAGCGTTTACTGGCCAAGGTTTCAAGCTCTCAGTGCAAGCACAGAAGAATATTTCTCCACGAAATTGATTAGAGAATAAAGAAGAGCCTCTTGCTTCTAACAAGTTGCCCTAAAACCTAGGTCCTCTGGTCACTGGCTCCCTGGGAGCTGGGAGTCTCTCCACAGCAGTTGCAGTTGTGGGCATTGCCAAGCACTGGGGGATTTGAAAAATCCACGTTCTTTCTCTCTGATAAACTCATTTTAATTGAACATGGTCATGCTTCCTAATTCTTCTAGAAGCTTTTAGGCAATTTCACTTTGTGCAAAAGAGAAGCAAGGAATATAGGTGACATAGAATTGAATTTTAAAAAGTCCTAGCCTATTGATTTATAATGCAGGCAGAGACTGGAGCACCTACGAAGTCTAATCACGGACCCATGACATCAGATTGAAGTAAACAAGCCATAAAACACCCTCTTTCTAAATCTGGTGTCCACAAAGCTCTGCTGACAGAGGGGTTAAGAAACAACCTGAATTACAATATCAGAGTTCAAAAGAGTTTCTATATATTAGAGAAACAACAAAAAATAAATAATGTGCTTCTTCCCAGAATTTCTCACTAAGGTATCCTTATAAAAATAAAGCACAATACCTAATATTCCTGTCATGTGACCTGTTATGCTCACCACAACCTAGAAATTTCTTTGGAGTCGATGTTATGTTATAAAACTGTATGTGAATTTTGCATTTAGCTTTAAAATATTTCTGTGTTGGTCTTCATGTTAAAATAGTATTTTAAATTACTTACCTTAAAATAACAATGATATTCCAAGGAGAATCGCCACTTGTAAATATGGCTACAGTACCCCATACAACATTGCACTCCCCTTGTAGAACTCATGGGGTAGGGCAGTGCCAGCGCTTGTGCAGTATTTCCTTACAGGTACCACACACAGGCCAAAAGGATCTCTGTTCTTGCTGCACCTCTAGCATTGTTTCTCTTCTGATGTGAGATTCATATTGAAAATGCTAGTTTTGCCTGAAGATTGTGTTACGAGGTACTCACATCAGAGCCTTGTGTTGATTGTCTGGGACAGCACATCCTCCTGGTCTATTTTGTTCACTGATATGTCCTAAGTGCCTGGAACAGTGTTGGAGACATGGTAGGTACTCTATTAATATTTGTTGGATGGCATATCATCTAGGGATCTCATTTGTCAGCCTTTTAGTCTATTAAATAAAGAAGGTATCTGATAGTACAAAATAAAATATTTAATGAAAGCTATTATTTATTGGGTGCTTTTTTGGTGCCAGGCATGTAAATACATTTCAACTCTACAAGAGATTTTTTGGGTCCACCTTTTACAGAGGAGGAAAATGGGTTCAGAAGGATTCAGTAACTTGTTCCAAGCCACATAATTAATAAGAGACCTTTCTAAAATTAATTCCTTTTCCATTAGGCCTCATTGACTCCTACCTTCAGAAGGGTACCCACTTTTAAGGCCAGTGATAGAAAAAAACCCTTTGCTCCTATGAGACGTCTCAAGGGCTTGATCCAAAGTGGTTTTGGAATTTGAATATCTAACACCTAGTCTGGTCTACCTGGCGTGCATCCACACCTCATTCATCTCAGGAATATTGTTCTGTGCTGTTCAGTGCTATAGTCTCTAACCACGTATGTGGCTAATGAGCAACTGAAATGTGGCTAGTCCTAACTGAGATGTGGAGTAAGTGTAGATTACATACCAGATTTCAAAAACTTAGTATGAAAAGAATAATATAAAATATCTCAATAATTTTCATATTGATGAATGTTGAAATTACAGTATATTATTAAAATTAATTTTCATTGTTTCTTCTTTTTTGTCTTGTGGCTACTAGAAATTTTAAAATTAGATGTATGGCTTGCTTGATATTCCTGTTGGATAGTGCTACTACAGCTTTTTAGTCCAATTCAATGTTCATTGTCTAGGCACCAAGCTACAAATAGAGGGGACACACACAAAATGCACAAGCCACAATTCTTGCTCCTCAATGAGCTTACAGCCATAAGGAAAAAAATGGATACACACACTAACAATTGTAGTACCAGGGAGCATGTGCAATCTATTACAGCATATAGATAGGTAATGTTACAAGAGCCCTCCCTAACCTCAGAGGTCAGTATTCTCCCGTCAAAGTGCTCTCTAATCAACCCATCAACACATGAAACAGTATTGTTGTGACTAAGGGTGTGTGATTTAGAACCACAAAGACCCAGATCCTGATCCCACTATTTACTAGCTCTGTGGCTTTGGCTGAGTAGTTCTCTGATGAGATTTTAGAATGCAGATAAAAATATCTGTTTCACCTGCCTCAGAAGGTTGCTACAAAAGTGGGTTGATAGAGACGTACCTTAATCTCATAAAGATTAAGTGAATTAACAAGAGTCTCTTATTAAGTTTGGGCTGCTATGACAAAATACCATAAACTGGGTGGCTTATAAACAACAGAAACTTATTTCTCACTGTTTTGGAGGCTGGGAAGTCATTTCCTCATAGATAGCACCTTCTACTTGTGTCCTTTTATGGTGGAAAGGATGAGGCAGCTCTCTGGGGCCTCTTCTAAAATGGCGTTTATCCTGTGGATGATGGCTCCCCTGCCCCCACACGACCTAATCATCTCCCAAAGGCCCCATCTCATAATATTATCACATCGGCAGTTAGGCTTTAACATATGAACTTTGAGGGGAGCACAAACATTCAGATCATAGAAATGGGCAAAGCACTTAGCACAGGGCCTGGCACACAGTAACTGGTACTCAGTTAAGTATTCCAATATTGATTTCTAAGTGGGGCTTACCATCATCCCTAATTACCTCACTCATTTACTTGTTACATGTTTTTTGTTTATCTCCCCCACTAGAAGGTCAGTTTCATAAAGATAAAAACTTTACTTAACACCCCTACATGTTCCACACCTAATCAAGAGCTTGACACACAGTGACACACAGGCTTTCAACAAATATTGCTTGAATGAGTCATTGGCCTTAAAAGCTATAAGCTCACAGCATGGAGAGTCTCATGAGGACAGAAAGCAGCAAGTTAAATACCAGGCTAAATCTGGGATTTTTTTTTCATCATATTTTCTTAGTAGCAAATTATTCATTTACCCCTAAACAGAGAACTGTTTGTGGGGGATAAATACCTTGAAAAATTGATAGAGTTGAGCATGAGACCTCCAAGATGCATTCCTAAACAGTGCTATGGGCTAGCTGGGCTGGATTCTGCTTTGCTCTGTGTGTCTGCAAGCAGATGTTTGCTTATAAGCAGAATAGATTAGAGGCCATAGAGGAAGAAAAAATTAGAATGAGACAGCTGCCATCCAGAAATAAATTTGGAACCAAAATTAATGTCTGAGAGGAATGTTTAAGAAACCTTGTCTTGTGGTGCACAATGCAAATGCTCTTTACAGCATCCCCAGCATCCCCACTAAGCCCATCGTTAAAGACCATTCCTTGTTAATGCACTGTGGGGCTGGAGCTGTGTGAAAGAAAGTGATGCAATGTTGGGTCTGGCCTCAGAATGAAAATACAATATGCCATGGCCTCACTAGGCAATGGACCTGCAGCTGAAAGTGGAATTATCCTCTGAGTGAGAGGACAGGGAAAAGGTATCCCAGAAATAAGAGAAAAGGGAATGAAGCAGAGGCACTAATGTCTATCATGTGAGATGGAGGGCATGTGGGTGTCCTGCTAGAGTGAGGAAGGAAGCAGTATCCCTTATTGGGAGCAGAACAATGACCCCCTAGGGATCTATCCAGAACAGAGAGAGACACTCTCACCTCTGAGCAGCAGAGCCTAGCTTAAGTTGCTCAAAAAGCACAGGGCGACAAAGTAGTGGTACCTAGCTCAGGCTGGATGAAAGATTGCTCATCTCCAGACGGTGCAGCCTGACAGCTCTAGTGCTTATCACCAAGGCACTAGGCTATGGCTTGGCTAGAACCATGTGAGTTGAGAGTGAGGCTGTTGTACCAACTAAAGATAGATACAAAGACTGTGCCCTTCCCTAGGCCTGTGGGAAGTTAAATGAGCTGAGGAAGCCGGTTTAACAATGACATTGTTAGGCACCAAGCCAGAGATCACAGGGCTCATTACCCATCCAGCCACCATTAACTGGATGAAGCTTCTTGGCAATGCAGGTTAAAATTTGGCCCAAATGTGATAAGCCTAAGTATCCCGCTGGAGTAAGCCCTTTCTTCTGGGCTGAAGCTCGCCACAAGTTACAACCTCAGACCAGAGCTGGAACATGTGGTTTCAGTACCTGCTTGCTGAGATGATGAATCCAAGCAGAAAAAAGGAGTGACAAACTCCTTGTTATTAGCAGCCAGAAAGAAATACCTAGAGTTTCCCAAACATACCAGGCTGTGTCTGCCGTGCATTTGAACTTGCACAGAACGAACTTTGGATTTGACCACCTGCTTGTCCCCTACTCATCTCCTCTGTAGCAACAACCCTGGACTCCAGGGAGGCCTAAATTCTCTGACCTTTTGGCCCTCATGGTGTTCCGTGAATTCTCTCCATTATAGCCCCGATACACTGTTTGGCTCTTTATTTGTAAGTTTGCCTCTCCAAGACAGTGAGCTTCTTGAGGATAGGAATATGTCTTGCTGTATTAATAGCTCCTGGCCTAAGGCCTGACCCATATTTGTTAGACTGAGTGAAACTAAATTGAGAATTGATGTAGCTTCGCTTGGAGTATTCTGAGATGCCCAATTCCTTTTTCTTATCCTTCCTTTCCCCCATTTCAGTTTCCATATTTTACTTTACACAGATTTCTTATATTTTGCAAACCCCCAAAGTGCAAGAAATTCTTTAAACTGAAAAGTCCAAAGATGTAAGGTTTTCAAGGGGCAGTAGAGAGACTCAGACATAATTGAGATTCAGAAACCTGGGTTCCAGTTCTAGTTCTGCCCTCACGGGCTGTGACACTGACCCAGTTCCTTCACTTTCTTCTGAAAAATCAAGTGGGGTTATTGAAACCTAGAATGTCTGAATTTGGTAGACAATAAAAAGCCATTTTAGGTTAATGAGTCAAAGAATAACTTCTAAGAGGGAGGTTAAGAGAATATCAAGCAAAATACTCTTTATAAATTAAATATTTGTAAATACAGAAAAGTCCACCAATACAGCAAACACATCAGAGAGTGATTGTTTCAGGGAAGGGCAAGGGAAAAGGGGAATTCGTGTAAAAGAAAATAAGTAAACAAAGCAAGTGCGGAACCTTGCTTAGATTAATGATGAGCGTTTTCCTTAAATTAAGGTATGCCCAACCCTCTGCATGTGAGGTCCCAAAAAAGGAGAGGGATGTAATCTACAAAATTCAGTTGGTCTAAATGGATTAAAGAGAGGGAGGAGCAGGGAGTTGCGATGTGTGGGCAAGAGCAGGGAGCAGGAGGGATTAGAGAGATGGGAGGGGCCCATATACACCCAGCAAGGCTGCGGAATGAGGAGCTTGAAGCATGTTTGTCTTGCCTAGGCCCATGGGCTCTACACTTTCAGGCCAGATCCCTTTTCACTAGGCCCTGCTAAAAAGGTAGAGAGACTTAACTAAAAAGCTTTCTCTGACTTTATGAAATGAGACATTATGTAAAGCATGAACTTAATTTAGATAATGGGGTTGACCAGAACAAACAGCAATAAAGCCGAAATGATTAAAAACACGTCAATCACATTTATCCCTTATGGCATATGATGTGTACACAGCCTCTCAATCAGCTGTGTGACTCCAGGCACTAGACCCACTAGCCTGGCCTCTTGGTGTTGAAAAAGTCAAAAGGTAAAAGCCTGAGCAGACCTTGAGTTTCTGGAGGCACAAAGAGGCACTTCTGTCACCACCACCACCATCTGCTGAAAATCTGCTCATTTTGAAAGTAACAGAAGAAAAGCAGCAACAAAAGATTACCCTGAAATTTTTCTCCTAAGCCCTGTTATGGGTCGATTTGTGACCCCCTAAAATTCACATGTTGAGGTTGAACTCCCAGTATCTTAGAATATGACTTTATTTGGCAATAGGGTCACTGCAAATGTAATTAGTTAAGATGAAGTTATACTTAGAATGCACTCCTAATCCAATATGATTGGTGTCTTATTAAAAGGGGAAGTTTGGACACAGACACCCACAGAGGGAGAGCACTCTGTGAAGATATAAGCAAAAATTCGGGTGATGCTTCTATAAAACAAGGAACAAATATTGCCAGCCAAGCACCAGGAGCTAGGAGAGAGGCAGGGAACAGATTCTTCCTCGTGGTCCTGAGAGAGCACCAACCTTGCTGATGCCTAGATCTTGACTCATAGCTTCCAGAACTATGAGACAAATTTCTGTTGTTTTAGCCATCCCCATTTGTGTTACTTAATTATAGCAGTCCTCACAAACTAATACAAGCTCATAATTTAAATTAATAAATAAAGAATAAGGTCTTACCTTGGCAGTGAGGTATCTTGGCCAGGAGCTCAGGCTCTCTGCTTATGAACAAAACTGTTTAAGTATAAAACCTGGCGTCATCATCTAGAAGCTGGGAAGCCACAAGACCGTTGCTTCACCTTTCAGCACTTCAGTCCTCTCAACTGTAAAATGGGTTTAATAGAAGTCTTACTTCATAGGATGAAATGAGCTCATACTGTTCTTAGAACGGTGCCTGGCTGTAATATGCACTCAATAAATGTTAGTGATTATTGACAGAGTGCACTGTAAATTGCAAAGCACTTTCATGTATTTCATTTCATCTTTCTTCAAATTCCAGGAGAGTACTGTCGTTATTCACATTTTAGAGCTGGAGATTCTGAGGTCCACAGGTTTTAACTGTGGCAACCTGGGGTATGTTTGAGATAGATGCAGATCTGGGTTGAAATCCCAACTCTCACTTCCTAGCTGTGTCACTTTAAGCATGTTTTATAAACCCCTCCAAATCTCGGTTCTTCTAGCTTTCAAATGAATAATTGTGAGAAAGATAAATGTGTGTTCGGTGTTTGGCCCATACTAAATGATAAATTATTTTGATAAATTATTTTCATTACTATTAACTAACTTGTCCAAAATCAAACCAATTAGTGGTAGAGCCAAAGAAGCTTGTAATGTTTTCAGCTGCACTTCACCGCCTTCTTGAGTGCAGATGGTCAACATTCAAGCTGGGGAAAGGTTGCAAGATGTGGAAAAACTGGGTCAGGTATTGGAGAGAAGGACAAGAAACAGTTCAGGCAATAAAGTGTAACATTCAGATGGAGGCAGGGAGAGGGCAGAAGGAGTCCATTGTAATTGATTTGCCACCAAATAACTGATGGGTTTCCTCAAGAAATGGTGTTGTATCAAGGGCTCAGCTTTGATCTCTGGCTCAAAGTTTGGACATTAAACAGCAGTAGTACACAGATGCTACTGGCATGGCTAGCCTCCATCTGTGCTGTGACTACTCAGTTCATGAGCCTATTTTGCCAGAATTAATTAGCTAGCTGACAACTCACCAAGTCATCTGTTTATTTGGTTGTTTATCTTCTGTTGTGGATACTCCCTAGTCGGTGCTATCATTCAACATAAAGGTCTTCAAACTTTATGTCTTTGGGTAGGCATAAAGTTTGCCTCCACCCAAAGTTGTTTAAATGCATAGTCCTGGAATCTATGAATATATTAGGTTACATGGCCAAAAGAAATTGAAGTTGCAGGTGGAATTAAGGTTGCCTATCAGCTGACCTTAAATTAGAGAGAGTAGCCTGGCTTAACCAGGTGGATCTAGTGTAATCACAGGGCCTTTAAATACAGAAGAAGGGAGCAAAAGTGTAGGTGTTAGAGTGATGCAATATGAGAAAGACTGGACTGGCCATTGCTGGCTTTGGAGATGGAGAAAGGCAGCGATGAGCCAATGAATGCAGGCAGCCTCTAGAAGTTGGAAAAGACAAGCAAAGTGATTCAGGATTCTAAAGCCTCCAGAAGAACTGTAGCCCTGCCAGCCCCTTGATTTTAGCCCTCTACAAAGACACTTTTTCCAAGTTAAGTCACATTCACATGTTCCAGATGACTTACATACATTCATAAACATACACGCTCACACACATGCATACAGTCATGTGTTGCATAACAAGTTTCAGTTAATTACGGACCACATATACAATGGTGGTTCCATTAAACTATAATGCTATATTGTTACTGTATCTTTTCTATGTTTAAACACACAAATACCATTTTGTTACAATTGCATAAAGTATTCTGTACAGTAACATGCTGTACAGGTTTATAGCCTAGGAACAGTGAGTTATACCATATAGCCTAGGTGTGTAGCTGGCTGCATGGCTTTACCATGTAGTTTTGTGTAAGTACACTCTGTGATGTTCATGTGACAAAACTGCCTAACAATGCATTTGTCAGAATGTATCCCCCTTGTTAATGTTAAATGACACATGACTTTGTCCCTCTCTCTATGTGTGTATGTGTATGTGTATATGTTAAATGACACATGACTTTGTCTATGTGTGTGTATATATACGTATATACACATATACACATATATACGTATATATACATATAAACACATATATGTATATATACATATACACACACATACGTATATATACATATACACACACATACACACAGCGAGACAAAGTCATGTGTCATCTAACATCACATATATACACATATATATATACAAGACACTTATATATATACACATATACACACACACACACCATTCATGAACTAAGTTCATGCTTTATCTTCCTCTGTCAGTGGGTTATGTGTCAGTCTACTTTCTCAAGCAGCCAACTTGTGCCCTCTGGCCCTATTCACGCCCAGTTGCAGATGTATCCCTCCCATTTTAAAATAACTTGCTGTTGAATTCATCCAACCTTATGATTTAACAGTTCTGATAAAAAACCTCAGCTCATTATGAACAGTTCCGGCTGCATAGTCACTTGATGTCTCGTGGTCAGATGTTGCATCTCTACCAGGACCCAGTAGCCTGCCAGGAGTTATTTTTAAAGTGGTGTCTAATTCTTTGCTGCAAATGGCTTGGCCGTATGCTGAAACCCTAGGGGTCTATGTTGTGATTCTCCTATTGGAGCTTAATATAAACTTCACACACAACATATTTTCCTACCACAGATACCTCAAGTACCACAGAGTCTGTCAGATCATATGGCCCAAATCTAGGACCATTTGCTCATGCAGCCTGGATTTTCTGAAGAGCCTTTTTCTGCTCAGGGCTCCACTGAAAGCTGGTAACCTTTCATGTCACTTGGCAAATAGATCGCAGCACTATTCTCAAGTTTGAAATATGATTCTCTAAATGTGAAAAGGCCTACCAGGTATAGTGCTTCCTTCTTACTGGTGGAAGATGTAAGATGCAACAATTTGTCCTTTTTTTGGAGAAGATATTTTACCATACCCAGACTCCTGGTCCCCTAAAAACTTTATTATTAGGGCAGACCTGAATCTGTGCAGGGTTTACATCCCACACCCTGGAGCGCACCGTTTTACCAAGGCCCTCATCGTAATTTCCACTTCTTGCTAATCTGACTTGATTAACAAAATGTCCTTAATAGAGATGTGTACTGAGATGTGCTGCACAGTGTTCAGGTGGTTCAGATCCCTTTGGACTATAACTGAGAGCAGTAGAGTTAAGTGACCCCGAGACAAGATCTTAAATGTATACTATTGTCTGTTCCATGTAAACTTGAACTGCTTCTGCTTCACATTTCTAATAGGGATTTAAAAGGAATGCATCTGTCAGATCAATGGTCACATAGTATGTACCTGATATTGTGTTAATCTGCTCCAGCACAGCAGATTATGTGTTGTGATATGGCTGAGTTGTGATCTGTTAAGATCCATCTGACTTCTGTAGGGAACAGGCTGATGAATTAAATGGTGATCTGATGGAAACCACTACCCATGCATCCTTTATGTCTTTAGAGTGGCACTCATCTCTGCCAGCCCTCCTGGAATACGATATAATTTATTTTGTTTTTTTTTCTGTGGTGTGGGGGGTTCTTTTTTTTCTTTTTCTTTTTCTTTTTTTTTTTTTTTTTGTGAGATGGACTCTCACTCCATCGCCCAGGCTGGAGTGCAGTGGCTTGATTTCGACTCCCTGCAATCTCTGCCTCCTGGGTTCAAGTGATTCTCATGCCTCAGACTCCCAAGTAGCTGAGATTACAGGCAACTGCCACAATGCCCACCTAATTTTTGTATTTTTAGTAGAGACAGGGTTTCACCACATTGACCAGGCTGATCTCAAACTCCTGAACTAAGGTGAACCACCCGCCTCAGCCTCCCAAAGTGCTGGGATTACAGGTGTGAGCCACTGAACCCAGCTACCACATAGTTTTATTATTCTGTCTTGGCCAGGAGTGGGTGACACAGGGGAAAGTTCAGAAACTTTTACATAACCTTTCTTCACCCTTACCATGTTAGCTCTTATCCCATAGATTAAGGAACAAATGTGAGAGTTCTCTGAGCTACAAATATGTCCATTCCAATTGTATATATATAGTGATGACAGAAACTACTGTTAGGGGAGTCCATGGACCCAAAGGTCTCACTATTTAACAGACTTGGGCCAGGCATCCATTTACTACATGGTCCTCACATGTCTTCACTCTAATGGGGATAGGGGCTTGAAGCCACTTTATTTTCCTGTGTATCAATGTCAATTCAGACCCTGTGCACAAACTCCTCAGATTTCTTGGTATTTCCCTTTCCTTAGTATATGACTAGGCAAGTAAATTGTCAGAGGTCCCTTGGGGGGACTATCTGGGGAAATCATTACTGTATACCTTTGCCACCCTTGCATGATGCTTCTTCAGGGATAAGCATTGACTCATTGACTCTCCTTGAGTCAATGAGTTCTAAGTTTGAAAACAGGTGTTGAAACTGGAAAGGAATCCTCTGAGCACATATCTTTAGTTTGTTTAGTTATATAAACTAAGCAGTCCTCTTACAGCCTTGCCAAATATCTTGCCCTAAGAATATTGAATTCTATTAATCTATTAATCTGGACTTGCCATGAAGGGCAATAAGTGGGCTCACATTGCTTCTGACATTATGGTACTGCCATCCTGGACTCTAGTACTTTCAGAATAACATCATTCTCATTGCTATCAGGGAGCCACATTCTGTAACAACAGCTCTTACACCTGCTTTGGCCTAACAGAGGAGAAGCAATCACTAAACTTCTCAGTGATGCTGGTACCTCTCTTATCTGTGCATTTTTTGTCAATTTGGCAAGTAAATTGTCCTCTGGCCTGGGCCCTCCTACAGAATATAGCTTGTGGGTTATCCAGCTTTGTGTAGCATATCAACTCCAGCATGCTCATTTCTCTGAGCCTTTTATTCCTTCCTCCACCATCTTCCGGAACAGTTCTTGCTCAGTTACTTCACTTGATGTTGGCTACCACTTTTTCCAAGCTTCCAAAAGCATTATAACAGTGTAGATCTGTCTCCTAGTGTCTTTTCCAAGGTGTTGAATTCTATAACACAGAAGAGTATTCTCTATTAAAAAAAAAAAAAAAACCCTCTCTCTCTTCCAACTTTGTGTTCTATGCCCCTGGATCCTGTATTCTAGAACCCAGTCCTATCTATCCTCTCACAGCTCCTGCTGGACATGCTGACTAGGTCCTGTAGCTCCTTCAGTGTGTATTTCCCTTTCTCCTCTAACAGGTGCAGCATTTTCCAGGACAGTTGATGTGGGGACTTACTATAGCTATTGAGCTGGTCCCTGGAAGGGGATATAGGAGTAGGTTCTGAGCATGCAGTTGTCTCTCAAGGCAGAGGCTTCTGAGCTGTCTTCAAAGAAAGCGAAGGTGCTAACTTTCAACAGGGAGGAATGGGCCACTTCTGTAAGTCTAGAGGGTCTAGAACCATCTGGACATTCAAGATCAGTGAGTGTACATAAGCAGGTGTTGCCATCCTAAGGCTCAGAGTCCCGTCTCTTTCTGACCAGGAATCTAAGCTTCTTAGAGCAGACACCTCAGGGTTGGGAATTCCGTTTTTTCTGGACTTCCGCCACCTTTATAATTAAATCCTGGGCCTTATCTCCAGCCTTTTCTGTTACAAAGGAAACTCTCTGTCTCTCACAACTTACCTTTAACTGGTGATCAGTTATCCTCAGCCTTCTTTCTCCAATGTATTAGACGTTCAATGGCAGTCCTCTGATTCCACAGTCTATAAAGTCTTGCCAAATGCCTGAAAGAAGTCTCCTTTCAAGGAATTCCCTGTCAAATGTTCTGATCAGAAACTCAGCCTCTCAGCTGCCCTTTCCAGATCAGCAGGTCCCCCTAACGGAAAGGGGGCTCCAAATATGGGCTCTTCCATCCACAACTCCATATTATCCCAGATCTTGCCCTTAATTATGCAATACTTTGCAAG
The DNA here is from genome assembly GCF_000001405.40 of Homo sapiens. Taxonomy (NCBI): domain Eukaryota; kingdom Metazoa; phylum Chordata; class Mammalia; order Primates; family Hominidae; genus Homo; species Homo sapiens. Next base: position 162,896,496 of record NC_000001.11, on the reverse strand, counting down.
TTTTCTCATTACTTTTAGGTAGATTTTCTACCTAAAGCACAATAGATGGTCTGAAGTACCTAGTCAGCTGTTACCAAAAGAAGAAATCCTATTTGTCCGTGTTTTCTTTTCCCTTTTTTTTTTTTTTTTTTTTTTGAGACGGAGTCTCACTCTATCGCCCAGGCTGGAGTGCAGTGGTGCAATCTCCGCTCACTGCAACCTCTGCCTCCTTTGTTCAAGTGATTCTCCTGCCTCAACCTCCTGAGTACCTGGGATTACAGGCATGTGCCACTGCACCCAGCTAATTTTTTTTGTATTTTTAGTACAGATGGGGTTTCACCGTGTTGATCAGGCTGGTCTCTAATGCCTGACCTTGTGATCCATCCACCTCGGCCTCCCAAAGTGCTGGGATTACAGGCGTGAGCCACCACGCCTGGCCTTGTCCATGTTTTCTAATGGGTAAGTCATCTCCGTTTTTTTTCTTAATGATTTAGATGTTCTCTCTATAAATTAAGAATATTCATTGGCACTGCTCATGTGATGGGTGCATCAAAATCTCAGAAATCACCACTAAAGAATTTATTCTTGTAACCGAACACCACCTGTTCCCCAAAAACCTACTGAAATAAAAAATAAAATAGTTGGGTTTTTTTTTTTTTTTTTTTTTTTTTAGAAAAAAGAATATTTGTTGGCTGTCACATTGGCAACAAATATTTTCTCCTAAGTTTGTAGTTTGGCTTTCGACATAATTAAAGTCATAATTTTTTTTTAAGATTTCTTTACGTAGTCAAATTTATCAAACTTTTTCTATGTAACTTTCTTGTTTAAAGGCCTTGTTCATTCCAAGACTAGCAACATATTACCCAGTGCTTTCTTTTGGAAATTTTATGAGTCATTTTTTATGTTTAAATCTCTAAACCATCTGTAATTCCAATTTTATTTTCCACAGGAAGGATAAGGGAAAATTTTGAAAAAGCTTCCTAAAATATTTTGCATTTCATTAAATCAGAAAGAAAAGTACCAGATCTTCCTTCTAATTCTCCATTTTTTACATAACATTCTCTAAGTAAGCTACAAATGCATCTTTCACAATAAAAATTTGAAAAATACAGAAATGTATATGGAAGAAAAAAATCAACAGTAAGTCCACCAGTTAAAGATAATTCTTATTATTTTTGGTGTATTTATTTAGGTACAAGTATAGTTTTTATAAAATGAGGGTCATACACTATATAGAAATTTGATTTCTGATTTTTTTAATTTAATATTAAGCCATGAAATTTTAGCTCTATATCATTACATAGTCTTCAAAAACGTAATCTTAAAGGGCTACATAATAGATGTAGTATTATATAAATATTGGAATGATAACCATTTCAACAATTCAGGAATGAACCAATAAAAGAAAAATTAATGAATTAAGATGTGCATGTTTAGGATATTTTCAAATAACTCTTCTAACAGATAATAGTAATTTCTACTTCCGCCAACTGTGTTTGAGAGCACTTGCCTCAAACTAAATATTTTCTTTTAATCTCTACCATTCTGGAAGGTGACAACTGGCTTATTGTTAGGAGCCTTTTATATACCATGGAATTGCCTTGGAATGCTAGTGCACAAGAGGGATGTCTCAGGATTTAAGAAAATCCCTTAAAGTCTTCAAGTCCTCAACTGTTCCAATCCCGAGAAAATTAGACATTCGTCCCAGATTCCCATTTATACCAAAGCAAAAAACCATTGTCTTCCTTCTCTAAGTGACTAAAGCCCCATCCAGGACAAATGGTCTATCACACTGTGGGTTATTGTGATTCAGAAAAGTTGTATATTCTCTGATCCTGTCTCCTGAGTAGAAAGCCTAAGTTTAGATCTGAACAAATTTGAGAATTGCAGAGTTAATTAGAAGGTAAAGGGTGGAGGAGAGGAAAGCATAGAGGACAGGGAGGAAAAAGAAAAAGAAGATATTTGTTGGGTCTCATCTCTTATCATTTGTCCCAACGAATCTGAAGAAGCCCCATGGCTGACACGGAAGTCAGGCTCCAGCCAAAACTTAAAATGGAAGTCTCATTTAGAGAGTGGTTGTTTAATCAAGAAGGTATGCTTTCTCCACACTTAATAACAACTATGGAGTAGCCATGAGATTAAGCAGTGTCAAAAAGGGATGGTTGAGGGTCATTAAACCAAGACAGTCTCCAGGTCTTTCTGGTGAGTGGATTCTTCCTCTGAGCTGTTAAAGAAATCATTTACCATCACCAAGCCTCAGAGTTTTCATTTGTAAACAAAATGGAAGAAGAAAGGCAGAAGAAAATAAAAACAGCATTTATCAAAGGCTTTCTATACATCAATCACTATATATATGTATATATACAACATATAATCTAATTTGATCTTCACGGCAACCCTATATTATTATTCTCATTTTACAGGTGAGAAACTGAGGCTCACAGAAAAGTTCAGAAAATTAACATGGTTACACAACTAGGAAGTAAATGCAGAGCCAGGATTTCAATGTAGTTGTCTAATTCCAAAGCTCATGTGCAGTCTACAAAATTCTGATGTTACCTTGAGCAAAGCATTTAACTTCTGAAGACTTGATTGTCCTATTTTTAATATAAAACAAACAAAAGTAATTACTCAGAGTTATCAAAGGTAGGGACATCCTTTATTTCCCTGAAATATAGGAGGTTATTTGTAAATGTGATTATGGTGATGCTTTTGTATTTGTAGAGTTGTAACATGAGAGAGTCTGTGGCTCAACATTTAATTTAGTCCTATAATTACCTATTTATAGCACAGGAAACCAGCATGGTCTATAAATAGTGGGTACTAAAATCTTTTTGTAGAAATTCATAAATTGAAATTTAACTAAATACTTAAATATGCTTGTGTTTCCATCAGTGATTATTCAGTTAAAACAATGCAAGTCTGACACGACAACTGGAGTCAGAAGTATTGTGAAATGCAGGAAGGGGAAGGAAACCTACAGTGGGCCCAGCCTTTGATCTCTGTGACCTTTTGTCCCTTCCATTTACCAACTGCAGTTCTCTGTCTCTTTTCCTCCTCCCATTGAAACCCACTATCAAGAGATCTAGCATCAGGTATTTACAATTAAGGATACATTTTAAACAGCATGCTATCAGGTATTTAAATTATTTGTTCCTTAGCTTAGCGATCTCTGGGTATTTAAATTATTTGTTTTTAGCTTAGCGATAGGAGGTACAGAAGCAGAGGAGAGAAAGGGATGAAGGAGTGAGAGAAAGGGAAAGGGACAAGAAGATGGGCTTTGTTTTTTATATTGACAATGATGTTACAGTTAAATCAACCCCCAACACCTGAGATCAGGAGAGAAGGTGGTTAGGAAGTAGGGAGCAATTCTGTTCTTCTTTTCTCCCACTAGAAAGATTGCAGACATTGTGCAAGAATGTGGGTTGGAGACAATGTGATGTAATGGGATGAACACTGGCTTTACATTCTAAGACCTGGGATTTGATTCTTACTCTGCCACTCTCTAGCTTCAAACATTAGGCAAATTACCCTTCTTATGGGGGCTTTTATTTATTCAACTGCAAATTTAGGAGGTCGAAGTCACAACTTCTAAGGACCTTCATACTTCGATTTTCTATGATTCTAGTACTTGAGCACTTTTAGAATGACAGGATGTAGATTAATTATTATTTTGCTTGAAATGTATAAATAAACAGGTTTATACAACAAGAAGAATACTTTCAAGCCAAATTCCAAAAGTATACTTCCTCTTTTCTGGTACGTGGAATAAATCCTTGCATGCTGAGATTAAATTATTGTTGTTTTTCTCACCAACACTCCTACCTATCAGTACACGTCATTTCCACCTCAACCTGGGGACACCTCCTTTTCCCCACACAGCTCCCTTCACCCCTACCACCCACTACCTTGCAAGTAGCCTCCTCTCCTCACTGGGCATTAAAATGAGACTGAACTCTGCGTCTTGAGTTGCTTGGCACAAAGCAGAGTGTGAAGGGGAAGGGGATGGTGGTGCCTCACACCTCACAGGATTCCTGGGGATTTAGCAGGGTCTTGTGCATGCAAACTGCAAAGCGTACACAAGGGAATGATATAGGAGTTTAAAAAAATATTGAGGCAGTTAGTGAGGGTACAGGAGTCCTCAGTAATGTTTCTCTTTTTATAAAAAAGCAGCCCCCAAATCATTTCTTTTCTAACAAAAAGCAGCCTAGGCTGGGTGCAGTGGCTCATGCCTGTAATCCCAGAACTTTGGGTTGCTGAAGTGGGTGGATTACCTGACGTCAGGAGTTCAAGACCAGCCTGGCCAACATGGTGAAACCCCGTCTCTACCAAAAATACAAAAAATTAACCGGGCTTAGTGGTGGGTGCCTGTAATCCCAGCTACTCAGGAGGCTGAGGCAGGAGTATCACTTGAACCCAGGAGGCAGAGGTTGCAGTGAGCTGAGATCGCACCATTGCACTCCAGCCTTCCAGCCTGGGTGACAAGAGTGAAGCTCCATCTCAAAAAAAAAAAAAAAAAAAAAAAAAAAGCAGCCTAAAAAATCAAGCTGCAAGCATAGATAAGCAAGCTAAAAGCTTGTAGCTATGCCAATAGAAAATGGATACCTGGAAGCCAGGTATGTTTAACATAGAGATTTTCTCTACCCTTTTCTTTGTAGCCACATGTACAGGTGTCGTGGTGCCAGCCAGGTAAAGACTTCATTTGCATAGTAAAAGATTAGGGTGGGATAGCCATCCCCTTCTCTGGCTATGTAAACAGCACACCTGGTCCAACCAATCCACTATGCCCTGTGTAAATCAAACACCACCTCCTCAAGCTCCTCTATAAAACCAACCGCATCTTGCCCCAAACCCTGAAACCCACTTGGGTCCCCTTCACCTGCACAAGGAAGCTCTCTCTTCTTTCTTTAGCCTATTAAACTTTCCGCTCTTAAGCCTACTCCTGGTGTATCTGTCTTCCACCTTCTTAGTACAAGACAATGAACCTCAAATATTTCCCCAGAAAAATGATGCCGCTTCAGGAAAACTAGAAGGAATGACGGTGACAAGGAGAAGACATGCCATAGAGTTTTTTACTCTCTGTTTCAATAAACACCCCCTATTATTTAACGTTGAATATGTATGTAACAGAGGATTCTGTACCTGCCGCTGTCCTGTTCCTTTTGTGTCCTTTTATCCCCTTTTCCTCCAGCTGTCTAAGGTTAGAGTATTACCTTTGTGTGGAAATTTGTTGGTGGCCATGTGGCTTCACTGCTTGACATAAAAAGCCATGTTTGCTTTTTTTTTAATCTTACTAAGCAAAAATAAACATCTCACCCTTTTGGATAAAAAGACTCTGTGACTCTTTCAATCACTCAGGCATTGTGCTAGTGTGAACTCATCATGGGCCCAAGTTTCATGGAGCTGCAGTCGGGTGTTGCATTCCATTCCCACTCTTTCCAAAAGTGTTCAACCTCTCTGTGCCTCAGTTACTTCTGTAAAATAGAAATAAAGGCCGGTGCGGTGGCTCATGCCTGCAATCCCAGCACTCTGGGAGGCCAAGTTGGGTGGATCACAAGGTCAAGAGATCGAGACCATCCTGTCCAACATGGTGAAACCCCCTTGCTACTAAAAATGCAAAAGTTAGTTGGGCGTGGTGGCAAAGGCCTGTAATTCCAGCTACTCAGGAGGCTGAGAGGCTGAGGCAGGAGAATCGCTTGAACCCAGGAGGCAGAGGTTGCAGTGAGCCAAGATGGCGCCACTGCATTCCAGCCTGGTGACAGAGCGAGACTCCATCTCAAAAAAAAAAAAGAAAAAAAAACCAAAGAAATAAAAATATTACCTACTATAGAATATGGTAACAATTATAAGATATAATTCAGCTAAAGTGCTTATAACAGTATCTATCACATAGTAAATATGTACTAATTAAGGAAAATCCCCAATTGCCTTCCTCAGATTGCAATATTTTGGCAATTATAAGACAGTAATCTGAATGGTGCCAACAGCCCCCAGGTCTCTCAGTTGACCTGCAGCATATGCTAATACCAGGCAAATCACCTACAAAACCACCTAAGCATCCTCCAGGTACTGACCCGACAAACTCAAACTATCACCGTCTTCATGAGACATAGCCATAAGCTGAGCCTCTGCCAGCTCTCAAGCCACAGCCACTCTAAATCCTTCTGATAGTCCATTCCTCTGGGCTCCCTTCCTCTCTTGATAGCACCCTGGACCTCCCCTCTCCTTATGCCTATTCTCTTCCCTTCCCGGCTGACAGCTCTTATCATAGTTGTGTAAGTGCAGGCTGCTGAGGGAAGGAGAGAAGTTGGCTTCTCTCCCAAGGCAAACAATTAGCGAAGCATTAACTTCTCTTAATGGGCAAAGCAACATTAAGCAGATGGAAGCCCAGACCCAGGTCACTTTGCAGAGAGCCAAAGCTGTGATGGGTCTGCCAGTGTTCATATATGACCTCTAAATTGAAACTTAATTGGCCATTAATGGAATTCATCTAATTAAAAACACTTGTAATTAAGCATGAAGAAGAAAAAGAGCCTGAATTTTGGACTTGGAGAAAGCAAAACTACATTTGATATGGTCAATAAACCCATACTTGAGAGCATATTAAATTACCTCCTGTCCTCCATCATATATTGCTCACACCACATCAGAAAGCCCTCTTGGTGCCCTCCCCTCCCTGGTTTCACCATTGACAGTGGGGGCAGTAACTCCAGGGTGTCCCCTGAGAAGTAAGAAAGTAGGAATAAGGAAAACCTTTGGAAGTATAATGGAATTGATGCTATATTGGAACAGGGAAACTTTCCCCATTCGGGAACCCCAAGACATAAGGGGTCTTCCCAGATAAGAATGCAGGTTTATAAACTCATTTTTTCCTATATTTCAACATATAGCATAGTGACCTTTAAAGCAAAGGCAAAATTAAGAAAATAGATGATCAGAGATGTCAAGTCACTTGCCCAGTGCCACAGGGCAGTAAACGGCAGAGCCAAAGCTTTACAGTAATCCTGCCTTACCACTCTCATAGTGAACAGGAAAAATAAAATGAGATGAGGTATGTGAAAATACCTTGTAAACTATCAAGCATATAACCAGTAGATCTAATTTTACCTTCTTGGCATGAAACAACGGCATCTCAAATTTATACGCCACAATACAACTCCTACTCCCGCTGTATATGTAAAGCACTAGCCCAGTACCTGGCAGTTACAGGGCAGTATAGAAGAGTGGTTAAGAGTACAGGCTTTGGAGCCAGGATGTCTTAGCCAGATCCTGACTCCATCACTTACAAACTATGTGACCTCTGGGCAAGTTACCTTTCTATAGCTCAGTTTGCCCATCTGTAAAATGAGGAAAACAATAGTCCTATCCTATAGGATGGGGTGAATGCATAAAATACTCTTTGAATGCATAAAATACTCTGGAACATAATGAGCACTCATGAGTGTTAGCTATCATTACTGATCTGCCAAGACTAACAAGAAGTCCAGATTTTACCCAGAGCTCCCCTTCCCTGAGGTCTCCAAATCTCTCTGTGTGCTTACTGGCATGTGTAACAAGATCATTTCTAGCTACTTTCCCAGTGCAAACATGGAGCCAAGATGCAGATGTAATCCCTGGGGTCTGCAGGAGGCTACAATAGCTGCCCCAGATGCATCTCTGCACTGCTGATGCTGCAAGCACAACTGCCGAAAAGTGGGGACCTTACACTACCCCTTGCTGGGGGCCTACTTAAACCAGCACCACCCAGACCCTATTCTGTCAGGGAGAGAACACTCCTTCCCTCTGGGTCATGCCATCACAAGCACAGCCTAGGTTTGCCTAACTATAGCATAAGCTTAGATGTGTCTAAGGGTCTCTTAACGATGTCAACCTGCCTCCCTCCTTGTCCTCCCACCATACAATGAAAGTCATTACAGGCTTCCCAATACCCTAGAGTCTAGATCTGACCTAATTCTGGCCCAAAAAGAAGAGGAAGTCCAGCCTACCTATTTCTGTCCCAAGATTAACTCCTTTCAGGGCTGGTGTCATGGGTATGTGATTGGTGAAGTCTCACGGGGTCCTATGCTCAGAAAGATCCCACACTTCAGACTTAGTGCTCTGTGGTCACCAACTTGAAATTCTTAATAATTTTATCTTTTAATTTGTGTTTTGTAAGTGAAATCCCACAGGACAGGGGAACATGTGCCAGGGGTTTGAAGCTCTGAGGTCCTGCTGCCTGTCACCTCCCCACCTCCCCGGGACAGGTTCTAGGCCTCCCCCTCCTCATAGCAGTCCCCTGACTGTCCTCTGCCTAGGATGACTGCATTACTTAGGCAGGGGGTCAGCATTCATTCTGTCATTGCCCTTTGTCCCCAGGGCTCCTGAGCATGGGAAAGAAGAGAGCTGAGTGAATGTCTTGGCTGGAGCAGGGCAGCAGTCATCCAACCACACCTGGACTGGCAGTACCAAAGAGCACTTGGCAGGTGACTGGGGATGAGTGGCAAGGGATTGGGGGCGGGAAGAGGAGCTCTCACCACATCCCATGGTGTCTTCCTGCCCACCAGAGTTTAGGGCCATGGGCCATAGCAAGGAGAGATTGATTCCCCCATTCCTGGTCAGGGCCCACCTTTCCATTTTGCACTGTGTCTGCAAATTACATAGTAAGCCCTGACACTTTCTCAGGATGACTGGCCTTTGGTAACACCAATTATTTTTAGAGAAAGCTCCATTGTTACCACAGGAGCATGGTCAGACTCCATGACCCCAATTAGTCTGGGTGTTTGTAGCTTATCTGTGATTACCTTATTACATTCCAGACATCATGCAAATATGAAATCATGATTATACCACAGGATTTCATATATTATTAAATTCCTAAAAGTATGCCCTCAGGATTCCATTGCTCTCAGGCTCCATTGTGATCATGATAATAACGGTAAGTAGACCTGAGAATCATAGAAAGTCTAACTTTGTTATACAACCAGAAACAATGAGAGAAAATACTGTTCAGGAAAATGTTCATGAAAGGGGAGGGTCAAGAATACTAGGCCCAACTGGGCACGGTGGCTCACACCTGGAATCCTAGCACTTTGGGAGGCCGAGGCGGGTGGATCATCTGAGGTCAGGAGTTCAAGACCAGCCTGGCCAACATGGAGAAACCATGTCTCTACTAAAAATTATTTCGGCATGGTGGCGGGTGCCTATAATCCCAGCTATTGGTGAGGCTAAGGCAGGATAATCGCTTGAACACAGGAGGTGGAGGTTGCAGTAAGCTGAGATCACGCCACTTCACTCCTTTACTCCAGCACCTGGTGAAAGAGCAAAACTCCATCTCAATAAAATAAAATAAAATAATAAAAGAATACCAGGTTAAGACTCCTATTAATTTAATAAGCTACATAGAGGTTTACAAATTTTTGAGCAGGGAAATAGTTTTCTAAACACAAAGAAGTAAGTACAATCAAAGCCAACCTTTAGGTACCGTCTTTGGCCATCATGTCTAGGAGACAGGCTGAGTAGCCATCTAAGCACCACATCATTTTCCAGAAAATAAATATGACTCAAGACAGTATCTCATTGCAGCTGATTCCCCAGTGTGTTTAGGTTCCTGTTGTATCTGTTCACACACAGCATCTCTATGTAAAACTGTCACTGAACAGTCATCCCTGACAGGGTGGGACACATAGAGAGCTTTCTAAGGAATTGTATGCTTTTCTAAAAGAACTGTGACTCAAACTAAACTATTCCATTTCACTTATCCCCACCCACTCCAAGAACTAAACATTATTATTGATTATCCAGAGATAAAAACAATTCCTCATGATGCTTCGAATGGTCCTTAATGTCACAATTTCATTGTCTACATGTTATTCCTTTTGCGTAATTGTATTGGGGGGTTTGGATGAGGTACAGCAGCTGCCTTCACTGCCTAATTTTTCTGTAGCTTTTGGCCACCTTTTTATTTTCTAAGGAACCAGCTGTGTGGCTCAAGAAGCAAGGTATTGGCTAAACGAGTGGGGATGCTGCTAGTAGGAACAGAAGAGTTAACCCTGGTTAAAATAGACCTAAATGCTTCCTCTTCCCTTTAGACAGTGGCCCTACTCCAAAAAGAAAGTTCGCAAATTCCACCTACAAAACAGTAAAGTCCTAATAGTCCTAAAGAGCTTGTGGTTGTAAGCTTCACCTATGGGTCAAACGGTACACCCCTCAATAGCAGAAATGCATCCGGTTCATCTCTAGGACCTAGCACAGTGTTGAAATGCATTCGATGCAGAATGAATGCTCATGGAAGGAAAGAAGGAATAGACCAGCCATGACAATGTGGTAAATAATGCGAAATAATGTGGGCTTTTTTTCCCAAACACAAATCTCCTCTACTAGTTTTAGATAATTTTTCTGAGAGTGTTTTTGAGCACAGAGCTAAACGCGGCAAATAATTGAAGGCTATGAGCCTCACAAGGTGAGGCACCACACAGAGTTTATGTTTGTAATAGTGTGCTGAGCATGGTGCCAGACACAGAGTAGGTGGTCAATAATTATTTGTGAAATGAAAATGTGCCACTTCCTGTGACTGCACTGAGTCAGGTCAGGCCACCAGCCCCTCTAGCATAATTGCACTTTGTTGTTTGTCCATGATTTTGAATGCCGGGATAAGATCTTATCACAGAGCTCTCATGAATCTCTGAGTAAAATCTACACTAGAACCCCCTTTCCTACTTTATCAAGAACCCCCATTGGTTCCCCATATTGGTGACTCTTATAGACCCCTGCTTTCCTTCTAGCTGGATAAGAGCAAGAACACGCTGACAAACCTATCAGGATTAACTGAGGCAGAGCAGGGACCAGAGAACTCAGCATTCTCCCTCAACCACTTACTTTCCTACTCTCTTTTCCCTGGGGCCTGAATAATACGGTTAGAGAAGGTTAAACAAAATAATGATGCACCGTTTAAAACATGAAAGAGACCCACCAGCCCCTAATCTCTACAAATCCCTATCAGTAGAGGCTGCATTGATCAAAATGGTCAGCTTGGCCAAGCTGCTGCTTGGTTTCAGAAACTCTCCTGGTTTGAACTCTTGATGGGTAACAGCCCAGTAGGATGTAGCTCTGGCCTGTCAAAGAAAAAACACAGACCTGCTCCATAAATTCCAGGCTGTATTGTTCTTATCACCCATGGGCTGTGATTGAAGGATGGATACCATCAATTTGATCTAGTCTGTTTACAAGTAATACGAAAATAGAAAAAGAAAAAGATCAAAGTCCAGTTAAGCTGGAATACTTCCCTGCATCTCCAGGGCTCAGATTGCAATAGCTATGGATAAACTTTCCCTGGACCTGATGGATGTCTCCCTCCCCAACTCCCACCACTCTGGGGAGAGGAAAACAATTCCCAGCAAGGGATAACCCAGCCATAACCTCTCCAAAACATGAGCTCTATCAAGATGCTTGAAAACATAAGATATTAGTTTTAGAAAATACAAGCATTTTTCCTCAGCACAAATGCATCATTGTTACCTAAGGAGCAATAAACTGGTTGTTAGAAACACCAGTCTTTGATACCAGTGCATGACAGATCTCTTGCCTCTAGGGGAAAATGCACACAAGACGAGAAAGCTCAATTCTAAGTTTTCCTTTAAGGAGCATGTATATTGATTACTGCCTCACAGAGACAAAACAGGTAAGATGTATGACCACTCATTTTTTATACAAAAAGAGATTCAGCATCAAAATATTATAAAGATAGATGTAAATTCTGGGCAGAGTTCATTTGTTAACTTTCTGATAACTATAATGTTATACATAATAAGGGCCATTGCTTTGGATATATAGGGTGCCCAGTGATCTTCAAAGTAGAGGCCCCAGATCAGCATCAGTATCATCTGAGAGCTTGTTAGAAATGCAATTTTCTGGGCCCCACTCCAGACCTACTGAATTAGAAACTCTGGAGATGAGACCCCGTGACCTGTGCCTAAACAGCCCCTATAGGTGATTATGATTAAGTATTAACATACTTAAGGTGTTTTTCAAAATACTGATGCCTGGCCCCCACCCCAGGGACATTCTGCTTTAGTTAGCATGCAGTGTGACTTTGGCATCAGGATTTTAATAAGATCTCTAGGTGATTCTAATGTGCAGCCAAGTTTGGGAACCACTGGGCTGAGTTCAGAATAGATTCCCTCACAGACCTCTCATCATTCATTGGATCTAGCATTTGCAGCCACTTCCATTTTGAAGAGCAAATTTTCAAGGAGTTATTCACCTGTCAAAAGTAAGAACAAAAATTTAGATGGACAGACTACTACAGGTGAGAGTCACATGTTAAATAACCTATTCTCATGTACTGAATATGTGGAGGACCCTGTGCTCAAGCCCAGAAGATATTTTACCATGAATTTGCTACTCTTTTTAAAAAAAATAAAAACAACTTTATCGAACCAAGTAAACATCAGCAAATACTACTAGTTTTTAACCATTAGTTTTAAAAGTGATATTTGGAGCAATATTTGGTATGATACAGTAACTTTCTCTCCAATATTTAATTCTCCTCTTCAATCAACCTGTATCATTGTTTTGAAATCAAAACTTTTCTCAGCCATTTAATTTCAGCTTCCAAGTAGGTCAGCCTCAAAATGATTTTTTGGTTGCCTATTTCTAAGCACAACCCTCTGTTCTGTTTTAGTCAGAGACAATCCAGGTCATGGTTTATATTCCTTGAGCTCAAGAAAAGGATGTACTATTTTGCATTGGGTGGCAACAAAATGGAAAACTCTGAGATGTCAGGCCTGAGAGTTAGGTGAGCCCAGAAAAATATGGCAGGTATGTATCTGTGAAGTAAAGGGTCATGGGAGGAACAGGTAGTTAATTAGTGTTGGGTTGGATGGGAAGCAGGATGCCTATCCAGGAAATGAAAGACAGAACGGAAATGGCAGAGCAAGCAAGCAGTATCTAAGAATGCAGGAAACGGGAAGGCAACCATCAGGAATACCAACCAGGGTTCTAGAGTATGTGTTAAATTATAGAAAATCTATGTAATAAATAGGAGGATAGGCATCGATAGATAATAACAGGCGTCAGAAACATAGACGGGGGCCAAATCCAAACACTGTACGACAACAAGATGTAGATGTCTGCAGTACAATGTCTCTGGTACTGATTCTGTTTGAAACTAGGCTTGGCTTTCTCCAGGACAAAAGAGACTACGGAGAACCAAGTTGCAAAGCCCAGGCAGACTGGGCGGCCATGGATTGCATGTAATAAGTATTCAATACTGGTTTGTTGAATGAATGTATGTTCAAAAGTATTCCTGGTTTTAATAGCATATTATTCTCTCCCAGTGACTGTAGTCCGTCTGCTATAGCCTGCCTATCATAGCAGCTGGAGGGGAAAGTGCAAGTTTAGGTGTGCTTTGGGTAAAAAAAAAAAAAAAAAATACCAAGTGATGAGCTGGAAATCTGGATTTTGATCCTAGCACTGGTTTCAACCGAGTCACTGTGGGCAGGTCATTTTATATGTCTGCATCTCAGTTCGTCTCCCAGAAAATGAGGTCAACAGGACAGGAATGCTAAAGTGTCTCACTACTCTGAAAATCTGTGGCTCCTCACAATAGGTACATTCCTGAAAATACATTCCAAACCTGGTTTCCACATGTCAGATTATATAGGATACCTGCATGTCTCTGACTGCATGTGGCTCGATGACTTCCAAGATATTCTCAATATCTCCGTGGTCAACGGGAAGTGGATCTGGTGTTTTAAGTTGTTTGTTGGACCAAAGGCCATCCCTGTGAGTACACTGATTGTCAGACTTAGAGCACATATGTTGACTAAGTTTAACTGGAAGTTTTGCAAGTTTTCTCTAAGGAAAGCCCTGTATTCTGCCATCACAGACAGGGAAACAGAAATCAGAGGCACTGGAGTCGGATATTTGGTTTGAGCTTTGGTCTTTGTGCACTGGGGTCAGGGAGAAGATGGGAGGAGGAAGGCAGCTTGCCAGGAGTGGAGATGAGTATCTCAGACACATGCAGAATGTGGCATAAACACTCCTTTAAATTCCTGTTGTCGTCACTTTCCCCAAAGGGACATCTCCTGCACCCCAGCCAGCTACGTGCCTCCCTGCATTCTCAGCCAGATGCAGGTTGGCCAATGGGGCCGCCATCTGGTCTCTGAAAGCCCATTATAGCCATAACAGGCAGCTGAATCTAGTTATAAATGCCAGCCTCTCTCAGCCTGGCTGTCTCAGGCTTGAAATCACACACTTAGGAAGCGTCTGCTTGGTACAGAAACACCTCTCCCATGGGAACTAAGGGAGGAGAAATCTCCAGGGACATGGACACAGGTACACAGGCTGCGGGCAGAATGAGGTTCTGGACAAGGTGAAGAAGCTCTTTCCTTTCACCCCACGCCCTGCTCTGTTATCTTCCCTTGCTTACCTGTGAGGAGCACGTACACACAGATACACCCCTGGAATGATTCTCTTAGAAATACTGTAAGAAATGGGGCTTTGTTTAAAGCAAGAGCAGGTAAGGGACCTCAGAACATCTAGGACTGTCAAGCAAAGAGCTGCCTGCACTAGTAGTAGCCAGGTCCACAGAGAGCCCAGGCCTTAGGTCACAGGGATAGGAGGCTGATGTGGAGGCCACTGGGGCCCTCGGGGCTAGGGCCAGGAGTGGGCAAGTGCTGTGAGAAAACACCATTCTCACTTCCACCGTTCTTCTGTGATCCTGTGAAAGGCCAGATGCAGCCACATAGGAGCTGCTGGGCACTCAGAGGATGGAATGCATAGGAGCAAATCTCACCATCCACTGCTCTGGATGGCGCAGCGTCCACATGCACGTCCCTTTCCAATGAGGAGCCAGGGTCTTCCCTCAGTGTGCCAGCTCTGATGTTCAAAATAAAGGTTTAAGGCAACAAAAGCCCTGAGAAGTCCAGAATGTCCCCTCATTCCTGTCCTGACGGGCTGAGTGCCCTGCTGCACTTCACCAGGCTTTGTTGAAGCCTTCACATGTTTTTTGCTTCCATGACTAGCACAGCCCCGTCCCCCTGCCTGGAATGCCCTTCCTGCTCTATCCCTCCTCATCAACTCTGCTGGAAGCAGAAGAGTGGTCAACAACACAACCTCTGAATGTTAGACTGCCTGGGTTCAAATCCGAACCTCCCTATGTGCCTTTCCTTTAGCATGAGGAGGAGGATGATATAGTAGTTACTTCATAAAGTTGTTTTAAGAGACAATATATGTAAAGGGTTTAAAACAGTGTCTAGTCCATATTAAAAAGAGAAGGGACACCTGTCATTATTCCACAAAGACCTTTTTGAGTCTTCTCTCATCTTGTTATAGCCATTCTTCCTAAAAATTCCTGATTAGATCCCATTTGTCAATTTTGGCTTTTGTTGCCACTGCTTTTGGTGTTTTAGACATGAAGTCCTTGCCCATGCCTATGTCCTGAATGGTAATGCCTAGGTTTTCTTCTAGGGTTTTTATGGTTTTAGGTCTAACGTTTAAGTCTTTAATCCATCTTGAATTAATTTTTGTATAAGGTGTAAGGAAGGGATCCAGTTTCAGCTTTCTACATATGGCTAGCCAGTTTTCCCAGCACCATTTATTAAATAGGGAATCCTTTCCCCGTTGCTTGTTTTTCTCAGGTTTGTCAAAGATCAGATAGTTGTAGATATGCGGCATTATTTCTGAGGGCTCTGTTCTGTTCCATTGATCTATATCTCTGTTTAATTGACAAATGGGATCTAATTAAACTAAAGAGCTTCTGCAGGGCAAAAGAAACTACCATCAGAGTGAACAGGCAACCTACAAAATGGGAGAAAATTTTCACAACCTACTCATCTGACAAAGGGCTAATATCCAGAATCTACAAGGAACTCAAACAAATTTACAAGAAAAAAACAAACAACCCCATCAAAAAGTGGGCAAAGGACATGAACAGACACTTCTCAAAAGAAGACATTTATGCAGCCAAAAAACACATGAAAAAATGCTCACCATCACAGGCCATCAGAGAAATGCAAATCAAAACCACAATGAGATACCATCTCACACCAGTTAGAATGGCAATCATTAAAAAGTCAGGAAACAACAGGTGCTGGAGAGGATGTGGAGAAATAGGAACACTTTTACACTGTTGGTGGGACTGTAAACTAGTTCAACCATTGTGGAAGTCAGTGTGGCGATTCCTCAGGGATCTAGAACTAGAAATACCATTTGACCCAGCCATATATACCCAAAGGACTATAAATCATGCTGCTATAAAGACACATGCACACGTATGTTTATTGCGGCACTATTCACAATAGCAAAGACTTGGAACCAACTCAAATGTCCAACAATGCTAGACTGGATTAAGAAAATGTGGCACATATACACCGCAGAATACTATGCAGCCATAAAAAATGATGAGTTCATGTCCTTTGTAGGGACATGAATGAAATTGGAAATCATCATTCTCAGTAAATTATCACAAGAACAAAAAACCAAATACCACATATTCTCACTCATAGGTGGGAATTGAACGATGAGAACACATGGACACAGGAAGGGGAACATCACACTCTGGGGACTGTTGTGGGGTGGGGGGAGGGGGGAGGGATAGCATTAGGAGATATACCTAATGCTAAATGACGAGTTAATGGGTGCAGCACACCAGCATGACACATGTATAGAGATGTAACTAACCTGCACATTGTGCACATGTACCCTAAAACTTAAAGTATAATAATAAAAAAAAATTCCTAATTAGAAGGGTCACATTTTTTTTTAGTTGTTAATTTAGACACCTGTCTCCTTTCCTCATCTTTGAGCTTCTCAAGGAACAGGATCATAGCTTATTAATTTTTGCCACCTTCGGTACAGAGTTTGGCATTAAGCAGGTGTATTTGAAAGTGTATTGAATTAAATTTATTGAAAAACTTCAACTAATAATAATACTTTTCATTTCATGGATGATAACTGTGTGCTAGGAGCTTTACTTGAATTGGTAAGTCTTTACATTTAAAATCATATATTTTTCTCCTGGCTCACAAGTTTGGCTCTCAGAAATATGAAGGAAAATGCTACTATAAACAGTTGAGGACTTAAAGAAAAAGAACTAATTGGAGAAGTAGAATTAAATACAAATATTGATCCTCGAGAGAGAGAGAAATGTAGGAAAAAAATTGTTGTCTAGAAGTTTATTAACACAAAAGAAGGTGATTCTGTGTGGTCAGTTGGGTCTTTAGGAAGGCTGGTTTAAGTCCAGAAAAGAGCGATATATAACTTAGAGACATGTCTAAAGAGAGAAGGAAGTCCTTCAAAATAATTGAAAAATAAGGAAGAAAGTAGATCAGCACAAAACAAACCAAAGTGGATGCATGTGGTGCTCCGAAGTGAGCTCCAGTTATAAGTAGCAGAAAATGAAAGAAGCTCAGTCACATCCAATGTGACCTAGGCTGCGAGGACAGGTATTAGTAAGGCCAAAGTCTGGAGCCAGTTGAGGCAGAAGGAAAACGCTAAAGAGAGCCACAGAGGTTCTTTCTCTCAGTGGGAAGAGGCTATTGTCCAATATTCAGATAGACAGAAAGGATAGTTCCGCGGCTTAGGAAGGGACGTCATCTTGACAGATAACAGAGAGAAGGAAGAACAACTCAGCTCTTGTTCACCTTCATTCTCTCCATTAAGGATAAGCATCAGCAAATTAGGAAGTGGAAAACAAGCATTTTCAAGAGGGAATTGATGACCAAAATGAGTGAAACGATAGTGAGAAAACCCTTAGCAAGTTAAAAGAACTCAAATCCCATGCCCAGGTAAATTTTATAATGACGGTCATCACAAGTCACATTTCTTTGGCATTCTATGGCTTTAAAAAAGTCCTTTCCCTCTGTTATCACATTTTATGAATTTAACGTCAAAATGGCTTCTAGAGTTCAGAATGAAGAGTTGACATGAACCTTTAGGCAGAACCCTCTAGAAACAATTTTTTTGACTGACACAGAAGAGTAGTCCTCATTTCATTTTAGCAACCAAGAAGAGAGAATTCAAACCCGTGGCATGATTTTGCCCTTTTAAAAAGTTTTTTTTTTAATGTTTCCTAACTTCCATCATGCAAAAAATAACTTCAGCTAAGTCATCTTAAGAAAAATGAAAACCCCCTTTAATGAAACAGCATGTTGTGGGCATTAGGAGAAGCAAATGTTACATGTAAAAGAAAGGTGAAGGAAAGGAGAGAGGTCTTACTTGTTGGGCCAAACAGGAGCTCATGCTCTCTTCTGACTTACCCCACTGAGGTTCATGCCCAGGGCCCAGACACTTCCAATGTCCTGAGTTCCTGCTCAAAGGTTTTGCGCACAGAGAGTGGTTTAGGAGCGCCACCCCATGTCAGACTCAGAAACTACAACAAGTTTTCACAAGTCCTGAAGAATCACTTTAACTAGACGTATCCAACTGAAATTCTGGCCATAGCCTAATTTCAAGCCTATGGTTATTTCCCTAGTCCATGCAACTGAATTCCAACACAGATTTAATAGTCTCTATTGAATGATTTAAAAAACTGTGCTAGGCAAAATAGAATCATGAGACTGGATGGTATCATTACCATGATGTTAAGTGACACTAAGTTCTCCTTTGACTATGCAAGTGGCCTAAAGATTCAGGTGTTTCAAAGTGGAAGCCCTCTCATTCCCTCACTGTCTTCCTGTCCTTTATCCCCCTCTCTGCAGTTCTCCATCCTCTCTTGGACCCTCCCCATCTTTACGGCCCATGCTTCAGGGAATAACAAAGCCTGGCCCCAAAACCCTTGTTGAGTCTCAACAATTCTGCCATCTCAAGCATCCATTGAATTTCCAGAGAATTTTCCTTGGCCCAGCATTTTCTGAATTTAGAGTCAGGAAATGATATGCATTGGTCCTAGGTATGAGGAGAGGAAGTGGACGATGGCTGAGGGTGTGTAGGTGTTGTAAAGGAGAGTGTAATGATGTGGGATGGGCTGTAGGTGTTTCCACTTTAACACACTCTCTCCATCATATTGCTTCCTAATTTACTTAAAATGGTAACACATTTTGCTCAATCAGACATTTTCTCCCATTGACCATACCGACTAACTTGCATATTCCTTGTAAAAACAAAACCTGCCTTTAATTCCACTTGCAAAATAACAATTCTGACTTTATTGTGTTTAAAGTAAATTTGGCTTCTTCTTTTCTTTAATTACAAATGGTCCCAACCATGGCAGTGCCAGAATTCCAGAATGGATGACCAAGGGCTGGAGTGGAATCCCTGGCTCTAGAACTTCTTTAGAAATTAACAGATGTGAAGGTAAAAGGTGTACAATCTTAAAGGGCTCAGGTTTCTTCTCAGCAACATCTTTGAGAAATAACCCAGTAGGTGTAGTTTCATGCCTTAGTCCATCCAGGCTGCTATAACAAGATACCATAAACTAGGCAGTTTAGAAACAAAAGAAACTTATTCCTCACAGTTCTGTAGGCTGGAAAGTCCAAGACCAAGGTGCTAACAGTTTTTGGTGTCTGATGAGTGTTTCCTGGTTCACAGATGGCCATTTTCCTGTGTGTCCTCACATGACAGAAGGGAGGAGGGAGTTCTCTGGGGCCTCTCTTCTAAGACACTAATCTCACTCATGAGAGAGAGCTCCACCCTCAGGACCTAATAACCTTCCAAAGGCTCCACCTCTAAATACCATCACATTGGGGATTAGGTTTCAACATACGAATTTTGGGAAGACACAAACATTTAGTCCATAGCACCTGAACTGCTTTCCCCGTGCAAAAGATGGAGTGAATGAGAATCGGATGGAAGTAAGGGGAGAGACACAGCAGTGAAGAGCACAAAAGCAGTAAATTCGTCTGCAGGATGTGGTGTGGGGGAACACTCACAGGTGCTCTGCCCCAGTTGCTTCTATCCTTTAAGAGCTTCAAATTCAGCTGTTTGCATTTCCAAGCCATTCCCAGGCTTCTCTTCTTTAATGGAGGGAAGACTCAATGAAGTTTGAAGCTAAGGGAATCTTTAATTTGCCAATTTCAGGGACTGCATCAGATAAGATCATAAAACGTAGGGTGGTGACATCAGATTCTCTACTCAGGATAGTTGAGTTCAAAGTTGGTCTTGGCTCCCTTGAAGCAAGAAAGAAGGTCAGGCTTTCTGGGGAGACCTGTAGGTTTTGCTGAGGAGTGGGCATGACCCTCCTCTCTGATGCTGTTGCACCCCACTCCCAGAAGATCTCTTCTGTAAGGTTCACAGGTGCTGCTGGTTGGTATCCTCCCCACTTTCTTTCCCTTTATCAGGTGCTGCAGTAAAACTCGGGATGCTTTGGAAATTTTCTAAGACCCCAATTCTTCTAAAGATGGGTTTGGCAAGAGGTAGCCTCTAAAACCCAGCTCCCAAGCATAAGAAGAGGATTTGTAAAAAATATTGGGCATAGAATGAGCATGGGCTGGCTCAGTTAAAAAAAAAAAAAGATAGGCTGAGACAAATGGGTTAGGGATAATAAAAAAGGGAGGTACCCAGTGGCCAAAACAGAAGCATTTCATTAGCAAGTTTTTTCTCCTTCGAGAGCAGGCAGAAGTACTTCAAAATGATAATAGGTTGATGAGATTACAATGATTTTTTGAACTATTTTTCCTAAACTTTATTTTCCAGATTTCTTGCAATAAACAAATCTCAATTTCATACTCACCAAATATTAAACATGACTATGAATAAGAGATCTTTTATATCAGTATTTATTAAATTTATTTCTAAGTTATAATGATTTCTATTTTCTACCTTTGATAGTAGGTGGCGACCAAATTTAACTTTTCTTTGATGATGGGGATATTGGAGGGCATGGTGTTCACTGATGTCAATATAATTTTTCATTACACAATACTTATAAAGAATCTGGAATCTGAATCCTTTTGTCACTGCTGCCATAACTAGAGGTGCATTTCCATAGCAAACATCTAATTCTAAGGCTAAAGAATTTTATTTCTCAAGCAAAGACATACTATTGGAAGGTTTTAATCAATGGAATGACGTGAAGATTAATCTGGTACTGTGAGAAGGGACCAAAGTAGAGAAATCAATTAGGAGTCCATTATCATGGTTTAGACATAAGGAATCAAAAGGAGGATGGCATTGATATTAAGGAAGAAATGGAAGCAGAGGATACTGTAATGAGGCAGTTAAGAGGGCTTAGTAATGGATACATGTATCAAGGGAAACAGAAGGATCAGTGATGATGACAAGCCCAAGGATCTGGAATAATGAGGGTATTAGCAACAGAAATAAGTTAATCAAATGGTGAAGATGCTACATTAAGACGCATGTCATATTACTGGAAATGTTATAACAATAGATTAATAAGACATGTTGGTAATTAAAATAGCATGATTCCTAGTAGTGAATACAGTAAAGATTAAGATAGCAGCAATTTTTAATGTAAAAATCTACAAATTATATATTTGTGAATATTGGAAATAAAAAGTGGATAACACTGACCTAAAAGTGAAGGGCTTCACAGGAATTCTTTCGAAGTTGCTGTTATGGGTTGAACTGTGGCCCCCAAAAAGATATGTTAAAGTCCTAATCTCTGGTGCCTTGAATTTGACCTTATTAAGAAATATGGTTTTTTTATGGAAGGTTTATGTTAAAAATAGCACCTAACTTCTGTTAATTTGTATAATAACTCAGGAACTCAGAGTGGTATAAAGGCTGACTTGGTTTGTGCACTTGAAATTCAGTTTCTCTTTGGCAAATAAATTCATTTATTTGTGAATGGGAATAGTATTAAAGAATGTTTTGAGGCAAAAAAAAAAAGAAATATGGTTTTGCAGATGTAATCAAGTTAAGATGAATTCATACTGAATTAGGGTAGACCCTAATCCAATGTGATTGGTGTCCCTATAAAAGGAGAAGAAACACAGCAAGACACAGAGGGAAGATGGCCACAAGAAGATGGAGGCAGAAATTGGAATTATGCTGCCACAGCCAAGGAATATCTGGAGCTACCAGAAGCTGGAAGACGCAAGGAGAGATCTGCCTCTAGAGCCTCCAGAGGGAGCACAGCCCTGCTAACATCTTGATTTCAGATTCCTGGCCTCCGGAACTGTAAGAGAATAAATTTACATTGTTTTAAGCCACCTAGTTTGTGGTACTTTGTTATGGAAGCCATAGCAAATTAATGTAGTCCCTATTCAGCCTTCAGTGTAGGGGAAAAGAAGTAGATGTTTAGTTTGCCAGGTGGCGTAAATATTGCAGGACTATGTCTCTATGGAGATCCACTATTGTATAAAGTTACCCATTAAACAGATGGAGAGATTAGGAGTGTGTTAGTTCACATAATAACTCTGTGTACTTTTTCCTCGGTAAGTACACAAAATAACTCTGTGTACTTTTTCCTCCATAAGGGTGGCCACTGCTGTTATCTGATCACTGTGTGACAGAAGGCTGAAGCCTTATAACCAGAAATAAAGAGGTCCGTCCAGCTTTCTTTCCTGGCACAAACCATCCCTGCTAGAAATGAAGCATCCTTAGTACCTCATTGCCCTTGTCTTGTGAAGGCTGCTGGTTTTTAGGAAACTGACAAGCTCACAAAGTGTTTATTTCAATACAAAATGGGAAGACAAAGGGCAGAAAGCTTGGATTTAAATAAAAAATGAGTCAGTTGAGGGAGTATGAAAGTATGGAAATGAATCAACCTACAATGAATGTGAGATGACCGCAACAAGCATGGTACACCGTGTCGACTATTGTTTTCCCAACTCAAAAAATTAGTAAGGCATTTGGCATTATTTTTAAAACACTCTCATCTTTCTAGTTTGATAAGAGAAGCACTAAAGAGCACTTTAGTGTTTACTTAGGAAAATTAAAACATTGAGTTACTAAAGTTCCTAAGGAAGCTTATTTAACTTGCTATTTTTTTCTAATTAATACTTCATGTGACATATATGTATTGAACACTTCTTGTGAGCCAGGCATTGTGCTATATGCTGAAGATACCAAGAATGGTAATAAAATAAGTCCCTCCAATCAAGCAGTTTGCACACCATTAGGGGAAATAGACAAACAGTGCAAGGGTACTGAGATTTTTAAAAATTGCAACATAATACTGGTTAGAGTTCAAAGACTTAATAATGATGATGATACTAGTAATGTCAATACTATATGTTTTACATGTGTGAATTAGGGGAAAGAGAGAAAAGTATGCCTAATTACCTCTGGAAAAATAAGGTTGCCTACCTACCCTCTTGGCACATTCCTGTTTCTCCGATGGGAACAAAAGGCCAATGTAGGGAGAAGGAGCCAGGAAGAGAAAAGTATACAAGACCTACAGCTTCGAGAATTCATATTGCCTTTGGAGAAATGCAAACAGTGCAGGGAAGAGGTGTGGGAAAGTGTGAGAGATGAGGTAGGGGCCAGATCCTGAAAAATCTTTTGTGGGTATCATTCTCTGAGCCAGTTTTCTTCGGACTGGTGTTTATAAATAGATAAGGCAGGGAGGGGCATTTTGAATTCCTCTACAAGAATGTATGAAGGCAAGTGCATTTGATTCATTTCAAATATAATCTTTAAAAAAATAACATTGGCATATTCTGACTATTTGTATAATCATCTTTTAAGGTAGTGCTGCCACATGATTTTAAACTTTGCATTTTCACTTATATTTATAATAATTAATTTTTATTTAATTGTAGCCTATTGCATATTAAGGGTGCTGAGCATCAAATTAATCTTAGCTCTCTATCTTTGTAGTAGTATCTGTGCCAGAGAGTCCTGGTTGACTCCTAATATAAATTTCTCCTTCTTTCAAAGTAGTGGAACCCCAAATATTTAGATGGGTACATGGCTGCCCAGGAAGAAACAAACAAACAAACAAACAAAAACATTGCCCAGACTCCTTTGCAGCTAGATGTGGCCATGTGAATAAGTTCAAGTCAATAAATTTTAAACAAGTTTCTTGTAACAGCTTCTGGAATCTTCCTTAAATACATGGTGATTTTTTTATATACACAGGTGATTTTAAACATACCATCGGATGTATTGTTTAAATATCCCATGTACTTACTGATTTCTGATTGAATCTATCAATTATTCATAAAAGTAAATAAGTAAAGAAACATTTTCCAATGTGATTCTGGATGTCACTTTTTTCTTACAGTTATTTTAATTTTCACTTTATACATTTCAAGTCCATGTTTTGGGAGTGATATTGAAATATTTTAGATCATCTCAGTAACTGTGATTTAACTGAGAAATGCCTTATGATTTCATTGTTTTCATTTGCATTTATATTCATAACCATTTTGGTATAAAGTAGAGCTTCTTTTTTTAAATTTCAGTCTGACAATTCTTGACTTTTAATTGGTATATTTAGTCATTTATATACATAATTACTGATACATTTGGACTTAAATTTCTGTCTTATTTTGTACCTTCTGTTTTATCTTTCTCCGTTTTCAGATTTTTTTAATCATTTCAATGTTTGTCTCCTGCCAGTTTGTAAGTCGTATCCTTTTATTTAATCCTTTTAGCTGTTACCCCAGAAATGACAACAAGAGTCTTTTTTTTCCATAAGTTATTGGGGTACAAGTGGTATTTGGTTACATGAGTAAGTTCTTTTGTGGTGATTTGTGAGATTTTAGTGCACTCATCACACCAGCAGTATACATGGCACCATATTTGTTGTCTTTTATCCCTCAGCCCCTTCTCACTCTTCCCCCCAAGTCTCCAAAGTCCATTGTATCATTCTTATGCCTTTGCATCCTCATAGCTTAGCTCCCACATATCAGTGAGAACATATGATGTTTGGTTTTCCATTCCTGAGTTACTTCACTTAGAATAATAGTCTCCAGTCTCATCCAGCTCACTGCAAATGCTGTTAATTCACTCCTTTCTATGGCTGTGTAGTATTCCATTGTATATACATACCACAATTTCTTTTTGCACTCATTGATTAATGGGCATTTGGGTTGGTTCCACGATTTTGCTATTGTAAATTGTGCTGCTATAAACATGAGTGTGCAAGTATCTTTTTTGAATAATGACTTCTTTTCCTCTGGGTAGATAGCCAGTAGTGGGATTGCTGGATCAAATGGTAGTTCTACTTTTAGTTCTTTAAGGAATCTCCACACTGTTTTCCATAGTGGCTGTTAGTGGCTGTACTTGTTTACATTCCCACCAGCAGTGTAGAAGTGTTCCCGCATCCATGCCAACATCTACCTTTTTTATTTTTTGATTATGGCCATTCTTGTAGGAGTAAGGTGGCATCTTATTGTGGTTTTGATTTGCATTTCCCTGATCATTAGTGGTGTTGAGCATTTTTTCATATGTTTGTTGGCCATTTGTATATCTTCTTTTGAGAATTGTCTATTCATATCCTTAGCCCAATTTTTGATGGGTTTGTTTGGTTTTTTCTTACTGAGTTTGTTGAGTTTGTTGTAGATTCTGGATATTAGTCCTTTGTCAAATGTATAGATTGCAAAGATGTTCTCCCATTCTGTGGGTTGTCTGTCTGCTGACTGTTCCTTTTTTCCATGCAAAAGCTCTTTAGTTTAATTGGGTCCCAGATATTTATCTTTGTTTTTATTGCATTTGCTTTTGGGTTCTTGGTCATGAAATCCTTGCCTAAACTAATGCATAGAAGGGTTTTTCCAATGTTATCTTCTAGAATTTTTAGAGTTTCAGGCCTTAGGTTTAAGTCCTTAATCCATCTAGAGTTGATTTTTGTATAAGGTGAGAGATGAGGATCCAGTTTCATACTCCTGCATGTGGTTAGCCAATTATCCTAGCATAATTTGTTGAAAAGGGTGTCCTTTTCCCAATTTGTGTTTTTATTTGCTTTGTCAAAGATCAGTTGGCTGTAAGAATTTGGGTTTATTTCTGGGTTCTCTATTCTGTTCCATTGGTCTATGTGCCCATTTTTATACCAGTACCATGCTGTTTTGGTGACTATGGCTTTACAATATAGTTTGAAATCAGGTAGTGTGATGCCTCCAGATTTGTTCTTTTTGCTTAGTCTTGCTTTGGCTATGCAGGTTTTTTTGTTGTTGTTCTACATGAATTTTAGAATTGTTTTTTCTAATTCTGTGAAGAATGATGGTGTTTCTTTCTCACAGCTCTTAAGATTCTTTCCTTCATCTTAACTTTGGATAACCTGATGACAGTGTGCCTGGGCAAAGATCTTTTTGTGATTAATTTTCCAGGTGTTCTTTGTACTTCTAATATGTGGACATCTAGGTCTCTAGAAAGGCCAGGGGAGTTTTCCTCAATTATTCTCCCAAATATGTTTTCCAAGCTTTTAGGATTCTCTTCTTCCTCAAGAACACTGATTATTCTGAAGTTTGGTCATTTAACATAATCCCAGACTTCTTGGAGGCTCAGTTTATATTTTCTTATTCTTTTTTCTTTGTCTTTGTTGGATTGGGTTAATTCAAAGACACTGTCTTCAAGCTCTGAATTTCTTTCTTCTACTTGTTCAATTCTATGGCTGAAACTTTGCCGAGCATTTCACTTTTCTAAAAGTTTGTCCAAAGTGCCCTGAATTTTTTATTGTTTTTTCTTTAAGCTAGCTATTTCCTTGAATATTTCTTCCTTCAGTTCTTGTATAATTTTTTGGATTTCCTTGCATTAGGCTTCGCCTTTCTCTGGTCCTTCCCTGATTAGCTTAATAACTAACCTCCTGAATTTTTTTTTCAGGTAAATCAGGGATTTCTTCTTGGTTTGGATGCATTGCTGGTGAACTAGTGTGATTTGGGGGGAGTGCTGAAGAGCCTTGTTTTGTCATATTACCAGGGTCGGTTTTCTGGTTCCTTCTCATTTGGGGAGTCTCTGTCAGAGGGAAGGTCTAGGGTTGAAGCCTGTTGTTCAGATTATTTTGTCTCACGGGGTGTTCCCTTGATGTAGTACTCTCCCCCTTTTCCTATGGATGTAACTTCCTGTGGGCCAAACTGCAGTGATTGTTGTCTCTCTTCTGGGTCTAGCCACCCAGAGAGTCTACCTGGCTCCAGGCTAACACTGGGGGTTGTCTACAGAGTGTCCTGTGATGTGAACTGTCTGTGGGTCTCTCAGCCATGAATACCAGTGTCTGTTCCAGTGGAGGTGGTGGGGTGCACTGGACCCAGTGAGGGTTCTTAGCTTTGGTTGTTTAATGTTCTATTTCTGTGCTGGTTGGCCTCTTGCCTGAGGTGGCGCCTTCCAGAAAGCATCAGTTGTGGTAGTACTGGGGGGAACTGGCAGTGGGTGGGGCCCTAGAACTCCCAAGGTTATAAGCCCTTTTTCTTCTGCTACCAGGGTAGGTAGGGAAGGACCATCAGGTGGGGGCGGGGCTAGGCGTGTCTGAGCTCAGACTCTGCTTGGGTGGGTCTCGCTTGGCTGCTGTGGGGGATGGGGGTGAGGTTCCCTTGTCAATAGAGTTGTGTACCCAGGATTATGGCTGCCTCTGCTGAGTCACGCAGGTTGTCAGGGAAGTGGGGGAAACCCAGCAGTCACAGGCCTCACCCAGCTCCCACACAAAATGAAGGGCTGGTCTCCCTCCCACCATGCCCCCCCGCAACAACCCCAAGTCTGTTTCCAGGTGGAGGCTGTAACAGGGTTGAAAACTTGCCCCAGGCTACCGGCTGCTAAAGAAAAGGGCTTGGTTCGTCCCCCACCTGTGGAGTCTGCACACCAGATTTGCGCCCTCCCCTGAGTTCTGACCAGGAGGCGTCTCGCCCCATCCAAATTGTTAAAAAGTTCAGCTGGACATTTCCCTCTCCCCATGGAGTTCTACCCCTGCTCCTCTGGTCACCCTCCTGATGGATCCCCATGGTGCCAGGCAGGAATGGCCTGCTAGGAGATGCAGTGAGCCCCCAGGACCTCTCCACTGCCTCCTCCACCCCTGTATTTCACTTGGCTCTCCAAATTGACTCAACTCCAGGTAACTTCTCCCACAAAGAGGTCTTCAGTTTCTCCAGTGGGGGTGTGCGTTTGGGAGAGGAGGGTCTCCCTTTCCCACTTCCACAGCTGGGACACACAGCATTTGGGGTGTTCTCCCGGGTCCTGCAGGAGCAGTCCACTTCCTCCAGAGGGTCTGTGGGTCCTTTTGGGATTGTTGATTTGTTCTTGCAGTTGATCTGGAGCTAAAATTCACAATTGACAACATGAATCTTAATCTATGAAAGTATAATGTTAATGTCTTTACCTTTCTCAGGGCAAAAAAAGAACCTCAGAACAATTAACTGTTCTTTTTTGAAAGCTCTGTGCTGTGTTACTTTGAATTATCATTTTCCAAGTCCCAGTTTTATACATTCAATCTTCATTTAGATGTACCCACATGTTTACCACTTTCTTTGCCCTTCATTCCTTCTTGTATCTTAGTCCTACATCTAGAAACATTTCTTTCTGCTTCAAATACATCCTGCAGAATTTTATTTAGTGGAGACAAACTCTATTTTTTGTTTACTTGCCTGAAAATTACTTTCTTTTACTATGATATTAAGTTTTTTTTAAAATCAACTTTACTGAGATAAAATTTATATCCACTAAAATTCACAGTTTAAGTCCTTAGGTTGTTGGCTTCGACAAATATATGCAGCAAGTAATTATCACCTCTGTCTCCCAGGAAAGTTCCTTCATTCCTTTTTGTAATCAGTCTTTATCTATACCTCTCAGCCCAGGCAACCACTGATCTGATCTCTGTCATCATAGATTAATTGTGCATGTTATAATATTTCAAATATATGGAATCCACTTCTCTTTTCTATCCAGCCTCTTTACCAGCATGTTATCTGTAAGATTCATTCATGCTTTTGCCCATATTAATGTATCGTTATTTTTATTGCTGAGTGGTATTCCATTGTATGGATGAACCACAATTTGTTTATCAGTTCACTTGTTGATGGTCATTTGGGTTGTTTCCAGTTTGCGACTATTATGAATAAGGCTGCTATACAATATTTCTATACAAATCTTTTTATGAGCACATGCTTTCATTTCTCTTGGTTAAGTATCCAGCAGTGGAAGTGCTGGGTCATATGTAAGTATATGTTGAATTTTGTAAGAAATTCCCAAAATGTTTTCCAAAATGGTCATACCATTTTATGTTCACAAAACCAATGAATAAAATCCAGTTGCTCCATATTCTCACCAATACTTGCTTTTACCACTTTTTTTAAATTTAAATTGTGCTAACGGTAAAAAGGGTTACCTCGTTGTTTTAATCTTCTAATGACTAATTAAATTAAATGTATATTCATTTGTTTATTGGCCATTTGTATATTCTTTTGGATTGTCTATTCAAGTATTTTTTGCATTTTTAAATAGAGTTATTTGTGTCCTTAATGTTAAGTTGTTGGTGTTATTTAGATATAGATAGAGTTTTTTGGTTAGGTTTTTTTGCGTTGTCAATATATTCCAACAGGTTCTTGCTTGCCTTTTGTTTTCCCTCGTAGTGTTTTTTTAAGAACAGAAGGTTTTAATTTTTATTAAGTCAATTTTATCAAATTTTTTCTTTTATAGTTTGGTCTTTTTTTCTGCTATATAAGAAATCTTTGCCAAACTCAAGTTTACAAAAATTTTCTTTTCTTATTTTTCTTCTAGAAGTTTTGTAGTTTTTGCCAGCATGTTAAGGTATATAATCAATTTTAAAATAATTTTTGTGTAGGGGATAACATAAAAATTGAAATTTGATTTCTTTTCCACATAGATACCCATTGTTCCAATACTACTTGTAAAAAGAATATTCTTTCCCCCCCATTAAATTATATTGGTGTTTCTTTCTAAAATAAACTGACTAAATGTGTGAGTTTACTTCTAAAGTCTCCTCTGTGGTAGTGATCCTACATGTTCACCTTTATACCAACACTACACAATCTTATTGACTATAGCATTAGAATAAGTCTCGAAATCAGATAATATTAAGTCCTATATAATTTGTTCATTCTTTTCAAAATTATTTTGACTACTGTAAGTCATTTGTATTACCACTTGAATTTTAGAGTCACCTTTATTTGCCAGAAAAAAAAAGTCTGCTAGGGTTTTGATCATGATTAAATCTACAGATAATTTTTAGAAGAATTGGCAGTCTAAAATACTTAGGATTCTAGCCATAAACATGATATATCTCCTCATTTATTTAGGGTTTTTTGTTTTTTGTTTTTTGAGATGGAGTCTTACTCTTGTCGCCTAGGCTGGAGCGCAGTGGCACCGTCTTGGCTCACTGCAACCTCTGCCTCCCAGGTTCAAGTGATTCTTCTGCCTCACCCACCACACCCAGCTAATTTTTGTATTTTTAGTAGAGACTGGGTTTCACCATGTTGGCCAGGCTGGTCTCGAACTCTTAACCTCAGGTGATCCACTTGCCTCAGCTTCCCAAAGTGGTGGGATTACAGGCATGAGCCACCATGCCTGGCCTATTTAGGTCTTCTTTAATCTCCCTATAAAACATTTTGTAGTTCTATATTTTATTAAATGTATTTCTAAATGTTTTGTGATTCATTATGGTATTTTTAATTTACAATATTTTTATGTTAATATATCTAAACATATTTTGTATATTGATATATTATCATGTGATCTTGCTAAAATCACACAAGATATAAGTGCCTTACTATTTTCTCCACAGAAAATTATGTCATCTGTGAATAAAGACAGTTGTGCTTTCCTTTCCAGTCTGTATATCTTTTTCTTGCCTCACTGAAGTAGCTAAGTCCTCTAATACAATAGTAGAAGTGGTAAGAGCAAATATCTATGCCTTGTTCTAACTCTTTGGGGGTATTTTCCCATTAAGTATAATGTTTACTATGGGTTTATTATAGATGCTAATTATCAGGTTGAAGATATTTCCTTCTATTCCTAGTTTGATGAAATTGATATTGGATCTCGTGAAATGATTTTTAATTCAAATGATTTTATGGTTCTTGCCTATATTCTGTTAATATGGTTAAATCATGTTGGTTTTTAAACATCAAATCAACCCTGTGTTACGAGAAAATACATTTCTGTTCTTATAAATTACTTAACCTTAGGTATTTCATTATAGCGACACGAAACAGAATACACTGTTATTTTAATTTTTCACATGTATTAAAACTTGTTTCATGGCCCACCTGTGGTCTATCTTGATAAATGTTCCTTGTGCACTGGAAAAGAATGGGTATTTGTGGTTGGGTATAATTAACATTCTATAAATGTTAATTAGGTCAAGTTGGTTGATAGTGTTGTTTCAATTTCCTTTAGCCTTACTAATTTTCTCTACACTTTTTCACTAACTTATTGAGAAAAGGATGTTGGAGCCACTGACAATAGCTGTGGGTTTGTTCATTCCTCCATGTAATTCTATTCGTTTTTGCTTCCCATATTAGGTGCAAAATATTGTGGATTTTATTATGGATGAATTAATCCCTTTATTATTAAGAAATTACCCTCTTTATTCCTATTAATATTATTGGCTCTGAATACTATTTTATTTGGGATAAATATAGCTTTCTCTAATTTCTTTTATTTAGTGTTAGCATGGTATATCTTTTTCTATTCATTTACTCTTAACCTATTCATTTGTTCATACTTTACAAAAGTGTTTTCGGTTTATTTCTTTGTCAGCATGATATAGTGTGGCCTTGTTACTTTATTTGATCTGAAAATCTCTGCCTTTTAATGGGGTACTGAGACCATTTACATTTATTATGGTTCTTAATATATTTGGGTTTAAAATCTATCATCTTGCCATTTATTTCTTGTTTATCCAAATTGTTCTTTTATTTCCTCTTTCCTATTTTTCTGCTTTATTTCAAATTTAGTATTTTTTATAATTCAATTTTATCTTACTTGTTGATTTCTTATAATTCTTTGTTATATTATTTTAGTGGTTGCTTTAGAGTGTAGAGTATACAGCTTTAACTCATTACATTCTACCTTCAAGTCATATTATAATGCTGCAAATATATTATAAGAACCTTATAACAGTAAACTTCCATTTATTCTCACTCGAATTTTGTATTACTGTTCCCATGCTGTTTACATGTTTACATGCTGTAAATCTCACACTAGATTTTTCTGTTTTGCTTTGAACAGTTAATTACATTTTAAAGAGATTTATATAACAAGAAAAATAGTCTTTATACTTCCTCATGTAGTTACTATTTCTGGTGCTCTTTCTTTCTTTTTGTAGCTTTGGATTTCCATCTGGTATAATTTTTCTTTTGCTTGAAGAATTACCTTTAACGTTTCTTGAACTGTAGGTCTGTTGTTGAAGGATTATTTAAGCTTCTGTGTGACTGAAACATTATTCAATTTTCCTTAACTCTTGAAGATATTTTTGTTGAGTACAGAATTCTAGGTTGATTTTTTTCTTTCAGAACTTAAAAAGTTTTGCTCCACTATCTTCTGGTTTTCATCATTTTTGGTAGGAAGTCTGTGTAATTCTTATTGTGTTCCTCTGTATGTAATGTACCTTTTTAAATTTGGCTGTTTTTAAGATTATCTCTTTATTACTTTTTAAAATAATTTTATTTTATATACCTTGGAGAAGTTTAATTCATATATCTTTTGCTTGAGATTCATTGATATTTTTTTTTTTGAGATGGAGTCTCATTCTGTCACCCAGGAGTGCAATGGCGTGATCTCAGCTCACTGCAACCTCCACCTCCCGGGTTCAAATGATTCTCCTGCCTCAGCCTCCCGAGTAGCTGGGATTACAGGTGCCCACCACCACACCCAGCTAATTTTTGTATTTTTAGTAGAGAAGGGGTTTCACCATGTTGGCCAGGCTGGTCTCGAACTCGTGACCTTGTGATCTGCCTGTCTTGGCCTCCCAAAGTGCTGGGATTACAGGCATGAGCCACTGCGCCCGGCCTCATTGAGTTTCTTAGATCTGCTACTGTACCCTGCTAATTCTGGATACCTTGGTCTTTCTGAACTTACACCTTTGTCTCCTCAAGTCAGGAACCCCTGCCTCGTTGCTCAATTCTTGTGCTGTAGTCCGGAAACCCTTTCCAGACAGTAAGCTGTAGCAATAATAATGATTCCCTGGTTTGTTTCCACTCTCTCAGGGATCACCATCCTATCTGACTGATGTCCAGTTTTTTTTAATTTCATGAATTTTTTCTGCTTTTTTAAATTGTTTCATGTAGAAAAGTAAATCTAGTTCCTATTGCTCCATCTTTGCTGAAAATCAGGAGCTAACTTTTATTGGACATCTACTATACATGAATTACTTTAAATTGATCATTTCATTCAATTCTATCAGAAAACCTATGATAAAGATACTTTTAACCTATTTTACAAATAAGGAAACCAAGGGATAGGACAGTCACATAGTCTATAAATGACAGATTCTTTGATTCCAGATGTGTTTTGACTACAAAAGGGTGTGACTCCATGTAAAACAGAGAGAATTATAGAAAACTACACGGATGTGCATTAAAAATATATTCTGTAAAATTGTATTTTAATCAAAATCACTTTACTGAACAGTTTGAACTATTTCTTTCTCTGGTGGTGGAAGCAAGAACATGATCTGAGAATGATAGCTTTATACTTTCAATCACTATCTTCGCTGATTTTCTTTCTTGTTCCTTAATGATATCCTGGGCAAATTCTACACATTTCTTGCCATTTTGTTTATTAAAAAAAAAAAAGTCCATTCCACTTTGAAGCTCCAGTTTCACATATAATTTAAACTCCTCACTGGACTCCAGGAAGTTTGGAGATGGGAAAGGAGGATTATCTGCTCTATCATTCTTCCTTCTCCAACCCTTGGAGTGGAAAAGGCATGATCTTTTTATATACCTCCTCTCCCTTGTCTTTTCAACACTAACCATTTTAAGGTCATGGGCTAGGAGAGAATAGAGGAGGCAGAGATCTTCCTATATAACTGCCACATTTGTGATGCTAAGGCATGACTGGTATTTTCCTATCTATTCTTGTGTTCCTATGTTCCCATAGATAGATATTCCTGTCTATTCTTTGTGTTCTCGTGTCCTCTGCTTTCGAGATGTGTGGTTTTATGAGGGAGTTCATCTGCACTCACATCCCTTCTGTCTCTGCCTCCTTCTGGCCCTGCCTGTGATTCTATTTCCCCTCCAGATGAAGCACTGTCTTCCAAGAAGAGCAATGTGATGACTATGCCATGGTTTCCGCCACCTCATATAACCCCTCTGCTCCCTCCCATGGAGCCAGGTCCTCTCTGGCATTCTCAGAGGGCTGAGAGTAACTAGGATGGCTTTGGCCACCATTCTTTTCCTAGGCACTCCACACTAAGGCTCCTTCTTGCCCTTTAGCCATAGATTATTTCTGCAAGCTTTTCCTCTTCAGTTCCCTCTCAAAATGCCATGCAGGAACCAAGCTTTTCTAAGAAATCCCTCACTATCATCAGCTATAGTGGCAACAAAGGGATGGAATGGGGGCTGCTCTATTGTTCTGCAGTCAGCAAGCCTCTAGCTGGGGGTACAATCCCGATCCTGGTCTCTCCTTGTGTGGCATCTCATTCTCCCAGATAATTTTCTTGGAATCCCACCTCATTCATTTAAATTCTGGAGGTGAGGGAATTACCTCATGAGAAAGGATGGGAAAGGAACTACCTCCCACTGAGAAAATAGCATGCTCCTCTTCCTCCCTGCCACCCCTCGTAATCTCTTTATAATTATTTATTTGCTGGGCAGTGATTGTGGTTAGTAGGGCCTGTTTAGCTGCCTGCCTCTCAGTAAACTCTGGGGGGATTATCAGGCCCCAGTGTTGGCAGCTCTATTTAGACTGTGGCATATCAGTGCGTCTTATTTTCAGACGAAGCTCCAAGGCAACAGTAAAAATCCCACTCAGTATCTTGTTATATAAACAATAGCTCTGCTCAACCTTCTACGGTAGCTGTTCAAAATATGGGCACAAAAGTTGATTTTAATTTTACTTTGCTTAGTGCTGTTTTCACCACTTTGAAAATCTTGATAAGCACCGAAGTGCTCTGAGCATGTGGAAAGGCCTGGGGAAGGTCAGTACGGTGTGCAATAACACATAATAAACAAATTAACTTCTCTCCTGCACGAAGTGTGAACAGTCATGACAGAAAAAACGGTGCTTTCTTTTGAGGCTGACCTGGTTTTCAAGAAGTAGGAATGAAGGTTAGGGAAGGGAGGTATGACAAAGAGAGAAAAAAAAAAAATGGAGAGAAACGAGGAAAGGGTAGGAGAGAGAGAGATTGAGAACACAGTTACACACTCCTTGCTTTCATTCCTGGCTCCCATGGACACAGCCGAGAAGGAGCACTGTGGGCCCCTCTAGGGACAGGCTAGAAGCTGGCAGGCTTCTTTTACCCACAGAGCTATTTAGAGCTCTGGCCTCTCCAGCAGGGATTGGTGCCATGGCCCAAGGAGCTAGCATTCCTGACCAGGGGAGGTAGGGAGGGACGAAGAGAGCTTTCAAGTGTATTTAACATTCTCCTCGCAGCCCTCTCCAATGGTCTCCCTCTATCCTTTCTCCAAACACCAAACTCCTAAGTTTACTGAAGAAAAATAAGCTCATTAATCAAGACTCAGTCTGACATAGCAAAAGAAACAAGACATAGTCTCATGGTGAAAACTCTGGATTTGGAGGTAAGTTCTACTGGCCCTGTTCTTTAATAAAAGTTTAGTTATACTTTAGACTCTAAAACAAGTGCCTTAAAATGTATTTCTTTCCCATGTCCTGACCTTATCTTCCTTTTTAATGTTAAGCTTTTTTTCTGTATTATAATCACCAAACCTCGGCCGAGTGTGGTGGCTCATGCCTGTAATCCCAGCACTTTGGGAGGCTGAGGCGGGCAGATCACAAGGTCAGGAGTTTGAGACTAGCCTGGCCAATATGGTGAAACCCCACCTCAACTAAAAATATAAAAAGTTAGCCAGGCGTGGTGGTGCAGGCCTGTAGTCCAAGCTACAAGGGAGGTTGAGGCAGGAGAATCGGTTGAACCCAGGAGGTAGAGGTTGCAGTGAGCTGAGATCGCGCCACTGCACTCCAGCCTGGGCAACAGAGTGAGACTCTGTCTCAAAAAAAAAAAAATCACCAAACCTTTTATTGACAGCAATCTGTTTATATCCTGAGCACATGTTGTGCTCTTAGCTCTGAGAAAAGTATTATAGAGACTCAAAGGAGAGAAAAATGTGTCCCTACTTAGCGCTATTTAGAGGAGAAAGAAGTAGGTGTGGGCTTAGACATCAGGGTACATGGAGGGAGGAGAGCATCTAAAGTCTGAGAAGATGGGTGAGGATGAGAAGAGGAGCTTTCGCCCAGTCTAAGCAGCTTCCCCAGTGTTGCCCAGACTACTCATCGTGGATGCTGTTCTACTTTATAATCAGGATACCCCAATCTTCCACTTTTCGAGAAAGCCCCTTGAGAGTAGGAACTGGGCCTCATTCAC
This sequence comes from Homo sapiens, assembly GCF_000001405.40. NCBI lineage: Eukaryota > Metazoa > Chordata > Mammalia > Primates > Hominidae > Homo > Homo sapiens. Next base: position 162,860,204 of record NC_000001.11, on the reverse strand, counting down.
CATTACTCTTAGCTTTTAGCATAGCACCTGGCATACAGTAGGATTACAGGCTGAATGAACCTACGCATATGTGAATTAATGAACTGGCAGGGTGTGGGAAGGAATGGCCGTGTCCTAAGTTCCTAAATCCTCTCCAGACCTCTGAGCAGTCTCTTTGGGAGCCTTTAAGAAACAGTAAAAGAGGCTTTTCTTATTGGGTAAATAATGCCTTATATATGTAGACTGCCTTTTTTTTTTTTTTCCAAAGAGTTGTTCTTACACTTCTCACTTGATCTTCTTGGAAATCTGACTGGGATCTGTGTTGGGGGAGCCTATTGTATTGTATCACTATTTTATTGACAGGGAGGCTGAGGCTCAGAGGAATGACTACCCTCAATCCTTCTGTGTTACTCTGGAAACTCATTTAACAATAGTGTGATTTCATCTGACTAGGCACCTGTGGTTTCAGAAATACACAGGTTCTACCACTGATCTCTGATTAAAAGCCGGGGTCAGTATCCCAGTCTTCCATTTATCAGGTTATTTGTGATACCTTATTGTCTCTAGACCATAAAGAAGATGGAGAGGCACATGGTCAGGGGACAATTGTATAAGCATTTTGATTTGGAGAGGAAGAATGCCAAGCAGGCTGAAGCCAGACTGGACCAAAGACTGCAGAGACTAAAGGTTATTTGCCTCTACCATGTGAAATTGCTGACCTGGGAGCAGAGGCAGCTCCAAAAAGAACTGCAGAGGTTGCAGCAAGGTAAGACTTTCAGGACTGGTGAGGAGGATGCCCCAGAGGCACAGCAGGGCAGCAGGCCCATCACTCCGCTGAGGCCCTTTCAGAGCTCTGAGTGCCAAGACAGCAAGAGCTTTTGATCACAGCCAGGACTTTAGGCTGCCTAACCTTCCTTGTCCCTCCCCTGTCAATTACATAGCTCCCTGCAGCAGCCTACTCATAAGCCTTCTTGAGCTAACATTTCTCAGGCTTCCAGTCACTGCCATCTTTCAAGTTAGCTCTTTCTTGCTTAAATCCTTCGTTTTCTACTTTTAAATTTTATTTTTCATTTTGCTTTTCTTTCATTATCTGGGCTGATTTGGTTTCACCCCTTTTTAAATATCTGATCTTTCTCTTTTGGATCTAACAACAATTTATTGAGCAGTTACTCATGTGCAAGTCACTGTCCTAGCCCACTTTATGAAAGTTAAAAAAGAAAAAGAAAAGAAAGAAAAAATTTCTCTGGAATTAGTACCTCAGCTTCCTCCAATGTAAAATAAAAGTATTTCCTATGTTATGAAGTTATTTGAGGATTCAGTGAGCACTTGGAATAGTACCAAAACATAAAGTAAGTGCTATATAAGTGCCCACTCTTATCAATTAAAAATTGTTACACAATTGAAACCCTTCTACTGTCTTTGTTGAAAATAGTCACAGTTGTACAGTCTGTAGAAACTAGTTCTCCTTTGTTCATCATTAAAATAATTAGATTTTAATATTACTTAAAAATTCAGCACAGGAAAGAAATATCTCAGCTCTTGAAGACTACATCCTTTCTTACTGAAGGAGAGTGCCAGAACTCAGGAGTCTGAAATGGACAGAACATGTTCAAGAGGAAGGCCAGGTGCTGTAAACGAACATAAAATATTTCAGGTCAACACAGCTTATACATGACATAAAGGCCAAGAGTAACAGCCAAATGTCTAGGCTGGGAATTCTTTCTAACCTCCAGCTTTGGGTTTGAAAGATACTCTGAGTAACTAACTGAAGTCCTCTGCTTTCAATTTCCCTGTCTGCAATAAATGGTTAAACCAACCTAGAATGAGAGCTCACATACTGGAAAAGGGTCTTAGAAGCCATTTAGTTGATTCCCACTCTTATTCAAAAAGGACACTGAAGATCAGATGCCTACTTTTAGGAGGGTGTACAAAAGGCCAGGCCCTAGTAAGTGGCTTTCCTGGCTGAGTAAAGAGTTGGGTTGGAAAGAGTATGAATCAGGAGGCAGAAAACTTTGATTCAGGTGCTTCTGCCTCCATGTCCTTTGGGAAGTCATATTCTCTCTAAGCCTCAGACTTCTTGACAGTAAAATCAGGGATACAGGAAGGAAGCAATATGTATTAAGTCTCAATATTTCTTAGGCACTGTGCTAGGCAATAGTTTTCCATGATTCATTTAAATGGAATTGTTATTGAGATTCAATGATATGCCAGTGAGTGAATTATTTAAGATGCATGTTGCCAGTCCTTTGAGTCAGCAGGTTAGAAATTAGGCTTAAAAATCCACATTTTTAACTGAGATGATACTAAGGTAGATTATTCTGGGACAGCTGTATTTCAGACCAGACTTTGCAAAACAGCTACTCAGGTAGAGTCTGGAATGCAAATATGAAAAAGCATGGTCTCTGCCCTCAAGGTGCCCATATTTAAATTGGACAGTAGTTCCGCTTATAAAAAATGATGATCAAAACTGCTAATTGAGTTCTTCACAAAGTAGGGCAGGAACATAAAAAGGTTCCTGTGTCTATCAAAGGAATTTAGCTAAGATTTCCCAAAAGACACAGTATGTGAGCAGAATCTTAGAGGAGGAGGAAAATGGGGGAAAGGGCGGGAAGTTTGTCAGGAGGACGTATGGAATGGGGCCACTCCCAGCAGAAGGAATAGTATGTATAAAGGCGCATACATGATCACTGCTTGCCTCAAATAGCTCAGTACTGCAGGCATGTGACATGGAAGTGGGGAAGAGGAGGTGTAGGTGCAGTTTTCAGAGACAACACAAAATAGCCAATGTCTCCAATCCAATCCAATCATGAATGGCTTCACAGGTCTTGCAAAAGAGTTGAGAGTTCACCCTGTAGGGTTTGAGACTGGTGAAAATTACATGCTCAAATGTTAAAAAGATAATTCTGGATGCAAAGTTTAAGGTAAAATAGACCTCAGACTATAGTCAGAGTAGACCTGATAGAATTACAAAGTTCAGGCCATGGTTTCAAGGCCTAAACTAGGGCATTGGTCAGGTGAAGAAAATGAGAAGATGAGCATCTCAAGATATTTAGAAAGTAGAATTGTCGGAGCTTTAAGACTAAATATATATCCAAGGGTAAAGAAAACCAGAATCAAAAGTATATTACCTGGCACAAAGTAGGCGCTCAAACGAGCTTGTCAAATCTGGTAACTGGGTGGGCAGAAGTACCATACCTTCACAGAGAGAACATTGGAGAAACATCAAGTTTCAGAGAAAAGATATGTTCATTTTTGAACCTATTGGGCCCATAGGTCTAAATTTCAGAAAACAGATCTTGCTGGGAGAAGTAGCTCAAAATCCCTCAATTTATATGGAATAGGTGAAGTTCTTACATGGAAGAAACCCCCACAAAAGACCCCAAGGAGACAACAAAGGAAGAAAGGCTCACAAAGAACTCTTCCTTGCTCTGATCACTTCACAAAGAAGTGATCATATGAAAGAATATTGGGAGTCAATGTGAATTCTGGGTTCCCTATCTGGTCATATTCCCTCTGCTTAGTGCCTACTAACCGAACTGTAGATTTAAAGAGTTCTCTCCCATTAGAGCAAAACTAGTCCAAGACTTTCAACTCTAAATGACCAATTCATGAGATGTCTTAAAAACTGACTGAGTTCTCCATAGCAGCTATGACTGCAAGATGCTAAAACATCAACTCAACAAGTGAAAAGTCCACTTAGTCACGGCTGGCAGTTGCAAACTCACAGGTGGGTAGGAGGTCACATAATTGTGGTGAAGGAGACAATCCACTCACACCCAGTCATTTTGTTTTTGAAAACATTGTGCTTGCCAAGTAAAATGTTCAAAGGAAACCTCCAGGGGCTTAGCTGGTTTAAACCTCTGATCTTAGTGTTTCTAAATCCTCTTTAACATATACTACGCAAACACTGGAAAACTGCTTTAAATTTTCCATTTCCATCTATCACACCAGATCAACCTAATGTGTAATATACACCAAGGTTTATACACATTGGTTCTCTGAAAGCCCAGTTTGCAGAATTATTTTTCTTCTTCTTATATTAGTTTTCTAGGGCTGCCATAACAAAGAACTATAAACCGGGTGCCTTAAACAACAAAAATTTATTGCCTTACAATTCTAGAGTCTAGAAGTTCAAAATCAATATGTCAAACATGCTGGTTCCTTCTGAAAATTGTGAGGGCAGGCTCTGTTTCAGGCCTCTCTCCTTGGCTTACAGATGGCTGTCTTCTCCCTGTGTCTCTTAGTGCTCTCCCTGTGTGTGTCTGTGTGTTCTAAGTTCCTTTCCTTATAAGGACACCGGTAATATAGGATTAGTACCCACCCTAATGACCTCATTTTAATTTGATTTTCTCTGTAAAGACCTTATCTCCAAATAAGGTCCCACCCTAAGGTACTGGGGGTTAGGACTTGAGCATAAAAAATTTAAGGACACAATCCAACTCATAACACTTCTTAATTAACTCAAAGCAGAAACCATGAAGAAAAAGTTCTCCTCTTATTTGGGGAATGGATTTCAGAAGAGACCAGAAGATGTTCTCGTGTTCTCACCACAGGGAAGGCAGAAGCACAGAGCCCCACAGGCTAAGAAAATGAGGTAAGAAATGGATTACTAAACCCATGGGTATGACATTAAGTCTCTCTTCCCAAATGACCTCTTTAAACTGTTTTCCTGAAGAAATGCTCCGTTCCACTTCTTAAGTGAGACATTTTCCCTGCATTGTTACTACTCAGTTTCACCCTCCACCCCATTCCCACCTATATTACCTTGGCCGATACTGAAGGGGGCCACATCCTAATAAGTTGAAAGGTCTAAAGAAGAGCCTTTTTATTGGTTTTCAGAGATCTTTCTTTTATGTCCTTTCTCAGAGCATTGGCAACCCGTATGGCCCAAGACACATGCAAAAGCAAGTCCCAGGTGCCTCCTTCACATGATGCTGGCCTCAAAGACCCCATGAAGAGCAAAAAGCAGCCACTCTCTCAAAATAACAGAACTGCCTGCTTCATAAAAGAGCAACCACAAGCCCAAGAGAAAGATTCTGTGAATCCATCTAAGGACGTAGACCCCAGCAAGGGCATCTCTGTTCCATGCCAAAATCAAGAGGTTTCCACCAACACCATAGAACAAGGTCCTAGTTCCAGCCCAGCTAGTGATAGTGGAATGGCATGTGCTGATGAGACCAGATCAAAAGATGTTGCTCTAAAGCCAGATGGGAACACTGGAAAACAAATTCCCCCAAAACACATGGAATGTGCAGGAAGCTTCGAAGGCGAGTTCACAAAGCCAACCTTCTTAGAGTTGCTTTCAAAGGCCAGAAATGCCCATTATCTCCGGCACAGGGTCCCCCCTGAGTCTGAGAGGTTGCTTAGCATTGGAGAGATATTTGGGCATGGGGAATCCTCATCATCCAGGGCAGGAAAGGAGTGTGAAAACAGGGTGCCTTCTAAGTTTCTTCCTCTCTAACCGTTTAACATAGCCTGACAATAACATATGCCATTATTGCTAAGGAAATGTGTTCCTCAAATGACTATATTAAGCAATACAGAGAAAAACAAACAAACATAATTGAATTACAATTTTATTTTAAACTCCCTATTATTTTCCGGGAATATAATATTTCTTGAATGAACAATGCTAATATATGAAAAAGGAGAGGAAGAATGAATCTTCTGAAAATATTTTAAGTGATATGTTTATGATGTCATCAAAAATATGAATATATATTGATGACTGGACTTGGGAAAACAGTAACAGTCTTGCTTTCAGGGACTTCCTGTTTCCTCTAGGAGATTCTCATGGTGCCACCTGCTGGCAAAACGGCATAGCTATTCTCTCTGTTTTAGTTTGATATATAGTAGTGGTAGGAATAGGAATGTGATTGTAAATAGGTACTGTAACATGGTCTATAAAGAAAATCTGCTCTTTAACCACACCCACGTGCTCTCTTTGGAAGCCCTTTCCTTCCTTCCTTTATTTACAGATAGCTCCATTTTAGTTTTCACCCTCCCACTTTCAACCTGCTCATATCAAATTTTTTGAATCCTATTGAAAGAATAATGGACAATCTTTTCCCTCTCATATCTTCTAGAATCAAAGGATTTAAAAAACTTTTAATCATCTCCCAACATGCTGTCAAATGCATAGCAGACTCTATCAAAATGATTTCACTGTAAAATGAGAGGTACTAACATTGTTAACAAGCTATTGTTTCAAGTAGGCCTCTATGTCTTGGGCTACACTGTAAAAGAATCGATTAGATTTTGTTTCCCATCCAACAGACCCAAATATCACTCTAAAAATAAGTAGTATCATAAGTCATTAGAAAATAATAGCTTTTTGTTAATGCGTTTTAAACTTACTGTCTACCTAATGAAGTGTAGAATAAAATCATCACCACTTTTTATCTATACTGACTCTATCAGGAAAACCATCTTGCCCCGTGGGTCTCAAAGAAATCATGCCTCTGTGGTGGGTAAATTCAAATCTTCAGCCCAATAACAAACTTTAATTCCAGAAGAATAAACTTGAGGGCCTATTTCATCTCTGGCATCAATAGTTGATGTAACCCAGCCTGGGATATTTTGATGAAACAAGATTATTTAGCTCAGAAATGATAAAGGACCCCAACCTACTAATATTACAAAGGGCCTGAAATGAAGATTAATTCATATTTAATTTATAGTTCATTAAATATAAATTTGAAGTATATTTAATTTGAAAACATTTCATTTAATTCAGATTTAGAATTCCTTGTGTTTAAAAATAGTAATTCCTAATAGCTCCTATTTTTCAGTACCTCCCCCTATCCTGACACATTCCACACAGCATGCCAACTGATCCTCAAAACAATGCTGCAAAAGTTTTCTTTGCAAAATAGTTTTCTTTATCCCCATTTTACAGATAAGGAAATAGAGGGAAGAGTGGTGGTAACTTGCTAATAGATGGCAGACTAGCATTTGATCTCTCTTCTACTCAATTTCCTTGCTCATGCTCTTTCATTACACCACACTACCACCTATCTGAAGACAAAAACTTAGATCAAACATTTGAGAGTCAGTTTCATCAGCCCAGCCTCTGGCCTTCAATGGGGAGACAATACTTTATAGTGAAAGGAACACAAGAAATCTGCTTCCTCCAACACTTTCTTCCATGAAGCAAAGCAACAGAGGAAGGCAGGCCATAAGTGACAGAACTGATTGATTCACAAAAACTTAATTTATTTGCACCAGCCATGCCTGGGCCAACATGAATAGGCATACAACAATTAGAGAACCCCTTTGTAAACTGCGCAAGCTCTTTCCTAAAAGTTCTTTCTTCTTGTCTTCTACGCAAGCCTTGCCTATCGTCATCACAATTCTCCCTCAAGGCTGAGTCCTGAGTGAATGGTTTGTCACTGCTAAGTGGGTCTTTTCACTGTACTAGCTCTCACAGCGGGAAGGGGCCATCACAAGGCAGGAGGGAGCCAACTTCAGCCTAGTTCTCTGTTCCAGGTCCACCTCAATCCTGCCATCTACAGAAGTGAACATTCTGCATGTTCCTCCTTGCTATCTTGCTTGTGTCTTCATATACATCTGACAGACCCAGATCTGTCTGCACTTCTAAAATCAATATTTTAGTACATCCTGTTTTAAATAATATTCCATGCATCGCCAAAAAATTATACATTTAAAAATCTTCTAACCACCTAGATTTTATCTTCTTATCATTTAGTCTAATACATTTGCCTTCTTCGATACAATGGATGTAATACTCTGATTAGTACAACTTAACTCAATCAAAGAGAACGCTGCTGCATGGAACCTTTCTTGTGTAACTCATTAAATTCTAAACAGTTTAAATCCTTAATCCTGACGTGGCACACGGTGCTCTAGGATGGCTTGCTCTCGACCAGTCCATGGCCACTTTACTTATACCAGTGGTTCTCAGCTAGGAGCAAATGTGCCCCCTGTCCCCAGAAAACATCCAGCACTGTCCAGAGATATTTCTGGTTGTCATAACTGAGGTGAGGGGGCTGCCACTGGAGTCTAGTAGGTAGGGACCATAAATTCTATAATACATGGGGCAGCCCTCTAAAACAAAGAATTAACAAGCCCGAAACATCAATAGCGCCAAGATTGGAAACTCCACCCTGTGCCATTACATTAAATATTCACAGAACCTTCTGAGACAGAAAATCAGGGAGATACTTGCTGCCATTTTACAGATAAAGAAATTGAGGCTCATGATAAGTAAAATAGCTTTCTCCATACCAGAATGTGGATGAGGAACAAAGACCAGGGTACTCTTTTCCCATACTCTCCTCTCAAAGAAGATGGGGAAGGGCATGTGTCCGATGGCTCCTGCCCTCGTTTTCAGTTAAGAAATGCTTTCAACCCTACAAATACAAATCTTTAACATTCAAATTAGTAACACATGGTTAGAAGGGATAATTTATACTTCAATTTTGAGGAAACATTTTTTATTACATTCATTCATTCATTCATTCATTCAGAGATGTACTGGGGACAGATGATCCCTTCCCCATTTCCTCCCCCATGAGGAAGAAGGGGCTTTTGACTTGTTGCCTTAACTCATTCAATGGGAAAAGATTCCATTTTTCACCTACAGGCAGAGGCAGCTGGAAACTCCCAGAAGTAGAGGCTCAGTCTCTCTGGAGGCTACTGAAGAGCACCCTGAAGGGTGTCACAATCCTCAGTGTTGGGGGAAAGTTGGGTAAGTTTTTACCATGAACACTGGAGGGACCAGCTCCTCTCAGGGTGAAATGAGCCTTGAAGGAAGGACAGAGGGAATCACGCTTGGGCAAGTGTTTTGCCCTCACACCAAGAGTACCAGGGAAGCAGAGGGTACCAGTCCAAACAGATGTCAGCAGCTCTATCTCACCAATGACAGCCAGAATAGCAAGCAACCACTGCAAAAAAAAAAAAAAAAAAAAAAAAATGGAGAGGAACCAGAGGTGTGTGGACCATTGCGTGAACCAACTCATTCCCTCACCTCCAACCACACCTACTGGGTCAGACATTCAGGCACTGAAGACAGAATAAGGGAGAGCGGGCAGCCAGGTCCTCCTTTTCTGCCTGAGGCCACTGCAGTAGAACAGAAGTTCCACGGGTGGAGAAGAAAGACTTTAAACTGGATGAGAACCATAAACAATAATAACCTAAATGCAGTTAAATGAATATCTACCGGAAATAAAACTTTTAAAACAGAAGTGCATGGAAGTTATCAGATCAGACTGAAATAATATTAAGCAAAGTTGGTCATAGTTACTAGGGGTAAGAAAAGATAACCATTCCATGTTTACACCTCACCAAACTGAGATTTCTCAACCTAACCTATATAAAGATGCATTGCACTGAATTACACTGACTATAAGAAATACAGGTCTTTGGCCGAGCGCGGTGGCTCACACCTGTAATCCCAGCACTTTGGGAGGCCGAGGCGGGCGGATCACGAGGTCAGGAGATCGAGACCACGGTGAAACCCCGTCTCTACTAAAAATACAAAAAATTAGCCAGGCGCGGTGGCGGGCACCTGTAGTCCCAGCTACTCGGGAGGCTGAGGCAGGAGAATGGCGTGAACCCGGGAGGCGGAGCTTGCAGTGAGCCGAGATTGCGCCACTGTACTCCAGCCTGGGTAACAGAGCGAGACTCCATCTCAAAAAAAAAAAAAAAAATCAGGTCTTTATTTTATGGTCCTCATCTCAAATGTGGGTTGGGGCATGTGTGGCCCCCTTAAGATTTATAGGAAAAAAATGTTTTACATAATTAGGCATAACGCAAACTATACCCTAACTTTTCCACCTTCCCACCACTATTTTGAATATGTTGCTGCTATATGTCCTAAGAGTAGGCATCATTAAAAATTGTAAATGAAATTTAATGTAATTAGTTAAATTATTTTGAACTACTCAAGTTTAATCCCATTGAACTGGTTGCATGAAACTGGGCAATGAGGAAACCTTCCTGGTAAAAGGAAAACACATATAAATACACATACAAAGACCCCAAATACACATAGCACATTTTGGTTAGAATCAAACTGAATACTCGCATGGACCCTCTCAACTCAAAATTATTAATAAAAATAAATCTTAGTTTAAAAAGGAGTGATAAAATGTATACATGCTGTATATAAAGATGTTTATGCAATTCACTACTGGAAAAATTTTTGAACACTCTTGCTGAGGACTATTTGTTCATAGTGAGGTGGAAGAAATGAGACAAACAGCATAGACCAAGTGTTCAAAACTAAAGGACAAGAGCTAGGACTGCCAAACCAAGTGACCGATCCAGCTGTGGATAGAGAAACAGAAAGTGAGCAAGCGTCTGCCTGCATCACTGAGACCCTTAGCCTACTTCCCTCCTGGCTTCCCCTGGAGCTCCAGCAAGTAGGATAGTATGAGCAGAATAATAGTGATGCTAGTAATTATTTTGATATTATTAAATGAAAGAGCAGATATAATTTTACAGAAGAGGTATAAGAATTCATATTTGAATGATATTTTTTCTTAGAGGATTTTCCCCTCATTTTCCTTAGGGAGTACACACTCACACAGACATTCAGACCCACAACACTCTTTTTAAAAATGGCCATAAAAAGAAGGTGCCCCTGAGGACTCAGATGGTAGTTCACTACAAGCGCTCATACCCGCAGTATGCTAGCTATCAGTATGCTGGTGGGAGGTGATCATGTTTCAGGGAACTAAGGGTGAATGGCAGCCCTAATACAGTTTTTTAAGTCCCAGCAAATTTTGTTAAAAACATTTGGCAGAGTCTTTATCCAGGTCCATCTGAAAAATACAAGCAAAATGAAGTATAAGTTGGTGTGATGGATAATATTAAGCATCAACTTGACTGGATTAAAGGATTCAAAGTATCAGTCCTGGGTGTGTCTGGGAGGGTGTTGCCAAAGGAGATTAACATTTGAGTCAGTGGGCTGGGAAGGCAGACCAACCCTTAATCAGGGTGGGCACCATCTATTCAGCTGCCAGCACAGCTAGAGTATAAAGCAGTCAGAAAAATGTGAAAAGACATAGCACATTTTGGTTGGAATCAAACTGAATAGACTGGCCCAGCCTCCCAGCCTACATCTTTCTCCCGTGCTGGAGGCTTCCAGTCCTCAAACATCTGACTCCAAGTTGTTCAGGTTTGGGACTCGGACTGGCTCTCCTTGCTCCTCAGCTTGCAGATGACCTATTGTGGGATTTTGTGATCGTGTAAGTTAATACTTAATAAACTCCCCTATATACATATATTATGGGGATATATACATATATACATAAACACATATATGTATATCCTATTAGTTCTGTCCCTCTAGATAATCCTGACTAATACAGTTGGGTCCCAAAATAAAGAAAAATAAAATTAATTAAGTTTGGACTAAAAATGACATTTGGCATAGTCTATAGGAAGAGAATTAAAAATCTAGACAGAAAGAGATCAGCAAGATAAGGCAATTCTAGGAATCACAGGGAACTTAAGAACATGTTATCACATGGTTCTAACTCCATCCCTTACCAAACCAAGTGGGACTTCTCTTAAACAGAAAAGCTGGCACGTCTGAGCTTTGCTGCCCCCGAATATCTTTGTTTCTGTAGCAGAAGCACTAACAACTGGTGTCATGACCAAATAGAAAAAAAAAAAAGTCCCTAATACAGGTTTTAATACCAAGCCTTGACAGGGACCTCAATTCTAAAATCAAGACTTTTCCTTAATTGTCCCTGCAGCGATAAGGTGAGAAGCTTTTTCTCATAACAACTGATTCCCAAGGGTCCTTCTTTCATTATTGAAAACCTATACAGACTTTCCTTTTGCCTCATAGCTAACTCTCCAGGGATGGAAAATAATTCACGCTCAGGAGAATGTACTTTGGCTAAGGGCAATCAGAATCCCTAGGTGGAAAGTTCTACAGCTTACCCATACTTTGCCATTTAATCCTAAATATCACTAAAAAAATTAACAAAACTTTACTTAGTAACAGAAATAACTATCTTATTTATACTAGTGGTTTTGGGGTTTTTCCATAGGATATTGGAACTGGTGGAATTTTGGGAGTTAACCAGCTTAACCCCAGTTCAAAGGTATGAAGTGACTTCTTCAAAACAAACCAAAATGAACACACTTTCCCACCAAAGAATATTAGTTTAGAATTGAACGTTTGTTCACCCTGTGTAAACCAATGCTGCCCCCTAGTGGCGAAGGTGGCAAGTTCAAGCAAGTCACCTTGAGGGCCAGGAAATTAGTAATTAGGCTAATATAATTTCCCAAAGAGCATTGCAAAAGATCTTGTTAGGTGCTGTCAGAAAAAAAAAAGGACTCTGGGTTAAAATAAATTTGGAGAAACCTGGGTTAAACAATGAAAACAAATTTCTCTATGAGACTTCTCTAAGCCTTTAATATGCTAATGTCACTGTGACTGTCAAGGGGGAAATCACACCACACTGAATTCCCCCAAATAATATGACCATGAAAACTTTGTCCATAAATCATCTCCAGGGACTATTACAATCCACAAAGCACACTTTAGAAACACTTTCCTGGAATGAAAAATAGGTTAAGAGAGGCTTTTTATCTTTTACAGGTCAAATAGTCAGCAAAGACCTCATAAATTCCAGAGGGCAATAGCAGGAATGACATTTTCCTTAGAAGATATTTTCCTCCATTTTTCTTACAGGTATTCCCACATATACATGACATACACCTGTTCACAAGTGCACACATACACACACAAACATTGCCACACCCTCACTCAAAAATATTGTTAGAATTAAATGGAAATGTTAAGAAACTGGAGAAATATCTGTGGCTGTTTTGGCTGGTTCATCTGTGTTACATGTGTTCTCGGGGGTAGTCTTTGCTTCATTTTACAGGTAAGAAATCTGAAGCTTAAAGATTTTGAACTTCAGAAGTCCAGCAAGATCCTAAACAGGCAGCAAGTACTGAGCTGGGGACCAAGCCTATTTCTATCTAGCTCCAAGGACCCTGTTCTCCCCACTACATTATACCGCCTAGCTTGCATCCATCCAAAAGTTCAACAATGGCAACAAAAGTGCCCGCTGATGCAGGCACTGTGCTTGGGGCTAAGGGTGAACACATATCCCACACAGTGATCTTGCTTGCCGTCTAGTGGAATCAACAGGCCCCAAAGCAAATTAAACAAAAATTGGTGTTACAGTCACGGTCATTACCTATTTCCTCACGTCTACCGCAAATGATAAACATCGGTCATGGTCATTCTTTCTTTCTTGCCAGAGGCTTGTTTAGAAAAGAGCAAGTGACTCAATCCTTCTCAGTTAGACATGAAGGGAAGTCTCCTGAAGACTTCTGGGAAAGACATTCCCATTCCTAAGAAATAGACACAGAGAAAACAGTTGTTTCCATCCTTTAGACACTGTCCTATCTGGATGTGACTTCCTAGATGTTGCTTCTGGAATATCTGCTACAGCCATCCTGCTCCAGTGGGAGGAGGAAGCCCAGGGAGAGATGAGCAGGAGATAAGCTGCTGAGTGGATGTGCTGAAGAGCTGGAGAAGTGGGAGATTCAGATAATGAAAAACTTGATATTGAGGGGACTACAAAACTGACCGTCTAAACCAGAACACTTCCAAGAGTGAAAAGGGATGCTACTAATAAATAAACTGAGGCCGGGCATGGTGGCTCACAGCTGTAATCCTAGCATTTTGGGAGGCCGAGGCAGGCGGATTGCCTGAGCTCAGGAGTTCAAGACCAGCCTGGGCAACACGGTGAAACCCTGTCTCTACTAAAATACAAAAAATTAGCCGGGCATGGCTGCGTGCACCTGTAATCCCAGCTACTTAGGAGGCTGAGACAGGACCCCAGCGGCGGAGGCTGCAGTGAGCAGAGATCGGGCCACTGCACTCCAGCCTGGGTGGCAGAGCAAGACTCCATCTTCAAAAAAAAAATCAAAAAAATAAATAAACTGGGACAAGAGGCATACAGTGGAATAACCTACTTACATACTATGCTGATCAGTCTGGACTTTGTCTGGGCCTGGCTACTTCAGAACTTTTAAAAGGTTAGAGCCACTTCTGGATTTTATATATATCTTTCTGGCTGCTATAGAGAGAAGGGCTTCCAGGGTAGGCCAAGAATCAGGGGATAAAACTGTAGGTCTGGCTAACATGAGAGAGGTTGAGGGACCCAATGAGGTCAGAGTGGTGTAGATCAAGAAGAGGGGAAGATTAGAAAAACGTTCAAAAGGAAGAACGTGGTGGCTGCCTAGGTCTGAAGAAGGAAGGTAAGGTGGGATTCCGGTCCCTGGCTTGGGCATCTTCATGAAAGATGAAGCCATTTCCAAGAACTTGGAAAACCCAAGGAGTAATGGCCCTCCCCTCTTGCTGGGAAGACCCTGGCAACCAAACTTGGAAGGCTGCGGGATGCTAAGCTCACTGGACCTGCTGCATGGACTTGTACATAAGATGCTATCTTGATGTAGAAAGTAACTTGGGGGTTGGGAGAACTGTGCTAGCGCTCTCAATCTTTCTGAAAGAGATTAACAATTAGAAAAAAATTTGAAGAAAGAGAATTAGACAGTGGCTAGGAGTCCAGTAGAAACTGTCAACAAGAGGAGATAGAGGGCAATATATTGCGATGTGTCTGAGGCACAGGACACATCAGGGAGACAAAATCTTGCCCTTGGCAGGAGCTACTTCATGCCTGGATTTCTAGGCACTCCTATGTTTTGGCTATAGTCAAATCATTCTCTTTCTTCCAAGAATCAATCTCTCTCTCTCCCTTTTTTCTCTCCTTGTTATTTCATCAGTTTTAATACAACTAGGGGGAAGGCTGAATTTTATTAAGCATTCTGATACACAATTAAGATAATATATGCAACATGTTGGTTGCTGGCCAGGGGCTAAAACACCCACTGCTGTATTTCTTGAGAATCATTCATTCAACAAATATCTGTATTGAACACCATTCTGTGATTGGTGCTGTTCTTTCATTACAGAAAATAGAATACAAGGTATGATTGTTGCAGTCATGGCCAACTTCCAGGCTGTTTGTTCATGCTTGTGAAGCTAATTTAATAAAGATGTCTGATAGATGGATATTTGGCAAACACACACACACACACACACACACACACACACACCACTCTGTTTCCTCCCAACCTCCAAGTAAATCACCATATCATATTTCTCTACAAGAGCCAAAAGTGCTCTTGGGGATATTCAACTGAAAGAAACCTTGAATGTGATCAAGATAAAAGACAGTTTTTGTAAATTAATAATAAATTTTCTCTTTTCTTATTGTAGAACTTTTTTTTGCAAAAGACTGGTCTGAATCTAAGAAGACTTTTTCTGTACTTCATCTTCAGTGCTTTCAAAACAGCATTTCTTATATCAAACTACTATAGCTGCTAATGGTCAAAGTGACAGTGGTCTTTAGGATGAATTAAGAAGTAGAGAATCTCTTAAGGGAATACTCCTTTAGGTTAATACCATACTCTCCTTTATTTGGCAGTTCATGCAATGCATATTTCTTGTCTGCTCTGTATAAAGGCCCTGTTCCAGGGGTGGAGACACAGAAAACCCTCCTCCTGGAGCATCTACTCTGGCAGGAGAGCCAAACAATAAGAAAGTAAAATTCAAGTAATTATTTAATTACAATTATGATGAGTGAAAAGTATATGTGCAAAGAAAACCAAAAACAGAGGCCTGAATTAGTCTGGAGAGACAAGAAAGGCTTCAATGAGGGCCTGAAATTTCAGCTGAGATTTGAGGGATAAGGAGAAACTGGCAAGTTAAAAGGGAAGGAGGGAGGAGCAGAGAGTTTCCAGAGGGAAGGTGAACCTGAGCAAAGGCCCTTAGGGAGCAGAAGCAGGGTTGGAGAGGGGGAAGCAAGGGGGTGGGGGTGGTCCTGAGAGAAAAGCCCTGTGGCTGGAGCTTAGGGAGTTAGGAAGAGGAGGAGCATGGCAGGGAATGGGCGGCAAGGATTTGCAGAGAAGGTGGGGTCTCCCTACTAAAAGTCTTCATTTAAACAATGTTAAAATAACTTACATTGGGGTATTGATACAATTGTTCCCAAGGCCTGATAGCACTCTATTATTTGGTCAGTGGATTGAGAGACTGAAGGCTGTTATTGAACCAGCCGTAACTAGGAAGGAGGTGGGAATGTCAGTGATTCACACCTACCTGAGCTAAGGGAGGCTCTGGTGCTGTCCACCTAGTACCTTACACTGAACAAAACTTACAAATTCCATGTTCTTCATTTGTGATTTTTTTCAGTGATTTATACTCTCAAAAGTAAGCCATAGGAAGGTAGTGGGACAAACTGATTAACAATGTCCTTGCAAATTATGTAAAGGGAGAAAATCCCATTACAATTGTTTCCTTCCCTAAAGCTCTATAATTTTGCACACGCTGTGTCACAGTAACATATGAATCCCTGATCTCCCAGGACCTTGAAAATGGAATGGTAACACATGGATCTAAATAGACCCCTCAGCCAAAACTAAGGCAACACATTTTATAGACATCATTTGGCATAAAATTATTGTGAGTCCACTTTTCCAAATGGAACTGGAGAGCAAGTACATCCAAACCCAGGTCTGACCGACAACGAAGGGCTAAGCCTGATGGCTTCTATGGCAGCCCATTTTATTCAAATGACTGAATGGAACAGCAAACTGCATTTGTAATACATGTTCACATGTTGATGTGAGTATAGAGATACATACTCGCAAACAAGTACACTTATACATATGTAAATAGACATAAATATTTAATACTGTATTTCATCTGATCCAGGATGCCAATTTTATGAGATGCACCCTTGTTTTATGTACTAGTAAGAAAGAAAAAGAATGCTGCCAATTAAACTATGGCATGCTCTTGATTGTAAAATGCATCACAATTTCAAAGAAGTTAAAATATGAAAATGTAAATCTCACAATTAATGAAACAAAGAGTATCTGTGTGTGTATATTGTGTGTGAGACACATACATACGCATACTTTTTTAATGCCCTTCACCTACGAAAAACTAAGCATTATGTTAGAACTAAAATGAAGCCTTGGATGATAGTCTCCTAGCGCCCACGTTATAAGATATCCAAACAGGATCACCATCAACTAAAAATTAGATTATGTTGAAATCTGTTTATGTTTCAGGGCTCAGCACAAGTCCCACTTAATGCATGATTTCGCAGGGGAATCTCTCCCTTCCTGTCTGCTGGAGCAGCAGCAATTCAAAACTTGAGTTCAGAACGTCTTTTTTCTTTTATTTTTAATTTTATTTTTCCATAAGATATTGGGGTACAGTTGGTATTTGGTTACATGAGTAAGTTCTTTAGTGGAGTTCTGTGAGAACCTGGTGCACCCATCACCTGAGCAGTATACACTGCACCATATTTGCTGTCTTTTATCCTTCACCCCCCTCCCACCCTTCCTCCCAAGTCCCCAAAGTCCATTGTACCATTCTTATGCCTTTGTGTCCTCATAGCTTAGTTCCCACATATCAGTGAGAACATGGAATATTTGGTTTTCCATTCCCAAGTTACTTCACTTAGAATAATAGTCTCTAATCTCATCCAGGTCATTGCAAATGCTGCTAATTCATTCCTTTTTATGGCTGAGTAGTATTCCATTGTGTGTGTGTGTGTATATATATATCATATATATATCTGATATATGTGATATATGAGATATATTTTATATATATATATATATATATATATATATATATATATAAGAGTTTCTGTATCCACTCTTTGATTGATGGGCATTTGGGTTGGTTCCACAACTTTGCTAATCAAACTAAAGAGCTTTTGCATGGCAAAAAGAACAGTCAGCACAGTGAACAGACAACCCACAGAGTGGGAGAAAATCTTCACAATCTACATCTGACAAAGGACTAATATCCAGAATCTACAATGAATTCAAAGGAATCAGTAAGAAGAAAACAATCAATTCTCATCAAAAAGTGGGCTAAGAACATGAACAGACAATTCTCAAAAGAAGATATACAAATGGGCCAGGCGCGGTGGCTCACACCTGTAATCCCAGCACTTTGGGAGGCCAAGGTGGGCAGATCATGAGGTCAGAAGATTGAGACCATCCTGGCTAACACAGTGAAACCCTGTTTCTACTAAAAACACAAAAAAATTAGCCGGGCGTGGTGGCGGGTGCCTGCAGTCCCAGCTACTCGGGAGGCTGAGGCAGGAGAATGGCGTGAACCCGGGAGGCAGAGCTTGCAGTGAGCCGAGATTGCGCCACTGCACTCCAGCCTGGGCGACAGAGCGAGACTCCGTCTCAAAAAAAAAAAAAAAAAAAAAATACAAATGGGCAACAAACATAAGAAAAAATGCTCAGCATCACTAATGATCAGGGAAATGCAAATCAAAACCACAATGCGATACCACCTTATTCCTGTAAGAATGGCCATAATCAAAGAATCAAAAAACTGTAGACGTTGGCATGGATGTGGTGATCAGGGAACACTTCTAGACTGCTGGTGGGAATGTAAACTAGTACAGCCACTATGAAAAACAGTGTGGAGATTCCTTAAATAAGTAAAAGTAGAACTACCATTTGATCCAGCAATCCCACTACTGGGTAGATACCCAGAGGAAAAGAAGTCATTATTCGAAAAAGATACTTGCACACGCATGTTTATAGCAGCACATTTAGGAGGTCTTGTTTTTGACCTCTCTTTGTCTCTGTACTTAAATTTTGTATCCTCATCAAGATTTAAGTTCCCTGCATTGTGCATGTGAGGGGGGACAGATTACCAGTGACTGTTTTTTCTCTGTCCCTTGGGGCTCTTAGCACAAGCCTGAGCATAAATACCCATGCCTTTGACTTATATCCCAATGCTGTAAATGTATAGATGTATAGAAAGTAAGAGTCCTCAATAGGTTGCTTATTAATGTTCCTGGTGGTTTTCAAAAGGAGAGAAAACTTTATAAGAAAATCAGTTGAAGATTTCTCACTCTGAACATAGATTCCTTTTACCGAATCTTTTACTTAATTTTAATCAGCTAGCATTTATGAAGCACCCACTAGGAGTAGGCACTTCCGGGCTAGCCACTACTGGGCTAGGCACTGTAGATACACAGAGAAGGGCTGCTGCTCATTGAGCACTCATTCCCATGCTGGGTGAGGGTCTAGAGCTGCTCACAGAGAGGCGGTGGGAGACAGGCACACCAGCATGCAAGTACAGTGCACTGGGATCTCTCTCACTAGATACAAGGAAGGTTTGGCAAATTAGTTTGTTTCTCATGGGCCATGATTGTTAGCAGCTACTCTTGGATCACTGTGTTAAGAAGGATTCTGATGTCACAGCACTTACTAACACTTCTGCTCCATTGTAAGGTGTTGCTGTGAAAGAATTCACCAGGAAAAGTACAGCTGAGCAAAGGAAGAAAGATAAGTTACCCATTAAGAACTAGCAACATTTTTGCTAGTGTAACCAGGGTCATAAAAACATAATTTTTATTTAATTATTTTAGGATATAATAACAAATGCATGTTAATTGTAGATATTTGGAAAGTACAAAAAATGTTACAGGAACCTAAAAATGTATACAAGGTCCCAGCATTAGGAGGCAATGCTATTGATGTGTCAGCATATTCCTTTCTAATCTTTTGTCTAAGCTTTGTTGAAAAGGAGGAATATTACAACAACAGTAAAGATATACAGAAGCCTTTACCTTTTAGGAACAGTTCCCCCAGTGTTTTCATAGAGCATTCTGGCCACAAGATGTCCTCAAAAAAGGAGTCTGTGTTTGAATGCATTTGGGATACACTGTATCTTCTATCCCCATCTTAGGGATTCACACATGGTAACATGATACTAGCATAGTAAAGATCTTGGCAAGTTCCACAGTTAAAGAAAAATTCCTATGGAAATTTTCCTCCTTTCCTGCTTGCCTGCCTGCCTGCCTGCCTGCCTTCCCTCCTTCCTTCCTTCCTTCCTTCCTTCCTTCCTTCCTTCCTTCCTTCCTTCCTTCCTTCCCTCCCTCCCCCCTTCCTTCCTTCTTCCTTCCTTCCTTCTTTCCTTCCTTCCTTCCTTTTTTTTTTTTTGAGACAGAGTCTCGCTCTGTCACCCAGGCTGGAGTGCAGTAGCGCGATCTCCACTCACTGCAAGCTCTGCCTCCCAGGTTCACGCCATTCTCCTGCCTCAGCCTCCCGAGTAGCTGGGACTACAGGTGCCTGCCATCGCGCCCGGCTAATTTTTGTTGTATTTTCAGTAGAGACAGGGTTTCACCGTGTTAGCCAGGATGGTCTCGATCTCCTGACCTCGTGATCCACCCGCCTCGGCCTCCCAAAGTGCTGGGATTACAGGCGTGAGCCACTGCGCCCGGCCTCCTTCCTTGCTTCCTTCCTTCCTTCTTTCTTTCTTTCTTTCTTTTTCTTTCTTTCTTCTTTCTTTCTTTTCTTTCTCTCTTTCTTTCTCTGTTGCTCTTTCTTTCTGTTTCTCTCTCTCTTTTTTTCTTTCTTCCCTTGCTCCCCTTTCTACTTCTCCACTATGCCTCTTTCTTTCCCTTCCCCTTCCTTCCTCTTTCTTTCTTTATTCCCTGCTTGCTTGCTTTTTTTTATTACCTACTGACATCTTGCAGAATAACTACTTTCCTGAAGAACCCATGTTGGAAAATAATTTCTAAAAGAAAGGCAGTTCCTGATGTTCCCAAGGTCTCACATTTCTGTGTTTCTCAAAGTCAGGCAGCCAACATGAGGGAAGCAAGTCCAGCTGATGGAAGACATTAAGTGCAAAGATAATTGCATTACACCTGGTGGCACCTGCTGAGGTATATTGCCTCAGAGAACACTGTATGGTACAAACAAGAGTGCAAAATAAATTCCCACATGCTGTACCCTCTGGATCAGTAGGATAAAGTAAAGATAAAGAATTAATGAACTTGAAAACTGCTAAAACTTGTAATTTACATAAACATCTGCTTTCTTTGCTCCCCAAACCTAAAATTAATCTTATATGTACCCAAAGTGAATGCATTTTTATAGTGAAGTCATATTTCTTACTCACCAATAATATGATGGGCACCAGCAGCATCCAGATTAAAGGAGGCAGAATTTCATATGTAAGGTTGGCCACCACTGTGCCTGAGCACCCTGTAATCACCCAAGTGGGTTCATCTTGCCTGCTGCCCAGAAGCGCCAAACACTGAGAACAGCAGGAGTTGCGGTAGAGAAAGAGTTTAATAATCACAGTGCCAGCCAAGCTGAAGGGTGGGAGATGTTTCGCAAATCTACCTCTCTGAGAATTCAGAGGCTAAGGTTTTTCAAGGATAGTTTGGTGGGCAGGTGGCTAGGGAATGAGGGATGCTGACTGGTTGGGTCAGAGATAAAATTACAGGCGGTTGAAGTTCTCTTGTCATGTTGAGTTGGTTCTTGGGTAGGGGTCACAAGACCAGTTGAGCCAATTTATTGGTATGGCTACCAGTCCAGGTGGCACCACCTGGTCCATCAAAATGCAAGGTCTGAAAAACACCTCAAACACCAGTTTTAGTTTTTACAATAGTGATGCTATCTATAGGAGCAATTGAGGAGGTTAATTCTTGTTACCTCTGGCTACATAACTCCTGAACCATAATTCTAACCTTGTGGAGTTCTACAAAGGCAGTTTAAGTCCCTGAGCAAGGAGGAGGTTAGTTTCAGGAAACGACTTTGTTTTAAAGTTAAACTGTAAACTAAATTCCTCCCATAGCCTACGCCCAGGAATGAGCAAGAATAGTTTGTGAGATTACAAGTCAGATGGAATTAGTTATGTTAGATTTCTCTCACTGTCACAGTTTTTGCAAAGGTGGTTTCAACTGTGCACTGGAATACAGGCCCTGGGGACACAGAGAGGGGCACTATGAGGTTCTTGATTCATCAGATAATTACCATGTCATCTTCATATGCAAGATATTGTCCTAAGCACACTCTGTCAATTTTCTTTGAAATAGGAGATCTCTTCAGTTCAACAACTATTATGTGTCTATCATGTAAAAGGAACCCGGGACATAAAAGAAAGCCTCTATTCCTAGAAACTTGTAGTATAAAAAATTAGACAGCTATACCATGCCTTTACCTAAGAACTGATTGGGGAAGAAGAAGTGGTCCCAGAGATACAATATCCTTTGCCTCTAGCTTGAGGTAGATGCTCTAGTCATTAGAAAAAGACTGGAGCTGGAAAGCTCAAAATGAGATGTTTAGCCCAGGGTCACATCCCTCTAGTAAGTTCTGCCAGAATGAAAATCTCAGTCTACACAAAACTTCTGTTGGTGGCTTGTAGCTATTTTATTCCATTTAAAAGCACTGCTTGGTCTTTAGTGATTTGTTAACCACAGCAGAATTGCTTTAGTATTTTATAATGGCTTAATTTTCAACTATTTATTTTAATTATTGATAATTTATCCTAAGAACACATTTATTATTTGTCATCTTAATTTTAGTTTATTTTAAATAATAATTATTATAAGCATAATCAAAATATATGTCATATATAATCATATATACATTATACTTAATTATATATGAATTAGTATTTTTATACCAATTCATTTTAATCTTAATCTTTATTTTATTTTAATCCTCATTTTATTCATTTAAGTGAAGACTAGAAAATACCAGTGTAAATGAGACAGCCCCTGTTTTGCCTGTGCCCCAAATAAAAGAAGCCTATTGCTTTCTTCCTCCAGGCAGCAGTAGGGAAGTCTGTTGGCCCTTAAAGCAGATCTCCTCTCATGCTACTTATGTGGTTAAATAAGAAGTTCATAACATCCCCAGAAAAGGTCAGGTGAATAGCCTTAGGCTCAATATCACAGCTCTTGGCAACTCATTGTTTATTTATTTTTATTTTAATAAACAAATATAGCTATAGCCACTATATAGCAGATATTGTGGTAAGCATTTTATAAATATCTATCCAGGCCCCCCTCCTCAAAGAGGGGAATGTGTCTTATCTCAAGGAGTGCTCAGAAAAGCTGAGAAGCTGCATTTCTCTTTTATTTTAGCACCACTCAGTTTCTAGCTGAGAAAATCTATGAGCTAAAACTCAGAGTCTCCAACACATATAATCAATATTAGACAAAAAAACTAACCAGGTAGGAAGTCACAGCCCAGTGGGCCCTTCATTGTAATCACACCATGAGTTTAATTCAAGGAAAAATGCAGGTAATCCTGAAACTCTCTACAAGAGGTATGTGAACTATTTAAATCTATTATTCTACTTCTCTGAAACTGGACAACCACCAATAACATAAACTTTCTAAAGGAATAGTCCTGTTTAGTTCTTTCCCAGGTCCTTTCTCATCAAGAAAGCCAATAGAGCCTTCAGAAAGAAATATTCTATCATTACCCTATTCCCCATTTATAGAAAAGGAGCTCAAACCTCTCATGACAATTGTGGCTTAAGTAAAATCCCAGATGCCCTCAAGAATGGGTAATACACTCCAACCTTGCCTAGCTCCAGCTCAGTGTTTATAGGATAAGCAAGAGTGACCAGATTCCAACAATCTGAACAGAAGCAGAAAGGCAAACTGAAATGACTCCTCCCTACCCTTCAAGCTACAGAGAGATTACACACACATTTACAACTATTCCTTAAAGACTGCAGAACAGCTCTGCTAGATGATTATATAAGATGGAACCAGATGTGAAAGGAACTCAGCATATAAAAATTAAAGCATTGGCCAGGCATGGTGGCTCATGACTGTAATTCAAGCACTTTGGGAGGCCGAGGCGGTAGATTACTTGAGGTCAGGCATTCAGGACCAGCCTGACCAATATGGTGAAAACTTGTCTCTGCTAAAAAAAAATTAAAAAATACAAAATACAAAATTAGCCAGGCATGGTGGCACACACCTGTAATCCCAGCTACTTGGGAGGCTGAGACAGGAGAATCACTTGAACCCAGGAGGCGGAGGTTGCAGTGAGCCGAGATTGCACCCCTGCACTCTAGCCTGGGCAACAAGAGTAAAACTCCATCTCAAAAAAAAAAAAAAAAAATTAAAGCATTAAATAAGAAAGTGTTAAGGTGACAGTAACTGGAAGTGGGAAAGTTACTGCAGCACATACCTTGAAGGAACATGCTTAGGAAAGTACCAGGAGGGTGAAACAGACTAAAGAAAACACATGGAAGCCAAAAGACTGGTCCAGGACTTGACATTACTAGTACAAATTATTCAAAGCTTCTAACATGCAAACATACAGAAAGGGTAAAGTTTGGGCAGCACATAGCACTACAAGTATTGGCCTTCACTGGGTCCCTTGCAGCCAGACTCTGGAATTACTAACAGCAGTTTCAGTTCAGGTATATGCTGAAGATGATTCTCTAGCTGAAGTAAACCTGTGACAAGGGAGAGACTGTCCCTAAAATCAAGTTTTTATAGGCCTAAAGAAATTTCAGAGCAAGGGGACAATAGCAAAGGCCACAGCCACATCAAGTTCAAAAATGTCTTGAACTTTGTTGGATTGAAGAAATCCAAAGAAAGAGTAAGAGATCAGGACTTGGAGAAGGAGAGGCTACAAGGTGAGTCGTTGGGGCACATCAGCCACAAACGTGTCACTAGACAGTCCAGTGTAGCAGTGAGATTCTGGGGACATAAGACTTAAGAGGGAAAAGAAGTGAAAGGTTTTAAATAGGCATAAAAGGGAAAAGGGGAATTTCAAGCAAAGACATAGTGGCTGGCCACTACATAAACTTTTTAAATTTGCTAGAAGAAATGTCTCATATGCTATTCTCTGACAGAAAATATGCTTAGGTGCATTTTCTTGCAAATATGGCAAAGTGCCTTAGTAAACCTCATGATGGGTGATTTCTTCCATATGTTAAACTCTAGATAGCTGCACAGGAAGCCAAGCATACAAGTGAAACTGAAAAACCACACAATGTTCTCTTTTCTCTTGTTTTTCACACTCTACCACAAAGTCTCTGCTACGGTCTTTGGCAAATAATAGCAATGTGGGTTCTGAAGTTTGCTTAGGATGACTGCTATAGGGGCTCAAGATTTGTTTGTAGTTTCTAGGAGCCTGGGGTGTGAGGCTAGTGCTAGGAAAATCTTATGTGTCCTATTCATACTATAGATTCTTTAAGGAGAGGGTGATGAGAGAATGGGCTTTGATTAATCCGGTCACAGAGTTCTAAGGGAATAATGGCTATTCCAGTAATAGGCAGCTCAGGTTACTCAGGTTACAGATGCTGGAGACAGCCCTATTCACCCTAAACATCTGAGCATGATGGCTATAGTGGACAAAGCAATGAAGAAGGATGATTTGAGGACATAATGAAACATTAACTTACATGGGAGAGGAATTTTCATCTTCAGACATTAATTTTTCCCAGAAAATTTTAAAATGAGGTCATACGCATGGTGTCCAAATTGAGGGATTTTGTACATTGCTGGTGTATGGCAGATGCACTTGATAGCAATAACTCAAGCATACCCTGAGAATACCCTGGGTCTAAGAAGCATATATGTTCAGGGTTCCAAGTTAAAGAATCTGGAAGTACCAACCAAGAGATGTACTCTTTATCTATGAAGAACATCCAATTCCCTGGCCCATCCCTTGGGACACAGCCTATACGGGGGATTGAGGCCCTTTGTTTTGGGCTAAATGCAGGTTACTAGGCGGAGGCTGCTAAGTGGAAATGCTATATAACTGTGTGCTTTTTGTGAACCGTAGCATTTTTCTAGTCCAGCCTGCCACTCCTGGACCTCCCTGTATGTGAGTCCTCAATAAACACTATGTCTCATTCACTGGCTCCAGACCTCTTCTTTGGCCTCCTGGACACAGTGGCCACCACTACTGGAGTCAATAGGGGTCTAGCACAATAACTGGTACTGGGTATTTCTGTTGTCCTTGAAGCTCACTGCTTCATCTCTGGAGAGCTATATCGAACAACAGAGCACACAACTGAGAATTAGAAGAGAGAACTGAGAGCAAAACTGAATTCTGGGTAGAATGTGACCTTAGAGTTAATTTCATTCATGAGCTGTTCTAACCCAATCCAGAACTTTCTGGGAGCAAAGGTTCACCCGGTGAGCCCAGAGAAAACATGAAGGAACAATAGTTGGTATTAGAACATCCGTCCTTAAACTGATCAGGGGGCCTATCAGGTCAAAACCACTTTCATAATTACACTGTACTGCCTTTTTCACTCTTCTGTCTCACATGTATATAGCTGAAGTCTCCACAGGCTCCATAACATGTGGCTCCATGACACTGCTCAGATGCTCCCACACCCCCTGCCACCTCCTGCTTACCCTCTCTATGAAAGTGATTTATCTTATAGGCGAGATTAAGCAAAGGGGATGAGCCTGTGTGGTTCAGCTCTTCCAGAGCTGGCTTGCCCACAAGCAGCTCATGTTCTTCTTCTCTTCCCTGCCTTCTCCATTCAGTGAGGTAGGCTCCACCACCGGTGGGAAGGTAGTCATCATCTAGCCTGTAGCTGAAGAGCAATGTTAATTCATAGGAAACGGACTAAAAAAAATCCAATTTTAACATCAGGTCCAGCTTTGCCAGAAACAAAACAATCTGGTAATCCTTATATGTATGTGTGAATCCAGAAAATCTGAGACAGGTCTGAGTTTATTTATTTAATTTAGAAAGTTTATTTTTGCCAAGGTTGAGGACGTGAGACAGCCTCAGGAAGTCCTGATGACATGCGCCCAATGTGGTCGGGGCACTGCTTGGTTTTATACATTTTAGGAAGACATGAGACATCAATCAATATATGTAAGAAGTACATTGGTTGGGTCTGGAAAGGTGAGACAACTTGAAGCAAAGGCAGGAAGACTCAGAGCAAAGCGGGAGGGAGCTTCCAGGTCACAGGTAGGTTAGAGACAAATGGTTGCATTCTTTGAGTTTTCAGTTAGCCTTTCCAAAGGAGACAATCAGATATGCATCTATCTCAGTGAGCAGAGGGGATAATGCTGAATAGAATGGGAGGCAGGTTTGTCTTATCAGTTTCCACCTTGAGTTTTCCTTAGTGATTTTGGGGTCCCAAGATACTTTCTTTTCACATATGTTACTCAAATAGTGCATACGCTGAAAAGGAAAGTGTTGTAATTAATTTACACCTCAGATCCCAACCTGTGATCTGAGGTGAGTACTGTCCTTCCTGTACCTTAGTTTTCTCCTCTGGAAGATAGAAGATGGAGATATTACAGCTACCTCACAAGCTTATAATACACATAAAGAGCCCAGGACAGTCCCATAGCAGGTAGCCATGGCTTTATTATCATTCGTTAGATAAATCAGATGTCCCAGAGAGTTTCAGAATGCAAGAGAATGGGCTACATATAAGTAGAGTGCCATAAGCACATATTCACTACTCTAAAATGTTCTTTTATACCAACTAGCAACACTTGTGTCCTATCTTATCCTCACAGCAATCCAGCTCAAGTGACTATACTGAACTTTCTGAAATGACGGCAATTCTTTCGTTAGTCAGCCTTATAATCAGGAATTCAACAGTAACAAAGAAGCTCCTGCTCTGCTATTTCCATATCACTGAGACAGGCCTCACTTGCTGGTTGAAGTCTCTGTTCAAAGCCACACTCAGGGCAGTGGTGATCTGGGAGAGCTGCCTGGCTCCTGGCCTTTGCTGTGCTGGATGTTTTCAAGCCTGATAATAACAGTGGGATTTCCAGGCACTGTAGGTTGTATCCAAGATAATCAAGATGACAGAGGAGAGGTTGTAGTTCTTGAAGCTGAGGTCAAGCAACAACAACAAAAAACTGCATCTTAAAATGTGATGTGGGAGTTTGCAGAAATATTTGACGCCTGCATAAATAAATGAGCAAACGCAACCAAGCCCAAAAACACTAGAATAAAGACAACCAAAACAGTTCCTCAGCTATAATAATAAAAATAATCTTCATATGGCATTATAACTTACTGAGGACCTCCTAGGTTCCAGGAACAGTGCTGGATACTTTAAAGGCATTATCTTTGATCCTTAGAAACAAGCTGCCAGGTTGTGTTATCGGCCTCATTCTACATGTAGTAACAACAGCTAACTATTCACCAAACCTATGTTCGTTTCTTCTTGTGTACTCAGCTAGAATCTATTCTCCAATTTCCCTTCCAGTTAGGTATGTCATATAAATTACTTTTGCTGGTAGAATGTGAACTGAAATCCTATGTACGTTTTGAGATCAGGCTCATATAAACCTCCCACATGTAATGTTCTCTCTTCCCTAAATGCTAAATGGATATTGACAGAGTAATCTCAAAATCCATGGATAAAAAGAGGCAGAGCCTCCATCTGTCTGGATCCTTGAGTGACTGTATGAAGCAGAGCAAGGACTCCTACTGTTACAGGAAAGGGGTCCCAATCCAGACCCCAAGAGAGGCTTCTCGGCTCTCTCACAAGAAAGAATTCAGGGCGAGTCCATAGAGGAAAGTGAAAGCAAGTTGATTAGGAAAGTACAGGAATAAAAGAATGGCTACTCCATAGACAGAGCAGCCACAAGGGCTACTGGTTGCGCATTTTTATGGTTATTTCTTGATGATATGTTAAACAAGGGGTGGATTATTCATGCCTCCCCTTTTTATACCATATAGGGTAACTTTCTGTCGTGCCATGGCATTTGTAAACTGTCATGGCACTGGTGGAAGTGTAGCAGTGAGGACCACCAGAGGTCATTCTCATGGCCATTTTGGTTTTGGTGGGTTAGAGCTGGCTTCTTTACTGCATCCTGTTTTAACAGCAAGGACTTTATGACCTGTATCTTTTGCCATCCTCCTATCTCATCCTGTGACTTAGAATGCCTTAACCATCTGGGAATGCAGCCCAGTAGGTCTCAGCCTCATTTTACCCAGTTCCTATTCAAGATGGAGTTGTTCTCATTCACATATCTTTAACACTACCCCTCTAACCACTAAATAGACTTTATGTAAGTAAGAACCAAGTATTGCATTAAATCCATTGAGATTTGGGGGTTATATCAATTCGCTTTACCTTAAATAATACATTGAATATTAGAAACTGGGGAAGAGCCATGTTAGAAAACTGAAGAAGTCTCAGCTTATAAAAACATACACATTAACTTTACAACAAGATTTGTTTCCAAAGTGCTGTAAGATTCCAAATCTCTATTCATACATCCACCTATTCATAAAGAAAATCCACACCATGTAGGAGCAAAAATAAAAACTTGTAGCCCCACTCTGCTTCTGTTTTTATTCCATTCATCCGAATAAGGAAGTTTATATTGTTTAATTAAAAGCATTCTATGAGAAACTTAATATATGCATATGCAATTGTATGTGTGTATATATATATATATTCATTCATTTAATATTCAATACTTCTATGAGGTAATGACTATTAACTCTTATTTTACAAATGAGGAAACTTAAACTTAATCCAGAAAGATCAGTAACTTGTTCAAAGTCCTTCAGCTAATAAGTGATGGAGCTGAAATGTGAAAGCAGACAGTTTGGCTTTGGAACTTGGACATGGAACCTCTATACTGTAGAGGGATGAAAAGAAATAGACTGAGTTAAAGAGCTAAATCATAAAATATTTAGCAATAGAATTATGATTCAAATATTTATCCAGTACAACTGTATTGGTTTTTAAGTTCTGGACTACTTCCACACCAGTGGGTAAATATAATAACAAAGCCTGAGCCTGCTGGTGCCGCTTCCCCCTCCTCTTCCCCTGCCCTGCCCCAAACCTCATTGACTAAAGAGTTGGTTTCCTCTTCCTCTAGGAAGCTCCAAGACTCTGTTCTAGTTCTATGGCTTACATTTCTTCTGACTACTTGACTCCCATATGCCATCTGATTGTTGCCTATCTTGAATATTGCCCCTGGGTATAATGAGACGCAAATTCTGTGACATGCAATTCTAGATGCAAAAGTACTTTATCCAACATCAACAAATTACATCTGACCCCTACCAGAGTCAGGAATTACTTGATTCAGATATTAAAGTAGTACTATGTATGACATATGTGACTCAGGAAAGAGCACAGAAGAAAATTTCACTGAAGCCAGAAAATCTCTACATTTGGAAAGAGATAAAACTAATTTTTTTGAACACTGGTCTAACCTGTGCTTAATGTTCTTCATCAGTACCTGACACTGACATTGGACAAATTTAACTAATCTAAGACAGTTGTTAGTACATGACACATCTAACAAATGGGCATGAAAAAGTGCCTTCCATTTAACTTTCCTGCTGTCCTCTTCTAAATGGAGATATGCTTAGCAGAAAACAACGTTCTTTATGGGACCAGTCTACATGTCTCAGATCATTCTATATGCAAATTCTCTTTGGTTTGCACTTTCTCCCTCAAAATTTACCCTTTAGATTTGAAGTAAAAGAAGAAATAGGGGCCAGGCGCGGTGGCTCACACCTGTAATCCTAGCAGTTTGGGAGGCCGAGGTGGGCAGATCACCTGAGGTCAGGAGTTCGAGACCAGCCTGGCCAATATGGTGAAACCCCATCTCTACTAAAAATATAAAAATTAGACAGGCGTGGTGGCATGCCCCTGTAATCCCAGCTACCCAGGAGGCTGAGGTGGGAGAATCGCTGAAACCCGGGAGGCGGAGGCTGCAGTGAGCCGAGATCATGCCACTGCACTCCAGCCAGCCTCGGTGAGAGAGTGAGACTCTTTCAAAAAAAAAAAAGAAGAAGAAGGAAGGAAGAAGAGAAGGAAGAAGAAGAAAGAAAGAAGGAAGAAAGAGGGAAGAAAGAGGTAAGAAAGAAGGAAGAAGGAAGGAAAGAAGGAAGGAAGAAAGAAGGAAGAAAGAAAGAAGGAAGAAAGAAGGAAGGAAGAAGGAAGAAAGAAAGAAGGAAGGAAGAAGGAAAGGAAGGAAGAAGGAAAGGAAGGAAGGAAGAAGGAAAGGAAGGAAGAAAGAAAGGAAGGAAGGAAAGAAGGAAGGAGGGAAGGAAGGAAGGAAGAAGAAGAAATAGGCCTGTGGATAGAGTATTAGCCAAAAACTATTAGTTTAATAGAACAGCACTGCCATTAGAATTGTAACACTGAGTAGATGAGCCTATAAAGCTCAAAGCCCTTTTACCAGGATAAAGTGGTCAAAGACGTTGGTTTCAAACACCTTCTAGAGCCCATCAGCAGTAATCTTGCCATTCTGGGTCAGCGGTTCTTCAGCTATGGAGAATACATGAATCACCTTTCTGAAACAGACGATTTTTTAAAAGAAGAAAATAAAAGAAAAAGAAATTTTACTCAATGTGCTATTTAGTTAAAAATCAAAAAGTTGTTCCTTTCTGAGAGAATAGCTGTCTTTGTCTGTTTTCTGTTGCTTATAGTAGAATACTTGAATCTGGGTAATTTACAAAGAAATGTATTTCTTACGATTATGGAGGCTGAGAAGTCCAACATCCAAGGGCACATCTGTGAGGGTATTCTTGCAGGTAGAGACTCTCAAGAGTCCCGGGTGGTGCAGGACATCACACAGTGATGGGGCTGAGCATGATAATGTGCTAGCTTAGGTCTCTTTTCTTCTTCTCACAAAGGCACCATTCCTACTTTCATAATAACCCATGAATCCATTAGCCCATTAATCTATTCATCCATGAATGGGTTGGCTATTCATCTATTGATAAATAGATGAATAGCTACTATTAGGTAGCCTCCAATCATTGTACCTGCCTCCTTGTGCACAAGTAGGAAAGTTTCTCTAGGAAGGACACCCAAAAAATCATCAGTGCTTGTTCATAAGTTACACTTAAAGTTTCATTAGACTTTACATTCCAAAGGTGACTATCACAATTTATGTACACTAGCCACACAATTTTATGCTTGTTTATTATTACCAATCTGATGGGTGTGAAATGTCTTGCATTATAATTTTAACTTACATGTGTCTGAGAACTAATGAGGTTGAGCATTTTTCTTCATTGCCATTGAGTCTCCTCTTCTGAGAATTGCCAATTTTTATACTATGCCCATTTGTCTATAGAGTTGTCATTTTCTTAATGGTTTGTAGTATAATTTTATTTTCTAGATTTTAATATTTTATTTATTTTATATGTTGTGAATATTCTTCTTCCAGCTTCACCCTTGTTTTTTAACTTCATTTCTAGTATCTCTTATTAAACAGTAATTTGGTTTTTTATAGTCAATTTCACCCATTTTTTTTTCATGGTTTTTGATTTGGGGGTATTGTTTAAAAATCCTGTTTTAATTCCAAATTCATGATCACATTCTTCTGTTTTCTAATATGTTTATGGATTTTTATTCATTCATTTGTTCATCTATTTATTTGCATTTAGCCTTTAACTGATGTAGCATTTAATTTTGTGACTTTGATGAGGAAGATAACTAACTTTATCTTTCCACATGATATAGTCAATTGTCCCACCCACTACTTGTCCCTAAATTTTAATGACACCCATTTATAGAACTAGTGCTGGATTTTGTTTTCTTCAATTTATTATTTTCTGCATCAGTTCCACACTACTGTAACTGCTATAGCTTTATAATATAGTTTAATATATATATAATATATTCCCTACTTATTTTTCTATTTAAAAATTGTGTGGGGCCAGGTGTGGTGGCTCATACCTGTAATCCTAGCACTTTGGGAGGCTGAAGCAGGCAGATCACTTGAGGCCAGGAGTTTGAGACCAGCCTGGTCAACATAGTGAAACCCCATTTATTTTCTTTTTTCTTTTTTGAGATGGAGTCTTGCTCTGTCACCCAGGCTGGGGTGCAGTGGCGTGATCTCAGCTCACTGCTACCTCTGCATCCCTTTCATTAGACCTTACCTTCTAAAGGTGACTATCCCGAGTAGCTGGGGTTACAAACATGTGCCACTATGCCCGGCTAATTTTTGTATTTTTAGTAGAGATGGGGTTTCACCATGTTGCCGAGGCTGGTCTTGAACTCCTGACTTCAAGTGATCCACCCACCTCTGCCTCCCAAAATGTTGGGATTACAGGTGTGAACCACCACACCTGGCTGGCAAAACCCCATCTCCATTAAAAAATACATAAATTACCCAGGTGTGGTGGCATGCGCCTGTGATCCCAGCTACTAGGGGGGCTAAGGCATGAGAATCGATCATTTGAACCCGGCAGAAGATAGTGCCACTGCACTCCAGCCTGGGCGACAGAGTGAGACTGTCTAAAAAAAAAAATTGTTTAGCTAGTCTCACATCTTTATACATCCATATTACTCTTATAAACTGTTTGTCAAGTTTCTAAATACTCCCATTGGTAATAGCCAAAGAAACCTTGAAAAAGAACAAAGTTGGAGATCTCATTTCACATTCCCTGATTTCAAAATTTACTAGAAAGCTATTGTAATTAAAACAGTGTGGTGTGCTACATAAAGACAGATAGACCAAAAGAATAGAATATAGACAGCACAGAAGTAAATCCTTGCACATTTGGTCAAACGATTTGACAAAGGTGCCAAGACCATTCAGTGGGAAGAAAGGACAGTCTTTTCAACAAATGGTGTTGAGAAAACTGGATATCCACAAGCTAAAGAAAGAAGTTGACCTTTATCTTATCCCATATGCAAAAAAGTAACTGAAATTGGTCAAAAACCTAAACATAAATGCTGGATTTGGCAATGATTTCTTGGATATGACACCAAAAGCACAGGCAGCAAAAGAAAAAATAGTTAAGTTGGACTCTATCAAAATTAAAAACTTTTGTGCATCAAAGGACACTATTAATACAGTGAAAAGGCAACCCACCAACTGGTAAAAATTTTTGCAAATCACTTACCAGATAAGGGGTTAATATCCAGAATACATAAAGAACTACTACATCTCTACAACAAAGAAACAAGCAACCCATTCCAAAAATGGGCAAAAGACTTGAATAGACATTTCTCCAGAGAAGGTATACAAATGACCAATCAGTACAGGAAAGGATGCTCAATGTCACTAGTCATTAGAGAAATATAAATTAAAACCACAATGAGATACCACTTCATACCCACTAGATGGTATTATCAAAAAACAAACAAACAAAAAATAAAAAGTATTGATGAGGATGTGGAGAAATGGGAACACTTTTACATTGCTGATGTGAATGTAAAATGGTGCAGCCACTATGGAAAACTGTATGGCAACTCTTCAATATATTAAACAGAATTACTATAAGATCCAGCAACTCCACTTCGGGATACATATCCAAAAGAAGCAAAAGCAAGGATTCAAAGAGATATTTGTATACTCGGTCTCATAGCTGCATTATTCACAATAGCCAACAGGTAGAAGCAACTCAAGTGTCTATAGAGAGATGACTGGATAAACAAAATATGCTATATACATATAATAGAATATTATTCAGCCCTTAAGAAGAAATATTTTTAACTGTGGCAAAATACATCTAACATAAAACATATCATCCAGCCTGACCAACATGGAGAAACCCTGTCTCTACTAAAAATACAAAAATTAGCCAGGCAAGGTGGCGGGCACCTATAATCCCTGCTACTTAGGCGACTGAGGCAGGAGAATTGCTTGAACCCGGGAGACGGAGGTTGCAGTGAGCCAAGATCACACCATTGCACTCCAGCCTGGGCGGCAAGAGTGAGACTCCATCTCAAAAAAAAAAAAAATTTTAAGGGTATAGTCTGTGATATTAAGTACATTTGCACTGTTGTGCAACCATCACCACCATCCATCCACAGAACATATTTATTTCATCATGAAAAACTGAAACTCTGCACCCATTAAACAATCATCTCCCCATTCCTCTCTCCCTCCACCCTCTGGCAACGACCTTTCTACTTTCTGTGTCTATGAATTGGACTATCTTAGGTACCTCACATAAGAAGAATCATACAGTATTTGTCCTTTTGTGGCTGGTCTATTTCACTCAACGTAACATCCTCAAGGTTCAGTTGTATGTCAGAAAGGAGCAGTAAATATGAGAGTTTGGATTGGAGAGAGAGAAAAGTATCTCTGAATCACAGGAAAAATAAGGAGCATATACAGCCAGAAGATTAAAGGATCAAGAACTTGAAATCTGCTCTAAGAAAGGACAAGGGGATGTTTACAGGGGCCTACATACCTGCCTGCTATTTCCATTGTATCCCAACCAATCACCATTTTTTATTTCCTTTGTTCTCTTCTAGTTCCTAGAATCTTCTACCTCCACAGCGGATCCCCTGATGCCACTCCAAACTTCTGTAATTGCACTCACATATGTGTATTCCAGATTCGATGTGGAAGGAAAAGGCAGTTACCGAGTGCTCAGTCTGCCATCTTGAAATAGAAATCAGAGATACCATTTCATGAGGACTGTCCAGGCATACTTTTGCTTGAGTTCCTTAGAGGCCTGGAGCACTGACTGCAGGTTGCCATCCACCTGCATCGTGGTGACCTTGACCGTATGGTGAGAGGCCAGCAGAGTTGCATGGACAGCTTCTGTATTGCTCATGTTCCTGCATGGCAAACACAGGTGAAGCTCATCATCTTCCACCAGCAGCTGCTGCAGAAGGATAGGTCAATGCCACCGGGAGGGCAGTTCAGACACAGAATGTGCATTATCTGGATGGCATCAGGTAGAGGCATTTCTCTCTGGTTCAGAAAACTGATTTTGACTGCTTTGGTTCCAAGCAGGAGCCCAAGGAAAGATTTTTTAAAGCCTTAAAAATCTTTTTTTTTTTTAAAAAAAAGGTAAAGGAAAGAGGGAACTCACACTCTAATAGCCGCTTACTTAGTGTACTGTCAACAATGAGAGCTGTACTTTTCCATTGCTCATTGCTCTATTGAGATTATTCTGAGGCACGTTATCATCCTGAATTTACTATGCAACTGATATCTAAGGGTGATTACAAACCATCCATAGCAAGTGTTAAAGACAGCATCTTTATCAACCATTTTAATACAATTTTTATTTTCTCAAGCAGTTTGCAAGTTCCTCATGGGCATATACAATGCCATGAGTAAGTTTAATCATCACAGCTAGGGGCAAACAGCAAACGTTTTCTGCATGAATAAATGAATGAATTCATTGTTCATTAGCCAGTCAGTCTGAGAACATAACTAATGTAAAAAGGAGCATTCAGTGTAATTAAGTGTTTATTTGGCTTTGCGATTTTTTTTTCCTTGAACAAATTAGGACTTTAGAAAGAAGAATGGAGGACATACAAATAGAGGCCAGGAAGGAGAAAGTAGGAAAAGTAGGATACCTGAGGATACAGGAGGTCAAAGGAAGACAGGTCTTCAGAAGAAAGCCTTCAAAGGAAGCAAAC
The DNA here is from genome assembly GCF_000001405.40 of Homo sapiens. Lineage (NCBI taxonomy): Eukaryota > Metazoa > Chordata > Mammalia > Primates > Hominidae > Homo > Homo sapiens. The sequence continues at coordinate 162,824,059 of NC_000001.11, read as the reverse complement.
AGGACTGTGTATTAAAAAGATGATAACCATGACCTGCCACTGAATATATCCTCTCTGTCTCCCTGTAATTGTCACAAGGTGACAAATGGCTCAAGAATGCTCTAAAGCTCACTCTGAAACATGTCCTTAAGCAGCTGTGCCTGTAAGCACAGAGCCAAACACCTTCACTGTGTATCTTCCTTCACTGAGAAAAAATAAGCCTTACCTTATTTTTATGTACATTCAGAGAGAGAGAGAGAGAGAGAGAGAATGCCCATGTTGTGAACTGTACAATTTGGTAGTTATGAGTACAGAAGCTAGAGCTAGACTGGGTACATTTGAATCCTGACTCTATCGCTCACTAGCTCTGTACCTTGGGCAAGATAACTAATCCCTTTATCTTATCTGTAAAATGAGGATAATAATGGTGCCTAGCCTACAGCATGAAAATTACATGAAAAAAATATATAATGCACTTAGAACGGTGCCTGGAAATTGGTTAGTACTATTTAGTTGTTTAATATAATTTTATAACAAGAATCTATCTTGATCGTGTGCACTGTTTCGGCACTGGTGGGTGGAAGACAGTCTGGGGGTTGTTTAGGAGCATGAGAAGGGAAGTGGTGATTCACTGGATGTGGCAGAGGTGTCCTCAAGCACCTAAACATCAATTTTGATTAACAGGAAATGTAAGTAAATATGCTAAACACTGAGTCATTTTAATTGAAACTTTTAATCTAGTACTAGCATCTACCATAAATTCAGATTTCAAAAGCAGCAAAATGGATTGGTTAATGTCTATAGCCACTTTTTTTTTATGCCCTGCACTGGCAATGCAAATAAGTAAAACAGCCAGAAGCAGAAAGGGCCTACAAGATGAGCCACTGAAGGGTCTGTATGTTCTTTCCATATTCAACAGGTAAATGATTCTTCCCTCCAATGCTTAGTCATTGGAGGGAAGCTGTAAGGGGTGCAACATCCAATGAAGCTCTGCCAGTCCTTGTTCTACTTGTTAATTAAACCTAATTGAGAGAAGCTCTACATCATGAAACAACTGGAAACCGATACATGACCACGTGAGTTAGGACCCCAGGCTCTGAGCCGAGTTGGGGATGGTCGGCTGCTCTCTCCCGCCGCACCTGGAGGATTACTAGGATCCATCTGAAGGCAGAGCTCAGGTCCCTGGAGCCACGCCTGATTCAACTGCAAATTCCCTGAGCTCCCCGAGCTGGGCGCTGTTGGGAGGTGGCTGGTGGCGAGCCAAATGCGTCTCTGCCCAGCTAGGGGATGCAGTCACGGGGCGTCAGAGTTGTGAGTTCCCCACCCAGTCCGGTGGGGTCCACGGGGAGGCGTTCACCTGCTCACTCCGTAACCAAAACCACCTTCCTCATCATCAGCGTGATAAGCACGAAAACCGAGCACGCAAGCAACAGAGACCACAGCAGTTTCCCAGTTTATTTCTATCCGAGACTGACCCAGCGGCTCCACCCACGGCTCAGCCGTCGCCCCCTAGTACCGCACCGGAGCACCCAGGGATGCCAGCCTCCCGGGCCCAGCCCAGCGCCGCCCGCGCCAGTCCCGCCCGGCGGCCGCAGTGAGGGGGCCTCTGCTGGCCGCGAGGCGCGTGGGGACAGAGCCCACCACCTGTCGTCCTAGACTCCACACCGGTCCACAGCGTTCCCCCATCCCTTTCGCACATCTTCCACCACAGGCTGGAGCTGCTTCACAGTGTTTTGCTAGAGGCTAAAATTTTCTATAATTATTCCATTTGTTCTTTCGCCTCATTTTAAATGCAAAAATCGAGGCACTGGCGACAAGAGCAAGGCTCCGTCTCAAAAAAAAAAAAAAAAAAAAAGAATCGAGGCACTGTGTCATTTTTTATGTTCACATTCCAGTCATTCATCTCCTTTTCTTTCCCTCCTTTGCCATTACATTCCTAATTGCAGTCACCTATTAAAAGCAAAACAAAAAACTCTTCATGTCTTAGTTTCTTTGTTTACAGGCTGAAGCAGAAAATAACCTGGATTTTGATAAGGAATTGTATGTACTATCACAATATGTATTTTTATGGTGTAGAAAAGGTCATCCACTTCAACTGCCTCTACTTAAAACCGAACCCTCTATAAAAGATTTCAGTCGATTTCTCTCTCCCTTTTTTTCTACTTCTCAGAACCATCTTTCCAAACACCCACCATGGAGGAGGTGGCAACTTCCAAGGAGGAGGCCTGGAGACAGAACTAAATCTAAACCAACCACTTACTACCTAGAGACTTTTTTTTCTTTCTGAATAATAATTGAAAATAAAATATGTAAACTAAAAATTCAGTACAAGAAAAATGCAGTGAAAAGCCCATGTAGTATTCCTCTTGGCTACTTTGCCTTTACAGTGCAACTGTCACTGTCACAAAGCCCAAGTCTCTGATAGGGTCTTTCAGAGATTCTGTGTGTATGTATGTATATGTGTTGTGTGTATGTGTGTATAATACAAATGAAAACAAAAATCTATAAAGTTTACAGCATCTTGTTTTTATGCACTTAATCCACAATCCATATATATCACTTCATTTTTAAAACTTCACTCTTTTTAGTAATTGTATTTATTTTAATATTTTTTATTACATTTTATGAATATGACATAATTATCCAGTACCCCAGAGGCTAGAGGAATATGTTTCAGTTCTTTCTACTCTTTTGCTGTTACAGGAAAAAAAAAATGCTGCAATGAATTGTTCTTGTGCAGATCTAAAATCCTTTACCCACAATTCTAAAGTCCAAACAGCTAAGAAAATTTAGTCTTTTCAAATTTTTGGCACACTCGTTTGGCAGCTGAACTATAGCTGTACTGATGTGAGGCTATTTATCATCTTTACTTCTACTACTTAATGTGAATTCATGTATCTTTTTTGCTAACATATAGCTAGGTTTGATTGCAGGTTGTTATCCCAGGTCCCAGTAGAATTATTGCAAAACATACTGTATTGTATGCACCAACTTACCTTTCTAAACTCCAAGCAATTTTAAATTCTAAAGCACGGTTAGTACACATTTTGCATAAGTGATGGCAGTCCTGTATAAATATCTTTAGGTATATTAATGAGTTGTATCTTTAGGATAAATTTCAAAATGTAGAATTATTAAAGGTATATGCATTTAAAATTTTGGTATTGTCAAATTGCTTTTCAAAGGAATTAACAATTTACATCACAAACAATATGAAATGAAAGTGCCTGTTCTTTCACACCCTGAACAAAACTTTTTGGTGTTTGATAATATGATAAGCAAAAAGGTGATAACTCATGTGCTTTTAATTTGATTTCATTTTACTATGGGTGAGATTAAAATTTACTATTGATTTGTGCACATTATTTAAATAGTGGGTTAATTATCCAATTGGCTTCTATGTTACAAATATTTTCCCAGCTTATTTGAATTTTGATTTTTATTTGTGATAATTTATTGTACAGGAAATTTTAATTATTTTGTAATCATATTTATTCATCATTGATACATATGGAATTTATTTGGGTGTAAGGAATTGTATTAGTCTTCTATTGCTGCTGTAACAAATTGTCACAAATTTAGCAGCTTAAAACAATACACATTTTATTATCTGAGATCTGTGGGTCAGAAGCCTGGCATAGCCTGACTGATTTCTGTGCTCAGGGTCCCACTAGGCTAAATAAAAGCCAGGCAGGCTCTGGGTCAAATCAGCTTCCAAGTTCACTTAGGCCCTTTGTAGAAACCAGTTCCTTGCTTGGTAGGTCCACAGTCCCACTTTCTTGCAGTTTATAAACTTTGCAGGGATGGAAGACAGAGGGAGGGATCCTCAGCTTTTAGAGGTCACCCACTATCCCGTCAGGTAGCCCTTTCTGCAGAAGGTAGTTTGCTCTTTCAGGGTCCACAGGAGAGCACTACTATAGCTGCAGATCTGACTTAACTTCTGCTCCTTCTCTACAGCTTTTAAGGGCTCATGTGGCCCACCTGAATAATCCAGGATAATCTCCCTATTTTAATAACAACTGTGCCACATAACAATGCAATCATGAGAGTAACTGGGCAAAGGTCATGGGGGACATTTTAAATTCTGCCTACTACAGCAGTGATAGAAGGCTCCAACTTTTTTTTTCCCGGTTACTAGCCACTTGTCCCAAAATTATTTGGAATAAATCACTGATACTACCAATTTGTTTGGTTGTCTGACATTTAGATTTCTGGATAATTCAGAAGTGTTCATGATTTGAGAGGAACTCAGCCCCTACCCTTCTCCCACTCCAACTCCTTCCAAGACAAGAGATCAGTATTTGACAACTCTAACTCTGAAAATAAGAATAGTCTTATTCCAGGGCCAGACCCAAAGGCTCAATGTGAAAGTTCCTGGACTCAGAGGTGTCACGTAAGGAAAGAAAGTGAGTGGAAACTTGGGAGTGTGGCTGTCCCATGAAGAGCTCACCCTCTGGAAAACAGAAAAGGGTCCTAATCTTGGAGGTTTGACACTCATCATAATGTGGGAATGACAGCTAGAAAAAAACTGTGAACTCCAGGAAGGCTTGAAGGCATTGGAGCAAGGCCAGCAGCCTCTCCCTCCCACCATCACTTCCATCAGAACCACGTAAGAAAGACCTAGTTTCTTGTTATCTCTAGAGACCTGGCACCTTTCACTAAAGAATTTGCTTTCAAGCTGCTGCAAACTTTGAACAATTGTCTGACCTACTAAAAGTAACAGAGAAAGACAGAACTCTAGATGACTGAAGAAATCATGTATTTAAGTTATTAAAATGTATTATGTATAGGACAGTTATCATGATACTATCATTTTGTTGATGTCTCTTTGTGTACTTTTGATACCAGCCAGGTTCACTCTACCTGCACAGTAAATAAATTACTGGGACAATGGGTTTTTGCAAAAGAAAAGATTAATTAGGCATCCCAGCAAGGAGGTGGACAACAGCTCTCAAATCTGCCTCCCCAAAGATAGGAAATATTTATGGATTAGAGAAGCAGATGGTCTAAGGCATAGGGAAAGGTGATTGGCAGTGGGTTAAAATGAGGTAATCAGTGATCTATGCCAGCATTATCAGGGTTCATGGCATTTCACAGGATATATGTCTCAGATCAGCATTAGCATGATCTGAGAATGGAGTTTTTGCCTCTGCCATCAAAAGTTTCCCTCTCATGTATCTGCACATGCCTAGTTGAAGGGTACGTGGTCTCAACTGGTTTGAACTGGACAGAAGCTGCCCTAAGTTCCTAAAACACAACTGAAGTGACCACTACCATGTGACTTATGTTATCTGTAAAGTAGCCAGTGAAGGTTAAGTTACAGCATTCAGTGGTGCAGACTTCAGCTACCATGCCTTCAGCTTCAGGGAAAAACAAAAACAAAAGCAACAAGCAAACAACCCAAAGCAAGCAGGGCAGGATAAGTTTGGTGGATCTAATCAAATTAAGCCCTTGGTTTTACTTCCTACAACTCCTACATTTTCTTCTTGATTTTTGTTGTGTTGATGTAGATATTTTAGTTTCTGGACATGGAGAAGCATCGCCTGGTCATGGTAACCCTATTCCTGGACAACCATTCATCCATTCTCTCAATAAGAATCTGGCAGCTCTATCTGTGGCTGATTATTTGCTATTTTTTTCATCCACTTCTACCCTGAACTTTAAAATCTAGCTCTAATTCCTATCATGTGCCGGAACTAAGTCCTTGATGGCCAAGAATAAAATGATTTATTTTTAGCCCCTTATAACAGAGAACTTGTACTTCTCTGTGGATCTCTCTGGAATGAAGTTGCCTCCAGTTTCAAGCAGGGGGAAAGTACTGCCTTAACTCAAACACTCTCCCTTCATTTCCTTTCCCTCCTATCATCCATATCTCTTCTTTCCAAATCCCCATACCTCCGGCCTGGCTCATAACTAATGTGTGGGATAGGATTTTTTACATTGTTATAAATGATAAGTAATTAATTCTTACTCATATGGCATATATAATAAATCATTTTTTCCTGGGTGCTTGTGAATATATTTCTTTCAAATGTAGAATATGAATGATAGTTATAAATAGAGATCACTTTGCAATCAAAGATATAGAGAATATAGAATCATTTTGACTGTTAAATACAGCAGGATGGGATAGTTACTTCCTAGCCTAAGAGAGAAAATAAATCCATGCATAGCCTATATCTAAAGCATCATCTATGTCATCTACCCACATTTAAACCTATTTATGAGTCACTAACAAAAAATGTGTTTCTTGAACATCCAGAGTCTCTGAATTTTCTCTTTTCCACAATAAACTGCTATAAAACCTCCCATAATTCCCTTCTTTGAAACAGGAGTCAAATGAGACAGTGAGGAATAACCTCCAGCAATGGTGAGATGAGCTCTCTTTAACCCAGTGGATTACTATCCATTTTCAACAGTCCTTTATGTATATTGTCACAGTTATTAAAAATAATAAGTAAATGAGACTTGTTGGATAATGAAATTTGTTCACATTTTCAGGTGGCAGACAAGAAACATGGATTATTGCGTGGAGTTCCATTAGTAGGAATAAGACTCATTCTACATTCTTGTTGTTCTTAGTGTTTTTTGTTTTTCATGAGAAGGAATTGTATCAGCAAAAGGCAAAATTCTAACATGACAATGACAGCAGACAGAACCTCAATAAACTCTGACTTGGTACTGCAAACACCATTTCATGATACCTTAATTCGAATAAACCTTTGTTTAATCAATTGTTCATATATTTATTTATACAACAAGCAGTAATCGAGTGCCTACTATGTGCCTTGCATTAATAGTGGCGAAACAATTTTTTTAAAAGTCCCAATCATCTTGGAGCTTATACTTCGGTAGGTTGAAAGGCAATAGACAAGATACGTAAAATACATATGTTAGATAGTAATAAGCAACAAAAAGGAAAAAAAAAAAAGGTAGATAAGAAAGATTAGAAGATATGAGGAGCATGATGAAATTTTAGACTGGGTGACCAGAAGACTTTGCTGAGAAGTGAAGCAAACAAAATGAGGGAAAAAAAAATGTTTGAGCTGACAACCACAATAACCACCATCTCCCATGCCCAAGAAAACAACTACAAGGGAGAAGAAAATACTAACCCAATGAAACAGAATTAAATATCCTTAAACAAGCATTTGGAGATATTAAAAAATACTATGGATCAAAAATTTTAAAAACAGAAATGGACAAAGAACAGGAAGAAATAAAACAAAAACTGATTATACTCAGGAAAGAAACAGAAGAAAGTAAAATCATACAGAAATAAAGATGGAACTAAAAAGTGCGGAGAAGTCTTGCTTTTAATTATAGCAATGTACCCCACGTACAGACCATCCTTCCTGAAGAACAACTATTAACTGTGGAAAAAAGGCAAAAAAAAAAAACAATTACCTTAGAATTCCGAAGAAGAAACAACAGCAGGCACAGTGTGGAGGACAGCCCATGAGACATTCACCAAAGCAGGCCTTATCCTAGGCCATATAACAAACCTCAACAAATTTAACGGTATAGAAATCAGACAGCATGTGTTCTCTGACTGTAATAGAATAAAACTGGAAATCAATAACAAAAAAAGTCAGAAATCAATAACAAGTTTTTTAAAATCTCTAAAAATATGTACATTAAACAATATTTCTAAATAATTCATGAGTAAAGAGAAAATATCAAAGGAAGTTAATAAAAATATATACAACTTAATAAAAAAGAATGTGTCAAAAAACCTGGCATGCAGCTAGAATAGTGCTAAGAAGAAAATTTATAGTACTAAATGCTTATGATAAAAAAGAGGAAAAATTTCAAGTTAATAATTAAGTTTTTACAGCAAGAAAGTAGAGAAAGAAGAGCAAAATAAATCCAAAGCAAGCAGAAGGAAGGAAATAGAAAAGATCTGAGCCGAAATCAGTGAAATTGGTAATAGGAAAACAATTGGGAAAATTTACCAAACAAAAAGTTGATTCTTAGGAAAATACCATTAAAATTGAGAAACTCCTAGCAAGACTGACAAAAACTAAAAAAGAGAAGACATTAACATCAAGAACGAAATACAGAACATAATTACAGATCTCGTAGCCATTAAAAAGAAAATACTACTACAAGCAACTTTTATGCTAATAAATTTGAAAACTTAGAAATAATTGACCAATTCCTTAAAAAGTACAAATGACAAAAACACAAGATAAAACAGAAAATCTGAATAGTTTTATCATCATTAACAATTACATGCATAATTTTAAAGATTCATAAAATAAATCTCCAGGCCCAGATGGTTTCACTGGTGAATTCTACCAAATATTTAAAGAAGAATTAACACCAATGTTATATAATATCTTCCAGAATATAGAAGGTGAGAGAACACTTCAACTCATTTTATGAGGTTGCTATTGCCAAATAACCAAACCAGTCAAAACCAAAAAAAAGTACAGGCCAATATCTTTCATGAACCTAGACACATAAATTCTCCATAAAATATTAGCAAAGCAAATCCAACAATGTTAAAAAGAAATGATTTATTTTTGGTAAAGACAGCATCTCGTTATGTTGCCCAGGCTGGTCTCTAACTCCTGGCCTTAAGCGATCCTTCCACTTTGGCCTCCCAAAGTGCTGGGATTACAGGCATTAGCTAATCCACCCAGTGATTTTTGTCAATAATCTATTGTCTTCAATTGTTTTTGCAAGTTAGTTTCTTTGGTTCTCTGCAGTTTCACTATGTCTAGGTTTTTCTTTATCTGTGTCTATCTTGTGTGGAACTTGCCATTTTTCCTGAATCTGATGATCATGGCTTCCATCAATTCTAAAAAAAAAAAAAAAACTCAGCCTTCATCTCCTCAAAGTTGCCTCTTTCCCATGTTCTCAATTCTTTCTAGAATGCCTAGAAGCATTTGAGATGTCTCACTCTATCATTCATATGTTAACTTCTATATCCTCAAAACCCAACAGTGCCTGGCATGTGGTTGGTGCTCATCTGTGGAACGAATGAATTATACTGAACCCATTGGAAATCAAAATAAATGTACCAGATCAAGGCAGAAAGCAGGCATCTGCTGAAATCCAACTTCCTAGCAGTTGAATCTTTAACTTACTACTCCAGTCAGATACAAAAACAGTGAAACCTAGGATTGTTTAATGAAAGGAACCAATTGTACAGGTACATCATTTGGGAGTGTGGGAAGGGAGTGTTCCCTATTTTGAGGAAATTGGATAAAATGGCTCAGAAAATACGTACAGCACCAACCTAGTGACACGTCATCAATGACGTGAAATCAAGATTGGTTCATGTTTAAAGCTTCCTTTTGGGTACTTAACGTAGAACAGAATTCAGTACCAATTTGCATTGACTGTGCACCTACTAGGATATTATCACAATTCTGCAAGGTAGGCACTGGCATCAATACTTTATGTAATTAAACTGAGGTACAAATTGAAGTAACTTGCCCAAAGTTATACGACTGGTCTCGAACTCCATACAGATAGTTAACTGGCTAAATCCAAATCTGATGCAAGGTCTGCCCAGCCCTAAAGCCCATACTCCTCCCACCATGCCCTCCCACTTGATCAGATGCTGCCTTCCGGGTCAAACTTGGAAAATTAACCAACTCTACCAGATAGGAAGTGATCACTCAGTGCCTTACACCATAGCATTTGAACCATGATATTCTGGCATATTCAATCTCCAGTAAAAATTATTACAATGTGCCAAAAAAAGCTCTTTATTCATTCACATATATTATTGCATTAAATCTTCACTCCATACCCATGAGTAGAAGCAGCAAAAAGATAACCACTCCACTTTACATATGAGGAACCTGAGATTCACAACAGATAATGTGCTTCTTCCAAATTTACAATGTGAGTGAATGGAAGAGTGAAAAACAGCTCTGATTTCAGGTCAACTTCACCCTTCTCTCCCAAAGACGGTGGACACAGTGGTGTGCAGCTCTCATTTTCACTTATAGAATGTTTATAGAAAACCTTTAACAACAAAATTAGAGAAACTAGAACCAACAGCTTCATACTTTAAAATGTGAGGAAATTATATATCATTTTTTACTTTTGTCAAGTCATTCAAAATTTTACTGACTTTAGATTTCAGGCATTACATTGGTTATATTTAAAGTAAAAATATACGGCATTTTATCATTTTTCTTCATATCAAATGAGGCCTGGGGTGTGGTTCTTTGAAAATTTATAAAGTTTGCATAATTATCTGATACATGTAAACTAAATCCTCACTATAGTGTACCTTACACCAGCAGTTACCCAGTTAGAAAATTTTATTGAAACTTAATGTGAGTGAATAATTTCTTGCTGCAAGTTTACAACTATTAAGATATGATCATGAAAATGGGCTGGTCACTAATAAATTTGCAAATAGTGTTAAGGGTCGGGCCCAATATTAGCATCAACTCCCTCAGAATCAATAAAAGATATTTTTTAAACAAGAAATAATTCAAGTGACCCAAACATCTATCTATTTGGTTTTTGTTATTAACCACATGGGCACCCACATGAGGATTGTTAGGATTCTAACAATCTTAAGATTGTCAGAAGCAACATATGGAGGAAGAAATAAGGCAAAAGAGCTAAAAAAAATTGCTCATAAAGCAACAAAGTTCCGACTGCCACTCAGATAGTGGGCAGTACTTCCTTTTGCTGGGGTCAGGCCAAAGAAAGGAGCAGTGCGTGCCTGTGTCACAATTATTCAAGTCCACCTCTTGTCCCATGGAGCACAGCTTAGGCCCCAGTTGGCAGAATAATATAAACAGATACTCTGTTGGGTGACTCAAATAATTTTTATTTTTACATAAAATCTTTCCGAAAAGAACTCTAATAATTTTGATGTGATACCACTCTAGAGAATAACTAATTAATATTTTTACTTAATCAATTTTTTATTTTTGAGATGGAGTCTTGCTCTGTCACCCAGGCTGCAGTGCAGTGCCACGATCTCGGCCCACTGCAACCTCTGCTTCCTGAGTTCAAGTGATTCTCCTGTCTCAGCCTCCCAAGTAGCTGAGATTACAGGTGCACGCCACCACACCTGGCTAAGTTTTGTATTTTTAGTAGAGATGGGTTTTTGCCATGTTGGCCAGGCTGGTCTCAAACTCCTGACCTCATGATCCGCCCACCTCAGGCTCCCAAAGTGCTGGGATTACAGGCTTGAGCCACCGTGCCCGGCCCAATCTTTTTCTCATATGCATACACATACACAGTCTTGGAGATCATTCCAAAAGGAAGGAAAAGAGACAGTCATAGTTCATAGTTTATTACAAATGCATATTATCCAACTCAGTAGAAATCCATGTACCCCAGAATGTACAGAAGGTATGCAATGTTCCAGAGTGTCATTGTCAGCTCTGGTTTTATATATATATTAAATATATACATATTTTGAGACAGGGTCTCGCTGTCACCCAGGCTGGAGTGCAGTGGCACAATCTCAGCTCACTGCAACCTCTGCCTCCCAGCCTCAAGAGATCCTCCCACCTCATCCTTCTGAGTAGCTGGGACTACATGCGCATGCCACCACACCCAGCTATTATTTTTATTTCTTTTTGTAGAGACAAGGGCTCACTATGTTTCTCAGGCTGGTCTTGAACTCCTGGTCTCAAGTGATCCTTCTGCCTTGGCCTCCCAAAGTGCTGGAATTATAGGCATGAGCCACTGAGCCTGGCCTGATTATCTGTTTTTTGAATAGTGACCCTAATGTGCTTTTCCAGTTCCAGTAACTTTTGATAAAATTTTTCAGCAGTGTCTTCATCTAGGTCCATCTGGAAAAGAAGCAAAAATAGAGATGTCTAGAAATGAAAAATAAGATGAATAGTATTTGTATAAAAAAAAGGCATTCAATATATGAAATAAAAAGAAAGGAGGCAGCAGGAAAGGGCCATGGTGGCAGACACGTGGAAGAAGCTGAGAGCCTGAAGACATACTAAATCTCAGTCTCAGTTCCAACACTCACCAAACCCACTGATGCTTCCCTTAAACAGCAAGACTGAAAGATCTGAGTTTTGCTATCTCCCCCAACTTTTATATGCCCAGTAACAGAAGACACCAACCAACTGGTTATCAAAGGACAAAACAGAAAAATCAAGAGTTTTGTGAGTTTTTAATGGCTACTCACTTCCTAATATCAATCTGGCTTAGTAAAAGAGCCCTGGTTTTAGCTGGGCTCACTGCCCTCTGGATATAAGACGATACTTCAGCCTCCATTGAAACAATGGGTGCCAGAGCCATGAGACTATGTTCTGGCTAGTGAGATGTAAATAATACCTGGAGTCTCTTCAAGAGAAATAAAGCATCCCTTTTTTCTTCCCTTCTTCCATACCACTCTCGAGCCACAAGCCTGAGGGCCATGCCCTAAAGATGGCCAGGTGGTGATTGCAAGGAACTTGAGTACCTGACAATTTGTGGACTTGCCATGGCAGCCTGAGACTGCCTCTCTCCTAAATGCTTTTACATGCAAGAAATTTAAGATTCTATCTAGTTTAATCTATAGTTATTTTACATTCTTGTGTTTCATGCAGAAAATCTCAACAGTATGTACAGGCAAACTTTCAGCCCTTTTAAATAGTGATATCCTTTCATCAAGCCAACACAGAGCCTAAACTTCAAGAACAGCCTCTTTGTTCACAAAATTGAAAGGCTAAAAATTAAATAAACTTTTGAACATTTTGAAAATAACATTTTTAAGGGCAGCCAGAGAGAAAGGTCGGGTTACCCACAAAGGGAAGCCCATCAGACTAACAGCGGATCTCTTGGCAGAAACTCTACAAGCCAGAAGAGAGTGGGGGCCGATATTCAACATTCTTAAAGAAAAGAATTTTCAATCCAGAATTTCATATCCAGCCAAACTTAGCTTCATAAGTGAAGGAGAAATAAAATCCTTTACAGACAAGCAAATGCTGAGAGATTTTGTCACCACCAGGCCTGCCCTACAAGAACTCCTGAAGGAAGCACTAAACATGGAAAGGAACAACCGGTACCAGCCACTGCAAAAACATGCCAAATTGTAAAGACCAGCGATGCTAGGAAGAAACTGCATCAACTAACAAACAAAATAACCAGCTAACATCATAATGACAGGATCAAATTCACACATAACAATATTAACCTTAAATGTAAATGGGCTAAATGATCCAACTAAAAGACACAGACTGGCAAATTGGATAAAGAGTCAAGACCCATCAGTGTGCTATATTCAGGAGACCCATTTCATGTGCAGAGAGACACATAGGCTCAAAATAAAGGGATGGAGGGAAATCTACCAAGCAAATGGAAAACAAAAAAAGGCAGGGGTTGCAATCCTAGTCTCTGATAAAACAGACTTTAAACCAACAAAGATCAAAGAGACAAAGAAGGCCATTACATAATGGTAAAGGGATCAATTCAACAAGAAGAACTAACTATCTAAATATATATGCACCCAGTACAGGAGCACCCAGATTCATAAAGCAAGTCCTTAGAGACCTACAAAGAGGCTTAGACTCCCATACAATAATAATGGGAGACTTTAACACCCCACTGTCCACATTAGACAGATCAACAAGACAGAAAGTTAACAAGGATATCCAGGAATTGAACTCAGCTCTGCACCAATCAGACCTAATAGACATCTACAGAACTCTCCACCCCAAATCCACAGAATATACATTCTTCTCAGCACCACACAGCACTTATTCCAAAATTGACCACATAGTTGGAAGTAAAGCATTCCTCAGCAAATGTGGAAGAACAGAAATTATAACAAACTGTCTCTCAGACCACAGTGCAATCAAACTAGAACTCAGGATTAAGAAACTCACTCAAAACCACTCAACTACATGGAAACTGAACAACTTGCTCCTGAATGACTACTGGGTACATAACGAAATGAGGGCAGACGTAAAGATGTTCTTTGAAACCAATGAGAACAAAGACACAACACACCAGAATCTCTGGGACACATTTAAAGCAGTGTGTAGAGTGAAATTTATAGCACTAAAAGCCCACAAGAGAAAGCAGGAAAGATCTAAAATTGACACCCTAACATCACAATTAAAAGAACTAGAGAAGCAAAAGCAAACACATTCAAAAGCTAGCAGAAGGCAAGAAATAACTAAGATCAGAGCAGAACTGAAGGAGATAGAGACACAAAAAAACCCTTCAAAAAATCAATGAATCCAGGAGCTGGTTTTTTGAAAAGATCAACAAAATTGATAGACTGCTAGCAAGACTAATAAAGAAGAAGAGAGAGAAGAATCAAATAGACGCAATAAAAAATGATAAAAGGGATATCACCACCGATCCCATCTGAGAATACTATAAACACCTCTACGCAAATAAACTAGAAAATCTAGAAGAAATGGATAAATTCCTGGACACTTACACCCTCCCAAGACTAAACCAGGAAGGGGTCAAATCTCTGAATAGACCAATAACAGGATCTGAAATTGAGGCAATAATTAATAGCCTACCAACCAAAAAAAGCCCAGGACCAGATGGATTCACAGCTGAATTCTACCAGAGGTACAAGGAGATGGTACCATTCCTTCTGAAACTATTCCAATCAATAGAAAAAGAGGGAATCCTCCCCAACTCATTTTATGAGGCCAGCATCATCCTGATACCAAAGCCTGACAGAGACACAACAAAAAAAGAGAATTTTAGACCAATATCCCTGATGAACACTGATGCAAAAATCCTCAATAAAATACTGGCAAACCGAATCCAGCAGCACATCAAAAAGCTTATCCACCATGATCAAGTGAGTTTCATCCCTGGGATGCAAGGCTGATTCAACATACACAAATCAATAAACGTAATCCAGCATATAAACAGAACCAAAGACAAAAACCAAATGATTATCTCAACAGATGCAGAAAAGGCCTTTGACAAAATTCAACAACTCTTCATGCTAAAAACTCTCAATAAATTAGGTATTGATCGGACATATCTCAAAATAATAAGAGCTATTTATGACAAACTCACAGCCAATATCATACTGAATGGGCAAAAACTAGAAGCATTCCCTTTGAAAACTGGCACAAGACAGGGATGCCCTCTCTCTCCACTCCTATTCAACATAGTGTTGGAAGTTCTGGCCAGGGCAATCAGGCAGGAGAAAGAAATAAAGGGTATTCAATTAGGAAAAAAGGAAGTCAAATTGTCCCTGTTTGCAAATTACATGATTGTATATTTAGAAAACCCCATTGTCTCAGCCCAAAATCTCCTTAAGCTGATAAGCAACTTCAGCAAAGTCTCAGGATACAAAATCAATGTGCAAAAATCACAAGCATTCTTATACACCAATAACAGACAAACAGAGAGCCAAATCATGAGTGAACTCCCATTCACAATTGCTTCAAAGAGAATAAAATATCTAGGAATTCAACTTACAAGAGATGTGAAGGACCTCTTCAAGGAGAACTACAAACCACTGCTCAATGAAATAAAAGAGGACACAAACAAATGGAAGAACATTCCATGCTCATAGATAGGAAGAATCAATATCATGAAAATGGCCATACTACCCAAGGTAATTTATAGATTCAATGCCATCCCCATCAAGCTACCAATGACTTTCTTCACAGAATTGGAAAAAACTACTTTCAAGTTCATATGGAACCAAAAAAGGGCCCGCATTGCCAAGACAATCCTAAGCCAAAAGAACAAAGCTGGAGGCATCACGCTACCTGACTTCAAACTATACTACAAGGCTACAGTAACCAAAACAGCATGGTACTGGTACCAAAACAGAGATATAGACCAATGGAACAGAACACAGCCCTCAGAAATAATGCTGCATATCTACAACCATCTGATCTTTGACAAACCTGACAAAAACAAGAAATGGGGAAAGGATTCCCTATTTAATAAATGGTGCTGGGAAAACTGGCTAGCCATATGTAGAAAGCTGAAACTCGATCCCTTCCTTACACCTTATACAAAAATTAATTCGAGATGGATTAAAGACTTAAATGTTAGACCTAAAACCATAAAAACCCTAGAAGAAAACCTAGGCAATACTATTCAGGACATAGGCATGGGCAAGGACTTCATGTCTAAAACACCAAAAGCAATGGCAACAAAAGCCAAAATTGACAAATGGGATCTAATTAAACTAAAGAGCTTCTGCAAAGCAAGAGAAACTACCATCAGAGGAAGGCAACCTACAGAATGGGAGAAAATTTTTGCAATCTACCCATCTGACAAAGGGCTAATATCCAGAATCTACAATGAACTCAAATTTACAAGAAAAAAACAAACAACCCCATCAACAAGTGGGCAAAGGATATGAACAGACACTTCTCAAAAGAAGACATTTATGCAAGCAAAAGACACATGAAAAAATGCTCATCATCACTGGCCATCAGAGAAATGCAAATCAAAACCACAATGAGATACCATCTCACACCAGTTAGAATGGCGATCATTAAAAAGTCAGGAAACAACAGGTGCTGGAGAGGATGTGGAGAAATAGGAACACTTTTACACTGTTGGTGGGACTGTAAACTAGTTCAACCATTGTGGAAGACAGTGTGGCGATTCCTCAAGGATCTAGAACTAGAAATACCATTTGACCCAGCCATCCCATTCCTGGGTATATACCCAAAGGATTATAAATCATGCTGCTATAAGGACAGATGCACATGTATGTTTACTGCGGCACTATTCACAGTAGCAAAGACTTGGAATCAACCCAAATGTCCAACAATGATAGACTGGATTAAGAAAATGTGGCACATATACAGCATAGAATACTATGCAGCCATAAAAAAGGATGAGTTCATATCCTTTGTAGGGACATGGATGAAGCTGGAAACCATCATTCTCAGCAAACTATCACAAGGACAAAAAACCAAACACCGCATGTTCTCACTCATAGGTGGGAACTGAACAATGATAACACTTGGACACAGGAAGGGGAACCTCACACACTGGGGCCTGTTGTGGGGTGGGTGTAGAGGGGAGGGATAGCATTAGGAGATATACCTAATGTAAATGATGAGTTAATGGGTGCAGCACACCAACATGGCACATGTATACATATGTAACAAACCTGCACGTTGTGCACATGTACTCTAGAACTTAAAGTATAATAATAATTTTAAAAAAAAGAAAGAAAATAACATTTATCTTCAATCAAGTTAGAGTTTTTCCATAATGGAGCTGGAAGAAGCATTACAGAACTCTTCTAGTTCAACCCCATCTTTTAACAGAAGAGAAAGCTGACTTCCCCAAATTAATCAAAGGTTAAAATACTTTCTTCAATGCATTTCCATAAAATGCTAATGAGTATGTCAGTTTGTAGAACTAAACATTTTCCCCTTGATAAACAAATCATTCCTTCTAAGTTAATAGATAGTAAGTTCAAATACACCCTGCTAGCCTAAAGTAAGCTATTAGTTTACAATAGAATTCCCCAAAGGGATGTTACAGGTTATGTAAAATTTGCTTTAAAAAATATTCATGGTGAAGTACTGAAAACAGCAGGATAAAATATTTCACACACATTTCTTAACTGTTTCAACTTCTCACAGCCTTTACTTTGCTGATGTATGCTGTACAAGTCTCTGAAAGAGGGGAATGTAATATGAAGCATGGTTCAATTTTACTTGCTAGAGGAACTGCTTCTTGCAAATCTTCTCAGGAAACTAGTATCCCACAGAACATATTTTGAAAAACCTGGAAGGTTCACTTTTAGTGAACAGATAGCACAGGAAGCCAAGTGCATGGCTCCCCTTTTAACTCACGCTACTAACAGAGGCCAAGATCAATGCCGGTTACTTGACTTACCTGCGATAACAGTCACCTCAATCTCATTTTATCTTATGCTAATGCCTCCTCACAACAGGCTGGACAGTGGAAAATCAGGGGCTGAAACAAACCTTACGCATGACAAAAGTACAACAAAGTAGTTCTCTTAGTTTAAAATAAATTTTCTTATTCCCCAGTATGTAACTCTATGTTTGATTTCATTTTAGATTATACCAAGTCTAAAAAACACAGTACTGACATTTTTTTTCTGCACATTATTCTGTTCCTCTTCAAAACACCAATCTATTAAAGCTGACAATTGTCACAAGCAGAATTGAATACTCAAAGGGAAGTTAACTTCACACAGAAAAACACTTCATATTTCATTCAACTTGCAACGTATTTACTGAGCGTCTACCATGTGTAAGGCAGCCTGCTAGGAAATGGGGTATGACCCTCCTCCTCAAAGAGCTTACATTCTGACAGGGGAACCCGAAGGTGAACAAGCATGATCTGCAACAGGTACGAGATGTCAAGAAAGCCTATTACAGAGGCACCCAGGCCCGGTCTACAGGGTCACTAAAGGCTATGGGATAAACTGATCTGAAGGATGAGCACAAATCAATCATCAAGAGGCTGAGAGCAGCTCAAGTCGGGGGAATAAGATGTGCGAGAAGCAGGAGGGAGCAGGATGAAATAAAATCAGGCCAGTGTGATGCTGGTGAACAGTGAGTACCCAGAGAAGCGAAGCTGGGGGGCTGAGGGGCTGGTCAGGAACACAGGCTTAATTCATCAACCCAACAGCAAACATCAGTGCAACAATGTAAGCACATTTACCTTCTGGGTCATAATGTAATTTCTTCCAAAGCCAGTGGTGGCACTCAGATATTTGATCAGAGGATTGAGAGATTCAGGCTTTTGGTGGAAAAGCCATACCTGGAAAGGAAGGATGTGTCAATGATTTGTTTCTTCTGCCCAAGATGAGTGAGGCTGGTGGAGATTCACAATCTGCACTTTATAGAGCTCCCCAGACAAATTATAAACATCCTCTCAAATATCATCAGTGAATGGTTTGGCAAATATATTGAGAACCAATTAAAATATAGTTTAAAAGCACTTGCTTCTACAACCAATTTGTATTCCTACAATAAATGCATTTATTTCTGTAACACTTACCAAAACAAGAGCATCAAAGCCAATTCCATTTATGTTTTCCTTAGCTAATCTCAATTAAGTCAAGATTTAAGAATCTACTAAGTACTACAATGCTAGGTCCTCAGGTTTCCAAAGTGAATAGCAAAAATCCTGAAGGAGTTCAATGGAATGAGGGAGACAAATGTAAAGGACTGACTCAGATACAGTGGGCTTTTTATGTAGGACAATTCTGAACCGTTAGCAGAGGCTGCCTCTGGAGCTCTGGGTTGAAGAATATTCAGAGACATCACGTGTGTATAGCAGAAAGGAGTATTATAGCCCATTAGTAATGTCTGCCATTGATGAGGAAACACATGCAACCCATTTGCCACGTGTGATTTAACTCCACTGGCTTCCTAATAAAATAACAACTTGATCTTCTAAGAGAGGGAAGAAAATCTTCATAGAGGGGAATGGTGTTCAACCTTGTTGTCCTGGCTCTTGACCCACAAAATGCTCTTTCTCCACGGGAAATCACAGACTGATTGTGCAGTCACCGTCCTGCTCTGCCTGTCCCTCCAGCTTCCCATTGCTCTGTCTCTCCTCTAGCTGCTGGTGTATCTTGCCTCTAAAGAAGTGCTTTCCCTACAGTCATGGTGCCCAGTGCCATGGTAGATGTTAAACTTGCAAACTTCACTCCTAATGTTCTGTGCTTAGCCTTATAGTCCGCTTTAGTTCCAAACGGGACCTCAATTATTCACAGAGCTTATTCTCTTATTATCTTTTCTGTTGAAATTATTTCTACTACGAGTGAACCTGTAATTCACATCTGCTAAGTCATCATACAAGTTATAAAAACTTCAGTAACATACCAGAGCTTCTGTTCCATTATATGGTGTCAAAGTGAATGCATTTGCAAAAAAGCGAAGCTGCGGAAAAGAAAACAACTGTTATTTTTTGGTGGTTTAGAATAGAGTCACGAAAGAATTATTCATTTAAATATTTTTTAAAACCCTGCCTTTCTGATTATAGAACACTTTTTAAGTAACAAAAAATAAAGAAGTCAAAAAAGAAACATCATTTAATCTCCATTATTCCAAATCCACTACTTTTAACATGAAGGCCTATTTACTTCTGATCTTTACTTTATGCCTGCCCTAAGGAAAAGACACTTCTTCCTGAGCCCTAAAGAGAGAATCATTTCCTAAAAGTAGCATTTTTCAAGATGTGCCACAGAAACAATGGTCCTGCAAGACGTTCAAATCACAAAACAAAAATATGGTTGTATAGTTACATAGTACACAATTATCCCCTTCTTGGGAACTTTTGATGCACAGGATCAGTTTGAAAACTTAGAGAAGTCCAGTTTAACAATGTTCAACATGGGTTTTCTAAAATTATATGATTACAGAACTCTTGGGATCTGTGGTGCATGAGCAATGAAACACTCCTTTAAAGAGAAGTAGACACTCAAATGGTGGTGTGGCAGTAACACTTAGAAATATTAAGCAGAGGTTTCACATTAAGTAAGTTCAAAAACCTCAAGTTAAATGGCATTCAGGTTCAATTCCTTAAATCATTTCCCAACCCTTAAACATATCTTCTAGGTCCCAAAAAGAGATTTTTATGAGTTAAGAAAAGAAGTATATTCATCACTTACTAGCAATATTGCCGGCATCAACAGCGTCCATATAAACGGAGGCAGAATTCCATATGTCAAATTGGTCAATGCTGTACCTGGACAGGCCACATTGGAATAGAGACCCTAGGAACAGAGAGGTGTAGCAATGAGACTTTAACTCAGTGTATATTGACTCAGTCCAGCTACATGCTAGTTAATAAAAGAGGTATGTACATGAGCCAGAAGTCAGGTAATAAAGAATTTATGTTCTGAGTTGTCTCTGAAGTTGGGTAGAACGTTTATGTTGAAGAATCATGTATTAAGAGAACCCACTGTGAGAGGCACCCAGGATGCAAAAATTAGTGGGACAAAGTCTCTATTCTCATGAACCTTGCAGTATAAAAAATAACCAATCTTAACGCTGGGGGAGAAAAGCAGGGCCTGGTTATCTGAGTTTTTCCTATTATTGGCTTAACTGAAGATCAGCTTTTTAATCATAATGAGCATTTAAGATTAAAAGATGTATGGAGTACAGTCCTTGCCTTCAAGAAGTTTCTGGCCTAATAAATAGACAGCTAAACCTAAAGTATGTGTCTGTTTCCCTGCAAGTACATAAGACCCATACCTCTAGCTTGAGGGGGGTGCTCCCGGCATTAGGCTGTATGTGCTATCACAAAACTTTCTCCAACTGAAGATCTCTCAATCAGGTCCTTAGCCTAGAACTCATTTTAGAAAGTTCCACCCTACAAAGAGAGCCCCAATTAACACAGAGCTTATGTTAATACAAAGGGTCCTATGTGATCTACAGTTAAGTCCTGGAGCCCTGGGATCATGCCTCTTATTGGGATTTGTTTTACTATTTTATTTAGTTTAATTTATACTATACATTTTACTTTATTTTGATATTGACTATTTTAACTCATTTTTATCATTTTTAAACTCATTTTTTCTTTTAAATAAAAAAATAGGAAGTGCCAGTTTAACAGACAGTTCAATGGACAGACAGCACCCTAAGCAACAGAACCTGGAGGCTTTTCATCCTTTATTTGGTACTGCAGAGGCTTGGCACTGCCTGACATGGATCAACCATCCCTGAGAATCCCCTTGATTTACCAACAATCCTCTAGAAAAAAGTCAAGAGCTAAGACTTATCCTCATGATAGTCCAAAAGTTTTTCCTAAGAAAACAATGTGCTCTGCCCCTAAAACAGCTAAGGAAAAGTTCTTATTCTAGGAGCTTCCTAGGATCACTTGGGGACTATTCTGTCCTAAACGAAGAAATCTTCAAACTAAAATCCAGCGTTTCCAACATATACAATTTTCTGATGTTGAGAGATAAACAAAAAAGAAAGAAGAAGACAATCTTAACCAAGACTGTATCCTTCCATTTGTTTAATTATAGGGATTAAATTGTGATGATCCTGAGTATTTCTCTACAGCTTGAGTGGGGGAGCATGCATGGATAATTAAAGTCTATCAGGCAGTCTATATAGAACCTGACAACATTTCCAGTAACACAGGGCTTCAAAAGGAATCCTGTAATGTTATTCTTTCTCAGCTGCTTCTTTCCTCATAAAGGCCAAGAAGAAAAAGTCATTGGCTGAGAACCAATCTCAACAGATTTTACAAGCAATAGCTAAATCTCCCTCCTTCGTAAAAGATAAAATCCCAAAGCTCACTTGATAATTGAGACTTAAATAGAATCCCAGACCTTTTTATGAAAGGAAAAGCTAATCCCTCTAAAAGGGAGTTCTCAGAGTATCAGGAAGCAGTTGTGACAAGTTTTTAAACATCTCAAGAAACTTCAGAAGGAGGTGCACAATTGGGCCAACATGCTGAGTCCAACCTGCAATATTAACAGCCAATACAAGAACATGTACACGCATGTGCAGCCCACATGCACTGACACCTACACACATGCACACACCCAAAAAGTACATTCACAAACACATGTGCACACACCCATAAAACCCGTACATGTACATATGAACATGCTACACATGGGTAGGCACACAAATACATACCCACACTCATGTATATCCACATGTACATATTTGTACAGACACATGCACACACAAACTCACATTCTGAATACAAAACACTGCTGTGAGTGCTTCATACAGATCCCCCTCAGTCAATCTTCCCAATAAATCTGTGAGGCAGGCACTATTACTATCCCTATTTTTCAGATGAGGAAACTGAGGCATAGGGAGATTAAATAATATGCCTAGGGTTACAAAGAGTCAGGATTCAAATTCAGTTCCCGAAAGTATGCTCTTAGCTTCAACTTTATAAGAGGCATGATTCAGGCTGGGCGCAAGTGCTGTAATCCCAGCATTTTGGGAGGCTGAGGCAGGCAGATACCTGAGGTCAGGAGTTCGAGACCAGCTTGGCCAACATAGTAAAACCCTGTCTCTACTAAAAACACAAAAATTGGGTGTGGTGGCACATCCCTGTAATCCCAGCTACTTGAGAAGCTGAGGTACAAGAATCACTTGAATTCAGAAGATAGAGGTTGCAGTGAGCCATGATTGTGCCACCGCACTCCAGCCTGGGCAACAGAATGAGACTCTGTCTCAAAAAAAAAGGGGGGCATCATTCTAAGAGCCAGAACACAGAATACCACCTGATAAAGGTAGCAATTCCAGAATAAGCCAGGTCTAGACCATCACATAAGAGTTATATTTCTATGTCTAATTCATGATCCAAGAAGCTCCGTTGAGGTAAAACATAATTCTTGATCATCATCTTATTTCACTTTCCTCCTCAACCCTAAACCTGGCCCAGTGCCCTAAACATGATAGGTCTTTTGTAAATGTTAGTGAAATTAAACTTCTCCATAGCCCCATACTCATAGAACACTGTCAATCAAAGCAAACAAAAGAAAATGTCCAAGGCGAAGACTGGAGATTTCCAGGTAAGAATTTAGACCTGGGCAACAGAGACATACAAAGAAGCAGTAAGGTGCAGACCATAGTGGCAACAAGGACTCAGTATGACCAACAAGGGTCACCATCCCCTGAAAAACATCCCATAAACTGAGATCCTCATAGAGACAGAGCTCTGGAGTCTTACCTAAAACCACCACTATCCAGAAGGTTTCATAACTACTTGACTGTCCTATAAACGTCTGCTATGACAAACACTAGGCGGCAGCATGGTACAGTGGGAAAAGTCCAAGCTATAAAGTCAAGACAGCCTCGGGCTCAATTCTGAGCTCTACCATTTACAAGTTGTGTGACCATCAGGTAAATGACTTAAGTTCTCCGAGATTTAGTGTCCTCATCTGAAAATGGTAATACTTAGACCCACCTCCATGTAATGAGGCAGGTATTTAATGACATACACAGACGAATACAGCACCTGAAACACAGCAAGTACCAACACAGTAGCTATTATCACTTTTAGTAGTGTCACTCTGTTAACATAAGTTAGAATTCCTGAAGAACCACAGAATGAACTACCTATAACTATAATGTCAGGAGCCAATTATCTCTGCCCTAACACTTTCATATACACCAAATATCAATCTAAACTATAAGAGTTAGTGGAAAGCCAGCTACCTTATTAGGAAATCAACAGCAGGTAATTAAGAGAACCCTCCTCTGCCATTTCCGTATCACTGAGACAGGCCTTACCTGCTGGTTGAAGTTCCTGTTCAAAGCCACACTCAAAAGGTCAGTGGCATATTTGGAAGAGCTGTAGGGTTCCTTGCCTTTGCTGTGCTGGAAGTCCTCGAGGCTGAAATTAGATTTCCTTGCACTGCGAGATGATGTCCAGATGAGCTGAGATGGATTGTCACTGTGACAGAGGAGAGGCTCCAGTTCCCGAATCTGGGTGAAAGAAAAAAAAAAAGTATTAAAATATACTGACAGAATACAGATAAAAATTTTGAAACCACTGTACTGTATGGTAAGAGATTAGGGTCAGAGACATCAGTATTAACTAGTTATCTAAAAGAGACATGAATTAGTTACACAGAAAAATATTTATAGATATGTATACATACATGAGTTAGTATGTACATATATATCTCTTAGTCTATCAGCAGAGAGGGTTTAGAAGACACTGATATCTCAGCAGCAATAAGCACCCAGATCTTGGTTTCTAATAACCATTCTCTGATAAAAGAAAACATATGGCTTTAGAAAAGTAGCTGATTCTAGGACTGAACAAGGAAATACACAAGATGAGTCTGAAGGATCTTGTAGTGCCAGATAGTAAGAAACTGCTCAAAACGAAAGCTAAAACAAAAAGAGAAAACCATAACAATGGGGGTGTGCCAAAGAGATACAGGAGCCAACTGAAAGCGTTCCCAGTGGCCAAAACTGAAAAAATTTGAGCAGGAAAATAAAATAGTATTTATAATTTCAAAGCAGAAAATACATAAACATGAGTCCATATGGATATAATAAACGACTGAATTAAAGACATAAATAAAGGAGAACTGACAATCTCCCTTGTGGAAAAAATCCAAATAATTTCTGTAGATAACCCACTCTTAAGGAGGTAGAGCACTAGCCAGTATGCATTGGCTGCACATAGTAACTTTCTTTCTTTTTCTCTTTTTTTTTTTTTTTTGAGACGGAGTTTCACTGTTGTTGCCCAGGCTGGAGTCCAATGGCATGACCTCGGCTCACCACAACTTCCGCTTCCCGGGTTCAAGCGATTCTTCTGCCTCAGCCTCCCAAGCAGCTGGGATTACAGGCATGCGTCACCACACTCGGCTAATTTTGTTTTTTGATAGAGATGGGGTTTCTCCATGTTGGTCAGGCTGATCTCAAACTCCCGACCTCAGGTAATCTGCCCGCCTTGGCCTCCCAAAGTGCTGGGATTAGAGGCAGGAGCCACCGTGCCCGGCCCAACTTTCTTTCAAAAAGTAGAGTATGAAAAGGGAGAAAGAAAAAGTAACTTAACAATGGAAAAACCTGACAAACATGACCTCAAGCCAGGTGATCAAGGTTAATATCAACACTGAGAAGTCATACTGATAGCATACACCCTTGATATGATGTCATGAGAATGTCACTTTACCTCTGTGGCCTTCCTCCCAAAAACCACATTCTTCAGTCTCACCATGAGAAAAACATCAGACAAATCCCGATTGAGAGAGTCTACAAAACACCTAAGCAGTACTCCTCAAAACTGTCAAGGTCATCAAAAACAAGGAAAGTCTGAGAAGCTGTCACAACCAAGAAGAGCCTAAGGAGACATGACTGCTAAATGTAATGTAGTATCTTGAATGGGATCCTAGAACTGAAAAAAGACATTAGGCAAAAACAGAACCTGAATAAAGTGTGTACTTTAGTTAATAATAATGTAGCAGAATTGATTCATCTATTTTGACAAATGCATCATACCAATGCGAAATGTTAATAATGGGGAAACTGGGTGTAGGGCATACAGAAAGTCTCTGTACTATCTTTGCAGTAATTCTGTAAATCAAAAACTATTAGTACATTTATTAAAGAAAAATCTACTAGGAAAGCTTCCAGAAGTATTCCATGCTCACAATAAACAAGGCAAATGCAATCAAGAAAACTCAAACATGAGATTAAATCAGTTAACTGGCTGCTCAACTATAATAATGCCCTGTGCCCAGAGCTTTACAGAAACTATCACACGAAATATTAGCTTATTAAGCCCACAGCTTCTTTACCAGGATAAAATGGCCAAAGACATTGGTCTCAAACACCTCCTGAAGTCCATCAGCAGTGATCTTATCACCCTGGGTCAGCAGGCCTTCAGCTGTGGAGAACATATGAATCACTTTTCTGAAACAGCAGAAGATAATTGCATGACTTTTTAAAGCTTCTTTAACTGGAAATACTGAAAACACTTTCCAACCCATCCCCCCGACCCATAAACTACACCTCCCTTGATTCTATAATGACAGGAATAAAAATACCTATTTCTCAGACTGGGTTATTGTATTAAATGAAATGCCAAAGACCCTCCTTCCCCCCACTAATTCACAGAAATACTTACATACTTATAGCTCACGCTACCAATAGGAACTTGAGTCTCTCAAAAACCTGCTGCTAAAATTCTCTTCACCTCTTTCCCAATCAGGTTACAGGTAAACTGTTCTAAAGGAATAATAAGCTATGCCAAAGGGAAAAAAAGTTTTCCTGTGCACAAAGTATGTTTAACTGTCAAAAAAAAGAGTTAAACAGATTGTTTTTTTAACTGGGAATACTTCAAACGTATTAATATAGTGTTCTGCTGGGAGGTCAATTTAGTAGGTCAAAATCAATGCGGGGAGAGAGAGACAGAGAGAGTGTGAGAGTGTGTGTGTGTGTCTGTCTTTTAATGGAAAAGAAGTAAAGCAAAAGCATTGGTATAGTAAGCAGCACATAGTAAGAATGCCTATTTATGAATAAGTGTATTGGGTCACAAAGTAAGATCTATTCCTATAAATAAGAATTCTCCTGGTTGTGTTTCAACATTTTTGAAAGCCACTACACTAATGAGTAACGAGAATCTCCCAGGAAACATTAGTTGTCTGCATTTCCCCAACCTACTGGTCAGAGCACCTGACATACAGCTGGGAAACAGTTCAAAGTAACTTTCCTGGAAATTGGAGACTCTCTGAGAACTCTGCCTAATTTCAAAATGTTCTTGCTAATAGGCATATCCAGGCAGACCAAAAAATGACCTTCTAAACCATTTAGAATGTCCTGGAGACTTAGAATACCATAAAAAACGGGACTTTCAGCACTCCCCACAAAAGAGGATTGCTTTTCTTTCATGATATGGTTGCGACATCTCCTTTTTCTGTCTTCAACCTTTTCAACAACCCCTTACCTTTCATCCCCCCAACTTAACATGCCATCAAAACTAGGCAGAAAAATGAACACATTCCTTCCAATCAGTTCATCCATAAAACGAAAATTACCTTGAAAAGAGGCCAAAGAAAAGTGCTTTGATATTTAGTTGTGGATTAGGCATGATCCCAGCATTTAGATATATACAGTCTAATCTCTGAAACCTGCAAGTAAACCACCAAACAAGATTGTGAGTTGCAAGTAAAAACATCAGGACAAGATTGTGTATTCTATCTCTAGAGTGACTAGAATCAAGGAGGCCTAAGAAAGACAAAAAATACTTTTTAAATTAATATATTAGCCACAGCAAGTTCAGAAGAATTTATAGCACATTAGAGTTACAGCATTTCTTTCTCAACAGTTTTTCTTTAGCTACAGTAAACATTTGAGAATTCTTTCTTTGGTAGTGGCTTCAAACAGAATCTGTGGAGTCATCGTGGGCTTTAAGTAAAACCTCTGATCAATAATTCCTTCCAGCTCTGTCCTCTCAATAAGGAATTGCAGCAACCCTCTATCTCTTAAACCCACTCTCCTCGTCTTACAAAGTGTCTTGCTTTAAAAAAAAAATCCACATCTCCTCTGGTTGACAAGTAAAATTTATATACTATTGATATTCACCTGACCTGATCTATTAATGCTGAAATCTGAATGCCAAAATATATAATAAAACAGAAGATCCATGTGGAAACCTTTCAGTGTTCATGGACAAGTCCTATGTATCCTAAAATGATGAAAGTTCGTAAGAATACACTGAGATTATAAAAGATAAATGGGGGTAAGGTAATCTTGTTGGGCTCCCCCCTGAATACTTGTCACGGAAGGGATATGAAATGCTGAGTTGAAAAAGCATTTTCAGTTTTAAACCTATGTAAGTCTTCATCTAAGACTCTTCATCTAAGACTTACATAGGTTTAAATGTACTCATTTTGAACTAGGTTCAAGGCAGGTAAAGCCTGCTCTCATGATACTCACAGACACCATAAATATTCAGAATATCTCCTAGAGTTCTATGTACCAAACTGTCTCTGAATAACCCAAGATATTAAGAGTCATAGCTTCTAAACTTAGGACCCTGAAATACATACATGGTCTTCAACACAGATCACATACAACCATTTCTTGATCATCCTATAAATAATTGACAAATGACTCAAATTATTAAATTGACCATTTAAAATGCTGATATTATTACCATCAGTTCATCATGTAAGTGCCACAAAGATAGTGTGAGTTCATCCATTGTTGCTTGTTCTATTACCTTATTTGCCAACTTTTATCTATGAATATTAACATATTTGGCTAGGAACGGAGAGGAAATGTTTAGTAAAGACATCAAATTAAGCTCTGGCTTCAGTAAAATGACATACCACTCATCAATAAAATAATTGATACATTGCTCTAATATGGATAAAACAGCATCACTATTTCTTACTAGTTTTCATCTGCACTATCTAATAGAAGAGAATGCTACAGATGGAAAGACCAGGTGTCAGGGATGGTGCTACTTGAGCCATTAGAAGGGATTCTCAAGCTCTCTTTAGCTCTAGTTTATTTCAGACTTAGAACTGAAGAGATCCATTTGAGCCACTGGGTGTAGTTTCTTGACATAAGTAAGAATCTATCTGGACACTTTCATATATTCCAAACTTGTGAATATCACTATAACCATTCATTTCCTAAACTTGAATTGACACCAACCATCTCAAAAAAAAGGCTGTTTTGCGGACTAAATACCTCAAAACTTCACTAAAATGCTGATGACAGGTACCTGGGACAACTCACTTATCACCTGAAGTGCTCCCTTCTGCCCCACAGCCTCACTGCCTTGAATCTGTGCTAAGTTGCTAAATATCTTACGAAATACTAAATTACTGAACTCGCGATAAAGTACCGAATATCTTGAACCTTTGAAGGCATTTGGGAATAGTCAGTACTATAAATGTTAAAACTTTGGGTCTCAAAAGTAAACTGCATCGGAATGGGATATTATTAACTGGGAAATGAAGGTTCTTTTCTTCCAAATAAGAAAATATAACAAAATCTAAACAAAGCAGGTAAGAAGCCAGCTGGCTAAGAAAGTTTGGGAAAAGAATGCCTGTAAACATGATTTAAAACTCATAACTTCTCTCAACTTCATGGTTTTTATCTCCATAAGGACATTCAGTATACAGTTTCACAGCCCTGGAGATGCTTAAGTTATGGAGGAGTAGGGGATATGGAATATATCAAAATTTATGTGAAAACAGAACCTAGAAAATCTCAGGTTTTTTGTTTTTTTTTCTTTAAGATGCGGTA
Source organism: Homo sapiens (assembly GCF_000001405.40). Lineage (NCBI taxonomy): Eukaryota > Metazoa > Chordata > Mammalia > Primates > Hominidae > Homo > Homo sapiens. Next base: position 162,794,453 of record NC_000001.11, on the reverse strand, counting down.
GAAAACTCTAATAGCTCAGCAGTACTGGAGAGAGAAACCACATTTACAAAGGACTAAGGCCACACTGAGAAGAGCTGGAGTGAAGAAAACTAGCTTTCACTTTGTAACTTGTGCATTTGGAACAGGCAAATGCAAATGATTATCAATTCACATAAAATGTGAAGTATTTTTATTCAGCAAACATCTTCATCAAGAAAGCCTTCCTTGTTTCTACCCATTTCATTCTACTGTCCAAGGAAACAAGGTAGTTCTTTGTCTCTTAAGTGCCTCAATATTTGAAAATTAATTATTCCAGATAGCCCTAGGGCAGCATAGACTAGTGCAGGGTTCTTGGACTTTTTTCATCATAAATTCCTCTTACAATTTAAAAACAAATAAATAAATAAAAAGCCCTCTCTGCTCAGAAAAATGCATTGTGCACCTACATGCAATTTTGTGTTCACTTTCAGGGGAGTTATACATCTGAGGACTCTATTCCTTCATATACCAACTATTGATCAAATGTCTATTACATGCCAATTACTGTGAAGGTGTGAACAAATCTTTACTGGCCTAGGGAAAAAAAATACCCCTTAGGAAGCAGGGAGAAGCCCTGGGGTCTTGGACCCACCCAACTAATATAAGATTGGATGACCTTCCCAGGCATATTACCCTTATTTCTGTGTCTCAGTTTCTTCACTTGTTAAATGTCACTCACTACTTGCCTTATCTACTTAATGAATTCATTATGTGAAGAAAGATGTAAAAAATGAATTCAAATGTCAAAGGAGTTACCTTAACGTAAGGCAGTGCAACTGATCACACATCAGGATGTACTTACAAATTAGTCTCCATGAAATAATTATGATCATGATTGAGATTGAAAATGTGGTACTGGCCAAGTGCAATGGTTCACACCTGTAATCCCAGCACCAACTGATCGATCACATATCAGGATGTACTCATAACTTAGTCTCCATGAAATAATTATGATCATGACTGAGACTGAAAATGTGGTACTGGCTGGGCGCAATGGCTCACGCCTGTAATCCCAGTACCAACTGATCACACATCAGGATGTACTCATAAATTAGTCTCCATGAAATAATTATGATCATGATTGAGACTGAAAATGTGGTACTGGCCAGGCGCAATGGCTCACGCCTGTAATCCCAGCACTTTGGGAGGCCGAGGCGGGTGGATCACGAGGTCAGGGGTTCGAAACCAGCCTGACCAACATGGTAAAACCCCGTCTCTACTAAAAATACAAAAATTAACCAGGCATGGTGGCGCATGTCTGTAATCCCAGCTACTCAGGAGGTGGAGGCAGGAGAATCACTTGGAACCCAGGAGGTGGAGGTTGAAGTGAGCCGAGATCACGCCATTGCACTCCAGCCTGGGCAACAGAGCAAGACTCCATCTCTTTAAAAAAAAAAAAAAAAAGAAAGAAAACGTGGTACTGAGACACAATGGGTCACCCTATACAGACTTCCTCAACATAACTGCTTACACCGCACCTGTTTCTTTTCAGGTTTTTCTTTCCTCTCTTATTTTATTAAGTGTTATGCTGCACAATCACATGAGAAAAAAAATCCATCAGCAAGAGATATACCTTTGCTTAAGTTCCTTGGAGGCCCGGAAGACCGACTGCAGGTTGCTGACATCCACCTGGACAATGGTGACCTCAGCAGTGGGGTGAGAGGCCAGCAGAGCAGCACAGACAGCTTCTGCCTTGCTCATGTTCCTGCACGCCAAACACAGATGAAGCTCATCATCTTCCGCCAGCAGCCGCTTGCAGAGGGCCAGGCCAATGCCACTGGGAGGACAATTCAGACACAAGATGTGGGTTATCTGGGATGGCATCAGGTACAGGCATTTCTCTCTGGTTCAGAAAACTGTGTCAAGTTGACCTCCAATGAGAAGCCCAGATAGAAAGAAAAGACTCAACAATTATTTAAGAAGGGAGGAATCCTACACTCCAATAGTCACTTGCTTGAGACACAGCCTAGTTTGTGTTTTTCTCATTTTGAAAAACTTCAATGACAAAATAACTGGACTGAAAACAAGAATTGTTCTTTAGTTTTTCTACTACTGGGCTTTATCCTGCCAGTGGTTTTCATTTTGTACCTATTATGTCACTCATGAAAATGATTTAATATATCACCAGTAAGGGCTCAAAAGAGCATCTTATTAGCTGTTTCCTATGTGCATTTTGACTTTGCTGTCTAGGCTCCTCAGGGGCAAGGGCTCTACCACCTACTGGTATCGTAAACACCATAAGGAGCACCAGAAATCTCTGATAAAGGAACAGATGAATCTTTCAGGATGAGGCATCAGTAACATGGCAGGATGTACAAATCCCTCTCAACAACTATGATTAAATAATAGAAAAAGAAAGAACTCAACATGATTAAGTAGAAGGTAGGAATACACTAAATATTAGATGAGTACACCACTTGGAAACAAAGAACTTCAAAACCAGCATTGTAAAACCGCATAGGAGTGGTGACAGCAGTCAGACCAGCCTGGCTGATAGCAATGAAAAGCTGGGTAATAAGTTCTCTTTCAAGACTTAAGCTGATTCCAGGCAAATATGTTAATAGTTAAAACCCAAAAAGAGCCTGGAACCATCAGTAATCTATTAGCACCAACAACAAAGCATCAAAAATATTTATTTGTCCTCACATGAGAACAGTAGGCATTTAATATACAATTGCACATGTCACAATATATGTAAAAGAAACAGACAAAATCAATTCTGACTTACTCAGTACCTTCCACATAAGAAGCACCAATCAACGGTTAAAGTCACTTGAGAGGGTATGCTAAAAAGTTGCCAAATGCAGACACCTACCAAGCTGGCTTAGTTAATACGCATGTGGTTAAATAATTGAAAGTGGATCAATCTTAAATGTTTAACATGTCCTCTGTCTTAATCATTTAAAAATGCCAAATGCAACTAGTAGAAAAATGGTTTGATTGGCTTCATCCTCCACACATTTTTCACAGAAGTGCAAATGACAGGTAAAACAAGCAACAGAAGAGGCTGAGAGACTAAACGAGCAACCCTGGAATTATTATGAGCTGGTTATTCTGCACCCCAACCATGCCTTCATAGGAAAAGATTAATTTTCTCTGGGTTTCTGAAGAGTATGTTAGCTCTCTAGCACTGAGCTAAATGAAACGGGATTGTTTTCTCTCCACCGTCCTAATGTTCATGGGTGTTCAAATTTGTAGGCAAAAGGCTTGTACAGACAAAACACCTGGAGTATAAGACATGATCACGTGGTCAGGAGCAAAATATTGGGCACTGACGATAAATACGAACAGTAGGCAAAGATGGAAAAGGGGCGGAGCCCGCCTGAGTACCCCATTGCCTTGATAACCTCAGGATCATCACTGCGACACTCATCACTTACTGATGCTCTAGTTTTCCTTTTCACTGTCATGTTTAATACAAAGCACCAGTTACTGAGCACCTCAAGAGGCCGACATGCCCCACACCTGCTGCAGACTCCGGGGAACCTAGGCAAAGCCAGGGGCGGGCGCTTCCGGGGTCCGTTCGTGGAGGGTCGCAGACCCCTGCTCTCTCGGACCCCTGATCCGCTGCCGCCTCTGCCAACCCAAAGGAGGCCTCACCTGCTAGCCCCGGTGATCAAAACCACCTTTCGCATCTTCGCGCACTCACACTTCCAAGCAGTGAAGCAAACACCGCCGCTGCTTTCGGAAGTCCTACGATTTCGGGCCGCCTCACCCGTCACCAATCAGAGTACGGCCACGCCCCGCCTCCCGTTGCGTCATCGAGTCTGAGCTGATCCCTCCAATCTCAGTCCGCCAACCGTTCCCTGCCCTCGGAGACGGCGTCGGGTGAGATAGGCCGAGGGGCGGAGCTGCGTGACGCAAAGCCCGGAGCCATTCCAGGCTCTTCTCGCTCCGCCTAGGCGCAGGTGTCTGTCACTGCTTCCTAGGGCTCAGCGGGCGCCTGATCTTTAATCCTGGTGGGGGCGTCACCCGGCCTAGCACTCAGGACAGGATCTGTGACACGCACTGGGTCTGTGCCCTGGCGCCTGAGATTGGCACTTCTTTGCAGGAAGGCCTCACGGTATTTGCACCAGTGCCCATTTTAGAGAAAAGGTTTGGGTCTAGGAGCCAAAGTTGGGCGATTATCATCTAATTTTCCACTCCTTTTTGGATGTACAGATCCAGGCATTGTGCCACTTCACAGCCCAACTTTTGATCCCAGACCTCCTCCTCTAAAGAAGCTTATTTGAGAAAATGAGCACTGATTTTATTAAGAACTTTATGTAGAATCAGACGTAAATTACCAGTATTCAAAACTTGGAATGTGGCGTGGAATCAGAATCTCAGAACTTCATTCTCCGAAGTACTGAGAATGTGCTGTAACCTTCTGTATCAGTGCATCTCAAACTGTGCTAAAGGACCTGTTTTTGTCTCCAAGCCATCCCAGATGGGTGCTTTTAGAAAATACAAAAAAATAAAGTGCTAGAAAAAGAAAAGCAAAAGGCATACAAAACACAAGCCCCGATATTTTATTATTAGATCCAAGACATATAAAAGTACTCTGCCAAAATGAGGCAGAATAGGGTTTGGAGGCAGGGTACTTAAGGCCACTTCGTGCTGACTTCCTAAAGCTCAATCAAGGAAAAACAGCAAGGGCTGGAAGTAGGGAATCTGAGACCAATTGGTGCTGGCTTCCCAAAGCTGGATCAAAAGGAAAACACCTGGGTCTGGGGGCCGAGAGCCTAGGGTCAATTAACACCAACTTCCTAAAGCTAAACCAGAAGGAAAAACCCCATCTCCCCACTCCCCAGTAGCAAAGGATCAAAGGCTACTCTCCCTACAACCTTCTGTTCTCAGACCAAACTGAGGGTTGGGCTGCTATTTTTCAAGGCCCAATAACGAGATGCAGATGAGCTGGGGAGGAAGAGAGTTTTTATTTCTGTAACCGGTTGCAGGGAGAAGGCCTGGAAATTATCACCAGACCAACTCAAAATTACAGTTTTTCAGAGCTTATATGCCTTCTAAGCGAACTGTCTATGTGTAAGTGTGCATTTATCTAAAGACATAAGTGATTAACTTCTTTTAATCTGTAACTAAGGTCTGAGTCCTGAAAACCTTCCTCTGGAGCCTCAGTAAATTTACTTAACCTAAATGGGTCCAGGTGCTGGGGTGATTGCCCTTGTATTCTCTCCTGCTAAGTGGTGGAGGTTTGAGGAGTTCTCTTAGACCCCCCAATAAACTTGTTTGTGGAGGCCTGGGGAGTTTCTTCAGACCACAATAAAACTTGTTTAATCCTAAAGGGGTCCGGTTAAGAATTCTTTCTTTATTTTGTATGCTTTAAGAGGCCCAGGAAAGGCCTAGGCAAAATTCTTGATGGGCTTTTGTTACATCCCAGCCTTTGTATAAGGGCACTGGCTTTTAATATTTAACCACTTAGTACTGAAACAGTTGTTAGTGAGACCTGGCCTGCCACACTTCCACCATGTCTCAGATGGAAAGGGAAAGTGCCTTGGATTGGCTGTGGGCCAAGCACTAAGCATGGGCCATGCCATCATCTGCATAGGGCACAAATTCACCTCAGCCTTTACTTAGCCATAAACCAAATCCTTCATCCAGATAAGGGGTAGCCCATAGGGACCTCAAAAGAACTACTTAAAACCCAGAAAACTTTGTAACTGGGCCCTTGAGCCACTTGCTCAGGCCCACTCCCACCCTGTGGAGTGCTTTCTCAGTTTAATAAATCCCTGCTTTTGCTTTCGCAGCTTCATTCCTTTGTTACTTTGTGCATTTTGTCCAACTTTTCGTTCCAAATGGCCAAAAACCTGGACGACTCACACTCAAGGCCCTCCTTCCAGTGACAAAACTGCTATAAAGGTTTCTAATGCTTACTCTAGGTTTCTGTATTTGTAGTAGACTGGTAATGGGACCATCACTAGCCCCAGCTCATGCAGAATAAAACTGTGTATCATACATCAAACGCTACTGAACATACTTTATTTAATGGCCTCTTTCAGTGTTTTAATTATTTATGAACAGCAATGATCCATAAAACACTGAGATAATTTATATTGGCTTTTGATTCTAGAGGTTTTGATTAATGATACCAACTTACTTAGTAATCATTTATCCTATATCAATAAAATTAGATTGAAAGAACAAATCTGGTTATTAGAACATTAGATTCCTAAATAAAATTTTTTTTTTTTTTTTTTTTTTTTAGACAGAGTCTCACTCTGTCAGCAGGCTGCAGTGCAGTGGCGCAATCTCGGCTCACTGTAACCTCCGCCTCCCGGGTTCAAGCAATTCTCCTGCCTCAGCCTCCCGAGTAGCTGGGACTACAGGCACACACCACCACACTCAGCTAATTTTTGTGTGTGTATATATGTATGTGTATATATATATATATATATATATTTTTTTTTTTTTTTTAGTAGAGGTGGGGTTTCATCGTGTTGGCCAGGCTGGTCTTGAACTCCTGAGCTCAAGTGATCTGCCTGCCTCGGCCTCCCAAAGTGTTGGGATTACCGGCATGAGCCACCGCGCCCGGCCAATAAAATTTCTTTATCATGGGGGTGGAACTCAGCTCCTACGCTTATCCCACTTTCAACTGTTCTAAAGAGACCACAATTTAACAACATTTTCTGAAAGTCATGGAGTAAAATTAAGCCTAATTGTGAGAGTCTAGACCCAAAGACTCATTTTAAAATGTTCTAGAGCTCAGAGGTGATAAGGAATAAGAAGAAGACCTGGTTGTGTGGCTGTCCCATAAAAAAATCATTTCTATAAAGAAGGGAGAGGGCCTGGGCTGTGGAGGCTCAGCATTACCGCAGTCTCGGGATGACCGCCAGCCTAAGACAGACTGAATTAAGTGAAGTCCAGACAGCTTCAGAGCAAGACCGTCTGTCTCTCCTTTCCCCAAGATTTTCATTCAAGCCAAGTGATGAAACTGCTCTCTTCTTCCTTTTTCTGCACTAAAGTTGCTGCTTTCAAGGTGTTATGACTTTTGAAAGATGGGCTGAACTGCTAGAGGTGCTCAGAGAGACTAGAATAGAGTTCAAAATAGATGCCATTTAATTTTATATTTTACAAATATTTTATCACTCATAGGACACAGCTTGATAACCATCATAATATGTTTTTATTGATGAGTGAATGGATAGGTGTGTTTTTTTTAATCATCATAAGTTTATGTTTTGCATGGGCTCATTCTGTTCTCCTGGAAATCAGAAGAACAATAGGGTACACAATGATCCCATCTATCCCTGCCAAACCTTGGCCCTGTGATTTATCTACCATACCCCATGCTGAAAAATGTGCTCAGAAAACTCACATATTCTGAGAAATATTCTCAGAAAACTAAAAGTATAAACTTATTCTCAGAGACCAGGTAAGAAATGGGTTGTTTGGGGTCGTTTCATTCTAATCTCTAGTATAATGACTGAGTCTAAATTCTGGTTTTCATAGTTTTTTTTGGTTTGTGCATGTGCAGGTAGTCTGAGACAGACTATATTTGGATTTAAAAAGGATTTCTGTGTATCAAACAAGACAAGTCTGTAACCATAACGATAAGGGATCACCAGTTAATTCTAGACTGGATTCCCCAGAACTGGACTAATTAATGTGAGGACGTAAAATCCCAGTGTCTCGTATGTTTGGATATGTCAGAGACCAAGATGCTTTCTTCCCAATAAACAGTCAACTCATATGTTAGAGGTCTATTTAAATAATCCTTTGCTGGAAAGCCCCACAAACAGGTGTCCATACCACATACACCCCAGCTCTGGGCCCATGCCCCATCACTTCCCCAGGAATGAAAGACTATAAAGAGCAAAGGTTACAAAGCCCAGAACTGGCACTGTTTATACAGAAAGGGAGATCCATCAGTAGCATGACTCTTTAATCATTGTTATTTACAATTTATCATCTGACAGACTTACAGAGAATAAATAAAGAAAAGAAAATATACAATTGGTATCACGTTTCTTTTTCTAATACAGAGAAATTTTACATATTCTATTTGGAACGTCTATGATAGTTTTAAGCAGAAATTAAATCCATTTGCCCTTTACCCCTTGACAAGACACATCATCTTCCAAAGCCTGCAGAAGGGGGCCCAGATGTTTCCTCATCACAGGAAGAGTGCACCACATCGCTGCAGAAACTCAGTCCTCAGAAAAAGTTACCAGGCAACAAGGTAGAAGAATAGGATATCATGAATAATAAAGGACATATAATGGATAGGCTAGATTACAGACTCTTGGTGTGTTTGCAGGAAGCCAGCTTTCAATTGTGTCCAAGCCTGTTTTCAAGAAAACAGTTTTTCACTGAAAGTGATTACCTTATCCCATTGTGCTTCCCTTGAGTCTCTGCAAATTCTTCCTTGACATGTTCATTGTGATTGTGGATGAGCACAGGCTAGCTTGGGACTCAGATTATTTTCCTGCAAGGCACCTGACACTGTTGCATGTTGTTGACAAGGTGTCTGCAGGAGAAACTAGATAGCTTGTTTCAAATAGGCTGGGTATGAGGCCAGAGTCTGGTCTCTCCTTTTGATTCGGTGTCCTGTGGAGAACTACCTTTCATTGCTGTCTAAATGCCTCAAAAAATTAAGCAGTTCTATAGATCAATTTCTCCATCAAAAAGTATACAAACAGAGAATGCACTTCACCAGGAACAAGTCTGAGTAATTTTTTTCTCTTTCCTCACTTGAAAATAAACTCTCCATGTTACAAGCAAAACAATTCTCCCTACATTCACTCTAGTTAACTGGATGAGAAGTTTTTGTTTCTATCTTATGTTCATTCAAAAAAACAACATTCAGCAAATATTTATCAAGTGCTCACAATGACCTAGAAACTTAGTAAGACACACATTGTTATAATCTTGACCCCTTAAATAGGGGACTTAAAAATGTCAATCATAAAACTCAAAACTGTAATCCACAAAACTGGAGTTTCAACTTCTCCCCAGGTTGCCGCTGTGTTTGCAATTAATTTGGTCTAATGTGGTTGTTATTCCATTTAATAACGGCTATTTAGGCAAATAAAACCTCTCTACCACTCTGAAAATAGTATTTTATCAAACATTAGGAGTCTATACCATTGTATTCTATTCTCTCCACAAGCTATTTCCAGTGCCATTAACTAAGTGCCAACTAACTCTTGACTGAAATACTGGTTTACTCTAAACTCCTTATTTTGTCCCCAGTGCTAATCCTACTCACGTAGAAGCAGCAGGAAGCATCTAGAATATCCTGCTACCTGGTTTTCTAGACAACAAGCTATGAACAGGTCTTACTGTGTTTTGTGTTGCCTAATCTTTCTAAGTTTGTCTTGGATTGTTTCAGATGCCAAACAGCCAAACAAATCAGAAAATTTAGAAGCAGTGTAGGCAGGGTATTGCTCATGACAAAGGAACACATTAATGTGTTAATAGTCTCTCTAAAACTGTAGAACTTTATCCAGATAGTATCTTTCCTGTTGTATCCAAGCAAGGCCAGTTTACAAATCAGCAAGAATTAAAAGTATCCAGCAACTAAATGAATATGTGTGGAAAAACTGGCGAAATTGAAAAAAGGTCTGTAGTTTAGTTAATAGCATTATGCCAATGTTAATTTTCTGGTTCCGAAAATGGACTAAGTGAAATGTTATAAATGGGGAAAACTGGATCTAGGGTAAGGCCACTCTACTATTTTTGTAACATCTTGTGAGCCTTAAGTTCTTTCAAAATAACAAGTTTTTTGTTTTTTTTTAAAGGATACAGCAACTCAACAATTCCCCACTGCTCTTTGGCACCAAGTAATGCAGCTAATTGTAGCAGAAAACTCAGAATGCCAGAAATCAAATCACCATTAACCACTCCAGTCTCTTTCCTTCTCAATTCAGCTCTTGAAAACATTTACTAAGTGAAAAACACATTAATCTGTTTTTATAAAAATGTTACATTTCTATTTAGAAGGATTTCCCAGCAAAAATAAGGATCTGCATCTTCCTGGAGATGAAGAAACATTAGAGACCTACCATATGCACTGCCAGAGGACAGAAGTCTTACTAAAAAGGAAAGACTAGGATGGCAAATTCCAGGTCTATAAATTCGACTTATGATCAAAGACTTAGTAGCCATGTATTGCAATTTTCTTTTTTTCTTTTATTTTTGTAGTTTTGGGCAAAACATTCACTGTTCTGTTTCAGCATACTTCCTTGGAACATCTTCATCTCTTTCCATTTTGCGGACACTCCCCTTCTTCTATTCTCCTTTACTCAAAACATATGGTTTAGACCCACATCATGGCTTTCTTGTGGGAAGCCTGGATGGGACTAGGAAAACACATGTTTCCAACATGGTGCATATCTGTTTGTGCAGATATCAGACAAGATTTAATCTTGTCTAACTTATGCGTATTGTTTTGATGTTTGCCTGTGGTTATTCTGGGCACAGCAATGGTGGACATTATTGAAAATGAACTTTATTGGCAGATGAAAGATAATAGAACATGAAGATTTATGAACTACCATAAGCTCTGCATCTCTGGGTCTTCATTTCCAAAGCAGCACTTGGAAAACCAAGCCCAGTTCAGGCAAAGAGTTCCTTTCTTCTCACCAGCACTTGAAATGGTCCAGAATATACCTGATGCTCACACCACCTTCCTCATCCACTTCTGAAATGAAAAGGTCATTCCCCGATGGTTGCTATATCTTTTCCAAGAGGAACTTCCCCTTTCTTAAAATTCTGAAAAATTCCTTTCCATTTCATACACTGAACCTGACTTCATTTCTTAATAAATATTTTTATCATCTCTATCATCCAGAATTTCTTCTTTCTCCATCCATATTTATCTTTTACTTCAAGACACTTACTTTCCTATTCCCTTTCAAAACTCCTTCTTGTTTCAAAATGGATTCCCAATGGCTCTAGCTACTCCTGTTTCTACCTTGCTCGACTTGACCTTCCCCTGTGTCTTTCCTGTGCATTCTCCATTGCCCCTTTTTATGTAGCCTCCTTTCTAGCCCTGACCTTCCTCCCTATTCAGTCATATGCACATTCACGTATCCTTTTTTTTCACCCCACTTGCACACAGTCCTCTTCTTTATACAGTCTTATATACTTGCAAGTGATCTTTCCACAACATTAAAACCACATTTTGCTCCTCAGGCACCTCTTTGCACTCTAGATCTTTTCTGATCATATGTGTCTGGATAGCACATCAAGTTTCAGACCTGGCTATCAGCACATTAGCCAGCAAGAATATAAGTTTAGATCTGACAATCCCAAAACACAATCTGCACATAAAATAATTCACATATATCATGAAGAAGATAACTTACTGCAAAGGTAATAAGGCCCCACAGTTTCTGATCATTTTTTTTCTATCTCCTTTTCCAAATAAGTCCTAGCTTCATTCTTCTAATTCAAATTTGAACTACTTTCAAATTCTACATACTAGGCCCTCACCATGTATTCTGTTGGGTTGCATGGATTTGTGCTACTAAACTCTAAAGGCATGACTAAGCTAGAAACTAAACCTGTGTCTGTAATACAAAGTTCTCAGTGCCAGAAGTTGAAGCCTTCCTCATCCCAGAAAAGGACACAGATATGTATTACATGATAATACATATTGGGCAGCCATCTGAAACATATTACTTCTGTGACTCAAGGCCAGGAAAATTCAGACATTGTAAGTTCATTTTAAATATGATTTTTTTTAAAAAAAATATGGAATCATAGAATAACCCAGTGAACTGGTGCAGAATCATAAAAAAGAATAAGTGGAGAGATTTTAGGCAAAGGAAGATATAATAATATTATTTTCTCTTGCTCTATAAGAAGTCATGGTGTGATCTGGATGTAGCCCTACCAGAGACATGTGGATAAAGAAGAATAGGCTGCAGGTCCTGAGTTCAAGTCCCTTTAATTCTAATGAAGCTAATACATATCTTGAAAGTGGAGTGTGGCAGGTCCCAAGGTATCTAGTCCTGCACATATCAAATATGCTAATGTATTTGGAAACACCTGGTAAACCTAAGGCACAATACAAATGGCATGTGTTACTATTACTACCATTACAGTGATTTCTTCCATGATCTCTTTTGCTGACTACAATTTTCAGAGCAAGAAATGACCAGATTACTAAACCCATCAGTTATAGATCCAATTTTCCAGTGAGTACTGGACATATCAGAACAAGAAAGGACCTCAAAACCATTTAATCTAATTTCCTCATCCTATAAATAAGAAAACAAAATGCAGAAAGACCAAGTGATTTAGCCAAGATGACACACTTAGTGTGAAGCAGAAAGAGGATTAAAGCTCCCAAACCAATGCTCTCTTGACTCTCAAACCAATGATTTCTCCACAGTTAGTCCTGGGATAGACTAAAGCCCAAAGGCATAGGACAACTATGGGGAAAGGACATTTGCTAGGATCAGAAGATGACCTGCAAAATGGAGCCTGTGGACTTGGGATCTATGCTTATGCTGTGGCGTGGAGCAATGCTGAAAGCTGAATGGGGAAATACACATGTTCCTGAGAAACTGTTGTAGAAGGTAAACTGGTGAGGGCAACAGAGGCAGACCCAAGGGGTCAAGGCTAATCCTTCTCAGCTTGGGAAACTGATTTGTAATGTTTTCTTGTTTCTCCTCAATTGGAATTAAGAGTTCCTTTTTCCAGCTTCCCACTAAATCTGAGGATTTGTGGAGTGTGAAAACTCAGAATCTGCTCTGAGCAGATTCCTTCTTGACAGTGGCTCTGTTTCCATGAATTCTGAAGCCACAGCCCTGAGCTTTCTTTTCTGCTGGTCACGCCATCTCAGAGGCAAGAGTGTGTATACTCAGCAGTAGCAACAGATGTTCATCCTGTGCCTCTCCAGAATCAAGGACTCTCGGAGTTAGAAGGACATTAAACATTGTCTCATACCACCATCCACTTTGTGTTTGAAAACCTCCATTTTCCTTGCATTGTTCTTGAGCCTCTATCTTAACCTCTCCAGTGACAAGAGACTCCTCACCTCTGGTGGCAGCCCATTTATCCTTGTATGTTCTGAGTGCTTCGTTTTCCCCAATAAGGAATGGAAATCAGTCTCCCTGTAACTTCTCCACATCAGTTCCTAGGACAACTTTTTTGGGGACACTCAGAACAGATCTATTCCCTCTTAGACAAGGCCATTAGGTATTTATGCCTGAGAAATTCAGCCCCAAGCCCAAAGATCCCACAGAGGCTTCATCCTTGAAAATGCTAGAAGATTTGGACAAGATGAACTCAAGAGTCTACCATCAAAACATCAAGATATCAAAACATCAGACTTTACTGATTAAAAACTCAGATTCTCACTAAAACACACACATGAAAATATCTGAACAAGACAAAGAAGAGAACCCTCTTACAAAATCACAAATAAATGGTGGATAGCATGTCTGTTATGTGTCCTCCATTGACCTCCTTTCCTATGTCCATTATCTATTCATGAATCCTTCCATCCATGAGGTACTTTTTTTTTGTAAATGACAATCCCCCTTCATACACTCTTGCAGCAGACATTCTTTCCTATCTACATCCCCAGTTGTTTCATATATGAACTTCAATCCTGACCCCTGCCCATGAATGAACAGAACACCCATTTCAAGAAATTGGGGGTTTTCAAGAATATATCATTCACTTTGACAGGAGAGAGAAATACAAACAGTGAGACATGTCCAGAGGCCAAATTAGAAAACCACCTGTGATTAGTTGCTGAATTCTGAGTCCTCAGATTCTCCACATCTATCAAGTGTTTTCCCTAAACTTAATCTCATGTTTCCCAAGACATTAGTATTCTTCAAGTTTTTCTTTCTGAAGATTCTTTTAGAATGACATGGAAAAATATTGTAGAATCTGCACATTTATAAGCACAAGTATAGTTAACCTTTATAAATTATCTGAATTTTCTAGCCTTTGTTATCCAACACTTTGGTATATCAAAGATTTTCTTTTACTAGATTGTATCTGCCCTAGGCTTTTTTTTTTCCTTTTTTAGTTCTTTAATGTAAAAAAAAAAAAAAGTGTATATGAGTCAGGGGTAGGGAGTGGGGGTGACCAGGAAAAGAGGGCAAAGCAAACAAGCCTCTGTCTCTCAGTTTCATTAAATGTCCAGATGGAGTGGCATAGGCATGGGTGAGTGGTAGGTCTTGTAGGGAGGACCTGAGCCGTAGGAACATGGCCAGGCACTGACAGCATCACTCGTCGCCTTGTTGAAGGAGCAGAAGGTGGATTTCTTGGAATGAGGGACGGTTCTTCGTATCTCTTCTCCAGCAGCTGAGCATCAGCTTATACACAGAGTCAGGACAAATGGCTGGTTGAGGGAGGTAAGTCTTTGGGAACAAAAATAAAGGAAAACAAAAGAGAGAGAGAGAGAGAATATTACAAAGACGGGGGAAAGGGAAGTATCTTTGCATCATGGTTTGATTTGCCCCCTGCCCACTTTCTTGAACTTGATAACTGAAATGGGTGTAGTGTCCATTTTTCCTACTCGTGAAAGTTCTGAATCATATCAGCCCTTTTCTAAGCTGTTCCATTTGTCTTCTGCAGTTGTCTGCAGCAGAATTTTTTGATGGGCCATTATGTGGTCCCTACCTTCATGCAAAAGATGAAACAACCAAAAAGAGACCAAATCTTCCATTTATGGGCAACCCATATTGAAGTTCATCTTGGCTGAGCCGATCATGGCAGAGGCAGAAAACAACATTTTTCTTTGGCCCACTCACTTATCTCATGTACTCAGGAGTAAATTTTCCTTTGACTATAGTAAGAAGGCAAATTGCCTCATAACCAAGATAGCTAATTTAGACTCCCTGCTGCCAAAATATTTACAGAGTATCAAGATACAATTAAATTCTCAGACCCCTCTCTTATTTTTAATATGCATAATGTATTATCTCTTGTCAATACCTTATCTATCTTTGGCTTGCTTGGATCTGTTCAAGCCACAGAAGATCCACTTTTTATTGTCTGCAAGATCCTTCCCCCAGCTATTATCCTTTTCCTGGTAAAGATACCATAATCCAAGGGTATGCTGTTGCCAGGCCCCTTTGGGGAAGTGCGGTGCTGTAGTTACTGGCAAGCTTTAAATTCCAGATCTCACAGGAATTTTAAATCTAAGCCACCCAAAAAAAAGCTTGGAGTATCTTGGCTAGGAATTGAGACTCCTGGGGAGCTTGGGAACTCATCTTTCCCTGAGTCCTGAGATGTCACAATACTGGGCCCAGAGATGCCTTCCAAGAGCAACAAGTTTAGGATATATCTGCCCATTTTCAGACATCCAAGTCTAGAAACATTGCTAGATAGTCAAAACCAACCCCATTTCTTATACTAAGCTATATTTTTAATGAATGCTAATACATCCCTTTTACACTTTTATTTTTTGACCCAGAAGAAAAACCACATGGTCTAGATCAAGAAATAGATAAATCATGAGAGATAGGACTTTGTTTCCTGCTACCTTTGAGCTGGGGAGAAACCTGACATGACCCTTTATGCTCTCCAAGAGTCAATGAGTTGACACATAGATAAAGCAAAGTGTATGGATGCCTGGGGAGGATACTGGTCTTTCACATCATCTGGATAGTTAGTGACAAAGACTAACACCTGGATAGTCTGTCTTCCATCTCGGCCCACTCCTGCTAAGGCAGGACTTGCCATTCTCCATCCTTCAAGGTACACAGGTCCACATCCATTCATCCCCAACAGTTCTTACCTGCCTCCCTTGGTCTCGGAAGAACTCTCCAGTATTCTCAATAACCTGTTCATCTGACAGCTGGGAATAGGGCTGTTCTTGACAAAAGGTGAAAGTCTCCCACAAAGTAACCCCAAAGGCCCACACATCACTTGCTGTAGTGAACTTGCCCTATTTAAGTAAAGAAAAGAATGGGAAATCAGAATAACCTGTGCACAACAACACCCTGTTAAATTTCATAATCTGCAGCTATACCCCTTCCCCCACCACAGGCAAGGAATTCTGAAAATGCCAAGATGTGCATGGAGTATTTAGAAACAGCCCATTCTTTCATTCTCATGATCTCAGCTTGGTTCTGTTTCTCTGGGGATGAGATCCAAGAGCTGAAAAAAACGCAGCCATAAGCTATTTGACTCTGCAACTGAGTGTTAGGTCAACCTTTCAACTCTAGGGTAGCCTTGGGAAAATGCTCCTGAGAAAGGCAAAATCTGAATGGGAAGTCAATGGTTTTTATGTTAGAGATAGAGGAATCTAGTTTAAGTGCCTGCAGTGAATCCAGGACTCTCATTTACCAGTTCAGTGATAATCACAGTGTTGAAAGATAGACTTTAACAAGTGACAGCAATGAGATTCAGGTGTAAATAGCATGCATTGACTACTCACATTTTCTACTCAATACAGACAACCACACTGTGAAGTGGATGATATTATTTATTATTAAATATTTTTTCCTTTGAGAAATGGGGTCTCATTATGTTGCCCAGCCTGGAGTGCAATGGCCAGTCACACGTTTGATCTCATTACTGATCAACACGGGAGTTTTGACCTCCTCTGTTTCTGACCTGGGCTGGCTCATCCCTCTTTAGGCAACCTGGTGGTCCACTGCTCCTAGGGGTGACCATATTAATGCCAGACTTAGTGAGGACACCCAATTGTCATAGCGCAGCGCAGCCCAGATTTTCATCCTCCTGCCTCAGCCTCCTGAGTAGCTGGGACTACAGGTACATACCACCATGCCAGTTATCCTTATTTTTTAGATCAGAAAAATGAAACAGGAGAGGTTTCCCAAATTCTTCTGGTTAATAAGACCATTAGTAGTGGAAAAACTGGATTTGAACCAAGGTCCTCTGAATGTCAGTCTAATATATTGTTTTGAACACCATATAATACCTTTAGGGAGAGTAATGCCTAACTATCCCATTAGAAATGGGTAAAATATAGCAATTCACATATATAGGTGAAAAAGATCTTTATAAGGATTTATGTAAACTGGTGTACATCACAGCATCATTCATAATAGCAGGAAATTGGAAAGTACTTAAATATCAAATTATAGAGGCATTATTAAGTTATAGTATATATCTACACATGGAATATTATGCAGATAATAAAATGTTAAGTTAAAAATAGAGATAGAGAATTGTATGGCATAGTGTCATCCCAATTATGTAATATAAATTACATATATGTACATATGTATATAAATGCATGCACAGAAAAAAAATTGCATGCATAGAAAAAATATATGTATAGAAAAAAATCCTCTAAGAAAATATACCAAAGTATTGATAGTGGTTATCCTGGTGAGTGCAAGGGAATAACTATACATTTTTTATTTCAAAATTAATTTACAAATCCTATAAGAATATTAGCAGGAAATAAGCAGATTAATCATAAATGAACAAAACCAAATTGGTCTCAGACTTTTCTCTGCAATGTCACACAAGAAAAAAGATAAAATAACATGTACATGGCATTGTAGGAAGTAAAAGTGTATAGTCTAATGAGTCTATAAATCAGCTGAGTGGTTATAAAATCAACAATAAAAAGTCTCAGGTATGCATGGACAGAAAATATACCTCTAATAGAGATATTTGGGAAAAATTACTCACTTATGGTATGGAATATCAAGAATCAAATAAAAATTATAAAGCAAAGAATGATGAACTTAAAAAGAACATGTTGAAAAGTATTGAAATACAATTATAGGAATTAGTCTATGTAATTATGAGAAACATGCTTATGAAACTAATGGAGAAGAAAATATTTTGTATAGGTAACATTTCTTTAAATGATAAGGTTTTTAATATCTTAAATTAAGAACAATCACTAGGTAGAAATGATAAAGAGAAACAAAGATAATAAATCTCTTATACTTTTTAACTTCTCTCCCTAAATTTTTATGTGTGTTAATTTTTTAGCAGAAATAGGCAAGCATTAAATAATAAGAATTAGTACACAAAGAAAATAATTTCAAATCAGAGAAAATACTACAGTCTATTGAGTTTGCCTCCTGCTGTCTCAGGTTTGTCTCCACGTGTCATGCATGTGAGCCCACAAGCCAGTTGTTAGACAGGGCTTTAAAATGCTGAGAACTTACCAGCAAGATACTCTCCCAAGACATCCAGCGGATAGGGAGCACTGCCCGGCCCTGGATCCGGTAATAGTCACCACTGTACAGGTTCCTGCTCATTCCAAAGTCAGCTATCTTGATTGTGTAGTTCTTACCCACTAAACAGTTTCGTGTGGCCAGATCTCGGTGAACAAAATTAAGAGAGGAAAGGTACTTCATGCCAGAGGCAATTTGGGTAGCCATAAACTTCAGATTGGTGTAACTGAGGAAATAGACAAGAAGACAGAAGGTAGCCTATGGAAACAGGAAGATGTGAAAGGTACACATTCTAAAATGGTATCAACAAACTAGGGTTGAAAGCTCAACATTCTTTCTCTACTCTTGATGAATCCCTTGCGTTTCCCCAAAGGGCAGCTGCTCCATTATTCCCTGCACACTGACTTCCCCCACCATCCCAGAACATTGATACACTTTAAGGCTCACTGCTCCCTATTTTCAGATCCCAGGTTACTCTCATGACCACAGGGAGGAGAAGGAAGACCTGGCTTGTTTACCTGACAGTGCGTACATCGCTGGAGGAAGAATTAGGGGGCTCGTGGCGGGAAAGAAACTGATTGAG
Source organism: Homo sapiens (assembly GCF_000001405.40). Classification (NCBI taxonomy): domain Eukaryota; kingdom Metazoa; phylum Chordata; class Mammalia; order Primates; family Hominidae; genus Homo; species Homo sapiens. Next base: position 162,775,778 of record NC_000001.11, on the reverse strand, counting down.
ATCTCCATTCTCCATGTATTCAGTGATCATACAGAGAGGGTCATCAGTGATACACACAGCTAATAGATGGATGATGTTTGGGTCCTTGAGCCGAGACATGATCTTTATCTCCTTAAGAAAATCATTCCTTGGGAGGATACAGACATAGATAAACTCAGAAGTTGCCAGAGTCAGAATCAAGAGAGAGAAGAATGCACACCAAGGCCTATTCCTGGACATTATGCCAAATCTTGTTTCCCTTTGGATAACTTTTGAGAGGACAGAGAAATTGACACCTGGATCTGTCTCATTCTATTCCTCCTGAAATATCATGGGCCCTTATTCAATTGTAATGTTTTTGAGAACAAGATCCATGACTTATTCACATTTCTATCCCTCACATCTAACAAAATCCCTGCCACACAGAAAGTGATTAATATTTGCTGAATCAAAAATAGGCTGCTAAAAACCACTCTACAGAGTAAAATGTTTCACTGAAAATCATATCTTAAGTGCACGAGGATATTTACCTTTTTTTTTTTAAAGCCATGGAGTCACTCTATTACTAGTGAAGAAACTTTGTATGATGTGAACAACCATCTTTGGCTTATCTGATTACTCTTTATTTTCTCATACTGACTTTTCTTAATGCAGTACGAACCATCAGTCAGTTGCAACATGTATTTAGTAGCCTGTCGAAAACAGAGCTCTTTAAAGGCTGTGGTGGTAATCATGTCAAAAGAAGTATTCATTTGACCAAGACTAATAATTGTTTGAGTACATGGTGACAGACACCCTTGGGTCATAAAGTAGCAAGATTTTGTTAGTGAGGCCTCTAGCCCACATTCCCAAAACTGTTGGAGCAGATGAGTTATAAGCCCTCCAAGAGTTTGCTAGGAATCCTGGACTGGAAGTCATACTACGTCAATATAAACCACTGGAATCAATGCCGTCCTGATGCAACACCTCCCCTCTTTCATTCCCCCTTCCGTCTCAAACCAGGGGTTTCCATGGCTTGGGAGGGTTTGCAGTCATGGCCATCCATCATTGCTAAGGACACAGGTGGAGGAATGGCAAACTTCACCGATCGGAACAACGGAGAAAGGCTTTGTCATATCCTATGTCCTGTGGTTTGGTTTGGTTTTGTTTCCCCTCATGCCACTTTCTCCAATCATGTGCTAAGATTAATATAAGAAATACTTCGTCTCTCTATAAGACCCAGAGAATGTCACTTTTTATTCTTACCAGTATCTTAAAGATTGAAATTATCAGTTAAATTTCTAAAGCCTCCAGTTTCATTTCCTCACCTTTCTCTCTTCTTTATCTTACATCTTGTCCATTGCAAGACTTTTAATGAAGTCTATCACCATTCTTGGAATTTATGATAATTTGGAAAATAAGAATAATAAACTTTTTTTCACTATGAATATCAGTGAGACAAATCAAGACAACACAAATGGGAAAATGCATATGTTATCCAGGTGTGGAGATTTCTCTGGGACACATACAGCCAGCTTTCAACCAGCTTGTCTCTCTGGGTGAGGATTAACTCACCATTATTGTAATGGAAAGGCTGTCAGACAATGAAGTGTGGCTGGAAACTGCAATTTATGTAGAAAAAGATCCAAGAGATTATTAGCCAGTTTGGAAAACTGCTAGAGAACTGTGGATCCTTTTGCTTTGAGGTTCATAGATAATTTTCCAAATAGAGGTAGCTTCTCATTTTGAGGGTTGCTCAAATAGAAGAAAAGGAGCATAAAAGAGAAAAAAGGGATGAGAAAATAAATAGAAATGTGAAAAAAGGAGACTGGAAGAGGCTTAGCAAGAAAGTCATGTGTGATTCTGAAGACTTTGTCAAGAGGAGGTAATGACATGCAGGAGTATGTCTGTGTATAAAGACCAAAGAAGTACACATTTAGACAGTTGTATATGTTGGGAACAAGTACAGTGCTTGTGCACAGGGGGTTAGGAAGTAAATATGTGGCAAGTACAATGGAAAATGTACCTTTGTGTTTGAGAGAGGTGGAGAAAAAGATGAGGACTGCCGACCCCATCGGAATAAGAAAAAGGATAACAGTGGAAATGGGAGGCAGCTCACTGACCTTCCCATCTCAAAAGAAAAAATTGCTCAGAAGTATCCAGGAGTATTCCTGGTCCTAAAGATGAAATACCTAAAGGAAAATTCAAAATGTAGACCACAGACCTGGCATTCTTGTTGGCATCTGCTCGGAGCATTTTCACAGCCACCAGGACAGGCTGGTTGGCACTGACATCTAGGGCAAAATCTTTGTCTTTGAATTTTTCCATTCCCTCCACTTCACAGAGATGAACCTAGACAAAAGTCATCTAGTCTCAGCATCATCATTTCTCCTGAAGATGTCTCAGTACTCTTGCTGGGCATTTCCTGGAGATAAACTAACTCTTACAACTCAGGCAAAATGATCAAAAGACCAATAAGAAGATATGTGTAACATATCTATGATTCAAATAATTGATAAGATTTAAAACAATGGTAAAGTACCCAGCTAATGTGCCACTCTCCTGCCTTAGAAATACACATTGCTTGGAACACTAAGTGAATGAATGAATCAATAACAATATTATATTACAGCATAGCCCAATATAAAATGTCTTTTATTACAAATGCTTGAACTTCGATTCATTAGTCACTGGATCATGTAAAACGTAAGGCAATTTCCTAAAATAATCCCTTAGTATAGGGTTTAGCATTATAAGAAACTCCTGTCTATTAGTAACAGTATAACAGATGTGGGTTTTCAACCCAGGGGACAGAATGAGTACATGTCACACCATGAACAGATAACATGGGTCCCTCAACCTCTTGCAACACCAGACCTATCTAAGGAGAGAACATGAGATCCACACTGAAAACCAATAACATGTCTTAGGAAACCAAATGTTTTATTTGGAGTTTAGACGGCAGTGGTGAAGAGTTCCTATTAGAATTCAAAACATTGCTTTGAGCTCCCAGAAGGTTCATGTGACTGATGCAAGAATGAAAAGTTTAATAATGCATGCATCACTCTGAGGGCAAATGAAAAGAGTACTCCTCCTTATCTTAGTTGGTGATTCATTCCCTAGTGGCTGATTCTGGGACCAAAGGCAGGGGCGAGGTTGTTTTTGACCATTTTACATATAACTCCCATTAAAGGGGAAAAAAACAAAGTGGCTATTGAGTAGCAGAATGTTCCTGGACAGTTCATAAAAGATGATCACATCTTCTGGATCCCACCCTCCATAATCTATTGTAAACATTTTTGAAAATATTGAATGTTTTTCAAGATATCTGAAGTCTAGTGACTTGCCTGCCTTAAAAACTCCTATATAGAAATCAGAAGTCCCAGGAACTCCACAGCTATTTGACAAAGATTAGGTTGACCCAATACTGAAATCCAGAGGACAATGCAAGGAGAGACAAATGGAAGAGACATTCTGTTGTGAATCCACCTCTGGAAGGGACTCTTTGTTCTACTGATCATTTTTATCCAACCACCTTCTTCGAGCTATAAGGGAATCAAAGAATCAACTCACCTCCCCAAACTGTCCTTCTCCCAGCTTCTCTTTGAAAGTTAGGAGTTTCCTGGGGAACTCCTCCACAGCCACATCTTTTCCTGAGAGCAGGTCCATGGTGACGGCAGGCACTGAGTATGTGTTGCCTCCTGTCACTCCTTGGAGGTTCACTATGTCAGCCTCTGCATAGTGGGGCACCCCCTCAGGGCCACTGGGCTGGACTGGCTTCACAACACCGCTGCAGCCTGGGAAGACAAGGGCAACGAGCCCTCATTCCGTGGAGTGTCTTTGGAGATCTCTTCAGGAAGGAACTCTGAGAGGAGGGCTAAAACATGCCCCTGTGAAAGCCTAACCTGCTTCATGACATTCTTACTTGGAAAATGGTTTTGCTTCCTCTAGAGATTTTCTTGTGGCCTACAGAATGTAGAACATCATTTTATTTCTCATTCTTTTCCTCATAATACATGATCATTAACAAATTCTGTGGCTAAACTTGTGGAATTGTGTGGTGAAGCTATAGGAAGGCTCATGGTATATCAGGGTGGGAATATTAAAGGTTGAAGGTTTAATAACTTATTTCCTTAATTTTAAGACACTGTTATTGACTTAAAAACTGATTTTAGGTATAAAAAACTTTCAGATTAAAGACATATGATCTAGCTTAAGACATATTCTAACTTAAAAAAGCCTTAAAATATGAAGTGGGGGATGTTTTAGACTTAGGAAATAGGTAAATTACTTCCATTCACCCCAAGAAATAAATTAGTTTATATCCTTTATTCTTGCTGTCTCTGTGAAATTACTTGAATTTAGCATGCTCTTTCATGTCTTCTATCCATTGAATAATAAAATAGATGCAAGTTTCCTTTTATCCTTTGAAAAGACCCCTTCAGGCTCCTTCCTATAAAATCCTATGCTCTTGAATTTAGTCCTGTCTGCTTCTACATCCAGCTCAGGCCTAGCTCCTCTCTCCTGAACACTACAAGTTCTTTTCTACTGACTCGGGTCCCTCAGGTTGATGATCTTATAGAAAAGTTGCTCTGAGCTAAAGAGGTGACTCCAGCTTCCCTTCTGATATGACTCTGCATCATTTTTTGAAAGACATCGAAATTTGAATCAACTGACACTACTTACTGTTTTACCTGTTTTATTGTTTTATTTCAATGCTTTTATTGAGAAAAGGTGAGAAATGTTTTACTCTCATAATAAAATCTCATATTACTCTAATAAACGTTTACCAAAGAGAAATTCACAAAAAATAGATAACTCAAGTAGTTATTTATTTTAGTTATTTAAATGGCTACACCACTGGGAATTTTGGAATGTCTTTAGCTTCATTTATTTATTTATTTCTCCAGGTAAAAATCTAGTCCTGCCTTTACCCACTCATGAAATTTGGTGTTGGGTGAGTACTCTATCTGGACTTTCTCACTTTCCCGACATGTAAAATGAGGTTAGACTGGTTGGACTGTTTAGGTTCTTCTGGTGTCAACACCTAATTCACATGTTTTATTATTTTTTTCTTTCTTTTCTGGTATGTGGGTCCCTCCACACATCTTATATTCAGTAGCAAAGGAGAGTTGCTCAAATTAGGCCAGGAGCAGCGGCAGACCAAATCTAGAAAGAGAATGTGGACTTCTCAGGAGGTTAGCAGAGACTAAAAATAGATGCAATGAACTGGGAGCAGGCGTGTCATACCTACCTGATGCTTGCTGAGGTTTCTCCCTTGACACCCTGCCCACCACATCATCCTCACCTGACTCCTCCTCCCCTGGAGCAAATTCTGGGAGTTTTCGTATCAGCCTGGATGGCTCCTGGTAGTCAGGGCGAAGGGGAAAGATGCGATCGTAAGTCGAGTTGGACCCTTGTTCACTAGGTGATGAGGAGCGGTTATTGTTGAACATGCTAGAATCACTTGGCAGGGAAAGGCTGACTGTCATTTCATCATCCAGCATCCTCCGAGAAGCCTGGAAGAGAAGAGCAAGGAGAAAGGCATGTTGGCACAAAAGAGATGGTCAATGCCTCCTCTTCTTAAACTCAGCTCTCCCACTCAAATGAAATAACTCTTTACTACTGTTTAACCCCAGCAACACTGCACGTGCTAGGAATGCAGTCTGGTTCCACAAATGCCTGTGTTGTAGGAACTTAGAATAATCCTTCATTTCTTCAAGGTAGAATTTGATCTTCTAATTTCTATGATGTGCTTTCTGAAACACTTAAAAAAAAAAGATTATCTCCCTGTTGCTATAAGAACCCATCAGTAGCCAAAGATCTCAATCTTATAGAGTTTTCTATGTTTTATTAAATGATGGGTTTTCCTGGCTTACCCTTTAACTACTTGGTTTTGGAATAGACATAAATTGTTTATTAACTTAATGCATGTGCTATAACATGATGAATCAGTAGTTCTACTTGATCATTTTGATACCCTAGATTAGGATAATACCCACCACTGACCCATATTTTCACTAACCAAAAATAAAATGGCTACAACATGGGACAGGAAAGCCCTGGGTGTCCAGAGATAACAATGTGACTTACACCTAATAAGGGAGGGAGAACAACAAAGCAACTACTTCTGTGGTATCTTATCTAATATAACCTGCCTGCTCCATCAAAAGGCAAATGCCAGCATTTGCATGTATGTGACTATTTGGGTTTAAACATGTAAAATGCTCCACTCCAACAAACACAGCTTTGGTGCTCAATGGCGAAACTTAGATGTGCACTTTTCCACTAGACTGAAGGTCTTTTGTTGCAGTAATATCCCCAGTACTAAGCATGAAGCTCAGAACAAAGTAGGTACTCAATATATGTGGGTTAAATCTCTCAAAGAAGGAATGTTGAGGACACCACCAAAATTATCCTACAAATAATGCTACATACAGTCTACAGCTATGTTAAGTAATGTTCTTAGAATGTATGTGTGTACTTAATGATTTTCCACATAAAATTTTGTTCCCAGGAAGAAACACTGGGTGTCATTCCAGAGCACCTTGAGTCATCTTACTCAGGATGTACAGGGGTAGAATTTCTTGGAGGACCAAGTTAAATATTCAAGGGCAAAATGTTTGCTCTACCTTTTACCTGGAGATTCCAACATTTCTCTCTTAGCCCATGAAGATATTCCAACAGGCCTCAGAATAAAGACTCAGAGAAGTATGGTAAATTGTGGCTCAAATAAAGAGAAAAAGAGCTCATATAGCAGAGAACACAGACTTTCCCCCTTGGCTAAAATGTGGTCCTAACAGACTATTTAAGAAGGTCACATATCCTCTTCAAGCAGTTCAATGAACCTTCAGTTCACCACCACCCTCACTCTGGAATACCTCATTAAACACTAGTGTTTTCCAGCATTCTAAAGGAGGAAAAATTTTGATATTTGCCTCATTCATGCCTTGAGACATACTCGTGACAGCGAGTGAGTCTCTGTGGATTCTGTATTTCAGTCTTCTGTTGCTATTTGCGAATTGAAAGCTTTAAGTGTTTTCAGACTGGTAGACATACTTGTGGGAAGCAAGGAGACCTTCTCTTCCATGAAATATTCCTTCCTAAAAACCTTAAAACAAACATCAACCATCTCAGGAACCTGAGGGTGGCACAGATCAGAAGGAATTGCAGGCTACTCATCAGGATTGCTCCTCCTTACCCCTGATTTGAGCCATTTTTCTCCCATCCTGCATCTAGAAAGCTCTAGAGACTCAAGCCCATTCTCATGGTGCCCTTTCCTCTCCTCTGGAATAGAGGTTCCACACAGGCATTGGTCTCCTCTGAGTCCCCACCCCCAAACACAGAAATCAATCAGGATTTCTCCTCCTTCCTATTCCCTGCCCTCAGGAGGCAGTTCAAAGCCCCACAGCTCAGAGTTCCTGTGGCCTCTACTAGTCCATGTCTATTGAGAGGAACTAATTGACCAGGAGAGGTGATCATGGCCAAAGGCAGAAACACTTAGTCGTCAGCAGGCCCCAAAAGAATCAGACACTAAGCAGCAGTGAGTTGCTATTTGGTCCAAGGGAGTTGCTATTTGGTCCAAGAAACCAAGACAAGTCATAGATATTCCATCTTTGATGAAATGAATATAGTTTTGAAGAAAGAAATCAATGCATTTCAATATTAACAATTGGAAAAAGCATAGAAGACTGGACATCAGTTGTATGACCTTAAGCACATCACATTTTCTCATCAGAAAAATAGTTAAACATAACAATGCCTATGAGTTATTACTCAATGAGGTGTATATAAAATTATGCATGAGGAAAAATTCTGCTTCCTGTAAAGTGTTAGACAATGTAAAAAGTTATTCAGATCATTTGGCATAGACAGAGTCTGAAGAGGGACTCAGAGGGATACATAATCACAACCTTCAAGTACACAAAAGTAGAAATAGAATAGTGAGAAACTTGGCTTGAATATTAATGAAGCTGGATGTTTTTCTACACACACACACACACACACACACACCAAACAGACAAGCAAAGTGAAAAAGATGAGAAGGAACTTCAACAGCATTATCAGAAATTTCAGCTTGGCATTAGGAGAGTAATTCTTAACCTCGAATGTGCATCAGAAGCACTTGTTAAATTTTTTTTTAAATATGGATGCCTGGACTCTACCCAAAATCCAGTGAATCAGAATCTTCAAGGAAAATGCCTGAATGGAGATTCAATGTATTAAGAAGAGTTTTCTGCATTTCCGAGGAACGTTAGGAAGGTTCCAACATCTCCACTCTAAAAATGAGAAAATAGACTTAGCTAATTCTATTCTGGCTTCATTCCTATGTTTCTTGGTAGCCTCAGTTAATTCCAACCATTAATAAATGTTTGCAATTTGCCTTTTACTCCTGGGACAACAGTGGCTTAAGAAAGAAAGGAGCAGTTTCTTATATCATGACCATTCTGCACCTCCTCACCTTCTCCAGCATTTTCTGCCAGAACTGCCTCCAGAGGATGATGACAATGATGGCCAGGAGGATAAAGATGATGGCCACCAAGCAGCCAATCAGGATCCGAGTGTTGCTGTCATCAACTTTAAGCATTGGATCTGTGACCAGGGAGAGAAGGCAGAGAATACAATCATCTCACAGGTCAAGTAAAAGTATGAGGGACTGAACTGGAAACATGGAGGTAGACCCTGTTCCTTGAGGATAATTATGGAAGATGCCACCTTAATACTTCTGCTTATTCTTGCTCTTGCTACTGTTTTGTTTTCTTGCTACTGTTTTATTACTTTTTTTTTTTCCTGAGATAGAGTCTTGTTCTGTCCCTCAGGATGGAGTGCAATGGCATGATCTTGGCTCACTGAAACCTCCCCCTCCCAGGTTCAAGCAATTCTGCCTCAGCCTCCTGAGTAGCTGGGATTACAGGCATGCGCCACTACGCCCGGCTAATTTTTGTATCTTTAGTAGAGATGGGGTTTCTCCATGTTGGCCAGTCTGGTCTCGAACTCCTGACCTCATGATCTGCCTGCCTCTGCCTCCCAAAGTGCTGGGATTACAGGTGTGAGCCACCACGCCCAATCTGTTTATTACTTTGTTCCCCTATCCTATTTCCCTCTTCCATAAGACAGTAGTCTCCCCCTCTCCATGTGTCAGACAGAGTAATGGTGAGTTTTTCTATTCTTCCCAAAATTTTGTCTCTGTATTATTATGGCCTGAGTCTGTAGTCCCTTAATCACACCTCATGAAAAACAGGTGAGGAACCAGTTTCACTCTCTGCATTCTTTGAGACATGCCAAGGTAGCTGAAAGTCCTCTTTGGACACATTCAATCCCACATGTTTCCCACATTGCTGGCTAGTGTCACCAATGACTGCCTAAAGCAATGCATACATGGCATATTTATCTCCAATTGGAGATATCAGCATTTTGTTTCTTTGATTTCCACCCCTCCTTAGAAATACCCACTATGGGTCTGACCCAGGAATGTCCCTTTCCCTGTTTCTGACCCCAAATTCCCAAACTTTCATGGAGAAATTAGGACAACTCCAGACTCTGCCTCAGCTGAAGAAGCACATGAATCCATAGTGAAGAGAGTATATTTGGATCCATAACTTGGAGGTAGACAGTCCTACCTTTCCAGGGCTACTCTTCATCCAAAGCCAACTGGTGTAAAGCCTCCCACACAGCCAGGGCTTTGCAACTCTCCACCCTTCTTCATCCCCCAGTAAGTCCCTTCAAATTAATTTGTGTAATTAGGAATCACATATACCATAGGTTGTGGGTGCCATAGGAGAGGTGGGCAGGGCTTCAGAGTTGTTGTACATTGCAGCATCTGTTATAAAACAAGGGTGAGTCAGAGCCAGGGAGAAGACAGACAGCTAGTGTTTTCTCTGAAGGCATATTGTGACCTAGCACATTACAAGATCAATTTAGTGAGTTGTCATCAGTCTTTTAAAAAGATAAAATCATAAATACGTTGAATAAAAAATCACCATTTATCTAAATAGTAAAAGCAAGTTTTCCTTTGTAAAATTTTTGTTTCACATATTACATACTAGATGCTATGGTACAAAAAAGTTTAAGAAACAGTGATTCAAAGGGCTGTACCACACATTGTCATAAAGCATAAGAAGCAGGACCCAAATTCAGTGAAAATATAGACAGAATATAGCGGGTAAATGGGCAAGGGACAGACATAGTGTTAAGATGCTTTTTCCTTCAAGGATATTAGATTGTTTATAAAAGAGTCTCCACTATGCCTCATCGGCCTAGCCCTTCAATTTATGAATTAAGGCTTAATCTTTATAGATATTTACTGACATTGGAGTGTCTTTTTCTGTGATTTTACAGCTTTTGAGACTAAACCACAAAAGCGTATTTGCCAGATTGATGTTGGCAGCTTTGCCAGAGTTTTTCCCTCTGATTTGTCTAATCAAGGGGGTCAAGAATTAGAATATGTATTTCCTTTCTAAGAGACATTTCTTCCAGGTATCCTAATTTTTCTTCTTCTTAATATTATTATATAAATAAGGAGGTATCTGGCCTCTGCATGTGCTTTCGGAGTTCGGCTGTCAGGCTCCGGTGAAAACTAATATTATTATGCATTGGATTTAAAGCTCAAGAGACCCCAGGAGTAAAAACCATGGTTCATAGCTATAATTAGCTATAATAAGTGTACCAGTTACTATGCCAGGAGAATCCCTGAGGATGGGTGGGAATCTATTTGTCCCCCAGTTAACACTTACAGTGTAAGTGGCACTGACTTTGAGCATCTTGATTTCTACTCTCAGTATTCAGATGAAACAATCAATCAACTTACTCTTAGATTAAATCATTAGCACAGAAGGCATTTAAACACCAAACCTGTTTTCCTAAAAATATGCTCTATTTTCTTATCAGTACATCTTAATAAGCAAACCATCTTGAAATTTTTTTCCCTTAAAAATCAAATCTGAAAGGATGGGTTCTTCTGATTTATTTTTCTTTTCTTTCTTTTTTTTTTTTTTTAAACAGGGTCTCACTCTGTCACCCAGGCTGGAGTGCAGTGGTGCAATCTCGACCCACTGCAAGCTCTGCCTCCAGGGCTCAGGTGATCCTCCCACCTCAGCCTCCCAAGTAGCTGGGACTGCAAGCACGTGCCACCACACCCAGCTAATTTTTGTGTTTTTTATAGAGACAGGATTTCGCCATGTTGCCTAGGCTAGTCTCAAACTCTTGAATACAAGCAATCCTCCTGCCTTGGCCTCCCAAAGTGTGGTTTATCTTTAAATTAGTCTCTTCCTCTCTTTTATGTTATTTTACACCTGGACTTTTCTTCCAGGCCCAGTACAAGTCTCATTCCTTTGATGCTGTCTATGACAAACCCACGCTAGTGCCTCTCTCCTCCTGACCATTTATTGTTCATATTGCTTTGGACATTTCTTTTTTTTTTTTTTTTTTTAAAGCATTCTGTATCTTTCATCTTCCCATTTAAATTTAATGGTATGAACAATGTTCTAAACACCTTTTAACTTTTCAAGATTTGGCACAGTTTCTGGCTGTAGTAAGTTAAATCACTATTTGCTGCAGTTACTGTTCAATCAAAAGTAGTGTTTAAAGTTTAAAAGGAATCCCTAAAGGTTGAAACAAATGGAATACAATGAACCTAACTGTATATCACATTGGTGACATAACTACATACAGAAAAGAATTATCCCACTGTTACCCTAACTGTATACCACACTGGTGATATAACTATATACAGAAAAGAATTATCCCACTGTTACCCAACTGACCTTAGAACATAGTGCTTTGACTGCACATTCTTAGTAGGATATATTCTCAGGACAAAGAAAAGAGAATTGCTAAGAAATCTTAATGTTCAATAGTTACGTTGCTAGTAATAATATTGGTATTGCTTTTTGAATAATAGGATGAAGAAAATGCTGTTAACATTGTTAGGAAACATGATATTTAGCATAAATAATAGAGATGAACGTATAAAATCAACTTTAAATAAAAACCTTATCTTTAATTTGAATTGGAAGTAACAATGTAAACTCACAATCTTTCTTTTTAAATATACATATTTCATTGCTTTCTTCCACCGAAAAATCCAAGAAACAATGACAACCTATTAGTAATGAGCATCCCTACTACCCAGTTTGTGTTTTCTAAATACCATTTCCTACTAAAAGGAATCAAGATTTCTTGAAATGGTTGATTCCACGTCGGGTGCTGTACATGTTCAAAATGAGCTTGAAATACCTTGTTCTTTCGGAAAACAAGAAAGTTATCAAAGGCTTCTAGGGTCAGATCAAAAGAGCAAAGAGCCCCCTTAAAAATGCAAACTCTAGGCTGGGTGCAGTGGCTCACATCTGTAATCCCAGCACTTTGGGAGGCCTAGGCGGCTGGATCGCCTGAGGTTGGGAGTTCGAGACCAGCCTGGCCAGCATGGTGAAACCCCGTCTTTACTAAAAATGCAAAAAAAAAAAAAAAAAAAAAAAAAAAAAAAAAAGCCGGGCGTGGTAGCAGGCACCTGTAATCCCAGCTATTTGGGAAGCTGAGGCAGGAGAATCACTTGAACCTGGGAGGTGGAGGTTGCAATGACTCAAGATAGTACTCCAGCCTGGGCAACAGAGCAAGATACCGTCTCAAAAAAAAAAAAATGCAAACTCTAGTCAAAGACAGCACAACTTGAGTATTAAAAAGAATAATGGCCAGACACGGTGGCTCATGCCTGTAATCCCAGCACTTTGGGAGGCCAAGGCAGGCGGATCACTTGAGGTCAGGAGTTCGAGACCAGCCTGGCCAACATGGCGAAACCCTATCTCTACTAAACATAGAAAAACTAGCCAGGCGCAGTGGCAGGCACCTGTAATCCCAGCTACTTGGGAGGCTGAGGCAGAAGAATCACTCGATCCCGGGAGGCGGGGGTTGCAGTGAGCCAAGATCACACCACTGCATTCCAGCCTGGGTGACAGAGCGAGACTCTGTCTAAAAATAAACATACTACTACTAATAATAATAACTGCAATCGATTAAGCATTAAATTGATAAAAAGCAATGAGTTTATAATGATACCAAAAAAATAAGGGTAAAAACCAAAATTAATTAGACATTATTGAGGGTTGCTACGGTATCAAGTCATTACTCTGAAAATTAACAATTAAAGGGGAAGATAAGTCACGTATGCTGCTCTTTCAATGTGATTTCTGAGTAAACTGGTGCATGATGAAGAATAGTTACTCTATTCGGAAGAAATTCAGCTAAGAAATGCAGAAAAAATAAAAGAATTAGAAAATCGTCATTTAGCAACCCTAGTGAAATAAATAATTCAGACAGTGGTTATTGATGGAGGATAAAACTTAGGGAAAAAGTTCATGAGGAACCAGAAATCAATCTTAGTATCACAAAAAGTGAGAGGATCTAGCATTACATCCCCATGATGAAGTTCAGCATAAAATATACAGCATTACTGAGATATATAGAATGCTTATAAAGAATTCTTGACAAAAATAAATATTGAACTGGAATCAAATTAACCTGTAGATGTAAGCACCAGTCATTAGGAATGACAGAGAACAGAAGCTCAAGTAAAATGACACCACAGAAAGCCATCAGCCAAGCCAGAATCCATTTAAAAAGAAATAAAAATGGAAGGAATTTTTTAGATTAAAAGAGACACAGAGCAAATAGAATAAAGAAACTCACCAACAGATCCTTATTTTGATCCTTATTTGATAAAGTCAACTGAATTAAGACATTGATGGACAGTTAGTCATACTTGAATATGGACAGGATATTGGGTGGTATTAAGAAATTATTTAATAATAAAGGTTGTTAGATGTTATCATGGCATTATACCTATGAAAATGATGCTATTTTCTTAGATGCAGTCCAATTATTTGCTAATGAAATCAAGTAGTATCTCATATTTGCTTTAAAATGCTACAGCCAAAAGGAAGGAATGGGTGAAACAAATATGGCAAAATATCAATGATTAGTAAAGCTGAGTGATGAGTGGTTTATTGTTCTCTTTACTTTTGTGTATATTTAGAAATTTTCATTTAAATATCTCAGTAATGCTTAGGTGTGCTTTTCCTTAACAGCGCACTCGTTAACTACCTTAAATTATATAAAATTTTTAACACACTGTACTCTCATTTAAAAACATTCTTTCTAAGAAGAGTTACGTGCATATTTTGTTCACTTCCATTCTCATCCCATCCCCTCCACAGTTAAAACTAGTCACACAAAGGATTCACCGTATCCGTCAATGAGAAGCTGCCTGTACAATCCCACTCCTCTCAGAGACCTGCTAATGAGAAGTTCTGGGCATGTGCATTCCTCCTTCATCACCTTGCTCCCACTTCCCAAAGAGGACCTGAGCTCCCTACCTGATTGGAAGGTGATCTCACTGAACATCATCCAGGTATCTGCAAAATGGTATTGACACTTGATGGCACTGGCCATTCGGTGGTGGAGAGGCACCGTGACAAACCGAGCACTGGGGTTGACGTCATCCAGGACAAGGGGGAAGGAAATGGCATTAGGTTCCCACTCACTGGCTTCAGAGCGGAAGTAGCACTGTACCTCCTTAAAGATCTTCACACCTTTAGCAAACATGTTGTTGCAGTGGACCTGGTAGAGAAAGAGGCATGTGAGTGATAGGTTGGCCCTGCTAAGGTGCATGGAGACACAGTGCCAGCCAACTCAGTAGTTGCCGTCTACCCTGATTCGAGCTATTCTGAACTGAGGTAAGAGGAAGACTGCCATCCTGCTTCCTCCTAGGTACATTTCAGAGCCAGTCTTCTTCTTTTCACAGGGCTAGGTGAGAAACCCAAAATAGTGTACAATCTAAAACAATTTCATTTTTTTTTTTAGAAATCTCATTTCTAAATGAGAATACACATATTCTCACATATGTGTGTATGTATCTATGTGTATAGATACACACACGAATCAGGGTAGACGGCAACTGCGGCTGAGAGGATTATAGACTCGAGAGAGTTCAAGGCAAGGAAGGGCTGAGAAGATGCTGGTGCAGTCCTCATTTAACAGATGAGAAAACTGCAGTCCAGCAACATGAAGTGAGGTGGCCAAGGGCAGACAGTGCATACAGGTAACCAGGGTTGCAGCCCAGGTTTTATAAGGCCTGACCAACTATCACTGCCACTGTGAGGTTCCTAGAAGGAAAAATTCAGAAGACTGCAGAACACCAACTACATATATATATCTAGTTGTATATGTATATACATATATCTAGTTGTATATGTATATACATATATCTAGTTGTATATGTATATACATATATCTAGTTGTATATGTATATACATATATATAGTTGTATATGTATATACATATATAGTTGTATATGTATATATATAGTTGTATATGTATATATGGTTATATATATGTAGTTGTGTATATATATATATCATTGTGTATATATATATAGTTGTGTGTGTATACACACACACACACACACACACAACTGTGCTGGTAAAAAGATAATCTTTGACCCTAAAAATTTATTTTTTTCACCTGATATTAAAAGAAATTAGAGCATTTTTATGCGTCTTAAAAATCTGTGGGCCCTGGACACTGTGTTATTGGCTTAATGGATATGTCACCTTTAGTGTCAAAACAACAAAAAAAAGAGAGCTCACTGACCTATTCTAACTCCCTTACACACAAATGGAGAATCACGCCCTTAGAGATGAAGTGACTTGTGAAATGCATTTAGCTAGTTAGTAACAGAATATGTCATTGAACTGGCATCAGCCTAGACTTTTTTCTAGCATGCCTTTTCTCTACCACACTATGATTTGTGCCTCCTTAAAGAAGTTCCACCACACCCGACCCCACTGACCTTCATGGTAGTGAAATTCCTGATGCGGTCAAATTCAAACATGATCTCAATGTAGCCATTGGTGGCACTCTCGTTCCGCCAGCCCACATAGTCATAGCCGGGCCACACGTGGTATTCATGGGTCTGGGTGAAATCGTCCAGGCCAGACACACCATCGGTCAATTGGCCTAGCCCTTCTGTCATGCTGCTCAGGCCAGGAGAAGAGGAGGAAAAGGAGAGAGAAATCTGAGTTAACCACACATTCGTGGAAGAGCTTTTACCCGGCATCTTCACTCCAGATTTTGTATGAGCTTATTATCTTGGAATTGAAGGATTGTAAATAATCAGATTTGCATTATAGTATTGACTCGTTTATCTTGCATCAATGGAGAACTAAGAATTTCATATTAGTAATTTTTATAAAATATTTGATGCTTACTCCTTTAGTAGTAAAACTTTTAAACAATGTCTTATTTAATATGAAAAGCTTTCTATAATTTATTGCACCTTGCCTATTCTTATATACTGAATATGTCTTCACATAATGACTTAATATTATCAAATGCATTTGATGAACTAATTCATAGAGTAAATGAGGAAATGGATAAATGCATAGAATGAATGCTACCATACATAGTAGCACTTGCCCCACTATCATATAAATGTTTCCAGAGCTTGGTGCTGACTCTCCTTTAACTACATATTGTCATTGTTCAGTGAATCAATTTCAGAGAATCCAGTCACACTCTCTTCTATTCCACATATCCAACAACCCAGTTTGATATTAAACTAAGGGGGAAAATACAAGCTCTAAATTTAAATAATAATTTCTATTTAATTCTAATTAAATTTGTAGGATACTAGACCCAGGAAGTAAGATGCAAGGATTTCATGAGAATCCCAGGTATTGGATTTAGTTTTGTGTTCTAGCTTAGCAGGCTTTTTTGACTTCTGAGTAAGAGGCTCTGTTTTAAAGGCTGAGTTTTCCAGAAGCCTGACTGCTGGATGGAATATAACTGCATGTATGCTTATTTGACTACTTAGAGAACACGAAGAGGCTCCTTCCTTCTTTTTATGGAGGGACAGAGCAAAAACCATCATGTGGAACTTCTCTTTCCTCAAGCTCTGCATCTCAAGCTCTGGCAGATATGACACAAATTTCCCAAATGACGAGATTGGGATACTCACCCTCAAGCAATAATTGGTGTGACCCTTGAGGTTTAGAGCTAGATCAATAATATGTAAAATTTGTGAATCGCAAAAAATAAAAAAATACTAAGGGTGATTATGCCAGCCTTTTAAAATATATTTAATCATTGAAAATGTTTGGTAAATTATAAAATTTGACTGGCCTTATCCACAGTGACCAGAGCCTGGATCTCCCTTCCAAGGTTTTGCCATCTTTTTCTTCTCTCTACAGATCAGAAAGCTAGGAGAACGTAAGTTTACTTGCAATAAATATATTTCCCATTATCCTCAGAAAAATAAATCCCAGGAAAGTTTTATGAAAAGCAACAGAAATTAAAAGGAATGCCTGTTCAGTTCCCCCTTGGTCAAAATTAAATCAAGTGAAGAAGGGATAAGAAAATAAATGTTCAATATTTATATACTTTAGAGTTATTAAAATCACCAGTAAGCATATATTATTCTTGAAATTGTTTTAAATTTAAAAAGTAACTTTTGCTAATATGACTATTTCCTGAGACTCTGATGTCATCTCTCAGTGGCTGAGAGGATCTCTTCACTCAGCCACCTCCACCAGATATTTCATTACTTCAATTATTAAATGAAAGCCAATGATGTCTACATTTTTGTAATTTTTTTTATCTTTCCCCTGGAGTTAAGAGCCATAATTCCGGCTACCTTCCTTATTTCTCTACTGAATGTCTTCTCAGTCTCACAGACCTACACTCCAAACTAAATCCATCATCATCCCCTACTGAACTAAGTCTTTCTCCTTGGTTTCCCTTTTCCATAAATTATACTTCTCTTCATAGTAATGGAAAATGCTTGGCGCAAGGTAAGCACTCAAAATATATTTGTCGAATAAATAAATGTCATCCCCATTGTTTCAGTCACTTAGACTGTCAAACTTCATCTGACCCTTTTTCTCACCCTACTGTTTTGCCTCATACATCCAATCAGATTTCAAACATCCTAAATGAATATCTTTTCCTCATTCCCCACAGTCACGGTTATGGCCTTGGTCATTAATTCTTTTTACTTGGCAGAACTAAGAGTTTTAAAATGTTCCTCATAGCCTCCTCATTCCATTCCAATCTAACCTTTGCATGCTGCTTGATTAATCTGTCTAAAGCACAGCTCCAATCATGTCCTTCCTCAGCTTTAAAAATCTTCAATGACTCATTACATTAATGATAATGTTTATGAAGAATAAGAACAGCAATTTCTCCTCTTCCTCCTCCTCCACTTCTTGCTCCTTTTGGCTTTGACTTCAGGTTCCTTCAAAATATGGCATAATCTGCTTTGTTTTGCTTCTCCTGCACTACTTTGCCACATAAATATGGCCCGTGGTTAAATAAACTGTTGATTTCTCCCAGACAGTCCCCTAAACTTTATAACCATGATTCTTTTTTCCTCATGCTATTATTCCCTCTGCCTAAAATTCCATTTCAAGATTCTGCACCTGTGAAAGTACTACCCATTCTTTGGGACCCAGTTCAGATTTCATCTGTTCTACCATATCTTTACTGGTCCTTCAGTCAGAAAAATGATAATCAGATAACAACTTATATGTGCATAGCAATTTATCTTACGAAATGCTTTTCACACACATTTTAATCCCTTAAGCCTTGTAGCAAACAGAAGTAACTTTTATTATATGAAATCCAGATGTTTTCATCCCCATTTTTGTGCTTTCCTACTATAGTTTACTTTTTCCTTTGAACCCCAGAGCAGTCATAGGCTATCTCTTGCTCATATACTTGAATCATAGTAACTTATATTCTGTTTTAGCCCCTACTCCAAATTGTGAGCACTTTAAAGGTAGGATCAATGACTCCATTACCTTTGAATACCTAACATGCCTGGCCAAATTCCTTGTATATAGTAACAGTTGATTAACAAAGGCTTATTAAATTAAACTGAATTCGGTTGATCTCTGATTTCCTCTGTGCCTTGAATACATGCCTGTTGGGGTGTGACTGAGCGAAATTATGCCAAGACCGTTTAAGCAAAAAGGAAAGAACAGTGATTAAGAAGATGGAAAGGAAGTGACTAGGAGTAGAAGAGTGGATGAATCAGGTCTTCACCCAGGGGATGGCAGCTAGAGGGCAATAGTTCATTCTCCACACCTAAGCCAGTAGAAGGCTGTAATTCCACACTCCCTTCCTGAGACTCACTAGTATCTCCTTCTCTCGAGCCCTGTCAACCTCCATCATCTGGTCTGGTCTTCACGATGGACTGAATTCTCTCCCAGGCTCAC
Source organism: Homo sapiens (assembly GCF_000001405.40). Taxonomy (NCBI): domain Eukaryota; kingdom Metazoa; phylum Chordata; class Mammalia; order Primates; family Hominidae; genus Homo; species Homo sapiens. The sequence continues at coordinate 162,756,555 of NC_000001.11, read as the reverse complement.
TTTGCAGATGCAGACCAAGCTTAGAGAGAAAAGTGTTAGTGTGGGCTAGAAGAATGGCAAGGCTTAAAGGCTTGAAGTGAAACAGTATAGGTGGGAGCATCCTGTACCCAACCCTAAGTTCCTACTATATCTGGTCACACTTCTTTGCCATGGCACTCCTTTGATCCACTTCAGGCTTATCCATTGTTCCATTCTGTTCTTCTCAACTCCAGCTTCTACTATAGCCAGGTCAGTCTTGCCTTCAGCCCTGCTTCCTTTCTTCTGCTACCTTCTACCTACCTTCCTCTGCTACAATTCTCATCTTAACCTAGAACTTTCCTTGTCTATTGTAAGTCTTACTAGTCCCCTTTTTACAAATTTCAAAGCATTTATATGTATAAGGTCTATTCTTTCTGACTTCTTGACTTGCCCAGAGTATTATACTTATTACTTCAATTCTCTGGCCCTTTGTTTCCATAAGTAGGTCAATATTTGTGTCAGACTACATGTCCTGTTTTGAGGGTCAAAAATATGGCTATTATACTTAGAGCCATATCACAAACTTTAGCCATTACTTTGTGTAATTGATTGTTTTCTGGGTAATTAACTTGTCTTCCCAAACCGGGCTTTAAGTTCCCTGGAAATAAAGGTCATGTGTATTCCTTCATCTAAATTATTTCCAAATGCCTTGTACAAGAACTAAATAAATACTGATTGGTTGATTGATTATTGATCCCAAGACATGATAAAATATTATTCTTTCTTAGTGGCCAATTTCCCATTCTAATAAAGTTTCCCAGGATTTACCTGTATCCAACAGCTCCATCATAGACAGAATCATTCAGATAAATGATGGAACCTCCAGGGAGTACAAACTGCTGCCCAGCTGGAGCATTGTAAGACACCAAGCCATCTGCAAAGGAAACACAGCCAAGTGAGTGCCTACTGCTCAGGCCCATTACCTCAGGGAACTATGTGAGTTTCAAGGGTATAAGCTTGCACAGCGTGTCCAGCAGGACTCCATCTGGACACCGAGGGAAGACTTTGGAGGAGTGCCCCTCCATGGCAGTCAACGTAATGACTCTGAATGCATGACTCAGTGTGGGGCCCTAAGCCCTGGGTTAATGAGCAATGCTTCTGTCTCTATTCTTCCCAAGAGGGCATCACCATTCCAGGAGTAACTGATCCCATCCCTTTCTGATTTGATTGCCTTCATTTCCCAGAAGTTGGAGTTTTTAATAAAGTCTATAGGCTTCCTGGGCTAGTGACCTACCTAGCCAGACACAGCCGTAAAGCTCCACTCTCATACACACATTCATGGAGTGGTCGGTGACTGGAATGAACCGGACAAATCTGGCTACAATGGGCGGCTCCAAGTCCTTTAGGAAAATGTCATAGGGGTTACTATTTCCATCCAGCACCTGAGGAGAGAGAAGAGAATGAGTGAAGAGGTGGTATTAAATCATGCTCACTTTTCTTCACCCCACCACGTTTTTGATGGACTCTCTCTTCTTAATTCGAGGAGCAGAATGCATCTACTCTGCTTTCCCCACAGCCTTGATATTCCTTCCCTGCCTCCCTCACCCTGGGTCACACATTTACAAGGGCATGCCTGGTCTGTGGACACACATATCCACACAGAAAACCTGTACCCTTCTTCTCCTAGCCTAAGTCAAAATATGGTCTTGGACATCCAGGATCTGGATGTCTCTTCTTCCTACCTGTTTCCCATGACGGTTCCGCCAAGAGATCCAGCGAGTGCCATCCCGACTGTAATTGATCTTGTACATGGGGGCAAACTCGATGCCATGACCTCCTGCATGGCGCCCCTGGGTCCCCACCAGAGTGATAAAATGGAGGGTGTGCAAGTCAATCTGCAGAAACTCCTTCAGGTCATCAGGTTCCACTGGAATCTCAGGGCACCAGGCTCCATCCCCTTCTTCTGAGTCCAGCCTTGAGAGGTGAGGGTTGGGGAGAGAGGGAGCAACCATGAAACCACAGAGCTGTTTACTGGTTCACAGGCAAGCAGCTGCCCTGTACTGAGGGGAGAGAGCAGGCTGTCCTTATAAACATTTTGGGTTCTTGCCACAGTTTTCACTGCCACCACAGTACCCATTTGTGGTCAGATCCCTTTCCCTGGAGTACCATGAGACCCTGAAAGACAGTGAGCTGAGGCCTTCAGATCACACATAGCCTTCACTTCCCATCCTGATTTAGAAGCATAAAGAGAAATAAAACTCTTCCTACTCTCTGTTCCCGCATGAGTCATTTCATATTTCCCTTCCCTCTTTCAAACTCAGCCTAACAAAGCTAGCCACCCTTTGCTTGGACATCAAGTTATGGCAATAGGGAGGAGGGATAGTAGGGTCTCCAGTGTGGGTTATGCAATGCAGCAGGATGGGCATTGCAGACCAGCAAGGAGCCATAGAAACACATGGGGAGGATGAGGGGGAAGAGCATGTCAAGGAAGTAGTAAATAATCTGGTTTCATTTTATTACCTTCAGGCTGAGCTACCACTGAGCAAAATTGTGAAATTATTATAAAGTTTACTTTGAGAACTCCCTACCACTTTTCCTCTCCCTTGGATTGCTCCCTTTTCTCACAGATATTACCCATTCATTTGTTGCTCCCTTCCAATTCCACCTACCATCACTCTAGTCTTTCATACACTAAGAAATTAAGGGGAAAGGTTCATCAGGATTCATTTTCTTATGGGTAATTCCATTTTAATAAAATCAATACTTCACAAAATAATAAGATTCCAGGTAGAGTATTGGGTCCAACCAGTAGAGCAGTAGGGAGTTTATTGATGTACAAGACCCCTGAAATCAATCGCCCCAGGAAACTGCCACACTCTGTCTGTTGGCAAGGATGGCCCTTCTGTGTAAGAGATCCTTGAGAGAGGTGGAGAACTTGTTGGAGGCCTCAGTGTCTTGATGCTTGGCAGTGAGTGATGCTTTGCAGTGAGTGATGTTTCATAGACCCACTGAGAAGAGGAGTGGATGCTAACTCCCAGTGTCCTACATAATCTGCACCTTCCCATAGGTGCCACTGTTGCCTGCCTCCTGCAGCAGCTCACAATGAGAAAGTCAGGGAAAGCAAATCCACTTCCTATCAATGAACCCATTCACTGTGGGTAATGTGGCCCTGGGGCCTCTGTGGTTGAGATGGGGCTGCCAGACCAGTACATGTGGCTAAGTCCTAAATTCTCTCCCTGAAAACATACAGAGCAGGACAGGCCCACTTGCTGTCTGTCCTTCATTTCTCAACAGTTCCTGCCAATAACACCACCTTCCCCAGCCCCTAGGGTCAGGAATCTGTGCCCAGGAAATCTGCCCAACCCCAGAACATGGGCTTTCTTGATGTAACCATCCTCACCTTCCATATTTGGCAGCTGTGGACTCTGACCACTGACTGGAAGCTGTGATGTCCTCATCTGGAATCTGGCCTCCTGACATGCCCAGAGGATAGCGGCATATAGCTAGACCAAGAGAAACCAAAGAGAAAAGAGAGGACATGGTTTTATTTTTATTTCCAAGCCCCCTAGGAAGAATATCACTGAATATTGAACAAGGAATAAGAGAATTTACATCTTCCTAAATTCCTCTATGGCCCCAGTTTGATCACCCTGACTCTATCAGACTTGTCTTCCTGGCCCTGACTCCAAATACAATTTGGGCCTCCGAGATTTGACCCCCAGCCAAATCTATATTTTGGTTCAAACTCTGACAATCAATGTAATACAATGTAATGTGCCAATTTATGCTTTGTACTTGGTAATAACCCCAGTGGCCCATCCCATTCTCTTATTAGAAGATGTTTACTTCTAATCAATTTCCTGACAGTAGTGAGGAACCCTCATAATCACCAGGCGCCTTTATGACCCAAAGAATTATTTTTTTCAGTAGTTAATTGCATAAAAACTATAAAGAAACTACACACTCACCTATGAAGGGATCAAACACACATTTTTGGCCCTGGTTAGAACCATGTTCTGGCTCCTGGCTATAAACAATAACTTCTGGATACAGACTTCCACTTTCAACCAAAGACGGAGTAACAGAGACCAGATTTGCTCTCCAGTGTGAAACAACCAAAAAGGACAAAATATATGAAAAATTATGTTTTAAGATAATGAGCATCTGACAACGAAGGACAACAATCTGAGAGTCAGGAAACAAAAAAGTTGACCCCTACGGTGGCATCAGCTTACTGGCATGAGAGTGTGTCCAGGATACAACACAATGAGTGGGAACTCAGGCAGAGCCTGGAGAATTTCCTGAGTTGAGGAGACAAAAATGGGAGTCCAGAGAAGTAAAGGAAGCTAGAGTCTCAGGACACCTGATTGCCAGATAAAATAGAGTATACCTAGTTAAATTTAAATTTCGGATAAGCAACAAAAGTTTTTTTTTTTCTTTTCTCTTTTTTTTTTATTATACTTTAAGTTGTAGGGTACATGTGCACAATGTGCAGGTTTGTCACATATATACATGTGCCATGTTGGTGTGCTGCACCCATTAACTCGTCATTTACAATAGGTATTTCTCTTAATGCCATTCCTCCCCCGTCCCCTCACCCCACGACAGGCCCCAGTGTGTGATGTTCTCCGCCCTGTGTCCAGGTGTTCTCACTGTTCAATTCCCACTCATGAGTGAGAACATGCGGTGCTTGGCCTTCAGTCCTTGCGATAGTTTGCTCAAATGATGGTTTCTATCTTTATCCATGTCCCTACAAAGGACAAGAACTCATCCTTTTTTATGGCTGCATAGTATTCCATGGTGTATATGTGCCACATTTTCTTAATCCAGTCTATCATTGATGGACATTTGGGTTGATTCCAAGTCTTTGCTATTGTGAATAGCGCCACAATAAACATACATGTGCATGTGTCTTTATAGCAGCATGATTTATAATCCTTTGGGTGTATACCCAGTAATGGGATTGCTGGGTCAAATGGTATTTCTACTTCTAGATCTTTGAGGAATCGCCACACTGTCTTCCACAATGGTTTAACTAGTTTACACTCCCACCAACAGCGTAAAAGCATTCCTATTTCTCCACATCCTCTCCAGCACCTGTTGTTTCCTGACTTTTTAATGATTGCCATTCTAACTGGTGTGAGATGGTATCTCATTGTGGTTTTGATTTGCATTTCTCTGATGACCAGTGGTGATGAGCATTTTTTCATGTATCTGTTGGCTGCATAAATATCTTCTTTTGAGACATTTCTATTCATATTCTTTGCCCATTTTTTGATGGGGTTGTTTGATTTTTTTTCTTATAAATGTTTAAGTTCTTTGTACACTCTGGATATTAGCCCTTTGTCAGATGGGTACATTGCAAAAATTTTCTCCTATTCTGTAGGTTGCCTGTTCACTCTGATGGTAGTTTCTTTTGCTGTGCAGAAGCTCTTTAGTTTAATTAGATCCCATTTGTCAATTTTGGCTTTTGTTGCCATTGTTTTTGGTGTTTTAGTCATGAAGTCCTTGCCCATGCCTATGTCCTTAATGGTATTGCCTAGGTTTTCTTCTAGGGTTTTTATGGTTTTGGGTCTAACATTTAAGTCTTTGATCCATCTTGAATTAATTTTTGTATAAGGTGTAAGGAAGGGATCGAATTTCAGCTTTCTACGTATGGCTAGCCAGTTTTCCCAGCACCATTTATTAAATAGGGAATCCTTTCCCCATTGCTTGTTTTTGTCAGGTTTGTCAAAGATCAGATGGTTGTAGATGTGTGGTATTATTTCTGAGGGCTGTGTTCTGTTCCATTGGTCTATATCTCTGTTTTGGTACCAGTACCATGCTGTTTTGGTTACTGTAGCCTTGTAGTATAGTTTGAAGTCAAGTAGTGTGATGCCTCCAGCTTTGTTCTTTTGGCTTAGGATTGTCTTGGCAATGCGGGCTCTTTTTTGGTTCCATATGAACTTTAAAGTAGTTTTTTCCAATTCTGTGAAGAAAGTCATTGGTAGCTTGATGGGGGATGGCATTGAATCTATAAATTACCTTGGGCAGTATGGCCATTTCCACGATATTGATTCTTCCTACCCACGAGCATGGAATGTTCTTCCATTTGTTTGTGTCCTCTTTTACTTTGTTGAGCAGTGGTTTGTAGTTCTCCTTGAAGAGGTCCTTCACATCCCTTGTAAGTTGGATTCCTAGGTATTTTATTCTCTTTGAAGCAATTGTGAATGGGAGTTCACTCATGATTTGGCTCTCTGTTTGTCTCTTATTGGTGTATAGGAATGCTTGTGATTTTTTGCACATTGATTTTGTATCCTGAGACTTTGCTGAAGTTGCTGATCAGCTTAAGGAGATTTGGGGCTGAGATGATGGGGTTTTCTAAATATACAATCATGTCATCTGCAAACAGGGACAATTTGACTTCCTCTTTTCCTAATTAAATACCCTTTATTTCTTTCTCCTGCCTGATTGCCCTGGCCAGAACATCCAAACTATGTTGAATAGGAGTGGTGAGAGAGGGCATCCCTGTCTTGTGCCAGTTTTCAAAGGGAATGCTTCCAGTTTTTGCCCATTCAGTATGATATTGGCTGTGCGTTTGTCATAAATAGCTCTTACCATCAATACCTAGTTTACTGAGAGCTTTTAGCATGAAGGGCTGTTGAATTTTGTTGAAGGCCTTTTCTGCATCTATTGAGATAATCATGTGGTTTTTGTCTTTGGTTCTGTTTATATGACGGATTAGGTTTATTGATTTGCATATGTTGAAGCAGCCTTGCATCCCAGGGATGAAGCCAACTTGATTGTGGTGGATAAGCTTTTTGTTGTCTGCTGGATTCAGTTTGCCAGTATTTTATTTAGGATTTTTGCATGAATGTTCATCAGGGATATTGGTCTAAAATTCTCTTTTTTGTTGTTGTTGTGTCTCTGCTAGTCTTTGGTTTCAGGATGATGCTGGCCTTATAAAATGAGTTAGGGAGGATTCCCTGTATTTCTATTGACTGGAATAGTTTCAGAAGGAATGGTACCAGCTATTCTTTGTACCTCTGGTAGAATTCAGCTGTGCATCCATCTGGTCCTGGACTTTTTTTGGTTGGTAGGCTATTAATTATTGCCGCAATTTCAGAGCCTGTTATTGGTCTATTCAGGGATTCGACTTCTTCCTGGTTTAGTCTTGGGAGGGTGTATATGTCCAGGAATTTATCCATTTCTTCTAGATTTTCTAGTTTATTTGCATAGAGGTGTTTATAGTATTCTCTGATGATAGTTTGTAATTCTGTGGGATCAGTGGTGATAACTCCTTTATCATTTTTTATTGTATCTATTTGATTCTTCTCTCCTTTCTTCTTTGTTAGTCTTGCTAGCGGTCTATCAATTTTGTTGATCTTTTCAAAAAACCAGCTCCTGGATTCATTGATTTTTTGAAGGGTTTTTTGTGTCTCTATCTCCTTCAGTTCTGCTCTGATCTTAGTTATTTCTTGCCTTCTGCTAGCTTTTGAATGTGTTTGCTCTTGCTTCTCTAGTTCTTTTAATTGTGATGTTAGAGTGTCAATTTTAGATCTTTTCTGCTTTCTCTTGTGGGCATTTAGTGCTATAAATTTCCCTCTATGCACTGCTTTGAATGTGTCCCAGAGATTCTGGTATGTTGTGTCTTTGTTCTCATTGGTTTCAAAGAACATCTTTATTTCTGCCTTCATTTCATTATGTACCCAGTAGTCATTCAGGAGCAGGTTGTTCAGTTTCCATGTAGTTGAGCAGTTTTGAGTGAGTTTCTTAATCCTGAGTTCTAATTTGATTGCACTGTGGTCTGAGACAGAGTTTGTTATAGTTTCTGTTCTTTTACATTTGCTGAGGAGTGCTTTACTTCCAACTATGTGGTCAATTTTGGAATAAGTATGATGTGGTGCTGAGAAGAATGTATATGCTGCTGATTTGTAGTGGAGAGTTCTGTAGATGTCTATTAGGTCCACTTGGTGCAGAGCTGAGTTCAAGTCCTGGATATCCTTGTTAACTTTCTGTCTTGTTGATCTGTCTAATGTTGACAGTGGGGTGTTAAAATCTCCCATTATGATTCTGTGGGAGTCTAAGTCTCTTTGTTTCTAGGTCTTTAAGGACTTGCTTTATGAATTTGGGTGCTCCTGTATTGGGTGCATATATATTTAGGATAGTTAGCTCTTCTTGTTGAATTGATCCCTTTACCATTATGTAATGGCCTTCTTTGTCTCTTTTGATCCTTGCTGGTTTAAAGTCTGTTTTATCAGAGACTAGGATTGCAACCCCTGCCTTTTTTTGTTTTCCATTTGCTTGGTGGATCTTCCTCCATCCCTTTATTTTGAGCCTATGTGTGTCTCTGCACATGAGATGGGTCTCCTGAATACAGCACACTGATGGGTCTTGACTCTTTATCCAACTTGCCAGTCTGTGTCTTTTAATTGGAGCATTTAGCCCATTTACATTTAAGGTTAATATTGTTACATGTGAATTTGATCCTGTCATTATGATGTTAGCTGGTTATTTTGCTCATTAGTTGATGCAGTTTCTTCCTAGCATCGATGGTGTTTACAATTTGGCATGTTTTTGCAGTGGCTGATACTGGTTTTTCCTTTCCATGTTTAGCACTTCCTTCAGGAGCTCTTGTAGGGCAGGCCTGGTGGTGACAAAATCTCTCAGCATTTGCTTGTCTGTAAAGGATTTTATTTCTCCTTCACTTATGAAGCTTAGTTTGGCTGGATATGAAATTCTGGGTTAAAAATTCTTTTCTTTAAGAACGTTGAATATTGGCCTTTACTCTCTTCTGGCTTGTAAAGTTTCTGCTGAGAGATCCGCTATTAGGCTGATGGGCTTCCCTTTGTGGGTAACCTGACCTTTCTCTCTGGCTACCCTTAACGTTTTTTCCTTTATTTCAACCTTGGTGAATCTGACAATTATGTGTCTTGGGGTTGCTCTTCTCGAGGAGTATCTTTGTGGCGTTCTCTGTATTTCTTGAATTTGAATGTTGGCCTGCCTTGCTAGGTTGGGGAAGTTCTCCTGGATAATACCCTGAAGAGTGTTTTCCAACTTGGTTCCATTCTCCCCGTCACTTTCAGGTACACCAGTCAGATGTAGATTTGATCTTTTCACACAGTCTCATATTTCTTGGAGGCTTTGTTCATTTTTTTTTACTCTTTTTTCTCTAAACTTCTCTTCTCGCTTCATTTCATTCACTTGAACTTCCACTTGATCAAATTGGCTACTGAAGCTTGTGCATGCATCACGTAGTTCTCGTGCCATGGTTTTCAGCTCCACCAGGTCACTTAAGGTCTTCTCTACACTGTTTATTCTAGTTAGCCATTCGTCTAATCTTTTTTCAAGGTTTTTAGCTTCTTTGCGATGGGTTTGAACATCCTCCAAACTTCCTTGGAGAAGTTTGTTATTACTGATATTTTTAAGCCTACTTCTGTCATCTTGTCAAAGTCATTCTCCGTCCATCCTTGTTCCATTGCTCTTGAGGAGCTGTGTTCCTTTGGAGGAGAAGAGGTGCTCTGATTTTTAGAATTTTCAGCTTTTCTGCTCTGGTTTCTCCCCATCTTTGTGGTTTTATCTACCTTTAGTCTTTGATGATGGTGACCTACAGATGGGGCTTTGGTGTGGATGTCCTTTTTGTTGATGTTGATGCTATTCCTTTCTCTTTGTTAGTTTTCCTTCTAACAGTCAGGACCCTCATCTGCAGGTCTGTTGGAGTTTGCTGGAGGTCCACTCCAGACCCTGTTTGCCTGGGTATCACCAGTGCAGGCTGCAGAACAGCAAATATTGCAAAACAGCAAATATTGCAAAACAGCAAATGTTGCTGCCTGATCCTTCCTCTGGAAGCTTCATCTCAGAGGGGCACCCAGCTGTATGAGGTGTCTGTAGGCCCCTACTGGGAGGTGTCTCCCAGTTAGGCTACTCGGGGGTCAGGGACCCACTTGATGAGGCAGGCTGTCCATTCTCAGATCTCAAACTCCATGCTGGGAGAACCACCACTCTCTTCAAAGCTGTCAGACAGGGACGTTTAAGTCTGCAGAAGTTTCTGCTGCCTTTTGTTCAGCTACGCCCTGCCCACAGAGGTGGCGTCTACAGAGGCAGGCAGGCCTGGTTGAGCTGTGATGGGTACCACCCAGTTCGACCTTCCCGGCTTCTTTGTTTACCTACTCAAGCCTCAGCAATGGCAGAGGCCCCTCCCCCAGCCTCGCTGCCACCTTGTAGTTCGATCTCGGACTGGTGTGCTAGCAGTGAGCAAGGCTCCGTGGGCGTGGGACCCTCCAAGCCAGGCGCAGGATATAATCTCCTGGTGTGCCGTTTGCTAAGACCATTGGAAAAGCGCAGTATTAGGCTGGGAGTGTCCCGATTTTCCAGGTACCATCTGTCACAGCTTCCCTTGGCTAGGAAAGGGAATTCCCCAACCACTTGCACTTCCTGGGTGAGGCGATGCCCCACCCTGCTTCAGCTCACACTCTGTGGGCTGCACCCACTTTCCGACAAGTCCCAGTGAGATGAACCCAGTACCTCAGCTGGAAATGCAGAAATCACCCATCTTCTGCGTTGCTCACACTGGGAGCTGTAGACTGGAGCTGTTCCTATTCAGCCATCTAACAAAAAGTTTTAAGGTGTAAGTGTGTCCCATACTATAAAAAATTATCAGGCATTTGACAAAGCAGAAAAATAGAAACCATTGTAAGAAAAAAAAGAACAATTGAAACGGATTCACAACTGATTGCATTTCAAAATCTCAGTGACATTTGTTACAGAAATTATTTTGAAATAATTTTAAACCCTAAAATTTATATGGAACCACAAAAAGTTTCAAAATATCCAAAGCAATGTTGAAAAAGAAGAAATCAGTCAGAAGTATCACACGTCCTAATTTCAAAATATTTTAGAAAGTTACTTAAAACAGTATGGTACCTGAAAAAACAGACATATAGACCAATAGGACAGAATAGAGAGCCTGGAAGTCACCCACACAGGTCAACTGATCTTCAACAAGAGTGTCAAAAATAAACAATGGGCAAAAAAAAAAATCTCATTAATAAATGGTGTTGGGAAAACTGGATATCCACATGCAAGATAATAAAATTAAACTATTATCATACATTGTACCCAAAAATCAACTCAAAATGGATTAAAGATTTAAACATGATATCTAAAAGTATAAAACTCCTGGAAGAAGATACATGAAAAAAACATTGGTCTAAGCAATGATTTCTTGGATATGATACCAAACACATAAGCAACAAAAGCAAAAACAGGCGGAACTACAATTGAACAACAACAACAAAAACTTCCGCACAGCAAAGGAAACAATGAACAAAGTGAAAAGACCTTTGGAATGAGAGAAAATATTTGCAAATTATATATTTGAAGGTTAATATCCAAGATATATAGGGAACTCATACAACTTGATAGGAAACAAAAAATATGATTTTAAAGTGGTCAAAGAAGTTGAATAGACATTTCTTCAAAGAAGACATACAAATGGCCAAGTTACACGAAAAGGTGTTCAACATCACTAATCATTAGGGAAATGCAAATTAAAACCATAATGAGATATCACCTTATACATGTCAGGATGACTATCATCAACAAAATCAAAAGATAACAAATGTTGGCAAGGATGTAGAGAAACTGGAACCCTTATAAACTGTTAGTGGGAATGTAAAATGATGCAGTCAGTATGGAGGCTCCTCAAAAAATTAAAAATAGGACTACCATATGCTCCAGCAGTCCCACTTCTGGTATATACCCAAGAGGATCTAAATCAGCATCTTGAAGAGATATCTGCCCTTCCATGTTCATTGCAGCACCATTCACAAAAGCCAAGACATGGAAACAACACAAATGACTATCAGCAGATAAGTAGATACAGAAAATGTGGGATACACCTACAATGGAATCTTATTCAGCTTTAAAAAAGAAAGAAATTGGGTGGGGGGCTAGGGGAGGGACAGCATTAGGAGAAATACCTAATGTAGATGATGGTTTGATGGGTGCAGCAAACCACCATGGCACGTGTATACCTATGTAACAAACCTGCACATTATGCACATGTACCCCAGAACTTAAAGTATAATGATAATAAAAAATAATAATGAAAAGAACAAAAAAGAAGAAAGAAAGAAATCCTAACATTTTTGACTAAATGGTTGAACCCGGTAGAAATAATTCTAAGTGAAATAACCCAGCCATAGAAGGGTAAATATTGCCTGATTCCACATACGTTACATATCAAAAATGGCCTAAATCATAGAAACAAAGTAGAATGATGGTTGCCAGGAATTGGGAGGAAAGGGAAATGAGGAATTCATATTCGAGGGATATAAAGTTCGGTTATACAAGATTAATACGTTCTAGAGATCCACTGTACAACATTGTGCCTATACTTAACGATACGGTATATTACACTTAAAAACTTGTTCAGAGAGCAGGTCTCATTAAATGTTTTTACAGTCATCATCATTATGATTATCATCATAAGGAACTGACTGCATTTTAACCCTAGGCACTTCACTTGTCCTACCCTAGATCATGCCTTGCTATTCAGCAATAAAATGAACTATTGATGCATGCTACAACAACATGGATAAATTTCAAAACAATTATGCTTAATAAAAAAAGTCAGACCAAAAAAGCACATACTGTATGCTTCCATTTATATGTAACTTTAGAAAACAAAAACAAGTTAATCTATAGTGACAGAAAGAGATCAGTTGTTTCCTGGGGGAAGGAGGAGCGGCCAGAGGAATCATAAAGGGACACAAGCAACTTTTGGTAGTGATGGATGTGGTCATTATCTTGATTATGGTGATGATTTCACAGGTTTATATGTAAGTCAAAACTGGCCAACTTGTGCATTTTTAATGTGTGCAGTCTATTGTATGTCTATTGTACTTCAATAAAACTGTTTTTGAAATAATCTCTGGAGAAAGATAATTTTGAAGATTTTTGTGTATTATCACTTCCTTTTTCAAAGCCTGTGGCCAGGCCTTTATGTTCATTCACCCTAGGGGACATTTATGTTTACAGGGAAGAAAAAAGAAACTACATGAAGACAAAGAACTTCCTAGAAAGCCTGCCCTCAGAAAGGGACTGCAGGGTGGAGTAGAGGTGGCAGGGAGAAAGGCGAGACTTCTCTCAGCTTGGAGGGGTCAGAGAGAGGCAAATTTATAGTCCTAATAGGTACCAAGCCCCATTCCCAGGAAGTGCCCTGGAGAAGTAGCAAAAATCAAGGGAAAAAGGTTTCACGTGAGCATAATGCCCAGGCTTGGCACAGAAACAGCAGAACTACCTTCCCTAAGGAACATCATGGGCTTGAAGAAGGAGGATATCCACTACAACCATGAAGAACTGAAGGCAAGAGGGCCCTTCTGCTTGTATCATACCAAGGAGAACTCCTGGAGTCTTATCTCACCCTAAAAAAGGGAAAGATAGCTTTAGGCCAAGGATTAGCTGATACTTCCAGAAACTGCAATTAACCAGAATCATATGCAGGAAGTTTTGGCAAGAAACATGGCCATATACCCACAGGAACACTTCTATGTTCACCATCTGATATGGTTTGGCTGTGTCCCCACCAAGTCTCAACTTGAATTGTATCTCCCAGAGTTCCCACATGTTGTGGGAGGGACCTAGGGGGAGGTAACTGAATTATGGGGGCCTGCCCGTCTTTCCCGTGCTATCCTTGTAATAGTGAATAAGTCTCACGAGATCTGATGGGTTTATCAGGGGTTTCTGCTTTTGCTTCTTCTTCATTTTCTCTTGCTGCTGCCATGTAAGAAGTGCCTTTCGCCTCGTGCCATGATTCTGAGGCCTCCCCGGCTATGTGGAACTGTAAATCCAATTAAACCCCTTTTTCTTCCCAGTCTTGGGTATGTCTTTATCAGCAGCATGAAAATGGATTAATACACCATCAGATATAGTTTGGATATTTGTGCCCACCCAAATCTCATACTGAAAAGTAATCCCCAATGCTGGAGGTGGGGGCTGGTGGGTGGGAGAGGAGGTAGGGTGTTTGGATCATGGGGGAAGATCTCTCATGAATGGCTTGGGCCATGCCCTTGGTGATAAGTGAGCTCTCGCTCTAAGTTCACAGGGGATCTGGTCATTTAAGAGTGTGCAGTCCCTTCCCCGCCACCCCACTCTCTCTGTCTGGCTCCTGCTTTCGCCATGTGACATGCCTGCTCCCACTTCACCGTCCACGATGATTATAAGCTCCCTGAGGCCTCCTCAGAAGCCAAACAGATTCCAATGCCATGCTTGTGCAGCCTGCAGAATTATGAGCTAATTAAGCCTCTTTTCTTATAAATTGACCAGTCTTGGGTATGTATTTATAACAATGCAAGAACAGCCTAACACACCATCCACTATGATTTCCAAGTCAGTTTTGAATCAAGAGATGAACATATGAATGTAATATCACTTTGCCTATTCTTATCAAAAGTATAATTTCTCCAGTAGAGGTAATGTGTGCCACAGGTAATCATTATGCTTGAATCTTAAGGGCAAATCTGAACTGTTTGGGGATGAAGCAACAAATTCTCAAATTCCACTTTCTGAGAAGTGAAATTGAAGGGAAGAGTAAGGATGAGGAAACACTAACACAGGATGCTAATGGGGCCAAAATTTCCAATGGATGAGATCAATGTACTTTTTGAAAATCACACAAAGAAAATGGCCCTCTCAGGGGCCTGCTCTAATCCCTCCTCAACACTGATCTTACATGTCGCTGAGTGTGCTAAGTGTTTTAGTCCTTGTCACCAGTGACTTAATGAATAAAGAGAGGCTTCTGGAGGCCTTTAACCTGGGCTACATGCCCAGGTCAGTTTATCAGAACGCTCACATTGGCATTTAGGACCCAAGCCCAGCTACTAATAATGTAGAACTTCACTTACCCTTTGTGACTGTCACCTGTGTGTATGTCTCCCTCAGGCACCTCCTGGGGAGAAGATCTAGCTGTCCAAGGCAGGCATTCCTGGATCTTTTGACTGTAGTCCATGTCATAGTGTCCCTGATTGCCATCTTGACCCTGATAATAGAATTCTTAACAGTTTGCAAAGTGCTGTCCCATGGCTTATCTTTGCTTTACCCTTGCAATAACCCTATGTAGTTGGCAGAGTACACACTATTACTCTCAAAATATATACAGGTTGAGTATCTCAAATCCAAAAATCTAAAATCCAAAATCTGATGCTTTTTGAACACCAGCATGACGTTCAAAGGAAATGCTCATTAGAGCATTTCGGATTTTGGATTTGTGGATTTGGGATGCTCACCTGGGTAAATTTATATTATATTATATTATATTATATTATATTATATTATATTATATTATATTATATTACATTACATTACATTATACTATATTATATTATATTATATTATATTATATTATATTGTATTGTATTGTATTATGTTATGTTATATTATATTATATTATATTATATTCCAAAGTCCAAGAATTCTGAAATCTGAAACACTTCTGGTCCCAAGCATTTTAGATAAGGGATACTCATCCTGTATGAGGAAACTGGCAGAAGGCCCACAGCTATTAAGTAGTAGGGATTGACGTAGATCACATTCTGTATCTCTATCCAAAGTTTGTCCCAATACACCAGACTTTAACCTTTGCTTTAACCAAAAGAGTGGCCTGGTGCAAGCCGTGTGTCCCAAGATTCCAGGCTGCCACAGAGGCATGTAGCTTAGTCAGAGAGCTGTTCTCTAGTGTCTTCTCTCTCTTCTGAAACCAACGCTGTGTTCAGAGTCCAGTCCTATCTCCAACCCCATTTGCTTATTGCTTTCCAAACCCATGGTTTATTTTAATTCCTATATTTATTAAATAATTCGTTAAGCAATTCATTGGCCTTGCGGGAATACAGTGGTAAACAAAACAAAGTGCCTTTTGTCACTGAGTTTACATTCTCATGTGGGGAAACAGCCAATAAAGCAAATAAATATATAATGTGAGAGAAGATGGCAAGTGCTGTGAAGAAAAAGTATGCAAAAGGAATAGGCATTCTTTTATATAAAGAAATCAAGGTAGGCTTCTTAGATAAGGTGACTCGGAGCAGAGACCTGAGTGAAGGAAGACAGCAACCAGGTGACTCTTGCAGGGATGATGGTTTATGCAAGGGGAACAGCAAATGCAAAGGTAAACTTGAGGAAAAAGCATGCTTGTTGTGGAGGTGGTTTGAGGTACAGCAAGGAGGCAGTTTACCCAAAGTGAAAAAACTAGTTAAAGTTATTATGCTAGCATTCTCCTTTTCCAATGTAATGAACTTGTACTCAACAAAAGCAAGCATTTTGAGGGGAGGATAGGGCCAATTACAATGAATGCCTCCTTTCTCTGATTTCTCACATTTTAAATATCTTTCTTATACTATTAGATACATACTGCTTTGTAATGTACCACGTGTGAGTCCTATCTCCCCTGCAGGTGGCAAAATTTTGAGGGGAATAAAGCCACTGTATCTTATTCATTTTTATTTCTCAGTGCATATTGGGGAGAAAATAGGTATTTAAAAATATTTATTTAAAAAAAGAGGTAAACTTTAGAGATAGATGTAAATAAGGAATAAAGATAACATTGAGTAAAATACAGACTCCCTCCAAAGCTCATCCTTCAGTCTTTTTTTTTTTTTTCAGGTTCCATTCTTTCAACGACTCAAGCCAAAAATCTTGAGGCCATTCTTGACTCCTTCAATACCCTGTATTCAGTCCATCCACTGAGAGAAGATTCTACTGGCTACCCTAAAAATATTCCCATATCCCACCTACTTCTTCTCACATATTTTACTATCATAATAAGCTAATTCACTGTCTTCCATTGCCAGGAATAGTGCAATAATTTCCTAACTGATCTCCCTTTGTCCACCTTTTCCCATGTATCTTTTAGAATGTAAATCAAATCATGAAATTCTTCCGCTCACACTATTCACAATAGCAAAGACATTAAATCAGCCTAGGTGCCCATCAATAGTGGATTCGATAAAGAAAATGTGGGCCAGGCATGGTGGCTCACGCCTGTAATCCCAGCACTTTGGGCAGCCCAGGTGGGCGGATCACTTGAGGTCAGGAGTTTGAGACCAGACTGGCCAACATGGTAAAACCCTGTCTCCATCAAAAATACAAAAATTAGCCAGGCATGGTGGTGTGCCCATGTAATCCCAGTTACTCAGGAGGCTGAAGCAGGAAAATTGCTTGAATCTGGGAGGCGGAGGTGCAGTGATCACACCACTGCACTCCAGCCTGGGCGACAGAGAGAGACTCCATCTCAAAAAAAAAGAAACGAGAAGTGTCTGTTCATGTCCTTTGCCCACTTTTTGATGGGGTTGTTTGTTTTTTTCTTGTAAATTTGTTTGAGTTCATCGTAGATTCTGGATATTAGCCCTTTGTCAGATGAGTAGGTTGCGAAAATTTTCTCCCATGTTGTAGGTTGCCTGTTCACTCTGATGGTAGTTTCTTTTGCTGTGCAGAAGCTCTTTAGTTTAATTAGATCCCATTTGTCAATTTTGGCTTTTGTTGCCATTGCTTTTGGTGTTTTGGACATGAAGCCCTTGCCCACGCCTATGTCCTGAATGGTAATGCCTAGGTTTTCTTCTAGGGTTTTTATGGTTTTAGGTCTAACGTTTAAATCTTTAATCCATCTTGAATTGATTTTTGTATAAGGTGTAAGGAAGGGATCCAGTTTCAGCTTTCTACATATGGCTAGCCAGTTTTCCCAGCACCATTTATTAAATAGGGAATCCTTTCCCCATTGCTTGTTTTTCTCAGGTTTGTCAAAGATCAGATAGTTGTAGATATGCGGCATTATTTCTGAGGGCTCTGTTCTGTTCCATTGATCTATATCTCTGTTTTGGTACCAGTACCATGCTGTTTTGGTTACTGTAGCCTTGTAGTATAGTTTGAAGTCAGGTAGTGTGATGCCTCCAGCTTTGTTCTTTTGACTTAGGATTGACTTGGCGATGCGGGCTCTTTTTTGGTTCCATATGAACTTGAAAGTAGTTTTTTCCAATTCTGTGAAGAAAGTCATTGGTAGCTTGATGGGGATGGCATTGAATCTGTAAATTACCTTGGGCAGTATGGCCATTTTCACGATATTGATTCTTCCTACCCATGAGCATGGAATGTTCTTCCATTTGTTTGTGTCCTCTTTTATTTCCTTGAGCAGTGGTTTGTAGTTCTCCTTGAAGAGGTCCTTCACATCCCTTGTAAGTTGGATTCCTAGGTATTTTATTCTCTTTGAAGCAATTGTGAATGGGAGTTCACTCATGATTTGGCTCTCTGTTTGTCTGTTGTTGGTGTATAAGAATGCTTGTGATTTTTGTACATTGATTTTGTATCCTGAGACTTTGCTGAAGTTGCTTATCAGCTTAAGGAGATTTTGGGCTGAGACAATGGGGTTTTCTAGATAAACAATCATGTCGTCTGCAAACAGGGACAATTTGACTTCCTCTTTTCCTAATTGAATACCCTTTATTTCCTTCTCCTGCCTGATTGCCCTGGCCAGAACTTCCAACACAATGTTGAATAGGAGCGGTGAGAGAGGGCATCCCTGTCTTGTGCCAGTTTTCAAAGGGAATGCTTCCAGTTTTTGCCCATTCAGTATGATATTGGCTGTGGGTTTGTCATGAACGGACACTTCTCAAAAGAAGACATTTATGCAGCCAAAAAACACATGAAAAAATGCTCATTATCACTGGCCATCAGAGAAATGCAAATCAAAACCACTATGAGATATCATCTCACACCAGTTAGAATGGCAATCATTAAAAAGTCAGGAAACAACAGGTGCTGGAGAGGATGTGGAGAAATAGGAACACTTTTACACTGTTGGTGGGACTGTAAACTAGTTCAACCATTGTGGAAGTCAGTGTGGCGATTCCTCAGGGATCTAGAACTAGAAATACCATTTGACCCAGCCATCCCATTACTGGGTATATACCCAAATGACTATAAATCATGCTGCTATAAAGACACATGCACACGTATGTTTATTGCGGCATTATTCACAATAGCAAAGACTTGGAACCAACCCAAATGTCCAACAATGTTAGACTGGATTAAGAAAATGTGGCACATATACACCATGGAATACTATGCAGCCATAAAAAATGATGAGTTCATGTCCTTTGTAGGGACATGGATGAAATTGGAAAACATCATTCTCAGTAAACTATTGCAAGAACAAAAACCCAAACACCGCATATTCTCACTCATAGGTGGGAATTGAACAATGAGATCACATGGACACAGGAAGGGGAATATCACACTCTGGGGACTGTGGTGGGGTCGGGGGAGGGGGGAGGGATAGCATTGGGAGAGATACCTAATGCTAGATGACACGTTAGTGGGTGCAGCGCACCAGCATGGCACATGTATACATATGTAACTAACCTGCACAATGTGCACATGTACCCTAAAACTTAAAGTATAATAAAAAAAAAAATTATTCCAAAAAAAATAAATAAAAAATAAAACTGTAATAAAAAAAAAGAAACGAAAAAAAAGAAAGAAAGAAAAAGCAAAGGAGAAAAGAAAAGAAAATGTGGTACATATACAGCATGGAATACTATGTAGTCATAAAAGAAATGAAAGTCATATCATGAAACTCTTCTGTTCACACTATTCACAATAGTGAAGACATGGAATCAGACATCCCCTGGCTGTCTTGGACCTTGTCCTTACCCCACTTTCCCCATCAGCCACACTGGCCTCCTTGTTGTTCCTCAAACACACTAAGTATACTTCTCCTTCAGGAATTTTCATGTACTGTTAAGTGTCTAATTCAGTAAAGTAAGAATCTTCATAGAGTTGAGAAAAGAGAAGTGAAATACCACACTGCCCATTCTTTCACGTACTGACATCTCTGAAATCTGGATGCACTTCGCAAGCAAATAGTGTCATAGTTTAACTGGCAGTAGTTTTTCTTTCTTTCTTAGAGGCACATAAAGTAATGATGCATCTTAGAGTCGTGAGTTGCTTAAATTCAGTAAAATGCAGTAATGATGACATCCATTTAGAAGCATTTACCAAGTGTCAGGCAATATGATAAGCATTTTCCACCCAATATTTCATGTTTCCCACTAATCACACATTCTACAGGTAAGTTTTAACTGCAAAGGCCATTCCTTGAGTAAATACTAACTCATCTTAGAACTTGGCTCTAAAGCCTGTAATTCCACTGAGCACACAACCCTTGAAAATCAAGACTTCGCATCCACTCCCGGTTCTACCACTTATACCATGTGGGATCTGAGCAAGCTCCTGGCTCTCTTTCGGTCTGTTTCTTCATGTGGAAAGCAAGAGAGTTCTATTAGGCTTTCTGTAAGGCAGTGATTCCCAAAGCCAGTCCATGGACCAATAGCATTAGAAAAGCCTGGAGAGGTTTTAGAATACATGTTTGTGAGCCTCCTGTTAGAGATTTTGCTTTGGTATACCTGAAGCTGAGCCCAGTAACCTGCATATTTTTACAGTCCACCAGGTGACTGTGCTGTGTAGCCAGGCTCTGGAGCCACTGCTCCCAGGTCCCTTCAGCCTGGACGTGTAATGATTCTCTAGGACCATGCTGGGCACCAGAGAAAGCCACACTGACCGTCCCACTGGGCTTTCATCCCTGGCTTTAATGCATCTCTAAACACTAGGCCATGAATGCAATGAGAGCCTCTGCTTCTTGGAATATCTAAAGTAAAGCAGAAATAGGGAATGTGGGTCACATGAGGTGAATCATGATATTGTTGCAAATAACTTTCCTTCTAACGTACTGCTCATTCTGAGAATGGCAACTAAGGAGTTTTATCAGAGCTACTGCTGCTGCAGCTGCTTTTATGACACATTTCAGTTAAATTATATTTCCTAGGCATAGAAACCCTTTATATTTTGTGTCCTAACTGAACCCATTCAGGAATTTTCCTATATAACAGATGTGGAGGTAGATCCATATAGGATACTCTGCTATGTGGTGTCAAAGGAGTGCCAGTTTCCTTCCTGAAAGCTCTTTGATCTATGTATTGTGATTGCATTTCAGTTACCATTTAGAGCTGTGATCCTCAAAATATGCTTCCAGGACCAGCAGCATCAGCATCACCTGGAAACTCATTAGCAACGCTAATTATCAGTCTCCATTTGACCTAATGAATCAGAAACTCTGGTGGGGTTGCTGGGAGGGGGTAGCAAACAGTGTATTAACCACTACTCTAGATGACCCTAATGCAGACTCAAGCTTGAGAACTAGAGGAAGTAGGGGAGGACATGAGGCTTCATTTCATGTAAATAACTTGTTACACATGTCAGCGCTCCCCTCTTCCTCGACTCGTCCAGCTCTTCCAGCATACAGAGGGTTTAGGTCAACTGTGTGGTGGACAGCAGAGTGGCAATGACATTGATGAAAACTGGAAAGGCTCTCCCTGAGTCAACCTCTGCCTGGAGACCAAAATAGAATTCTTGGAGAGGAAGAGTCCAGGAATGATAGGTAAGATGTTACTCTCAACAGGCGGCAGTCAAGGAATGAGAAGTAAGCTTGGCCTTTGAGAACCATCCAGTCCATTAGCAAGTTCTACAAATCCTACCTCCTGCAGTTGAGTCCAGCTGTTTCTCTCCTCTATTCTTCCCATGCAGTGCGCAACCTCCATGACCTCCCATCTGAGCCACTATAATGCCTTCTAGCTCTTCTTCGTTGTTCCTCTATCATCCCTTCTCCACACAATAGCCCAAATTAGCTTCCTAAAACTTTATTCTGTCATGAACCTTCTAACAGGTTTTCATTCTTCTTAAGAAAATGTGACCCTTGAGGTCCACACGATTGGGTCTCAGCCTACTCTCTGGCCTCATCTCTGGCTATTCCCTGTTCTTTGCTCTCTACCAAGCACGCTGACCTTATTTCAGTTCCTGAATGCACAAAGTATCTTCCAGCCTCAAGGTCTCTGTGCATGATGCTCCCTTTACCTGGGATGTGCATCCTCCCTCCTTCACTCACTAGCTCCTGCTCATCCTTCAGCTGTCAGCCAGTCACTCCCCCAAGGAATTCCCCCAAGTCCCCAGCTAAGTTAGGAATTTCTATTATATGCTCTTATAACAAACTGGTTTTCGTTCATAACAGTTTTTAGACTTGTAATGTAAATAATTGTTTAATTTTGGTCTGCCCACTAAACAGCATGTGTTATGAGGGCAAGGATCATATCTATCTTCCTCTGTTGTATCTCCAATTTCTAGTAGGATGTCTGGCATTAACCAAGTGCTCAATAAACGTCTATTGAAAAGTGATAAAGGAAGTGTTTTCTGTTGTTCATCACTTTACAAGGCTTAAAAACAAAGTCCTGGGAGTTTGGTCAAGGGTAGCCTTGGCTAATGGTGTTTTAGCAGACAGGAGATACAGGAAACTTCCTTGTAAGTCTGAGTCATGACATATTTTATTGCAACCTATCTTTACCTGCATGTATTGAGTTCACAAATGTATTTCTTTTACAAATGTGTATGTATTTATTTAATAAATAAGTTTTTGCTGTGTATCGGGTGTTCTTCTGAAGATACAGTAGTAAGCAAGACAGATAAAATAATTTGTCTCATGGATCTTACATTCCGGTAGGGGAGACAGAAAAAAGAAAATAGATTTTTCATAATCAAATAGGCACAATTTGATTATGTATTTGACAGTAGCTATTACTGGCTCTTTCTATTCAGATAATGTGACGAAGCTATGGAAAATACTAAAACGTGGTATGGGATTAAAGTGATGATGGTGTGTAGGCGAGCTCTATTAAGTAACAAACTCCAACGGAGATTTTCTGTTACTCTTGTGCTTGGTTACCTCCTTGTTGAAATTGTGAGCAACTTTGAGAATAGTAATCATGTCAGATTCTTCCTTTTCCCCCTCAGTACCTGCCAACACACAGCACCCATGAGATGCTTAACACACGTTTGGCAAATAAATAAGTAGATGAAAAGGCAGAGAGGGCTACAAGTATTGCACACAATCTCCAGACAACGAAAGTTAGGATGGAGGTCTAGAAATTGTGACAAAGTAATATAAGGATGAGGATAGACAATTCAGAGATAAGAACTTAGTAAATCAGCAATAGTCACATTAAGAAAATAGGCAAAGTTTCTCAGTGACTCAGTATGCCCAAGGGCCTTAGAGAAAAGGCACAGGAAAATGGACAAGATGATCTTGGATGACCTTTCTCATCCTACTGAATCTTTGGAACCAGGAAAAGCCCAGGGCAACCAACGTGGCACTTCTGAGCTGTACCAGTGTGGTTTTCCCATTGAATGTGCCTATTTTGGGTAAACTCCTTCTGTGGAAGGGATCTCAGCCAATAGTCAAGACTCAGAACTGCCAAGTTGGCCCAAGCCCTAAATGTCAGGTCTCCTTGCTTTCCCCCAGTTCCACTTCCTCGTTCATCAAATCCCACCAGTCTGTCTTTGTTCTATCATGAACTGTAAAGAAGCATGAAAAAGCTGGGAATGGCAAGGGAAGCAAGAGACCCTGCAGCAAAGAAGTGTCTCCTGGTTTTTCCTGCTGAGTTGTCTTAGCGGTTTTCTGATGCTTCCGCTACCCACCAATCTCCCGGACAGAGAAGCCAATTCACTTTTCCAGTTTCCCAGAGTGGAAAACTACCAGCACAGGCTGTGGCAGGCCCAGCAGGGAGCTCCAGCCCTCCAAGCTCTGGTAGGGCCTGGCAGGCAGGCTGAGGAGAAGCAGCTGCCACCAGTCCCCAGCTTCCCAAGAATTATTTTTCATACTATCCTGCCAAGGCTGAGAGCCTGAAAGGGCTGCTTGTTCCATAATGTTTACCATCTCACTACTAGCTCCAGACCACGGGCTCCCCGTCAATGAGTGTCCTATATGCAGCTTCCAGGAAAACACACACATGGCCCACATGAGGCCTGAGGTGCAGAGACCTGACACCTGGGCCTCTCTGGGCCCAGACAAGACTGACTGAGGGGCATTATTGGGGTCAGCGGTCTCAAGCCAGTCTACAATCTAAAGGGACATCTGCAATCATAAAACGTTGGAGCCCAGAAGCAAATTTAAGAAGCCAATCCCTCTAATGTCTCCGTGTTAAATATCAGAACCTCTGAGGCCCAGAAAGGTGAAGTGACTTACTCAAGTTCACACAGAGGGCTAGGGTAACCAGGACTGAAATTCAGGTCTCCTGATCCCTGGTTCTTCCTCCTCCAACCCTAGGCTACCATGGTCTAGTTCTTCCAGTTTCTGAAAGGACAAGGTAGTCCACTTAAAGAAACTGTCACTGAGGCCCTGCTTCCCACAAGCTTCACAGAGCAGGCTGTTTCAGACTGGTCCTTTGTGCAGATAAATATTGACACAATGGGATTCCACAGGGGGGCCAAGAAAGATTATTTGGGTTTCTTTCTTCAGCCTACAGGGCTATTCTTTGGGTATAATGGTCACCCAGACCTCTTGCACAAGTTGAAATTCCCCTTAGGAATAGACCTTTAGGATTGCAGTTTTCCTGGAAGCCCAAAATACTTTCCAGAAACAATTCTTGCAGAGCCCCAGGAGAGCAGTCCCCAAGCTGTAGTGGGTTTCAGGATACTAACATAGGGATCAGATAATGAATTCTTCTTCCTGGTTAACAAAGACAGTGAAACTTTCATAGTAAATAGTATCTCCTTTCCCCAACAAGAAGGTAAGCTGAAGAGGAAACTGGGTAGCTATGCAGATCAGGAGTGAAGAAGAAAACTGAGGCCACGGTTTGGAATCATGGAAAGTTTATATTAAGACTTGGCTCTGCCACTTCTGAATTATGGGACCCCACTACCAGTTACCAAACCTCTATGAACTTCGGTTTCTTCATCTTTCATAATCCTGCCAAGCCAAGGTTAACATAATGTATACAAAGAAGTTAGCATACTTTATAGAATGTAATGGGGCTCAATAAATGATATCTAAGAGGAGAAGAGAGAACTATTTGTTTAAAATAGTACATTCACTCTTCCTTAAACAATTAAAAGGTTTTATGACCTTAGAAAGGTTACTTAAGCTTTCAGCCTCTCAATTTCATGGTAGTAATTGCACTTGTTTATAGGAATGCCATAAGGAATATATGAGTTAATTATGTCAAGCACTTAGAGCACTAATATTCAATAAAGTTAGGTATTATTTATTTTTAATTATTTTTACTTTGACTCACTCAGTAAAGTTTGGAGTCGGCTTCCAAAGTTGCATAAGATAAAAATAAATAAATAAATAAGTGAAGAAATTTGGATAAAGGAAAAAGAAAATAGGAACAATTAGATAAGCTAGAGCTAAGGTTAATACAGAAAGAGTATTACATTTGGTTCTATACCACTGGCTGATGATGGGTTTCAACTTTGGCTCTGAGCTTCCTAGAAGTCAAGTCAAAAAGTAAAACATGATTAGTTAACATGAATCACAGTGGCAATAAAGTATAAATTCACTTTTTATTAATATCTCTGTTTCTAGGTGGGATGGAGTAGTGTGCAGTAATTAGTGCTCCCTCTAAAAGTAACTGGAAGAGCTAAATAAAATTCATAAATCATCTACTTGAAGGAATCTGATTGTTTCTGAGGCAATGAGAATGCAGAGACCAAGACTTCAGAGAAGGGAGAATCTCAGAGAGGTGAGGGAACTTCTGTAGCCACTTTCAGCCATTTGCCCATTTGGAGCAGGGGCAGGAGGCCGACTCCGGGTTTGGCACTAGCAGACGGTCTCTACGGGACAAAATTAGCAGAGTTTTTGAGGGAGACCTGGTATCCCTCGAGCATGCAGTGTATCTCACTCAGCACATGTGCCAAATGCTGGGGCTGTGTGGAGGGGGAATGTAAGGAGAAGCCCTCTGAAGAGCTGAGCTGATTTTTTGAGAGTCGGACAGGACACAGATTAGAGTTCAGGACCTGGTGAGGAAAGAGAGCACGTGGGAGTTTTTAAGAAGCACTGGAAGACCAAGAATTCAGGCTTACATCCTACCAGCTACCCAGAATGAAGACACTCTGCTCTGCTTTCGAGGTGGATTTGTCCTATGGGCAAGCCCAGGGCTCCTCCCATGCCAATACATTTCTCAAGTTAGCAATACCTGTACATAGACAGTACACATCATTGCATACTTCCTATCTTTAATATAGGTTACAGTAGCCAAAAGATTGAATCTGACTTCCTCCCTTGAAATGCCAATCATAAGATATTTACATATATTTGAATTAAATTTAACCACATTTTCCTTTATGTATAACAATCAAAATGCTCCGCTTGTAGCCTAAACGAAGACCTTAGGCATTTAGGAACAAGCATGAAGGCCTCACCCTCCCCTGCAGTCCCGGGCTGCTCTACCTCTGCAAGGAGATGGGCTCTCCCAGTTCTCTAACACTAGAAGGCTGGACCTGGTGCTGCACTTTGGTAGCTTCAGCTGAAATGGCCTCGGTTCATTATCTTCCTTCTAATTTACTCACACCATACTCAGCATCTCATCATTTAAAGGGATGATATTCCTATGGGTTCCTTCCCAGCTTCCCAACATCTTTCTGAGATCAAGTCTCACATGGCATCATTTAGATTTTTTTTTTTTTTTTTGCAAAAAAAAAAAAAAAAGCCAGGCATGGTGGCTTACGCCGTAATCCCAGCACTTTGGGAGGCCAAGGTGGGTGGATCACCTGAGGTCGGGAGTTCGAGACCAGCCTGACCAACATGGAGAAACCTCGTCCCTACTAAAAATACAAAATTAGCCAGGCGTGGTGGTGCATGCCTGTAATCCCAGCTACTCGAGAGGCTGAGGCAGGAAAATCTCTAGAACCTGGGAGGCGGAGGTTGCAGTGAGCCGAGATTGCGCCATTGCACTCCAGCCTGGGTAATAAGAGTGAAACTCCATTTAAAAATAAATAAATAAATATAAATAAAAATAAATAAATAAATACAGAAAAGCCTGGGAGTTTCCTTGACTTCCTTTTTCCCCCTCCCTCTTCTTATTCATCAAACATTTGTTGATTGCCTATATAAGCCAAGCACTGTAATAGGTGCTGGTCATGACGACACAACAGATTATCACTACACCAGAGACAAAGACCAAAGTCATAAAAACCTCTGAAGCAGGAAGAAAAAAAAAGTTGCATAAATTTTTTTAACAACTCATCACCTCCCACTTAGGCTCATAAAAAAACCTCACTGATTTTAGTGTCTTAACTTCTACTTTACTGTGTATGTGTCCAAACCACTGAAAAATTCTGTGAGGGTTATCTTGCCACATCCATACTCTTCAGAGACCCACAGGCCAGGACCAAGAGCTAAGTCAACAATCACACTATTCTCCCAAGGAAAAAAAAAAAAAAAAAAAATATATATATATATATATATAAATGGATATGCTTGGCTTGAGCACAGGGTCCTGCATCCCTTTAGAGTTAGGGTGGCCAGAGTTCAGGACTGTTAGAAGCCCCATTCCCCAAAAGCAACTTGAGTCGGTCTTGGGGACCACAAGGGACCTTAATGATCACTAATGGAGTTTTTTTCTCTTTCTTCCTCCTGCATCATCTGCTTGATAGAAACTGTTGTTTCATAGTGTTTATTTTCATTTTCTTTTCTTCCAAAAGTAACAAATCACAGTCTTTGATATTTGCATGTAATTTTCCAAAGCCCATTTATTTCCATTATCTCTTTCAATCCCCTGCAGTAACCCTATGAAGTTCAGAGAGCAAAGTTTATGGACCCCATGTTATAAATGAGCAAAGTGAGGTGCAGAGATTTACCTAAAGTCACAAAGCTAGATAGTGACAGAGCTGGAACTAGAATCTAGATCTCTTGATCTCCATTGTCACAGTCTGTCTAGTAACCGTATCACGTGGTCATCACACCCTGCTACCAGCACACACACCCTGTTTATCATGTGATCACTAGGGTCAAGAATCACCAAGTTGGGGAAGAATCTGGACAGAGAGCCCAGGGAGGATTATTGCTTGTCTAATTTTTAGAATGTGCTTGTCCCAGGATTTGTTGAAATGTGATAGCAAAAGGAACCTGCACTCTGGGAAAGACAGCATGGCATAGCATTATGTTAACACCAGGTGAAGACAAGGCCTTTGATCATAAAACATTTGTCATATACTGAGGATCCCAAGATTATATGGTTCCTACTTTTGGTGCCATCCTAACCCCACCTTTGCCTTCATGACCCCTCAATAATCACTATCCTCACTCTTGTTTTTCTATTTGTGCCTCTGTGCCTTTTCTTCAGCTCAAAAGCTTTCCCTTCCTCTTTTTACCTGGCCTGGCAAATTCTTTCAGCTCCAGCTAACTCTCATACCTTCAGTATCTCAACTAGCATGACATTGGAGATTTGACCTGATTGGGTAAAATGTGAACATATTTATGTACATATTTATGGACTATGTATGTATATATATAAAGATATATCTATCTATATATATATAAAGATATATCTATCTATATATATATAAAGAGATATCTATCTATATATTTATATAGATATATCTATATATAGATATATATAGTGTGATTATATCTATATATAGATATATATAGTGTGATTATATCTATATATAGATATATATAGTGTGATTATATCTATATATAGATATATATAGATATATATAGTGTGATTATATCTATATATATATAGATATATATAGTGTGATTATATCTATATATATATATATAGATATATATAGTGTGATTGTCGACTTAGCTCTTGGTCCTGGCCTGTGGGTCTCTGAAGAGTATGGATGTGGCAAGATAGCCCTCACAGAATTTTTCAGTAGTTTGGACACATACACAGTAAAGTAGAAGTTAAGACACTAAAATCAGTGAGGTTTTTTTATGAGCCTAAGTGGGAGGTGATGAGTTGTTAAAAAAATTTATGCAACTTTTTTTTTCTTCCTGCTTCAGAGGTTTTTATGACTTTGGTCTTTGTCTCTGGTGTAGTGATAATCTGTTGTGTCGTCATGACCAGCACCTATTACAGTGCTTGGCTTATATAGGCAATCAACAAATGTTTGATGAATAAGAAGAGGGAGGGGGAAAAAGGAAGTCAAGGAAACTCCCAGGCTTCTCTGTATTTATTTATTTATTTTTATTTTTATTTTTATTTTTATTTATTTATTTATTTATTTTTAACTCTATATATAGATAGATATATCTATATAACATGTAACATGTGAACATATAGATATATCTATATATACATAAATACATACATAAATATACTTACATAAATATACACACATAAATATAGATATATCTATATATAAATACATACATAAATATACTCACATATATATGTGTGTATATTTATTATAATATTTATTATGTTTATTTTTATACATATTTTATATATATATTTATATTTATATTTATATTTACAAAATATAAATATATGTTTATATTTACAAAATATAAATATATGTTTATATTTACAAAATATAAATATATGTTTATATTTACAAAATATAAATATATGTTTATATTTACAAAATATAAATATATGTTTATATTTACAAAATATAAATATATGTTTATATTTTAATGTATTAATAATATTAAATATTATAATATTTATAATATATTTATTATAATATTTATAATTTTTATCATATATATTATATTTGTTTCATATCCTTTTCCTATTTTATATCTGTATCAATCTATGTTTCTTACATACTTATATCGCTATATTGTATGTCTTGATCTTATGGGCTTGAAGCCCCTAGAGTTCTTGTCAGCTTTCAGAACAAAACATTAATAAGCAAATATGTGAAGCAGCAGTGATGCACGGACCTAATGGCCCCAGTGCGCCCAGTTTCCATGGTAAGCAGGGTCCCTGTCTCCTTGTCTGCTCCTGCCAACACTGTTGTTCTTCTGTAGACTCTTAGTCTTTCCACACGAGAGCCCTGAGCAAAACTGAGCTCTGCAGGTGGTTGTGAAAACTGAGAGGTCCAGAAAAGGGACTTTGTGTGAAGCTCTTCCTGGAGTCCCATGATCATGCTCCTGGCCCCAAAGTTTAGACTCAAGGAGACTAGGTCTCCCTGGGCCTCTATCCCTACTGACAACAGAAAAAAAGTGGAGCTTTGTTTTTTCTTGCATTACTTTTAGCTCCTCTGACTGCCTTTTACAACTAGGAATCTAGGCCTCAGAATGCAAAACAACAGGGTGAAGGCAAAGTTTTAGGGTATGAACCGGGAATTCACCTGGCTACTTTGGATGGAAAGGTGATGATGCAGTAGATGTATTTGGAACCCTTTTATCCCAAGATACAAAGCCCAGGAATTAGGTGAAGTCTGCCCTCAAAGAAAATGAAATATTTTTACAGTATAGTAATTAAGTTAAATAATTAATTAATGAAATGATTAAACTAAAATATAAAGGACAGTATAGAATAATGGAAAGACTAATGAAGTCTGCCATTATCACAGCACAATATACAAAATTGAGGAAGAGGACAGAAGTTCCAGCATTTATTAATCACATTCTGTGTGTTTGACACTATGCTAGGTACTTTACATATATTCTCTTACTCTTCCTAACAGCCCTTAAGGCAGCGATCAGTGATAGGTGAGAAGACTGCAGTTCAGAGAACCCAAAACTCTGACCATGCTCGTCCAGCGAGTAGGCAAAGCCTGGTTAGGTCTGCTAATAGTCTTTTCAAACATGTTTCCTCCCATCACTTTATCTCCCTAAACCTCAGTTTCCTCATTTGTACAAGATTAGATTAAATCCACCATTCTTAGTCTTTTCTAGAACTGGTCACAGAGTCTTTTGAGCATCTGATAATAGAAAACATTTTTCATTTTGCAAATGTACTTTTGTCTTCACACATTAAGTTTGGGATGCAATTTCAGGGGATTCACGGGTCTCTGTAGCCCATTCGTGGCTGGTCCATGAATCTGGGTTTCCTCTGCCCTGACATTCCTTGAGTCTCACACTCCAAAGGCAGTAGAGCACAGAGGTCAAGAGCATGCTTGTGGCCGGGTGTGGTGGCTCATGCCTGTAATCCCAGCACTTTAGGAGGGCGAGGTCAGGAGTTCAAGACCAGTCTGGCCAACATGGCAAAACCCCTTCTCTACAAAAAGTACCCAAACTAGTTGGGTGTGGTGGCGCATGCCTGTAGTCCCAGCTACTTGGGGAGCTGAGGCAGGAGGATGGCTTGAGCCCAGGAGGTTGAGGCTGCAGTGAGTCATGTTCATGCCACTGCACTCCAGCCTGGGTGACAGAGCAACATGCCCTCTCCAAAAACAAACAAAAAAACAAGCGAAAAACTCTTAACTGATACATTGTTGGAAATTTGAAAAACGGGATAAAGAAAAAAGAAGTAGAAGAAAAGAGCATGCTTGCTGGAGCAGAGTCGAATGCCGGTTCTGCCACTTAGCTTTCTCTGTAACCTGCTATGAGTTACCTAATGTTTCTTGGCCTCACTTTCTCCTCTGTAAAACTGGAATAATAATACTACTATTATATAATAACACTAATACTAATAAGATTATTGTGAAGATTAAATTTGTTGACACCACTTAAAATGGTACCCAGAATATATTAAGTGTTCATTGAATATTCTTTGAGTTTTGCATTCTCTTTTTCCCTATTTGGCACAACCAAGAGGGCTCAAGGGGCAGATGAGTTTCTGTTTTACCCAGAGAAAGGCTCTTTTACTGGCAGGAAGGATGCCAAAGGCCACTCTCAGGCGTCAGCCTAGACTTAAAAAACAAACACACAAGCAAGAAAGAGCCAATCTGGGCAGCTTCTAGCATTGCTCACTTAAGATAAATTCAACCAGAGAGGTCTTTTGCCGGCCTTTTATCTTTTTCTCAAGGCCTGTTCAGGCTGTCTAACACACACTACACCCCCGCGCCACCCACCTACACACACACATACACACACATCACAACACTAGTACCTCAGGCCTGGTTTCACAAACCTGAAACTAGCATCACCTTCTCGTTAACAGATGAGGCCACATAAACCTTCTCAGCACATCTCTGGGAACACGAATGACGAGAAGCCAGGGAAACAAAAATGAGTTTCCAATTTGGAAATATGTGTAGGTGAATTAACACATAGCAGTCTTGGTGGAAGACAAGGGAGCGGTGATAAAGGCACAACCTGGTGCAGAAGGGAACCAAAGCATCCCTGGTGCTTCAGTTTCTGGGTGGGGGTAAGTTGGCCCGCAGGGCTTCTAGCTCCAGCCTTCCTCATTTAGCATGAGACTAGGTGTGAGCACTGTATATCCTATTCGTCTGACTCCATTCTTTGGCCTCAGGCTGTCCCTCAAATCTCAATTACATCTCATCCCCATAAATATACATTGGAAGTTGGTTGCAGAAAGGAAAGCATGAGGCTGCATGGATATATGTGATTTTTAGATAAAGGTCACTTCAGCACATTGCTCCCTGAGGGCCCAGGTAGAAGTCACCTGGGATTGGGAGACAGGTAGCCCTGGGTCCTCGTCCTAGCTTAACTATTAGCTAAATGTGGAGCATGGGCAAATCACTCACCTGCTTTGACTCCCAGTTTCCTCATCTGTAAAGTGAGGAAGAGTGACTTAGATATTTCTAAGGTCCATTCCAACATGAACAGTCTAGAATTCTAGTTGCCTGACCCTAAGAACTCACTGACATGTGGGATTGATGCTGGAAAGAACAAAAACCACAGTGGTGAACCTAAAATAAATTTGGGGCCAGGAGGAGAAAAGCTCGTCCTCTCCTAATCCCAAACCCTGAATGGCTTTGCCACTCTTTTTCAAAGTGGAAGCATTCTGGATACCAAAGGGGGACTCCCACCCCAGGACTCTGAACTGGTAGTAAGTTGCCTGCTTCCTATGAGGGGAAAGTGTGACATGAAAATGGGAAGTTCCAGCACTGCCCTGCCTCAGCTTTATACCATGGATCCTAAAGGCCTGGTTTGCCTGCTGAGAAGAAGAGATGTTTCTCCCTTTCCTGAGCACAAACAGTTGTCACAGGCCAAGTCAGGGGAATAAGAACAAGCACCCCTGTGTTTTTTATACACAACAATCCTCTAATTGGCTGGGTGGGTCCCAGGGCTTCAGACTGCTGGGCTAGAATTTCAGGATCATCAGGATAGTTCTATTCATCCTCCTACCTGGAAAAACGTAAGGTGCCAGTTCCCCACTAACCACTGAAACAGTGGTTTTATATCCCCTAGGGGAGCCTGACACTGATGTCCACTCAAACAACTACTGCAGCCCCGTATTTTTGTGCATGATTGTGGGGTCTCTTTCCCATGGAGATGCCCTTAGTTCTCCTATCAAGTTTGGCAGTCCCAGCCCAAGCTGGAAATAAGGGAAAACTTGACTCAAGGATCCCACAGGGGAATGGATCTCCTACATAGCCCCGCTGGCTCTCTCACTCATTATCCTCCACCAGGAGCCCCAAATGTTCCTCACCCTCCTCTCAGCCATTGCATACGCTATATCTTCAGCCTGAAATGCTACCTCTTGGCCCCACCTCTAGAGCAAAAGATGCTCTGGAGCAGGGTAGCTTGTAGCACTATGACTCTCCTGCAGGTTAGGCTGGGGCAGGGTTTCTGCATTCACCTGCCACTAAGCAGAGTTTTAGGGTTTAAAATTTTTAAGTATTTATCAGTCACTTCCTGTGTGCTTAGCCCCAAAGGCAAGATTCTCCTGAAATTCAGACTTCACATCCCTGAGCCTGGGAAGTGGTAGGGAGTTGGAAACAAGTAGTCTTTCTTGCAAAAAACAGCCATGCAACTTCAGGGGCTATACTTCCAAGCCGAAATCTTCCAGTATGGGCTATAAAGTTCTCACATCATAAAAATCACAGTAATTTTGTAGCAGAAAGGGTCCCATAGATTATCTAATCCAACTTAATCTTACTACAAGTGAAAATATTAAGGAAGTATAAAGAGACACGTAACAACTCCCTCACTGTCACACAATTAATTTATGACCAAGTCAGGATTATAATTAGGGTTGTTACTCAAAAGTTAAGCTAAATACTTTTTTCTAAGTTAACTCCAAATCATTCATCAGAACTAATAACATTCCAATCATCTGTTGATTTGTATAAATGATTTTCAGAAATTATTGGGATGATTATTTGTTTGATTTGGATGTCACTAGCTAAATGGTATTTCTGAGCCATGATTTTGACATAAGAAACTGCCTCTAATTCTTCCAATAACCTCTCCCACTGGATTAATGATGATTAGGTTCCAGTTCCTGGTGCACTGTTGCAGCTGGAAGATAGCTGAGAACTCTGCCCACAATTCAGGACTATGTATATACACCTTCATGTCAGCATTTCCCACAAAGACTTGCGTAGCCTACGCTCCAGGCCCCATTGACAATGCTACCTTTAACACTGCCATTACTGGAAATGCCACTAACACCATCTGCCTGACTGCCTGCTTTGCCAAAACTCAGATACTTTAGAACAGTGAGCCAAAAACTCTGCTGCCTTCGTGCTTCAGCCAACTATCTCTGTCATACCACCACTACTCTGCAGCCTCCATGGATGACACCTGTGAGACATTTATGATTTCAAATACTAGAGAGTTTTTTTAAATGTAAACAAGATTATTTATCCTCTCTTGGTATCTGCTGAGACACCAAGATTGATATTTCATATCATATCATGTTTAATGTTTGTTATCAACTAAATCATGCTAATACTGAAGGCTTATTGACCAATAGTCATTGTAAGATCTTCAACAATGAGCTTCAACTAATTATTATTTTATTTTTATTTTATTGAGTTTAATGCTTAGCTCAGTTACTATTAACCAACCAATATGTTATAGCTAATAACCAACTAAAATGTTTCAGTAATTTAATAATTGGTTGCATATTGGATTTGCTTATAACTCAGGTCTCCTGGCTTAAGTTCTATTTGTTATATCATGTGGCCATTCTGTGGGAAAAACCTAACTGGCCAAGAATTCACTCAGTCTTTCAGTGCCTTCAGTTACCTTTCAATACTTTCAGTTATAGTCAGTCTTTCAGTTGACACCAGTAAGGACTCCTGAAGAGTCATCCTTAAATCAACATGCATTTATCATATGCTGACTTTATGCTCAGCAGTGTGCAAGCTATAACATTCTATGAGCCTCAGGATTCATGATAGACTCTTTATCACTGATAATGAATGAAAATGTCTCATCTGCCTCAAACACTCATCTCTGGTTTGACTTGGTAAAATAGAAAGAAATGGCAGAGAGAAGGATTAGTCCTTCAACATGTCCTGTTTTCCTATAAAGGTCTTTGCAAAGCAAGAAGTCTATTTCTCTTTCCCTGTCAGAAAGAGCCAACAAAAATACCTGACACCAGAAATAGAAAAAAAAATTAAGATGACTATTTGCTGTCTCCAAATAGCCCATTTCCTGCTCCAGGGCCACAGTGTGGACTCTAACACAGAAGATCAGCTCTCCTGGTTAGTCATTTAAATGTCCTCGTGGCATGCCAGTCTCCATGACTATGCTTACCACCAAAACATCCCACCATTCCATGCACTCACAGCACTCTTCCTTAGAACTCAGAGCATGAAGAATGTAGTAGGAGGCAACCAAACATCAACAATTGATTGAGAGGAATACAGAACAGAAAAAGGAAAAAATGGTACCCAAGTTAGGATCTGAGATGCAACAGCTGAGCTTATTACGAGAAAGTAACAAGGCACTGGGCTCCTTCAGCCAATAATTCTTTGATTTTAAGGATGTTTGATCATATTTCCTATTGAAGGTATAAAGAAAAACCCATGCACATGGAACTTTTATGAAGGGAGGAGAGCAAGCATTTTCACAAATGTACCCTTATGCTATGAAGAGGACAAAATTAAAGCACCCTCAAGAATCAAAATATAGCATGGAACAACTGGAACTTGCATATACTGCTATGGGATGGTA
Organism: Homo sapiens; assembly: GCF_000001405.40. NCBI lineage: Eukaryota > Metazoa > Chordata > Mammalia > Primates > Hominidae > Homo > Homo sapiens. Next base: position 162,720,749 of record NC_000001.11, on the reverse strand, counting down.
AAATGGTAAAGTACTTGAAAAAATTTTTGGTATTATGCAGAATAGTATATCATATGCTACACATATGAAGTTCCACTTCTAAGTGTATACTCAAAGGAACTGAGTACTTATCTCTACCAAAAGTTTTATATAAGAATAATTATAGGAGTTTTGTTCATAATGGGCCCAAACTAGAAATTATTCAAATTCCCATCTACAGTAGATTGGCTAAATAAAATGTTCAAACAAAGTAATATACAACAATGAAAATGAATAGTTGACAACTGCATGCAACAGTAGGATGAATTTCATAAACAAAATGTTGAGTGAAAGAAGCCAGACACAAAGAGTATTTATGCATCATCTAATTCCATTTATATAAAGTACAAAAATGGGCAAAACTAATCTATGTTGCTAGAAAGCAGGATAATGGCTACCTTTGCGGGGTGGTGAGAAAAGTTACTGGAAGGGAGCATGAAGAGAGCTTCTAAAGTGCTGGTATAGTTCTGTTTCTTAATCCAGGTACTGTTTAGATGTGTTCAGTTTATGAATTCATAAAATTGAACATTTAAGCTGTATACTTTTCCATGTTCATATTTGTAGCAAAATGAAAAAAAAAATGACTCCAATTCTTCTCCAATACCTGCATCCCAGACCTTTACCATCTAATTTTTTGTGCTCTCCCACTCTGACTCTGGGCTTGGCCACATGAATTGCTTTGGCCAATGAGACTTAGTAAACATGATTTCAGCAGTGGCTTGAAAAATGTTTGAGTATTCTGGCTTCTGGTCTTGTTCCTGTGCAATTTCCAGGAAAACATACCCAGGTTAGTCTGCAGGAGGATGAAACAGAACACAGCAAAGTTGCCCCATTCATCAGTGCCACATCCATCCTAGATGAGCCAATAGCCAGCTGACTTCCAGTTATGCTTGAGTAAATCAACACAGAACAGAGAACAGTCCAAACAAGTCCAGCTAGGAGCCAAATAAATGCTCGTTTAAAGACATTGAGCTTTGGATAGGTTGTTAAGCAGCATTATTGTGTAATAAATAATACAATTATTTACTTCCATTTAAACTTTAAAAATGCATGTAATACAAAATAATCCCACAAATTTGGGCTCAAAAGATTCTCCTAACCTATCTATTTTTAGCATGGCCACATCCTAGAGGAAAGAGAACCTGCCTGAGATCCCACAGGACCAGGATCCCAAAAGCATAACAGGACATCCAAGTAAAATCAAAGTCTAAGACAGCCCAAAACAACTGGTAAACCAACCTGAAGAAGTTCTCCAAGACATCTAAAAATTCTGTCCTGTTTTTCTCAGAAGATGCAGAAGCAAATGGTTGCTTCTGCCACCTCCCATTTTTTAAAATGCCCTCTTACTGCACCCCTACTCTATATAAGAAAATATTTTACAATATTCAACAGGTTGTAAGTATTAAAATACATATATATAAAGTATATTCATTTTTCTTCCTATTTTAGTCATATTTCACCATGGAGATTTAAAAAGAAAGAGCTTTGTAGTCCCTCTTGGCAGCTTTTAGACCCACCATTGAACATTGATGGGTTTAAACATTCTGCTGGTCTTCTAGCATATAGCTGAGTAATAGCCATGTTACCTGGATTAACCTGAGCTTTTGCAGAACTCAAGATAGGCAGCAGCAGGAACAGCACCAAGAGCATTCTGGGAATCAGGATCATCTCAGAAGATGGTGTTGGAACTGGAGTCTGCCACCAACCAATAATGCAAGAAAACAGAAAGAGAAGGAGAGGAAATGAGTGAGGCAGATACTGCCAACATGAATGAGTACAATTCTCACAATTAATTTTGTGTTCCTGCAGTGTTTGTTTTTATATATGGGACTTCGAATCACAGACTTTGGGAGTTGAATGGCACATCCAATAATCACCTAATATAATAATTTTCAAACTCTATCAGATTGCACACTCATGAAATTTAAATTAGCAAAAGTATAGTCAGACACACGAAGTTTTCCTAAGATAAATACTTACCCAAATGGTGAATAATGGTAAAGTAAAACTTATATTTATCATGTAAACTGATGTTTTCATAATCTTGATATTGATTCCAATATTCAACCAAGAGAAGCATTTACTTTTAATGTTTGCCTTTCAAAACATATAAGTTCAATATTTATCCCGATTCATTATCTTTGGAGTGATACCTGGGATTCTGTATTTTCAGGTTTCCCCAAAATGATTCATAATATCTAATCTATGATAATAGATTAGATTTGGAGACATCAGTATGAACTTATGTTTAGCTTAATAAGGATACAAATAGTTACATATGGAAATATTTATAGATATGTGTATATGCCTGGGTTAGTATACACACATATGTTCCATCCGCTGAAAAGGCCTAGAGGCAATGACATCCCAGTAGCAATGAGCAAACCTAGTGCTCAGATCTTGATTTCTAATAACATTCTTCAATAAAAGGAGACAGGATTCCTCAGAAAAATGGCTGATTCTGGGAATGGAGCAGACTATAAACAAGATGGACTTGGAGTATCTTTTAGTGCCAGAAATTGAGAAAATGTACACACAAAAAGATGATGGGGTATGACAAAGGGACACAGTAGCCAACTTAATGAGTTCCTCCCCTCAAAAACAGCAGTATTGAATTATAAACCAAAGAATAAAATAAATATCCATGAGTTCATGCTGCTATAAATTAATGATTGAATAAACAAATGGGGAGAATATGCACATTTCCAATGCAAAAGAATTCCAAATAATTTATGTAGATAATCTGCTCTTAAGAAAATGAAGCATTACTATCTCCCTTCCCCAGCTCCTTAAGAGTAAGTTGCACATAGTTACTTTGTCCCAAGAAGTACAGTGTAAAAACAGAGAAAGAAAAAGGGTCACTTTTCAGTGGAGAAATCTGACAAACACTTCCTCAAGACAGGTAATCAAGGTTAACATCAACATTGATAAGTCATATTGATAGTATGTGTTCTTGATATGATGTGATGAAAATGACACTTTACCTCTGTGGACTTCCTCCCAAAAACCTATTACCTCAGTCTACTTATAAAAAAATCACCAGAAAAGTCTCAGTTGGGGGAAATTCTATAAAGTTCCTGATGAGTAATCCTCAAAACTGTCAAGGTCATTAAAAACAAGAAAGTCTGAGAAACTATCGCAGCTCAGGGTGCCTAAGGAGATATGATAACTAAGTGTAATGTTATATCCAGACAAAGGACATTAGGGGAAACTGAGGAAATCAGAATAAAGAATGGACTTTAGCTAATAATAATGTATCTATATCAGTTCATACATTTTGACAAATGTACTATGTTAATATAAGATGATAATAATAGGGGAAACTGGATGTGGGATATACAAGGATTCCCTGTACTAGCTTCACAATGATTATGTAAATATAAAACTGTTCTAGAAAGCCAGGCACAGTGGCTCACGCCTGTAATCCCAGAACTTTGGAAGGCCGAGGCGGGTGGATCACCTGAGGTCAGGAGTTCAAGACCAGCCTGGCCATCATGGTGAAACCCCGTCTCTGTTAGAAATACAAAAATTAGCGAGGCTTGGTGGTGGGTGCCTGTAATCCCAGCTACTTGGGAGGCTAAGGCATGAGAATCACTTGAACCCAGGAGGTGGAGGTTGCAGTGAGCCGAGATTGTGCCACTGCACTCCAGCCTGGGCGACAGAGTGAGACAAAAAAAAAAAAACTGTTCTAGAATACAAAGTGATTTTTAAAAAATTCCCTCTGAGTAACACTAATAATCAAGCAAGCATTGGATGCAATATTAGAAATAGTATGTGACACAATATTATAAAGAGAGAAGAAATTCCCTTAAGCTGGAGTGATTAAGGAAGGCTTCATGGAGAAATAAATATCTGATCAGGTTCTTGAAGGATGGACAAGACTTTAATAGGCAATAACAGGGATGGAGTAAATCAGAGGATGACATGAGTAAGGAGTTTTCTTTTTCAGGAAACAGAAGCTTTCTAAGACAATTTCTAAGCAGTATAATACTGACACACCCAGAGGGGTTAAAAAAAAAAAAAAGCAATGTAGTCAGATGGTTTTGACTGAAGAGGATGGATCCAAAGCAAATAAAACACGGAAGATTTAAATGGCCCCATAGTGAGGGGCTGAGGGGTATGTGATCTACAACTACAAAGGGTGATGAGCATAGTTTCATAGCAATTGATTTGGATAAGATAAAATACATGTCTCAGTGTTCCTAGCCACTTCCAGCAACGGGAACACTATTTCCATAAATAAGTCCCTAAATAAACATGCCCAGAGAAAGAAACACACAGGTGAATCCTGGAGACATTGGTCTTGGCTATAGTTGAGCACTAACTCATGACCATAATCCAGGATGTCCTTCCAGAGAGACCCGAGCTCTTTGTAAGCAGCCATCCAGTAAGTGCTGAGGCCCAGGACTGACTTGGCTCACCGCCCTCTCCTAGCAGTCTTTTGCAGGACAGTCCTAGAATTCTCTCTCTCTCCTGTGGCACCTCTCTCATGGGTTACTGGCCGTAACTTCCTCCCCTCCATAACCTTCCCCAATAATTCCTTCTGCAAAGAATGTCTCCCACACATCATTTCCTTTCTTTCCTTCACCAAAACACATGCTTAATTTAACTCTACTGGATCCTTCACAACATTGTTATAAAATTATCCATTTAATCATTAACTTCAAAATGGTTCATTCTTATATTGCCAAAGTATTACTTTACATCGTGCACAAAGTATGTGCTCAAAAATGGTTTTTAACTGAACTAAGCCAAACCTACTAAGTGTTCAAAAAATGTTGACTAATTTACTTTTTGAAACTGTTGCCGGGCTTCAAGCTGCGAATCTCCAAAAGCAATAATTATTTTTCTGTTTTGCCTAAAATTAGATGACTGTCAGCTAACAAACAGAGCACTGTAAAGCACCTAGAAGTATTATACCTATACCATGTACTTCTACTACGAATCAGAGACCATCTCTTACAATATTCACAGTAACTCAATGAGGTTTGTTTTCAACAACAAGGAAGCTAAGGAGAAAGAGGTTAAAGCTAATCAGGTTACACACCTGATAGGTGACCAAACTCATATGTGAACCTAAGGCTTGTGTTACTTCAAAATCCACATGGGTTTTTGTTGTTTTTGTTGTTCCTTCTTTTGTTTTTGCTCATCATCACACTATATCATCCTTTGATCTGGGCTCCACCTACCTCACCAGAGCTGCCCTTCTCCTCATCCTCTCCACCTCAGTCACACTGGAGCTTCTTTTCTTTTTCTTCCATTTTCTTTTGCCTAAGGACCTCCGCCAAGAAGTTTCTCTCCTCTCTTTGCCTAGTTCAAATCTCTACTAAATGGTCACTTTCTCAGCAAAATATTCTCTCATCCCCTTGATTGTTACATGCTCTAAAAACATAATGTTTCTATATAGAAATGATCATAGTTTCTCATTATATATTCATTGCTGTGATTGTTTAATTTGTATTCCCCCCCAACACACACAAGCTCCATGTTCATTTTATTCGTTGTTGTAGTCTCAACACTACCAGAGTGCCTGATAAGTATTTGCAGAATGAATTAATGATTGCCTTGAGCCATATATTCAGTGACTACATCTGGTCATTCTAAATTCCATACCCTAAAAGGAAGTATCTCTAAAGCTTATTGTGAGCAGAATCACCCTTTTCTGCACCTTCGAATGAGTCTTTCCAAGGGTTCAATATTTAAACAATGTGACATGTGAACAGAACTCAAAAGTATACATGGAAGCATGTCAAGGAGCTGCTAGGAAAGCCCTTCTCTACCCACTTATTTAGTTAGTAGTACAAACCCCTTTGACAATTTATTTAAGCCTCAAGAAATAAAACTCAAAATGCAAACACCCCTGGTCAAGCCATTGGCCTTCATTCATTCATTCAGCAACTATTTTGTAAATATCTATTAGGTGCTATTACAGGTGATAAGCACATCAGTAAAAAAGGCAAAGAAGGTTCCTGCCAACATGGAACTTATAGTACATAAGAAAACAAGTAAATGAAGAAGAATTTTAAAGAAACATATGTACAGGGAAGAAAATAAAATAGAGTAATGTAACAGAAAGGGAATGAGAGCTGTTCTAGGTAAGGTGGCCAGCAAAGGCCTCTCTGAGTATGCAATTGGTATAGAAATAGATAAGCAGAACACTGAAGAGAATGAACAACCCAGAAAAGACTCATGAATAAATGGAAATGTACTACATGAGAAGGTGGGTATTTAAACTTGGTGAAGAAGTTTCAGATGCTTTAGTAGCCTTTTCAAAAGCAAATGAAGGTATATCTACACCTCACAAAAATGAGCCCAAAATGTAAAGATGGAACCATAAGAATATTTCAAGGAAAATCTAGAAAAATTTGCTATGAGCTAAAGATAAGGAAGGCCTGCACAAATGAGACATGGAAAGCAAAATCCAGAAATGAAAAGAATAATAAAAATTTCCACCAAAATTCAAAACTTCTTTAAGACCAAAAGACATCATAAACATAACATGTAAACAACTGGCTAAGATAAATATTTGAAATTGTATAATGAAATAACTTCTAGTATTAATAATCTCTATAAATCATTTTTTAAAAGCCACTAGAAAAATGGGCCAAGTAAATAAAAAGCATTCAACAGGGGAGACAATATAATGCTGTAAACATCTAAAAGTATTCAACCTCTCAAGTAGTCACAAAGACAAACATTAAAGCAGTAGTTGAATGCCAATTTTACCTATCAGACTGGCAAAATTTTAAAGTGTGATAATATAAACTTTGGCAATAATATGGCAAATGCATACTCTCATACTCTGCTGCTGGATATATAAATTAGAAGATAATTTCAATAAAAATACATATACCATAATTTCTATATCCCATTTATTCTTATTTACCCTAAAGAAAGACTTGTGTGTGTACACAATGAGGCATGCACAAAAAAGTGCTTTGCAATATATTTTTTAACAACAAAAACTTAGAAAAATGTCTACCAGTAGGATAATGTTATTAACTATAGAATATTCCTACTGTGAAATGCTATGCAATAGTAACAATGAATGCATTAGAGCTACTCACAGTTACAACGGTTGAAGTCTATGACATGTTTTTAGGTGAACAAGAAGGTTGCAAAGTTTATGTAAAGCACACTATATATTTTTATGATAGACACACACTCATGTACATTTATATATATATAAGATCTGGAAGATTAAACACCATGCTGACAGCAGTGGTTCCCTCCAAGACAGAGTTAGGAGATGGACTGCTGTATTTGTCAGAGGAGATTGTGAATGGTGATCAAAGGGAGACTTTAGCCTTATTTGTAATGTTTTGATTTTCAACAAGGAAAATGTGTTCCTTGTTAATGTCATTTATATTAGCTTTTCTGACAAAACCAAACAAAACATTTTTCCTGGAAGCAGGCTATCAGAATCTCAAGGACACTTTCTGTGCATTTCCGAGAGTTGGAGGTGTGGGGGGAACACGTCCTATACTTCAAGAATCACTTGTTGTATTGGGAAATGTCTTAGCACATCTTGCACATGAATAGAGTGGAAGAAGAAAACAGTTGAGAATTACTGCCTGTTTCTATTTTAGAATTCCTGAACTTTATCAGTTACTTATAGATGCATTACATCATTGAGCCTCACCACAATCCTGTGGAGAGAAATTATCATCTCCTTTTGACAATAGAAAAGTACGGCCCTAAGTCACTTCACCCTCAATTGAGGCTGTTTTACCTGGTCTGGCTGGTGCTTCCCATTCATTGTGCTGAATTAGAGTTGGCTTCTTTACCTGACTTTCTCTCAAGCCTGACCATGAGTCATTGAAGGTCAAGGATCTTGCATATCTCTATCTCGAAATGAGATTAATTTTGACTTGCTTGGGTCACTAAGTTAGAAGACCACAGAGTAAGAACTGGATCCCAGTTCGCCTGACTCCAAGGTCAGTGTTTCTAGGACCACAGCCCAATATTTACCAAAGAACATCAAGGAGCATGTGGCTCAGAGAGAATATGTCCTTTGTAGTAAAGAACCCACTTCCCTCTTCACAGTCAAAATCCTCTTCCCTAGCCAAGCTGGATGGACATTCCAAATTGATTTCAAAGGAAGTCATGGCTCAGGACTTCCCAGATCTGACAAAAGACCACCAGCTCTCCATCTCAGGACTGCCCCCACTGGGATCTGGACAGGCCATGTGTCAAAGCCACCAGGAAACCAGGAAGTAAAATGGAAGATCAGGCAGACAGGAGTGTGGCAGCCACAACTAGAAATTAGCAGCTCTCCAGGAAAGAAAAAAGCAAGAGTCTGAGAGGTTAAATGTCTCACAAATTATCTCTGTACTTGGGTGAGCTTCTAAAAGCCTTTTTCTGAGACACATTCAGGGCCAAATCATGGTGAAAGGGTAAGTTATCTGAACATTCTGCCTGACACAGTTCCAGTCCATGTAGGGTTCTTATAGGCAGGGTTTGCTCCTACCTATAAGAACTTCAATGAATATGTGGCTCATGGATGAGCCAGGAATATGTGGGCATCCTAGATCAGCTCTTGGTTGTACACACATGACACCATATTTCTCTTTTCCAACTGCCTTAGCAATCAGATCATTTCCCAAAACAAGCTTCACACTAGTGCTCAGATAGGATGGTATGGGGACACAGCTAGGAACCTTGGGAGATAAGTGCTGAAATGATTTTTGACCTGCCAAGTGAGAAAGAGTGAGCAGGAAGTTAAGTTCTCCTCTTGCCTGGTTTATACCCCTGGTGATCTCAGAGCAAGCCCCAGCACTCTGGACTGGTGGAAACAGCAGCCCTTCAGTGGTTCAAAACACAAGCCCTACTGCAATGTCTTTGCTTTAGATCTAAATACACATGATAGATTATATATGTATATACGTACATGTGTGCATGTGTGTGTATAAACATATGTGCATGTGTGTGTATATATGTATGTGTGTGTATATATATATAAATATATATTCAAATGATATAGATATGAAGAGAAACACCTTTGAAATGTAGCTATAATAGTGAACTACATTTCTTTGGAAAAATACCTCCATCATTTCCACCCCAGTGATAATATGGAAAGTAAGAAGAGCAGGCAACTCCTGGATCTTTTGCTCCAACAAAATGGAAAGTTTGAGTACCTCCATTCTTCCTAAGCCCCTCAGGAGTGACCATAACTCAAATATGGTAGAACTCTTTTTTCTCCAAGTCTGATCATTGCAAAAAACAACTTTTTCTCTGAAGCAGAACTAGGGGTATATCCCACTTTAAGAAATGCCTAAAGTTACCAAACTCATAAATCATGAAATGTTTATCTACACTACAGAATAGTTCTTCGCAAAAGGATTCAATGCCGGGTAACTTTGAATAAAAAATCCCACACAGTACATTTAAAATAACATTCAGTATATAAAAATATTCCATCTACTTACCAAACTCATAAATCACTAGATGAGTAGCCATTACAAAGTAATTCATCCCTTGACAAAAGAATCCAGTGCTGGGTTCCTTTGAATAGCAAATCTTTTCAGTACATTCAAAATTGATGCAACATACCAAGATCCAGTTTATACCCAACTTTTCAGGAATACAGCTTGTGTAAAAAGCAAGACATGTCTGATTTGGTAGACAGCCATTCTCTCCACGGAGTCCATTTTTCCAGATCCAAAAGCTAGGGACTATCTGAGGTGGCCTCGACTTTGCTGAAGAATGAAAATTCAGATTTCCCCCAGGGATCTTGACACTGAGCCTGTGATCTGGACTGGAGAGGAAGTGCTGGCCCTCCAGGAAAATCATCTGTGGCCTGTAGCCCAGGCCAGGCCTCTCCACCTAAGCTCAAATGCACCTCCCCTGCAGGAAAGGTAGGACCCTGGAAAGGCTGGAGTATGAAGGGGAAAAGAGATAAAGGGACTGAGGTCAAGTTGGGGCAGGCAAATACAATGTTTGTGTGTGTGTGTGTGTGTGTGTGCATGACTGTGTGTGGCACTTGCATTTGTGTGTGTTGAAGATTAAGATTTGGTGGGGAGAAGAACACCCCCATGATTTAGGGCTATGTATTTTAATTCAGGGGCCATTCAGGGCATTTAAATCTTGTTTTTCCTCTCTGCTGAGTCATTTTCATTTCAGATTAAACAAATATGAAGAGCAGTTTTGGAGTATTTCATATTAAGCAAACAAATATGCAGAAATGAGCTTGGTTTTGGCAAGAGATGGGCCCTCAAACACATACACAGAAACAAACAGCAGAGCTGTCCCAAACATTCTCATCTCATGTTCTGTTTCTATTCCTGAGGATTTGTTGAAGTTTTCCTAACTCTCAACTTTCCTCTGGGAGTCCCAACCTCGTGATTCTCAAAATGCAGCCCCTCAGTGTGGAGCCAAAGGCCCAGAATGACCCCTTCCGTAAGTATCTGGGCACATAGGATGTGCCCCAGGTGACCTGAGGTGACCCACACTGGATGAAATAGCAAGCTCCACTTCTGCCTTTGTTATAAGACTACTTTGCTCCCCTCCATCTCAGCCTTTCCTTCTGTAAAATGAGATGCTAGAGTTTGTAGGAGAGGTGAGGGGGGAAAGTGCTAGATGGCTATCTTATTCTCTCACTCCTTTCTAAGAAGACAAGAAGATGTTGAGTCACATGACTATTATAGAAAACATCCCTCTTCCAGGGGCAGAATGGAGTCACAGAACATTGACTGCATTACTTCATTCACCTAGTTTCCTGTCTGTACTGTACACACTGGAAATGTCAAATCTAACGTCTTCATTTGATTACTGGGAGGAAGAAGGAGAGAAAATGCAAACTGAAGGCAGAGCATTTTCCAGATACAAAACAGTATTTTAGAAGTGTTATCATCCAGTATCCCTCAGTCTGCTAAGACCCTGGACAAGTTATTCAACCTTGGTGAGCCCTAGCAATCTCTAGCTTTTCATTTGGATCTTTTACTCTCACCTCTGACTTGCTGGAAACTTTTCTGCATGTGAGTATCTTTCCCAACCAGCTCCTCTCATTTTCTTTCCCACCGTACCTTCTGTCCCAGGCTCCGCAGCCCTTGGAAGCATGTGCTGGTGAGCAGAAGGTCATCTTTCCACATTACTGGGCACAAGAGGGTCAGCCTGAGGGACTGTGGTCAGAGGCTTTTGGAAGCAACCAAGGAAACATGCCAGCCCTCAAAATCATAGAACCATACGGTAAAAACCTGAAGGGACCTGAAAGCTCATCTTTCTCAATTCTCTCCAATTGGAGGTGATAAAAATAAGGCAGCCCAAAAAGCAAAGTGACCTCCCCAGGGGCAGCAGCTGCTCACAGGCAAGGCCAGGCCCCTGGTATTCCAGCCTAGCACTTGTTCTCTTATCACGCTATCCCTATTAGCCCAACTTCCTGTTTTTCCTTCCTAAAACTCTGAGCCACCCATACCTTCTTTAGGCCCTGTCTGTCTCTGATAACTGGTTTCTTTAAACCAGATTGAAGTTACTTCCCTCCACCCTCTGAGCCCCTGCACTCAATGTTCTGCCTCCTACCTCCCTTGCTGCTCCTTATGAGTCACCTTGTCTGAGACCAGGCTTGCTGGGTTTGAGTCCTGTCTCCCACCTCTCACCAGTGTCATGCACCTGGGCACACACTTGAACCTTGGCACCTCTGTCTTCTCACCTGTAAAAATGGGAGTAATAATGGCACCTGCCCACAGGAATGTTGTAAGGATGAAATGAGTTAACATGTAAGAAGTGTCTAGAACCTAGTACCTGTCTCATAAATGTTACCATTTATTTGTATTTCTCTTTGGTTTTCACTGTGCCTGGCATCATGTTCTCAATAAATTTGCAAGTTAGGGGCAAAAAGCATGCCACCCCTAGCCATACTCTTATTTCTGTATCCATTAACACCTATATAGTAAGTACTCAGTAAGTACTCAGAGAATATGTGTAGGTTGGTTGGCAGGTATTTACATGATAGTAAAATAGGCAAGAACAACAATACAAACTTCCTGCCTTTGACCAGGACATTTCATTTGGTCCATCCTGTGAGTGATGCTGCCTCTGGGGAAAGTGCCTTGGGCTTCAGCAGTCATGAAAGACCCAAGCAGTTTCCTATGAACCAGCAGAGCAGAAATCAGCCTGGGCTGAGGAGAACTGAGTGGCAGCCACTTCTGTGGGGGCAGTGATGTGATTACGCTGCTTGATCAATACCGTGAGTGAGAGTGCTCATACCTCAAGAACCTTCCAGTTCAGCCACTCAAAGCCACAAGGCCCAGGAGCTTGTTTTGATTGTGCCATTTCCACCAGGACCATCCTACTCTTGCGGTTATGGCTGTGCTGCCTCTTGAGAGCACATGGCTCTGAAGGGCTGCTTACTTTTAGTGCAGGCCCAATCAACATGGCCTGAAGCATCACTGAGACATCAATCAATTCTATCTCATCTAGCTATAGGAACCCCTCCTGAACCCAGAAGAGATCATGTGTGATGCCAATAGACCCTCCTTCCTGATCCCTGCAGGAGACCCTCCTTGGAGAGAAACTTGGGCTCAACTTCCCAGACACCAGGCAGGGTCTGTCTGCCCTTTTGGCAGAGCAATCTTAGTGTCTTTCCCTTAACATACTCAAGACTCAGGAGATCAAGGCCTACCCTGGTGTTTTTACCACAAAGAGACAGAGACCTCTCACCTTCTCTGAAACCATCAGAGACAGAAAGGATTTCTCCTCCCAGGCCTTTGCAACCATATCCTGTAGTGATAACTTCAGAAATGTCATGAGTGAGGAACTTCTAAAACAGCCAGGTACTAACTAGTCTGTGGGTTTAGGGACACTTTTCTATCAGTGTAGAAAGTATAAGCTGGTTAAAAGTAGAAAATGGTATCACTATTAAAATTAAATGGAATAATGCATATAAAGAACTTACAGTACCATTCCTGGGATATAGTAAGTGCTTATAAATATCAATTTTTGAATAGCGGTATGAATAGAATGGTGTATAGGAAGAAAAAGATCAGCAGTCGAGGTGGCAATCGTATGTTTAGCATCTATTGTGAGCCCAGGACTGGCTGAATCACCTGGGGCAACACAACAACAACAAAAAGTCAGTCTTTTTTTCTTGCCAGGAGGAGATTTACATGACTAGCGCCTGTGAGCATTTGGAAAAACCAACAAGACAATGAGCAAGCAGCTTCATGCCAGGCCATGGCTGCAGGGTTGGTGCAATAGATTAGAAGATGTATAAGTGGACCTGGATGAATAACAGACTTTAGGAAAGACCATGAAGAAAAAATACAAAACAAGCAATCATGAAAAATTGCAGTCTCAACATCCAGCTGTTGAAAGAGGCAAAGGCTCAGGAAGACCTTCAATTGTGAGAGGGAGAAAGAAAGCAAGAGTTGAATTCAGAACAGACTGGTTTGTTCTCCATCCTCACCAATCCCTGACAGCTGTAGACCTCATAGGGACTTAGAAGGCCTTGTAAGGCTCAATTGCCTTAGGAAAAAGAAGCAGGATGGAGACACAGAGCAGTGGCTCTAAACTTAATCTACCCCTTTTTTTCTGATGTTAGGCATGGTAGAACAAAGCAGATTGGCCCAGGGACATACAGACACTAAGATTGAAGGCTCTCTAGCCCCATACCTAGGAAGAATATGGCCCAGGAGTTCCTGCCTGAATCCCAGAGCCTGAAAGCCTCATTCAGCAGTTGGATTAGCACCAAGTGTCTGGGATTCTTTTCCTGGTCCCTACCCCTTCCTCCAAACAAGTCAGTCCCTCAGCACCTACAGTTTCTGCAATCCTTGCCAAGATAATAAAGTCATTGATCAAGAGAAGTTCAGCTTCTAACCCTTTCCATTTCATGCTTCCTTCACATTGCTGGCCGGACATTCTCTTCTGTGTTACTTTAACTTGCAGCCTCTGAACCAAGCAGTGCAGAAAATATGTTTGTTCCAGGCGATTAAACACCTATAGGCTCCATCTCCACTCAGGAAGCTTCCCCTTGAGTCACCAGCATCTGGTACCTACTCTTGATAAGTAAAGAGCCCTCCTCTCTATCCTACCAGGCCCGCTCCTCTCCACTTTCTGGCCCAGGTTAAAAATACCACATTGCCAGGGCCAAGTGTGACACCAAGGGCTTGCCCCATGCTGGCCTCAGAGGCTTCTCAATCTCATTCTCAGAATGCCCTTGCTTGGGTCTAACCTCCCAGCAACTCCACCTCTCCTGCAGAAGACTCACATTTACCAGCCCCTTTGCACAAGAGCTTATGGCTTGTGAGTTGCCCCTTTTCACCAGGTAAATGTATGCTTTCCTTCAAACTCTTGCTCCTATCTGACTTGCCTACCCACCTGTGGGCTCAGACGATGCTTTGAGGATATGAACACATATGAATGTAGAATTTTTCAGTGGTAGTATCTTTATGCATGTCTGTCTCCCTGGCTAGGCTTGAGGAAAGGGTCTTGTCATGGTCTTCCTTACATTCTTATGCAGAGCACAGAGTTGGGAGATAATCAGTGAATGTGCTGGGTAGATGAGTGGATGGCCTGAGGGCTCTGCAGTGTCCAGGAATGGCTGCTGACCTGTTCATCTCACTGCCAGGAGTTGAAAAGATGTCATACACAGATGTCATACACATTATGCTCTTATCTTCACCATGGCACTTCTTCTAGGCCACAATAATCTGTCTCCTCTCTTGCGTGATCCACTGCACCTATTCCCCAAAACTTAGCAGATAACCATTTAGTGACTTAAATTGCTCCTTAATTGTGTTAGTGTGTATGTGTGAAATTTTTATCTCCTCCTCAAGACTGTAAGTCCCTGAAGGGCAAGAATATTTTGCATGTCTCAGGGCTTATGAGAGCACTGATAAACGTTTATGGAGCACTTATTATGTATCAGGCAGTGTGCTAAGATTTACATGAATTTTCCTCATTTGGTTCAGGGCCTCAGAAGGATCTTGAACAAGTGAAGAGAACAGAAGCAGAAACTTAGCCAGATGACAGTAAGCTGGCCTCTGGGCCTGAGTTCTAGTCCCAGATCTGCCACTCATCACCCCAGGGCCTAAGCAATCGTCCCATACCCAGAATGGGCTCAGCTCCCTCTTCATTCCAACAACGAGGCTGGAATGAATGAAAATGGAGGAGTTCCAAGGCCCCTGTCAGCCCTGGCACTGTAAATCTACCAGCCGTGGTTCTAAACACTCCAGCGGGTGTACCACAACAGAATAGAGTTGCCCCCTGATCCAGAAGGAATGCTGCTCCCCCTTTAGCCCAGGCACATACTGTATTACAGTAATGAGAGCTTCGGCTGCTTTAAATATCACAAAACAAAAACAACGGGCAGCCCGAGTTCATCATCCCCATCCAGACCACAGAGGAGCACACCGCCAGGCTGAGGCCAGAGCGACATGGTGAGAGAAGCCCACACAGTCGCTTTCAGGGATCCATTGGCTCGTAGCTGGAATGAAAATCACCAATGGCAGGGGCTGTTAAGACGCAGTCAGGGGGACAGCCCACAAGGTCACACTGGGACAAAGAGGCCCTGGCTGTAGTGAGATTGGATATCTGGAATCCTGGATCCACCAGAGATGAGCTGGTGCCAAGCCTGAGGCTACAGGAACCACGGTCTCTCACCTCTGGGAGAGCCAGGAGAGTCCAGCCAAAGGTCTCCACAGAAATGAGGCTACAGTCTCCCTCTGGGTCCTGGGAGGCATCTGCAAAGCAGAACAGCAAACATTAATCAGAAGGGCCGGAGTGGGTGAGCATGCGAAAAGCACAGGAGCCAGGTCCTTTTTCTCTCAATGATTCTCCCAAAAGCAAAAGGGCAAATCTTCAGGGGATTCTGGCAGGCCCCGCATGGAAAACCCCTTGAAGCAAGAGCTATGCTGTTGAGAGTCCTTAGTAAACCCCCGTTATGTAAAATGGCCCAGGACTATTCAGAAGCCTTATCAGATAGTGCTATAGACTGGATGTGTGTGTTCCCCCAAAATTCCTATATTGAAATTCTAACCCTCAATGTGATAGTATTAGGAAGTAGGGCCTTTGAGAAGTGATTAGGTCATGAGGGTGGCACCCTCTTTCAGGGTCCTTTTAAAAGAGACCCCGCAGAGATGCCTCACTGCTTCTACCATGTGAGGACACAGTGAGAACATGCCATCCATAAACCAGGCAGTGGGCCCTAACCAGACCCTGAATCTGCCAGCACCTTGATCTTGGACGTCCTAGCCTCCAGGACAATGAGAAATAAATTTCTGTTGTTTATAAGGTAACTGGACTATCTTTTTTTTATTATAGTATCCAAATGGGGTAGAGTAGATAGTTATTTGATGTTGGTATGTGTCAAATCAGGGTGAAGAGCATGAACATGAAGCAACTCCACACATGGACAATGAATAAGGTTCATGCACACTCTCTTCCTGCAGAAGTGGCTTTGCTGCCCCTTTACAACTCTCAGGCTGTTAGACTCCATTGCTCCAAGGCATTTTCTGGTGATTGGGGAATGGAACAGGCATTTATCTCAGCAAGGCAGGGATTAGGGGCAGGGAGATGCTTTATCTATATCCCATCTACCCCATAATAAATGGTACCTCTGCCAGAATAGAAAATCGATAAAAGATTTGCCAATATCTTTTGTTTGATAGCAAAGACACATGGGCAACTCTTTCCTAAGCTGTAGGTTCCTTGCAGGATAAGGCTTCTCAATAACTGTGTGAGCCAGGGCTTTAAAAGGGAGGCTGAAGGTCTAAAGTCAAATGAAGGATGCCACCACCTCTGCCAAGATTCTACTCAGCATTAACTGCAGGAATGTGCAGATCTGTCTCCTCTCTTGTGTGCAATAGGAGCCAATGGCGTATGATGTCATCAATCCCATGGGGATCCCGGCATGCGCACAAAGTATCAAACTCATTTTGGGAAGACAGACACACTCTGGAAAGGCTGGGGTTGGGTGGAGGGGGAGAAGCTATGGGGAAAAATCCATTAGACGTGAAAACCAGGAACTGGAATAACTACATAAGGGGAGCTTATGTGACTTCAGCACCTCCTTTTGTGAGGTTCCTAGCACACTGCTTGGCCTGCCCTTGAAGGTGAAGATAGTATCTCTCTTTATCTCTAACACCTAACACAGTGCCTTCCACAGACAGGTGATCAAGAAATATTCATGAATTCACCTATAGTAGGTGCTCAATAAATTTTGTTCCCTTTTTAACATTCTTAATCTCTTCTACCTCAGGAACTTAAGCCAATTGGAGGTTTGTGTCCTATTTGCCACACAGGGCTGGCACTAAATGGACAACAGTGCTCTGGCACACACCCTCTTCTCATCTTCCATCTATCCTCTCTTCCTCCCTCACACTCACCCCTCTTCTGATGAGAACAATAGCATAATAGCAGGCTCTTCATTACCTTCCCTTCTCTGAACTCCTCATTGATGTTGATAACATTCTCTTGAACTGGAAACTAATTTTTTCCATATGATTCAGTCTTATCTCTATTTTTATCTCATTTTCACAATGCCAAATATAATACGTTTATCTCATTATAAACTCACTGATATCAGGAACTAGGCTATACGTTCTGTATAGGCATCGTGGCACATAGCACAATGCCTTATATACTTCTGAACAAACTGCATATACTCTCTATCCCAAGCTATGACTTTCCTAGTTATATTTTATGCTTTATCACTCAATCTAGTCTTCTTCCTTTACACATGTTCCCAACTTCCAAAAGGAAAGGATGGCTTGAAATATTCATTAACCAGCATTTATTGAGAACTTATTACATATCAGAAAATATGCTAGGTGATAAAGAAGAAAAAATGTATATACACACACACAGAGAGAGAGAGAGAGTATAAAAGACCAGAAATGCCACAGTTTAAGTCACTTTCTCTATTGAAGCCAAGGGAGTTAGCTAGCTGAGTGGCTTATCGGAAACAGCATCTGACCAGCTGCTGAACTAATGGTGTAATCTTGGATGAGCCAAATATTCTCCCTGAGCCTCTGTTTCTTAGTCCTTCATAATGTGAGGAAGACATGTCCTCTCTAACATTATGATCCTTCTGGACAACGAGCAGTACCAAAGCTTATGTAATTAGATCCTATGGTAGACAATAAATATACTGTAGCTATTGGCATAAAGATTGAGAATCATGAGGTTGAAATAGGGTGACATTTAAACTGCATGTAACACCAATTACATTTAGGTTCACATCAACAGACTACATACTCAAAGACTCTAGCAGTAACAGACATTCGATGAATGACCTATACTCAGAGTCGCACACATGAATCTAGTTGGGTAGGGAATATCTATTCAAAACCAAGAGCCAACAATAGGAGATGATACATTGTTGGTATTCTTGTTTTTTCTGAAGTCACTGCTTGCATGGGACCTAAGTATAAGCTGCTTGCATAGTCAGTATAAGATGGAGGAGAAGGTAAAAGATACCTTTTCTCCAGCTGATGGGAGAATTCAAAAATTTTCTAAGGAGAATGAAAGAAATAATCCAAGAAGGAAGACAGAGTGACAATAATTGCAACGAACAAAGATGAAAAATATGATTCAGAACTTTATGCACAACAACGCCACGTGAGGAGGAAGCTGGGAAGAAAAATAAGACAAAGAGGAGAAAAAGGAGAATCCCAAACTGTACAACTAAAACTAATAAAAAGAACTAGACTCTTCTCAGAGAAGGTAAATTGGGCTTTGTGACTAGAAAGCTGTATCTCCAGGATGCAAAGTTTCAAGGAGCTTAATACAGCTCCAGTGGGAAGAGAAAAGTGGTGATGAGTGACTCCCTACCAAGAAAACAAGGGGATTTACTGAAAGACCTTCGAATGTTTCATGCAGAAAAAAGAAAACTACACTGGGACTTAATGTTGGTCTTCAAATATGTGATGCCCTATTCTGAAATAAAAGGATTCAGCTCATACAACAGAACTCCAGTCATGACTAAGGAAGTTACAGAGAGGCAGATTTTCATCAAAAATAAGAGGGAACACCCTAAAAATTAGAGCCATCCAAAAACAGGCTGTGCTTCTTTGTGAGGTTATGAGCTCCCCACTACTGGAAATATTCAAGTAGAGGCTGACTAATCATCTTACTTGTGAGGCTGTAGGGAGGATCCTTCTTCATGTAGGATATTGGTTTAGATAACTTTTTAGATCACTTTCAGTTTTAATAATCTATGTGTCTGTTCACCAGAGTGCAAAAGCAGGTTAACTTGACATCAGCCTGACACAAAGCAAATGGATACTCATGAGCTGAAAGAGCTACTTTATTCATACTGATACAGAGTCAAAGCCTTACCTAGCAATAGTTTATGGCCAAGAGCCATATGGCTTGTAAGCCTATGAACACTCCCACATGACCATATCACCTACACACGTAAATACCAGAGCTGATCATTGTTACCTTCCATTTACTGCAAATGCCATCTGGCCCAGATACTGTGGCAAAACTAGGATATCAGGCTATCCTCTACTACAGCTGAACTGTTTAAACCAACTTTGAGCTTCAGAAGTCAGGTCTGGAAGACAAAATTAATCACTTTTCCAAGGGAGTTGGGTCAACCTATTTAATACCACTTAATAGTTGTAAAGAATGATTCTATCTACTACGGTCAGCTATAAAAAGTGTTTTAACCTACAAACATATATTAGTAAATTACCGCTGCTTTTTTTTTTTTTCAGTTCTTCTTCCCATACCCAGATCTCCCCAAGTCCTAAATTATTTATCAGGGTTTTGAATGCCATTGAAATATATACCAACACTGCTCAATGTTTCTCCTGAGCACTGCTGAATGTGGTAAAGTTTCATTTCACCACAACACATGTAGAAGACAGAATGCAAAAAAGAAAACACCGGTTTAATCACACAGCACATAGTTTCCTTTTCTGTCTCAACCAGTAGCTATAAGCGGTTTTAAGACATGAACTATGCCATTCTCGTAGAGCCCTGTAAGTAATTAATGACTTTGAGTAACACCTCATAGAGGCATCTTCTCAGTAATACCTCTTCCAAAGTCTTGCTGTGACCCCAAATCCCAATAGTAGAGTAAGAGATTCTCATTGCTTCCAAAATTTTGGTTACAATGTATGCTTTAACATGTGTAGTAAAAGGATGACCCAGCCCCAGCATGCTCATGTTTCTATGCAAATACCTCCTCTTGTGTAGAGGTCTGCAAGTACATCAGATTTCCAAGGCTGAAATCATGTGCTAAAAATGCTGAAGGCTCAGCACTCTCCATACTATGCTGGAGTTTCAAGGTCTTAGCTGCCTGAGAATAAAATATTCCCCCAAGTGTGAATCTTCAATATGGCATGCAAATGAGTTGCATGATGTCCTTGACCTAGCTCCCTGAAAAGGGATGTGGCATACAAAACTGAGTGTCTGGGTCATAGTCATGGGGTCCACAATAGCCCAATAGACATTGCACTCACAAGGCCCTGAGCCTGGGTAGGATCCAAGGCTGATAAGGAGCACATTTACCCAAATAGCAAAAGATGGTGTTGCCAGTAGAAGCCAGGATATTGTCGCCAAACATCAGGTGAGGGGTGGGAAAGTCATATGGTTAGAATCCTGCAATATTGAAAAGAAGAAATGGTGAGAGATAGGATCATGGTCACTGTAAATGTGCTAGACATCCACCTCTGTGTGGTCCATTGCAGTTTAAAGAAGCTCTCTCATGAGTAACTACCTTTGTTTGAAAATAGAGTTGCAGATGCTTTGTTTGAAAACAGAGTTGCAGATGCTTATGATTATAGTTAGGGCATGCATGGGAAATCCATTTCCTAACAAATTGAGCTACATATCAACTTAGGAAGAGGTGACAATAGAAGCTAATTAGGAGGAAAAGATCTTTCTGAGTGTTATCTAAACTATTTATTTGTGAATCCAAAAATCTCAGTGTTTATGTCTAAGAATTTTACTGTAGAACTTTGCATCTTATTTTTATATCTGTGTGTTTTAAAACTAAAACTGAATTTTCACTTGGATAAAATTGATGGCATATTCGGAAATAATAGACTAAGTCTTACAGAAAGGAGATAAAAGTGAGATTAAGAGAAGCTGAATTCATCGAAGATATTCTATATTTTGCTTTTATTTTTTCATGTTTTGAAGACAACAAACAAGAAGCAGAGAATGGCATAACTGTATCCAACCACCTGCTGGACAGTGTGTAGAAACCATATTGCACAACCACATTTAGCCTCGAGCTGTCCTCCAACAACACTCCATACTCTTCAAAACCAATGTTCATGACACTCAGCAATCTCAAACTGGAACAACTGCTACAGTCCATTTTTCACAGAAATTTGGGTTCACAGTACAAGACAAGGTAAGTGCTATTCCTTAAACAGGTGATATTTGGAAGTAGAAGTGTCCAGAGACTACGCAGAATTGGAAAAAGGAGATGTAAATCAGTGCAAGCAGAGTGAACATAGATCCTTTAGACGATATTATTAAGTCATTGTGGCCTAGCAAGGAAAGTGTTCAGATTTATAATGCTAACAAGGTAAGTTTCAATTCAACTCTGCACACAGGTTTTCAGAAGGCATTGAGAAATTCAAATGTCTCTTATCTGTTCTCAAAATCTCCTTGCCCTCTCCCCACATTCACAGGCATCAGGGAGCACTGGTGTAAGTTAGAAGCCTATGCCAGCCTTCTCCTGAATCTCCCGTCATGGGAGCTTCCCATTGCAGACAACCTTGGTTAAATAAGCGTAAGTCCCAGAGAATATCCTTATAGTATAGACAATCCCAATTTTGGATTACAGATTATAAAGCTCCACACTATATGAGTCAAACAGGGTAATTTCAGACTAGGGAAGGCATGCTGATCTGCCTTCCTTTTCTTCAAAAACCCCAAGGACTGGGCTTTAGGAATAAAGCACATTACTAGGAGGCTATGAATTGTGGGAGAAGGCCTCCAAAGCTAGCAATGGGAATGACTGGGAAGAATCCTCTGTACAGCCCCTCAGACTGCTGCATAGTTCAAGAAGAGAATGGTAAATTACAAAGTGCCTACAAGCCTCCCACTGGCCAGCTTCTGTTGGTAGAAACATTCCTGATGCAACCTTCTCCCAGCCCTGAGGATGCTTGAGCCATGCCCACCTATACACAGCAGGAGTTAGGGGAGAGGCAGGCAGAGGTTAGCACAACCCTAATCATAGTGCTAGATTTCAACCCAGCTTGAAATGGAAACGATTCCCCCCATTTGCCTGAAAAATATTCACCATGGCACATCCAGAAGTAAAAAATAAAGGAGAAGGGAGAGTGTAGTAAATATATTGCCTATAATGTGCAGGCCTGGAAGTGGCAGCGAGATAAGACACCTGGAATGAACACAGATCATGCCTCCCTGGTGCTTTGGATGCCTGGAATGAGCACAGACCATGCCTCCCTCGCGCTTTGAGCAGCCTCAAGTGTGCATACAGCAAGAGGCTAACCGACTCTGGTAAGGAGGGCGTCTACCTGAACAGCTTCTGAGAACTGAATCCCTTGACTGTTCTGCTTGGACGCAGTATCCCACAGAGCATTGCCATTTGTCTGATCTTACTCCCTTCTCAACTATCCCACCTTCTCTGTTTTCCCTTCAGTCAGCTTTCCATGTTCAATTTCATTCAGCAAAGTGTTCTAAGACAGTTTTGCTGCAGATAGATAAGCAGATAAACTGCAGACATTAGTGACCAACAGATTAGCAGATTCTCTTCTCAGTCTTGTTGAGGATTTATTTAATTGGCAGTTGCTGTCTTCAGTGTTAATAGCTATAGATTTTTAGGGTTAGAAATGAAAAACTCTAGCCCATCTACTTCTACTATCACTCCACCAACAACCCTAACAAGCAGTATAGCTCAGTGGTTGAGCCACAAGCTCTAGAATGAGGGTGCCTGGCTTTAAATCTAAAAGCTGACCTTTACTAACTGTGTGAGTTTAAGCAAGTTCCTTAACACTCAAGCCTCAGTTTTCTCATAGAAAAATAGGATCCTTTCCAAGAGGACCATCGTGAGGAGTAATCATGAGGACTCAATAAGTTAATACCTAGAAACAGTGCTTGGCATCAAGTCTTAGCTCTTATTATTACAACTGGAGCTGTTTAAACAACTGGAGCTGGTCTCATTTCGTAGTAAATGTATTTTGACTCTCCCTAGTACACAACTAGGCCTCATACATATTAAATAATCATGACATTACAACACTTTGGCAGCAAAAACAAATACACCCAAAGCAAACAAAAAGCCCATCCCCTTTGCTCTAATAAGAAACAGTCCAGGTTAGCATGCAAAATTGTCAGGTTCGATCTCATATTGGAATGTGTTTCTCAAAGTAGGTCTAACCCGACATTTGTTGGGACACTTCAGTTTTCAGCAAATGACTATGTGAGACTTTGCAGTTTCAAGTTTTCTTTGCCATGAGGTTCTTATGACTCAGATTTTATGACCCACTGAAGAGATCACCTGGGCTCCAATAGTTGAGGTGCTCTGTGCACTCCTGCAGTGGCAAGCCTTATTTTTTTTTAAGTGTCTCTAACTCCATCTCGTCTAAGAAAGACGCACTCTAACCAATAGTCTTTATCCATTAATTCTATGAAGTTCAATAAAAAGATTAACAGAGAAAAAGTTGTTTAAATGAATATGTTATTACTTTCCTACTGAGCTCTCCCCAGTAAGATCATGATTAGACTCAAGGTGCATGTACCCCCACCAACTCCCACCCCCTACGCAGAATGAGAATGGGGAATTCAGCAAAAAGAGGCATGGAGGCCCACGGAGAGGGTTCTGGTTGAATCTCTTGTATAATAGAAATCTCAGCAGAGAAGTGGACTCTGGGCAGCTAAGTACAGGAACCCAGGCCCAACAATTGGGAAGTTCTGGAACCTCAAACAGAGGATTAGCACAGTCAGACAAGCGGGGGTCTTTCCAGCCCAGGGGAAGCTGGTGGCTGGGCAGACAGCGGGGGCAGGGAAGAAGGCTGGGAGGCACAAGCTGCCTCTGATTTCAGCAGGAAGAGTTGGGCAAACAGCAAGGGTATGGGTGGAGAGGAGGGAGGAAAGGGGCCTCTGGTTTAGGCTCCAGCCAGGAGGGTGTAGCTGTCAGTTGCATTTGGGGCTGGGGATTGGTGAGGTGCTGGTCCAGCAATCGCCTCCACTAAATGTGCATCCAATCAGTGTTTTTTTCAAGCCCTCACTCAGCTTTGGCCAAGGAGGCAGCGATGAAAGCCAGAGGCTCAAGCTGAAACAGGCAGGAGCCTGGAGCTCATGAAATATGACACCGAGAGGGAAACAGAAGGGAAAGAGTCACAGCCAAACAAACACACCCTCAGCCAGAGCTGGAGCCCAGAGGCCTGAGAGGGGGGCCCTGGCCTTTCAGGGGGAGATGGCCAGCTGTTCCTGCTCTCCTCCTTTCCAGGGTCACAATTCCCTCAGAAAGGGGAGGCTCTTTTTGCTCAGAGCATGCACACTCACCACACTCACAATTTAGAGACGATCCTTTTATGAACCCTTGTTTGGTGAAACTTTTAGTGTTATTTGTTTTTGTTTTTTTTTTAAAAAAAAAAAAAAAGGAAAAGAAACATTTAAAACATTTCCATGTCTTCTGTCGGTCAGAAGATATGCCGAACCCATGAAATTTACTATCACTTCTCTCCTACCTTTTAACCAATACTGGAATATAATGAGTGGGTTATGTCATGGATAATCCACAGTAATAGACAACATTTAGCTCCAGAATGAGTTCATTGATCTACTTTTCAATACATAAGCCAGTAGGACCTAGTCGTTAGTAGCCTTGCACATTTTCAGTCAGAGGAACTGTGTTCATAGTTCAGCATTAGCTTTGACCTGCTATATGACCTAGGGCAAACCACTCAACCTCTCTGAGCCTTAATTTTCTCATCTGTTAAATGGGAATGATGGTAACAATCCCATATGACTGTTATTACAATTAAACAAGATTGTCTATTTAAAGCAGTTTTTATAGTGCCTGGCATATAGCAAGTACTCAGTAAATGGTAGCTATGAGTGTATCTGAGGCTCAAACATTTATGATTCTCCAAATAATCCTGTTAAAATAATTTTTAAAAGCCCATTTGAAAGACATTGGCACAGTGCTCCACATCCCCATTTTAAGTCCCTGCTCAACTTTCTTCTAATGCTCATGCCCAGCAGGGATCAATAGCATCACTCCTCACACTGATGGTACAAAGCATCAGCTTAAAAATCACGGCTTTCTGGCTGGGGACGGTGGCTCATGCCTGTAATCCCAGCACTTTGGGAGGCCGAGGCAGGTGGATAACTTGAGCTCAGAAGTTTGAGACCAGCCTGGCCAACATGGTGAAACCCCATCTCTACTAAAAATACAAAAATTAGCCGGCGTGGTGGCTACTGCCTGTAATCCCAGCTACTTCGGTGCCTGAGACACAAGAATTGCTTGAACCTGGGAGGTGGAGGCTACAGTGAGCCAAGATCGCACCACTGCACTCTAGCCTGGGCAACAGAACTAGTCTCTGTCTCAACAAAAAAAGAAAAAAGAGCTGCTTTATTTTCTGACTTGTCTCACCAGCTTTCCCATCGTGTTAAAAGCTTTTGTGTCTATATGAAGGGACTGTAATAAATTGGAAAGAATGTCCACCTAGCACATCAAAAACTTGACAAAATTAATAAAGTTGAATTCAAAATTTTTTTTTTAGCAATTAAGTCTAAATTCTAGAACTAAGTCACAGTAATGATATTGCTCCACAGCCAAAGCAAGACATTTGGATTTCGACATTTGAATATTTTTCACGGATACATTCAAAATTCTCTGAACAAAAATTTTACATGTGATTGAGTCAAATAAAGTGGTATTAAAATTTGAAAGATAATGTTTCTGTGTCTGAGAAATTATGGAACACAAAATTACCAGGAAAAACAAAAACAAAACTCAAACACAAAGCTAGTCTGCTTTTTTGTGAGTTGATGAATAATGTTTTGACTGAAAGATATTTCTATCAGTTACTAATAAAAATACTTCTAGATTTTTGACATATCACAGAAATGTAGCTCAACATGCATTCTTTTTTTAATATTTATTGAGAAATTTCTAAACATCAGAAACTTTGCTAAGCACTATGAATAAGTAACATAGTTACTTCCCACATGTGTCTTAGAGTTTCATGGGAGGCTGGAAAAAAGAAAAATCAATGACAAAATGATATGACGGGGCAACGATAGGAGAACACAGGGACTTGGCCAAGGTTTAAGGGACAGGAACAGCTTCCCAGACTAAACAACATCTAAGCTGAGATCTAAGGGATGTGCAAAACATAAAATGAGGAGGTGGGGGAAAGAACTCCACAGGTAGATGCACCCTCATAAAGAAAGACCCAGAGACTAAAGGGCCTTTCCTCAGAGGGAATGTGGGAAACATGGAATCGCCTTGGTGTGGCTCAAGCACGGAGTGTACGGCAAAGCAGAAAGATATGAGACCAGTGAGGAAAACCAAAACCTTGTAGGGCATTTACTCTGAGAGCAAAGCAGAGCCACTGGAGGGCTTTTAGGCAGAGGAGTGGCATATCCAGTCAGTGACTTAAAATCAGAAGAGAAAAAAATGGAAACGGGAAGGCAGAGTTAAGAAACTATTACCCAAATAGGCAACAATGGAGGGGATGGAGACAAACCAGGAGTTTGAGACCACCCTGGCCAACATGGTGAAACCCCATCTCTACTAAAAATACAAAAATTAGCTGGGTGTGCTGGCATGTTCCTGTAATCCCAGCTACTCGAGAGGCTGAGGCAGAAGAAGCGCTTGAGCCTGGGAGGCAGAGGTTGCAAACTATGAGAGATTTAGCTATGAAATCAAATGGATCATGATTTGATTCAAATATGAAGGTGAAGAAGAGAGAGAGAAGCCAAGAATGATGCTGAGTTTCCTGCTTCGGAGGCCAAGGATCCCAATGCAGGGCCTTTGCGCTTACTGCCCTCTCTGCCTGGAATGTTCTTCACATACCTGTCAGCCTCCCTTACTCACTTCATCCAGGCTCTGGCTCCAAGGCTGCCTGGTCAGAGGTCCTCTTCGACCACCCCATATAAAACAACACCTAGTCAGTGCCCAAACCCTCAGCCCAGCTCCATTATTCTTTATCCTCTTATCCCCTAATACCACTTCAGAGTATTTCTTATCCCCTGACTTGTTATACATTTGTCTGTTCAAGGACCTTGCTGTCCCCTTGAGAATGTAAGCTCCATGAAAGCAGCAGTTGTTTCTATTTTGTTTCACTCTCAGTACCTAAAATAGTTCCCGGCACATTGTCACTCTCAAAATGTCTTTGTTTGATGAATAAACTCATAAAGATAGAAAACGTCAAAAGAAAAACACAAAGGCGGTTCAGAAACACTCCCTCACTTTCCAGCACTAGTTCTAATACTTTCATGCAGAAGCTCCTTTGCTTTTTAGCTAATAAAAATGTAAGATATACAGAAAAGTACACAAATTGCACACGTAAAGCTCAATGACAAAGTGAACATACCTGTGTTATCACCACTCAGGGCCAGAAATATAACAACCTCAGCAACTCAGAAGCCCCCAACACAGCCCTCCCAGTCACTAACCTCTTGCTCTTCCCCAAAGGTATCAGGTAAACTGATGTCTAACCTCATATAGTTTTGTCTGTTTTTGAACTTTATATAAATATAATAACTCCATTTGTTTTCTTTTTTGTTTGGCCCCTTTCGCTCAAAATTAGGTTTGTGAGGTTCATCCATGTAGTTCTATGGAGCAGTATGTCATGCTTTTTCATAGTTTAAAAAGATTCCACTTCACAAATAGCCTATAATTTATTTTTTACTATTGATGAATGTCTGGGTATTTCCAATTTGGAGCCATAACTAATGATGCTGTATCAACATTCCAGTACATACTTTTAGGTAAACATATGGATATACATTTTCATTGGATTATAGCTAGGTCATATCATATGCTGGGTCATAGAGTATGGTCAGATTATATGCTGGGTCATAGAGTATGCAAATGTTCCATTTTAATAAATATTGCCAAACTGTTTTTCAAATAGGTTATACCATGTCTGATTCTTACCAGCAGTATACATTATTTCCCACTCTTTCAAGTCTTCAACAATGCTTGGTAATACAAGTCTATTTGGTTTCAGCCACTTTAGTGGGTATGTAGTGGCATCACATTTCCCTAGTGACTGAGGTAAAGGTGGAGTGAAGGCAAGCTTCTTTTCATGTCATTTGGATATCCATTCTTGTGAAGTTCCTGTTCTGGTCTCTTTTCCCTTTTCTTGTCTTTTTCTTATTGATTTGTGAGAGGTCCTTACATGTCCTGAATACAAATCCTCGATTGGTCATAAGTGTTCCAAACAGTTCCTCTGACTCCATTGTTTGCCTTTTCCTTTCTTAACAGTGACTTTTGATAAACATAAATTCTTCACTTTAATGGAATTCACGTGATCAATCTTTCCCTTTCTGTCAGTGCTTTCTGTGGCTTGGAGCTGTTGTAGGAAGCATTCATAAAGAAGGATGAGTAGAGCAGGGAAGTGGAGGTGGAGGGAAGGCACTTTCTAAACGGTGGTGGGAGGAGGTGGGTGTCAGCCAAGGCAGGGATGTGCTCTCAAGACTGAAAACACTGGGCTGGACTCACTAGAGCAGAAGGTTTGTGTCAGTAAATGTGGGAGAATGTTCAGCCAGGTAAGGTGAGGCTAGACTGCACGGGACCTTAAGGCAGGCCAAGGCATTTCCCCATGACCTGAAGGCACTGAGGATGCTCTGAAGGTCTCTGTCTCCACCCACCTACAGGCCTTGCCTGTCTTTGTTTGCAGCCTACCATGTGGATATGCCCACCGCAGAATTGAACCAGTGTCCCTTGTGATACCTTTCTACCTTCTACATACTTCTATTTCTGTCTTTATCAGACTGCATGGCAATTTATGTATCTTCCAATCTAAACTGACAACTTCAAAAGTAGATATTGGTAGCAGAATGCAAGTTCAGTTTGTACAGGCTCATAAGAGCTGATTATTAAATTTTCAGGGCTTCTGTGAGCCAATTGACACCATGTTGGTAGCTTGAAATCAAACATGGCAAGAGTATTTACTCAATGGAAATCAGCAAAAGGTACAAATCAGGGTACCGCCTCCCCACAGAGCCAGTTGTACTTGCCAGCACGTCACTAGACACTGGTCTTATTCATCTCTATATTGCTGTCACCAAGCACAGCGTTTGCATCAATGTTTGTTGAATTAAATTGCATTTTTTCACACCTATCACTCCTTTTAGGACTCCACATAAATAAATTCTTTGAACAATCATTATGAGAATCCTGCTCTCTGCTCCTTCAGTACAACCAGACAGTAGGTTGCATTCCTTTGTCATGCACAGTGAGGCCATCCCTGAGAGTTTTCAAGGGCATTTGTGAGGCAATTAAAGAACACCAGGCAATGCACAATTAAGGGCAAGGCAGGGTGTTGGAGTGGCCAGTCCTTCCAGAGCCCAGTCCTCAAGAGATCTTTACAACCTGGCTGGTGCTCCTAAGAGGTCTGTGAATCTCATGAGATTCACAGAGTAATAGCAGCCCAGGCACTTCCTAGAGCCAAAAGCTCATCGAACTCACAAGGCCACTAAAGGAGCAGCCTGTGGGCCCGCTGTGTCAGGCACCAGGCATGTCCTTTGTTGTTCCCTCCAAAAACAGGATGGGGAAATGTCAGTTGGTGAGAGAGCTCGTGACTCACGACTATACCCTGGGGGGGAAAGAGGTTTTCAGTAAAAGGAATGAGTAAAGTTTTATCTGCCATACAAACCCAAGAGCCAAAACTTGGTGAAAGAATGAATACAAATTAAATAGACACAACTCCAGCATTTCAAAGCAATTAAAAAATATAACTGTAGGTCCGTTTTTAGAGCAAGAATACTATTCCCATGATTCTTAACCGAAAGAATGCCCAGGGCTCAGAGGGCCAGCGCAGGAGAATCTCCTCAGGAACAGGCATGAGGGCTTGTGTGATTCAAACAAAAATTACTCACTATTATAATTGCTTTAATTTATTTTTAGTCATGGTTATTTACTCAGAAATTTCAAATAACATTAGGGAAGGCATAACTTTTTATGTTTATAAAAAGATGTGTGGGTTTTGTAAAGGATGAGAAACATTCATA
Source organism: Homo sapiens (assembly GCF_000001405.40). NCBI lineage: Eukaryota > Metazoa > Chordata > Mammalia > Primates > Hominidae > Homo > Homo sapiens. The sequence goes on along the minus strand of NC_000001.11, from coordinate 162,690,611 downwards.
TATTTTAATTCTCATCTTTTACAGATGAGGAAACTGAAAATCCATCTGTAAACTCTACAGAAGCATCGAGGAAATCTATCTTATCACCCGTTATGTATCTAGTACTAACAATGCCTAGCACATGGTAGGTATGCTGGAAAGAGCTGCTGAATGAATCAGTAAATAAATGAATGAGAACCCAAGAGGAGATATGACTTGGCCAGTGTCACACATGTTGACATTTTGGCAGAGCTGGCATGAGTGTCCTAACCCCAAAACCAGTGAGCTTTCCACCCTAGAGGAGTGGTTAATTAAGAACATGGACTCTGGAGCCAGACTGCCTGGGTTTCTACGCCAGCCCCACCACCTGCTAGCTTTGTGACTATGAGCAGATTATGTAATATTCGTGAACCTCATTTCCTTCTTCCATAAAATGGGAATAATCACAGTCCTGCTTCCAGAAAGCAGTTACAAGCATAAAGTGAGGAAACACATGTAAAGTATTTAGAAAGTGCCCAGCTCTCAGGACGTGCTCAATACACAAAGGCCACAAATGATAAGACAGGACTAAATAAAGTAGTTCTTAATTGCTCAGCATTCTGTCTTTTTTTTTTTTTTTGACATTGTCTTGCCTTGTCACCCAGGCTATAGTGCAGTGTCATGATCTCAGCTTACTGCAATCTCTGCCTCCCAGGTTCAAGGGATCCTCCCAACTCAGCCTCCCAAGCAGCTAGGGTTACAGGCATGCACCACCACACCTGGCTATTTTTTTTTTTTTTTTTTTTTTTTTAAGTAGAGATGGGGTTTCACCATGTTGGCCAGGCTGGTCTCAAACTCCTGGCCTCAAGTGATCTGCCTGCCTTGGCCTCCCAAAGTGCTGGGATTACAGGCGTGAGCCACGGCACCCAGCTGGCATTCTGTCTTCTGTGTTCTTGGTAAGCCCTTTGAAAAATTAACCTAAGACAAAACCTTGATGCCTTCTTTTTAAATGACAATTTACATTTTTTCCAGCAGCCCATCAATTTAAAGTAAACCCAAAGACTAACAAAAAAAAAAAATAAGTGAGACCAATAAGACAGTCTTTGAGGAAAGTTCTACTTTACTCTGTACTTTATCCCCTAAAAAGCCTGACAGGGGACCGGTGAGATAGCTTGGTGGTCACGAGCACAGACTTTAGGCCTTAACTGCCTAGGTTGAAACCTTAATTTCTCCATTGGTTTTCATGTATGACCTTGGGCAAGTTATCTTCTCTGTTGGTGCTAATGCTTCTTCAGTTATAAAATAAGCTTAATAACTGCCCTTACCACATATAGGGTTGTGGTGAGGACTAGCCAGTACCTGGCACTTTCTTGGAAACACAGGTATTAACCATCACCTCACACAATAGACATTCATGTGACATCATGTGTTTCCATAACTTCAGCTGCATGACAGAGTGCTGTTGTCTCGCCATTGGCTATCCTTGAAGACTATGTTGCAACTGGCACCCGAGCCACAGTCCAGATCCACAGTGCAGCGTGACACTAGCCTGCAGAGATGCGCAAATCATATCTAAAGCCAGCACTGATCACTGGAACCAAGCTCCATGTCAACCAGCCTGAGTTAAAGAACCTAAGTCACACAACAAAAGTGTGCACAATTTTCCCGCAGAACATCATGAGGGGACCAAGGGCTCTGAGGCTTCATCATCAGTGAAAACAGAGCACCAGGGTATGAGCCCCCTGACAAGGGTCTCAGGAAGGCCGGCCCCACAGCCAGAACCAACCAAGCTGTGACTGGCAGGTGCCAAGGGACACACTGGGAGCTGAGCACTCTCAGGTACTTCTTTACTTCTTGGTACTTTCCTGGACCTTCTCCAGACAGTTTCCTGGCAGAATAATAGCTAAGTTCAACCCAGGACAGTTTGTGGATTATCACGTCTCCTGAAGCTCCACAGACATCCCTCCTCCGTGCGTCATGGCAGTCTTCTTTATGGGTGAATTCATAACCCACACACAAGTGAATTTTTAATAGAGACATGTATAAATGTTCTTCAACTAGCAGAGCTTAAAACCAATAAACATGTATTTTATAGGTTCAGTGAAGTGCTGTGGTTAAGAGCTTAGGCTCCAAGGTAGGTGCTGCTTGAGTTCAAATCCTGATTGAACCACTTATTTACCTGGGCTGAAACACTTAACATCTCTGTGCCTCAGTTGCCATATTGGTAAAATATAACCATTATTTCGACAACAAGTAGTTTCCATGAGAGGAAGTAGAGTTAACCTGTGTAAAACACATGGGAATTACCCAGAAAATAGCAGGCATGCAGCACAGGCTAGCTACGATTAGTATACCACTTATACTGGGTGGTACAGATATCTGTGCAAATGAAGAGAAAGGAGCCACAGAGAAGTCTCACATTGAACCAAACATGAAGTTGTGTCCTTGTACGTGCTGTGCTTGTACTGGAGACATGTCAGTCTCACTTGCTACATTCTTAATGCACGCTCACGTATTCCCATTGGTAGAAGCCACTTAGAACATGTCCAGAGCAGTGGCTCTTTCAACTGCTCTCATCCTTTTACTTACATAACACTGAAGTTGCCGAACCAATCTCATTCAAAGTTTCCAAAACAGTCACCTTTGGACTGAGTCAGCCTGGAAACTTTTAGTACACTGGGTTGCAGCTTCAAATAGCTGTGAAAACAGCAGATGCTCACCTACATGGTGTCCTGCTTCTCTGATTGCAGCGGCATATAAAAGGGCACCCAAAAGAACGATCCACCTCGTGACCCCATTAATGCTTGGCATATGTGCCCTAAATACTCATTATTTGTTGCAGGACCAGGTATGTAACTGCACTAGGGCCAGTACTGATGATGTCAGTGTCTTGAAATTCAGCCTCTTCTCTCCGTCCCCAACCTGGCTCAGGCAGCATCCCCCTGGTTCTGTACATCAGACACCTCCTCCATCCCCACCGGAAATCTCAGTCATAAAAGAACACAGGTCAGAGTGTCATTACAGTATTATAGTCAGTTATAATCAAAACTGGGATGAGAACACGCAGGGCTACTGGCTCCAACATTAGAGCTCTTTTCCTAAGACAGTTGGGAAAGCAGCCCTTGATGTTATGTTCATCCAACAATGTGTAAAATTTAAAAAGAAAAAAACCCACTTCAAAATAAACATATATTCCTAATCTGCCATGGTCACTTCTGGAAATGATAAGCAAGCTCTCAACGTTGCTATGGGGAGTCCATATAATGAGCATGGAACTCACAGAGGCCAGGGAAAGCAAGCCCAGCAGTGGGGCCGTTTTATGGCCATGGTGACTACATTTATTCCTAGGCTTAAGACCAGGCCACTGGGCATACAAGAAAGAGCAAACCACTCATCAGTATTCCAGGTGCAGGTAATGCCTTGCCTCCTCTTTCTTCTACCACATCCAGGCCACCTTTAGGGGAAATCAGAGAGGTACAACTCCACCTTTATAGAAACACAGCGAGGCTGGACATGAAGACAGTGGCAGGCAGCAGAGAGGCCAGAGCAGCCCAAAGCCTGGCAGCCTCATTGTCTTCTCCTTGCTCTGGATCTTCCCACTTTCTCCCCAGTCAGGAGCCCTCCTGAGCCCCAACCAAAACCTTCACCTTGTGTGGGTAACATTAACAAAAGAAAATGAAATTTAACACAGCCAACTCTGCAACACTTAGCAACCCAGAAGGCTGAAAGCAATTTAATCCAACAACTTTTTGTCGTCAACAAAAACAAGAATGATAGGCCAGGCGTGGTGGCTCATGCCTGTAATCCCAGTACTTTGGGAGGCCAAGGCGGGCAGATAACCTGAGGTTAGGAGTTCAAGACCAGCCTGGCCAATATGGCAAAACCCCATTTCTACTAAAAATACAAAAAATTCCCATTACTGGGTATATATCGAAAGGATTATAAATCATTCTACTATAAAGGCACATGCACACGTATGTTTACTGCAGCACTATTTACAATAGCAAAAACTTGGAATCAACCCAAATGTCCATCAATGATAGACTGGATAAAGAAAATGTGGCACATATATACCATGGAATACTACGCAGCCATAAAAAACAATGAGTTCATATCCTTTGCAGGGGCATGGATGAAGCTGGAAGCCATCATTCTCAGCAAACTAACACAGGAACACAAAACCAAACACCGCATATTCTCACTCATAAGTGGGAGTTGAACAATGAGGACACATGGACACAGGGAGTGGGATATCACACACCAGGGCCTGTCACGGGGTGGGGGGCAAGGGGAAGGAGAGCATTAGGACAAATACCTAATGCATGCAGGGCTTAAAACCTAGATGGTGGGTTGATAAGTGCAGCAAACCACTATGGCACATGCATGCCTATGCAACAAACCTGCACGTTCTGCACATGTATCCCAGAACTTAAAATAAAATTTAAAAAAAAAATACAAAAATTAGCTGGGCATGGTGCCGGGCACCTGTAATCCCAGCTACTCCAGAGGATAAAGTAGGAGAATCGCTTGAACCCAAGAGGCGGAGGTTGCAGTGAGCCAAGATCAAGCCACTGCAAGAATGATAAATATCTATTCAGAACCTATAAAAAGCTCCAGGCACTCTTACAGATCTGTGGGGAAAACAAAGTGAATAGAACACAGTCCCTCTTCTTCGGTTATTCTTTGCCTAGCACTGTCTGATGCTGAATAGAATGCCTGGTGTGCGTACCTCAACTTACTGGATTATGAATCTCAGCCCTGCCACTTAATAGCCATATGGTCTTTGGGCAAATCACTTAGCCTCTGTCTGCTTCAGTTTCCTTATCTGTAAAATGGGGATAATGATAAATCCTTCTTCATAGGATTGCTGCAAGGGTTAAATAGGTCAAAGGGCTTAGAAAAGCGGCTGCTACAGAAAAACTACTTAATAAAGACTTGCATTAGTAAGCTTCCACAGTATGTACGTCGATAAAACAGTTTCCTTGCCTAGGGAGCATCCAGTCTCTTAGGATATTACAGCCAGAAAGGACCTCCGAGATCACCCAGTTCAGCCTCCTCAGTGTGCAGGTAAGAATGAGGTTCAGGAACACCAGTTGACTTGTCCACAATTATATACCTTGTTAAAAAAGTAGAGCCCTGAGATTAGACCCAGGCCCCCAACCTGGATCTCCAGTGTGCCTCCCAGTCTAAAAAGCTAGTTTGTAAATCACTCTGCTGACTCTTCTCAGAACATATTTGTATTTCAGTGACTCAAATAAAGAAATACATAATGTTAGGAGTATTGTTGCAATAGCACCATGACAAAATATATGGTATAGTATTTTAAGGCAGTGACCACCCACTGTCCCATTTCATTCATACATTCTATGAAAGAACACAGATACTTCTGCTTCACTCTGTTCTAAATATATTTCATGCATAAAAGCTTAGTATAAATGATTTCTTCAAATCCTCACAGCAATACTGTGAGATAGATATTGTATATTTTGTATATAATTATTCCAATCATACTGAAGAGCAAACCAAGGCACCCAATAGTTAAAAAACATGCCCCAAATCACAGTTAATGAAAGGTAAAATTGTGATTTAAACCCAGAAAATTTATCTCCAGAATTCACCCTTGTAGCCACTAGGCCGTACTATCTCACTAGCCCGAGAGGGAAAAGTTCTTGTGTCCCAATTCAAGTTTGAGTGTTATCCACATCTGTAGATTTCAAATTTTCCTGCTTTTTAAAGTGCAGATTTTCATGGTAGGAATCACATAAGGTAGCAATGGTGCTAAGGGTGCTATTCATGTATGTGTGTGTGTGTGTGTGTGTGTGTGTGTGTGTGTGTGTGTGTTGGTGGGTGTGTTTGTGTGTTTCTGTGCTCTGTGTATGTGGTTTTCAAAGCTCCCAGGACCCACACAATATGAATTTACATATAATCCTCTTTGGGTGGTTGGTTTGAATCATTTTAAGAATTTTCTGCCCACACAAGCACAAGTATTCTACTGGGAGACAGAGCATCTATCTTTGAACCACTGTTAAATTGCTGTAAAATCTCTTATTCACAGACTTCTCAGAAGTTCACATGGCCAAACTCTGAGCTTTGAGCAGTAGCAAACTCTAAAAACAGTTCTGCAAGAATGAGTCCCATTCTTCATGCTCCTTAAGGAGTCCAAATAAAGAATTAGTGGTGTTAGTTGGGAAGAAAAAATAAATTAATAAATTTCATGAAAGTTCTTGGCATTTGACTTCAGGTTTGCGGAGTCAGGGCCTCATGGTGTTGAGATGTGTTATTCACATCAACCAATGTAATAATTCTTTTGGTTTGTAGAATTCCTTATGCTTAAAAAAGAAAGATATTTTATCATCCTTGTCAAATAGAGGCTTGGAAGGAAGAAGGAAGGATGTTCCCTTAAACAGAAAAGAAAACTGAGATAGAAAAGTTTAAGTGATTTAGACCCAGAAAATCAAAGTTTTATAACTGGAAGAACTCACTTGTGCAAGGCCAAGGACCTAAACCTGGGCTTCCTGACTCTGAGTCTAGAGCTTTTCTGAAAAATAAGGCAACACAGAGGTGTATTTGTGTGGGTCTATTTCTGAATTCTTTATTGCATTCCTTTGATCTATGTCTGTACTTCTGTCAATACCACACAGCCTTGATTACTACAGCTATATAATAAGTCTTCAAATAGGGTAGACTGATTCCTCCCACTTAGTTTGTTTTAAAAATTGTTCTAGCTATTATGGTTCCTCAGCCTTTAGTCAAAATTTTAGAATAATCCTCTTTCTATCTATTTTAAAAAAAACAACGTTGCTGAGATTTGGGTAGGAATTATATTAAATGTATATATTGATTTGGGGAGAATTGCCATCTTTAGTATATTGTGTCTTTACTATGTCAAGTACTTCCATGAACATAGTATGTCTCTCTGTTTATTTAGATCTTTTTATTTCTTTCATCAGTCTTTGTAGCCTTCAACATACAAGTCCTATGTATGTTTTATTATATTTAAACTTACATAATATACATTACAAATATAATATATTTAAATGTACTTACACTTATTATTTTTGAGTGATTAAAATTAGCACTATATTTCTTATTCTGGTGTCAGCATGTTCATTATAGGTATGTAGACGTACAATTGATTTTTGTATCCGGTGAGCTTGTTGAGCCTGTATCCTGTGGTCTCTTATTAGTTCTAGGAGAATTTATTAGTTCTAGGAGAGTTTTTTGTAAATGTGTTGGTATTTTTTTCTGTAGGCAATCATGTCATCTTCAAATATAGTTTTATTTCCTCCTTTCCAATCTGTATGCCTTTAATTTCTTTTCTATAATGGCTAGAATTTCCAGTGCTATGTTGAATAGGAGTGGCAGGAGCAGATATTCTTGCCTTGATCCCTGTCTTAGGGAGAAAACATTAAGTCCTTCTTCACAAAGTATGATGTTAGCTGTAAACTTTTTAATTGAGGTAATTATTCTATTCCTAACTTGCCGAGAGTTTTTTTTAAGTCATGAATGAATATTGAATTTTGTCAAATAATTTTCTGCATCAATTAATATAATCACATGATTTTAAAATATTGAACCAGTCTTGCATACTTAGAATAAATCTAATTTGATATGATGTGTAATTCTTTTTGTACATGGTTGTATTCAATTTGCTAATATCTTGTAGAGGATTTTCACATGTATTAATATAGCTACTCCTGCTTTCATTCAATTAATGTTTATATAATATAGCTTTCTTCATCCTTTTTCTTTGAACATGGCTATATCATTATATTCAAAGGGGCTTCTTATAGAAAGCACATAGTTGGGTCATGTTTTTAAAGCACTCTGCTAAACATTGTCATTTTTATAAGTCCAAAAAAGTTAAACATCAGTAATTACATGTGTTAAACATAAGTAAATACATTGTTTTAAGCCTCAAAATGATATCTTCAAAATCCTTAAAATATGAAAATTTCACAAGTGAAGAAACTGAGACACAGAGAAATAGAAGTACTTGCCTAAGTCAGTATACCTAGGAAGCAATAGAATTGGAATTTGAACCCAATCTGGCTCTGGTATTCTTGCTTGCACCCATTATTCTTTGCCAGCCTGGGCTAGCCAGCAAGCAGAGCTGCCTCATTCTCACCCCTAGAATTAACTTTAGCACAGGCTATACATATTTTAATAGGGCCACCTACTCAGTGAACTCTAATCCCACTTGGGAGAGAAGTAAAGTTCCAGTTCACTGGTCAGGCCCCTGGCCTGACAGTACTTGCAGCCATGAATGCTGGTCATGACTAGCTGCTGTTGCTACTAGGTTTGGGCAGGCAGTGGGTAATAGTGCTCTCCTTATCATCCTAGAAGTTTTAGGCAGAAAAGTCCCAAATCAATGGCAGGCCAAGTGACTGGGGGAAAGTCCCTGGCCAGTTAAAAAAGGAGATGCATACTTAAGCCTGGGCAAACAGAGCAGCAGTGTCCAGCTCCAGTGAGGCCCACCAAGATAAACATGGACCCCCACCCTCCACTCTCACTGTGGGTTTCTCCAGGAAAGAGGTGGGAGGAGCCCGGGCAGGACACAGGACAGGCCCTTGGGTCTGGTCCAAAGCAAACACACAGACATGACCAGGGACTTCATGAGGTTATAACTCAAAGCTATCCTGTATTTGGTGGGAGTCACCTAAATGTTCCAAGAGGGACCCAAAATTTACCTTCTTCCTTTGAATGAAGCAGATTATACAATGAATCAGAGCAGAGACATGAAAGTCTATACACAATTAATGGCTCCCTTCTGCTGTGAACCTTCCTGTGCTGTGAACATACACTCTCTGCTATAAACTGAATGTTTGTGTCCCCTTAAAATTCCTATGTTTAAATCTGACCCCCAAAGTCATGGCATTTGGAGTTGAAGCCTTTGTGGGGTGATTAGATCATGAGGACAGAGCTCTTGTGGATAAGACTAGTACCCTTATACTAAGGACCCCAGAGAGTTCTCTTCCCCCTTCTGCCATGTGACAACACAGCAAGAAAACAGTTATCTCTGAACCAGCAAGCAGGCCTAACCAGACACCAAATCTGCTGGCACTTTGATCTAGGATTTCCCAGCCTCCAGAATTGTGAAAAATAAATTTCTCTTAATTATAAGTCACCCTGCATATGGTAGTTTGTGACAGCAGGTCCAACATACTACAACCCTATCTTACCACCTTCATCATCCATAAATGGTCTCTTGGGATTCGGGTAGGCCTGAGTGGCCTAATTAATGAAAAGAGGACACAATGCCCTGGTAAATTACCACTGTCACCAGAGAGGAGAGGACCTGGGTAACTAGCATAAAGAAAAACATATTTCAAAAGACTCTCAATCAATCTACAATTGTAGATTGTGTAACCCAACCAACCAAACTGCAGTCAAAGGTCATATAGATGAAATCTTCACCCTGTCCCTGAAAACCTTTCTCCCGTGTGTCAAGGCTGAGTACAGTGCACGTTAACAAGCTGATATGCCAGTGATCTATTTTATAAAAGCTAAAAAACAGATCCAGGAAGGTTAAGACACTGTCTCAAGGTCATCCAGCAAAAGGGGAAGCAGAGCCCAGGCTTAAAGTCTGGTTTCAATCTGGATCTTTTGGCTCCAGACAGCGTTCTCTTCATTCTACCATGCTTCCTCACAAAAACAAGCAGACGTCGATGTTCACGTCTCTATGGACACAACACTCCTCCCAGAAAAGAAGCCAGACTGACTTACCCAAAGATAATCAGCAAGTCCCTAACTGAAATTAAGTCTTCTTAGAAATGTCTTAGCTCCATAATTTCAACTTTATAAAAAATTGTGTTTTTATAGAAGAAGACTGGAATGTGTTCAGCTGATAGGATTATGAATAAAGTCCTCTCCCTCTCCCCTTAAAAAAATAGTCTTTAAGGTTGGGTTATATTATTTTCTTTTTCACCTTTTTGGTAAAGGAGTCCATTTTCCTAAATGCCATTCTAAAGATGACTAAGGTCATTGAACTGAATCCTAAATGCCATTCCAAAGATGACTAAGGCCATTGAACTGAAGTCTTCAACAAGAAAGAAATGAGCTGAACAAACCAGGAGGTATCATGTTACTCGACTTAACTTCAAAGTATACTGCAGGGCTGTAGTAACCAAAACAGCATGGTGCTGATACAGAAACAGACATATAGACCAATGTAATTGAATAGAGAGCCCAGAAATAATGCTGCATACTTACAACCATCTGATCTTCAACAAAATCAACAAAACCAAGCACTAGGAAAAGGACTCTCCATTCAATAAATGATATTGAGATAGCTGGCTAGCCATATGCAGAAGATTGAAACTGGACCCCTATCTTATATACCACATACGAAAATCAACTCAAGATGGATTAAAGACTTAAATGTAAAACCTAAAACCATAGAAACTTTGGAAGATAACCTAGGAAATACCATTCTGGACATAGGACTTGGCAAAGATTTCGTGATGAAGACACCAAAAGCAATTGCAACAAAAACAGAAATTTACCAATGAGAACTAATTAAAAAGATTTTGCACAGCAAAAGATACTATTAACAGTAAATAACCTACAGAATGGGAGAAAATATTTGCAAACTAGGAGGGGAACAACAGACAAAGACTTAATGTCCAGAATCTATAAGGAACTTGAACAAATTTACAAGGAAAAACCAAACAACCCCATTAAAAAGTGGGCAAAGAACATGAACAGACATTTTCAAAAAAAGACGTACATGCGGCCAACAGGCATACGAAAAAAATACTTGACATCACTAATCATTAGAGCACTGCAAATCAAAACCATAATAAGATACCATCTCATACTCATCAGAATAGCTATTATTAAAAAACAAAACAAAACAGATGTTGGCAAGGTTGAAAAAAAAACACATAATCTGCTGGTGGGAGTGCAAATTAGTTCAGCGATTGTGGAAGGCAGTGTGGTGATTCCTCAAAGAACTAAAAGGAGAATTACCGTTTGACCCAGCAATCTTATTATTGGGTATATACCCAAAGGGCTATAAATTGTTCTACCATAAAGACACATGTTCATTGCAGCACTATCCACAATAGCAAAGACATGGAATCAAACTAAATGCCCATTAATGGTAGACTGAATAAAGAAAACATAGTACATACACACCATGGAATACTATGCAGCCATAAAAAAGAATGAGATCATGTCCTTTGCAGCAACATGGATGGAGCTGGAGGCTCCATACTGTCAAAAATATAACTGAGTTCTTGACTTAAAAATATGATGGTCATCTGTGTCTCTGAAAATTTGTGTGTTTCTCTTTCCATGTCAGAGAACATGATCTCATTATCCTAAGCAAATTAACACAGGAACAGAAAACCAAATATCGCATGTTCTCACTTACAAGTAGGAGCTAAACAAGGAAAACACACGGATGCTAGGAGTGGAACAACAGACTCTGGGGCCTACTTGAGGATGGTCAGTGGGAGGAGGGAGAGAATCAGAAAAAAAAAACCTATTGGGTACTGTGCTTATTACCCAGGTGACAAAATTACCTGTACACCAAATCCCCATTACTATATGACAAACCTGCACAGATACCACTGAAACTAAAATGAAAGTTAAAAAAAAAAAAGAGCTAGTGAGTGTCACTCTTGTAAGAACATGCCTTAGTACTGTAGACACCACACTGTCAAAAATATAACTGAGTTCTTGGCTTAAAAATATGATGCTTATCTGTGTCTCTGAAAATTTGTATTTTCTCTTTCCATGTCAAATTATTTCAAGACCTCTTCAGGACCCTCTCCCTGATGTGCAGGTCTCCAGGACTCTGACTCCACTGAGTGCCACTCACCAAGTCCAGCCTGGAGTTCAGTGGCTGGGCAGTTTCTCCACCTCACTGGTCTCTGAACACAACCTACTTTGTTGCCCGAGGGAGCCTTAGAAATTGTGCCACTTTGTGAGGACAGACGGTTTTACGGGAAGATACAAGGTTACCTGGGGAAGGCTAGTCTATCTGCCCTCCAGGACAAGCATGGCCAGATTTGTGGGAAGGAATGCATTCTGGGCAACAGACCAGAGGGATTACTCAGTGACTTACTCCGTGACCTTGGGCCAGTGATTCCTCATTTACAAAAGAGGACTTTGGATTAGATGATCTTGAGGGTTCCTCCCTGCTCTAACTTTCTGCAAGACTGTTTCTAGTGCTAAATCCCAGAGGATGTATTTGAAAGAGATAGACACATCAGGTAGGACAGACCTTTAGCAACCAAATATTAATAACAGCTCATTTTAACGTGTTTACTCTGCGTCATGCACTGTTTTAACACTCCACATACATTGCCTCACTTAATCTTCACGGTAACTTTATGAGACAGGAATTATTATTATCACTAATTTATGTATCAGTAAACTAAGTTCAAAAAGTTACTTAACCTGCCCAAGGTCACACTAGTAGGTAACAGAGGTAGGTAACTAGTAGATAACTAGTAGGTAACTACCAATAGGTAACTAGTAGGTAACAAAGTCAACTCTTTAGCTCAGCCAGTTTGACTCCAGAGCCATGTTCTTCACTGCTGCTTCACGTTGAAAGATCTGTCTGCAGAGCTCAGCATCTCCCATGTGACCTTTACTGACTTTCGGTTTCACCAAATTCACTCTCCCTCTTCCCTACAAGTTGCCCAAATTCTTTATGGCTTCCCTTGTACAAAGTTTAAAAAATAAAAAAAAATAAAAAATAAAAAAACCTTTGCTCAAGTCCCAGCACATAGGTATAAATAATATAAAATGGGAGAGGCAGTATAGAATTGTATATAAAGTAGATGTGAAAGCTGAAAGCTGAGGGAGTTACATTCATATCCAGCAGGTGGGGAAGTGGTTTAGAAAGTAGAATAACTTCCTGGATCCCTGAAATCACTGACTGCCCAAAAATTCATAAACACCTCCTCCACATTTTCACTTGTTTCTGCCTGGTTCCCAGGTGAGGGTTGCTTGGGAGGTGCTGTTCAGTTCCAAGATGCTAAATTAAAAGATGGAGACGAGTCACTCAACCTGGGGAATGTAGAAAAGTCAGGAGAAGAAAAGCTAGAAGTCCTCCCTTGCATCCCCCCACCTATTCATGTAAGAGAGGTTCCTCTGTGCCTCCTCTTTTTCCTGGGGTTATCCACGACAATGAAAAATCCACTGGGAAAAGGCATAAGAAGCCTGAGAAGATCAACTGATTTATCCATGAGTAGAGCATTGCAAACTGTAATCAGCTATTAAATCCATTGACAAATAAAATATTAATTGAATGCCAACATGTGCAAAGCAATCTGGAGATATAGGGTACTTGCCCTCTTGACTAAGTCTTCCACAGTAAACCCTCAGTAAATTTGAAGTTTTCCACCAAGTGACAGAGCAGCATTTGGAAGTGGCCCCCTGGGGTAGGAAGCATCCTGCCCGGACCCTTAGGGAGGAAAAGAAAAATGCAATAGTTTGAGGAAAGCAAAACCTCTATCCTCACCCCAACATGGGCTTGGATCTCAAGTATGCTATTATCGTTTTTCCTCGTGTGCTCCTGGGATCCAGCTCACAGCATCCAAAGCTGGAATCAACCCAAACTGGCCACATCTCGCATAATATTGTTTTTGGTTCACCCTCTGTGATTGGCCAAAACCCCGTGAGCACAGAGGAAACACTGTTTCCTTTTGACCACTTTAAACCCTTTTATTTCTCATAGGAAGGGCATTGACTTTTCCACTATAAAGAAAATAGAAAACTGAGCATGGGGCATCACAGGGAAGGGAAGTCTGCAGGGCGTGCTTGTTCGGAGCCCAGGCTTTGAGTTCCTGTTTCAGCTCTCTACTTTCTAGCTGTGCAACTTGGCAGGTTACTTATCCTTAGTGAGCCTCACTTCCGTCATCTGTGGAAGGGGTGGATAATATTTACCTCCTAGGAATTTTTTAACTCCAGGGACTTTTAAAAACATTGCACATAAAATCACTGGCTCCCCCAAAGTATTTGGCACTGTGCCTTGCACACAGTAGGTTCTCAAGAAATGGTAACTATTATTGCTGTTGTTTCCAAAATGTGCAAGAGGCAATGATGAGATTTTGCTTTGGAGTCTATGTTTGAGCTTAATAAGCTATAAAAGTGTGCCTATTCTTTTAGTTCGTTCAACAGACATTAGCTGAGAACTTAGCATGTGCCTGAATGAGCTAGACTCTGGAGATAAATGATACATAACATATTTTCTCCTCCTTCAGGATTTCACAGCCTAGCAGGGGGTAAAGTATTATATAAACTAATAACAACAGTGGTGTAACAATTGTTGTAGAGGAAAGTGCTGTGTGGGCATAAGGAGGGAGAAATTAATTCACTTGGTTGGAAACAGCTTAGTGTGAGTCAGGCTGGAATTACAAGGCCGAGCTGTTCTGCCCATTTCTGCTTGTGACTTGGAGCATGTGACCAGGAGTAAGGCAGAAGTTTTATGAGCCTTTAGACCAAATAGGTAAGTGTTAGACACCATTCTTGACTGTCCACTTGCACTCATGTAAACACACACACGTTCCAATGCACTACCACACACTGCATTCACACACACACACACTTCAAATCACCTTCATATATGCACATGTACATTCCAACTTAAGCACACACACAGTTTTCAACTCACTTGCCTATAAACACACACACATTTCAATCAGTTACTAGAATGTGACATTCCACTACTTGTCTGTCTTTGGCTGTCTACACTGCTAGGCCAGGCCGAGGACTTCTCTCTGAACTCCAACAATCTTTGAACACCCTTCCTGTCTACACTTTCAGCTCTCTCAAAATGTTCAGTTACCCTTCCTGTCTGTGCTCATGACTTCAGTCTCATTCCCACCAAACCATCCTCTTTTCTGCAGCCACAGGGATTTTTCTAAAACTCAACCCAATAGGGTCTCTTTTCTGCTTAAATAAAACTTCATTGACCACTTCTCTACTTCCCATTACTGATCCTAGCATGATACACAAGGCCTTCCATGATCTCACCTGTCCCAGCAACTCAGCTGTCTTTCTGCCACTTATATTCACTTATCCATTTATTAAACAGATATTAGCTAAGTGCCTACAATGTGCAAGTCTTCGAGCTGGGTACATTCTCTTTGAAACACATGCTTTAGCAGGTCTAACAAAGTGGTTCCTTGAAAGCCCCAAGCCACCTCCAGGCTACAGGCCCTTGCTCACCTGTTCCTTTTGACTGGTAGACTTGCCATCAACATCGACATGATCAGGACCCTTCCATGTCCCGCCATCGTCCCCTCACAGAATTGAGCACATGTCCTCTGCAGTTGCTTTCGTCCTGTGGTTGCTGCTGTGCCACCGCCAGAACCCCTTTCTTCTACTCATTGGCTTACAAGTGCATCCCCATCCCTGCTACCCTGTAATCTCTACATTATTCTACATCTCCACCATCCAGCATCATCCCTGGACCATGGGAATCTCTTAGGAAGCACTTTCTGAATGAAGCAATGTTTCTCCTCTACTTTTTTTTTTTGAGATGGAGTTTCACTCTTGTTGGCCAGGCTGGAACGCAATAGCATGATCTTGACTCACTGCAACCTCCACCTCCCGAGTCCAAGCATTCTCCTGCCTCAGGCTCCCTAGTAGTTGAAATTACAGGTGCCCACCACCATGCCCGGCTAGTTTTTTTTTGTACTTTTAGTAGAGACAGGGTTTCCCTATGTTGGCCAGGCTGGTCTCAAATTCCTGACCTCAGGTGATCCACCCGCCTCAGCCCCTCAAAGTGCTGGGATTACAGGCATGAGCCACCATGCCCACCCAATGTTTCTCTTCTTATCCAAATCATGAAAATTTAGTTGTGCCATTTTTATCCCTCCCAGTTAAAGAGGTCCTAGAGAGGAAACTCTATATCCAACATTGTAGCAAACAATAAATAATCTCTGTATAGTGCTCTGCACCAGTTGATCTTTATACTAGCAGGTGGCAGAAGTAAGACTCAGGTGCAAATTTCTGACTAAATTGTGTGTCCAAAAGAACAGGTAAAAATAAAACAGAGATTGCTGGTGAAACAGTAAAGCAAAAGGGGTGAGCTGCTTTCACCAAAAGATAAATGTCACACTTTACCAGGTTCACTGATTACTTATGAAAGCAGGTTAATCCTGCTCTGTATTATTAAGTCCTAGGAGGTAGAGTTTCTGTTATTCATTCATTAATTCATTAACTCACTCATTCATTCTTCAGTGTATATTACTGAGTACCAAATATATCTGGGTCTGTGTTAAGTGCTAGGTAATCCATCCGTGAATTAAGAGCATGCAAATTGCTTTTGGTGAGAGCAGACCACCCCTTTTGCTTTACTGAACACTCTGCATTGGGATTGCAGCCTGAATTGAGGGAGAGGGAAACAGACAGATTGAAGATAGGTTCTGGAGGGTGAAACAAGCCTTGCTGATGGCTCATATGTCGAAAGAATAATCAAGGATGACTCAGCTTGAGTACTTGAATGGATGGTTTTGCCATTTATTGAGTTTGGGAAGAATAGAAAAGCAATACATTTGGAGGAAAGTAAACCCAGCTTTGAACACAGCAAGCTTAAATTATCTGTAAATCATCCAAGTAGAAATAAGCATTCTGATTGTTATCTAATCTGGAGCTCAGAGATGAGGCCTGAGCTAGAGATATAAATTGGAGGGACAAAAGCATATAAACGGCCTTTAAGGACGAGAATAGAGAGATTACCTAGAGAGAGAGTATGTGTAAAAAGGGAAGAAAAAGGGGCCAGGACCCTTACTAAGGCTCTTTCTACTCTACCACACTGCCTTTTTTTCCTTGGATTTGTAAGTGGAGGCAAATAGATACACATGTAAAATGTGTCGGCTGAAATGGACATAGCATGGTCCATGGGGGGAAATGCTGGAACTCGTCGGTTTTTTTGTTTTGTTTTGTTTTGTTTTGTTTTAACTAAAGTGCTGTAGGTGAAGGGAAAAAATGGAGATCTGAATCATTGAGAGTTCTTAAAAAACAGATTCTGGCTCTCTCTTGCTGTCTCTCTCTCTCTCTCTCTCTCTCTCTCTCTCTCTCTCACACACACACACATACACACACACACACGCACATAATGACAGATGATAATCAGCTACCCATGCACAAATGAAAAATACAAACCCCATGAGCCTAAAATGCTTCATCTTCTCATCTTTTAATAGGACACAAGAGAAATAAAAAGCCAGAGTTGCCCTAACATTAGTTCATTCCTCTCCCATGACTCATTAAGCATTGATGTCACCTTAAAATTTTACGATTAAGAGAAATCGGCCCTATGTGAATTAATGGAGCTCTTCCCTGCCCTGGACCCAGTAGGGTCTATCTGACATGAAGCAACACAGTTTATGGGGAATATAAGAGGGTGATGTTCCCATACCCTTTCTGAACTGGGGCCCCACCTTTGAGAACACCAACTGGCTCCCAAAAGCTGCCCTCTAAGAGGCTCTTCTGTGCACAAACTTTTTAATGATGTATTAATTTTTCTTGAAAGGTAGGGGAAAGAATTTGGAAGTACATTTGAGCTGATTGTTATACCTACAAAATTAATGTCTTTATGTCTAATTACAGAACTAAAATGGGCAATTAGAGCCCATAATTAAAGAACGTACATAATGATGTGATGAAATTACAGTGTGCAATGATTCAGGAAAAATCTTAATTATACTCTGTGAACCTGAAGTTCCTGGCACTATCTCACATTGCTATTTTCATCCCAGAAATCATTTGTATGAGCTCATCTCACAGGTTTTCCATGTCTCTGAGTGGGGATGCTTCATGGGGACAGAGAGGCCCCGAGAACATGCCCACTGGTAACTTTCACTGAGATCAGTCAGCACAGTCCATCCTCATGAGAATGGCCGCCAGAACATTGGAAAAAACAAAACTGTATCTCATGATTAATGTGATAGAAAGCTGTTCTCTGGGCAGTTTTCAAAAGTTAATCTTTTACCACAATACTATGAGTGGAGATTTGCCTAAGTACTACTTATTTAGAGGCACCATCAAAACATTTGGTCAATTAATGAAGAAACAATAAAGTATACATGAATCTATATGTATATATGTGTATACATATATATACTTAGTTTAGTATAAATATGCATATGTGTTTAAATATATAACATATAGTCTTTAAAAGAATATGAAGAAAGACAAGAGCATCATGTATGATGTAGTTTGTGTAGATCCAGGCACTAATTTGTGCACTACTTTGCAAAAAACTATTCAGAAATATAACAGGGAAAAGTTAGAAACGCAAAAAGTCAAGGCACAAGAGGGAAAATGTGGAGGACCAGGAGCCAGAGCATCTACCTGGACGGAATGCTAAAATTATGTCAGACTTTTTTTTATAAGCACTACTTACATGTTGACTCATTTAATCCCCATCACAACTCTATGAGACAGACACAATTGTTTTATAGATGAAATAATAGAAGCACAGAATGGTTAATAATTTTCCAGTTACCAAGCTGGTAAGTGACAGAGCCAGGTTTAGAACACAAGCACCTGGCTGCAGAGCCCAGCAGTGGTCCACTGAAGGCTTTTGAGCAACAGAGTGACGCAAGAAGATGTATCAAGAGTATGTGCTCTGGTAGCTCTAAAGAGGATGAACTAAAGTTGAGGGAAAACTGCAAGCATTAAACTATAGCAATTGCCCAGAAAAGTGACCAAGACAGTCTGACCATTGAGAGTGACAAACAAATGGAGGGAGAGATGAGAGACATCATGGGAATAGACAGGGTAGGGCTGAGTGACTGGTAGGTATGATAGGGAAGGTAGGTCAAAGATGACTATGTTTTTGACCTAAATGACAAAACGAATTGTGATAACATTATCAGAGACAGGAAAGGGAAGGAAGAATACAATGGAAGAGTTGAGTTCTTCACAGATGTTGTGTCTTTGAGATACTGAGGGCTTTCACGAGGAGGTGTCCATCAGGGAGCTAGAGATTCCAGACAAGAGCTTAATTTATTGGGCTAGAAAGGCTAATTAGAAAGGAGACTAGGAAGAGAGAACCAAAGCCAGGGGCAGCCTGACAAGGCCAAGGGAGAGAACACAGAGGAGAAGGAAAGGGGAGTCACAGAAAGGACATGACTCCAAAGTAAAAAAGGCAGTAGTTATTAGTCACTGCCTCCCAGAAGCTTCTCGGCCTTCACCTAGAATAACCCCATCTTCCTCTATCATAACTCACACATTTGGGACATGGTAACCCTCGGGAAATGCTAATGATATGATCATTGCTATTTATTAAAATTGCTCAACAGTCAGCTCCAAAAGGGCAAGGGTAGCATCTGTCTTGTTCACTGCTGAATCCTGGAAGCCTTGTGCTTAGCCTGGCATTAAATAAATGTCCTGGGCAACGAAGGAGTAAGTAGAGGACTGTAGGAACTGAGCTGATGAGAAGTTGGCAGTAGGAACTCATTCCCAGTCCGGTGCCATTTCTACTGTGCCCCACGACCTTCTCCTCTCCCGACCACTGCCCCCAGCTCCTCAGGGGCAGCCCTCACAGCTCAGTAATGAGTTCCCACGTGATAGGTTCACATGTTACAGACCATGCGTGTATGTGTGCTGACAGGGTACAAAGAGGCCAAGCCACAGCCACTTTTCCCTTCACAGACCACACCCCTCATTTACTGTGAACCTCCTGGCACATGAAGAAAAGGTTAAATACAGCATTTCAACCACCATAACAAGCATAAAATGTTTACCAGGGCCAAAGGAAAAAGCAGCATCCCACCCTCGGGCCTCCCACCACTTGTACCAGAGTCAAATCACTGAAATTAGTGTTCTGGCTCCTCAGCTAACATAACCACTTTCTTCTGGCAAATCAGAGAGAAGCCACTTACCCTTCCAGATCACATGAGCCTCTGGGTATCAACAGACAACAGAAGCACTAGGGGTTTGCATTTGGTTAAAGCAACTGAAATCAGAGGCATCAGCAAAGCTGAATTCAGTCAATCGTATCCAAAGTATTGGGTTTATATTAGCTAAATTATTAATGCCCAGGAGGAAACTAGAGGGCAACAGTTTCTTTTATCATTGTTGTCATGGCTCTTCTGATCTGTCAGCTTGGCTAGGCTGTAGACCCCAGTTACTGAAACACTGATCTAGGTGTTGCTGTGAAGAAGTTCTGTAGACCGATTAGAATCCATCATGGGTTGACTTTACGTGAGGAAGATCATCCTAGGTAACCTGAACGAGCCTGATTCAATCAATTGCAAAGCCTTAAAATGGAGAGCTGTGCCAGGCACAATGGCTCACGCCTGTAATCCCAGTACCTTGGGAGGCCAAGGCAGGCAGATCACGAGGTCAGGAGTTCCAGACCAGCCTGGCCAACATGGTGAAGCGTCTCTACTAAAAATACAAAAATTAGCCAGGCATGGTGGCGCATGCCTGTAATCCCAGCTACTGGGGAGGCTGAGACAGGAGAATTGCTTGAACCCAGGAGGCAGAGGTCGCAGTGAGCTGAGATCGTGCCACTGCACTCCAGCCTGGGCGACAGAGCAAGACTCTGTCTCAAAAACAAACAAACAAACAAAACAAATGTTTACAAAGCAAATCATCTATATAAACAAAATTACAGGGAGAACTTAAACCTTTTTAACCTTTAGAAAGCAAACTCTTTTCAGGAATTTTAAAAACGTGTTATTAGTTGATAATGTCTATAGCAGCAATGATAAAGTTCCCAATTTCTCTGTTCATCACAGCAGGGCCCTTCACTTTGTGCTAGCAGCCCTTGCTGGCCATGCTTCTCTGTTAACATTAATGCACTCATAGAGAAAATAGCCCAGTTACAGAAAGATACAGCTGTCTCTCTTTAAATGGGCTGGTGACTCCTGACCAAAAGCAGGAAAAATAATATGTAGAACATTTCAAGCCCAAATAAACAGAATACCAATTCTAAGGAAGAATTACTGTATTCATAAATTAAATAATTCACATAAAGGGATCAATTCTTCTGTCTAGCACATAAGCACTTCATAAATATTAGCCATTATTATTGAATTATTAATTAATGAGTATACATTTATTGATTAGTGATTAGGATTGGTGATACAATAATTAAAATAACTAATGTTATTGTTGCTGATACAATTAAGTATACCTACACACGCATGTTTATAACAAAAGTGTTCACTAAAAAGCCATGTAACATTCAAATTTTTGGACTTGACTGTGATGTGTTTGGAAAATGGGAGAAAATAGATTTGTTTCCCATTTACATTTCAACTTACTTAAAATTCTAATGGTATTCGATCATCTCCATTGTTTCATAGCCTTTGAACAGGCTTCAGAAGCATAACAGCCATATTTCATAAATTAAAAATCAGAATACTGCATTTTACAAACAACGTTTTTCCCCGGTTGGTGAATTTTTGTGAAAAATATCTAAAAGTTGTTATATTCGGTTATAGTAATAATTTAATAAGTTGCTTACATTGAGAAGAATAAAATAGTAACAAAAGGAATATAAAATTTAGTAAAAATATTTCCAGTCACTATTGTTTGCATGTTTGAAATCAGAACTACCCTTAAAAATCCTGCATGTATTTGTCACCATGTGACATGAGCAAAGGTTATAATATTTGCGCCCCAAAGGAACTAAAGTACTTTTCCTTAAATATTTTCTTAGGTATTTAAATCATGTCAGGAGTCTGCCCCTGACTCCGCTGCCAGATTTCTGTGAATGGATAATGTTTCTGCTGCGCCTAAGTCAAATCTCTCCACATCCCTACCTATTTAATAGCATGGTGGGTTGAATTGTGTCCTAGAAAGATATCTTTAACAGTGTGGTGGGTTGAATCGTGTCCAAGAAAGACCCTATTTCCAAATAAGGAACCAAAGAGTTAAGGTTATATTCATAGGTAATCTTAGGAATGTAATCTTATTTGAAACTAGGGTCTTTGCAGATGTTACCAAGTTAAAATGAGGTTATCTGGATTGGGATGTCACCCAATGACTAGGATCTAAGGGAAAGGAGAAAAAGATGTGGACACAAAGACAGAGAGACGGACACAAAGACAGAGAGACATACACAATGAAGAGTATGTAAACATCAAGGCAGAGATTGGAGTGATTGCAAGAGCCATCAAAAATTAGATGTCAAAGAAAGATGCTTCTCTAGAACCTTCAGAGGGAATATGGCCCTGCTGACACCTTGATCTTGGACTTCTAGCCTCCAGAACTGTGAGACAATCAATATCTGTTGTCCTAAGCCACCCAGTTTGTGATCACTTGTTACAGTAACCCCAGGAAACCCATAAAAGCAGTCAGATCCATTATTCCTTTTCTTCAGAAATATTTTTCCCATCAATCACAAGCTAAGGTCTAATGTGTCTAACATTCACAAGCCTAACCAGGGTTTTCACATCAAAGAATTAGCCTGGATCTCCCCTGCCACAGTACCTTTACTTCCAGTGGCTTTCCAATAAAATTGTATTTACAAACAGGCTGCTGGCCCACAGGCTGTCATTTGCCAACTTGATTTTTTTCAATATTGAATTAAAATTTTATTTATCTTGATAGCTGAGTTTTTGGCATCCCCTTAAAGTTTGTACTCCAGGGGAGTGCTTCACTGCCTCACCCTACTACTGGCCTTATCCCTCTAAATTCTTCCCCCACTCCCCCTACCTCACTTTATCCATTAGTTTACATTTTTCCAGGCTGAATTGTTCTTTTTCTTTCCAGCCTCTCTCCAATGCTCTGAGTAATAATTCTTGGTCTCCAGTGACTCTGACAATTGACTGCATCTGCAAATTTTAATAACAGCTAATATTTCCTGCAGATAATTGAGGAAGATGACAATTAAGGCCAAGCCTAACCAGATGCTGACTGGCCTTCCCTAGACACTTCCCTTGAGGGAGAGGGGTAGTGTCATTGTTGGGGTTGTGGGGGTGTCCTTTGTCATTCTCCTGCCTCATTTATGCAATCTAAGCCATCCTAATCATTTGGATATCATATTGAGAACATTGCATAAAACATGGTAACTAGTTAAAGGACAGCTCTTCTTATGCTGGTCCCTCACTCACCACCAGTGCATTTCTTCCAAATAATATCCTTTAAATGTGTTTGGCCTCGAGCTTCTTGTTTGTGTGTGTGTGTTTGTTCTTTTCTACAATTTAGTGTGACTGCCTGCTCCCTGATCCAAGCTTCTCTGCCTGGTTGTAAAGGTTTCCTGTTGACTTGTGCTTTATTGCAGTGTGACAAAAAGAGCTCTGGACAAAAATTCAAGCCACTGGGAAACACGGGGTCTGCCATAGTCTATCTGTGTGGGTCTCTGGCCAAGCCAGTTGCCCCCTTTAGCTCTCCTTTTTCTTCATCTGTAACACAGAATAACAATTTCTGTCCTTTCTTCTTGTGGTGGTTATGAGTAAAGAGAATAATAAGTGTTCAAGTGCCTTATTACTAAAGTAAGTACTGTACAAAAGCTTACAGATATAGATGTACAAGGAAGACCCTTGCATTATTGTTTGTAATCACAAAACACTGGAACTGGGTGACTGGCAGCAAAATATGGTATATTCAAACAACAAATGATTCTGCCATCATTCAAAAATAATTGACTTGGAGATAGATAGATGATTGATAGATAGATAGATAGATAGACATATATGAATAGTTCCATTTTGAAAATGATATGTGTGTATATATATCTCCATCCAAAGTTGCATGGAGATATATATATATATATTTATGAGTTTGCATATATATATTCATGAGTTTACATATATATTAAATAATTATAAAAAATATATATATATGAAACTTTAGAAAAATGTCAAGAAGGATAAACATCAAACTTAAATGTTAAGAAAAGTAGTTATCTCTGGGGAATTAGAAAAGTTGGCTGGGAAGAGAAATTTTACTTCTTATTTTATATAATTCTTAAGTGGTGAGATTTGAGGTTAGTACAACTTAACAATTTTCAGGTTTTTAATTTTTAAAAAATGCAGAAAAAATAAAGTGCTACATAAATGCCAGCTATTCAGCTGCAACCATGTGCCAGATGATTTTACATACATGCTCCTTATGGAACACATTTTTAATCACTAACCCTCCCCCTTTCCCCCACACACATTTTTTCAACAGCTGGGGAAATTAATCCCACAGTGATAAAGGGGTTTACTCAAGATTACATAACTAGTAAGTCAGAGCAATGATCCATCATCCACTTTGACTATAACTCTGCATACTCTTTCCGGAGTTCACACTGACCCATTGCCATCGAAGCCACACCTGTCCTTCATTTGCTCATTCATTCATTCCACAAATACTTACTGAATGTCTACCGTGTGTTTAGCACCATACTTGGTCCCAGCAAGAGCTGCATAGATGAACAAGGCAAGCTTTCTGCCCTTAAGCACTTCAAAATCTTTTGTGCTGCTAATAAAAAACAGAAGGAAAAAGAATGCGAGAGAGAGAATGAGAGAGAGAGGAGAGTAAATAGTTGGGAACTGTTCATCTAACCTGACTCCTCTTGTGAGGTTGAGTCAGAAGATGACTCTGATCACCTCCTTCTAACAGTGCCCTTTGTGCTGGAACATGGCAAAGATGCTCTTGGCGTTTTGGTACACAGTTTCTCAACCTCCTTCCTTCATGGTTTTTGTCCAACATGGACATATGGGTGGTGAAAAGAAAAAAGGGGAGCAATGCATTTGTGGAAATTTGAAGGAAGAAAAGGGCTCTGGTCATGTTAGGAGTTATTCAAGAGATGAAGTTTAAACCAATTTATACTGGTTAAAAATGGAAAAAAGAAATCCTCTGACTCAAAATAAAGAAACATAGACTTACTGTGGGCCTGTGTGTGATTTTTCTTAGGATTTTCAGAAATATCATAAATAGTCTACATATCCTTCTCCTCTTATGTATCTGGGGATCACAGATTGGACTTTATTGATTAACAGACCATAAACAAAGGATTTAGAGAAGTGTTCACCTTTATCTCTAAAGCTCACTTAAGTAGGTTTTTTTCCTCCCCATGGAGTTGACTTTTTATTCAAATGATATTATCTGTTATATCATTGACATGTGCCATAGTTTTGATAAAAGGCAGCCTGTATGAGTGGCAAAAAAAAAAAAAAAATCATACATGCAAGTCCCTGTTAATCAGAATCACTGAGGACGGCATTATAAAGGAAATGGTACATGAGCTAGGAAGGGTCAAATTTGACAGTGGGGTGGGCAGGGGCCACTTAAGATGCAGTGGGAACCTGAGACAAGGTGCAGGCAGATGAATGAGCACACCTAGGGCCATGAGGGAACAAGGTTCACTCAGCTGTAGCACTGCAAGGAATGTTGGCAACCATCTACAACATAGTCCCTTGTTTTACAGGTGTTCCATCTGAGATCTAGAGGGTGAGCTAACTGCCTTGTCAAAATCACACAGCCTTATGTTAAAAGAGGCTCCCGATCCACTTTATGATGTTTAACGCATGCTCTGTGAACATTCTGTCCCCAGGAACAAGTAGAGTTTCAGAAAGGGGAGGTTATGGACATGTACAAGAAATAGGAAGTCTGAAAAGGTTTTTGATTTGTGTAGAAAATATACGTAGGAAACTAAGGGAAGTGAAATTGGGAAGATCAATTGGGATTTGACTCTGAAAGACCTTGAATGTCAAACCAATTCTGTATATGTAAGAGAGAACTACTCCATATGTTCGAGCAGAGCTCAAATAGCAAACTTACCATTTTTTATCCCCAGGAACAAGACTAACATATGAAAATAACTAAGAGCAAGGAAAGATATTCCCAAGAGTAAAAAAATTCTCAGAATCCCAGGGAAATAAGGAAATTACCTAGGTTTTTTAATGCATTCTGTCAACAAATATTCCTTTACAATATCTTCCCTTTAAAAAAATATGTAACTCATTTATTTTTCTGATGAAAAAGTGATGCATGCTCATTTATGACTTTTCAATTGCATAAGGAAACAAAAATGGTCCCATAATTCCGTAACCTAAAAGTCATCATAGTTAACAATTTGGCATATTTTCATTAGAGTTTTCTTCTATGTACTTTTACATCATTGATTGTATATCTTTATATTACATTGTGACTTTTATCTTGATTTAATATAATATCATAAATACCTTCTTGTGTTATCTAAAACTCTCAAAACCCAAAGGCTTATAACTTATATATTTAACCATATACTCAAGGCTGGTCATTTAGGGTTTTTTAGTACATAATTCTATAATAAATTTGTGTATAATCTTTGTGTATAGATTTTGTCCTTTTCAGGGTATTCCTTAGAGTACATTCATAAAACTAAAGTTCCTAAGTCAAATATTATGGAAAATTTTTAAGGTTATTCACGTATCTTGTCTAATTTGTTTCTATTTCTGATTATTTAATAGGTAAAACATATACATACAATTCTGGAGTTAGGAAGAATTACTAGAGTTTTTATTGAATGAAAGCAGTTTTTCCTGTTTTAATATCTTTAATTAATAAATATTTAATATTTGGGCAAAAAAAGTCTTCATAAAATTAGTTTGTAGCAAAATAAAAGTCCAGATTAAATTGAATGTCTACTCAGCCCTTCCCCGCATTTTGCACTGTTGCTTTCTCCTATCTTCTGATCAGTACTCCAGCCCCCTTCCTTTTCTCACTCCTGTCCTCCCCCAGCCTCTCAGACTCTTGGATATTTTCAGTTCTGTGATCTATTAGGGGGTTTCCATTTTGCATTTCCGAGTACAGGGCTCAAGTCCACGTGCTGAGGCTTCTGCACCCTTCCCCAGGACTTTGAAAAGTAAAGTTTTGCAACAAAAAGATTAGTGGTGCTTTCCTGATTTTCACGGCCTGTGTGTTTCTCATTATCTTCCCTTGGATGCAATCACTGGCTTTTGTTCCGAAGCCACATGAGGCTAGACACCGGTCTTCCCAGAGCAGGGAGACTTCTCTAGGACTAATACTAGGCAGAAAGCTGAGTCACCAGCCTCTTGTGTAGTCAAGTCCCCTCCACTCCATTCTGCTTGGCATGGTTCTGCCGCAGCCTCCTTCACCGCCCACCTGCTCTTATCCTGGCCCTCCTAACAAGACTCTCCACCCTCAACTTCTTTCCCTTCTAGTCTTTTTCATACATTACAGCAAGATCAAGTTTTCTCACAGCAAAATTCATATCATTTTACAACTCTGCTCAAATATCTGCAGCAGTTCTTTGTTACTTACATGGAAAAGAAAATCCAATATTTTGCAACAAATCCATACATATTTATTTATTGAGTTGACATGAGATAGGGGACCCCCTCCAGCAAGCTCTATAGGTTTTTTAAGGGGTAGCCAGTGCATTAAGCACTATGGAATCTGTACAATGAGCTCTATGTCTAGTTTGTGAGCTAAAACAGACACATGAAAAGTGAAATGAGTCAGCCCTGCATATTTGACTGCCAGATGTCACACTCAACATTTTTCAAATTCAACTCACTCTCTTCTCCCCAATCTATGTTTTCAATCTAATGGTTCCATTATTCAGGTTCTCAAGAAAAGATACATACAGGCCAGGGATACTGGGAGATTTGGGGGGCAGGAGACTTTGGCCTTGCAATGCCCATTGAAATCCAATTATTACATATTCACTTTCTTAGTTATGCTTAGGGTGAATAAAGGGGCAATGAAATTAATAAAACATATCCCCACTGTTATGAGTATATAATCTAATGGCAGAGACATCGAGCTTGCTGGAAAGGGTCCTCTGTCCCGTGTCAACCCCACACACCCAAACTGTGCCTCAGAAGCTGAAGTCTCCAGATCCCCCTCGTTCAGTTATTCAGTTTAGAAAAAGTGGACTAGGACACCTCCACATACTTTCTTGATTCTCTTCTGCTTGTTTTCTACTGAATCGCAATCAATCCAGATATTAGAACAACTATTAGTATTTGCAAGCACTTCATATTTATAAAACACTCATTCAAACATTATCTGATTTGATCTTCACAAAAAACTCACAAGGCATGTTTTTATCACCTTCATTTTACAGATGAGAAACACATGCTTTAGGGAAATTAAGCCACACAATTAGGTTCTTTTCAGTGCAATAAACATATGTCTAATTTCTAATATATGTCAGGCACTAAGGGTAAAAAAGTATGTGAAATGAAGCTCTTTTCTATCAATGACTTTACAATCTGGAGAGAGAGACAGACTGCAAATGGATAATTTCCATATAATGTGGTATGAGAACAGACGGTGTAGAAGTTGCTGCAAAAGCAGAGAAGTAAATGTCCAACCTAACCTGCAGATTCAGGGAAGGAAGCTGGGGTGGTTATGTCACCTGGATGGAAAGCTGAATGAGGTGTTAGTTAGCTCACAGATCAAGAAACTAGAATTTGAACTCAGATGTGTCTGACTCTCCAGTTCAGGTTTTTCCTGCATCCTGTTACACAATAGGTTTTCAATGGATATTCACTGAGTGAATGAATGAATGAGTGAATGAATGAATGAATGAATACATTGTACTTCTTCCAATGAAGAGAATGTCTAAAATATCAGCCCAAATAATAACTTTGGCTTTAAAACCTTCACATTCTGACCAGCTAAGCTAATCAGCTCTGCATCTTAGGGAATTCCAGGAGGGCTTCCAAGAAACAAGGTTTAACATAAGGGGCTCTAATTCACTCCTACAATCTTTAATTGGTTGAAGTCAAGATAGACTCTAGAATTAAGGAGAAGACTCTCCACTTATGTCTACCCGGACTCTTCACAAACCCTTTTAGTGTCCTGGACTATGCAGACAAAGGGAAAAGGAACTAAGTAAGAATAAAGCTTCTGGAGCTACAGCAAAGATTCCCACAGAATCTCACCCTAAACCTCTTTGGCCCCAGATAACTCTGGATGAGGAAAAAGAATCTCAATTCTCCTACACCCACCTCCTCTGAAA
This sequence comes from Homo sapiens, assembly GCF_000001405.40. Lineage (NCBI taxonomy): Eukaryota > Metazoa > Chordata > Mammalia > Primates > Hominidae > Homo > Homo sapiens. The sequence continues at coordinate 162,661,768 of NC_000001.11, read as the reverse complement.
TTTGGTTCTGGAAAGAAAACCAAGATCTCCAAGACTTGCAGAGCAGAGCAGAGTGCCCACATCCTCCAGTGATTACACGGGTCCCACCTCCCTCCTCCTACAACCTCCGGCTTCACTGTGTTTGTGGAGCAGATGCCTCCATGCCAGCTTCTCTTCTGTATTTCCTGATCCTTGGCCTAAGTCTCTGCCTTCTGTCTCTGTATGCTTGGTGTACACACGCAGCTATTCTTGGAGCTTGTGTGTGCCATCATTTCACAATTCAAAAACCCAAATAAGAGACAGGTGGTGGGATTCTCCAAGGGAATTAAAAGAAGGACTCCAAGCCCATACAGTCTGCCCAGTGAATAGGCCAGAGTGGGGCCAAAACCAACGCTACCTTTTTAGGAGTAAAATGTGTATTATAACCAACTTGTACAAGTCTTTTTATTTCCTTGGTCCCAGATATATTTTTACTCAGAATTTCCTTTTGATTCCAATTCTTGGGGAAAGTCAGACTTATGTTGAACAATTAATGAAATCAATTTGTGGAGGAGGGAGTCAGCTCAATAAAATTATATAAAATTATAACCATTTCTTTGAGGAGGGACATATTAAATGGATTTTGGAAAGTCACAGGCTCTGTGGTACCATTATCCAGACCAATTTTAGGCTCAAGACCCTTTGTGGGTTGCCTGGGAATGACGGTTTATGGTTCAGCTTCTCTATGAATAGCCATGGATTCAGATGGGCTTGCGAAGTTTGCCACTGGGGCAAGAGAGTATAGCTATTTGATTCTTTAAGGAAATATTTAGAGTCACTCACATAAGCCAGGGTCAGCAAACTGTTTTCTATAAAGTCCCAGATAGTAAATACTTTTGGCTTTGTGTGTCATGCAGTCTCCTTTACAACTATTCAACTCAGTCAGTACAGCACAAAAGAAGCCACAGACAATATGTAAATACATGAGCGTCACTGTGATCTAATAAAACTTTCTTTGCAAAAAGAGGTGGCAGGCTGGATGCCACCAGCAGGCCACAGTTTTCCAACTCCTGTCATAAACCATCTGTTCTGTGCAGAAGTGTCACTCTCAGGAGGGAAGGTGTCCGGTGACAACTCTAGAAAGGAAGTTGCTGCTTTGATGTTAGAAAACTTCAAGATCTGGTTGTTTGATCATTACCTAAGTAATTGAGTGTCAGAACCTGCATTTAACATGATCCCTAGGTGATGTGTATACATTACATCTGGAGACCAGCAAGTCTCAAAGGCCAATCAAATTACAGATTCTGATTTAGTCTGAGGTCCTAGATCCTGCATTTTTAACAAGCTCTTTGATGATGCCAATGCTCTCACTAGATGATATTTCAGATAGTAAAGATCTATTTTAGACCATTTTCTACAAGACAATATTGGAGCAGAACATAAGTACGGGGGGTCCCAACTGCCCACCGCCGCCTACCTCCTCTACCCCCAAACAAAATAATGCCTGATAAATACTGTGCTAAATGTTACACAAAAGCGAAAATGTTTGACAGAGACTCAGACCTTACCTAGAGGGGATCATGGATTTTTGAGTGTGAAAAAAATTTAATGTCTCTTATAAGACAATTAGATATCAGTGAGAAATCCTGAAACATGCTATGAAAGTCTAGAAGAGAGACTCCAAACCCCTCTCATCCATCATAAATGGAGAAACCAGGAGTTCTGTGCCCAAAAAACAGGAAGTTTGAGCAAGTTCAGGCTCAGGAAGCAATTCAGTGAACACAGCCAGCAAGAAATACTTAACGTTGTTCCTGCAGCCCACAATTTGGGGCTAAAATATGTAGTATAATACAAAAAATTACAAAGAAATGAGAATTGAAACAGTGAAAATAAGATTCTACCTAGCAGCCCAAATCTGCTCTGACAGTAATAGAGTTTGTGGCTAACCCTTAAATCTACTCTTATAAGCTATAACAATCAAAGCAAAAACAAGAAATTGAGACCTTAGAAAATCCTTGCTCCAAGTGTCTCATGCATATATATTTTTACATTTTCCAAATGGTTTATAGTTATGACACCTTTAATCTTATTCAGGACTGCACTCACACTCAGCGAGAGGGACATCAGAAATGAGCATCTCTAACAGTAAAGTCATCCTTCCCTGCTAGAGCACGTAAAACGCACGTGCTGAATCCCTAAAATGGTGTCCAGACTGTCCAGATGTCTTAGCCCAGCCAACAGTCAGGGCTTTCCACATTCTGGCAAGTGTCCTCTTTTCCAGTATTATCTTCCACCACTCCTCAACCCAATCCTCTGCCCCAAGTAGACAGCCGTTTCCTACCTCCCCTCCACTCCACATGCCCAGCACAGTCTGTGTTCGCCAGATCACTCTGGGTCCTCACTGCCTAGGTCAGCTCCAAGGATAATGACCCACATCTTTCCTTCTGCATATCAAATTCCTTCCTAGCCCCCAAGGCTTAGGTCAAGCTCCACACCCTCCATATTCAAAGCATGTGTTCCTTGAACATCCCAGCTACAAGTGTCCTTTCCTTCCTTCAACCATTTGTCAGGTCCTGACTCATGCTTACCTCCCTTGAGTGTAATTCTCTTTTTCATTCCTTTCCTTTCCTATTAGCCCATGAGAAACCAAGGCTGGAGTTATCTCTTATTTATATTTGTATCCCTTCAAAATACTTCCAGAGTCCCTTACACATCACAGGTGCTCAATAAACTTTGTTACCTTTTTGGTAAATAAAAATATTGTCCACAGTTTATGAATCCCATGAACAAATAAGAGCATGTTATTCTCTAGACCGCTCCCCTCCTCCCCAGTTCTTTCTTCATGTTACTGAAGTCTGCTCTCAGCTTATGCTTTTCAGAATGTTTCTGGAGCCCTGTTTACCTAGAATTGTCCATGTCAGCCCTTGGTTCCTCCCCTCCATTCCTCTTTGAAGAACTTTTATTTATTTATTTATTTATTTTTTGAGACAGGGTCTCATTCTGTCACCCAGGCTGGAGTGCAATGATGTGAACAGGGCTTACCATGCCTCAACCTCCCAGGCTCAAACCATTCTTCAGCCTCAGCCTCCCCAGTAGCTGGAACGACAGGCAGGCCCCATCATACCTGGCATTTTTTTTTTTTTTTTTTGTACAGACAAGGTCTTGCCACGTTGCCCAAGCTGCTCTCCAACCTGGCTCAAGTGATCCTTCCTCCTCGGCCTCCCAAAGTGCTGGGACTACAGACGTGAGCCATTGAGCGGCCTGAAGAGCTTCTCTCCTCAGTTTCTGCTAGGCTCTCTCTCTCTCTGGTGGAGGGACATCCACAGCAGCTGTAGATTCTCTGGTTAGTTGAACACTGATCCTGAGCTTGCCTTTCTAAAATAATCCTGGCACAGCCATCGTCCCAAATTTCAGACATCGAGGTTTATGCAGCAACATGATCACAGAGTTTTGTTTACTTCAGCTGCAATCCATTCTGTGACAAGCAGACATTTCCAGGTGTGTTCCTGTCACAGCCAGACCGCCATCCTCACTGCCACCCCCACCTCCAATGGCCCAGCCTGCCCTGTCTTCATGCCCTAGAAAGCGTGCACAGCAGAATACATAAAACCAGGACCTCCGACCAGAGACTTGCGAGAAACACACCATTCCTAGGCCACTTGCTGTGGAAAAAAGACAGTTTCTAACTAATGAAGACTAAGTCATAATTGGAAATGCAGGCTTTTCCCTTTCAAGGAGAAATTAATATTGGCAGAGTTGCTCTTTTGAGCTGCCCTCCAGTGATTTTGGAAGAGCCATTTTAGAAGAGAAAAGGAAAGGAAGACACTGTGAATGGCAAAGGGAGAGAAGAAAATGGAGAAAGAGAAGGCGATGGAAAGAGAAAACAAAACAAGAGGGAGCCGAGGTGGGGGCGTTGGAAGGGAGAGGGAGAGAATAAGGATCAAAAAGAGAAGGGAGCAGACTGGGGAGTGGGGAGGGGAAGGGAAGAAGGGGAGGAGAAGGGAAAAGAGGAAGGAGAGGGTGGAGGAAGACTGACTAGGGGTACCACCACTGGATCTCATAAGCACGGGGCCGTCGGTGCTGCAGTGGTCTTGACTTCTCCCTCTGGGAACTCTAACATCCACTAGGGGACAGGCCCCCCACAGCTTGTTAGAAATACTCAGTGCTACAATATCTGTGTCAGAGTTCCCTAGCCCCAGACAACTGAACAGAATTCAGGAGTTCAATCTCCAAAGGCTGTTGTTACCCTTCTGCTCTCAGTACCCATTAAAGAGGCAAGATCTTTGAAAAGCAGGTGGCTACCCATCCAGAGTATGCCTTATGTTCCAGATTACCTATTAATAACTTCTCCTGTCCTCATTAGTTCTCCAGATTGGATGCTGAATTATTTGGTCTCCCTATTAATAAGAAACACAAGAAACTAAAACTTAGTAAATCTCTAAACAGATTGAAAAACTCAGTCTGATCGTTCCCAGAAAGAGAATGAGCCTGAATTGGTGACCAGAAGGACTCTTCCTGGAGGAGCCAAGGTGTTTGAGATAGTTCCAGGGATAATATGACAGTGGGGGTGGAGGAGTGCACCAAAATCAGGCTTCACAGGACAAGGCTATATATAGCATATGCCTTGAATATTCTAATAGTAATTTATGGAAATCATTGTTTAAGATTGGTGCCCAGGCATGGTGGCTCACGCCTGTAATCCCAGCACTTTAGGAGGGCACGGTGGTAGGATTGCTTGAGCTCAGGAGTTCAAGACCAGCCTGGACAACATAGTGAGACCCTCATCTCCACAAAAAATACAAAGTGGTGGCGTGTGCCTGTATTTCCAGCTACTTGGGAGGCTGAGGTGGGAGGATAATTTGAGCCTGGAGGCAGAGGTTGCAGTGAGCCAAGATTGCACAAGATTACACTGCTACTCTCCAGCCTGGGTGACAGAGCAAAACCCTGTTAACAAAAAAAATAAAAAAAAAAAAAAAACTCCAGTGGCAGGGGAAGAAAAGACCACAGTGATAGTTTCTGAAAGGTAAAGCGGAACAAATCATAGATAAATAATGTTTGAAAAATCTCATGTAATAGAGAAACCCTGTAATAATTTCTGGTTGGTGGTGAAGCATAGCAATGAATTATTCATTCTAAAATATACACTGTGAAGGCTCAAGTTAAGACCTCTTAACTCCCCCATACCAAGAGTCTATCATAAGGAAGGAAAAGAGGAAGGAAAGGAGGGAGGAAGGAAGAAAGGGAGGGAGGAAGAAAAGGCAAATTTGAAGGCAATCTGTGGGAAGAAGGAAACCTAAGACATTAAACTATGAAGTGAATTATTACCACCAGGAAGCTAAAGAGCAGCGAGGCATTCCCTAGATAATAAACAGAAAGGAAGAGATAATCCAAAAAGCATCTTGACAGGGAGAAGAAATCTTCTGGGGAATGTAAGAAAATACCACTTTAGCCCCACCCTTATCCCAATAATCATTCACATTATTTACTCACTCATTCATTCATTCAGCACTCATTCCAGAAGCTGTGCAGAATACAGTAAAGCCTAAGTTGAATCTGAGGGCTCTCGCTGAGCATCCTCCATGTGTCAGACCCTGTGCTAGATGCTAGAGGCACAGGCATGAAGGAGATATGGAGCTCCAGGCTGGGAAGGTCTCAGACACAATCTAGAAATTGCTACAGTTCTAGATCCTCAGTGGGATTTTAGCCTGCCAAAGGATGAACTGAGAAGTCCCATTCAGACCAAAATTCACCTGCAGCAGACCACCTTGATATGTGGAAATGGTTTCCTAATAAAAGTTCTGCAATATAGCATGCTTCTCTTTTTGCCTTGAGTCCCAGCTAAGCGCTGTATGAATCTGCAATCAGTATCCCTGGGCTAGGTTTTCTTACATTTAATTCCCCCAAAATATAATTACAGGACTCTTGTACTATTATCCTGGTTGTAGTGCTTCTATTAAGTATTGTTTTACTCTAAATCACCTCAAATTATTCCCAGAAGAAAACAACTTATAAAATAATTGTTAAAAATAAAAAATAAAAACAAATTGTAATATTAGAAAACACAGATTGACGCTGGAACCCTACAGATTCCAGTGGGTCCTGTAAGGGCAGAGAAGTCCCAGAAAGAGGCCAGGTACCCTGGCTTACTCAAAACTGAGGAAGACATTCTAGGCCAGGACACTCTAAAACTGCCCTCTAATCTAGGGCTGGTCACAACCAAATCAACGGAAGTGAAAATGAGTTAATTGACAGTCCACAACAGATTTCCTATATAGTCAAATACATTGTCTTCTCATCTGATAGCAGCTCTAGGCACAGAAACCAAGTGTTCAACTTTCCCTGTGACACCAGGCAGGATAAGTGGGGGGATTCAATGTGAGCCACACCACTCCCAATCTCATGTGGTAACAGAGCCTCAGTGACTGGACCTACTTACATCAACGGGTGCAGAGCATTCTCTGTGGAGCAGGATCCTCAAAAACAGCTGGCCTCTGCTTCTCTTCAATTATTTCAGCTTCTTTAGAATAATTCAAGCCACAAACCTTGGAACTTTCTAGAGCACTGAACCCCAGGCAACTTGCAGGTCTCCCTTGATGGAGGCTGGGAAAAAGAGAAAGCAATATTTTATTATAGACTTTGGTTCCATTCACATTTCTTTCCTCTTTGGCACTCCTGTCCAGCGCCGTGCAACAGAAACCTTCCAAGCACACCAGGCACTAAAGGAATTGGATGTATCCCAGAGGATCTCGGAGGGATGTTGTTTATACCTAAACTGATACTTGCCCAGTTAAGAAATTAAAACTGAGAATTTGAAATTTATTGTGTATTAACTCATTAAATAATAGTAATTTTGTTGAATAATAATTGTTATAAAAATAACTTTATCTTCAAAATTGTTATAAAAATAACTTTATCTTCAACATGAGAAGAATGACATCATTTTACATTTTTTAAAATCTCTTAAATATTTGGCTTGACCAGACACAGTTGGATTATCGTATCTGCTTCTGGATTCAATGTGCTGCAATGGCACATGTCACTGAGCCTCTGGAAAACTCCACCGTACACTCGTGAGAGAATGAGAATAAAAACAACTTAGTATTATTATTAAAATAATTTTGATCTATGGATCTCCTGAAAGGGTCTCAAGGACTCCCCAGAATCCCAGAACACACTGGGAATCACTGCTCCACACGATGAAAAGTGAGTCTCATTTCCACCGCACCATCACCCTCCTTCAGATATAACTAATTATCAGTTACTTGAGTAATTTTCTAGAAATAGTTTACACATATATAAAAACTATGGATTTATAGTGTTTGAGGGTTTTTGGTTTTTTGTTTGTTTGTTTGCTGTTGTATTCTTTAGACAGGGTGTTGCTTTGTTGCCCAGGCTGGAGTGCAGTGGAGTGATCATAGCTCACTACAGCCTTGAACCCCCAGGCTCAAGTGATCCTTTTGCCTCGGCCTTTTAAGTAGCTAGGACTACAGGCACACACCACCATGCCCAGCTAATTTTTGTATTTTTTGTAGAGACCAGGTCTTGCTATGTTGCCCAAGCTGGTCTCCAACTCCTGGCTTCAGGCAATCAAGCGATCCTCCCACCTCGGCCTCACAAAGTGCTGGGATTATAGATGTGAGCCACCATGCCTTGAGATGCATAGTTTTTTAAATTTAAAAAGTTGAATATTAGTATGCTATACATTTCACCTTGGCTTGTCTATTATACATGTTGGGGACAGTTCCACGTCTGCATACATGGTTACCTCTTTCCTTTCCTCTGATCTGTTGTGTCCCTCTGAATGGATATAACTCTCTATAACAATATACAGTGCCACAGTGTTCAGGCGGGCTGCTGAATGGCCCATTTCTTTAGTGAAGGATACAGTACTTAATGGGAATAAAATGGCCACACAAAGCAAGAACAAATGCTACACATCTCAGCACAACTTTCCTCCGGCTTCTAGTTTCCTAACAAGGTATGCAGCTGAAGTCTTACAAAGTTGACAAAACAACCAAATTTTACTATACTTCTGCCCTTTTCTACTTGGGGCTTACCTCACTGCTCCAGAAAAACTTACATTAACAATCTCTGAGCCAACGTTTATAGGAATGTTTACAACAACCAGCCTCTCCTGGTTCTTGAAACACTCACTATCATCAGCATCACATCAGCATCAGGGAAGAAAATAGGACCCAAATGTCCCCAAACAGTATTTTTTTTTTTTTGAGACAGAGTCTCATTCTATCATCCAGGCTGGAGTGCAGTGGCACGATCCATGATCTCAGCCACTGCAACCTCCGCCTCTCGGGTTCAAGCGATTCTCATGCCTCAGCTTCCTAAGTACCTGGGATTACAGGCACTCGCCACCATGCCTGGCTAGTTTTTATATTTTTAGTAGAGACAGGGTTTCGACATGTTGCCCAGGCTGGTCTCAAACTCCTGACCTCAGGCAATCCACTCACCTTGGCCTCCCAAAGTGCTGGGATTACAGGCACAAGCCACCATGCCCGGCCCCCAAACAATTTTCTGAAAGCTAGTTCCCTGCAGTACTAAGACGGCAAAAGGTTAATCCTGTTGGTTCACAATTTTGCTGACGTAGAAGCTAAAGGAAACCCCACCTCACAAAGCTAATTTGCTTTGATCACACTGAAGGTCTCAAATGCTAAAAGTTTCTTTGTTTGTTTGTTTGCTTGTTTGTTTTTTAAGACAGGGCCTTGTTCTGTCACACAGGCTGGAGTGCAGTGGCGTGATCATGGCTCACTGCAACCTCCACCTCTTGGTTCAAGTGATCCTCCTACCTCAGCCTCCCAAGTAGCTGGGACTGCAGGTGTGTGCCACCACGCCCAGCTAACTTTTGTATTTTTTGTACAGACAAGGTTTTGCCATTGTAGCCCAGGCTGATCTCTAACTCCTGAGTTCAAGCAATCCTCCCACCTCAGCCTCCCAAAGTGCTGGGATTAGAGGTGTAAGCCACCATGCCTGGCCACAAATGCTAAAAGTTTTGTAGACCATCTGAGTTCACTTCCTCACTCAGATTTACTAGCTGTACAATCTTGGGAGGTTGCTTAGTGTCTACTTGTAAAATAGAGATGATACTTATGTGATAAAGTTATGAGGATGCATAATTGTAATTATGTACAAAATGTTCCTACCACATAGTGGGTACTCAGCACTCAGTAATTGTTAAGTCCTCTCTCCTTATTGTCTGTGAACCAAAATGAGCTGTGGGGCTGATCGTATGTGCTGGACTTAGCTGGCTTTTCAGGGAACCCCAGTGGTCTACTCTTTTAGGAAGTCTGGGAATGTAGAAAACTGGGGTAAGAGAAGATGGCAGAGCATTTTTCTTTTCCAAACAAAAGGAATTTCCTGGAGTGTCTGTCGTCTGTCTGATTCAAGATGAGAAGCACGAGTCTGCTTTCCTACATTCCTCCCCACCAGGCCAGGAAGATGGGCACCAACAGTCCCTGCACTTCTGTTTCAGCTTTCCAATCTGCCCCCAAAATTACATGGTCAGTGTGGTTTGCATTTGTAGGTCCATAAGGCATACAGAAAACCCCGCCCAGGTTTGGAGGAGCCCCTCGGGTAAGCATGACAATTTTTGAATCCTTCCAAGAGTAGAACCAGCACCTGCAATTACATCCTCCATTTACAAATGAGCAAACTAATATTTAGAGATGCTAACTAAATTCCCCAAGCAGCCCCAACAAGGGCAGAGTCAGAATTCCAAACCAAGTCTGTCTTATGCCAAAGTGCATGTTTTCAACCACATCATCATATGATGCTCCAACTAGGAAAGATAACACCCTTCCCATGATGTAGCGAAGCCAGTCGGTTTCATGGAGATAGTGAGATTTCACAGGTGAGACAAATATCCTTAACCGTAGGCTGATGGTCTTACTAACGCAAAGTTATAACTAAAATCAAAATCAAAATTCTTCAGAAAATTATTTCTAAGCTTGACACGAAAGTAGAATGACAAAACACCAAAGAGTAAACCAAGATTCGACTCATTTTTGGATTATTGTAGATTATTTATTTTACTTAAATTTTATTAGTATTTTGTTAGGAGATTAAGATTATTACATTATTTCAATAGATTATTGTTTTAATAGCTTAATAATTTAATAGTAATTTGTTCAACCACGTTTCTGAGTTCCTAGTATGTAATATGTACTATAGTTGATAGAAAGATGAAGGAAACATGTTCCTTGGCCTCAAAAAAGATATAATGGATATTACAAGATATAGTAGATATATATGTCTGGGTTGGTAAGGTAGTAAGAAAGGAAAGAACAAGGTGCTAAAAGAAGGAGAAATCAAGCCAGTTGAGTGTTCCCTAAAGATTTGTTGGAGTGAGGAGCCATTATTTGAGCTGACTCTTGAAATATCACTAGGATTTTGTCAGATAGAAAGAATGCAGACAAAAGTCTAAGAAAAGGGAACAATTTGAATGGGCAAGTTATGGGATAAGAAGATTAATAAATAGTTGGTGGGAGGACAGGAACACACAGGTAATCGAAGACAAAGCTGGAAGCTGGAAGATGATTGAGGTGGGAAAACGCAGGGCTCCAAATGCCAGCAAGGAGTGAGCACAAGAGAGCCGGGAAAGGCTTTGGAGAGTGGGATGGCAGGCTCAGAGAAGCTCTGTGAGGCTGAACCTGGCATGTGGGTTGCTTTGGAGGAGAGACCTGGGGCAGGATGACCAATGAAAGCCTGATGTACAATAATGACATCAGGAAAGGGAAATAAATAATGTGGACATATAATAATGTGGAGAGGGGCTGGGTGCGGTGGTTCATGCCTGTAATCCCAGCACTTTGGGAGGCCAAGGCAGGTGGATCACTTGAGGCCAGGAGTTCAAGACCACCTTGGCCAACATGATGAAAACATGTCTCTACTAAAAATACAAAAATTAGCTGGGCATGGTGGCACACATCCACTGTAATCTCAGCTACTTGGGAGGCTGAGACATGAGAATTACTTGAACCTGGAAGGCTTAGGCTGCAGTGAGCTGAGATCGAGCCACTGCACTACAGCCAGGGTAACAGAGCAAGACTCTGTCTCAAAAAATAATAATAATAATGTGGAGAGGATTGAGAATTGACCAATGACTAGCACAGGAGGGAAGAAGGAGGGAGTCGAAAAGCCTGGGAGTCTGGGCTGCATGTGACCAGGAGCACATAGTTATTTATTTATTTATGTATTTATTTTTGAGATGGAGTCTCACTCTGTTGCCCAGGCTGGAGGGCAGTGGTGCAGTCTTAGTTCACTGCAACCTCTGCCTCCCAGGTTCAAGCGATTCTCCTGCCTCAGCCTCCTGAGTAGCTGAGATTACAGGTGCGCACCACCCTACCCTGCTAATTTTTGTACTTTTAGTAGAGATGGGCTTTCACCATGTTGGCCAGGCTGTTCTCGAACTCCTGACCTCAAGTGATCTGCCTTCCTTGGCCTCCCAAAATGTTGGGATTACAGGCGTGAGCCACCACACCTGGCCTGTTATTATTATTATTTTTTTTTTAACGTGGAGGAGGAATTGGTTTGTAAGGGGAGATTGTGAGTTTGGTTTGAAACATAAGTAATTTGGTTTCCTTAGAATGAAAACAGGTAGACACATCTTGATTTTGGCATTCAAGAGAAGGGTTGGTCTTAGAGATCCACATTTGAACTTCAACTACATAAATGCAATAATTAAAGTCTGAGACAGATTAAGTGATCCAGGAGGAAGGAAGAGAAGAAAAGCGAAGACAGAATGTTGGGGCTCATCTGCATGGGGTGGGTGAGAGGAGAATAGCTGTGTTTCCTTTACCTTCTTCCAGGTAAGACTCAGGTCAACTTAAAAATGGTTCCAGACCTAACCCAACTTCCTTATTTTACGGATGAAGAAAACCCAAACCCAAAGGGTTAACTGATTTATCCAAGGCCTCACAGCTTCTTAGTAGCAGAACTGAGACTAGATGGATTAAGTGACCATTGGGAATTAGTGTTGCTTAGCAACTGAACTAGTTGCTGTATATCACATGATGTGGTTGGAGTCAGAGAAGCTTGAGAACACACTACAAACTTCATTTATCTTTGTTACATCAGCCCAGCACTGTAATTGTGCCCAACAGTCTAATCAGTGCAGGGGTTCAGACCGTATCTTATTCATCTTCTTGTCACTGTCCGCTCTACTCTCTCTTTTCCTACCACTGCCTCCACCACCAGAGTTATTGCAGAGTAGAGAAATTGCAGATTATTTTCCTTTTTGAATATGAAGACAGACTTTTGAAAGGAGCTGAAGAGTTCATTTAGAATGAACATAACCCCTGGGGAAACTGAGGCTCAGAGACATTCAATGACTTACCCAAGATCACCAGTTAGTGGCAAAGCCTGGACCCAAATCCCAACTCTTGTTTCTTTGCATGACACTACCAACCTCTAGTGCAAGAGACAAACTTTCTAGTCCCTAATTTCTTTAAATATATGCTGTGCCATCCTCTTCTCTCAAGGTGCTTCTTTTAAAAAGAGCTCCATGATCCAAAAAGTTTGTGGAGTGCTCTAAGCTCGCCCTCTCTTGGATAGTCAAAATGTTGATTACCATATTAAAGACTGTGGGACATCCTGCAGTAAAGAAACTTGCTTAATTCTCTAACAATATTTTTTGAACTAATTTGACCACGGAACTGTGGCCCTGTAATCTACTTAAAACCCACAGATTTCCAAGAATTGCACTTTGGGAAAAAGTGCCTAAGTCTCATTAGCAAGACTTGCTTTGTAGGTCTCAAGCAGAAATGTCACTAGTGAGTGGTCCTCACTATGGGATAAGGTTGGGGAGTGGTGAGAGATGGGAAAGAGAAGCAACAAGTAGTCCTAGTCTCTTCCAGAGCCATCTGCTCTGCCAGTAACAAAGGGTGAAACAGCTACTGAGCAATTTCAATTTGGAATCCTCACTGTAAGCTTAAGGCACTTTCTCCTACTAAGGGTTCTGGTGGGAAAATGAGTGTTTTTGTTCTCATACATTCCACATCAGCTGATGTGCTTGTTCCACGCTGCCTTTGCCACCATTCGTGGTCATGCCATCTTGTCCTTCCACATCCCTCTGGCTTTTCTTTCTGCACTCCACCACCCTGGTCTAAACCCTGTCCCTTCACATCTGGACTACCGAAAGCAACCTTCTTTTTTTGTTTTTGTTTGTTTGTTTTTTAATTTTTTCCTCAGTGCTCCTTGTTCTGAGAATGCAGCCCTCTAATGGGTCTCCCTGACTTGATTTCTTATCCCCTGCAATTTGCTTACATACTGCTGTCACATCTTAAGACAACACTTCACCGGCTTTCAGATAAAGGAAATGTTCAAAATTCCACAACATCCAAAGCTCTATTTAATGTCAGAAAACCCATCTATGCAATGTTATTTCCCCATGCTCCCCAAGGCAAATATCCCACCACCCTAGGCTCCTGTCCTCACTGTTAACTGAACCAGCCAGCCATAAGCAATCTGACTGCCAAGTGTCTGTTCCACTGCTCTTTGCTACCTGGCTATCCAATTTATTCCAATTCTTATTCAATTTGCAGCATCCAGCACCAGTCCCCTGGCTATACAAACCCTTCCATGCACTCTTACATTTGCAGATTCTGAGCAACTAGCCCCCCATTTACTTGCATTGCTCTTTTACTGCTCCCGGAATTTTCTAACTGAAAATAAACTCAGAAAGGGAAAGGACTATGTCTTATTAAATACAAGACTCTTAGTAAGTACTCAAAAAAAAAAAAAAGGAAAAAACCTCTTGCTAAATACAGGAATGAATCTGTCAGAGGCATTTGAACCAGAGCAACTCCATCTTGAATAGGGACTGGGTAAAATGAGACTGAGACCTGCTGGGTGGCATTCCCAGGAGGTTAAGGCATTCTTAGTCCCAGGATGAGACAGGACGTTGGCACAAGACACATACAGGTCACAAAGACCCTGCTGATAAAGCAGGATGCAGTAAAGAAACCTACCAAATCCCACCAAAACCAAGATGGTGATGAAAGTGACCTGTGGTCATCCTCACTGCTCATTAGACGCTAATTATAATGCATTAACATGCTAAAAGACATTCCCACCAGCGCTATAACAGTTTACAAATGCCATGGCAACATCTGGAAGTTACCTCATATAGTCTAAAAAGGGTAGGGATCCTCAGTTCCAAAGGAAATCCCTGCCCCTTTTCCAGAAAACTCACGAATTATCCACTCCTTATTTAGCATATAATCAAGAAATAACTACAAGTATACCCAATTGAGCAGCTCATGCCACTGCTCTGCCTATGGAGTAGCCATTCTTTTGTTTCTTTCCTTCTCTAATAAACTTGCTTTCACTTTATAGACTTGCCCAGAACTCTTTCTCACGTGAGGTCTAAGAACCCTCTCTTGGGGTGTAGATTGGGACCCCTTGCCGGTAACAAATCCATATTGACCTTAGAGCTATGATTTAAGTAGAAAACGTCAAGTCCACAAAACATTAAGGAAATGAATCTCTTTCTGGGCCTCAAGTGCATTTAAATATTTCTAGTTCAATTGACTTTAGTTTTAGAAACGCAGGGGAAGATTTATTCTATCTCATCCTGGATGGTCAGGAGCATTTTCATTCTTTTTTTTATAGATAGATTTGTACTTTCTACCACCCTCTCATCGGCTCTTTGCCATGCTTGGCCTCCAGGAAGGAGAGTCTAGACCGAGTATATTAAGTGATATTTAAACATGCATCTCTAAATTTTCCAAGGGTCTGGCCAAAAGCGTATTCTTCCCAAGAACACATCTTTCTTGACAATTGCCCCTTCATTCATTCTTTTACTTATTTGACAAGCATTTAGTGAGTGAGTCCTTGAGGTACAAGGATGGATTTTTTCAAAAGTCATGGTTCTTGAGGCATCCACAGTCTAATGCAGTTTTACACAAAATGTGATCAGACAGACACCTGCAACAGAATCACCTGAGGGAGGTTGTTTTAAAAGATTCAGGCCCCCTGGACATTTGCACAGACAATTTCTTATTCAGTAAATTCGGAGTGGCATCTGGGACCTGCATTTTTCAAAAAGCACTCCAGGTGATTCTGATGCATATTAAAGATTGAGACCCACTGGCCCAATGGAAAAGACAGGAATGTAAGAGGATAATTGTAGAGCACTGGTTCCTAGTTGCAGTTAAACAGGTTTTCACAATGTGAAATGGAGACATAAGAAGAGGCTTTAGTGTGTAAGGCTTGGGCGTTGCAATGAGAAAGATATAGGTTCAAATTCCGCTGCTGCCACTTACTTGTCATGTGATTGACCTTTTCTTGGTGTCATGTGTCCTCACATGTAAAATAGCCAAAGCACTCACCTCACACCAATTACAAGGTTTTCATGAGATTACATATGTAAAGTGCTTATCTTAAATTTTAGAGCATAATAAACACTCATTACTCAGAAGTCCTCACAATTGTCATTTTTAATTATTAATGGAACTTAAAGGAAAGACCACAAATGAGAAAAGTTTTCCTGAGAACCGTGGAGCCCAAATTTAATTTTAAAGCAGTTTGTCTCAAAGGATAAATATCTTGCAGTCCACAAGAGTTCTAGGATTTAAAAAATTTTCTGTCTTCGATTATAATTTAACATTTTAATACAAGCAGTAACCATCATGCAATTTCACTGCCTGGCTTTTCATTGGTGTTTACAATTGCACAAATGCCCAGTGAAAGCCAGATGAAGTCAAGGATCAATCTGGACATAGAGGAAATGTTGGGAAAACTGAGTCGTTGCATGGCATGAGGCAGTTCAATCTACTCAGCCATAGGATTCGATGCCATCTTCACGCTGTGAGCAGATGTGCTATGGGGACTTTGGCTTTTTACATACTAACACATACCAGCTTATAAGCAGAAACTTGAGGCATAAACACACAAAGAAGAATGGTTCTGTCCCTGATTCTGTTAGTAAATGGATTAGATATCCATTTAGTACCAATTTTAATATCAACACAATGCTAACCCTATCTTCAAGTGAGTAAACAATTTAAAAAATTATCAAATGACACCTCATAGAAACTGACATTCGATGATTGCTTACTACAGAGTTTGGGTTAAGATCTTATTTTCCTGAACTTATGAACCCTCAAAGCTATTAATAACAATTTGTTCAACATACTTACACTAACAGGCATGCTTTGCATGAAATTAATACATTTAAATAACAGATTTAAACATAGACCAGACCCTGAGGATACATGGTTCTACTGTGTCTATCTTTAAGTTCCACACTAGTGATTAGTTTCAACAAAACCACATTATCTATCACATTAAAATAATTTAAATTTTATTGGGTTTCATAGTTATATTTGATTTCTTTTTCTCTCTCTCTCTCAAATCCTGAGGTCTGCTCAGATATAGTTGATTTCATTTATTAATTTGTTTTGGCTCTATAGTTGCATAAGAACTATAAGCATAAGAAGTGTATACCTAGTTTTAAAATTATACATATTTTAATAAGATCCTAATAATAGATCACCCAAAAAGCTGAAAAAAAATTCCCTATAAAACATGTCCATGTATTATTCAGGTCTGAGTAATACCAAAAGGGACAATCCTGAGGAAAGGTTTGTTCAGGGCTGTCTACTCTTCTATCATCACCTGTCTCTCTTGAAGAAGGGAGTCCCCGCCTGTTCACCAGGCATGAGTGACAGAGAATCTGCTTCATCAGCAACTTATGACCACGCCACCCCTGCAGTATGCCTGTTCCATAAGGCCCTTGGCCATTGCTTCACAAACTTTCCGACCCACCTTACATTGCCAATAGCAAAGCCATTATTTGGGGTTGGGGAAAGGAGAGGACCAAGAGATCCTCTTCTTTGCAAGTGAGACACCATTTACTCTACACTTAAAGCTATGTATTTATCTAGCCTTAAGAAGTGTGGTTGGCTGGGCGTGGTGACTCATGCCTGTAATCCCAGCACTTTGGGAGGCTGAGGTGGGCAGATAACCTGAGGTCAGGAGTTCGAGACCAGCCTGGCCAACAGAGTGAAACCCCCTGTCTGCTAAAAATACAAAATTAGCCAGGTGTGGTAGTGCATGCCTGTAATCCCAGCTATTCAGGAGGCTGAGGCAGGAGAATCACTTGAACCCAGGAGGCAGAGGTTGCAATAAGCCAAGTGTGTCATTGCAATCCAGCCTGGGCAACAGAGCGAGACTCTGTCTCAAAAAAAAAAAAAAGGTAAATAATGTGGATCTAGATATCTCAATCGTTTGTCACCACTTTCATCTAACCCTCATGTATTCAGAAGAAAGTGTCATACACCATGATCATCAGGCTGTCTGGTGGATATGTTTTCCTAATGCCTATTGCTGAATCATGCATTTGTAACTATAATAACTTCATCATCATAAGGATGGATTTGAAAGTATTTTTAAATAGCATCGTAGTACTTCCCTCAATAGCTCTGAGAAACTGTAGCTGAGTAAATTTAGGAACAAGTTGTAGATGACAATTATGGCTTATGTTCCTATGGAGGGCTGGATTAAGACCTTATGGAGGCTTCAGATACAGAAATATTACAGTCTCTTCTCCACTCCCACCCCAACATGTACTTCATTATTTTTAAAAATGCTAAAAAGTAGCATTTTTAAGAATGTAAGAACATTCAATCAAATTTCTATTTTCTATTTGTCTCATTAAGACTACTTCAATACATTTTTGGAAACCAAATATTAGCTTATTTCCAAAAGGAACTGGAGGTGTCCCTACTAGAGTCCTAAACACTTGGGAAAAAGCAAGTTGCAAGTGTATCCAGGGTTTTCACAGGCATCATATCTCTTAATAGCCAGGTCTCATTTCTTATGTACAGTCTGCGGGTAACAAATATGGAGCCATTCTGAATGTGCCAGACTCTCTTTTTCCAATTTAACTACCCAAGAACTCCTTCCCAGGCTTCTCCTTGCCCTAACCGTACCCAACCCCAATGAGGGCTTAGTTCTAAAAATATGAAATTCCTTTCAATATTCGAGTACATTGTAAGTTAGAAAATTAGATCTTCTGGCCGGGTGCAGTGGCTCACACCTGTAATCCCAGCACTTTGGGAGGCCGAGGCAGGTGGATCACCTGAGGTCAGGAGTTCGAGACCAGACTGGCCAACAGGGCAAAGCTTCGTCTCTACTAAAAATACAAAAATTAGCTGGGCATGGTGGTGGGTGCCTGTAATCCCAGCTACTCGGAAGGCTGAGGCAGGAGAATCACCTGAGCCGGGGAGGCGGAGTTACAGTGAGCCAAGACCGAGCCTCTGCACTCCAGCCTGGGTGACAGAGCGAGACTCCATCTCAAGAAAGAAAAAGAAAATTAGATCTTCTGCCCTATTTCAATGCTCTTCTTTCCTATATTACTTCTGCAAAAGGCATGAGGTCAGCAGTGAAAGGGAAATGCAGAGTCATTGAAGTTTACCTGTATAGATAGGTCAACACCAGACATTCTGAGCATCTTTGTTAGAATATATTTTGTAGATGTTGGCAACTCAATCCATTGAAAAATGATGATCAGAAGCACCTGGAAACCTAGAGGTGGAACTTTCTACAGCTCAGGGAAAGGCACAGTGTAGCTCAATTTTTCTGGAGCATGGGGGGCGCTGGTGGATCTAGGAGAGGGGCAGAAGAAGCTGGTACCTTAAGTCATGAAAATGAAACAGGCAAGTGAACTTCAGAAAGTTGTGAAGGAAAGACAATAGGAAAACCATCAATCCTCTTTAAACTGTGAAAACAAAGCTTGCCACCAAAATATAGCAAAAGGATTAGAAAGCAACTTTTCAGCCGCCCTTGAAGGAATTGTATAGGTCTAGAATTTACATCCTAGCTTGACATCCAAGCTTGATACCCCTTTGGTAATAAATGGCTAAGCAAAAGGCTTAGAAAATTTTTCACCTCCAAACATGATATTAAGCAGCAGTTAATTTGTTTTTTACATAACACTGAATGTTCAAATAAGAATTTCTTAAAAGCTTTAACAAATGAAAAGTATTTCAGGAAAGAGAGAACACTCAGTGAGAGAGGGAAAGGTTAAATAAAGGTAAGCACTTCTATCATCAGAGGACTGAACACACCCATGAGGAAAGGAGTATGATCAAGAGAAAGACACCAGCACTGCCTGTAGTCAAACCAGGAGAAACCAAATCTGGGGTAGTATTCTGAAACCCTCCTGGAATAACCACCTTCTATTTGTTGTTAAAATAAAATAAAACAGGCCAGGCACGGTGGCTCACGCCTGTAATCCCAGCATTTTGGGAGGCTGAGGCGGGTAGATCACCTGAGGTCGAGAATTCAAGACCAGCCTAATCAACATGAAAAAACCCCATCTCTACTGAAAGAAAAAAAAAAAAAAAACACAGAAAATTAGCCGGGCATGGTGACGCATGCCTGTAATCCCAGCTACTCGGGAGGCTGAGGCAGGACAATCGCTTGAACCTGGGAGGTGGAGGTTGTGGTGAGCCAGGATGGCGCCATTGCACTCCAGCCTGGGAAACAAGAGCGAAATTCCACCTCAAAAAATAGATAGATAGATAAATAAATAAAATAGGCCAGGCATGGTGGCTTACGCCTGTAATCCCAACACTTTGGGAAGCCATGGCGGGTGGATCACCTGAGGTCAGGAGTTCAAGACCAGCCTGGCCAACATGGTGAAACCCTGTCTCTACTAAAAATACAAAAATTAGCTGGGCGTGGTGTGGGTGCCTGTAATCCCAGCTACTTCGGAGGCTGAGGCAGGAGGATGGAGAATGGCTTGAACCCAGGAGGCAGAGGTTGCAGTGATCCGAGATCCCGCCACTGCACTCTAGCCTGGGCGACAGGGAGAGACTCTGTCTCAAAAATAAATAAATAAATATAAATAAAATAAAATAGCCCTGTATATAATATAGACCCAATACAAACCGAGTTTTCACATAAGCTTATCTGTTCCTCCTTATCTGTACTCACAAAGACATTAGTATATTTCTACAATGTTCACAAATCATAAGAATTAAAATTTAAGTCCAGTACTTCTGATAGTAAGTCCAGTACTTAGGCCATTTTTTCCATGACCTAGCTCTCTTTAGATGCTGATCTTAACGGCATAACCAATTAATAGAAACTTACTGAGCTCTTTTCCATCCTCAAAGACTATAGTATATGACATTTCAATTACTGCCCTCTAAAAATTTTTCCAACAACAAATAAGAACTGTGCCAGGCATATAAAATAAGCCCTTAATCTAATATACAGTGAGAGTTCAGTAAGTACTCACTTATGGGTTAATGCTATAAGGTGAGTTAGAGCAATCACCTAAGACATGGTCTTTGCTAAACTAAGTGATACTGACCAAAAGAACTAGGGATTCCAAGAAGATCTGGGATGGATGGAGGATCTGAAACTTAAGCTGGCCTTCAAAGAAGAGTGGTATTTGGCTAAAATGAGAGGAGAGAGGAGCATATTCAGAGAGTATGGGGACAGGGTGACAACTAGGGTGAAGATCATAGCGACTCAAGTCTTATCTGTGAAAGTGAATATGGGGATGTGGGTGCTGACAGGACAGCGATTAGCATAACTGAACTGGAGAATACAGAAATTGTATATTGCCCTTTACAGATGAGAAAAATTTAAATGCAGAAAGATTTAAAACATTGTTGCACAAAGTCCCACTGCTTGTAGGTGGCAAAGTTAAAATTAGAATCTCACCCTATTAACCCTTGGCCCATCACTCTTTCTACCATACCAAGTTGTAGTTAAAACAGCTCAATGAGGGTGGGTCCAGTGGCTCATGTTTGTAATACTAGCATTTTGAGAAGCCAAGGTGGGAGGATTGCTTGAGCCCAGGAGTTTGAGACCTGCCTGAAGAACATAGTGAAACCTCATCTCTACAAAAAACAACAGTTAGCCAGGTGTGGTAGTACGCACATATAGTCCCAGCTAGTCGAGGGGCTGAGGTGGAAGGATCACAAACGAACAAAAATGACTATTCTTTAAGTGATAGTTATTATAATTTGAAGAGTATGACACAAAAATACCTACTTATCTGCTATTAACCTATTGAATTAGTCTTTTTCAAGATTTTGAAACATTTCTGCCTCAGGTAGCTTTAATAAATAAAATAATATCATTTAAGTTTAGGGTACTTATCTGAAAAACAAAATTAAGCATTTTAAAATACAGATGCTCATGATTATAACTATATTACAATGACTGCCTTCAAATAAGAAAGAAGTAGCCAAGATGGAATCAAAGTATTAGAATTTGGAGATTGGGCAGATTTTTTAAATTAAACTTTAATTCTTTTTAAAGCAGTTGTAGGTTCACAGCAAAATTAAGCAGAAAGTACAGATTGTTCCCATATACACCCTTGTCCTCTGCTACAAAACCTCCCTCACTATTGACATCCCTCACGACATTGGCACATTTATTACAATCAATAAGCCTATCAATAAACCTAATGGTCTGTGATATCAACACATCATTTTCAGCTGGGCGCGGTGGCTCACACTTGCAATCCCAGCACGTTGGGAGGCTGAGGGGGGCAGATCATGAGGTCAGGAGTTCGAAACCAGCCTGGCCAACATGGTGAAACCCTGTCTGTACTAAAAATACAAAAATTAGTTGGGCGTGATAGCACACGCCTGTAATCCCAGCTACTCAGGAGGCTGAGGCAGGAAAATCGCTTGAACCCAGGAGGCAGAGGTTGCAGTGAGCCGAGATCACACCACTGCACTCCAGCCTGGGCGACAGAGCAAGACTTCATCTCAAAAAAAAAAAAAAATCATTTCACCCAAAGTACATTGTTTGTCTTAGGGTTCACTCTCAGTGTTGTACATTCTATGGGTTTTGACAAAGGTATAATGACATACATCCACCATTGTAGTAACCACAGAACAGTTTCACTACCCTAAAAATCCTCTGTGTTCAATTTATCCCTCCCTCACCCCTAATTCCTGGCAACTACGAATAGTTTTTACTGTTTCCATAGTTTTGTCCAATGAAATTCAGAATTCGAAGTACTATTTCTACTGAATGAGTATCACTTTTGCACTGTCGTAAAGTTGAAAAATCGTAAGTTGAACCGTTTTAAGTCAGCACCATCTGTATTTTTCTCAACCTGTGGTTTGTATTCTCATTCTCTTGACATTGTCTTTCACAGAGTGGAAGTTTACAATTTTAATGAAGTCCAGCTAATCAGGGATTTCTTTCACAGATAGTGCCTTTGGTGCTGTAACTAAAAAGTCATCACAATATCCAAGATTACTGAGATTTTTTCCTATGTTATTTTCTATGAGTTTCATTGTTTTGCATTTACATTTTGGTCTATGATCCACTTTGAGTTGCTTTTGTGAAGGATGTAAGGTTTATACCTAAGATTCATTATTTTTGCATGTGGATGTCCAATTGTTCCAGCACCATTTGTTGAAAATACTACCTTTTCTCCATCAGATTGCCTTTGCTCCTTTGTCAAAGAACAGTTGGCTACATTATATGGGTCTATCTGGGCTCTCTATTCTGTTTTCTTGATCTATTTGTTTATTTTTTCACCAGTACCACAATGTATTGATTACCAGAGCTTTACAGTAAGCCTTGAAGTCAGGTACTGTCAGTCCTTTGACTTTGTTCTCATTCAATATTGCAGTAGCTAATCTGGTCTTTTAACTGTCTATATAAACTTTAGAATCAGCTGGTTGAGGCCAGTCATGGTGGTGCATGTCTGTAATCCCAGCTACTCAGGAGGCTGAGACAGGAGAATCACTTGGACCTGGGAGGTGGAGGTTGCACTGAGCCGAGATTGCGCCACTGCACTCCAGTCTGGGCAACAGAGCAAGACTCCGTCTCAAAGATAGAAAAAGAAAAAAGAAAAAAAAAAAGAATCAGTTCGTTGATATCCACAAAACAACTTGCTAGAATTTTGGTTGGGATTAGGACTTATTTTTAATTTCCATTGATACTATTTTAGCGTTATTATGTCCATTTTAAACTGTCTGTTATGTACACATTCTAAAATTACAACTGCATCTGTCTGAGGAACAGATTGCTATTCTTGAGTGAATTTAGCTCCCACTACTCTCTTATTGAGGTCAATTTGCTCCCCTGCATCTCAAGAGGGTTCATCCTGAAGGACAAGTGCCAGTAGCTTTTGAAAACTTCACCAATCCTCTAACTTTTACATGCCTCTGAGAAGTTACAGTACTGCAAGGCATTTTGGTATGGCTCCCACAAGGACTTCCAAAGTGCGATTTTCTTTTACAAAGCCCAAGTAGTCACTCATTTTACTTCCAGCAAGAAATGGAAGTGGCATATATTGGTGTGACTGTACTTTAAAATTGCCAAAAACACACATAGACACACTTGCACGCACTTCTCCAACCTTACCATGGGGATATGGGAGTTTGTTCTTTAATGCTTGGATTTAGACATAGAACGATAGCCATAATTATGATGATAATAATGAAGACCATGGCAACAAAGACAATGGTGATGATAAGAAGTACAGTCCCAGGCCGGGCGCAGTGGCTCATGCCTGTAATCCCAACACTTTGGGAGGCCGAGGCAGGTGGATCACCTGAGGTCAGGAGTTTGAGACCAGCCTGGCCAACCTGGTGAAACCCCAACTCTACTAAAAATACAAAAATTTGCTGGGCTTGGTGGCGGGTGTCTGTAATCCCAGCTACTCAGGAGGCTGAGGCAGGAGAATCACTTGAACCCAGGAGGCAGAGGGTGCAGTGAGCCAAGATCGCACCATTGCACTCCAGCCTGGGTGACAGAGTGAGACTCCGTCTCAAACAAATAAAAAAAATTAAAAAAAAGTACAGTCCCAAAAAGGAGGAAAAAGAGGATGGGGCTCTTGTTAATGGCTTTATGCCTCATTTGCCTATACCAATGTCTCCTTTATCAGAGATTTAATCATATTTTATGTATTTCTGAAATTTTCTCCAGTCACTGCTATGTGTGTCTGTTGTTTCCTAAGTTCCTAAGGACAAGAATTGCGTCTTTTACTTCTGGATCCTTCATTTCATTTGTCTGTATACTCAGCAGATATTTTATTAAATGTCTACTATGTCCAGATAATGTGTTAAGCCCTAGCACTGAATAAGGCATGCACTAAGTGCACAGAAAAAAAATTTTTCTAATAAATGAGAAACCTCAAACTGTAGCTACATAACATTATAAACAGCTTGAGAGGCAGCAATATGATGTATTCTTTTCATAATAACAAATAGGGCATAAATAATAAATTTATTTATTATTTTGTTATGTTTAATAAATACACATTGAGTAACTGATAGCAAATAAAACATAATACTAATACAAGGTTGTAATAATAGAGAAATTGTGCAAAGGGTAGAAGGAATTCATGAGAACTCTGCATTTTGTTCTCAGTTTTTCTGTAAAGCTAAAGTTGCTCTATAATTTTTAAAAATTATAAAAAATATAAAATTTGGGGTCCTATTTATGGCATAACACCTGCTCCACTGAAAATCACCATTTAATAACTATTTCTGTATTATTTTTAAATTACAGTTCAGTAAACTTTAAAAACTAAATTTTATTAACCCAATGTGGATACCAATTTTCTAAATCAAGTTTCACACAGTCAAATTCATATTATACTCCCTAGAACCTAAAGCAATGAATGCTTATAAATGCTTGTAACTTCATGGGGTTTGTTCATCATAAAACATAGAACAGTGTCCAGCAGAGACTAGGCATCCAATAACTACTTACTGAGGAGTAAATAAATAAATACAGCAAAACAAAATTATGACAGAGTTTACCAGGATGCTATGATATTTTTAATAGATAAAAAATATACCTGCGATTTTTTTTTAAATCACCACTATTCAAGAGAAAAATAAAATCAGTGGAAAACTATCTTAGACATGAGAGTTCACTGAGATTTGTATTGTTTCATGTTTTTTTGGATTCATAAGAGCATTCAAATTTTAAAAGGAAAAAATGCAAAAATGCTAGATTATTTGCCCTCATTTTTAATCCATCTCCCATCTCAATTATTTTGGCTACCTAAGCTATTAAGGCCCTAAGGATTATCTTGCATTACCTACCATCTTCACAGGTACAGTGCTTTCCAGTTTCCTATACATTATCTTATCTAAACTCAAATGAAGGGGATAAAAACTCAAGGGGAAATTGAGGACCAATGAAGTTAAAAAACTCCTCTGAGGTCGAAACCCTAGAAAATGATGGTGGTGGGACTAGAGCCTCACTACATGTTCTTTTCACTACATCACGCATCTGAAGTTCTATTTATCACATGCCCTCTCCCTCTCACTCACACTACAGAGCACCAGCCAGCACTAACCTCGGAGCTATAGATCCAAAGGGCCCCTCACAGATTTTTGTGGGGTTCTTTTAGGCACAAATCACAAGCCACAGACGACTTAATGAGTGGATCCATTACAGACAATATCCAATTTCCAGGAGAAGCCCAGCTAAACTCAGGAGCTGTGTAGTGAGTCCAAACCCATGTTTAGAATTCCTCTACCTTTGCATTGCCCTTCCAGGCCTTAGCAACTCTTGGGCTGGCTCAAAACTGACCTTCTTCAGCATTTCAAAGCCAAAGTAAGATTCCAGCTAATAAGTACACAATTTGCCAAATGCTGGGGTTTATAAAATTAGGAAACATCAAATATATCTATGCAAAACAATTAGAAAATAAGAGAACCATTTTTAGCCAAATCGTACATGAATAATGCAGGCTTAATAATAGCACATTTAAACATATACAAATATAATTAAAAGAGAGAAAAATTTACAGAGATCATCACTTTAGACACGAGGTGATTGATGTTCCAATAAATATCCTTGACAGGTATCTGGACATCTCAGCTTCTTTACTAAACTATGTTATTAGCACAGTGTTACTAAATCTTTGATGAATAGAACTAAATCAAATGGAATAAAATTGAATTGCCAAAGACAACACAGTTGGAGATTTATCAGCAGAGGTACTTAATTCTGTTTCACATCAGAATCACCTGGGGAGCAGTTCAAAGTACTGATTCCCAATCTCCAACCTCAGATATTCTGATTTGATTGGTCTGAAAATCTTTTAAGGTCTACCTGGGGTTTCTAATTTCCTGGTGAACAGTCCTCATTATGGATGGTTGCTGCATTCAGAGAAGCCCTGGGATGCCTGGGGATGCTGGACACATTTCTGGACTGACTAGTCATTGTTGGGACAGAGTCGATCAATTCATATGTTGCACAGCTTCAAACAGGGCAAGAGGTATAAAGAGTCCAGTGTGTCTGTGTTGCGGACAGGTCACCATTTATGTGAGCTGGCACAAGAATGTTAGCATGTCTGTGGAGGTCCACTTTTAGACGTGTGTTTGCTTTTTGGATGCCTGCGAGACATGTGTTTGGATTGTGTGTTTGAGGTGAGGGTGATGTGAAGTGCCTGAAAGCAGATCTTGTAAGGGAGCTTGGGAAGGATATCTGAGAGCTCATGCGAATTGAAAATGGTGTGACATGAATGTATGGGGGGTGGCCGCTCCAATTTTTTCATGTGTCTATTAAAAATGCAAATACATGGAAAGGTTTGAAGTAAATTCACTGTGTGTGATAGAGAATTCAGATGACTTCAAGACTGGGGAGCAATTATACAAGAAGGAAAGAAAAGTGCGAGTTCACAGAGTGGCTAGGGGAGAATAAGCAGGTGATAAGGTCCTGTGCTTGGACATGGAGACTCTGTTGAGGAATCTAAGTGAAAGGCATTCCGGAAACACCTTACCCACTTCCCTTACATTTAAGGTTTCTAAAGCAAATGGATCTTACCCAGAAACAGAGGCTGAGGCCTCCCCACTGCAGGCTGGCTCTCCACCCCCACCCCAGGAGCAGCAGCCTCCCTTCTGACTGCAGGCACAGAATAGGGAATGCCAGGGAAAGGATGAAGGGAGATGTGCCTGCCAGTGACAAGAAGGTCCTGGGTCAAGGATCTGCCCTCAGCTAGATACGAAGCTCCTCAAATGTCAGTCTTGTCTGAGGAGCAATCAGGGGACTGGTCCTGACTAAACACTTCCTTTTCAGAGACAGGGGATGCTTCACCAAGCACAGTGTCCTTCAGCCTGCACTGCTTTGGGCAAGGAATCATATCAAACCAGGCCAGTGGAGGAGAATTTAAGAGACAGAATTTAAGACAGAGCCCTCAGGAATATTCCCCCGGGAGGGAGGAAGGCCTGCTTCCATTCAAAGGAGATGGGCACTAAGACTGAGGCCACCCATTTCAGAGTTTCACACACATCCAAATCCATCTGCCCTCCTGCCAGCATCAGCACCAACTGCCAGACCCAGCACCACAGGGGCTGCCTCATATGACGTTCTGTGTTTACCGATCCTAATCGAAAGAGCTGATATGGGTAAGCCCTTGATAGCCTTCAGCATGCATGCATGTCCAATACCTCTTGCAGCAATCACACTGAAAGGTACTGCAATTGTTCCCATATAATAAATACAGAAGTCAAGGTGCAGAAAGGCAAAGCAACTTTGCTAAGTAGTAAAAGGTAGAGCCAGAACTTATCCTGAATCTTCTGACTCTAAGTCCCAGGCTCTTTGCATAACAAAGGTAAGTATATACCAAAGACCCAGAAATCAACCCCACATCTGATATCCAGACAAATGTTCAGCCAAGTGCAGAAGTGGCCTCTGAGAGAGAATCCATACTGCTCCCATAGCCTGACACCTTCACCTCCTGATCAGCCAGTGAAATATGGAATTTGACCCCAAAAGTAACCAAATGCAAGGGAGATGAGGGGAGTATCATTGAATAGTGATTCCAAGCATAGGTTTTAGAGTCAGATATACATGAGTTTCAAATGTATTAGCTACCTTTCCTTGAGCAACTCATTTCGCTTCTCTAAGCGTTAATGTCCTTACATGTACGATAGAAATAATGCCTTACATAGCTGTGAGAGTCAATCAAATTATGTATGAAGAGCTCTGAGCATGAATTATGTATTATTTTGAGCCTGCTGCATAGAAAATACTCAGAATTTAGCTTCTTTTTATTTTACACACACACACAAATATAACCATAGACATCATTAGCTGATGAGCCGCCATTGGCGTCCTCTCTATTACTGATAATTAACGTCCTTGTGGTGACTTGCTCATCATACTGCCTCTATTGTCTCAGCCAGAATAAGCCTTAAAAAGGAAATGAAAGCAGAGGTATGGAGTGGAAAGAACACTGGACTAGCAGTAGAGAGAATCTCAATTTCATTTTCAGCTCCACTACAGATGTGCTGTGGGACTTGAACAGGTCGGTCCCCTTCCTATCATTTTTTACATCTGTGGAGCGAAGGGGTTAGATGAGAGGCCTAAGGCCCTTTTCAGGACTCTTAACTCTGTGTTGTAGGAAGCCAATGATCGGCAAAATGGTGCTGAACCCCCTACTGGCTTGAACAGTACGAACTCTTGCCTCAAATGGCTGGTCTGAGAGTTTCAGCCACTGGGAACAGTTCTCTTTCCCTTTGGATGGGACTCTTGAACCTAGGCCAGGACTCAGAGGTCCCAAATGAAAACAGCCCCAGTCATTCCATAACAAAGGGAAAGGCACCCAGAGCCAGCGAGGAGATGAGTCTGGGAAGCTGTATTTCACTGTCACAACTGAAAAATCTTCCATGCACCCAGCCTCCCCCTAGCCACCCCAAATCTCAGGGGGAAGCCACCCCTCATCCAAAGTTACCCTTCTCACAAGTAAATCAGCAACTCCCCTGAAAAACAAAAAGTGCTTGGTCTACACTATCTCCAAAACTCAGGACCTTCTAACACCACTACTAAATGTCTAAAAACTTAGCTCTCCTGCTCTGCCTTCTTCATCCTGAAACTAACTCTGCAATCGGCCTGTCTTGCCTGCCAACAATTTCAACTCTGCTAACACTGTTTATTGTATCTTGCAGCTGCTATAGATTCATTTATTTTGCTTCAGGCTTCTTTGGTTATTACTGCTCTTTATTCTTCCCTTCATAGCATAAATCCAGACCCCCAAAAACATGGGATCTGATTTCTCGAGTCTGTGGTGCCTCATTACGTTCCCTTCCTTGTCTGACTTAAAACGCCCTTCTGTTTCCTTTTTAAAACTTTTCCTGAAACACCAAAAGAAGTATATGCGGAGCTTTCATTTTCAAAAAAGAAAAAATAATAAAGAAAAAAGACCCACATAACTTACTTTCATCCAGGGGTGCACAGTTTTGGAAAGAAGAAAACAGAGCTATAATCCACTGCGTTTCCCCAACCCAAAAAGAAGAATTTGTTGTGAAACGCTTCTTTTTCCACTTTGCTGGTGAAGGAGCCCGGTGGTAGGCATACATCCACAGGCTGATGCAAGATGCCTTTGAGAGAAACCTCACATTCTGAGGATTCCTGGGAAAGCGCCAGGGATCCCAGCATCCAATATATTGCACATTTGGTTTCAATTAGGAAGGGGGTTGGGGAGGGAAGAAGGAAAGTCACCAATCAGAGCTGTTTTCTGTTTGGAGACTATTTCTTTTGACCCAAGGGACTATGGGCAAAGCTATAATTTACAGCAAAACCCATTCATAGAAGAAAAAATATGTATAACCATAGGACAGACTTAAAGACACCGCTCCCTTCTGCCTTATTCCCACCCATATCCATCTCCACTTCCTTCCCCTCCATCTAAGACTTGATCCCCTTCCTGTGATCCCCACCCCCCCGCCGCCTACCCCACACCTCATTTTTCTTACTTGAGCTGAAGCTATAAGCAAAACTTAAAGTTTGGAGTTTTCCAATTGAAGCTTCCAGGACAGTTGGGGCACACACGCGGAGCTGACCTTTAGTATTTTGACCATGAAAGCCTAGAGCTGAGCTCTCCCCCGAAAGATTTGATTTAATCCCTTCCCACCACGGCTCCCCCCACCAAGAAAACAACTGGAAACTGCCAGAATCCAGGATTCCTATTTTTTTCCACTCAATTCCCAGTTGGCTGCTGCCTCTGAGGGTCTGTTGCTGTCCTGGATTCATGCTGCTAAATGAAAACACAAGCATTTATAAGGACTTTCTAAATTATTTTGTGAACTTTTTTTTCCCTCCTTTATCTTCTCCCCGCTTCCACAGCTATAGTCAGAGATCATGTGAAAGGGGCGGGTAGGCAACAGGGGAGGAGCCTTCACTCCACTCTCCAAACGATAACTAATAACCCTCTCCATCCATCCAGGCTCCAGCCTTAACCCTTCAGAGCCTGGATCATTCCTGACCAAGCCCACGCTGGGCTGTTCTGGAGGTCCTGATTCTCCGTGAGTATGGAGAATGCAGGGCAAGCAGGGACCCAGGGGCAGGAGATCCAAAGAGAGAGGTAGATGGCAAAAGGCAGGTCAAGAAGACCGAGCTTACCTTTGAGAGCCAGACTTCTTGTAAAGAGACCTCCTTTCTCTGAGCTCTGGAGCTATCACCAGCTCTTCTCTGTTTGTAGTTAATCTGGGATTGCACAGTCTCCAAGATGAGCAAGAAAAGAAGTGAGCAAACAGGAAAGGGAGGATGGAAAGAGATCATGGAGGAACGTTCCCATAGTAAGTTAGGGGCAGGAGATGTTTCATAAGGGGAATGGAAAAGCGCACACACACACACACACACACACACACACACACACACACACACAATGAGGGTGGCCATGAAACTGAGAGCTAGTGTTGAGTCAGTGTTAAGTCCCTAAAAGTCTCATAAGCTCAGCACCAGTCTGAGGGTCAGAAAGCAGCCGTTAACATCTGTGCCTCACAGCTGTTACAGAAAAGGACACGGAGAACATGGGAATGGTTCAGAGGGCAGCCATGGAAATGATTAAAGGCAGCAAGCAAGACCTTAGAGAAAAAACTAGAACTAGGGTTAGTTTATGAAGAGAAAAGACACTGCAGAGATCAACTTATTAAGAAGACTCTTCAAATAACTTACAGCATCTGAAGTCAGGCCTGAGGGTGACTCAGGCCAGACATGCAGCTCAACTCAATAAATATGTGTTGGGCTCTTATCAGGCACTTTACTGGGTGCTTGCCAGAGACAACTAGAAATCCTCCTCAAATGTCCATGCCTGTAGTAGTTCACCTCTTTGGCATTACTATAAAGAATGTACCAAAAATACAATCTGTGATTTCACAGATTTGGTGATACTATAGGTCAAATGTGGAAAACAGTAACAACTTCATAAAACCAGACTGAGCCTGATAAAGGACAGGGCCTGTACATATAGGTATGTGTTTTCCTTTTTCATTTTAAGGTGGTTCTACTCCATAGGTGAGATTGTTTTTTCTCTGTGTATGTATAATTAGAACTCAAGTTGTAGTCTTAATTGAGCCAGGACTGAGCCAGTGATGTAGACTGCAAAACCCAGACACACCTGGGTTTGTCTGAGGCGGACTAGGCAGTCAAGAGTCTATTTGTATATAGACCAGGACACTTCTGGGGAAGAACTCACTGAACACAGAAAGGACCAAGGGATAAAAGTCCCAAGAAAAACTAAGCTACGTCAACAGTAAGGAGTAGCTCAAAGGAAAATAGCATGTCTATCAATCACTCAAAACACCATCTCCATCACTCAGGCTATTCTCAGCCAAAGCTGGGGTCTAATCTTGAACTCTAGGAAGAAGGTTCTACAAAGAAAAGAGCAAGGAAAAGCTGAAAGTGATATTTTACTAAAATACTTCAGGGATATTTAAAGCATGAGGAGGATTCATTAGATTGAAGCCTCAGTTTTCAGAGACAACTCTGATTGAGTGACAACCAGTGTTCAGCCTTGACACCAGCCACTGCTGTAGGAAGCCAGAGCTGGAAAGTAAGAAAATGGCAAATGCTAACTTCAAAGCTGACGGGACTAACCCATGGAACACACAGAAGAAATGTCCTGGGAACTCTCAGAGCTATTTGGTAGAGTTTTGAGTAAGACTGGAATTCCTAATATTGCAGGAACAGATGTGGAGAAATACCATTTTATTACTCTTCTGTGAACAGATTTTACCCCCTGGTTGGTCTGGCTTGGGAAATGTGAGTCACTGCATTCAGAATTATTTCTGTTCCATAGGAAGTAATGTATTTTTGTTATGAGGACTGTTTTACACTGAAAACAAATGACTGAAAAACAATATAGAATTCCATTACTGGGATTTTACAAAAATAGGACAGATCTATCCGGAATGGTCAAGATGCAGTGTTAATTAGAAGTAAGATGTGCAAGATGACTTTTCAAGACCTTTTCTAGTCTACAAACCAAGGTTCAAGTAAATACAAAAGTTGAGCATTGAAATAACTATAATATTTCTGTCTCTAAATAGCTATGAGCTGGATGCTTTTGTGATGCCTCAGGACATAAAATGAAGGATGAAAGTAAAATGAATTAACTTAACTTAGTTTGAGAAACACACACATACCTTAAAAGGATACATGGATATTCACACAAACCAAACCCATGTGGTACATTTAACTTCACAAGGAATTTAAGCCACAAATTAGCCACCACCAGTAACTTAGTCAACAGGTTTTTCTTCTCTCCTGTCCTGTCCTGTCTTCTCTTCTCCTTTCCTCCTCTCTTCTCTTCTTTCCTCTCCTCTTTTCTTCTCCTCTCATTCTCTTATTTCTTCTCTCTCTCATTCATTTCTTGTCTCTCTCCTCTGCTTACCGCTGCTCATTTTGCTTTAGCCCATTCTCTTTCAGTAAACCAGCCTTTTCTGCTTATTTTCGCATAATATTATAGCTGGTTATAGCAGGCGCCTGTAACAGTGCCTTAGTTCTCAAATTTATCTCTCCTTGCTTCAAACGATCATGAGAGAATGACAGATATTATGGGAGTCCAGTTCTAGAATGCTGGGATGGAGAATTTTACTGGTCAAATGTGTTTCTTATGTGCATCCTCTATCTCTAAACTGTAGAGGGCAATGGATCATATAATATGAATATGGCTCCAAGAGCTCATACGCATACATGAATCAATTCTCAGAAAAGGGATGTCATACATTAGAAGACACCCCAAAATTGTCTGTTACACCAATAATTAGACAAGCATGGCAATCCCTGGATTTTAAAGAAATTATGCCTTACTAACACAAAAGCAGAGAATATTGTGTACTTTGGAGTTATATTCTGCACACATTTAACTTAAGCACCAATTTTAGAACCTAATTCTTTTTCTTTTTTCTTTTATTTTTATTTATTTATTTATTTATTTTTGAGACAGTTTCGCTCTTGTCGCCCAGGCTGGAGTGCAATGGCACGTTCTTGGCTCACAGCAACCTCTGCCTCCCAGGTTCAAGAGATTCTCCTGCCTCAGCCTCCTGAGTAGCTGGGATTACAGGTGCACACCACCACGCCCAGCAAATTTTTGTATTTTTAGTAGAGACGGTGTTTCACCATGCTGGCCAGGCTGCTCTCAAACCGCTGACCTCAAGTGATCCACCCGCCTCAGCCTCCCACAGTGCTAGGATTACAAGCATGAGCCACCGCGCCCGGCCTCCAATTTTAGAACCTAATTCTTAAGACTCCCTGTTCCTGGTTGTTCTATCCATAATAGACAAATCCATTGACATATATTAAGGCATAAAGGCTTAATAGTCTTTAAAAATCAGTGTGGAGGAACTCTTGTAGACAATAGAAACACCTTAGTTTTCTAAAAAGCAAAATAGTCTGAATGTTCAGACAGCTGCATATAGACTTGCTTTTAGTGTCTTCCTGAATTTACCCCACGATTCTCGAATTTTAGTGTCCTTAAGAATTATCCTATGAAGTCATATCCACAGAAGTATGTATACTGTAAGTGATTTAAAGGTCTTTCAAAGATAATTTTAACTCTAAGAGAGTGTTCACTTTATCTTCTGGGTCCTAACCCTGCACACTACTAGGTGCTGTTCTCCTGTTGGACACTTTCATGGAAAGTGATCCAATTACAAACCCCTAGGGGGCAGAGTCACCTTGAACAAGTCATTCACGTTTCTAATTGTAAAATGGGGGACAATATGAACTGAAAATTCACAGGGTTGTGAAGATCAAATAAGATCCAGAAATAATAATTTATTGAGTACAATTAGCAGGAGGGGAGATTCAGGATATATAAAGCAGAACTTTTGACATATAAAACTTCTGACACTGTATACCAGACACTGTTATAAGAATTCCACATTTATTATTTCATTTAACACTCACAAGAATTTTATGGGATGGGTACTATTATTTTCCCAATGGCCATATGAGAAAACCAATGCACAGAGAAGTTAATTTGCCCAAGATCATACCTGCCAGAGCTAGAACACGTGTGTGTATGTGTGACAACAAAATGTGTGTCTGTGTGACAATAATATGCTGTGTGTTTCTGTAGTGTACAGGAAAAATTTCAGAGCAGTTAGGAAATAGTTAATTCTTAGTTTTTCAGAGTTTGAAGTCTTGTTATCCATATGGAAAATCATCGATGTCCTTTTTTTCCCCATCCTTTGCCCTCCTGAAGCCCATCAATGATTATGTTCCTACCCCTTAGCACGTCCACCAGAGAGAGAGATGAGAAATCAAAAAAGGAAAATTCAAATCAGTCCATCTGGTGACTCTCCCACGGATGAACGGAAAAGTTAAGAGAAAGTTAAGGTTAATGGCCAAAATAAGATTCTTATTTGTCTGTTTCTAACAATGCCACATACAATATTTCACAGTTCAAGGAGTGCTTTCACAGACATGACTTCATCTGATCCTCAGACAGCCCCAATATGTACTCAGTGCAGATATTAATATCCTCACTTCAAGGGAAGGAAAATGAAGCTCAGGGACTTGGTAACTTAGTTGAGGTTTTTTGCTGTTAAGTAACAGAATCTGAGTTTGAATCCAGTTCTTGTGATTCTCAGTGCTCCTCCTGCCCATTTGGCATCAATAACAAACCTCAGAGCCTCTAGACTCTTAATTTACACTCAATTCTGGAGCACGAGGTTATCTGGTCTCCCTGCCTGCTTTGCTGTTCTTTCATTTTCTTTTTCATTGTAGAGAAAGAATAGCAATTACTTGCCTCGGCAGAAATTCTAAGATGAGAGGTGAAGAAATAGACACAGAAATCTCAGAATTGTAACTCAGCTTTAGCTTCCTTGAAGAGAGTGAGGCTACAAAAAGTTTTTTAAATGACTTATTTTATATAATGATCAAGGATATAAACCCTTCTCCAGGCTACAGTCCGGCACCCTAAACCATCCCTGTCAGATAAGATAGCAACCTTCTTTTAAGCATCTCCAGAAAACAGGATCTCTCGACAGTCCTCAGTGTTTATCAACACTCAGTGTCAAAAGTTCTGCTTTATGTATCCTGAATCTCCCCACTGCCATTTGAACCCTATCCTTGTCTGTACTCTGTGGAAACAACCCTCGGCTAGCTGAACCATCTCCCAGCACCTCTTGCACCCCTGTGTCCAAGCAGAGTGAACTTGGAGAAGCAGTGTTACTTTTCCATGCTCAGGCCCAGTTTTCAGGAATCATCTTATACTTAATAGTAACCCTTCTTATGAAACTTAAAGACTCTCAGCTGCCTTGCTTCCAGGCTGGAGTCTCTCCAGCATCCATGAGAGAATCAACATAGTCCCCACTGACTGTACTGATCCAAGAAGTTTGGAGGATAAAGCTCTTTTAGTTATTGAGCTTTATTTTTAGTGATTCATTCCTCTTTTCCCATCGATCTCTGGAGGACAGTGGAAGTCTGGGAGGTTAATATCTGTGAGTACTTATTGGTAGGGAGTATCTAAATAATTCTTAAAAATTATTTTACCCACTAAAACATCTCTCTTTAGGGACTCTGTTTGCATAATGTCCTATCGTCCCACTCTTAATGCATAACTCTATCCCAGTATTCTGAGTTACACCATAAACATTACCTCTCTGTTTCTAACACACAACATATTTCAAAGCAGAAAGGAATTTATAGCACCAATGTTATTTTTCCATGTACAATTCCAGTTTGCAATGTCCAGCAGCACTCAAATTGCCTTTCGAGATAAAGACCAGATTCTGATTCTCTGTAATCCTTGTCTGTTTCTGGGAAGGCTCAGATGTTTATCTTATGGATGGAATCTGTGTTCTTTAAGGTCCTCCATGTCCCAGAGAAGAACACAGGTGCATAAACTGTTTTCATTTTAAACATTTAAGAGATTTGAGGTGAATAAAACAAATAGAAAAAATAAATAGGCAAAGCACCCCAAAACCAATCAGGGGTCAGGGGAGTGGTTTGAGGGGGATGGAATCTAGACAAGATCACCCTATGGGATGTCAGTAATCTCTGAGAACACAGATCAAGCCCTGAAATCTTTCATTCTTTGCTTAGCCCATGGGGAGCCCCAGTTTCTTCAACAGAATGAAGATTGGAGGTAGAATTTTTTTCTTTTTCACGAGAAATCTGGAATACACTTGAGAGAACTGGCAGAAGTGAATGGAGAGATGGGTCCTGAGTCTGCATCTCTCTCACTTCCTGCAACCGAGACCCCTGGATCCTCATCTGCAGACTCAGTCTCATCCCTCCCCACCTCCTTAGAATCAATCTAAGCCTGAGATAGGGGGATCTGTTCAGTAGCAGCTAGTCCATTTGGGATTAAAGACCTACATCTCATCTGGACCCCAATTCCAAGTTTCATTGGCATTACTGAGGCCCAGGAGAGTAGGTGTTTGTAGGTCTTCTCAGTCTACAGTGACCTTGGTACTGCTCCCTCCCCTATAGACCTGGCCAGCAGGGAAAAAAGAATGAAGTCAATGTGCAGAAAAAAGCAAAGGCAAGTTAGACTCCTGGCAGTTTTCGAGTTCTCAGTTGCAAGCTCTTCCCAAGGTCGAGATGCTCTTCCTGCTCTTGGATTCCATATGACACTAGTGTCCATATACTGTGTTCCCATTTGCTGCTTAAACTGCATCAAACAGGCTTCTGTGATTTGAAGTCATGCCCTTTTCAGGTCTCTGTACAGGTGCCTTTTCTAGTAAATTAACTAACACTGCTACCAGAATAGAAGATGGGTATTGTTATTCCAATTATGACAGACAAGGAAACCACTCAGAGACGCATGTTGGCATTCCCAGTAACTCTTTGATGTAGGAGTAGAGCCCAGAGCACGGAATCCACAGGGAGGTATTACTCAGAAATCCAGGCAAGTACTTGGTCAACAAGTAGACAGAGTCAAGATCCGGTCAGGAAAGTAGACACCATATTAGGTATTTCAAGAGCATGGATTTAATAAGGAATTGATTGATCACACAGGTGTTGGAGAGCTGACTGAGCGGAAATTTAATAACTGCATAAAGCAGAAAGCAATTACCATCCCAAGGCTGGGGGATGAAAAGGTGAGGGTTGGGGCTATCAGAACTTAGGCACTAGAAGAAGTGGGCACCGTGAAGCTAGGGCTCTGACCTTTGAGATGGTTCATAACATTGAACGGTGCTGGTACCATTGAGGAAGGAAGTTGAGGCTGGTTCTGGGAATGCGGAAAGAAGCTGGAAGCCATAATAAACTGCCACAGTGATATGAAATGCCACTGCTGGGGCAAAGTGCCACTTCTGGAGCAATGACATTGATATCAAGAAATAGAAAATTACTCTCTTCTCTCCTCCTCCTGACTTTCAGTCTTCATCTTCTGCCTCCTCTTGACAGAACCTAAGAGGAAGCCTATTGGTAAAGGAATCTCTGACTGCAGTTTGCAGAGCCTCAGATCTGACATCACAGAGCACAGCATAGAATATTTAGAGCCGACAATAGGCAAATTCCCACCACTCTTGCTATCCACTCATTAAATACATTCTCTCCACCCATTACTGACCTCTGGCACAGATTGCCACCTATATGTGTCCTCTCTCCTTAGATTCCAGGCTTTGCAATGCCAACTAAATCTTCTTTCAGTTGCCGTACCTGGTACAGTATACCAGGCACCACTTCCTCTCTACAGGGTATTTCTAAACTATAGCCCTATTCAGGCAGCTCCAACCTGCTCCTACTAATCAGATTATGCCAATACACCTCCTCAGATCGGACAACCAACCCCAGGGCCTTGGCACTTGCTGCCCCCTCTACATGGGCTACTCTTCCCCATGTAGCCACCTACATTGTTCCCTTCCTTCCTAAAGGACCTTACCAGTGAAATCTGGTGTCCCTTTCTAGTATTTTATCTCCATTACCATTTTCTATCCCCCTTTCTCATCTTTTGTTTCATGTTAGAGCTTATTAACACACTGCAGGCCAGGCATGGTGGCTCACGCCAATAATCCCAACACTTTGGAAGGCTGAGGTGGGAGGATACCTTGAGGCCAGGAGTTTGAGACCAGCCTGGGCAACACAGACTTTGTCTCTATCAAAAAAAAAAAAAAAAAAAAGGCCACATGGGGGAACATGCTTATAGTCCTAGCTATTCAGGAGGTGAAGGGAGGAGGGTCGCTTTAGCCCAGAAGTTTGAGGCTGCAATGAGCTATGATCACACCACTGCACTCCAGCCTAGGCAACAGAGCAAGATCCTGTCTCAAAGAAAAAAAAACTATATAGTTTATTTATTTATACCCCCTAGAAGGTAAGCACTATTATATTGTTTACTAGCATATCTCCAAGTGTCTACAACTGTTCTTAGCATATAGTAGGGATTTATAAAATATTTGTTAAATGTGGAATGAATGAATGAATACCTGAGATAAAACCTACCTGAGAAGGCTGGAAATGTCAGCGTCCTAAACAAAGAAGACAGAAGGAGACTAGAGAGAATATCCCTTGCCTGCCCTGGAAGTCACCTTTAGGAGTCGACTGGGGAAATATGAACACAAAAGCTCGTTGAGTTCTCAGGGCCATTGTGGGAGGAAGAATAAAAAGAACCAAGTGGGGAAATGCAGTGGACCATGGGTGCCCAGCTCTTTCAGCAGTTCTTACTCCAATAAGCTGAAGGAACTGTAGCTAATGCAGCAGGAGGTGTCTAAATCTCACAGTAGAGAAAGATAAATTGCTAAAGGATGAAGTGGAGGCATGTAAGTGGCAGGATGGAAACAGTGGGACATCAGGATGTAGAGGGGATAGGGACTTTGGGTCTTGACAGGCAACACGGCATCCATCCTTCAAAAAATTCCCAGCCCAGACTAAGGGTAGGGTAGCAATGAGCTTTGATCCTTGTCCTCCAAAAAAGTTATTCCTCCATGGGTAGAGAGAATATGATTTTTACATTGAGGAATGGAGAGTTCCAGACATCATTCACCCTGATCTACCTCTGCCACTGGAGGGTGAGACATGATGGCTGGAGGAGAAACATGGTGCTCGTGTGGCCTAAAATTCCAGCAGTGATCAGGGAGGGCCAACCTTATGCCAGTAACTGAGACTCCCAGGGATGGAAGAACCCAAACTAAGGGCCAGTCTGGTCCTAATACTTTCCTGAGAGGGCTCAGGGTATCCTGTGTCTCTGGATCCTGCTTGTCTTTCCCTTCTCTGCCTCCCAAAACTCCACCCAGCTGTTCTACCTGCCAATGCATCCTGACCAGGGAGGAATAAAAGCTGGTGGCTGTGTTACACTGGGAAATCTCCTTACTTCACCATCAGCAAGAACTCACGAATTAGGGAAGTGAACAGTATGACAGTAGGATAAGAAGTCAGAATTACAGGCTTGGAGAAGTGATTCACGCCTGTAATCCCAGCATTTGGGAGGCCAAGGTGGGTGGATCACCTGAGGTTAGGAGTTCGAGACCAGCCTGGCCAACATGGTGAAACCCCGTCTCTACTAAAAATACAAAAATTAGCTGGATGTGGTGGCGGGCACCTGTAATCCCAGCTACTAGGGAGGCTGAGGCAGGAGAATCACTTGAACCCGGGAGGTGGAGGTTGCAGTGAGCCAAAATCATGCCACTGCACTCCAGCCTGGGCGACAAAGCGAGACTGTCTCAAAAAAAAAAAAAAAAAAAAAAAGTCAGAATTACAGGACTTTAATCCATGTTCTGCTACTTATTGACCATGAGATTCTGGGCAAGATTTCTCCACATTCTCACAACCAACAAAATAAGTTTTCTTTCTAGAATCCCATACAACGTAACTAAAAAGGAAGCCCTTCCATCCATGACCTAAATTTTCTGTATTTCAGTTTTCTCATCTGTAAAATAGGGATATTAATAGTATTTAACCTGTGGAAATGTTGAAAGGTATAAATGAGTTAATATACTTGGAGAGTTTAGGATAGTGCTGAAGATAGTAAATCTTCCATTAATATTAGCCTTATTACCATTATAATTAGAATTATTTTTCTTAAATGTATGCTTAGCTAACCTAACTAACTAACCTAACTTTAATGGTCTTCTGCTTACTCCAGACTCCCATCTACAATTTCCTTCAACCCTACCCAGATCTACTTTCATCAGAGTATCTTGATACCCTCTCAATCATTATCTGCTGTCACCCAGAAACTACTAACAGTTACACTCCTAAATGATTACAGCAGGCCTCAAGTGCCTCTGCCAGAAATTTCCCAGAGAAAGAAAATAAAGATCCTCTGTGCAGTTGCAGAGGATGATAACTCCCCAGAACCCATCAGTCTCTCCAGCAAAGCCCCTGAAGAGTCACATTTGCAGTACACTGTCAGTTGCAGGACCCCTAGCTGGCATGGCCCTTTCACCCCTTCTTCCTCCTCTCCCTGTTGAATATTTAAATAAATATCTCTTCCACCAGCCTCAAAACTTCTTGAAAGTTGGAATTATGTCTTCACTTTGTATCCCCAGAATCTACAGCCCATAGTAGTAGTTTCAACCCATGCTAGAATAACTATAATACATGGTAAAAAATAAAAAAACAAAAAATTTGATGCCATCAGTGAGATTTAGATCAAGTGTTATGGGATTTTAGAGGAAGAAAAGAGGACTTCTTGTTGGATGGATCACAAAGTGAGATCCATCCATTCATAGAGAAAATCACATTTTGCCAGGTCTTGAAGAACAAATACAACTTGGAATTCCAGGTAAAGAGAACCAAGTCAGCAAAGATGTCAAGGCCAGAAAGTGCAGACCATGTTGTAGAAACAAAACAAATGGTGACAAGGTCCCAAACACTGGTACCTGTGTACAACTGAAGTAAAGAAGAGACGAAGGCATTTAGTGTTGATAAGTAGAGCAAAAAGGAGAATCAAGTATCTACTTGTAGTCAGAGACTATAACAAAAGGATGTGGAAGAGAGAGATGCTGAATTAGGTGCTACGATCCTTGATAATGAGAAAGAGCAGCCAGTTTGTAAGGTGTTGAGAAATTAGCGTGTGAAGGAATGGAGAAACAGTGAGTGAGAAATAATAGTTTATACAATTTTACAGTGAAAGGCAAAGAATAAAAAGCAGCTTGGAGCTACATTAAGATGGAACATAGGATTCTTACACAGAATTATAAGGTATAGTGCAATGATTAAGAACACGATTCTGGTACTGGCTACTTGAGTTTTAATCGTAGTTCAGCTACTTGCTATCAGGGTGATCTTGAGCAAGTTATTTAACCTCTCTGTGCCTCTTTTCCCTGATACATATCCTGGGTGATTATTGTGAGGATTACGTAAGTTTATAAACATAAAGCTGTTACCATAGTATCTGCCTCATACTAACCACTCAATAAATGTTAACTAGCTAGAATATAGAAGACAGAATATGTATACATACACATATATGTGTGTATACATATATATTAAACGTAAATATACATGTGGAAATATATAGAAAGATGATGACTATCAGGAAAAGTCAAAAGCACTAGATAAATTAAGGCTTCTATTGAATAGCCAGAAATATTTCTGCTTTGAGCCACAGAAAAATAGAAAATAAGAGCCTAAAGAAGTCTTGAAGCTCATTGAGCCCAACACCTTCCCCCTTCCAACACATACACACTCTCTGCTCCATTCTATAGAGAAAGAAACAGGCTCAAAAATAAATGACTGGCCTCAAGTTACTCTAGTTAATAACTAGGTTGGATGAAAACCCAGGTACCTTATTTCTCAATCCAGTGCAGAGCAACCATTTCATAGAAAATGTTGTAAAGAGAACCCAACAAGTTGCTCAAAATCTGAAGTGATTTATCAAAGGGTTAATAGAATAAAAGGGAGACCCATCCAAGGTAAGGGATGAAGACTGCCCAGGAGCAACTGCATTGAACTGGGCTCCTATCTCAAAATCCCAAATTTTCAGCATTTTTATTTCTACTTTGGAATTAGTTTAAAAGACAGTGTCTCTAGAAAGAACCCACAAAGTATTCAATTCTGAAACACAATATTATATAATCATGAGCATATCCAAAATGTACATTTGGCAATAATGAAGAATTCTGAGCTTCAAAAAAAATTGGGAGAAGTAGAAAAGGGAACCATTTCTCTGTGGAATGATAAAAATAAAAGTCAAATTTTGGTTAAACTTCTAATTTTCCACTTTCATATGTTATCAAATGATATAATTTTGGTGCATCCGATTTTATACTAAAAGTCCTCCATTGTGTATGGAAAGCTAAACAAGAACGCATTATTCTCAGATATATTAAACAAAACTTGGTTACCCAATAGGTCAGATTATGTTTCTGATTAAACAATTTGCTGGTTAAATATAGGACTTAAACCAGTAA
The DNA here is from genome assembly GCF_000001405.40 of Homo sapiens. Taxonomy (NCBI): domain Eukaryota; kingdom Metazoa; phylum Chordata; class Mammalia; order Primates; family Hominidae; genus Homo; species Homo sapiens. The sequence continues at coordinate 162,619,262 of NC_000001.11, read as the reverse complement.
CAGATTACCAGTGGTTTGCTATTGTTCGGTTCTTCACAAAGGAGCAATTATTTGAGAAACCAGGGATGGAGGAAAGAAAGGAAGCTGGTTTTTGGAATAAAATAAAAGGACTTAATTTGCAGTTTTCTTGAAAAAAAGAGGAATCAGATGAAAATAAAATTGGTATTCTGGGTTTGGGGACCTAAACAGATCCAATATAAAAAAAGAAAGAAATGGATTATGGAAATGTGAAACTATCATAACAATTTTAGTTGCACATTTGAAAAACATAAGGAAAAATGTCAAAAATAGAACTTTTATTTGGTCTGCCAACTGAAAATTGATATTTTTATTATGCTTTCAGTCAAGGGCTGATTTGTAAATACTAGGTAGAGTTTTTCTTCATAAGTTAAACTGCTTTTTTCTGTAGAGAATATTCTGAAGATCATGGGGAATAAGAAAAGACAGAATATGTTAGGAGATTTTTAAAAGACAGCAAAGACTGGGGCCTCTGGGCCTCATCTCTTGTATTCCTACAAGGGTACAGTAAAGTGCTGGGTCCAACTTCATCACTTATTAAATCCTTTTTGGTTCATTCACCTAAATCAAGTAGGATAAACAAAGGTTAAAAGAATCACGGTTCTCAGATAACCATTGGTTATAATTATTTAATCTGAACCATAAAATTTGATGCTTGGTTTTGTCCACCAATAAAAATAAAACCCTATAATGATAATTCCTGTGTGTGATCAAAAAAAAATTGTCAAGAGAGAAAAATATTTGTGTCTTCTAAATGGCATCCTTTGATAAAAGGGCATATGGGTGTATGACCATCCACTAACTTTTGTTTTTTTTCAAAATACATCATGAGATGCGTTCTTTTTTAAGCTAACACTCCATGTTTGCAAACCTTGAACCATAACTATAAAATAATTTGCCTGTGTGAGATGTGTTGTAGCTAGTATCTCACAGGAATAAAAGAAATATGAAAATACAGTTTTTAAAAATTAGTCATTTCAAGATATCATATTTACATGCATTTTTACCTCCTTCCACATGAGATTGCATTTAAATGTCACCAAAAGGAGAAGCGCCTCCAGGATGCTGGAGTAAGCACCTCTGAAAATCTATTCCTCCACAAAACAAAACAAAAAAAAAACACTGAAGAAATTATCAAAATAAACTTATTTAGAACTCTGAATGTTAACTAAAGGCTTGCAACAAACTGAGGAGAATTTATTAAAGAAAAACAGCTGAAACTAGGTAAAAACAATGAGCTTTATGAAGTTTTAACTTGGTCTATTCTCATCCCCTTCTGCCCAGCTCTACAGCAGCCTCAAAAACATGATAGCTTGGGAAAAAAAAAAAAAACAGTCACTTAACAGCCATGAGAGGTGGAAGAAGGTTCGGAGCTCCCCTAAAATACTATCCCCAGAAAATTATTACTATTTTACCTGTCTCCCCTCAGGGCTTGTCTCTATTTAACCTGATTCAGATCTCACTTAGTAAAAAGTCTTATCCCCAAGATGTTTGTCAAAAACAATCAGTGGCAATGGTTTAAAACTGCAGTGGCCTAGGGCAGCAATACCAGTTGGGGCAAGCAAGAAGTTGGCCAAAAAACTTAAAAGAAAAAGCTGGATATTTATACAGCCATAGAGGACTTTGAAAAGGTCCTACATATTCTTGGTAATCTAGAAGGCCATAAACATGTACAAGTCCATGAGTCTGTCCAGAAAAGACCTGAAAAGGACCTATGCTCTCACCTCTGACCTTTAGGCTCTGTGCAAGCAGAAAGTGAAGACTAAAAAACAGTTGTAAATTTCTGGCCAATGCATTGGAGGTGCACCCCAAAACACACAGAGAACCCCTCAGCAAAGAGTGGAGAATTTTTGGTTCAAAATATTTAAGAAAATCTGTCCAGTCATTAGCTGACCACTAAGTTACCATAGCAGAAATTTCAGTGGCTGCACATGCAAAGAGTTCAGACTGCAAAATTAATCAAGAAAAGTCACTAAATATACAAACAGCAACAACAACAAGCTCTGAGGAGAGGGAAAACCTGATTTTCAGGATTGCCACAATGTATCATTCAAATTGTCCAGTTTAAAAAAAACAAAAGAAAAGAAACATGCTTACAAGAAGGAAAGTATGGCTCCCACAAGAGAAACAAACTGGTTAAAAAAACTGTCCTTGAGAAAACCCAGATATCGAACTTACTAGTCAAGACCTTAAATAAGCTATTATAAATGGTGGTCTGTGGGATACCATCAAGCATACCAACATATGTATAATGGGAGTCCTGGAAGAAGAGAGAAAATAGGGCAGGAAGAATGCATAAGAAAATAATGCCCAAGAAAATTTGATATTTAATTAAAAATATTATTCTTCACATCCAAGAAGCTCAATGAACTCCAAGTAGAATAAATTTAAAAGATCTAAACCTAGAGCCATTATAGTCAAATTATTAAATGCCCAAAACTAAAAGATAATTTTGAAAGCATCATGAGAACAATGATCCCAGCTGCTCAGAAGGCTGAGGCAGGAGAATTGCTTGAACCAGGGAGGTGGAGGTTGTAGAGAGCCAAGATTGCCCCATTCCACTCCAGTTTGGGCAACAAGAGCGAAACTCCTAAAAAAAAAAAAAAAAAAAAAAAACCATGCATGATAAAATGATAAAGGATATCCTCAATAACACTAAATACTGACTCCTCATCAGATACCATGGAGGTCAGAAGGCAGTGGTATAACATATTCAAGGTGCTGAAAGAAAAAGAATGTCAATTGAGAATTCCATGTCAGCAAAACTATCCTTCATAATGAAGAAGAAATTAAGATATTACCAGAGTTCTTAAAACTGAAATAATTAATTGCTAATCCCAGCTACTCAGGAGGCTGAGGCAGGAGAATCGCTTGAACCTGGGAGGCGGAGGTTGCAGTGAGCCAAGATCATACCATTGCACTCTAGCCTGGGTGACAGAGCGAGACTCCATCTCAAAAAAAAAAAAAAAAAAAAAAAAAGGTACTGGGTTAGTAAGGGCAGCAAATGGTTGAGATGAAACAAGACTGGCAATAAATTGATCATTATCGAGGTTGGGTGAGTGATACATAATGTATGTAGGTTTATTACACTATTTTATCTTCTTTTGCATGTGCTTTAAATTTTCCATAATAAAAACATTTACATTAATTAGTTAATATCAGAAGAATCTATCAGAAAAAGAAGGGGGGCTATCAGAGTACACACTCTCTGTTAGGAATATCATTGTGAAATTTCATGTCTCCCAAGATACAGAAAAGATTCTTAAGCCTTCCAGAGAAGGAAAAAATAGTTTACCTACAAATAGGAATCAGACTAGCATCAGGCTTTTCATGAACAATAATGGATGCTTGGAGCCAATGAAGCAAGACCATTAAACTCCTAAAGAAAAATTCTCCTAAACTTAAAAGTATCTACCCTGTCAAAATATCTATCAAATATGAGAATAAAGTTTCCAAGAACTCAGGAAATTTGGTTTTCATTCTCCCTTTGTGGGACATTGTTTGAGGATGATTGAAGCAAATGAAGAATAAACAAAAAAGAGGCAAATGTGATTTCAAGAAGAAAAAATGTATTAAAGTCCAAGCAATAAGTAGAACTGGCAGGGAAATGACAGAAAAGATATGTTTCTTCTGTCAACAAGAAAGACATAAACAAAAGTAACTGTGTAAAGCACAAAAAATGTTCATCTTCACAACTAAACAAAAATACATGTTTAAATTCTTATTTAAATCTTTTTGTCTATCAAATTATTACACAAGTGTTTATAATATCTGGTGAAGTTAAGATTTGGTGAAATAAAAAATTGTGTATTGTTGGTGGGGTAGGAAGAATAATGGCCCCCAGAGTTATCCATGTCCTAATCCCCAGAACCTGAGAATATGTTACCTTGCATGGCAATAGGGACTCTGCTGATGGGATTAAGCGTAAGGCCCCTAAAATAGGAAGATTATCGTTGGTTATCTGAGTGGTCCTGTCTAATCCCATGAGCCCTTAAAAACGTAGAACCTTTCCCGCTGGGTCAGAGAGATACAACAACCAAAAGCAACAGAATGAGTCTGAAAATGGCAGCATGAGAAGGATTCAATACCCTATTACTGGTTCTGAGATGTAGGCGCCATCTGCAAGGACCAGAGAGCGGCGTGGGGGAGCTACGGACAGCCCCAACTAACAGCCAACAAGGAAACAGGAGCCTCAGTCCCACAACCCCATGGAACTCCATGCTGCCACCTGAATCAGCGAAAAAAAAAAAAAACGGATTCTTCCTTCCCTAGAGCCTATGGGAAGAAACTCAGCCCTGACAACAACCTGATTTTAGCCTGATGGGACCTGTACCAGACTTCTGACCTGCAAAAATATAAGATAATTAAGTTTGTGTAGTTTAAACCACTAAGTTTGTGGTAATTTGTTATGGCAGCAATAAAAAAAAACTAAGACAACTGGCAAAAGTATAAATTAGTAAAATTCCCTAGCAATGCAAAAAAAAACAGTAATCAGAGCTTTAAGAATATTTATATTCTTTGACCAAATAATTCTATGTCTGGGAATCCATACTCAGGAAATACTTATAAATATGGAAAGCCTCTTATTAAAAAATATTTGTCACAGCATTATTTATATTATCAAAAAGCTGGAAGAAAAAAATTAATGTTCAACACTAAGTAAAAGGTTAACAAATCCACCTGAATAAACATGATTCAGCAAATAAAAAGTAGACTTATAAATATTAATTACACAATATGAGGAAATGTTTTTGCTATACTGTTAACTATTTAAACACTTTTTTTTTTTTTTTTTGAGACAGAGTTTCGCTTTTGTTGCCCAGGCTGGAGTGCAATGGCGCGATCTCAGCTCACCGCAACCTCCGCCTCCCGGGTTCAAGTGATTCTCCTGCCTCAGCCTCCCGAGTAGCTGGGATTACAGGCATGTGCCACCACCCCGGCTAATTTTGTATTTTTAGTAGAGACGGGGTTTCTCCATGTTGGTCAGGCTGGTCTTGAACTGCCGACCTCAGGTGATCTGCCCCCCTCTGCCTCCCAAAGTGCTGGGATTACAGGCGTGAGCCACCGCGCCCGGCTATTTATGCACTCTTTAAGGTACATAGAAAAGAAATACCTAAGAGAAAAATACACAGAAACAATAGCAGCTGCATTCGAAAAGAGGTCATTTTAAATATGCTATTTCTCTGCATTTCCAAGTTTCTATTAATGAACCTGGGTGCCCTTCATCTGCTGGTAGGACACAGAGGATCGAGGTATGGATGATGTCAGCATTTCTCAGACGGTCAAGCAGGTGGGCTTTTACTCAACCCTGTGTAACTTGGACCTGGGCTAAACATTCTCCTAAGGCTGAGGCGCTAATACCTGAGCATTTGAAAATACTGCCCTCTACTGCACAGAAATAGCCTTGCGGGAAAGGCTACAAAAAACAGTTAAACATGCCCAGCCGGGACAAGGCCCCCAGGAAGGCAGCCGACTCACAGAAACTAGCCTATAATACACTCAGAAAATAAGTGAAAAATCAAGCTATAAAACCCGGCTTAAGCAAATACATTCTGCTCCATGGCTTCAGATATTAGCTCATCATTACCCTCAACTTATGCTTATGCAAGCCCCCCTGACAGCAGGGCAGATTAGGGTAGGACAGGCAGTGGGGCTGAGGGCTGCTGCCACATTCCAGAGGATTCCAGACAGCTCCAGAAACAAGACCCTGGAGTATCATTTTTGGAAGCCCAACCAAATTTGGTTACGAGGATAGAAGAGTGAGACAAAAATAGCTTGCTACTAATAAACGTTAACCAAAGAGTACTATGGGCCTTTAATTTGATCACTATTTGGATATTCTTGTCTCTGATTAAGAATACGCCAATAAGCAAAGCAGTTAGTCTTACAACTTTGTTATGCAGGGGTAGGGCTCTCAACTTCCACCTGCAACCCAAGACAGGAACCGTAGGTTGTGGTTTTCTGCTTCTCACCCCCTGGAAGCAAGTTATCAAGAGCACCATTTCATTGCCCAACAGCTCTGTAAATGGGACCGGATAGAATTTAGTGTCCTCAGGCCCTTTGCTCTACTGAGGCTGTCTGAGCAGTGCCAAATTCAGCCTGCCAAATGCACTGCCCTTCAGTATGTTACGAGAATATAATAAAGGGAAGGGAAAGAATGTGAGAAAAACTTTTCCACTGAAACAATTACACTCACCTAAGTATAGCCCAACTCTACTTTCAAATGTTGATTCATTATTCCCAGAACTGCTCTTTGCCATCCCCTGCAAACACAACCCCCCCATATACAAACACACACATACAAACATACACTTTCCTATAAATAAAGAGGAAATATACCCTAAGTCCAAGAACAATAATTGGCTTTGGGCTGGTGTTGCATAAGCTTATTGTGATTCTTCTTAATTCGCACTAGCTTGAGCATGACCCTGGCGACAGCCATCTGGCCCTGATCACCATCTGGCACTCTCTCTCTTTGTGCTTTTGACCCTTCCTCCTCGGATACCACAGGCTGAGCCGTCTCATACCAATGGGCCCTTTTCCCAAACTGCTAATTGTGAAATTCACTAAAAATATTTGCTCTCTCTTCATTCATAGTTATTTTCCATTGCTCCTCAATTCTGATAGCTTAAAAATTATAAACCCAACTATTTTATACCTTTACTCTTTCAAAAGCCATGGTTGGTATGTATAGCATTTTTCAGAATGTTGTTGGGATTAGAAGGTGTGGTGGGTAGCAGCATAGCATAGTATTAATTGCAACAATGGTAGTATTTTGCCATTACTTTCAATGGCAAAAACCACAATTACTTTTGCACCAGCCTAATAATTCAAAGCAGGGATCTCAGAGCCAGACAGACCTGGATTTTAATCCTCACTCACCATCCGCTAGTTATGAAGTCTTGAATAAGTTATTTAAACTCTCTCTTTAATCAATTAATTATTTTAAAATATATTTTCAAACTTCAAAATGCATATACTTTTTTCTTTTTAATTGAGGCATAACATTAAAAACAAATTTTAAGTGTTCAGCCTAATTTTTAGAAATGTATCTGTTGCCACAGCTGATAAAAATACAGATATATCCAGCACTCAGGAGGCTCCCTTGTGGTTCTCCCTCAATAGATACCCCTTCCATAGAACTTGACTCTTCTAGCCTTTTCCATCATAGATTAGTTTTGCCAATTCTTGATCATATATATGGAATAATGAAATGGATACTCTTTTGTGCCTGGCTTTTCTTCCAATATTATTGCTAGGCAAGATGCAAATTTTTTTTTCAAGATGGAGTCTCACTCTTACCCAGGCTGGAGTGCAGTGCCGCAATCTCTGCTCACTGCAACCTCCACTTCCCAGGTTCAAGTGATTCTCCTGCCTCAGCCTCTCGAGTAGCTGGAATTACAGGCATGCACCACCATGCCTGGCTAATTTTTTTGTATTTTTAGTAAAGATGGGGTTTCGCCATGTTGGCCAGACTGGTCTCGAACTCCTGACCTCAGGTAATCCACCAGCCTCGGCCTCCCAAAGTGCTGGGATTACAGGCGTGAACCACCGCACCTGGCTGCCAAATTTATATTTAACTTTTAAGGGACTGCCAAACTTCTTTTCAACATGGCTATGCCATTTTATCTTGGCACCAACAATCTGTGAGAGTTCTGTATCCTGGTCAACGCCTTGTATGATCAGTCCTTTTAATTCTACACATTTTAATAGATGTGTCAGGGTACCTCATCATCATGGTTTGCATTTCCATTTCCCTAATGACGTTTAGCATCTTTTTGTGTGCTCATTTGCTATCAGCTTACCTTCTTTATTGAAGTACCTATACAAATCTTCTATTTTTTTTTTTTTTTAATTTATTTATTTGAGACAGAGTCTCATTCTGTAGCCCAGGCTGGAGTGCAGTGGCACGATCTCAGCTCACTGCAACCTCTGCCTCCCAGGTCCAAGCAATTCTCCTGCCTCAGCCTCCCGAGTAGCTGGGACTACAGGCACATGCCACCACGTCAGGCTAATTTTTGTATTTTTTTAGTAGAGACAGGGTTTAACCATGTTAGCCAGCATGGTCTTGATCTCCTGACCTCGTGATCCACCCCCCTCGGCCTCCCAAAGTGCTGGGATTACAGGCATGAGCCACCACGCCCAGCCTCTTCTAGAAGTTTTATATAGTTTTAGGTTTTACATTTAGGTCTATGCTTTATTTCAAATTACTTTTTATATTTGGTGCAAGGTATGTATAAGTTTACTTTCTTGAAGATGGATATCTAATTGTTTCAGCACCGTTTGTTGAAAATACTATTTTTCTCCATTGAAATGTCTCTGCACCTTAGTTGAAAATGAATTGACAATATACTTATTTCTTCCTTTCCTTCCTTTCCCTCCCTTCCTCCCTCTTTTCCTTCCTTCCTTCTTCCTTTCTTTCCTTTCTTTTTCTTTTCTGAGATGGGGGGTCTCACTATGTTGACCAGGCTGATCTTGAATTCCCGGCTTCAAGTGATCCTCCTACCTCAGCTTCCCAAAATCTTGAGATTATAGGCGTGAGCCACCACGCCCGGACTCAAATTGACAATATATGTATTGTCTATTTCTAGATTAGTCTATTTATCGATTATCTATTCTGTCTCATTGATATATTTGTCTACCTTGTCATCTATAGATCATTTTGGGGAGAACTGACATCTTAACACCAAATCTTCTCATCTACTTCTGTAATTTTACTCAACAACATTTTGTACTTTTCAATGTACAGGTCCTTCACATATTAGTCAGATTTACCCATAAGCATTTCATGTTTTAACATTACTATAAATGATGTTGATTTTCTAAATTTTAATGTCTAATTATTTGTTGCTAGAATATAGAAATACAAATGATTTTTGTATGTTGATCTTGTATCCCACAACCTTGTTAAACTTATTAGCTCTGATAACTTGCATGCAGATCCCACAGGATTTTCAAGGTAGATAATCATGTCATCTTCAAATAGACAGATTTATTTATTCCTTTCCAATGTAGATACCTATATGTTTTTCTTGCCTTATTTTACTGGGTATAACTTCTATACAACATTGAATAGAGGTAGCAAAAAAGAACATACTGCCTTGTTCCTGATTTTGGGGGGGAAATACACAAGTCTTTTACCATTAAGTGTGATAGTAAAATGTAGGTTTGCAAACATGACCTTTGTTTATCACATCTATTCCTTCTATCCCTAGTGTCATGAGACTAAAATTTTATAAGGAAAGGATGTTGGATTTTGAGAAATGTATTTCCTAAATCTATAATTTGTCTTTTTGTCTGTTAATATATTGAATTCTCCTTATTAATTTTCAAATGTTAAGCCAACCATGCATTCCTGGGCTACACCCCACTTTGTTATATTATCCATCTAATATATTGTTGAATTCTATTTGCTAAAATTGTGTTAAGAATTTTACACCTAAGTTTGTGGAAGCCAGCCTTTAAGATGGGTCCCCATAATCTCTGCCTTCCAGTATTTATACCCTTGAGTAGTCACTTATTGTACAATAGTTGACCAATATGGTATTATAGACATGATGCTATGTCACTTCTGAGGTTAATTATAAAAGACACTGGCTTCTATCTTGCTGCTGTCTCTCTTGCTTGGGTCACTTGTGCTGAGGAAAGCCAGCTTCCTTGTCATGAGGTCCTATGGAGAGGTCCATATGGCACAGGACTGAGGCCTTTTACCAAAGGCCACGTGAGTGAGCTTGGCATCACGGTCTTCAGCCCCAGTGCAGTCTGGATGACTTCTGCCTTGGCTGATGGCTTGACTCCAACCTCATGAGAGAACCAGAGACAGAACTATCCAGCTAAGCCACTCCTGGATTACTAATCTTTAGAAACTAAAAAATAAATATGTGGTGTTATGCAGCAATAAAATAAAATAGACACCATTAAGGTACCTGAATGGGAGAGAACATACTATTCATTGAGAAAACAGAATGGCAAAGATACACAGATAAAAGAGAAACAAGAACAGTAAGTACAAGTTTATACTTCCTAGCATCAGATAATAGAAAACCAGGCCCCTTAGTGATATTGCCCATCTTGTCAAGGATAGGACATGTGGAAGAAAAGAAGCCATTTAAGTTTCTTTGATTAAAATGAAGAGAATGCAGACACCTATTACATTTCACAATAAAGTCTGACTTGCCCTAAATACAGCTAATTCTACTAAGGCCATATTAAATAGTTGGATCAAGGGCCACTATTTCCTCTTTAAATTAGGATTTCTTTATTCCATAGTGACCCTAGGTGATTTTAATATTTTATTAATCTATTTTCAGAGGACTGATTTTAAAATATCTTTATAAGAACACAGAGATACTCTTTATCTTGTTAGGCTGAACAAGAACTGAATTTATGTGCCTCTAATGAGATTAACATGAAGTATGCACACTATCTATGAAGTTTTTTGGGTTTGTTTCTGTTTTGTTTTGATTAGACAGAGTCTTGCTCTGTTGCCCAGGCTGGAATGCAGTGGTGCAATTTCGGCTCACTGCAACCTCTGCCTCCTGGGTTCAAGTGATTCCCTGTTTCAGCCTCCCAAGTAGCTGGGACTACAGGCCTACACCACCACGCCTGGCTAATTGTTATATTTTTAGTAGAGACAGGGTTTTACCATGTTGGCTAGGCTGGTCTCAAACTTCTGACCTCAAGTGATCTGCCCCCCTTGGCCTCCCAAAGTGCTGGAATTACTAGTGTGAGCCACTGTGCCCAGCCTATGAAATATTTTTAACTTTACAAAATTGATTACAGTGGCTCACGCCTGTAATCCCAGCACTTTGGGAGGCCAAAGCGGGCATATCACGAGGTCAGGAGATCAAGACCATCCTGGCTAACACAGTGAAACCCCGTCTCTACTAAAAAATACAAAAAATTAGCTGGGCATGGTGGTGGGTGCCTATAGTCCCAGCTACTGGGGAGACTGAGGCAGAAGAATGGCGTGAACCCAAGAGGCAGAGCTTGCAGTGAGCCAAGATCATGCCACTGCACTCCAGCCTGAGCAACAGTGAGATTCCGCCCCCCCCAAAAAAAAAAAAAAAATTGACCTTGAATTTCATCAAGCTTCAGCTATAACTATAATTTTCAGGAAATATGGAGGCTAGAGGAGCAAGTTAAAGGACATCATGGAAATGAAACCCAAAATCTGCAAATCTATGTTGAAAAAGTAACCAGTTTTTTCTAACAAATAAATATCAAACAAAAAAAAAAAAGAAGAGGAAGGAGGACCTGCATATATTTTTAAATATTTAAGGGAATATTTAAAAGACATATTAGTCAAAGGCAATAAATTGACTGTAGAGCCTGATTCAAATAATGCAACATAAAAAATATATATTTATGAGACACTGGGGGCTGGGCACAGAGGCTCACACCTGTAATCCTAGCACCTTGGGAGCCAAGGAAGGGGGATAGCTTGAACTCAGGAGTTCAAGACCAGCCTGGGCTACATGGTGAAACTCCCTCTCTACAAAAAAAAACAAAAATTTAGCCGACATGGTGGTGTGCACCTGTAGTCCCAGCAACTTGAGGGGCTGAAGCAGGAGAATCACTTGAGCCCAGGAGGTTGAGGCTGCAGTAAGCCAAGATCTTGCCACTGCACTCCAGCCTGGGCGACAAAGTGAGACCCTGTCTCAGAAAAAAAAAAAAAAAAGATATTTATGAGACACTTGGGGAAGTTCAAACACTGGCTGGATACTACATGATATTAAGGCATGATTGTTAATTATTAAGGTTTTAAAAATATCATGGGGTGGGCATTGTGGCTCACGCCTGTAATCCCAACACTTTGAGAAGCTGAGGTGGGAGGATCACTTGCGCCCAGGAGTTTGGGAACAGCCTGGGCAACATGGCAAGACCTCGTCTCTACAAAATAAATTACCTGGACCAGTGGCATGTGCCTGTAGTACCAGCTACTTGGGAAGCTAAGGTTGGGGGATCACTTGAGCCCAGGAGTTCGGGGCTGCAGTGAGCCATGTTCATGCCACTGTACTCCAGCCTGGGTGACAGAGTGAGACCTGGTCTAAATACATATATATATTCATATATATAAACACACACATACACTGGTTATTTTATCACTCCAATATACACTGATACAATGAAGTATTACAACCAAGATGTTGAACTGATTTTAAAGTAATTCAGTGGGTGGGTGGGGTGTAGAGGGAAAGTGAGAAATAAATGAACCAAGACTAACCACAATTAATTGTTAGAAACTAAGTAATAGAGGCTTATTACTCTGTTCTATTGTGTATGTTTGAATTTATTTTAAGTAGACAAAAAGTATGGGCCTCTGGATTTAGACTCTGGGTTCAATTCTCAGCTTTGCTTCTTATGAGGTATATAATCTTAAACAATTTACTTAACCTCTATGCCTCAGTTTCCCTGTGTACTGGACAATAAAAGTTCCCACTTCATAGGAAAGTAATAAGGATTAAATGAGATAATGTATGTAAAGTGCTTAGTGCAATGCCTGACACATGGTTAAGTGTTAGAATATGTTAGCCATAGTTATCCTTACTGAATATTTACTTTATATTCGTGTGACAGTTAATCTCTCCTTTATCACATTTCAGACCTTTTAGAAGTCTATAAAATAAGCCAGATGTGGTCACACATGCCTGTATTCCCAGCACTTTGGGAGGCCAAGGTGGAAGGATTTCTTGAGCCCTGGAGTTCGAGACCAGCCTGGGCAACATAGTGAGACCATCTTTACCAAAAATTAAAATAAAAAATTAGCGGGGGGAGGCCGAGACAGGCAGATCACCTGAGGTCAGGAGTTCAAGACCAGCCTGACCAATATGGAGAAACCCCGTCTCTACTAAAAACACAAAATTAGCCAGGCGTGGTGGTGCATGTCTGTAATCCCAGGAGGGATTACATACTCAGAAGGCTGAGGCAGGAGAATCGCTTGAACCTGGGAGGCAGAAGTTTCGGTGAGCCAAGATCACGCCATTGTACTCCAGCCTGGGCAACAGGAGTGAAACTCCGTCTCAAAAAAAAAAAAAAATTAGCTGGGCATGGTGCTGCATGCCTATAGTCCTAGCTACTTGGAAAGCTGAAGTAGGAAGATCCCTTGAGCCCACAATTTTGAGACTACAGTGAGTTATGATTGAGCCACTGCACCCCAGCCTGGGCAACAGGGTGAGAACCTGTCTCCAATTAAAAAAAAAAAAAAGTGAGGAATTTATTTTAAAAAATAAAATAAAATGTATATTTTAAACTTTAAAAGAAAATCGATTGTCTCATTTCAATCTTATCCATATTATGTTATATATTTTACTCTATAAAATACAACATGAGTTGTACACATGGTTTTGTAAGAAGAAAAAAAAAAACTTTGCCTACCAGAATAAAATCTGAGATTTGTGGGAAGGATCATTTCCTGGGAAGTGGAATCACTGAGAGAGAAATTGAAGAACTGATGTGGAAAAGATGAGTCATGAAGCTACAAGGATAGACTTTTTGTTCTTATGGTGTCCTAACTTTGTTGATAATTTGGAAAACACTGTTCACATAAACATATTGTCACCACTGACTCACTGAGTTTTTTGGCAAGCCTTTTAGACCTTTCAGCTTTAAAGACATAATACTGAATGTATACATTCCATCAGAGGGCTCATATTAAACCTCTTGAAAAAAAGCTTTACCTCAAACTGCATTACCTTAAATTTCTATATATTTCCTTCGTATATTCCTCTGAATCATAAGGCATTATCATATTTCACAAATGAAGACTCTATTAAATGCCCAATGCCAAAGACAATAGCATAATGGAGACTACGCTTTCTTATACTGCAACAATGCACATTCCGCTCTCTGAAAGTATGTTTACATCCTCCACCTCAACTGCACCACAGCCAATTTTACCTCAGATTTCCTTCACAGCTGTACCAAAGTGGCTAATGTGAACACCTTTGGTTAATTTTTCCTTTGAGCCTTTATAAAAGATAAAGCTTTTTAATCATAAAATTAAGAATGTATTGTCCAAAAATTTATAGAGAGAAAAAAACCCACCCATAACGTCATCACCTTAACACCTTTTTTTTTTTTTTTTTTTTTTGAGACAGAGCGTCGCTCTGTGGCTCAGGCTGGAGTGCAGCGGTGCAATCTCAGCTCACTGTACCCCCTGCCTCCTGGGTTCAAATGATTCTCCTGCCTCAGCCTCCCGAGTAGCTGGGATTACAGGCGTGTGCCACCACGCCTGGCTAATATTTGTATTTTTAGTAGAGATGGGGTTTCTCTATGTTACCCAGGCTGGTCTTGAACTCCTGACCTCAGGTGACCCACCTGCCTCAGCCTCCCAAAGTGCTGGGATTACAGGTGTGAGCCATCACGCCTGGCCTTAACACATTATTATACTTTTTACTTCTCATTCAGCCCGAAAGAAGTGCCTGTAATATTTTTAAACCAAACTGTTCACTAACTTTCCTCTTTCTCTTCCCTGCCTACCACCCTGATTCCCATTTCAGAAGATGTTGAGTCAGACAGGGATAAAATTTAGAAAGACCCCCATTTAGGCTGGTTGTTTCTAGCAGTCTGAGATATTTGCAAAGTGGAATTATCCCCAGAATGCCTGTATTCATCTTTTGCTTGTACTGTTCTCAAGTGAAATGTTCTTCACTCTTCTCCTCGTCTAAGCTTTCAAAGCCAGAACACATCCAGTCTCTTCCCTCTCATCCTTGGTTGTTGATTTCTAAGCTAAGTCTATGCCTCCAAGTCAGTAATTCTCACTCCTAGCTGCCTTTTGGAATCATCTAATGCTTTTTATAAATTAGATGCTCTGGCCTTCTACCAGACTGAGAATCATAATCTCTAGGATTGAAGTCAAAAACTTGCAAGATTTTTCAAAAATCTCTCCAAGTAATTCAGAGGATCCTAAGGGTTGGAAACCATTGTTCTAGTAATTACAATTCTCCTGGTCATGTCTTGCTAGTTTTTTTGTTTGTTTGTTTTTTTGAGACGGAGTCGCCCAGGCTGGAGTGCAGTGGCATGATCTCTGCTCACTGCAACCTCCGCCTCCCGGGTTCAAGCAATTCTCCTGCCTCAGCCTCCTGAGTAGCTGGGATTACAGGCACACGCCACCACACCTGGCTAATTTTTGTCTTTTTAGTAGAGACCAACATAGTTTCACCATGTTGGTCAGGCTGGTCTCGAACTCCTGTCGTGATCCGCTCCCCTCGGCCTCCCAAAGTGCTAGGATTACAGGCGTGAGTCACCGCACGCAGCCCATCTTTCATTCTTTTACCACGATCAGTACCGCCCCCTCGGGTGTTTGAAAGAACAAAGCTCACATAAGATTTATCTATTTGGTTTCTAGCTTAATTTATTATTGCTCTGGAAACACTGGCCTCTCAGTCTCTCTCCCTAATTTATGTTTCCTTTTTAGTACCATCCCTGAACATTTTTTAATAATTTCAACTTTTATTCTTGATTCAGGCAGTACCTGTGCAGGTTTGTTACATGAATATATTGTGTGATGCTGAGGCTTGGGGTACAATTGATTCTGTCACCCAGGTAGTAAGCATAGCTTTTCAACTACTGGTGAAAAACTATTGGTTTTCCAACCCTTTCTTTCCCCTCTCAAGCAGTCCCCAGTCTCTATCGTTGCTATCTTTATGTTCACGAGTACCCAATGTTTAGCTCCCACTTATAAGTGAAAACATGTGGCATTTGGTCCAGCAATCCCATTACTGTGCATATAACTAAAAAAATGTATAAATCGTTCACCCAAAAAGACACATGTACTTGTATGTTCATCACAGCACTATTCACAATAGCAAAGACATGGAATCCAGTTAGGTGCCCATCAAAGGTGGACTGGATAAAGAAAATGTGGTACATATACACCATGGAATACTATGCAGCCATAAAAAAGAATGAAATCATGTCCTTTGCAGTAACACGGATGCAGCTGGAGGCCATTATCTTAAACAAATCAACACAGGAACATCTCTGAACTTTCAGTCAGCCTCCCCAAATTCTCTTACAGTGACCATTCTCAAGCCTTAGTGTACACCAAAATCATGCAGATGGCTTGTTAAAACACACATTTCTAGGCTGCACCCCCATATGCATAATGTAGTTATTCTGAGAATCTGTATTTCTAAGTTTCCAGGTGATGCTGATGTACCTGGTTCAGGCGACCACACTTAGAAATATCAGTTATAGATTTCCTAATTAACCCCATATTTTGGGCATGAATCACCTGGCAACTTGATGCAGTTAAGGGACCCCTTTCCTCCCCAAAATAATTATAAATCTTCCTTTCATGATCCACTTCTAAATCACAATACACATTTGCACTTAGAGGTAATTAAATCTGGCCAGGCACCATGGCTCATGCCTGTAATCTCAACACTTTGGGAAGCCAAGGCGGGCAGATCACCTGAGGTCAGGATTTCAAAACCAGCCTGGCCAACATGGTGAAACCCCGTCTCTACTAAAAAATTAGCTGGGCATGGTGGCAGGCGCCTGTAATCCCAGCTACTAGGGAGTCTGAGACAGTAGAATTGCTTGAACCCGGGAAGCAGAGGTTGCAGGGAGCCAAGATCATGCCATTGCACTCCAGCCTGGGCAACAAGAGTGAAACTCCGTCTCAAAAAAATAAATAAAAATAAACATCTAACCCCAATTTGAGAAGGAAATAGCTCTACTCTCAAAATGATGGGTGTGATAGTTAATTTTATGTGTCAGCTTGACTGGGTTAAGGCATGCCCAGACAGCTGGTAAAACATTATTCCTAGGTATGTCTTTGAGGGTGTTTCTAGAAGATATTAACATTTGAGTCAGGAGACTGAGTAAAGAAGATTGCCTTCATCAGTGTGGGCAATCCAATACATTGAGGGCCTGAATAAAATGAAAGGGCAGAGGAAGGGTCAACTGGCTCTGCTTGAGCTGGGACATCCATCTTCTCCTGCCCTTGGACATCTGCACTCCTGGTTCTCCAGCCTGCAGACTCAGACTAGGACTTACACCATTGGCTCCCCTGGTTCTCAGGCCTTCGGGTTTGGACTGGAACCACACCACCAGCTTGCAGAGGGCAGATCATGGGACTTAGCCTCCATAATCATAAGCCAATTCCTCAAAATAAGTCTTTCTATATATCTACATATTTCAGCTGGTGCAAAAGTAATTGCAGTTTTTCCCATTACTTTTAATATCCTATCAGTTCTGTTTTTCTGGAGAATCCTAATACAATGAGATCCTTCGATGAGGACACGATAAACTCCAATTTATGATTACCTTTGTTTAACTCTTACTGAGCTTAATTCCTTACATTTTAGTAATAAATTATCTTTTCATTGTTACGTGGGTTAATTTTGTCCCTTTAACCAGAATGTAAGTTTTTTAAGGACAAGTCTCTGTGTTATACTTTTTATACCCCATCTAATATTGCTGGCCACGTGACAAGCACTCAGTCCTTACTGGCTAACTCATTCATTCATCACTTCCCAATATGTATTTCCTAAACCAGGGCTCAAAACAGGACCATGAATTGCAAAAATGTCCACGTTGGCCAACAGAAAAACAGATTTCCAAACTAACTGAATGATTTGTGTTTTAGTCACTCTTCTAAGAGTATGCATGCTTTTTCCTTGCCTCTTTTTACCTGGATAACTGAAATCTGACTGTACTGTGATGAATAAAGAGGAAGTGCTAGCAATAGTAAGCTGGAATTAGAAATAAAATCAAAATTACCAATAAAAGCCAAAACTTCCAGGAATAGAAGAGGTAGAAGTTGAAAACTGAATTTTTCTTTATCTTCCAATAGACGTCACTAAAAATTCCTTTGTGGACATCAAAACTGGATTAAATTAGAGAGGTTAAGAGGGAAATTGAACAAAAATCAAATATTCAAGTAACATACCCATTGGGCTTATATGTTCACTTGTGACTATCAAAAAAGTTATTAAATCACAGCCAGTCGATCAAGCCAGACTCAAAATGACTATCAACTGTCACATAAATTCTATACTGTTACTGCCAAATTATTCTAGCTTTTATTTTCATAAACATTTTACCCAATTCTGTATTTTCTGAATTATAACAATTATTTAACAAGAACTCATAAAAATACATAATGCTATCACCTTATCATTTCATGGCTCAGAGGCTCTCAGAGTTTGCTCTTAACTACCCAATGTTCCCCAGCCATCGCTCCTCTCCAACAAAACCACTACACAATCCCATTTCCATTCTTCCCTTTTCCTAGCATCACTAGTATTTTCTTACAACAGGAGAAGAATAAATAGCAGGTGGAAATAGCAGAGGAAATAGCAAGGTTCAAGAAAAAAAGAAACGGATCATACCATTAGTATCAGTTTTTGGCATTCAGGAGCTAAAGACTCTGCAATTCCATTCTTACAACCCATTTGGAGCTCATTTCAATGAGAAGTCAAACTTCACTAATCTTTTTGAAAACTGGAATAGATAACAATAGCAAAATTGAGCTGTTATTGAAATAAAATAGAAAATATGCTAAATGAATGATTTAGGCCTTAGTTAAAAAAAAAATAGGTAAGATTGATGGATATGAACATCACATGCTCTTCAAAAAAAAAAAAAAGTGATCCTTAAACAAAAGACCCACCCCATGAATGACATCCTATCTTGTGACAACTTGTTAGCGGAAAATGAAATTTATTCATCTCTTTTCTAGATATAATTTTTAGAATCATTTATCCAGATGTTCCTTTTTATACTTTTGGTCAATACTTAAATATTATTTAAGATGCATTTATAAAGCTCAGTCTTTTCATGCAAACAGCATTTTAGACACAGAGAACCCTTACTAATGACCAATGATCTATGGCCCATATTTAAAGAACCACCTTTGTCTTTTTATTTTTTTAATCCTCTAAAATAACAACAACAATAACAAAAAACTGGAATAGCCTACCAGAGAAAATTCAGAAACTACATTCTTTTGAATTCCTAAGTGCCACCAAATATTTGGGCAAAACAGAGTAAATGAATAATTTGAAACAAGGCTTCTCGACCTTGACACCATTGACACTTTAGGCCAGATAACTCTTTGTCGTAGGAGACCATCCTGTGCATTGTAGGATGTTTAGTGACATCCCTAATCCCTATTAGATGCCAGTGGTACCACTTCACTTTCCCACTTGTCACAACCAAAAATATCTCCAGACATTGCCAAATGCCCCTTTGGGTGGAGGACAAAATAATCTTTGGGTGAGAGCTACTATTATAAAGTGATAAGAAGATAAAGCCCAAAGTTAGATATTCACTGAAAGAAGTTCTATGACTCTGCAACCTCACTGAAGCATCAATTTGTTTTTATGCATTATCTTAAAGTTTCTCCCAAGTTTCATATTTTCTCAATGAAATAATTTCTTCAAGTACAAATGACACTCCAGAGACAAGAAGATACATTTATTTCACTGCCCAATTATTTTCTTAAAAAAGCTTAATGTTTGATAAAATAAAACAAACTTTTAGTACCATAGAAACCTTTCAACATGTACAATGACATATTATTACTATGTACAACTTCAAAAACAAATGCTTCCAGCTGCAAGTAAACTGATGTTGAACATCCTGCCTATATTTCAGCTGTACGAAATTTCCTGGATGGCCAATGGTCTCCTTGGCTTGGAAAAAATTATATAAATAAGACCTTCAATGAGTTGGGAATCATAAAAATGCTATCTGAAATTCAGTCATCTGGATCTTGGGAAGTTTGCAATAGCTCTAAGAGTTCAACAAGCAAAATAAAACCCTGTGGATATTTAAACTTCAGTTGTCCAAGACGTCTTGTAGGTTCACAGTTGGTCTATCAAAAATAAAAGCTATTCCTATCGTGGCAAACAAAACTTGGTATCTGGTTCAAATACCATTTTTCACCAGCTCATGAACTCCATTCTCATCGATGATTAGAGGTGCATGGAATTCTTTATCTGCCACATAACTTTCTAATCCCTAAAAAGAGGATTGAAATGAAACACAATTAGAAAATTTGCACTTGTCATGCAGTGCTGGACTTGCTATAATGATGATTTAAAGCACAAATGCCAAAAAAGGTTGAGATGCAGAATATAAAAGTCAAAATCTATTTAATAGACATTTTAGAGTAGACTTAATGACTGACTTGTAAAAGCATAAAACAAAAATATAAAAAGAAAATTACTCTGATCATTTCTACAGTTAATAAGATAAACATTTTTCCTATAATCATCTCTCACAGAGTTAACTTTTTTTTTTTGAGACGGAGTAGTCTCACCCCTATGCTCACTGCAACCCCCACCTCCCAGTTTCAAGCAATTCTCGTGCCTCAGCCTCCTAAGTAGGTGGAACTACAGGCGCCTGCCATCACACCCGTCTAAGTTTTTGTATTTTTTAGTAGAAACAGGGCTTCATCATGTTGGCCAGGCTGGTCTCGAACTCCTGACCTCAAATGATCTACCTGCCTTGGCCTCCCAAAGCGCTGGGATTACAGGCATGAGCCACTGCAAGCGGCCAGTAGAGTTAACTTTCTAAGCAAGAAAGCTATCTCTAATGCTACAACAAAGCAATACAAAGATCTCCAGGAAAAATATTACATAAGTAAAAGAGTAGAGACCTCTAAATCCCCAAGTTTTAAAAGTGACAGTACTAAGTACTTGAACAAACTAGAATCCTTGAAAGAAAACTTACATTGCATTTAAAAAAAGCCAGGTGATTCATCTAAAAAACAAGGCTGATTATATATTTTTCAAAAGCCTACTACATTTCAATGAGTAGGTGAAATGGACTAGATATTGCAGATGTCTGTTAATGGCAACTAACCCACTTATGGGATAGATGCAAAGCCATAACACGAATTCTCAAAGAGAAGAATTCAGAACAAATGCAGCTTCTCAACTTGTTCCCAGGAAGAGCTCCTCAGGGCAGGACCATCAGAAAATGCTGCATCTTCTCTAAGGACATCCCTACTTAAACATAAAACAATGCCAGAATTCTACTTTTTAAAAAAGTTTTATTTCTTTTTTTGTAATTTTTTTTTTCTTTATAAAGACAGGTCTCACTATATTGCCCAGGCTGGTCTCAAACTCCTGAGCTCAAGCAATCCTCTTGCCTCAGCCTCCCAAAGTACTGGGATTACAGGAGTGAGCCACTGTGCCCAACCTTATTTCATTTTTAATTGACAATAATTGTATATATTTTTCAGATACAATGTGATGATTCAATGCATATATACACTGTCGAATAATCAAATAAAGCCAATTAACATATCTATCACCTCAAATACTTATCCTTTCTTTATGGTGAGAACATTTAAAATCCACTTTTTCATTATTTTGAAATATACAAAGCTTTGTAAAAGAATAGAGGAAAAAGTAAAGCAGACTTACTTCTCCAGCATAGGAGATAAGAGGAGAGATTTCACATTGGATTGGTACATCATTGGCATCCTTCAAGCTAAGAAAAAAAACAAGTATGTGTTAAAGACTTTGCTTCCCATGTTACTTGCCAGAGCAAAAGTACAAACCATAACTTTCCTCTGAGAAGCTTGCAGATAATTCTTCCAGTTAAACAAATGGAATAGATGCTACCCTGATGATCACTAAATTCCCTGAGGATTAAGTTAATATGAAATTCTCAGGTCAGAAGGACACTATTTGGGGCAAGTGCCAATAATTACTGGTAGCTCTTTACAGCACTTCACTAGTTTTTACACACTGTCCCCTTACATACATCTCATTTTTAACCATTTCCAAGTTTCAATTTGATAAAAAGGTGACTACTTACTAGGTATATACTATATGCCAAGCCCAATGCTAGGTGCTCTGAAGCCTTCATATTGCATTTTAATCTTCACCACTACCTTGGTACTATTAATGTTGACAAACATTCTAAAGCTGTACTATCCAATACAGAAGCCAATAGCTGCACAGGGCTACTTAAATTTAATTAAAATTTTTAAAACTAATTTAAAATTTAAAATTCAGTTTCTCAGTCATAATAATCACACTTCGAGTGTTCAGAAGCCATGAATGGCCAATGACTACAAAACTGGACAACAAAGATATGCAACATTTCCTTCACTGCAGAAAGTTCTATCAGACAGTTAAATTATTTCCCAGTACATGTTTTTTCTGTACAACCCAAATGTCCTAGATTAGCTGAGCTAATTTATTCAATATGTTTCAAAGTACTTCTCTGTTACCAAAAGTCCCTTTTTAAAGAGCTAAGGCAGAATGCACTCAAGCGAAGGCAAGGTCAAAGTCCCTATTTGTTTCATCTAGGTCACAACCTAACATTTACAGCAATTCTGAATTTCTAAGTTATCTAACACAAAAGTCAATAAATAGTCAATGAGTTTGCAGTCATTAGACCTCTTTGTTATTTGCCACTTCAAGAATCTTACCAATAAGACACAGGGCACAAAAATATTAGTCTCTTGTCAAACCATAGCTCTTTCTGTGCTTTCCCCAAGTACGTAGTCTCAAACTTTGCTGGAGTCAATAAAAATCAGAGGGCTTCTGAGTTTAGCTACAGGTCAACCTTTCTCTAGCATTCAAAGCACTCTCTATCCTACTTCACCTTACTTATCCTGAGACTCTCCACTCAAACCAGATCAGTCACACTCTTTGGATTATTCCAAGTCATTCTCAACTATGGTCCCATAAAAACCATACTCATCCTCCAAGATTTGGCTCAAGCCCCAATCTTCTCTTGACCACTGCATTTCATAGTGATTGTCTCCATCCATTTATTCATATAAAAAATAAATGTGGCTGGGTGCAGTGGCTCACACCTGTAATCCCAGCACTTTGGGAGGCCGCGGTGGGTGGATCACCTGAGGTCAGGAGTTTGAGACCAGCCTGGCTAACATGGTGAAACCCTGTCTCTAATAAAAATACAAAATTAGCCGGGTGTGGTGGCGCGTACCTGTAAAGCCAGCTACTCCGGAGGCTGAGGCAGGAGAATCGCTAGAACCCAAGAGGCAGAGGTTGCAGTGAGCCGAGATTGCACCATTGCACTCTAGCCGGGGTGACAGAGCGAGACTCTGTCTCGAAAATAAATAAATACATTAATTAATTAATTTAATTAATGTGGCCGGGTGTGGTGGCTCATGCCTATAATCTCAGCACTTTGAGAGGCCAAGGTGGGCAGATCACTTGAGGTCAGGAATTCGAGACCAGCCTGGCCAACATGGTGAAACCCCATCTCTACTAACAATACAAAAAATTAGCTGGGCTTGGAGGCGAGCATCTGTAATCCCAGCTACTCAGGAGGCTGAGGCAGGAGAATCGCTTGAGCCCAGGAGGTGAAGGTTGCAATGAGCTGAGATCGCTCCACTGCACTCCAGCCTGGGCAACAGAGCAAGACACTGTCTCAAAAATAATAATAACAATAATAAATAAAAAATAAATGTATTAGACACCTGCTAAGTCACTGCCTCCCAGAGTAATTATTGCTATAGCACACATTTAGCACATAATCACATACTGCCTGAAAATGTTACTTAACTTTTATGTATGTGCATCTTGAACATCCCAGTAGTCTGTAAGAAGTGACTTATTTCTCTTGTATAAGATACTTCAGCACCTAGGATACTAATAGCACCTATAAACCTATGAGCAGGCCTACGAATGCTTGTTGTCTGAACAAATAACACTATGAAAATGATGACAAACTAATGAAGGGAAAAGAGGAGGCATAGTGGGGCACACACCTCTCTACATACATGCCAGATTCTACCACAAGAGCTCAAGAGGTCTAGTCCAGACCTTCTGGGGCAACTCAAAGTCATACAAAACCAAATGAATCTTGAGTAGGCATGCCGAGGAAAAAAAAAGGAAAAAATGAGGGCCCACCCCATTAAGATGTATATAGCCCAGTCCCACCTAAACCCCTGAAGGATTCAGTGTAGCAGGAACAGAAGGTGGTTGTGAACCCAAGAAACACATATACAGCTGGCCTGAATATGTAACTTCCATTCTACTACCACAAAGATACCCCAAGAAACTAAGGAGTGAACTTCAGTAAACAAAATTGGATGCCCTGAAGGAGGGAAAACAGAAGCTACCATCACCAAATGTAAAATCTCAGGATATAAGCAAATTAGCCCAATAAACCTACTGCCCCACAATTCTTTAGCCATGCATCCTTTTGGTAGCTAACACTATTCAGTAAGCATTAAGGTGAGAAATAAAAATAATATCGAGTCAAAACTCAGCATGGTTGTTTCCATTCTTTCAGAATACCTCCTAGTTGCTTCTTCCCTCTTTTACATAATATACTTCCTTTTCATCTCTCACAATTACATGATGTTCTTCAGCTGTGTAAGGTCATCCTTTGGTGCTAAGGATTACGCAGGAACTCTTTTTCAGTGCATGGTATCATTTAAAGCCAAACTTTGATTTCACTTTAATTATTCTATAAATGGCTAAAATGAAGTAAACTGGGCGATGGGGGATATTAAACAAAAGAGTAAGAATAATGTTTAAAGCTTTTTGTATCTTAACTAAGATAGCTAGATGCTGTCTTCAGTTATATAATTAACAATCTATTACACTGTTAGGTTAAAAGCTATGGTTCAATGACAAAGAAATTTAATCAAAGTTTTATTTCTTAAATATAAAAGCAGCTTGCTTCCATATATTAAAAATGGTGGATGAGACAGAAAGTGATAAAGGGCTCTGCATCCCAGTTCCCAAGGCAGGAGAGACAACAGTCATCTATGGCAGCGGTCCCCAACCCCTGGGCCATGGACCGGTACTACTCTGTGGCCTGTTAGGACCTGGATCACACACCAGGAGATGAGCAGTGGGCAAGTGAGTAAAGCTTCATCTGTATTTACAGATGCTCCCCACCACTCACATTACTGCCTGAGCTCCACCTCCTGTCAGATCAGTGGCCGCAACAGATTCTCTTAAGAATGTGAACACTATCGTGAACTGCCCATGTAAGGGATCTAGGTTGTGTGCTCCTTATGAGAGTCTAATGCCTGATGATGTCTCCCATCATCCCCAAATGGGACCACCTAGGTGCAGGAAAACAAGCTCAGGGCTCCCACTGATTCTATACATTACAGTGAGTTGTATAATTATTTCATTACAATGTAATAATAATAGAAATAAAGTGTACTATAAATGTAACATGCTTGAATCATCCTGAAACCACCCTCACCACCCCAAGTCTGTGGAAAAATTGTCTTCCACAAAGCCAGTCCCTGGTGCCAAAATAGGTTGGAGACCGCTGATCTACAGCACCTATAAGAAATTGATCAGATCTTTGAGTCCACTTCCTTGTTTACAGAATCACATCCCAGAAACACTGACACTCACAGGAATTTGTCTGGGCAGAGGAATGGCACAGACAGGAAAAAGCACGTGGGTGACACTGATGAAGGTGCTACTCTATTTCTGAGATAACTTCCATCTCCAGATCTTTTGCCCTGCATATATTTCCCAAATTACCTTAAAAACTTTTTCTTTCTTTCTTTTTTTTTTTTTTGAGATGGAGTCTTGCTCTGTCACCAAGGCTGGAGTGCAATGGTGCGATCTCAGCTCACTGCAACCTCTGCCTCCCAGGCTCAAGTGATTCTCCCACCTGAGCCTCCTGAGTAGCTGGGACTACAAGCGTGCATGACCACACCAGCTAATTTTTGTATTTTTAGTAGAGATGAGGTTTCGCCATGTTTGCCAGGCTAGTCTCGAACTCCTGACCTCAGGTAATCTGCCTGCCTTGGCCTCCCAAAGTGCTGGGATTACAGGTGTGAGCCACCGCACCCAACCTTAAAAACTTTAACTTTCAAAGTGTAACAATAACATCAAGCTGTCTCTTAAACTATAAAGATAATGGCTTTTCCAAACTCTGTCAGTACCCAGATGGGAGAGGATATGTGTTACTTCTAACTAAAAATGATCTGCCATTAAGATAAAAAGATTCTTTAGAAGCAAGAAAGTAACTGACTAAAATTAATGCAGTGACCAAAAAGGAGAGCTGTTAGTGTGAGAATAAATCAACAGAACAGTTTTCTCCATATTAAGGGCCATCAAATATGACAGGAACAATCAGCCTGTATACTGAGAGCATACACCCAATTCCACAAGACACATCTTCAGAATGGTATTTTTAACCCCGTATAAGCTTATGTTAAAGGTGCAAAATGTGTTCTCCCTGACCTGTAACCTGCTCTGGATCTTACCTATCATCTGAAAATCTGTCAGTTCCAGCTCTAACACCTGTGGTCAGATTCTTTAGTAAAGCATGCTCTCCATTTCCAGCATGCAACAAGATTCTGAGTTAGTGTCATCCAGAGAGATACCTGCCACCAAGTAAGCAGTGCACCCACACCAAAGTTTCAACCATCCTCCCTCCAGACCCCCAAAAGGCAGAGCACTAAACTACGATGCCAGTTAGTATGGAGGGAAGCACAGCCCCATCACCATGCACTGTAGGCAGGCTGGTATATTTACTTGTGATTGACATCAGCTGTGATGGTCTCTGACTTCCCATTTGTAGCACTGCTATGTGGGAATAAATAAGGATTAATGGGAATGGAAGCAAATCAAACAATAACAATGAAATGGAGTTGCAAAATATACTTGATTGAATGGTATGTATTTATGGTAAATCATAAATTCGTCCCAAGAGACCAAAAGGGGGTAAAAAAATAAAAATAAAACTCAATGGCCAAAGATGAAACATGAGGACAATGTGACATGCCAAGAGCAAGCTTGTTGACAATACAGAGCCCAAAAGTGGCCTTGGACTGGGAGATGAAAGCTACCACTGCTGCTTCTTGTAAAACCAGTTATGTACCAGTAAATTCCAATGTTCAGTGTTCTCTAACATTTTATTATTTTTCTTGAGATGGAGTCTCACTCTGTCACCCAGGCCGGAGTGCAGTGGTACAGTCTCAGCTCACTGAAACTTCTCCCTCCCGGGTTCAAGCAATTCTCCTGCCTCAGCCACCCAAGTAGCTGGGATACAGGCATGCGCTACCATGCCCAGCTAATTTTGTATATTTAGTAGAGACAGGGTTTCACCATGTTGGCCAGGCTGGTCTTGAACCTCAGGTAATCTGCCTGCCTCAGTCTCCCAAAATACTGGGATTACAGGCACAAACCACCGTGTCCAGCCCAATATTTTACCATTTATTGAGGCATTCTTGCAGCCAGCCATCTTATCCGTTAGGAATATAAATTAAATGCCAGAATGCTTTTTACATAAGTACGGATATACCAGATGATTCAGAAAGGGAAATTCTAGGTGCCAGTGAAGGTTTCATCATAAAATACAAGATTTAGGCTGAGCACAATAGCTCACACCTGTAATCCCAGCACTTTGGGTGGCCAAGGCGGGTGTATTGTTTAAGCCCAGGAAGTGAAGGTTGCAGTGAGCCAAGATCGCGCCACTGCACTCCAGCCTGGGTGACAGAGCAAGACCTTGTCTTAAAAAAAAAAAAAGATTGGCCAGACATGGCGGCTCACGCCTGTAATCCCAGCACTTTGGGAGGCCAAAGCGGGCGGATCACCTGAGGTCAGGATTTCGGGACTAGCCTGACCAACATGGTGAAATCCTGTCTCTACTAAAAATACAAAAATTAGCTGGGCTTTATGGCAGGCGAGTGTAACCCCAGCTACTTGGGAGGCTGAGGCAGGAGAATCACATGAACCCAGGAGGCAGAGGTTGCAGTGGGCAGAGATTGTGCCATTGCACTCCAGCCTGGGTGACAAGAGTGAAACTGTCTCCAAAAAACAAACAAACAAACAAAAAAACAGATTTAGCTGAAAAGTACTTTATCTTGGATTTAAATAACTACAATACCTTCTTTTTTTAACTTCTCAAAACCAAAGCCATTTCTAAGTATCAGTGAATGTAACTGACATTTACTTCTCTTCTAGACACCTTCCTCAGTGACCTGAAAGTGCTACAGTGAAAACTGCCATTGGACTACAATTTGTAGGTAGCCTGGGGGTGGTGGAGCTATGAGTGGGTCTCACAGACAGTACTATTAACAGTAGTGAGGTCAGCCGGGCCCAGTGGCTCACACCTGTAATCCCAGCATTTTGGGAGGCCAAGGCGGGTGGATCACAAGGTCAGGAGATCGAGAGCACTCTGGTCAACATAGTGAAAGCCCATCTCTACTAAAAATATAAAAATTAGCTGGGTGTGGTGGCATGTGCCTGTATAGTCCCTGCTACTTGGGAGGCTGAGGTAGGAGAATCGATTTGAACACGGGAGGTGGAGGCTGCAGTGAGCTGAGACTGTGCCACTGCACTCCAACCTGGTGACAAAGCAAGACTCTGTCTCAAAAAAAAAAAAAAAAAATAGTGGTGAGGCCACAGATATATGGGCAACAACAAACAATCCTCTGTGGCTGAAGGACTTGCCCTGTGGTATAGTGTGTTACTGATGGGCTTTAACCATATGGCACACCAAAAAAAAAAAAATCTTCTGATCATTATTTAGTAGAAGTCTTTTTGCTGTCATGGTGGCAATGTTTCCAAAAAATAAAAATTAAAAAAAGAGAGATCTGAAAGACTCCTCTTCACAAGAAAGTAAAACAATCATTCTCTTTATAATAGGCAAAGCTACTGTTATTTCACATCAGGAACTGTTCACACATCAAAACTTTGCTTTTTAAAAAAGATCTAGGAATACAGAGAGAGAGAGAGAGAGAGAAGTCCAAGAGGAAAAGTCCAAGAAAGGATTCATACAAAAGAGAAAAGATACTGACTTACCGGGGAATTGCTGGAAGGCGAGAGCCATTTTCATCTATGAAATGGCCCCCTGCATTGAGGACCCAGCAATGATGAAGGGACATCAAAGCATGCCTTGCAGTAGTAGGGTTGTCTTTCCCATTCTGACTATCAGCATTCTTTAGTGGGGAAAACTCATCTTCTCGCAATACTTCATATACCACAAACTTCCTAGAGCGAAACCATATAAAGACCTCTTTATTATGAAACTGCATACACAGCTTCTAACCCTTTAACATAGCTAAGGCTTTGGTCTCAACAATAGGCTTTCCTATTCCAATCTGAATGATGAATAAAATATTGCTCACCCTTGGACTAAAGAAAGCTGAAATTTTCTTTTTCAATGCAAAATGAGAAATCATTTCCCCCCTCAACTATAGAACAGTTCATCTTAAGTCGGAAAGATTAGAAATCTTAATGTACAAAGATCACATTAGTATCTGTTCTGGAAAAAAAAAAAAACAGGCAAAAAAAATGATTTAGAAATGGAAAGATTAATTTCATTTTATTTATTTATTTTTTTGAGACGGAGTCTCACTCTGTCACCCAGGCTGGAGTGCAGTGGCACAATCTCAGCTCACTGCAACCTCTCCTCCTGGGTTCAAGAGATTCTCTCACCTCAGCCTCCTGAGTAGCTGGGACTTCAGGCATGCACCACCACGCCCACCTAATTTTTGTACTGTTAGTAGAGACAGGGTTTCACCATGTTGGCCAGGCTGGTATCCAACTCCTTGGCCTCAAGTCATCCACCCGCCTCAGCCTCCCAAACTGCTGGAATTACAGGCATGAGCCACCACGCATTAATTTTATACAGCTTATTTGTCTTTCTCATTTTTGCACTCGTCAAATTCTGAGACAAGCATCTCAACATCAAATGTGATCTTTATAGAGAGCTATATAATCTAAAAACATGTTTACTGAAACATCTATTCACAGGGCAGTAAGAAGATATCCTAAATACAAAACGAGACAACTCTTTATCTTAACCTTTTCAGTTTCTCATCCAAAATAAATGACTTTAACAACTTTACAGGAGACCAAGGCGGGGCGTAGTGGCTCAAGCCTATAATCCCAGCACTTTGGGCGGCCGAGATGGGAAGATCGCTTGAGGCCACAAGTTTGAGACCCGCCTGCTCAACATAGCAAGACCCCATCACATTTAATAAATAAATATATATTTATTTATATATATAATATAAACAATATATATTTATATATATTATAAATAAATATATATTTATATATAACTATAAATTTATATATAATATATAAATATTATATATATTTAAATATAATATATAATATATATTATATATAATATTTATATATTATATATAATATATATTATATAAATATATAAATTATATATATAAAATATATATATAATATATATATTTAATATACATATGAAAAAAACTTTATAGGAGCCAGAAACTAGTTGATTTAAAAAAAAAAAAAGTTGTACTCATAGGCAACTCAGATCACACTCCTGGTTTTATTCCAGAGAACTATAATGAATCTAGACTACATACTCACAATCAAAATGCCATGTGAGATATGTGCTATCAAATGTTTCCTGAAAACAGTTTCATGCCTAAGAGAGTGAAAAGCAGCATTTTAAGACATTTATTTAACCTTATTGGTACTATTCAAAGCATACTTTGCAAACTGGAAGATGTCAAAGACAAATTTTTCCATCTTTATTCCATTGG
Source organism: Homo sapiens (assembly GCF_000001405.40). Lineage (NCBI taxonomy): Eukaryota > Metazoa > Chordata > Mammalia > Primates > Hominidae > Homo > Homo sapiens. The sequence continues at coordinate 162,588,781 of NC_000001.11, read as the reverse complement.
GTTTGTCTGGCTTAATTAACTGTCCTTGGGTATCCACATAAGGAATCTTCTTTTGAGCCACATGGTGCTGCAACTGAGGTTCATAAACACTAAGAAGCAGGAGGAGAAAAGATATAATCACGTTCCAGATTTAAAATGCCAGAAAATCTTACAACATTCAGGAGCAAATGTGTCAACAACCAATACTAAGATTTTCAAAGTGAAGAGCATTTAAGTTTCAGTTCATATTTAAATAGTAAATGAATAGCTTTCCCCCAATCATCTCTTTATATTTAAAAAAAAATCAAATAACAGTCTCCACTAAAACTGTGTACGTGTGCATTAAAACTGTATTCATTACAAATGCCTTAAAACTGTATATATGTACATTAAAAAACGCATTAAGTTACTATGGATGAAACAGTAACACAGCTACAAATGGCATAGAATGGGAAATATTTTGGAACTGGAGTTGATATTCTAAAGTAATGCATATTAACTTTTTAAAAAGTAGACAAGTCATCTTGAATGTCTAAAAGCTAAGTGAAATCGATAGTGAGAATGTCCTTCATTTAAAACTATGGTGGGATAAAATAGCTCTTATTTTATCCTTTGTAGCACTACCCGCTAATTTTCATGCAGGTGTCAAGTAATTTCTTCACTCTTTAGCACACTAGTTTCTAAATGCCAGCCTGGGAATCAGCTGAATTAGAACTTTGTGGGCAGCTTTCTAAAAATATAGATGCCCCGAACCCACCTCCTGAAATTCTAATTCAGTTGGTGTAAGGTGAACATCTGTATTTTTAAAAAGCTCACAGCTGTGGTAAAGAAAGTTTCATTTCTTATGCTTTGCTTCAACAGAACCTAGCACATAGTTGGGGGTGGGAGGGTGAGAAGGGAGAAATGCTTTGGCCTCCCATTAATGCGCTGGGGAATGGGCTCCGATGATTCCCACCTTACAATACATCTTACTAAAAACAATCACAACATGAGATAAATGTCCATTTGATAAGTGATCCTCAGGAAAGATGAATTCTGTGGGATATGGACTTGGGGTGTCTGCATCCCTCTCAAGTGTCTTAGTTTCTGATTAACAATAAATATAATTTTAAAAGGCCCCCATCTTGCCCATACTTGACAACATCTCTCAGAAATGGTACAGTGAAGAAATGGTTGGCAATGTTCCCCGCATTGAACAGCAGTCGTCCGTCTGAGCTTCGTTTTTGAGCTGTTGCCAGGGAAATCTCACTATATTCTACCACCTGGTAAACTCCATCCACTCGGCAAACCACTCCAACTGGTTCTGTAGGGTTCGTTTTCTCTACCACCTGTCCACCAGAGAAAAACAGTAGAGGAGGAAATTGAATTAAATGTTTCTTTGGAGATTTGCCATTGTCAAAGATGACATTTACAACTTTGCTTACACTAAAAGGTATAAAGCCAAGAAGAATCTTTAACTTTAGACAATCAACTATCCATCTTTATATACCTTGACAGGCACTTTCCAACTGGAAATGAGGTATATTATTTCCTTCCTATTTATCACCTAACTAAACCTTGGGCTAGAAATTCCATCATATACATATATCTAGCACAGAGTAAATCACATTGGAGTGGGAATAATTACATCAGGAGTCAACATCCCCCATGTATCTTGTACTTTTTATTTAATTTATCCTTAACCACCTCAATTACTTTCATAATAAATAAAATGAAATTTCTCTGGGATTCACAAGACAAAAGACCTAAGTTAGGCATTTTGTCTCTCATTTTCTATTGCCCGATATTTCATTTGAAAAAAGCATTTCTTTAATTTTGGCATTTTCCTTGTGTTTCAGGGACCTGAGTAGGAGGTAAAGGGGTTTAGAGCAGGCAGGTCACTAGCCTCCCACTCCAACTTTAATTAGAAAACCCACCCATATTTATCTGTTTTGTATACTCAATTTTGTTTGAAATAAGTGATTCTATACTTCAAAAAAATAATTCTGAAAACCAGTGATGTGATAATTTATCAATGGCTCTGGGCTGATGGGGAGCTGAGAAAAGAGGGTATACTAAAATCAGAGGGAAAATTAAGAATATGTAATTTTTAAAAACCTCACAAGTGATTTTGGTATGCCACCACACTAATCCCACACATCACTGACTTAAGTGTTTAGAAGAAAATTATAAAAGAACTATATGCAATGCACTAATATAAAATCAAGGTTCAGATAAGATAAATATCCAACCGAAGAAACAAACAATAAAAAATATTTGTCAACCTAGGCAACAAGGTGAAACCCTGGCTTCTATTTAAAAAATAAAAAAATTAGCCAGGCGTGGTGGCATGCTGGAGTCTCAGCTACTAGGGAGACTGAGGAAAGAGGATCACCTGAGTCTGGGGAGGTTGAGGCTACAGTGAAACGTGATTGCACCACTGCACTCCACTCGAGCCTGGGCAACAGAGTAAGACCCTGTCTCAAAAATCCCTATCTATTTGAAGGTATTGTTTTGTTTGTCCAGTCTAATTATCAATTCAGCATGCTTCAAAATATGTTTAAAACTCTGTCCCCAATTTGACAAGTCTATCCTAAGTAGACATGAAATTATATTAATAAAGTTAAGACTTTTCTTCAACAACTGATTTCTTAAAATAAATACAGTCAGTAACAGTCTCATCCAGAAAACTAAAGCCACTATTGAGAACTTCATTTACACAGCAATTAGAGATATAGGCACTGAGTCCAGCTCAGTGAGGCAGGACTGCTGGATAAGTAAGCCTGTTGTGTGGTTCACTGTTTGCCACCCTGAAAGGAACACAGTTCTTAATGAAAAGAAACTTTCTACCGAGGAAGTAGATTAAACTGAAGGGGAACATTATGCAGCAAATTATTTAAATCAATCATGGGCCTATTTACAATTCTTATCTACCAACCCATCACCATCTCTTACTTCATGTACTCTACCTACAGTGGGTATCTTACTAGGCAGGGAATTTGGGATAGATTCCCCTTATTCTCTCTCTTTTTTTTTTTTAACGCACACAGGTTTATTTTCCAGTCACCACTATATACTCCTACTCCCAACCAGCCATAAAAATAAAAATATACATATTCACATTTTACATTTCCCAAAGGTTTACTTCTATGGCAACTATTAACCTCTAAATATTTTAAAAGTCTACATTACAGAAGAAAGCATTTGTAAACTGAATGAAGTGGGAATCCATTTATATTATACAGAAAAGATATAAAGTATAGAACGGGCGTGGTAGCTCACACCTATAATCTCAGCACTTTGGGAGGCTGAGGTGGGTGTATCATCTGAGGTCAGGAGTTCAAGACCAGCCTGGCCAACATGGTGAAACCCCATCTCTACTGAAAATTAAAAAAAAAAATTAGCCAGGCATGGTGGTAGGCACTGTAATCCCAGCGATTCAGGAGGCTGAGGCAGCAGAATCACTTGAACCTGGGAGGCAGAGATTGCAGTGAGCCAAGATTGCGCCATTGCGCTCCAGCTGGGGCAACAAGAGAAAGACTCTTATCTCAGAAAAAAAAAAAAAGATATACAGTATAAACTTAAAAGGTGTACTCAATATTTCATAAGTTTAATCCAGAAAAACTGAGTCCAGGGCCAGGCACAGTAGCTTACACCTATAATCCCAGCACTCCGGGAGGCCAAGGCAGGTGGATCACTTGAGGTCAGGAGTTAAGAGACCAGCCTGGCCAACATGGTAAATTAGCCAGGTGTGGTGGCACATGCCTGTAATCCCAGCTACTTGGGAGGCTGAGCAGGAGGATCACTTGAACCCAGTAGGCAGAGGTTGCAGTGAGCTGAGAGAAAAGCTGAGTCCAAAATAACACTTTAACCTCAGAGTTACTATAATTGCTTTACAAAATGATCTTCAGTTAACAATGGTTCCTACCTTTTTAACTTTGTACTTTTGCAAACTACCTCACTCTTTCAGTCTTTTCTCATGTTCTTCACTCCATAAAAAATACTTAATGCACCAAGACAGGGGCCTATTAAAGTACTGCAGGCCAGGCATAGTGGTTCACACCTGTAATCCCAGCACTTTGGAAGGCTCAGGCAGGCAGATCACCTGAGCCCAGGATTTCAAGACCAGCCTGGGCAATGTAGCAAAACCCCACCTCTACAAAAAATACAAAAATTAGCCAGGCATGGTGCTGGGTGCCTGTAGTCTCAGCTACTCAGGAGGCTGAGGTGAGAGGATCACCTGAACCCAGGAGGTCGAGGCTGCAGTGAAGCCATGATAATGCCACTGCATATCCAGCCTGGGTGGCAGAGTGAGATCCTGTCTCAGAATAAATAAATACAATAAAAATAAAGTACTGCAAATAATTCTACTACCACAGTATGAATCATCCCCTAACTTAGGTGCTTTAAGATACATATTTTAATGCTTTGATTTTCTTATTTTAAAAGGGCAGGGGAGCAATTATGTAAACGGCTTCTAACATTTCTAAAAGATTTTAATATATGCCAGTCTAGTCATGTTTTGGTTCCATCTGAATATTTACTTATTCATTCACTGAATGACTACTACATTACATGCCAGACACAGGACTAAACAGTGAGTGTCTTTGCAAGGAAGACTGAGTCTGGATTTATCCTACAGAGCCCACAGGTAATGGAGAGGAGTGACTTAACACTTGCATCTTTGCATGATTAGTGTACTCACAAAAGTTAGCACACCAGTTTAAAGATTTTTGAACTGTCAGCAAAAACTAATCTGAAGAGTATGGTTCTATAATGTAATATAATATAAGACTAGGAAGTTGGGAAACATGAACTCTAATCCTGGCTCTGTTAATGTGATAAAGAACCTTGAGCCTGAGTCTTATAAAGTACTAGAACTCTGGCCGGGTGCAGTGGCTCACGCCTGTAATCCCAGCACTTTGGGAGGCCAAAGCAGGTAGATCACCTGAGGTCAGAAGTTCAAGACCAGCCTAGGCAACACAGTGAAACCCTGTCTCTACTAAAAATACAAAAAGACCCAGAAAAATTAACCAGGTGTGGTGGTGCACGCCTGTGGTACCAGCTACTCCAGAGGCTGAGGCAGGAGAATTGCTGAGCCTGGAGGCAGAAGTTGCAGTGAGCCAAGATCACATCACTGCAATCCAGCCTAGGCAACAGAGCCAGACCCTGTCAAATAAATAAATAAATAAATAAACAAACAAAGTACTAGAACTCAGGATTCTCATTTCTGAGATCAAAGGGGTTGACCAGATGATCTCTGGGGTCCCTTCCAGGTTGAACACTCTCTGATTGCATAAAGTTTAAATTGGTTCTGAAGCTCGTAACAGTACAATTTTAAGTTTCTATTTTAGGAAAAAAGAGTGACACCAGCTGGGCACGGTGGCTCACGCCTGTAATCCCAGCACTTTGGGAGGCTGAGGTGTGTGGATCATGAGGTCAGGCGTTCGAGACCAGCCTGGCCAACATAGTGAAACCCCGTCTGTACTAAAAATACAAAAAAATTATCTGGGCCTGGTGGTGGGTGCCTATAATCCCAGCTACTCAGGAGGCTGAGGCAGGAGAATTGCTTGAACCTGGGAGACGGAGGTTGCAGTGAGCCAAGATCATGCCACTGCACTCCGGCCCAGGCGACAGTGCAAGACTGCGTCTCAAAAAAAAAAAAAAAAAAAAAAAAGAGTGACACCAAGTGGAAGGCGTGTGCCTATAATCCCAGCTACTGGGGAGGGTGAGGCAGGAGAATCACTGAACCCAGGAGGCAAAGGTTGCAGTGAGCCGAGATCCTGCCACTGCACACCAGCCTAGATGACATAGTGAGTCTGTGGCTAAAAAAAAAAAAAATACAGTTCAGATACTCACAGAGTATTGGAACAGATAGAAGTCTTAAATAACTGAACTAAACCAACACTTATTTTCAGAGTCCAGAGGAGGCTTATTAGGTCTATCAGCTTAATCTCTCAAAACTTGTATCAGTAAATTTAAGATTTCGGCTTCCAATGAGACTTTGCATAAAATTTCTAGATTAACTTTGAGAGAAATAACTTCTTTGGCAGATCTTCTTTTTAAATACAGATATTTCAAAATAATTTGAAATCGAATTTGTTTTTGTCAGAAGCCTATATGGTTACTGCTTTCAGTAGAAAGGTCTTCCTTTTGCATCACAATTATAAAATTCTTCTAATTTTCTTCTAATACCTTTATGATTTCATTTTTAAATATTTAACTGTGTAATCCACCTAAAACTGATATTTGTATGAGCTTTGACAGAGAGATCTTACTTTATTGTTAGCCAGTTATTTCATTCATTTCCTCCACTGAGTCAAAATGCCATATTTTATAAAATGTGTTCTTCTTATACATACACAGATGTGTTTCTGACTGACCTACTCTATTTTCATTAATCTGTCATTCTATTCTGGTTCCAGTACCACACTCTTTTAATTTACAATTCCTTTTAATGCTTGATAGATGGTCTTCGGCCCCCTTTCCTCCCTTATCTTCATCCTTTTTCAACATTTTCCTGGCCACCTTTACATGTTTATTCTAAACTTTGCAATCATTCTGTCAAGTGTCCCCAAAATAGTCTCACTGAGATTTTGACTGGGCTTTTATTACACTGTTTTTGATGAGAATGGATACCTATACAGACTTCTAGTAATGTTTATATCAGTATTTTTAGGTCTTCCAAAGTGTTTTTAAAGGTTTGCATGTTTGCTGTCTATTTTATTTCTAGCTATAATATATATATTTTTTGCTACCATAAAGACATGCCATCACCTATACAACTAAAAACGTGTTGAAAAGTACAATGCCAAGAACAGACTCATTACATATCATTACAAACCTCCCTCCAACTTAGTATCAGTCTGTGTGTGGTCATTCAAGCAGTTATTCACCTCTTTAATTGTCCTTATGCCCAACTTGCATATTTCTATCTTATTCGAAAGAACATCGTAAGATACCTTGTCACCTGACTTAGGAAGTCTAAATCTGTTATTTCTACCACATTTTCCTTACCTACTCCAATAACTTTGTCACAGGAAAAAAGTTGGGTTAATCTGATTGAACACAATTTGATATTAATGAATCCAACCCAGGTCTAGTGATGACCACTTTCCGAAGTACTTACAAATCCTCCTCACATAGTTTAAACTCTTACCTGTGATAAGTATACAACATTACATCTAGAATCAAGTCTTGCCAATTTAAGAAAAAAAGTGGGTGTGGGACCGTTTAGTTACTTTAGAGAGATAAATGGTTCTAAAATATTCAAATCACCCTAATAAACTTGGTTTGACTTCTGGAATGCGTATATGACAGAGCAAGACCATCAAAAGCCTCACCATAGTTGAGAAAGGCATTACCTTTGCTCCACAGTCTGCTCCTTTCTGAATGCAAAATCCAATGAACCGTGGGTCTGCCACTTTTACTAATATGTTGTCAACACAATAGACATGAATGCTCCAAATGCCTCTTTGCTCCATATCCTCCACAATATTCTGGGCTGCAAGTGCCCGATAAAGACCACCATTCCCATCTGGAAAACAAAATAGCCCATTAGTAGCATATCAAAATCCATCATAAAGGTAACACAAAGATTGTTTCCAAACTAGGGTTAAGATCCCTAAAAAACAAAATTCGCTTTACAAAGGCAAGAAAACTGAATATCCATAAGGAAGGAATCAGGTGTCAAAAAAATTGAACTATAGGATTTTGAAGGTTACTTAGCATTAACTATCCAGAGAATAACACTATCAATGTAAGATCAGGCAACCCCAAAAACCATATCTTTCTTTTTAACTCAGCCCCTTTTAGTAATATATTGTATGATATAAAATCCTTTATCAGGCAATGATTATTTCATAACATTTCAAGTTTCATTAACATTTGTATGATTCAAGTTAGCTCTGTATTTATAACCCCAATGCTGACAATTTCACCCATCTCAAAAATACGTAAGTATTTTGTATCAAATCATTTGTTAAAAAAACAGATTGATATGGAGGCCTAAGGTGATTTAAACGAGATATAAATAAAGCCTCTTCTTTCTCCATCTATTTATAATGCTGCTTTAATGTACTTTGTCCAATAACAACCTTAACCATAGCTTAAGTGATGAAAAATTAGACAACTTCACAAAATACAGCTAAGAATAGTAACTCTTCCATTAACCAAAATAATTAAGATGAAATAAAAGCCTACATCTAGAGAGCACCACTGTTAATACTATTAATTTCTTTTCAGCCTTTCCTCCAAGTACAGATTCTCATAAACATAAATCTGTCAGTAGGTCTATTTTTATAGACTGAGGTTGTACTCAGGGTCACTGAATGTGGCTACACAGGCAATACACTGTCCAATTCTAGTGGGTCCCATTAACAAACCATGATGTGTATGCACTACCTGGAATTGTGCAAAGCAGTGGCCCTAATCATAGACTGTATGCAGTTTTTCATTTTGCATTCTCTTACTTAACTTGCTGAAATAATGTTTAGAATTTAATGCCACCAATTATTTTAATGCTATTTAAGAATTAATGCTATTTTTAAACTATAATTTAGCCTCTCATTTATTAAATAGCATATGGTTTCCAAGTTTTCACTATAATAAACAATGTAGCCATGAACATTGCAGTATACATAAAATATTTGCTATATGGCTGGGCGCGGTGGCTCACGGCTGTAATTCCAGCACTTTGGGAGGCCAAGGCAGGTACATCATTTGAGGTCAGGAGTTTGAGACCAGCCTAGCCAACATGGCGAAAGCCCTTCTCTACAAAAAAATACAAAAACTTAGCTGGGCATGGTGGCGCGTGCCTGTAATCCCAGCTACTCAGGAGGCTGAGGCAGGAGAATCACTTGAACCCAGTAGGCAGAGGTTGCAGTGAGCCGAGATTGCGCCACTGTACTCCAGCCTGGGCAACAGAGTGAGACTCTGTCTCAAAAATTGTAAAAAATAAAAAATAAAATACTTGTTATAGAGAAAGAATACCCTGAATGCTCCTCAAATTGCTCCATAGAGCAGACACCCACAACAAGCATAAAAGTGTATCCATTACACCAACGGGCATTTTCATCTTTTTAAATCATTTCCAAGCTGCAAAAAACACATATATATTAATGTTTAAATATCAAAATCACCATGTTAAAAAGAAAATCAACATTTGATGATTTATGTTGTTATCCTTTCTAGTCACCATTAAATAAGGATGATTACAAACCTGGAGCCATAGAAACTTTGTTCTTCTCTTCCAAAATAATTTTCCCATCAAAACTCATGGCGGGGAGCATTCCTTGCTGAAAAAAGATTACATTCTCTTTTTTTAAACCAAAGTACTTGTGCTTGGTGAAGAACTCCTTTGTAGATTCCATTGTTCTGCCACTGGTCATTATATACCTTACAAGAGAAAATCAGATCTTCTAAGCAACCGTGCTAGGTGGACTAGGGCAAAATAAAGTTTCGTCTATTTCCTAAGCTAAAGATATCTTTGAAAGCACTTGCTTATTATTTTGACTTCCTTCATATTTTTCCTGGGTAAGACACATTCATTAGCTGTTACCCAAGGGGAATTTCTTTCAGTAATTTCATCAACTCTTACGTATGAAATAAATCTACTTACAATATTAAACATACTAAACACACCTCCTTCAAGAGAACCTATAAAATGGCTTAAGTAAACATTTTAGAACTCTGTGAAAGTGTATTTTAAATTTGAAATGCCTATTCTGAATAAACAGGAAGAAAAGGGTAACTGCAATACAGTTTAATGATCTCTTGGGGTTCTTTTTATTGAAATCTGAAATGCAGTCTGGGCTCTGCTAACCCTCCATTTAAAAATCATAAAAGTATAATTATACTTTCTGTTGTCACAAAAATCCAACCCATGCTAGTGTGGCAAAAAAGAAAAAAATTATTTCTAAAACTATAATTAGTGACTGTGGTAGCTTTTGCCCTTACTAGAATGTAAACTACATATAAGAAGGGATTTTTGCCTGTTTGGGTTACTGATTTATCCTCAATACCTAGAAAAAGACACTCAATTAATATTTGTTAAATGAATAAACAAAATGGTATAATTTCATACCACAGGAGGTATCTGTCTGTTTAACAAATTATCCTGGATATTTTGAACTTTAGGTACAAAAGGTTTGGATATATTTAGAAGATGACAGAAGAAGTGGCTAAACTTCTCTGCATAAGAACAGAAATTGAGTTGTGAAGAGATGGAAGAAAGAGAGAGAAGAAAATTCAACATGATAGTAGGAGGCCAGGGCTGTAAGTAGAATGTTGGCCACTTAGAACACAGATGTTCCTCCAAATTCCCCACAGGCATCAAGATGAACAAAACAGTTCACAGCAGGCCAGTACTCGTGGTGAGAAGAGCTAGAAGAGCTACGAAAATTACAAAAAGCAGTTTTTTAAAGGCATCAGAGAACTTCAGAGGCAAAATAGATTGTAAGTCCAGAGACAGAATCTTTCAAAAGGGAACTGAGGCTATACAGCTGCCTTGTCCTGAGGGCACCTGCTGACTTGGGGTACAGGCTAGTGGTGAATATGGCTTGGACCAAAGGCTGCTGCTCGGGGACAGAAACTAGTAGAGCTTTTGTTGATCACATGGGACTGAAATAACAAGATAGGGACTTGGGGGACCTCAAACACACAGCTGATTTTCCCCTCAAAACATGCTAACTTCCAAAACTGCTCGGGGAAAGAGACTAAAGAGCTGAACCAAAAACTTATAAAAAGCAGAGCAGGATCTTCTGTAATCTCTTGGTCCTTAGGAAACTAACACTGGCTGGACATAGTGGCTCACACCTGTAATCTCAGCATTTTGGGAGGTCGAGGGGGGCAGCTCACTTGAGCTCAGGAATTTGAGACCAGAACCCTGTCTCTATAAAAAAAACAAAAAAAAATAGCCGGGTGCGGTGGCTCATGCCTGTAATCTCAGCACTTTGAGATGCTGAGACGGGCAGATCACAAGGTCAGGAGTTCAAGACCAGCTTGACCAACATGGTGAAACTCCATCTCTACTAAAAATACAAAAATTAGCCAGGTGTGGTGGTGTGTGCCTGTAATGCCAGCTACTCAGGAGGCTGAGGCAGGAGAACCGCTTGAACCCGGGAGGCAGGGGTTGCAGTGGGCCGAAATCGCGCCACTGCACTCCAGCCTGGGGACAAAGTAAGACTCCCTCTCAAAAAGAAAAAAAAATTAGCCAGGCATGGTGGCAGGTGCCTGTATTCCCAGCTACTGGGGAGGCTGAGGTAGGAGGATGGCTTGAGACCAGAAGGCAAAGGTGACGGTCAGCTAAGACTGCACTACTGCACTCCAGCCTGGGTGACCGAGACAGACCCTGTCTCAAAAAAAAAAAAAAAAAAAAAAAAAAAAAAAGGGAAGGAACTAACACTGACCAAGGTGGAGCCCCTGAGAACCTGAGAATACAGCATACTAGTAGAGGCTGAGGACACAAGTATGGCCCATAGCACAGAAGTCAGTGCAGCTTTCACCTGGTGTGTATGCGGAAGAGGCGCATGGGTGTGGGAGAGCTAAATAACCTGGTACCTGAAAATATGAGTTTCTAGATGCAGAGAGCTCACTGAGTACTTTAAGGTACTCAGTCAGGAATGTAAAAGTTGGCGGTGAGTATATATTGCTTATTAAGTCAATAGTGGTCATCTATCAAGCAATAATATATAGCACTTTTAACATATATAGTAAATTATACCTCCCAAGAAAATCAACAGTAACAAGAAATATGTCTGTGAGTGCATAAAGTATATATGCATTTTGAATATTATAAAACAATATATGTTCAGACACACTCCAATAATGAGACGTATCTTACCATGGAATAATGCATTTGTTGCCATAATATTTTTCAGCAACCTGCTGTAGCTTCAGGATACGCTCTGCTTGAATCTGAAAAAGTGTCTTACGGGATGGCAAACCAACATCATACATCCCCTTAGGATATGCAACGCCGAGTCTTGTCCCCTGCCCACCAGCTAGAAGAAGAACTGCTACTTTATTCTGAGAAATCTGGAAAAGTCCTAGAAAAGAAAACACTTGTATCACAAAACCTCTACAATTCAACACTTTAGTATTAAATATACATAGGTAGCAGCAAAGACTCATCAAAAAGGAAGTAAGGCTATACAGCTGTCTTGTCCTGAGGCCATTTGCTGATTTTGGGTACAGGCTAGTGGTGGAGAATCTGGCTTGGACCAAAGCCTGCTTGCTGCTTTTATTGATCACATGGGACTGAAATAACAAGATAGGGGCTTATCAACGTAAGGCACAGAGAATACAGAATCTACATAGAATCGTGGATGACTACCTTGCTAATAAAAACATTTCTATTATTAAAACAATTAAATTTATATAACCCAACCGAACACCAAACAATGAACGATGCATTTTAGTGAACTAAATATTTTTTGCTGATAATGTCAGGAGGTAAGAACCGAGAGATATAATAAATGTTTCGCAAAAATTTGATGACTAATTGATGTGGCAAGTCAAAAAAAAGACAGAGTAAAGAAAATACCAAAGTTTCGGGATGAATGATGACACTATCAAATTACCTCCAGCCTATAATAAATAATCAATGAGCATGCAAATATAGCAGGTAAGCTACATAAAGAAAATAAATCTTCAGTTAGGAAAGTAGTAAAGTATAATGGGCGAGAACTCAGGCTCTGAAGTTAGGATTTCTGGTTTGAAACCCAACTCAACAGAATGCGCTTGGGGTATCACCTGCAAAGGGCATCAGAAGTCTTTGTATGGTGATGGAAATGTGCTTATGTTGATTGGGATGGTAGCTACGTGAGTATACATTTGTTAAAACATAAAATTGGCTGGACAGTGGCTCACTCCAGCACTTTGGGAGGCCGCGGCAGGTGGATCACCTGAGGTCAGGAGTTTGAGAGCAGTCTGGCCAACATAGCGAAACCTGTCTCTACTAAAAATATAAAAATTAGCCAGGCATGGTGGCACACACCTGTAGGCTGAAACAGGAGAATTGCTTGAACCCAGAAGGCGGAGGTTGCAGTGAGCCGAGATCGCGCCACTGCACTCCAGCCTGGGTGACAGAGCGAGACTCAAAAAAAAAAAACAAAATACAAAAACATAAAACTACGAGACAGGCAGATCACATGAAGCCAGGAGTTCCAGACCACACCAGGCTGGCCAACATGGCGAAACTCCATCTCTACTAAAAATACAAAAATTAGCCAGGCATGGTGGTGCATGCCTGTAATCCCAGCTACTCAGGAGGCTGAGGCATGAGAATTGCTTGAACCTAGGAGGCAGAGGTTGCAGTGAGCTAAGACTGCACCACTGCACTCCAGCCTGGGTGACAGTAAAACTCTTTCTCAAAAACAAAACAAAATCAAAAGGTACAACTAATGCATTTTATTATATGTAAATATATATTAATTTATTAAAACGCCTTTTGTAGGCTGGGCACAGTGGCTCACGCCTGTAATCCCAGCACTTTGGAAGGCCAAGGCGGGAGGATTACCCGAGGTCAGGAGTTCAAGACCAGCCTGACCAACATGGCGAAATCCCATCTCTACTAAAAATACAAAAATTAGCCAGGCACGGTGGCAAGCACCTGTAATCCCAGCTACTCAGGAGGCTGAGGCAGGAGAATCACTTGAACCTGGGAGACGGAGGCTGCAGTGAGCTGAGATCGTGCCACTGCACCCTAGCCTGGGCAACACAGCGGGACTCTGTCTCAAAAATAAATAAATAAATAAAATGCCTTTTTAAAAAATGGGCCATCTATACCAGCTAAGAAGAATGTAAGACTCAGACTATCTTCATTACTGATTTATTTCTTTGGTCTGGAAGCCTGTCAATTTTTGCCAGTTGAATATTCAGCAATAAATAGTCATCAAGCATAATGTTTGAATAAAAATGTTATTCTTCAAACCAAAATAAATTCAAGATGATTTGAGATCCAAATGCAAATAAATGTAACTATAAAAGCTACAAAAGAGCTCTCAGTCTGAATTAAAAAAAAAAAAATCTTGCCATAATCCATTCCTAAGACCCATCTTATTATTCAAAAGTGGACAGTCTCAGTACCATAAGGCAGAGTAGCTTGTGAGAAGAGGCTATGTGGAAATTGGGTCTCTGGCAAGCTAGAAAAACTATAAAATTAAAACCATGGTAAACAGTTTCGTTCTTGTTTTCTGAGTTTCATACTTTCATTAGAATTCTTAGAAATTCTGTGAACAAACCTGGCCACTGGCCACAATTATAGGCTAAGCCAGACGACGCAGTCAGTGATGGCAACTATCAATTATTTTAAAATCCTTAGGTAATGTGGGTTTATTTCATTTACCAACTTTGTGCTTTGTTTTTGACATATTGGGTTTTCTTAAAGCTAATACACTAGTAGGTCAACAACATAAAGAAAAATAAACCCGGCCAGGTGCAGTGGCTCACACCTGTAATCTCAACACTTTGGAAGGCCAAGGTGGGTAAATCACCTGAGGTCAGGAGTTCAAGACCAGCCTGGCCAACATGGTGAAACCCCGTCTCTACTGAAAATACAAAAATTAGCTGGGTGTGGTGGTGCATGCCTGTAATCCCAGCTGCTCAGGAGGCTGAGGCAGATGAACTGCTTGAACCCAGGAGGCGGAGGCTGCAGTGAGCTGAGATCGTGCCACTGCATTCCAGCTTGGGCAACAAAGTGAGACTCCGTCTCAAAAAAAAAAAAAAAAAGAAAAGAAAAGAAAAAAATAACTCCATTATAAATTTAGAGCCAGTTCTGACTCTATTTTTCCTTTATTAGTAAGTATAGTCCAAGAACATTATTCAGCAATCATTCCAGCTATTTCTTCTTTTTTTTTTTGAGACAGAGTCTCACACTGTCACCCAGGCTGGAGTGCAGTGGCACAACCTTGGCTTACTGCAACCTCTGCCTCCTGGGTTCGAGTGATCCTCCCACCCCAGCCTCCTATGCAGCTGAGACTACAGGTGCACACCAGCGCACTTAGCTAATTTTTGTATTTTTAGTAGACAGGGGTCTCACCATGTTGCCCAGGCTGGTCTCGAACTCCTGGGCTCAAGTGATCTGCCCACCTCAGCCTCCCAAAGTGCTGGGATTACAGATATGAGCCACCCTGCCCAGCCTATTCCTGCTATTTTTTCAATTTAAAAACCCAACAGCACATTATGTATTTTCATAATTTTCACCTTTGATATGAAGCTGACCTTAGCTACCTGAGAGTTAAATCTTCTTTCTTCCTTCCCTAAAACCAGAATTGTCCTCATTAACTCCATAGCATTTAATTGTACCTCATCAGAGTTTGAAAATAAGAACATAAAATCAGGTGTACCAAAATAGAACCCAAAATAGTAACTATAATCTAAGAGGCAGTTACTGTGTAATTTTCACCACTTTAGAGATAATGAACTCAGAGAAGTTAAGAGTCTCGCCCAGGGTCACATAGCTAGTAAATGTGAATCAGGATTAGGACCTGACTCCAGGGCCTCTTCACCACCACACCACCCTGCCACCAGAGGTTGTGCTGCCTTTTTTTTTTAGTCTGTCTTACCCACCATCCTAAATGAAAAAACTGTTGAGCAAGAAGAGCCAACATTCTCCAAAACTTCCCAAACACTGAAATTTTTAACAGCCATTCTGAGTTTGTATGTGCCTTAAGCAAGACCCATAAACCACTATATAACAAAAACTGAGATGAAGAAATTTAAAGGGAACAGGGAACCTTTCAAGACATTTGAAAACTGTTTTATATTTGGTTATTCCCTGAATTATATCAAATAAACTATGGTTTCTAGAAAATAAATTTAATTCTGCTGTCACCTACAAAGCATTGTTTTAAAATATGAGTCCACAATCTCTTACCTAAACCCATGGGTCAGATTTGTTTCAGAACGCAGAACTCTTCAAAATTTATAAAAGGACTATAGTACATATATAAAATGCTATATTATAATTATATATGTCCCCAGCAGATATGAAACAGCACCCTATAATCACATTAAGTGGGATAAATAAAGTTGACAAATAGTCATGTCTATTCAGGTCAGGTTTTGTACCATTTTCGAAATGCAGATAAAGAACTCCTGTCTGGACACTTGCATACCATCAAAGGTGTTATAATAAAAAATATTTCTGAACATCTTCAAAAGAAGTGCCAAATACCTACATTTTGGACACAGAGATCTCTGTTCTTTTTATACAGTACATTTTCTTCATATGGCACATGTGTTTTAAGTTGTTTTACTCTTAACATGGTGCCAACCTTCTTCCTGACTTCTTACTTTCACTCTCAGTCCCAGGAAAGTTATTTCCCTCAGCTAACTGACCTGAAAAAGGTAAAAGCTACACTCCCAGAGCCAGCTCCATGTCTCAGCTCCTGCTCACCTGATGGCATTCAACATCAATTCAGTGCTTTCTATAGGTCTAACCAGGTATGAAAATAGCCCTGTATAAACTTTTCTCTTCCTTAGATGGGTTCCCTAAATTACTGCTTCATTCCTACTCTCCAGTTGTTTCACATTTAAAGTTTTGCTAACCAGCAGCTCACAGTGGCCTCATTCTTTATTCAGATAAATGGCATGTGTTTGTTTCCTAAACTCCTGTTCGCTCTTTAGTGCTTCTTTCCATCTCCGAACCTGATAACCAGTCAAGTCACCAATTAACAGTGGCACTGAGATGATGCCAATCAGATGTACACTACCAGGTAGATATCCATTTACATCTCATCTCTATTTAACCACAACTATTATAATGAATTATAACACAATCCACATATATTTGCAATAAAAAGGCTTTTCATTAACTTCTTCCTGTTTACACATCTCACTTATGAGCAAACAGTGAAAAACAAGAGAAAAGGCAGCAGTTCCTGGAGAATCAAGGCCAGCTGTAATTCACAAATGAAATGCAGCTACAGCTATTGTTCACAGTATCAAATTGTGTGTACACTGGCTGAAGTACTCAGTACTCATCTACTTCAGCTGTTACTACGATAAAGTTGCAATGTTTATCAAAAGTATGTAACACATAAATTAGTATCTGTCTTATGATGACAGATAAAATGCTGTTTTGAATTAAGTGGCCCAATAAAATTCAATAAGCTTTTTGGGACTGCTTTTGTCATAACATAAATTTTATATGGGCAGCACAGCACCTACCTGAAAAATGTTAACTAAATATAAATGTATTTAAACCCATGTGACAATTAGGAAATTATAAATTTCTATCCTAAAGCTACCTCTGCAGAAATACTGAAAAACACTGAAAAGTTCAACACTGTATCACCCTTTCTATCTCTCCATGATAAGACATAAGGGTTAATAATTTTCCTACACAAGGGAACTCAACACAGGCAAAACTGAAATTGAAATTTTAAAAAGCGGCCAGGTGCAGTGGCTCACACCTGTAATTCCAGCACTTGGGAGGCCAAGGCAGGCAAATCACTTGAGGTCAGGAGTTCAAGACCAGCCGGGCCAACATGTTGAAACCCCCGTCTCTACTAAAAATACAAAAATTGGCTGGGTGTGGTGGCAGGCGCCTATAATCTCAGCTACTGGGGAGGCTGAGACAGGAGAATGGCTTGAACCTGGGAGGCAGAGGTTGCAGTGAGCCGAGATCATGCCATTGCACTCCAGCCTGGGCAACGGAGTGAGACTCCGCCTCAAAAAACAAACAAACAAACAAAAAAATCAGAAGTTAGAAAAAAAAAAAAAAAAAGAAAGCCAGACTGACACATTTCTAGGGCTGGAGTATCTCTCTCCTTGGAGAGTCATGCATTGTGGGCCCAAGAGAATCTAAGCACTTTTTCTGATAACATTCACAAGAAACAGAGAGAAAAGTTTACAGTGGCCTGTCAGAGGTCAAATGCTTCCTGGATAACTTCCTACTTAGACTAGTTCCTCCTATACACTTTAACAAGGAAGATAGCACAGGTCCTTTTGAAGTAAAGCACTGTCAGAACTTTCATTTAAATTATCAGAACTCCAGGATGAGTGGAGTTGGGTAAACAGGCTACTCAACTGGTAGGAATAAAGGAAAGCTATCCAAGAAAGTTAGAGAGAATAATTTAAGTCTTTAATTTTTAATCACGTTATAGCTGAAAGAAACTACAATATTTCCCCAAAATAGTAAGCACAAAAAGCAGACTAATCAGGAAAATCTCTATCTGAACCAGTTTTTGATAGCAGAGATTACATTAGATGAATTTCATTAGGTATAATAATGGCATGTGATTAGTAAGAAAACACCCATATATTTAGACATAGATACCAAACTATATGAGGATAAAAATAACATGATGTTTGGGATTTGCCTTAAAATACTGCAGCAAAGGGGAAAAAAAAGAGGGAGAGAGAAAGCAAAAGGAGCAAAACTTTCATAATTTTTAATCAAGGGGGCTTATGTGGGGGTTCACTATACTAAATTTGCCACTAAATATTTGTTTCAAAATATCCTTGACATTTTTCATGATAAATTCTTGTGCAGGCTACAAAACTATACACAATCCCAATATATGCATATGTGTGTGTGTGAAAGAAAAGACTGTAAAATATTACTAGTGAGTATCTCTGTATGGTGGAATCAGAGAGATTAGTATTTTTTCCTTTGTAATTTTTAGTATTTTCCAATTTCTCTAAAATAAGTATTTTTTTTTTTTTTTTGAGACGGAGTCTCGCTCTGTCAACCAGGCTGGAGTACAGTGGCACGATCTTGGCTCACTGCAAGCTCCGCCTCCTGGGTTTACACCATCCTCCTGCCTCAGCCTCCCGAGTAGCTGGGACTACAAGCACCTGCCACCACACCTGGCTAATTTTTTGTATTTTTAGTACAGACGGGGTTTCATCGTGTTAGCCAGGATGGTCTCGATCTCCTGACCTCATGATCCTCCTGCCTTGGCCTCCCAAAGTGCTGGGATTACAGGCATGAGCCACCATGCCCGGCTGTATTACTTTTAAAATAAAACAAATCTATTAAAAACATCAGTACCCTAGATTTCAAAAAATGTAGAGGAGATAATGTTAAGAATGCATTTCTTCTAAATAATCCACTTACTTTACTATAGTGCTATATGGTAGAGAAGCACCATTATGATTAATAGGAAAATGTCTCATAGGCAAAAAAAGCTAAGACTGAATACTAATTAGATATTGTAATATAAAATTGGTAGATCTGTGTTCAAATAAGCATGCATTTGTTTTAATAAAGAATGGGAATTTTTATCAAGCAAACAGGTTTTCCCAGTGTATCTTTACTAATACAGCATTCTCAAAGCTTATAATTACTTCTCTTTCAAGATCTCAGCTTTGTAAAATAAAGATTTTCTAGTTGCTCCTTTACATTCCATTTTCTACAACTGCCCAGAAAACTTCAAGAAATAAAGCAAGATCTCTCTTCAACAAGGAGTACAGTGGTCACTTATATTCGACCTTCAGAAATAAATAATTTTCCACTCCAGTTGTAAAAATGTCCATTATCATCTGAATAACCACCAGATACTTTGCAATTACTGGACAATGCTTTCATTCCCCCATTCTGAGGAGGTGGGGGTGTGGGGAAGTAAAAACTGTCCCTGATACAATTACCAGGATCTTCCTACTACCTGAAATACAATGCCATGATCTTCACAATGGCTTCTCTTCGCTTTGATAACTTACTGCAGAAACTTCATTTTGTTATGAATTTGCAGACACACGGTAGTTTCTGGCTAAGTGAAAAGGATATAATGTCAACATAAAGTCTCCTTCTCCACCCTTACTGTTTAAGCTACAGATAAATATCTTTCCTTTGACACTAAGCCAAAAGGAAGTTTGCACCGTGTTATGCTATACTTGGTTCTAATAGTTCCGGATTTTAGTTTACATGAAAAGTCATAAATGTAGACTAGCTCCACATAGTCCAACAAAAAGGACATAAAGAAGACTCAAATTATAGGATACCTTAATTGTGGCTTATGTTCCCCAACAAGGTCAAAGTGTTGACTTTCCATAAGAGTTACTACTAAGACTTCATCCCCTTAAAATCCCCAGGAAAAATATAGGCAACTGGGATACTAGAGGGTAAAGAAAGGCCTGTGTGGCTTTTGGTTTGGAATAGTAGCCTTTTTGAAACCCAGGGAAGAAGGGAAGGATTAGTGAATCCAAAGTAATAGAAGTCATGGTATCAAACTCTTCATTCACAAGGACATACCTAGGCATCATTCTCTCACATCTTAGTGGCAGAGCCCTATCCTAAGTAAAAAGCTAGGTTAGCTACTACCAAGCATTTTACATCTGAAAAGCACCTCCTTGAAGAAGATCCAATTATTTTCAAACTGTTTTTAAACTTCTAAACTCTTTTAAATAAAACCTCATGTAAAGATCAAACACACAGAACAGAAAAAGGCAGAACTACTCATAGTAGAGGATAAAGGGGTTGGAGACCTACCAGTTTAGTATCTGCTCCCTCCCTCCCTATAAGAGGCAGCTTCCCCAACAGTGAAAACCCTTGGGTTCTTTGGAACACCCTTTGAAAATCAGTAAATTTGTCAGCCTGGAGAAAGACAGAGAGAGGTATACAGCAGGTTGATAATGCCAGTAATCTTTCTTTTTACAGGGGGTAAGGGGATGCCAAAGAGTGGAAAACAAAATAAAAATAGCCATGTTGTAAATATAGACTATAAGATTGTATGTATAGTATTACTACACATCTATGAAATCAAATATATATACAATCTGCCCGGGCACGGTGGCTCATACCTGTAATCGCAGTACTTGGAGAAGCCCAGGTGGGCGGATCACTTGAGGTCAGGAGTTCGAGACCAGTCTGGCCAACATGGTGAAACCCCATCTCTACTAAAAATACCAAAAACTTAGCCGGGCATGGTGGTACGAACCTGTAATCCCAGCTACTCGGGAAGCTGAGGCAGGAGTATTGCTTAAGCCTAAGAGGCGAAGTTGCAGTGAGTGAGGATCACACCACTGCACTCCAGCCTGGGCAACAAAGCGAGGCTGTCTCAAAAAAAACCACAAAGAAACAAAAAAATATGTACACAATCAAGTACTGGGTGGTAATGTGAGCAAATAAAAATATAGCTTTGATGAGATTATGGGCAATCTGTTATTTCAATATTATTTTTGCAATAAAATAATGTCTTAAAAAGCTAAGGAAAGTATTTGCCCAAGTTCTCATTCACAGTTGAGAAAATGAGGCCCAGATTTGACAAGGATCACGTACCAACACTGAGGGAATCAGCTACAATATTTAGTCAACATTTTACTTACAGAGGAGTAATAGATTATAAAAAACACAGCTTTCAACTCCACCAAAAGCTACAGTTGAGCTATTTTGCCATTCTCAAAAGCACAAATTAGTATTAGGTTAAGGGGAAAGATTTTTTTACATGCTTTAGAATGAAAAGCATTGGGGCAATTCAACAAACACTTATTGATCAACTTATAACTATAAAACTCTTGTTCTAAATGCTACGTAACATGCAGAGACAACTAGTACATGGGCTGTTCTTCAAGAATTTACAATTTATTGAGGAAGAACTCTTATGATAAGCTAGAATGAAATAAAAGCATGAACAACTAATTCTAACTTGGGACACAAAAGAAAAGGTCATAGATAAAATATTATGTGTGGTAAACCTTAATGAATGAGTGTAAGTTCCCCAACTGGCAGAACTACTGCACTGCACAACTGCAAGAAATGACCTTACAAGGTGACCTAGCTAGGTAGAGAAAGGGCAAAGGGCACATCAAGCTAAGGATAAACATGAGCAAAAGCAGGGAAGGCATGGTATCATGTTCAGGGAAAGGTGAATTATTTGGTTCAGCTAAAATGTTGATTGGAAATATGGGTTAGGATCAGGTTAGGGCAGGTTTAAAGATTAAGCCAGCTGGGCTGGGTGCAGTGGCTCACACCTGTAACCCCAACACTTTGGGAGGCCAAGGCAGGCGAAATCACTTGAGGTCAGGAGTTCAAGACCATGCTGGCCAACATGGCGAAACCCTATCTATACTAAAAATACAAAAATTAGCCAGGCGTGGTAGTGCATGCCTATAATCCCAGCTACTTGGGAGGCTGAGGCAGGAGAATCACTTGAGCCCAGGAGGTGGAGGTTGCAGTAAGCAGAGATCGCCCCACTGCACTCCAGCCTGGGCAACAGAGTGAGACTCTGTCTTAAAAAAAAAAAAAATTAAGCCAGCTTAAACTTAAGTATTTAACTTGTGCTTCAGGAAAAGAAATCTAGCAGAAGTATGGAAATTGAGGAGGGAAAGAGACTGGAGGCAAATTAAGACTTGAATGAGAGAAGCCTTAAATGGAGCATCAAAAATAAAAAGACAATTTTGTCACTTTCTGCTAGGTCACCTGGTTTAATGTAGTATGAATCAAAATATTAGTGACATGATCCAGCTACCTGAACAATTTTAGTATATCTCAAATAAACTTCAGTAAGAAATATGTACATGCCCAGTACCTTCACTTTCCCAGGCCTGGAGCTGATCTTGATCCCTTGTAGCACTGCCTAATACCTCTCGAGGCACAGGTTCCATTCGTGCATCCACATTCTTTTGGTGAGAAGACTGGTTAAAACCTTCAATGGCCTTTTGGAAAAAGAAGTTCAGCTCCTCAAAGTTCATGGCCTGGAGCTCTGCATAAAGTTCTACCTGTTGGGCTTCTTCAAGCTCATTCCAGAAACGTAGTAGGTGCTCTTGCCCAGCTTTGGACAACGTGAGTTTGAGGTCATTAATGTTCATAATGCTCTAATAGCCAAGCTTTGTAGAAATAGGGGTGTAATGTATGTACCTGTAAACCTAAAAGAGAAAAGTAATTAATGGCATGTCAAAATCCAACCTCCAAAATTGAGGGCTTTTTTCCCCTCTAAAAATAAGAATATTTCAAAACGATGTTAAAAAAATTAACTTCTGCTTTTCCATCACTCAATATTTGTAAGAGATCAAACCTGTAAGACAATAATATGTACCAGGCACTTCTAAGTACTTTACCTTCATGGTCTTGTTTAATTTTCAACAACACTATGGCATAGGCACTATTATTACCACTCTTTTACAGCTGAGAAGACAGGCAGAGAGGCTAAGTAACCTAACCAGTGAGTGGAGCTGGGACAGGAACCCAGGCAGCCTGATGACATGGTTCACACTCTCTACCACACTTAGTTGTCTCTGTATTAGTCCTCTGACCACTAAGCTACCACTGAAAGAACACCTGACTGCTTAATATTTAAATGTTTTCCTTGTATCTCTAATGATAGAAATACTATCATGTGTTGTTGTAGTCAGTATAATGAAATATTCAGGAAGACAGAACAACCTATAATAAGGAAAAATACATTTCATTTCATTAGCAACTTCTGCAAAGAAGCAATAACACATCTATTTTCTCTACTCATTAAAAACTTGGATCCTCCTTAAAGAGACAAGCAATACACATATAACAATCAGTGAATAAGACAAATGTTTTCTAAAGAGCTATATTCTGTGATAATATAGTAAAATGTTAAACTTCATAGTGCTAAAAAATAAGAAAATGGGGAAATATTTAATCTACTTGCCCAATACAGACAAATGCAACAGGAGATAGGTGCTGTCTAGAAAGTTCACAAACAGGCACAATCTAGCCATGTGTTAAGGGTTGGGCAGACTACATAGATAAGATTAGAGGCCAGGCATGGTAGCTCACACCTGTAATCCCAGCACAGGCCTGGGCTCAGGAGTTCAAGACCAACCTGGGCAACATGGCAAAACCCCACCCCTACAAAAAACACAAAAATTAGCCAGATGTGGTAACATATGCCTGTAGTCCCAGCTACTTGGAAGGCTGAGGTGGGAGGAACACCTGAATTCGGAAGGTCGAGGCTACAATGAGGCGTAATCATGTCACTCCAGCCTCAGCAACAGGAAATTCTATCTCAAAAAAATAAAAGATTAGGAAACAAGCAGAGCCTGGTGGCCATGATGAGCAAGCACGTGTGGGATGGAAAGCAGTAAGAAGGTTAACGTATGACAAATGATATAAAATGGCCTGGGGTAGGGCTAGATCATGAAAAGCCTGAAAACTAACCAAAAGAATTTAGACTTCAGAGAATAAGTAATAGAAAGCGAACAGTAGATTCTCAAACAGGGCAGTGTTACCATGCTTTAAAGAGATGAGAGAAAGGAGCAATGGATACAATAGATTGTAAGGAGGGACAACTAGAAGCAGGAAAAGAAGTTAAAAGACAACTGCAGGTATGAAATACCAAAGGTCTGAACCAGATTAGTGGCAGAGAAAATGAGAGTGAAAGGAATAAATTTGAGGGTCACTGTAAAGAATCATCACTGCATTATAATTGCTTCGATGTGAGAGACAGAGGTTAAAAGTAGGTTCTAAAGACACTTATCTTCTCTTCCTATAAGAACAGTGAAAAGTAATACACATGGTAGTTCAGAGCACAATTCTAGGCTAAGCTGAGCCACTTAATTTCCCCATGCCTCGGTTACCTTATCTGTAAAATGAGATTAATAATAGTATCTACCTCACCAGGATCATTAAACATCAAACTCCATTTACAAGCTCAGGTCTAGAGAACCTACATCTGTGTGTTCCCTGAGGTGGTAATAACAACACTCAGCTTTCAATGTTCATTATGGTATTAAAAGGCATTCCTATTGATTTATATAGGTTTCAAGAGTCATGATGCTATTATTTTTTAATTTTAAAAAATCACATTAAAAAAGACACTTGAGAGGAACAGATTTATATTAAATTATTTTCCAAGGAATGTAGTCTTTCCCAAGACCTTATTTATGCTGCTGCTTTGCCTCTGATTTAAGGGAGTACATTGTAGTAGGAAGATCAGCAAGGAACCAGATAACCAAAGAATAGGAAGTCCCTGTTCTTGGTCCTTCTCTATCATTTGATTCTATGCAATCATTTTACCTCCCTGTGCATAGATTTCCTCATGAATATAAGACAACCAACCTTTCTCACATGCCTTCAAGATAGTCAAGAGTAAAGAGTGCTCTGTCTGATAAAAGGCATACACAAACATATTACTATAACATTTTAAGATATAAACCAAACTTTTCCTAAAAGATCATTAGATACTCCTCCACCTTCAGACACTTGGGAAAATGAATCCATGCAAATAAGATACCTCATAGGGCCGGGCGCGGTGGCTCACGCCTGTAATTCCAGTACTTTGGGAGGCCGAGGCGGGCGGATCATGAGGTCAAGAGATGGAGACCATTCTGGCCAACATGGTGAAACCCCATCTCCACTAAAAATACAAAAATTAGCTGGGCATGGTGGCACGCGCCTGTAGTCCCAGCTACTCAGGAGGCTGAGGCAGGAGAATCGCCTGAACCGGGGAGGCGGAGGTTGTAGTAAGCCGACATCACGCCACTGAACTCCAGCCTGGCGACAGAGTGAGACTCTCCGTCTCAAAAAATAAAAATAAAAAAAAAAAGGGTACCTCATAGGTTAAACTTTGATATCTGGGCGTAAACCACTGGTAACATGTGTTCATCTACATGTTGTATAATGTTCATAATGTAACGACCATACTTGAGTTTTGGACAAGCACAATTCATCTATTATATTTATTTGAGGCAGATATAAGCACCTTCATGCCACAAAAATAGTAGCATGTTTCCCATTAACGATGTTTAGAGGCACGTGTAATGGTAAGCAGCAATTAACAGAAGAGTTAAAAGATATGGATTTTTATTTTGACAACCGAAATCTGAAAAAGTTGAAAATCTGCTCGAGAAATTATGACAAAACTTGGTACATGCCCACAGCCTAATCCATCTGCATCAAAATATATGAAAAATTTGGTAATAATCTACCATTATCAAATATATTTTTATTAGAATTTAAATACCAGTATTAAAGAAATCCAGTATTTCTCCCTCCTTTTCTGGCTTCCCCCACCCAGCCCCTATCTCTGCTGGTATACGTATGCCCTCGAAATGAATAAGTAAACCTCTTAAAGCTTTTGAAAAACAGTATCAGAGTTGAGACATAACCACCAACTGAATCCTATAAATGCTTGGCAGCACAGCCTATGAAGTCTTTCTTTGCTCCAGCTAAGTGAGCCAACTGACTAACCGTGAAGGAATAGACAACTGCCTTGAGTTTCCGGCGAACTCTTGGATCCACACCCAGTGAATTTCACCTAAAAGTCCTTAAACTTTTGCAATACCAAATGACACACACATATGATCATAATCCTATTACCTGATTTCAGATTTCATAAACCATGTAGAAGTAAGTGTAGCACAGCGACAGGCCAAAGTTCAAGCAGCCATATGTTCAGCATACGTGTGCTCAGCCCTCCAATACCATCCTTCTGCTTGGCCAAGAGAGGGGAAACCCAGAAATTTCAATTCTCTCTCACTACCAGTATCATGGCAAACCAAACCAAAAAAAAGAAAGAAAAAAGTGGCAAGCAAACAGGTTTTGTCCCACTGTCCTGTCCTCCAAATGTATCCCCTGTCTTTGTCAGACCTCTCAAATCTTTTCCTCATATATTCAAGACACACCAACTCGCTTCCACCTGACAGTGCCAACGATCTCCTGTCCCACTACAGGCCCCCACACTTGGTATAACTGTCCACAAGGCCCTAGCCTGAGAGCCTCGAGGTCTCTACTGCCCACCCGGGAGAGGCCCCACTCCCAACCCCACACGCCTACACGACCCCCTCGGACTCAGACACTGGCCCAGACCTCCTCCCACAACGCCCCCAGTCCATCTGGGGCGCGCTCATTCCATCCCTGGCCCCGCCATCCACCCGGCTGCCCAGCCCACACACCCTCTCGCGGGGTGGCGGAGGATGGGGTGCGACTGCGGGGCGCACGGGCTGGGGTGTGTGTCTGCGGGCGAGCGGGAGGCTCCTCGGCGTGTGCTCGGCTGCCCGCGCTGTGCACGTTCGTGCGACGCGTGTCCACGTCTGAGCGCGTGGCCGTGTGTGCGGTGGGGCCAGGCCCTCCGCCCGCCCGGGTCCCGAGCCCCGCCGTCTCCTCGCTGGGCTGGGAGCCCCTCACCTTTCTCGGCGCGACCGCAGCTACGACCGTCTCCAGCTCCTTCCGCGCGGCCACTCATCGGCGTCCCGCGCTCGCTCCGAATATATACCCTCATCCGGGGGGCCGCGGCGGCGGGGCGGGCCGGGAGCGGGGGCCAAGTGGAGCGCCAGCCCCGGCCACCCCGCCCCTCTCGCCACGACTAGTGGCTGCCGACGCCTGAAGGAGTGGAAGCCGACCGCCCAGACACGTCAGCGCCGGGAGCACAGACGACGACGCGGACGCGGAGGCGGCCGCGGCCCGGGGCGCCGGGGCGGGGCTAGGGATGGGGGCCGGGCATGAAAGGAGTAACCCACCGGGCCGGGGCGGGGCCTAGTGCGTCACTCATTCTCTGGCCCAATGGGAATAGTTCTGGAGCGCAGTCGGCTGGCGTCCCGGTCCCTCCTGCGCACTAACTGAGGGTGAAGGATGTCGGTTGGGTCTGCTAGGAGGGGCCAGGAGCCGGCCGGCAGAGAGCGGCTCGTGGGTCCCAGGACCCCTGACGTCCCTAGGTTGTACTGGGAGGTGCGAGCCCGAGGCTCTTAGTCGGCCCAGCGGCACGGGGCACAAGCGGGCCACAGAGATGGGCAGGGAGCTGTGTCCCCAGGGTGGCGGATTTCCGAGCCACCCACGCGGGTGGTTGGGAAAGGGCGGTGGATTTTCCTGCGGAGAAACTTTCAGGGCGGGCCTGGCGCGCTCTCTGACCTTGGGCTAGTTATTTTGTGTGCAGTTCACAAGATGCCTGGCCGGGCTCCAAACTCGCTCTCTGTTTGGTTGTGTTTTGGCTCCCAAGAAGGCGAAGCCAGGCCTTTTTTCTTTTGCACAAACAGACAGGAAAGGAGAGAGGAAATGCAAGCAAAGGTAGTAGGTAACCTAAGGTAGTATAAGCCCGGGGTCATCTTTGTGAGTTTGCAGACTTAACGTCGCTAGGCCTCAGTACTCTGCAGAAAGATGGTGGAGGACCTAGATGACCTCCCAGGCCATTCCAGGACCAGTGTTTACAGTCCTGTTACATAACCTAGTGTGGGTGTGCACACACAGGTTATTATATGTTCAGCACTGTGCCCTTGGAAGCTATGTTTACATTTAAAGTTGTGTTGCATTTTGCAGCTTTTGCAAGAAGTGGAATATGTTGAAATACGAAAATACCTAGATTTAACATACCACCTATCATAAAGAGATTCAGGCGCCTTTCTTCTACTTTCTTGGGTGCAAAGGCCTTTTCATTCCCTTTACCAATTGCATAATCACCCACTGCCTCAAGTAACAACAGAAAAACTTAAACTTGGTAAGTAATGCTGGTAGATTTACATTCAGGAGATTGAATACTCTCCATCTCTCATGATCCTAGAACTTCCTTCGTTTCTTTGAAAGAAGAATAGTGTAGTGATTGGTTTATAGTGTAGTGATTGGTTTCTTAATCATGGGATCTGAAGACAATTTCAGCTTTATTGCTTGTGATCTTTGGCAAGCTACTTGTGCTATCAGTTTTCTCATCTATAAAAAACAGACAATAAAGATGAAAATGCCATTTGGTGGTTGTATTAAACCAATCGATATAAATGAAGTATGTAAAACAGTAAACACTAAATAACCTTTAGTTATTATTTATTATTGAGCACTTATTAATTCAAACTAGGAGACCCAGATTCAAAATCAGTCTACGCTTACTAACTGTGTGACTTTGGGTAAGTCATTTAACCACTCCAAACTCCAATGTCCTTTTATGAAATGAAGCTAATACCTATTTCACATGGGTATAGTAAAAAATGAGAAAGAACCTAAGATAATGTCTGGAATATTATAGGCATTCTATAAGTCATAGATGAATGACTGAGTAAAGAGCAAAATTATTAGTTAGCAATCCTTTAAAGAAAAAAGATAGAACTGAGGTCCAGCTCAATGTTTTTAATGAACTACTATAAAATCACATTTGTACTTTTACCCTTTTTTGCTGAAGTTTCATTTGTTTGTTATTCTGGTTACTAGGCATAAGAGGGGCCATAATCTCATCTTGCCAGCTAAATGTCCAGAAATGTCTAACACTAGAGTTATTTCTGTCCTTCGAAATACTTTTTATATACATGGTCTTTTAAGAGCTGATTGAAGAAAACAAGGCAACGATGTTCACACTACCTATGATTTTTTGACATTACACCAAAGGTATCAGCTAATGAAGTTAGACAACAGAAATCCTAAGAGGCTTATAAATTAGAAAAAATATATAAGAATTAAAAAATTATTTTTTAAGAATTTTAAAAAGTCATAAAACTACTTCGACTTGCAAATGACAAGAGAGAATACCTGGAAAGCCCTTGAGAGTCAACAATAAGACTAACAAACCACAGAAAAATTTTGGTTAGTGTATTAGTCCGTTTTCACACTGCTATCAAGAGATACCCAAGACTGGGTAATTTATAAAGAAAAGAGGTTTAATTGACTCACAGTTCTGCATGGCTGCAGAGGCCTCAGGCAACTTACTATCCTGGTGGAAGGCACCTCTTCACAGGGCAGCAGGAGAGAGAATGAGTGCTGAGCAAAGGGGGAAGCCCCTTACAAAACCATCATATCTGCCAGGCGCGGTGGCTCACGCCTGTAATCCCAGCACTTTGGAGGCTGAGGCGGGCAAATCACGAGGTCAAGAGTTTGAGATCAGCCTGGCCAACATAGTGAAACCCTGTCTCTATTAAAAATACAAAAATTAGCTGGGTGTGGTGGCACGCACCTGTAGTCCCAGCTACTTAGGAGGTTGAGGCAGGAGAATCGCTTAAACCTGGGAGGCGGAGGTTGCAGTGAGCCTAGATTTCACCACTGCACTCCAGCCTGGATGACAGAGCGAGACTGTCTCAAAAAAAAAAAAAAAAAAACAGATCTAATGAGAACTCACTATCACGAGAACACTATGGCAGAAACCACGCCAGTGATTCAATTATCTCCACCTGGTCTGGCCCTTGACACATGAAGATTATTACAATTCAAGGTGAGATTTGGGTGGGGACACAGAGACAAACCATATCAGTAAGGTAGCAAGTTATAAAATGAACATATAGAAATCAATAGCTCTCATATACACACATTATAACATTTAGAAGACACGATGGTGGAGAAAATCCCATTTATAACAGCAACAAAAAAAATTAAGTATAAATTTAGCGCAAAATGTGCAAAATCTGTGTAAGGAGAGTTATAAAAGATGCCTAAAAGCCACACAAGATATTTGATCAAATGAAAAAATTCTGGAGCTATTTCATGTGTGTTGCGGATATGAACAAATGACTAAATAAATTGATTTTGGTCATTGTGCTGTGGTTATGTAAAAGAATGTTTATGTTCCTAGGAAAGACATACTAAAATATTTAGGGGTAAAAGAATATGATGTCTGTAATTCTTAAATGGCTCAGAAAGATGAGGAGCAATGGCTTACGCCTGTAAGCCCAACACTTTGGGAGGCCAAGGCGAGAGGATCACTTGAGCCTAGGAATTTGAGACTAGCCTGGGCAACATGGCAAAACCCCATCTTTATTAAAAAACATAAAAATTAACCGGGCATGGTAGTATGTGCCTGTGGACCCAGCTACTCCCAAGGCTGAAACAGGAGGATCGCTTTAGTCCAGGAGGTTGAGGCTGCAGTGAGCTGTGATCATGCCACTACACTGCAGTATGGGTGACAGAGTGAGACCCTGTCTCAAAAAATAAATAAATAAAAGGCTCAGAAAGAAATATATGTGCATAAATACATGGGGGTAGGCAAGAAAGAAATTTGGGAGGCAAAGTAAATAATAGTAAAGTAAATGGAGGAAAACACAGTTAATTTAAAGGGTATTTAGAACTTCTTTATACTGTTCTTCAAGTAAGATTGAAATTACATAAAATTTTAAAATACAACCAACAGTGGAGTTGTTCATTACCAGTCCAACACAAAAGAAAATCTTTAACCCACAGAGCACACAGCTCTGAAGGAAAATGATCCAGGAAAGGTGTGACAGTGTACAGAACAGCATATCTGTACCATGTCACAAGCCTTCTGGCATCTGGTCAGAATGCCACATCACCTGAGAAGCTGTAAATGCCACCGGTAAGTGCTGTTTATGGTGGCAACTGTGCCTCCTTAGTACGGGAATAATGATAGGAAAATGTTTTTCTGTGATTCTCAGCCTTCTAGTTGGATACAGTGGAGGCTTAGATGAAGAGCACAGAAACCTGTACAGAGCGGGCATTGCCTGAAATCCCTCCATGTTTATATATGGATGTCTCTGAAGTTGAACTATTCTCTTAAGCGCAAACTGGCGTGTTTTCAGCATTCAAAAAAGAACAAACTGATGTTTGCTCAAAATATGTTTATTTGGCTGCTCTGTGCTAGACTTTGTGATAGACATTCTAGGGAATCAAAAGATTCTGTGTCCTTAATGGCTTATAGTGCAATAATAGAGATAGAAGAGGTTTCTTTTTCAATGCAGAGAGTCATAAGCGCCATAGTGAATGCACAAATAAAGGATTTCAGAGCTCAGAGGAGGGAAAGTATGAAGGAATGAAGAGGTTTCCCAAAAGGACAGCCAGAAGGTTTGGGAAAGAGGCAGGAGGCAAGGGACAGCCTCACTCCTCATGGGAGGCTGCCCTTTTATAAGCAGCCTTGGGGATAGAGGCCTTCATGTGTTTCCCCCCTTGTAACACCATCACCTTCTCTAACTCCTGCTGCCTCCTTAATGAAAAAGACCAAGGAATTTGTACTCAGGTTGAGAACTTAGAAAGTAAGACATCTGGCCAGGCGCGGTGGCTCAGGCCTGTAATCCCAGCACTTTGGGAGGCGGAGGCGGGCAGATCACGTGAGGTCAGGAGTTTGAGACCAGCCTACCAACGTGGAGAAACCCTGTCTCTACTACAAATACAAAATTAGCCGGGTATGGTGGCACATGCCTGTAATCCCAGCTATTTTGGAGGCTGAGGCAGGAGAATCACTTGAACCCGGGAGGCAGAGGTGGCGGTGAGCTGAGATGGCGCCATTGCACTCCAGCCTGGGCAACAAGAGCAAAACTCTGTCTCAAAAAAAAAAAAGTGAGATATCTACTTAAGGGTTGCTATTAAATAAACTGTAAAATTTGAAACACCAAAATGGAATATTTACCAAAATGTATGTATTTTTAGCAGTGTATTATGATCTCAGCTTGGTTTTCCAAAAGATAATATTTCATCTGCTAGATAGATAGATAGACAGAGAGATAGATAGATAGAGCCGGGCACGGTGACTCACACCTGTAATCCAAGCATTTTGGAAGGCCGAGGCAGGTGGATTGCCAGAGCCCAGGAGGTCAAGACCAGCCTAAGCAACATGGAGAAACCCTGTCTCTACCAAAAATACAAAAACTTAGCTGGTGTGCTGGTGTGCACCTCTGGTCCCAGCTACTTGCGAGGCTGAGGCAGGAGAATCACTTGAGGCTGGGAGGCAGAGGTTGCAGTGAGCCCAGATTACACCACGGCACTCCAGCCTGGACGGCAGAGTGAGACCCACATCTCAAAAATAAAATAAAATAAAATAAAACAGGTATATAGAAGCGGTGAGACCTGGAAAAAAATCACCTAAATTCCCTGAACTTCAGTTTCCTCATCTACAAAATTGAAATATGGAGTTGGAAAGAGAATTAAAAGAGAAAAAGCCTAGCACACAGTAGCTATTCAATAAATATTAGGTGAATTCAAGGTCAGGAGTTCGAGACCAGCCTGACCAACATGGTGAAACCCTGTCTCTACTAAAAATACAAAAATTAGCTGGGCATGGTGGTGCACGCCTGTAATCCCAGCTAATCAGGAGGCTGAGGCAGGAGAATCACTTGAACTCGGGAGGTGGAGGTTGCAGTGAGCTGAGATGGTGCCATTGCACTCTAGCCCAGGTGACAGAGCGAGACTCTGTCTAAAAATAATAAAATAAAATAAAATAAAATAAATAATAAATAAATGTTAGGTGAATAAATGAAAGACAGAAGGAAAGAAAGAAAAAAGTGAAATAGAATAGTCCTCTATTAAAAATATAGAATCAGGCTGGGCTAGATGGCTCACACTTGTAATCCAGCACTTTGGGAGGCCAAGGTGGGTGGATCACCTGAGGTCAGGAGTTCAAGACCAACCCGACCAACATGGTGAAACCCCGTCTCTACTAAATACAAAAAATTAGCCAGGAGTGGTGGTGAGCACCTGTAATACCAGCTACTTAGGAGGCTGAGGCAGGAGAGTTGCTTGAACCCAGGAGGCGGAGGTTGCAGTGAGCCAAGATTGCACCATTGCACTCCAGCCTGGGCAACAAGAGTGAAACTCTGTCTCAAACAAACAAACAAACAAACAAACAAACAATCATACCACGATTACAGGAGAGATGTTTTAAGTGGGCCATTACTACAAACAAATTAAAAAATTCAAGACATACAAGAGTAGGTTTTGTGTTTTGTCTTTTAGGGATGATAGAATTATGGTGATTTTTATATTCTTTTGGATGATTTTGAGGGGTTATTTTCTAAATATGCTACAGAGGAAATTGTTTTATAATTAGGAGAATTTTTTTTTAATTTCAGAAGAGCAGGCATGCTAACAACTTAAAAAGCTGCTTCCTTGATTGTTCTTCTCTGAAGTCATGACAGATATGTGCCAGTCTGGCCACACTCTCTTGCTTAGTACAACCAGTAATGATCCATCACCCAGGGTTTTTTGTTTTTGTTTTGTTTTGTTTTGTTTTTGAGACAGGGTCTCCATCTCTTGCCCAGGCTGGAGTGCAGTGGCATGATCTCAGCTCACTGCAACCTCCACCTCCCGGGTTCAAGTGATTCTCATGCCTCAGCCTCCCAAGTAACTGGGGTTACAGACATGTGCCACCATGTATGGCTAATTTTTGTATTTTTAGTAGAAAACGTGCGTTTTGCCATGTTGTCCGGCTGGCCACGAACTCCTGGCCTCAAGTAATTCACTCACCTCTGCCTTCCAAAGTGCTGGGATTACAGGCGTGAGCCACTGTGCCTTGCCCCACCAAGATTTTTTAACAGTAGGCTGGTATTAGCAAGTATACACTAGAGGAGCCTTCCCTCCATTGTCCTGAGTGCAATGGCCTCAGCTAGTCCACTGAACTTCTGCAAATGTCCGTATTATTTCCCAGCAGTATAGACAACACACCAGGAGAAAGTCTGGCTCAACTCAAGGCTCTGTTCAAGGCAAGGCCTGAGCATTCATGAGGTCACTGTTTCTGAGAGCCTTCAAATAAATGGGTGGGGTGGGATTAGGGTTTTGACTTTCCTTTTGACAGTTTCCTAGGACATTACTTCATTCTCCCAAGAGATCATCCTGACTTAGCTTACCACTTCTTCCACCCTATAAATTTTCTGTACTTCAAAGTGTGTTGTGAAATTCTGTGGAATGATGAGTACACTCTATTAAATGACAAATTTATTTTTTTTACCCAGTGTTTCCCACACCCTCCAAAAGTATATGCTGTCCTTCAGAGGGTTAAGTTGTCAGAAAAATATTTGTGCATCTACAGTGTGTAGGATGCTGGGGATGATATACAAAGATGAGTAAATGTACAACCTCTCAAAACTGATTATAACCTAAGAATCACATAAATAACAAAATGGAATGAACAGGAGAGAAAGTGGGCAAGAAAGTATTGGTGTGCCAGGTACAGTGGCTCATACCTGTAATCCCAGCACTTTGGGAGGTCAAGGCGGGCCAATCTCTGGAGCTCAGGAGTTTGAGACCTGCCTGGGCAACATGGCAAAACCCTGCCTCTACAAAAAATACAAAAATTAGCCAGGCATGATGGCACATGCCTGTGGTCCCAGCTACTCCAGAGGCTGAGGTGGGAAGATCACTTGAGCCCTGGAGTTTGAGGCTGCAGTGAGCCGTGATTGTACCACTGCACTCCAGCCTGGGCAACAGAGCCAGACTCTGTCTCAAAAAAAAAAAAAGAAAAAAAAAGAAAAGAAATAAAAATTGAGAGTATCAATGTGTGATAATTACAGGAGGTACACAACCACAGGATTCCACACTGAGGTATGGTCTTTATAGTGTGGAGGAGTGGACTTGAAATTTTATTCCTGTGTTGTTGACTGGAAATTACCTGGTTCACCTCCCTTAATTCATAGATAAGGAGACAAAATTTCTCATAAGTTAAGAGATTAACTAAAGGAAAGAACAAGTAGTTAAGAAAAAACAGGAGGATCAGAAGTCAATCTATTGCCATATAACAGAGATCCTCTGAAGGTAATGAGTGTAAAAATAATCCAGTCATTAAAAACCTCAACCACCATAATCAATTATTCCAATATATTTTCTTCTCTTAAAACTAAATGGCTTGTAACCATTATGAGTCCTAGGTCAAATACTTAATGCATACTCTTGAGAGCCCACTTGGCTGAATCTTTCTTTTTTTTTTTTTTTTTTTTTGAGATGGATTTTCACTTTGTCACCCAGGCTGGAGTGCAGTGGCACAGTCTCAGCTCACTGCAAATTCTGCCTCCCAGATTCAAGGAATTTTCCTGTCTTAGCCTCTCAAGTAGCTGGGATTACAGGCGCCTGCCACCACGCCCAGCTAATTTTTTGTATTTTTAGTAGAGACTGTTTCGCCATGTTGTCCAGGCTGGTCTCGAACTCCTGGCCTCCAGCGATCCACCCACCTTGGCATCCCAAAGTGTTGAGATTACAGGCGTGAGCCACCACACCCGGCCTTGGCTGGATCTTTCTAATGCAGGCAGCCACACAGTGTTACTCTCTGCAAGGGAAATTCCTCAAAAACCTAGCCTAGAATGGCCTCTGACCTACATTGAAACCAGAAGGGCAGCATACTTTATTCTAAACCTGCTCTCCACCTATTTGGTCATTGTTCAGCCATCCATCTCTGCTGGGCTGTTGACCTTCCACAAGATGGTTTCTCAGATGTGGATGATTTCTCAGAATACAATTTTCATAATATAGTTTTTCAGCTCTACTCTAAGTGAACATGTCTGAATTTATTGTGCATTTTATCTCTTATCCTTCTCACACATACGATATACCACAAGTTATTTTTGTTGGAGATATCTCCTGGTCACCTATTCCTTCTTTATGAATAGACAACAAATTAACTTTGTTTTTATTTTCCAGGTAATATCTTAGGCACAGCAAAAACTTCCTCAACATTTTTTGCTCCAGACCTCATATCTCCCCTTGGCCTGTGTTACTGAATATTAGTGGAAGAAAGAACCGATGTTGCAACAAAAGTCTCTGGCAGTGCTAACTGGCTTGACATCAAAATTGAATTACAAAAACAAAAAAAGAAAAAAATTGAATTACAAAAGTGTGGTTTCAAAACTTCCTTGGGTTCTCAGAGCTGCTGGGTAATTATTTCCTGTGTCCCCCCAAAGCATTTATTTATTCATTTAATTTGTCATTAACTGCTTAGCATAATAGGTAAGAATATGAACTCTGAAGCCAGACTACAAGAGTTGGAGTCTTGGCTCTGCAGTTACTATGACCTTCAACAAGTTAACTGATGTCTCCATGCCTTGATTCCCAAATGCAGACATAAATAAAACCTATCAGGCCTGGCGTGGTGGCTCACACCCATAATCCCAGCACTTCGGTAGGCCGAGGCAGGAGAATTGCTTGAGCCTGGGAATCCGAGAGCTAGCCTGGGCAACATAGTGAGACCCTGTCTCTCCAAAAAAAAAAAAAAAAATTAATGTAGAAAAAGAAATAAGACCTACTTAATAAAAAGACCTACCGACTAGAGTTGCCGTGAAGATTAATATTTATAAAGTGTTTAGAGCAGTTTCTGACACAGAATAAGAGCTCTGTAAGTTTTTGTTTAAAAAATTATATTTGTTGGCTGGGTGCAGTGGCTCACGTCTATAATCCCAGAACTTCGAGGTGGGCAGATCACTTGAGGTCAGGAGTTCGAAACCGGGCTGGCCAACATGGTGAAACCCCGTCTCTACTGAAAATACAAAAATTAGCCAGGCGTGGTGGCAGGTGCCTGTAGTCCCAGCTATTTGGGAGGCTGAGGCAGGAGAATTGCTTGAACCCTGGAGGCAGAGGCTGCAGTGAGCCGAGATAGTGCCACTGCCCTCCAGCCTAGGCGACAGAGCAAGACTCCATCTCACTATATACATATATATACACCTATATATGTGTGTATGTGTGTGTGTATATATATATATATATATATACTCACAAAGCTAAACTTAGCAAATATGTGTGTGTGAGTGTGTATATATATATACAAAACTTCATGATGGAAAGAAAGGAGAGAAAGAAGGGAAGGCGGGAAGGAGGGAGGGAGGGAGAGAGGGAATAAGGAAGGAAGGAAGGAAATCACCTTTTGGGCCTGGCACATAAAACAAATCCTGTATGTGTGTGTATACACAAACACACACACACACATATATTTGCTAAGTTTGGCCTTGTGAGTGCCAAGTATTGAGAATAGAATGGTGTGCATTTGGAGGGGGTTTGTGTAACCCCTCTCCTTGAGTGCAGGCAGGACCTATGACTTGCTTCTAACAGAATATGGAAAAGGAGATACTCACTCCCCTGAACACTTTATGCTATTTGACAAAGGTGAGTAGATGTCACTCCCAAGATCATGTTACATTATGTAAGACTCCTTCTTGCCAACAAACTATTTTCACAATTCGGCTGGCCTTGAGGAAACCAGCTGCCATGTTGTGAATGGCCTGTGGAGGACCACATGGCAGAGAACTGCATGCAGCTTCTAGGAGCTGAGAGTGGCCTCCAGCCAACAAAAACACAAACAAACAATAAGAAAACAACAACAACAAAACCCTGAAATTTGCAATCCTGCAAATGCAAGGAAACAGAGGGAGCTTGGAATTGGAGTCTTCTCCAGTCAAGCCTCCAGGTGAGAATGCAGTGAAGCTGACATCTTGACTACAGTCTGGTGGGACCTTGAAGCAGAAAACCCAGGTAAGCCCGGGGCCAACAACACCTTGATTGCAGCCTTGTGAGAGACCCTGAACGAGAATACTCAGGTAGATGAACATATTGGAGAAAAACGTGCAATCATGCTGACTCGTCTGACTTTAAATTCATGAACACCACAGAAATATGATATGCTATATTTCTCTAGTCTACTCTAGAGAAATATCATTTTACCATCCTCCTAGATGACTATTTCACATCTTTTTTTTTTCTTCAGGCCTCTATAATCTTCTCCCCCATGCTCACTCTCAACAGATAACCTTGCTTCTTTCATTGAGAAAACAAAAGCAATCAGAAGAGAACTTTTACAAGTTCCCACCACCACACCCTCCCATGTACTTGTATCTGCACCCATATTTTTATCTTATCTCTATGTGCTTAGGATAAACTGTCCATGGTTCAACCCCTCTACCTGTGTGCTAGATCCCATCCTTTCATGCCCACTCAAGGACATCGTTCTGGGGCTTGAATTATTTAATTTTTTAAAATTTAATTGAGACGGGGTCTCGCCATGTTGCCCAGGCTGGTCTCAAGTGATCCACCTGCCTCATCCTCTCAAAGTGCTGGGATTACAAGTGTAAACCACCATGCCCGGCCTTGAATACTTACTTACACAATTAACATGTCTTTAACTGAATTCCCAAATGATTCCTATACACCTCCAAAACT
Source organism: Homo sapiens (assembly GCF_000001405.40). Taxonomy (NCBI): domain Eukaryota; kingdom Metazoa; phylum Chordata; class Mammalia; order Primates; family Hominidae; genus Homo; species Homo sapiens. The sequence goes on along the minus strand of NC_000001.11, from coordinate 162,550,140 downwards.
ACCTGCTTCCCTCCCTCAGTCTTCCCTATCTCTATGGTTTCTCAGGCCAAAAATCTTAGAGTCGGCCGGGCGCGGTGGCTCACGCCTGTAATCCCAGCACTTTGGGAGGCCGAGGCGGGAGGATCACAAGGTCAGGAGATCGAGATCATCCTGGCTAACACAGAGAAACCCCGTCTCTACTAAAAATTAAAAAATTAGCTGGGCGTGGCAGTGTGTGCCTGTAGTCCCAGCTGCTGGGGAGGCTGAGGCAGGAGACTGGCGTGAACCTGGGAGGCGGAGCTTGCATTGAGCCGAGATTGCGCCACTGCACTCCAGCATGGGCGAGAGAGCGAGATTACGTCTCAAAAAAAAAAAAAAAAAAAAATCTTAGGGTCATCCTTCACTCCTTTTTCTCATACCAGATCCAATCTACAGCAAATCCCATAGGCTCTATGTTCAAAGTACATCTAGAATCTGACCAATTCTCAATATCACTTTCTCCCATCATCATTTCTTACCTGGATTACATAACGGCCTCCAAACGAGTCTTGCTGCTACCCTTGCCCTTGTTTTTATCTTTTCTTTTCTTTCTTCCTTTTTTTTTAAAAAATTGAGATGGGGTCTCACTGTTGCCCAGGCTCGTTTCGAACTCTTGGGCTCAAGTGATCTTCCAGCTTCAGCCCCCCAAAGTGCTGGGATTACAGGCGTCAACGACCACACCTGGCCCCCTTGCCCTTCTTAAAGCCATTCTCAATACAATAGCCAGAATGATGATCTGTGGATTTATATTACCCTTGTGCTCAAAACACTCTGATGGCTTCCTATCTCAACCAGAATAAAATGCAAAATCATCAAATGACCCACAAGGTCATCTATGCTGTCCCACTCCACCTGGCCTGCTCCTTCTCTAACTTCTCCCTTTTATGTTCTCCATAGCCTGCCCTGATTCACCAGACTCCAGCCACACTGGAGCTTAGAATTTGTCCTGAGGGCAGTGAGGAGTCCTTGAAGGGTTTTTCTTTTTCTTGTTTTTTTTTTTCGTTTTTTCTTTTTTGAAACAGAGTCTCACTCTGTTGCCCAGGCTGGAGTCCAGTGGTGTGATCTCGACTCACTGCAACCTCAGCCTCCCAAAGTGCTGGGATTACAGGTGTTAGCCACTGTGCCAGATCCCCTGAAGGGTTTTTAAAAGCCTCCATTTTGTCTTCTCTGCCTATAAAGTGGGACAAAATACAGACAGTTAATATGACAGGCCTGCACCTCCTACAATACCAGCCCCTTATGTGATAAAACTGTTCTGATTGGCCTTGCTGACCCAGCAGGGGCACAAAGGGTCCCTTAGTAGCCAAGCTGGTGTTACTTGAGACTCCTTTTTTATTTTCCTTTTTGTGATGAAAGAAAGATTAAAAGCAAAAAAAAAAAAATCAGTTAAAGACCTGAAGCTTTTAGGATTTTCAAAAGAAAAAAATAGATTATTTTTTAATTTTACAGATATTATAAACATTAAAATTCGAAACATACAAAGGAGAGAAAGAAGGGAAGGAGGGAGGGGGAATAAGGAAGAAAGGAAGGCCACCTTTTGGGCCTGGCACATAAAACAATTCCTATTAAAGGTAGTATTTTTCCTTATAGAGTTGAAAGTCTAAGTACTTTTAAAAGACTATTTACTATCCTTGGCAGTGTTCCTCCCCAGGGAGAGAGAGGAACAGTGTCTTCTCTGAAATCTTGACTTCACGTAGCACACCACACCCTGCCCCAGTTGAGCTCATTTCTCACCCACAAGTTTTTGAAAAGACGCCCTGGGGTTTGCTCATGAGCCCAGACCTTTCTGGCATCTCACTGAAGTAACTTCTGACTAGATTTGTCATGATCGTAAGGCTGTTTTAAAGAGACAATTTAGATTCTTCTTTTGACGGAATATATTTCATTGCACTGTATTCTCAACAGTTAAAATGAATGCATGATAAAATATAAACAGGCCACCCAAGAATAAAATAAATCCTTTTGACTGAAATAAACATACAGACTTTTTTCTTTTCCTCACCAGATTATCTCATTAAATTACATCATGATGGAAATCTACAGATTTTTTTTATATATATGGTGTTTGTTTTTTTGTTTGTTTGTTTTTGAGACAGAATCTCTCTGTTGCCAGGCTGGAGTGCAGTGGCGTGATCTCGGCTCACTGCAACCTCCGCCTCCCAGGTTCAAGCAATTCTCCTACCTCAGCCTCCCAAGTAGCTGGGACTACAGGTGCATGCCACCACACACAGCTAATATTTGTAATTTTAGTAGAGACAGGGTTTCACCATGTTGGTCAGGATGGTCTTGATCTCTTGACCTCGTGATCTGCCTACCTCAGCCTCCCAAAGTGCTGGGATTACAGGCGTGAGCCACAGCACCCGGCATTTGTTTGTATTTTTAAAAATCAATTTGTCCTTTATTTATTTATCATTTAACATTATTCCATTAGTATTAGGTTTTATGCGGTTCTACTGTAACTCCCAAAAAAAAGTTGTGATAGTTTGTTTGGAGGTAGCCATTTTGTTTAAATAACTGTCTAAAATTGTTATTTATTATTAGCCATAGAAAAACATGACTTTAGGCCACAATTTAGTACACAATAGTAAACTGCTAAAAAGCAATTTAGGAATATGAAAATATATAGTAAATGGAACTTTCCAAATGGCAGTTGTGAATTTTTTTTTTCTTGTTCTATATTGCCCATGTCAGAGTGCAGTGACTCAATTACAGCTCACTGCAGCCTCAAACTCCTGGGCTCAAGTGATCCTCCCACCTCACCCTCCCAAGTAGCTGAGACTCCAGGTGCATGCCACCACGCCTGGCTAATTTTTATTTTTTTTATTTTTTGTAAAGAAAGGTATTGCTTTGTTGCCCAGGCTGGAGTGACTCTTTGATACAGCACCTGATTATAGCTGATTTGGATAATTATTAGAATAAGGAAAGCCTACATTTAAATTAACAATGTGAAATATTTTCAATTATGTGCTTAAATTTTTTTACCACAAAAGTTAAGGTAATTTTCTAATAATTATTTTGTTTTTTTGTTTGTTTGTTTGTTTGTTTTAGACAGAGTCTTGCTCTGTCACGCAGGCTGGAGTGCAGTGTGCAGGAGTGTGATCTCAGCTCACTGCAACCTCCGCCTCCTGGGTTCAAGCAATTCTCTTGCCTCAGCCATCTAAGTAGCTAGGACTACAGGTGTGCGCCAACACACCCGGCTAATTTTTGTCCTTTTAGTAGAGACAGGGTTTCGTCATGTTGGCTAGGTTGGTCTCAAGCTCCTGATCCACCTGCCTCAGCCTCCCAAAGTGCTAGGATTACAGGCATGAGCCACCATACCCTGCCCTGATATTATTTTCATCTTATAGTTCAATAAACTGAGGCTGAGAAATGTCAAGTAGCTTTTTCAAGGTCTCAACTGTGGCAGATTTTGAATATGAACACATCTCTCTTACTACAAATTTCATACTCTTAATCACTGAATTCATATATCCAACCATTTATTTTCCAAAACAGTAAATACTCTGTCCAGCACCCATTTAGATAAATATTGCAGAGTAACATCTCAAAAAGACAATAATGGGCCAGGCAGGATGGCTCACACCTGTAATCCCAGCTCTTTGGGAGGCTGAGGCAGGTGGAGCACGAGGTAAAGAAATGGAGACCATCCTGGCCAATATGGTGAAACCCCATCTCTACTACAAATACAAAAAATTAGCTGGACATGGTGCCATGCACCTGTAGTCCCAGCTACTCGGGAGGCTGAGGCAGGAGAATTGCTTGAACTTATTTTGTATTTTTAGTAGAGACGGGGTTTCTCCATGTTGGCCAGGAGGGTCTCGATCTCTTGACCTCGTGATCTGCCCTCCTCGGCCTCCCAAAGTGCTGAGATTACAGGCGCGACCCACTGTGCCGGGCCCCTGGAAGAAACTTTCTAAGTCATCATATCCTACCTCCCAACCAATGCATGAATCATTTCTTTAACATCTCTGACAGATAAAGAGCTAATGAAATCACGAATTAGGTATTGTCAGATAGAAATGTTATAAAATCCCTTTGTTCTATGGATGGATGTATTCATTTTACATAGATGCTGTAACAAATACTACAAACATAGTGGCTTCAAGCCACACAAATTTGTTATATCACAGTTTCTCTGGATCAGGAAGCTGGGTAAGTTCAATTGGGTCCTTTACTTAGGGTACAAAAAGGCAAAAATCAGCTGGACGCAGTGGCTGACGCCTATAATCCCAGCACTTTGGGAGGCCGAGGTGGGTGGATCACCTGAGGTCAGGAGTTTGAGACCAGCTTGGCCAACATGGTGAAACCCTGTCTCCACTAAAAATACAAAATTAGCTGGGTATAGTGACAGGCACCTGTAATTCCAGCTACTTGGGAGGCTGAGGCAGGAGAATAGCTTGAACCCGGGAGGTGGAGGTTGCAGTGAGCCAAGATTGCGCCACTGCACTTCAGCCTGGGCAACAGAGCAAGACTCTGTCTCAAAAAAAAAAAAAAAAAAAAGAAAAAAGGAAAAGAAAATGCTTAAATCGAGGTGTTGGCAGACGGCTGTGCTCCTTAATGGAGCCCTGGGGAAGAATACACGTCCAGACTTGTTCAAGTTGTTGGCCATATTCGGTTTCTTGAGGTCCCTGTTTCCTTGCTGCCGTCAGGCCAGGGCCAGGCTTTGCTCTTAGAGGGTGCCCACATTTATTTTCATGCTTTGCATGTGGCCTCTTCCAACAATGGCAAGTAGAGTTCTTCTCATGATTTGAATCTCTGACTTTCCCTTCTGCCACCTCTCTCTGACTCCAGCTGGAGTCAGAGACTCCAGTTATTTTTATTTTTTTGAGACGGAGTCATGCTCTGCCGCCCAGGCTGGAGTGCAGTAGCGTAATCTTGGCTCACTGCAACCTCCGCCTCCCAGGTTCAAGCAACTACTCTGCCTCAGCCTCCTGAACAGCTGGGACTACAGGCGTGCGCCAACACGCCTGGCTAATTTTTGTATTTTTAGGAGAGACAAGGTTTCATCATATTGGCCAGTCTGGTCTCGAACTCCCAACCTCATGATCCGCCACCCTTAGCCTCCCAAAGTGTTGGGATCACAGGCATGAGCCACCACGGCCGGCCATAAAAGTTCTCTGCTTTGCCAGGTGCGGTGGCTCACGCCTGTGATCCCAGAACTTTGGGAGGCCAAGGCAAGCAGATGACATGAGGTCGAGAGTTCAAGACCAGCCTGACCCAACATGAAGAAACCCTGTCTCTACTAAAAATATAAAAAAAATTAGCCAGGCATGGGGGCGCATGCCTGTAATTCCAGCTACTTGGGAGGCTGAGGTAGGAGAATTGCTTGAACCCAGGAGGCGGCGGAGGTTGCGGTGAGCCGAGATCGTGCCATTGAACTCTAACCTGGCAACAAGAGTGAGACTCCATCTCAAAAAAAAAAAAAAAAAAAAAAAAAAAAAGAAGAAGAAGAAGAAGAAGAAAGAAAAAAGAAAAAGTTCTCTGCTTTAAGGGCTCCTGTAACTGAATGTTCCCCACATCCCCATCACCAGGGATAATCCAGGATCACCTCCCTATCTTAAAGTTCATAACCTTAGCTGGATCTGCAAAGTCCCTTTTGCTATGTAATGCAACATGTTCCTTGGTTCCAGGGATTTGGGTATGGACAGCTGAGGGGTGGGGGTGGAATATCTGCCTCCCTTGTGATTCTGCCCATTTTTCTGAATACTACCACTTGAACCACCCATTCCTTTCTCTAAAACCACCTTTGCAAAAATCATAACGGTGAGAAATTATGACAGTAAAAGAGATCTGATCTAACCAACTCCACCCTGCCTTAACCTCCAAACTGCCCTTGGTCATTCCTGGGCATGGGCCAAGCTAATCTGGGGAGAATTTTAGTTTATAGTTTAAATTATAATAGCCCTTCCCTAAACTAAACCAGTTTAGTAAAACCAATGAAAGGCCGGGTGCGGTGGCTCACGCCTGTAATCCCAATACTTTGGGAGGCTGAGGCAGGCAGATCACTAGGTCAGGAGTTTGAGACCAGCCTGGCCAACATGGTGAAACCCCGTCTCTACTAAAAAAATACAAAAATTAGCTGGGCGTAGTGGTACTCACCTGTAATCCCAGCCACTCGGGAGACTGAGGCAGGAGAATCGCTTGAACCCGGGAGGTGGAGGCTGCAGTGAGCCAAAATTGCTCCACTGCACTCCAGCCTGGGTGATAGAGCGAGACTCCATCTCAAAAAAAAAAAAAAAAAAACAATGAAAGTCCACCAGATTACAAGGATGAGAGGGGCCTGAATTCTGCTAAGATGTAAGCACAGTTAAATGATTACCAGCCATTATTCTGGAGGTCATAAGATTTGCAACTTCCCCAGTCACTCCTGTAAATAACTTCAGTACTGTAGAACCTAAGATTGGCCTTTTGAGATGTCTTTTCAGACTTTTGCATTTCTGACAACCAGATGGCCCCACCTAGACCAGGGGCTCCTCTGTGGCCCCCACCCAGAAGCAGACTCAGAAAAAGACCGTTTCCTACACTCCTATGATTGCATCCTCACCAATCAGTATTCCCTCTTCTAAAGCCCCATGCCCACTAAATTATGCTTGAGAAGCGCTAGCCTCTGAATTTTTGAGTTTTCAGGGAGGTTGATTTGAGTAATAATAAAACTCCGGTCTTCTGTTTAGCTGGCTCTAGGTGTATTAAACTCTCTCTATTGCAATTCCCCTGTCTTGATAAATTGGCTGTATCTAGGCAGTGGGCAAGATGAGCCCATTGGGTGGTTACATATGCACTTGACAAATAATTATTGGGCTCTTACTGTGTATCAGGCAGCATATTTGATACAGGGGATATAATAGTGACCAAGCCAGAAACAGTTCATGATCAAATGAAGCTAGAGGAGAGGCCATATTCAAATGTAATTACACTAATAAATGTTAAGGTACAATTATAATCAAAGTACGTATCTGTACTTTGAGACTGCTATGATGCTATGGTAGTACAAATTATGAAGTTGACATCACTTGGAGGGTGTGGTTCAAGAAATACTTCCTTAAAGAAGTGAAATCCCCGCACATATTTGAAAAAGAGCCATTACATCTCTGAAGTATTTTTTTCAAATATTCCTTATCTTTATATCATGTCAAAACAAATAAATGTAGTGGGAGTAAGGGATATTAGTGTGTGTGTGTGTGTGTGTGTGTGTGTGTGTGTGTTTTAGGGGCTGTCAAAGTGGCCTACCATTTACTTCTCCTGGCCTCTATCCAGCAGAAAATGTGTTAGGGGAATTTAGGCAGACAGAATTCTCCAATTAAATAAATATTTTGTTTTATTTTATTTTATTTTATTTTTGAGAAACAGGATCTTACTTTGTCACCCAGGCTGGAGTGCAGTAGTACAATCACATCTCACCTCAGCCTCAACCTTCCAGGCTCAAGCAATCTTCTTGCCTCACCCTCCTGAGTAGCTGAGACTACAGATGCGTGACACCACATCTGACTATTTTTTTTTTGGTATCTTTTGTAGAGATGGGGTCTCACTATGTTGCCCAGGCTGGTCCTGAACTCCTGGGCTCAAGTGATGCTCCCACCTCAGCCTCCCAAAGAGCTGGGATTACAAGCATGAGCCACTGTACCCCACCTAAAATTAAAAATATATATATAAATACAAATTGAGATTGCTTTGCTCTTAAAAATTGTTCTTGACAGTAGGACAGCCTTCCATCAGGAGAAAATTTGGAATACAAAAGAAAAGAATGCTAATTTGAGATGGTGTTTCCCTTTTTTCATGAGAAATAAAAAGTAATGTATGGCCAGGGTATAATATAAGACAGGTCTAGGAAAGAGCAAATGCTTCAATGACCAGGATGTGTTGTTTAAAAGGAACAGCCAAACCATCAGCAATTTCTAATGTTTTGTTTCTTAACTTTGAGATGTAATGTCCCAAAAGGAAAAAAAAAAAAATTGCCCTTCTTGGTTAGTATGAGTTGTACTTATTTTCTGTGAAGTCCGTAGGAAATCATTGCTGCTCTCAATGATGAGTAAACTGAATTGCAAAGGGAGTACCTGCCCCACCCGACTCCCTCATAATCTTCTCTCCAGAAAGTATAGCTGCTTTCTCTTCCTCCAGGAGCTGACAGGAACTGAGTGGAAGAGAGCCAGCATCTGAGCAAAGCCAGAGGCATTTCCCTTGAATGCTTATGAAGAGACTAAGAAAAAAAATCCCTCCCCATTAGCTGGAATTACAATTTCCCAAGGAACAGTGGCCATAGGGCCACTCATTGGACAGATTTTGAAGGCAGAGGCTGCAAGAGAACAGAGAACTGAGGGAAGAGGGGAGTGTGTGGATGAGATTAATTGAACAGTCTGGACTCTGAAAATCCATTTGGTAGTTGCTCGTGACGCAATCCTTGGGGAAGTACCAGTCTAAGGTGCATGTAGATCCTGTACCAGGGTTCCAAACTATCTCAGGGTCAAAATGGCTGGCAGGCCGGCTGTTGCAGCATCAGTGGCTGGATGGTTTTTGGTAAGTGTATTATAATGCTGCAGGATTCCATAAACTGGGGTTAATGCCAGATGATACCATATATAAGGATGAAGAAGTAAGAGAAGCCATAAGAAGCCCTCCTGTGAACCTTTATAATAACAGGATGTTTCACATCGATTGCGCTGGACCTGACTATGAGGCAGCAGATCTCGCCTAAAGAACAGTGGACCAAATATGACAGGATAAATTCTACCTTGAACCGTATCTGAAAGCGGTTACTTGGGAGAGAAAAGAGAGAAAAGAATGGGCAAAGAAGTAATCATGCAGTTGAAATCTATGGATGCAGCTGTCCTCAAAGTATTTTTATGAAGATGTTGGTTAACGCCAAAACACAATTTAATAATTATTTAGGCCGGGCGCAGTGGCTCACACCTGTAATCCCAGCACTTTGGGAGGCCGAGGCGGGTGGATCACCTGAAGTCAAGAGTTCAAGATCAGCCTGGCCAACATAGCGAAACCCTATCTCTACTTTAAAAAATACAAAAATTAGTTGGGCGTGGTGGCGGGCACTTGTAATCCCAGCTACTCGGGAGACTGAGGTAGGAGAATCGCTTGAACCTGGGAGGCGAAAGTTGCAGTGAGCCGAGATCGCACCACTGCACTCCAGCCTGGGTGACAGAGTGAGACTCCGTCTCAGAAAAAAAAAAAAAAAGAAAAGAAAAGAAAAGTATTTAGTCTGCACGTTTTCCTTTAAATAAATACCTATAGTAAAAACAACAACAACAACAACAACAAACTGTCTCAAATGAATCCAATACGTACCCCAACTTTACCAAGTTGGTTGATGTTTGTTTTTATTTTTGGCATCCTGAGATCACTGTATTTTATTATCCAGATAAAATAATTCCAATTACGGCCGGGCGCGGTGGCTCACGCCTGTAATCCCAGCACTTTGGGAGGCCGAGGCGGGCGGATCACGAGGTCAGGAGATCGAGACCATCCTGGCTAACACAGTGAAACCCCGTCTCTACTAAAAATACAAAAAAAAAATTAGCCAGACGTGGTGGCGGGCGCCTGTAGTCCCAGCTACTCGCGAGGCTGAGGCAGGAGAATGGCGTGAACCCGAGAGGCGGAGCTTGCAGAGAGCCGAGATTGCGCCACTGCACTCCAGCCTGGACGACAGAGCAAGACTCCATCTCAAAAAAATAAAGTAATTCCAATTTCATGTCTTTGGATTCCCCACAAGCAGAAAATCAGGTAATCACTTGATTGTCTCTGTACCCAAGGAACAAAATCTTTAATATACGGAGCGGTTTGGCCCCTTCTTATTTCCACACACTAGTCTGTGAGTACTGTCTTTACATCACCCAAAGACCTGTTGAATTGCTTCCCCAAACAAAAGATGAATTCTCTCTGGAGCTATAAAATGCACCTTGTAAAACTGTAGTATTTTTGCAATTTGCGACTACCACCCAGAAACCATTTTAAAATGACAAAGATTTTCTGCTTTTTTTTTTTTTTTTTTTTTTTGAGACAGAGTTTCACTCTTGTTGCCCAGGCTGGAGTGCAATGGCGCAATCTCGGCTCACTGCATCCTCTGCCTCCCCGGTTCAAGTGATTCTCCTGCCTCAGCCTCCCAAGTAGCTGGGATTACCAGCATGCACCACCATGCCCAGCTAATTTTGTATTTTTAGTAGAGACGGGGTTTCTCCATGTTGGTCAGGCTGGTCTCGAACTCTCAACCTCAGGTGATCCGCCCACCTCGGCCCCCCAAAGTGGTGGGATTACAGGTGTTAGCCACTGCCACTGGTGTTTTCTGGTTTCTTATTCACAGTTTATAGTCAGGATCTTAATGATCTCATGTAGAATATTTCTCTTTAAAATTTGGTACAGTTTATTATGAACAATGTCTTTGTATGAGAAAAATATAATAATCATATGTAATACAAATTCTGTAGGCAAGAAAGAAAAGTATGTTATCCCGCAGGCTCAGGCTGGACATTTTTTTTTTTTTTTTTTTTTTTTGAGATGGAATCGGGCTCTGTCACCCAGACTGGAGATCAGTGCCGAAATCTATGTTCACTGCAACCTCCACCTCCCGGGTTCAAGCGATTCTCCTGCCTCAGCCTCCCGAGTAGCTGGGATTACAGGCACCTGCCACAACGCCCAGCTAATTTTTGTATTTTTAGTAGAGACAGAGTTTCCTCATGTTGCCCAGGCTGGTCTTGAACTCCTGACCTCAAAGGATCCACTTGTCTCAGCCTCCCAAAGTGCTGGGATTGCAGGCATGAGTCACCACCCCTGGTTCAGGCTTGGCTTTTAATTCTGCTGCTCACCCAGTGTGGTCAGGCAAACCTGCCCTCTCCTGTACGTGAGCTTTGAGCATTTGTTGGGCTGTTCTAACAGAGATCATAGTTGCCATACTTACCTTCATTGAGAACTGTATTTTTCCATAAAGAGGGTGCTGCTTCAAGTTAGGAAGGAACTTCAGAAGGGCTTAATATGAAGTGATGCAAGAATAAGAAAAGGCCTCTCAATTCAGGCAACTGAAAGTTTGAGAATCAGAGTCATTCAATTCATATGCTCTGAGATCAGTCATTATTAGCCTGTATGTGTGGTTTTTGTTTTCCTGTACAACCTAGAAAATTAGTCTTTGGTCATGTTCCTGGAATTCAAAGAAATATCATGAGCAATGAGTTAAGTATGTATTTTATCTAAGAAATGTAGTCTACCTATTATATGGGGCATGTGTATGTGAGGCACATACACAAAATTATTCAGCTTTGTTGAAGCCAGTAGTGAAAAGCATAATTAAAGAGAGATTTAAGTCTTGAAATTCTGGTGACACAGGGGATAGGCTGCTTGAATTCGGCCACAAAACCTTATTTCTGACATATTAAACAAACAGATTAAGAAACAATTGGCCCATATAAGCCCACGTCTATGTTAACAGTAAAATATTCCTTATGAATTAATTAGTCAACTTACTGAGTTTTGCATCCGAGTAAGAATCCCCTTTTACCTATTCATACAGCTATAAACTACAAGCGAAATTAAGATCTTGTTATCTGTGGAAGGAAAAGATATTGTTAAAATCTCAGACAAAAATCCACCCCCCCATTTTCATTTAAATATGAAAGCAAAGTTGTATTAAGGAGGTTAAAAATTATATATAATAATATTTATATGAAATAAAAATATTGATGGTGGCAGTATTATTTTTCCTCCACAATATCAAAGGGTAGAGAATATAGTCTATATTTAATTATTCCTTGACAAGCTTAATAACCTAATTTTTTTTTTTTTGAGACAAAGTGTCACTCTGTCACCCAGGCTGGAGTACAGTGGCACGATCTCAGCTTCCTGCAACCTCTGCCTCCTGGGTTCAAACAATTCTCCTGCCTCAGCTTCCCGAGTAGCTGGGATTACAAGTGTGCACCACCAAGCCCAGCTGATTTTTTGTATTTTTAGTAGAGATGGGGTTTCACCATGTTGCCCAGACTGCTCTCAAACTCCTGACCTCAAGTGATCCACCCACCTCGGCCTCCAAAGTGCAGGCATTACAGATGTAAGCCACCGTGCCTGACCACCTAATGAAAAAAATAATAATGGTAATAATAGAAAAAAAGCAAAAAGCATTCATAACTATGTTTCTGGATCCACTGTAGATGACATATTTTTCCACAGTTGCAAGTAAAAATGAGTTTTCCAAAATGTAAAATTGTTAGAAACAAAAAGTATGGGCATGCTAAAAAAAAAAATCCTGCTATGAGGGAGGTTCCTTACATCAAAAATGGTCAGGATGAGTTAGGCACTAACACCAAATGATGAGAAAAATGGACATAACATTGAAGGGAAGATGTTTTGAAATGCTCAACTTGCAGCCCAACATAAGAAGAGAAATTTGGATGACGATGAGAACAAAAGGGAGGGAAAGACACCTCACAGGTGTTTCATGTGAATAAGCTCATTTAGTCTTCACAGCAATTTTATAATGTAAATATGATTATTATCTCTATGTTACAAAAGAGGAAACCAAGTCTTATAAAGTTTAAGCAGCTTACTAAGGTCATATCGTTACTGTGTGAGGAAGTCTCTCCAACTTGGAGAGTGCAAGGGAGAGTCATATAAGTCCCTGGAACACTCCAACTTGCCTTTCTATTTTCATTTCCAAGCTGCCTCCTTTGCCTGGTCCTGAAATCTCTAATTCTCTCTCTCCCTCTCTCTCTCTCTCTCTCTCTCTTTCTCTCTCTCTCTCTCTCACACACACAAATTTGGCATCTCACCTCTTTTACCCTAATTAAACTTGGCCTTTGTCAGCAGGCAACTGGTTCTGATGCTCTGTCAATGAAGATAATGGAGAAATATGGTGTTTTTTTTTTTTTTGGAGTCGGAGTCTTGCTCTGTCACTAGGCTGGAGTGCAGTAACAGTCTCGGCTCACTGCAACCTCCGCCTCCTGGGTTCAAGCGATTCTTCTGCCTCAGCCTCCCGAGTAGCTGGGATTACAGGTGCGCACCCACCACGCCCAGCTAATTTTTGTATTTTTAGTAGAGATGGGGTTTCACCAGGTTGGCCAGGTTGGTCTTGAACTGCTGACCTCGTGATCCACCTGCCTCAGCCTCCCAAAGTGCTGGCATTACAGGTGTGAGCCACCGCACCTGGCCGAAATATGGCATTAAAATGGAACCTTCTGTTCCTTAACCCCAGACTCTCTATATCCACTTGTGATACAAACCAATGTAGCAACATAACCAGCCCTTGCCATATCTTCCCTACTGCTTAAGGGTTAGCCAATTAGCTGATTTCCCTTGCCTGTTTCTTTGGGAACAAAGAAAACAATTGTGTCATGTACATGAACAGACACATGAACAAGTAGGTGGAAGCCATTTTGAATGGTAGAATTTCAGTTTGCCAAAACCATAAAAGTGACTCACAACACCACTTTCAGGCAGCCTAGTTCAGGGGCCATAGCTGCATATGTTATTTATCATCAGACCCAACCTCCAAATTCTCTTTCTTGGCTATAATGCAAAGTCAGATGCTTAGGCCTTTGATGAATGTGCAGCAATAATAAGAAGGGAGTGCTGGCCGGGTGCAGTCGCTCTTGCCTGTAATCCCAACACTTTGGGAGGCCAAGGTGGGAGGATCACTTGAGCCTAGGAGTTTCAGACCAGCCTGGGCAACATGGCAAGACCCTGTCTCTACATAAAATACAAAAAAAAAAAAAAATTAGCCAGGCGTGGTCGTGCATGCCTGTAGTCCCAGCTACTAGGGAGGCTGAGGTGGGAGAATCACTTGAGCCCAGGAGGTCGAGGCTGCATGAGCCATCAGCATGCCACTGCACTCCAGCCTAGGCAACAGAGCAAGATCATATAAATAAATAAATAAATAAATAAATAAATAAATAGAGTGCTGCCGGGAGCGGTGACTCACCCCTGTAATCCCAGCACTTTGGGAGGCTGAGGCGGGCAGATCACCTGAGGTCGGGAGTTCAAGACCAGCCTGACCAACATGGTGAAACCCCATCTCTACTAAAAATACAAAAGAGTTAGCTGGGCATGGTAGTGGGTGCCTGTAATCCCAGCTACTCGGGAGGCTGAGGCAGGAGAATCGCTTGAAGCCGGGAGGTGGAGGTTGTAGTGAGCCGAGATCACACCACTGCACTCCAGCCTGGGCGACAGAGCAAGACTGTCTCAAAAAAAAAAAAAAAAAAAGACGTGGTTCAGAGGCGAGGAGTATAATTTTTTTAGCTCTCTTATTCCCTGGCAGAAATAATGTAGCCTTCTTATTATAACACATGTCCTTTTAGCTGTAAGATAAATAAGATGAGGTCACTGCTTTTACAGATCTCACATGCAAAGGGAAGAAACAGAGAAATGTTATTTAGTGTTAAGAATTTATAAATATTCACAAAATTTGTTGGAAACATCAAGGAAGGAATAGTTGATTCAGCCCAGAGACCACAGGTTTACACAGATGTGGATACATGGGCTGATTCTTAAAGGATGAGTAGATACTTGCCAAGCAATGATACACAGAAATGGAGGAAGTACTGCTATTGAAAACAGATATTGGAACACTCGGTCTGAAATCCAGGCAGGTGTTGGGGAGGAGTGGGCAGGGCATATGGAGCTACTGAAGAATTTCAAGAAGTGAAGGAATCTGATCAAAATTTTTAATTCTCTTGGCAGCGTGGAGCCTGAAGGCAGGAAGATCACTGTAATAGTTTAAGTAAGAGATTATGATGGTCCAAAATATGCTGATGGGCCACGCATGGTGGCTCACACCTGTAATCCTAGCACTTTGGGAGGCTGAGAAAGGAGGATTGCTTGAGGCCAAGAGTTCGAGACCATCCTGGTCAAAATAGTGAGGGTCCATCTCTATTATTAATATATATAGAGAGAGAGCTGATGATGAATATGAAGTTCAGGAAATAAATGTAAGAGATATTTAAGATTTAGGATGGGAAAGGCTTACTGATTGCATGTTGACAGTGAGGGAGGAGGAGAACTAAATGGCTTTCATGTTTCTGACTTTGGTCACTGAGTAGATGGGTTATTACCTGAAAAAAGAATATAGTCAAGGCAGGTTTTGAGATATCTCCTTGGCTAATGAACAATTCTCCCTTCTGTAAGAACAGCCCCCTCTGAAAAGGAAAAGTGCACAATAGTCTTTGTACAATGTGGATCAATATCTGTCATAGTTTATTGGTCTAGCATGGACACTTAAACACACTGTGCCAATTAAAGATTCTCTTCTGGGAATTTGTGATTGGGCCTACAGAAAGTCACTTTTGAGGCTGGGCGCAGTGGCTCATGCCTGTAATCCCAGCACTTTGGGAGGCTGAGGTGGGCAGATCACAAGGTCAGGAGTTCAAGACCAGCCTGGCCAACAATATGTGACAAAATATTGACAGTAGATGAAGGGTATGTTGGCATCAACTTACTATCCTTCCAACTCTTCTGTGGGTTTAAATAGACCAAATAGACTCCAACTTCTCTAAGAAAATTGGGGAAAAAGTATGCAGTACATCCAAAACATATTTAACCATAGAATATTTCTGGTCTACCCAGCCCCTCCAGGCTTCTCAATATTATACGGCATGCTAGTGCTAATGTTCCAAGGATATACAGTTTGGGAAATGCTGTACTAAACACTAATAAGCACTTCTCCTCTAACTTCAACTTGTTCAATGACTGCTTAACTAAGCTTTGGCTTTTTTTTGTTTGTTTTTTGAGACGGAGTCTCACACTGTTGCCCAGACTGGAGTGCAGTGGCACGATCTCGGCTCACTGCAAGCTCCGCCTCCCGGGTTCACGCCATTCTCCTGCCTCAGCCTCCCGAGTAGCTGGGACTACAGGCGCCCACCACCACGCCCGGCTAATTTTTTGTATTTTTAGTAGAGACGGGGTTTCACTGTGTTAGCCAGGATGGTCTCGATCTCCTGACCTCGTGATCCACCCGCCTTGGCCTCCCAAAGTGCTGGGATTACAGGCGTGAGCCACCATGCCTGGCCTAGCTTTGGCTTTCATTCTCACTCTGTTGCCCAGGCTGGACGGCAGTAGCGCCATTTCGGCTCACTGCAATCTCCACCTCCTGAGTTCGTTCTCCTAAGTGATTCTCCTGCCTTAGTCTCCTGAGTAGCTGTAACTACAGGCGCATGTCACGACGCCCAGCTAATTTTTGTATTTTTAGTAGAGACAGGGTTTTGCCATGTTGGCCAGGCTGGTCTTGAACTCCTGACCTCAAGTGATCCACCTACCTCAGCCTCCCAAGTGCTGAGATTACAGGCGCAAGCCACCGCGCCCAGCCTGATCCCTCTTTTCTTTAAAGGAGTGTGGTCTTAAAAATGTAAATGTTCTAATTTTATAGCAGTAATTTTTTTTTTTTTTTTGAGACGGTCTCACTCTGACACCCAGGCTGGAGTATAGTGGCTCACTGCAACCTCTACCTCCTGGGTTCAAGCAAGTCTCCCACCTCAGTCTCCTGAGTAGTTGGGACCACAGGCATGCGCCACTATGCCTCGCTAATTTTGGATTGTTTGGTATAGATGGGATTTCACTGTGTTGGCCAGGCTGGTCTTGAATTCCTGACCCCAAGTGATCTGTCCTCCTCGGCCTCCCAGAGTGCTGGGATTACAGCCATGAGCCACCGCCCAGCCTATAGTACTAATCTTTTGTTACTAGTCTAATAAATCGTTTCCAACAGAAACATCAATAACGTCTCATTGCTTTACAAAGTAATCTCAACTGAACAGGTGTTCAATGGTCCTTGTCATAGAGCCTCTTCCCAGGTCTGCACAACTCTGGAAGACATTTTATTTAGCTGGTATTTGAATATGCGGCCATCGGTCACCCATTTTCCTTTGAGCATTATTTTTATTTCATATGTAAAGATATTGAAATATACATATAGACATCTATATAATATTACATATGCAGATGATATTGTATGCTTAATGAAAAATAGGCTTTTGGAAATGGTTTAGTAATTATGTGTAGCAACTCGCTCATGTTCCAACCTATTAAGTCAAGAATTCTTAAAAGTTACAGAATAGTGGAGAGAACTACAAGTCACAATAAAACACCTCACGTTTTTAAAGTGAAAATTTGCTTAGCCAAGTTCAATATACTCATGCTAAGGAAGAACTCAAGGATTTTGGTTGTTCAGATACACAATTTTATGCAACAGAAGGAAATGAAAAATCCTAATTCCTTCAATTTAGGACTAAAAACTGTTCCACAAAAATAATCTGCTATATATACATATATATGTATATATAGAGAGAGAGAAAGAGAGAGAGAGAGAGTCTCTGTCACCCAGGTTGGAGTACAGTGGCGCAATCTTGGCTCACTGCAACCTCCGCCTCCCAGGTTTAAGCGATTCTCGTGCATCAGCCTCCCAAGTAGCTGGGATTACAGGTGTATGCCACCACGCCCAGCTAATTTTTGTATTTTTTTTGTAGAGACGGGGTTTCATTGTCTTGGCCAGGCTGGTCTTGAACTCTTGACCTCAAGGAATCCACCCACCTTGGCCTCCCAAAATGCTGGGATTACAGGTGTGAGCCACCGTGACTGGGCATAATCTGCTATATTTTTAAAATCCAAAGTCTACCTTTCTAAATTTCTAAGTTATTTGATTAAATTGCCAATTTTGTTATTTGTACATCAATAGATTATAATGATTTCCTTTTGCTATAGAGTTAACTAAAATAGAAACTACTGGCCAGGTGCAGTGGCTCACACCTGTAATCCCAGCACTTTGGGAGGTAGAGGCGGGCAGATCACCTGAGGTCAGGAGTTCAAGACCAGCCTGACCAACATGAAGGAACCCCGTCTCTACTAGAAATACAAAATTAGCCAGGCGTGGTGGTGCATGCCTGTAATCCCAGCTACTAGGGAGGCTGAGGCAGGAGAATTGCTTGAACCTGGGAGGCGGAGGTTGCAGTGAGCCGAGATGGCGCCATTGCACTCCAGCCTGGGCAACAAGAGCAAAACTGTCTCAAAAATAAATAAATAAATAAATAAAATAAACTACTAAACTGCCATTCTTTGAAATATTGGAGTCATCCATATCCAACTGGATGCCAGATTCTATGAATTCATTTTCAACTCCACAAACATTTATTGAGCAATTACTATAGCTCAGGCATGGGGCTAGGTGCTAGGAATACAGATCTGAATATGATGATCCACTACTGATAAGGAGTACACTTGGGGCAAAACAAAATGGTAAATCTAGTCATATAGGAAATGCATACATACAAAGTAAAGACTTGGTACAGAATTACTAACAATTTGACAGGGAAGAGCACAGGGAAGATAACTAGAGAAAGTAACAACTGAGCTGTTTTAAGATCAATATGATTTTATCACACAGATAACTGGGCATGGGTAGGCAGGGAATTGAATGCAACTTTGTTTTATTTATTGTTTTTCTTTTTTTTTAGACGGAGCCTGGCTCTGTCGCCCAGGCTGGAGTGCAGTGGTGCAATCTCGGCTCACTGCAACCACTGCCTCCTAGATTCAAGCAATTCTCATGCCTAAGCCTCCCGAGTAGTTGGGATTACAGGCGCGTGCCACCATGCCTGGCTAATTTTTTTCTGTTTTATTTTTGAGACATGGTCTCACTCTGTCATCTGGGCTGGAGCGCAGTTGGTGTCATCACAGCTCACTGCAGCCTTGACCTCCCGGGCGCAGGTGATCCTCCCACCTCAGCCTCCCAGGTAGCTGGGACTACAGGTGTATGCCACCATGCCAGGCTAATTTTTCTATTTTTTGTATAGACAGGGTTTCACCATGTTTCCCAGGTTGGTCTCCAACTCCTGGCTCAAGAGATCCACCCACCTCAGCCTCACAAAATGTTGGGATTACAGGCGTGTGCCACTGTGCCTGGCCTGAATGGCATTTTAATAAGAGGATCAGAAGAGGAAAAAGGATGGACTTTGCAGAAATACAGGTAGGTGCAGCTGCAGCATGAAATATAAATAGGGAAAGAGATAGGAGGCATGATTGACAGGTGGAGCCAGATTGTAAAAAGTCTTATATGCCAATTCAAGAGAATTAGACATAATTTTGAAGGCAAATGGGCAGAATAGGAAATAAAATGAAGAATTTTATACATGAGTAGCATGATCAGGCTTCTTTTTAAAAATGAAAACTGTTAGCAGTATTAAGAGACAAGAGGGCAGGAGACAGGGATCTTCTAAGAAACTCTAGTAAAAGATCAAGGACTAAACCCAGTAGTATCTGAGGAAATGAAAAAGGGAAGCTGGATCTGGAAGGAATTACTGGGTTGACTAGCACGCAACCTAGCACACTGGTGACTCTGAAGTTAGATATTCATTTGTCCACTGTGTAAACCCTAGGAAGTAAGCTAAACAATCCATTTCCTTAACCATAAAATGAAGTGAACATTAATATCTTCCTAATAGGCTTCTTGGGAGGATTAACCAAAAAGCATTTAGCACGTTTGGTGCAAAATAACGCTCAGTTAGTCACTATTCTACTATCAGGGAGATGAAGAGATTGAGCTACTCCTAAGTAGCCCTTGAATAAAGGCCTGCTTCTGCTTTTCAATCCTAACCAATGCCCGTTGTTTAGATGAGTGGTTCTAAAAGTGCAGTCTCCACCCTAGCAGCAGCAACAGCCCCACCTGAGAACTTGTTAGAAATGCAAATTCTCGAATCCCACAAAGAACTAGTCAGAAACTCTAGGGGCGGGGCCCAGCAGTCGGTAGCCTAACAGGCCCTCCCAGGTGATTCTGTTATATGCTGAAGGATGAGAATTACTGGTTTAAATATTCTTAACTCCAGTCTAAGTTATTAAAACAGTCTCTTAGGGTGTCCCTTCTAACAACATTTTCCTGTTGAATTTATCTTCCAGATCTGTCACTGACTTCCCAAAACAACATGCCAATGCCACTCCCAGACAGACCAGTATATAAATACCACCTCTCAGTTTTATGAAATGTCGGGCAAGTCTCTTTATTTGGGTTAATTGGGTCTCTGTTGTCTCAGTTAATTGGGTCTCAGGTTATTTGGGTTTCAGTTCCCATGTGGAAAAAGGGAACATTAAACATGATATAAACTAAAATGGTACCCATCACCTAGTTGATGCTTCATGATTTGTGGCTGTTTTATTACTATTGCACCTATTATCTCATTTGGTCCTCACAACATAAAAATACAGCTATTATCAAAGCAGAATCACTGGATTAAAGATATCCAAGTTGATAAAACAGCCAAGATTAGAACACAAATTTCCTGACTCTGAACTCTGGTTCTTTTCATTAGACCTGGCTGTTTCTATAATATCAAGAACACTTTTCCAAAATAAAAAATTACATATCAGTATTACCAATATGATGCAAGATTTCCAAAAATGAAAAATCATATTCTTTAGAAATGGGTGGTTAAAGCTACATGGAAATTTTTATTGGCAGCTTTTAGTTAAAATTAAATCAGAAAATAAATATATTTACCTGTTATCTGAATATTTATACTAAGTATAGAAAAAGTTGAAATTAAAAAGCAACTCCTTTATTTTTAAGCTTTTATTTTATCACTCTTATCAAACACACATCAGAAAGCATTATCAACAGTGCATCTTATGGTAAGTCAGTTTACAACAAAACTGAACAAGGCAATTGTGTTTACAGAAAAAGTCTTCAGCAAAAAAGTATGCAATACAGTCAACTGAAACGCATTGTTCACACTTTTTAGGAATATAGGAAAGTGGAAAATAAAAGTTCTTTGCTATTCAGCAGGAAAGAGTTTAAAAGACTTGAATGGAAATCAGAAATTTAGGGATTTGAGAAAATAACTTTTTGGTACTGACACACATCTACATACATAGTCCCACTTAGTTTTTGTTTTTTCTTTAAAAAAAAAACAAAAGCTCACAAACAATAAGACATCACAAATAATACAGCAGAACCACAGTGCCAAGAAATGCCAAGACCAATATGCTACTGAAACAACTGGTAGAAATGTTACAGACAACTATTCACTATGTATTGTAATATTCTTGTAGTTCTGAGGTGAAGGTAAACCAACAGGAGAGATTACTCCTTGTAACTGGCTTTGGTTTAAGTGATCTTTCACATTTTTTTCTAACCATACCTTCTTATAAAAAATGTAGCAATTACATGTTACTGAGGGAAAATAGTACTAGGTTTTAATATTCACAACCAACTACTCCAGCTGACACAGGATGCCATCAACCATTAAAATTTATTGATCATACTTAGATTTTCTAAGGCTGATCAACAGATAGCAAAGATGGAACCCTTTTGGGAAAAAATAAAATCCCTTCTACCCCAGTTTTGACACTGTTAAGAAGTTATAAAGGAATGTTAAATTATTTAAGATATTTCAAAAAAGAATTAAGAATGGAAGAGTAAATTCTGCTGGAAAAGATAGGGCAGCTTTACAGTCTGCAAAGTAAATAATCTACAGAGATGCAGCTTAACTTTTTTTTATTATAATAAACATACTTATTTCCATAAGGTGCTGTGACTTTGCAGCTAGTGCATACTAATGCCACCCACTGTACCCAATGTGCAAAAGGAAATAATGGAGATGGCTAACCTCCAGTTTTCTGATCCTTGATTTGCATAAGTGGTGATGTACACCAAATACACAAAAGCTGGAGTATAAATATTTATTTTTAAAAATTAGGCCAAACTGAATATAGATATTTAATCTGGTTTCACAAACTCTTAAAATAATTTTCTGAGGAAACAATGATGAGGAATGTGTAGGAAAGGCAATGTTTCTATGCTAGCGGTACCAAACCTGGAACTTTAAGTATCATTTTTTAGCTCATTAACTATATAGAAGATTACTAAGACCAGTAAGGGAGCCATTTTCTTCCCCTCCTCTATTTTTATTACTTATCTCTCTCCTCTTTACTCTTAAAATTGGCAATCTTCTGACAACCCAAGCTAATAAAATAATATAGCTATATATAATTCAAATAACTAAAGAACTTTTGAGTCCATATATGCAGGATTTTTGAATACCTCACTACATTTGCTCTTATACCCTCACTGTCCTGGTATCATAAATATTATTAAGGGAAGATAACTTAGAAGGGGAAAGCAATTCCAACCTGGGATAAAAAAGTGATTACAAATAATTATCTTGTTGATAGTAAGGGCTTATGGTAACAAGTAGCTCTGATTTTTCACATAAAGATCCCCCCCCAAAAAAACAAAATACAAACAATTCCAGTTTTTTTCCCCCAGAATGTGACTTATTTCCATTATACAAAGCAGTATAACAAAATAAGCTCTCTTCTGCACAAAAAACGATTAATGGTTTATAAGACAAATAAGTAGAATGCTTCTCTTTGCCTTTAAATTAAAATACTATGAACCTAGGTAACAAAACATACATGGCTTTCTTCAAAAGGGCCACAAGATTTCTTCTGGTTATTGTGACAGCTACCCAATTTAATGGGAAATAACACTCAAGCAGTCATTTGGTAAGTTTCCCATGAATTTCAGCATTTACAGTGCCACAAACACAACTGCCACAATTATGACAACTCTCTGAAAAGCACAAATAAAGCAAATTTAAAACATTAATCCTCATAAGCAGTACAAGGCAGAACAAAAGTGCTGAGTGGTAGGAAAATGAATAAAAATTTCCTATCAGGAGAATAAAGTTTGTGTAAACTATCTTATATCCTGAAGATCACTTTAATGACCACCTATAAAATACAAAGTTTCCTAAATACTCTCTGATTTATAGATATTTCTCTTACAGTCCACTGCTCCTATAAAATTACAGCAAAAAATATTAAAATTATTTACCTTCTTCTTAAATATCCATGGCACTTGTCAAGTACATGCTACTGTGAATCTACTGGTCATTATATAATTTAAAAATAGTGAAAAACATCTGAGGGAGGTGGCTACAATAACGAACATGACATATCCTATAGTATTAGGCAGAGAAGCTATCCTAAAACAAAATGAAACAAAATCTTTACAATTCTGGGTACTCCAAAAACTAAAATATCCATGTTCTTCTGTGATTAAGAATGGGACTTATCTTAATATACCACAAGAGGCTCAGCTCTGTATGATGGAGACAACATTTTTATATTCATCAAGAAAGCTAGTAAGTAATACTAACTTGAAAAACTACCATCTCAAAATAAAGGTGATTGACTGAGCACCTTAAGAAATGGGGATTCTTTTGAGCTAATTGTGACCAAGTACTTGTCTATATGTGACCATAATTGACAAGAAATGAAATTATATCACAGAGCTACAGTAGTAAAATTTGATGAAGGAACCTGATATTAAAAACAGAACTAGAGATCCAAGGAAGAATTAAATTCTGCCAGACAATTCTGGCTTTTCCATCATATATAATATTGGAATAAAATCAAATATGAATAGTTTTACATATACAAAAAAATAAGGTAAACCAAGGCTATTTCCAGGCAGACAGTGAATATATATATGAAAAATAAAACAAAGGTAAACCCAGAAAATTTTGGACTTTTATACTATCATATGTGACTCAATCTAAAAGTTACTCCAGGAAAAAGGCAGAAGTGCTATTAATTATCATCATCTGGGAAGCTTTCACCCAAATGAGTTTTAATATTTTCCAGCAAACACAAGGCACTTGCTTAAATCTTTATCTACACAGCCATCAGACTCAAAGTCATGATGTGATTCCAATGTACCCGAATCTGAATAAAGCCACCTAGCATGTACCCCTGCATAAGTGTCTAGGTAAATAGATGGTTACTGAGTGTCTCCCCTACTCCTTCACCCAGTAACTATGTTGTTACAATTACTATCATTTACAATGGTGCTGATTTTCATTAAATTAACTGTAAAAAAAAAAAAAAGTCATGCTGCCAAGTATACTGATAGTAGAACTTATGTGTAAGATAGGCCTAACAGTCAGAAAATAAGACCTAAAACAAAAAGATACCCAAATGTTAGTTATCTGCATGATAAATTAACTAAAACAAGCCATGAAACAGCATCTGATAAGTGCTCTAACTCCGCCTTTTATTCCAGAAAAGTAACTGATGCCCTTACCAGAGTGAAGGTCCAGTGTAATAAGACAGAAAAAAGCCTTCTGCCCATGGTTTCTCTTCAGCTTTCTCTATATGGCAGCATTCCTTATAATAAACTTGCTCAATAGTTAAAATATAAGCAACATGAATCTAGAAGACAAGTTAAATAAGTATTTGGAGATTTTCTTTTAAAAAATAATTTAACATATCTCAGCACTCTTTAGCAGCTGGAGTACCAAAAAGAAGGCAATATTTCTCTCAATAAAAACAAAGAGAAGTTCGAGTAAAACCATACTTATGGTTTTTGTTCTAAAAGCAGCCAGTTTGGCTCAAGGCATAGCAGAAAGGGAATCCCTCTAAAGAGAGCTGCTATATTGGTGGCCACAAAAAAGGAAGACATCCAGTGGTAATAAATGCGGATCTCTTATTGCAAGAGAATAGTTTTAAAAATTCCTTTAAAAGGCAGTCAGTACTTTTAGTTAATGCTGTCTCTTACTGAGGTGTCCAACTCTACTTGTTTTTGTCCTGTAAATACAGCATTAGTTTTGACAGTGGCTAGCTAGCTACCCCCTCCAAATATATTTCAAAAGAATCAAGTATTTCCCACAAAATAATCACTGTATGTGCCTTTTCTGGGTGTACAATGTGCCACAGTAATACCCCAAAGAAGTAACTGGGAAGGTGAGAGGCAAGGAAGCACAGGTATTAATTTAGGGAATGAAACACTACCTGAGACAAAATTTGCCCAAAAGGGTAGGGGTTAAGTGACATGAACCCTCACCTCTTTACCCTTTCTCTCAAAAAGAAAATTTCTAGGTCTTTCAATAACTTCAATAAACCAAAATCCCTATGTATATATTTCATCCTAATCATGAAACTTGTATCTTTTGATATTTGGTTCAGGTTTAAGAAAGATAATATCACAGGAGGGAGGGGTAATCTGCTAATGTGATCTTTGGTAGAACGGGCTAAGAGCTATAAAATAATTTCAATCACAGGAGGCATTTCTTTTTCAATTCTCTGGCTTTAATATAAAACATCTAGCCAGGTGTGGTGGCAAGCGCCTGTAAACCCAGCTACTGGGGAGGCTGAGACAGGAGAATCGCTCAAACCTGCGAGGCAGAGGTTGCAGTGAGCCGAGATTGAGCCACTGCACTCCAGCCTGGGCAACAGAGCAAGACATCATCTCAAAACAACAACAACAACAACAAAAAATCTAATTAAATGCATGGTTAATTCAAGGCTCATCAATTATTCCCTCAGCTCCCTTAAAATCTAGTAACCATCTTCTGTAACAAAATTCTACAGTGTCAAGCACTAAATATATGTATGAATGTATCAGCAATAAGATGACAATCAAAGAATGCTGTGAAGATTGGCATCAAGATGTTAGCAGCATACTGCAGGACTAGGCTTAGAAGCCTACCTGCAGTTTATTTGTAAGGATTTTTCTTTTGGGGGCGGAGGGGAGAGAAAAGTAAATGTGCTAACTTAGGATACTTGCCCTTATAAAGAATTCCTTTGTATCCCATGTTCATCGTATTTAAGGACCTGATGTTTCTAATCACCACAAAATCTGCTACCCATATGAACATTTAGGAAAGTTTAGGTCTTCACAATACGGGTTCTGCCCACTTGAATTCTGACTTGAAAACAAACCAATTTATAATCAACTCCTGAAAGGGCCAAAATAAAAAATAATAGTTCTTCCTTCTAAGGGCATGTATTGGGGAACATGCCACAAGACCCTTTGGTAATTCATAAATCAGCCTCCTTATGCCAAATTTGGTTTCATAATAAACATTAAAGGAGAGTCCTGAATTTGACAATTATAAATAACTAAAATGTCAAACAATAATTGTTTGAATGGGGTAAAGTATTTCATTCTGTAAAATGCAAATTCTAACTGGACTCTCAGCAACCTGCATGGCAAACATAAGGAAATATGAGGAGGCTTCCAGCAGGGAAAGATAGAAGACTTTTTCCTTAGGAAAAAATAAATAAATAAAAAAATTAATAACCTGTATATAACTTGTCTTTTTTTTTTGGTATAATCAGTGCTTCATAAAGGCATCCTAATTTTTATATCTTTAAAGACAACCTACCATGAAATAAGAAGAATCCATAATTATAATTCTAAAAACCATGTAATCAACTTGTGTCCATGAACTCACGCATAGCAGCATCCTCTACTCAGGGACACATTATGTTGCTATGAATCCTTTTAAGAATTCTTTGAGTTTTTCTTCCTTTCTACTTCTACCTCATTATATCTACACCTTTCTTAACTACCTTGCAGTCAAAAGCCAAACTACCTGGGATGCTGCTCCTCTAGTTTGTCTTCAGCTAAGGATAGAGGCAAAGAATGAGGGAAGGGGAGGAAAAAGGGAGCAGGGATACGAGAAACAGAAAGGAAGAAAAAAGAATCCTTTTATTTTCCACCCTCTCTTCGCCCATTTTTTTTCTTTTCCCTTCACTGTACATCTAATTCTTTTGACCCACTTCAATTTTCATCATAGTAGGTAGAGCCACATCTTGAGAAACCTTAAAACTATAGATTTACTACAAAAAAGATGAGCTAATACAAAGTCTAAAGTAAACTAAAAGAGGGGTTGATTTACATCTGGCACAACTTAGTCTTTGTTCCAATCATTTTAGAAGTCTCAATTTAACTCCAGGCTAGACTCCAGTTTGTTCTGGGCCTCTCAGGAATTATGTTTTGTCATTTACATTGTATCAGACAGACTACCTCTCAAAAAATGTATATCTTAAATCTTACGGATGTGAAACAGGTAGGGAAGAAATAAGTATAGACTGTATTAGCTCACAGGATTCACACTATAAAGTACACTGACTCAAATTTTCTCTAATCATTCATACTCGCACATTCACTCAAGCATACATACTAGACATAAAAATTGTGCAAGATCAAGCATCAGCTTTCTATTTTAAAAGCCTTAATTTAAAAAAACTTAGATAGGCTCACTGCAGTTCCTTTAAAGGAATATTCAGTACTACAGTACTGCTTTAAGAAAAAATTCACAACTCAGTGTTAAGAACACAGTAGGTAACTGCTGCTTGACAATTACTTAACATTACTGAGAGCATCCAGTGCCAGCTTATGGATATCAACAATAAGGAAGAACCACTGGACAACATAAAGAAATAATCTGTAAATGATGTCACCAAACCTAACAAATTTGTTAGTATTTACCAAGACATGATATTATTCATCCTTGCTTCATGATCCATGAAATAATTAAGATTTTTTTAGGCTACATACTGAAGAGCAACACCTGCTCTCCCGCACAAAAAAGGGTTGCCCACATGGATGCTCTAAAACCCCTCAATGTATAGCTGAGAGGTCTTGTCCTACTCAGTGCCAAATGTATGCAACGCAGTCACTGCTTGGGCAATGGCTGCACATTAGTAGGATTAAATAAATGTATAAAGTACCTTCTTAAAATGGTAAGGGGGTAGTCCTGCATTCATATGTGGAATAACCCAAGAAATGGAAGAGGAGAAAAAGGAAACAGTCCTTAGGTTACTGATTAAAGCAAGGTTTGATACAGATATCCCCTCTTGTAGGCACTCAGCGGGTAGAATGTAGCCACAACAAACTTCCCATCAAACATCCTTCCAGTCAGTAATTTCTGCGCAGCTTTGGAATCACCAGCATTTGCATACTCAACAAAGACCTGAAAGAAGACAGAGAAAAAAACATTTCATTTCCACCAAGATTGTTTTAGACCAGTGCTTTACCACCTTTAATATATATACATCAACTGGAGATGTTATTAAAATGCAGATTTTGCTTCCTTAGGTCTGAGATGTCGCCTGAGTTTCTGTTCTAAACAAACTTCCAGGTGATGCCAATGCTGCTGGTCTATGAACTATACTTCAGGACAGCAAGGTTTAGAATACTTCCTCACAACTCAGCTCAACTTTGAAAAATCTCTCAAGGACAAGTTGTGTGAATCATGTACAATCTTTTGCTAAGGTCGTTACAGGAGTGATGAATAACACTAGACATCTGCCAAAGATACGGCTGAATAGCTCAGACAGCAACTGCATTTCAATGGTACCTGGATGATAATCTGTACTTTTAGCAGTGAAAAAGGAAAAAATATTGGTCAAAAGCTGCTGGAAATTGCACCTATTAGGAAGTACAATTTGGCTGGGTGCAGGGGCTCACTCCTGTAATCTGAGCACTTTGGGAGGCCAAGGCAGGTGGATCACGAGGTCGGGAATTCGAGATCAGCCTGACGAACACGGTGAAACCGTGTCTCTACTAAAAATACAAAAATTAGCTGGGCAAGGTGGCACACACCTGTAATCCCAGCTACCCAGGAGGCTGAGGCAGGAGAATCACTTGAACCCGGGAGGCGAAGGTTGCAGGGAGCTGAGATTGCGCCACTGTACTCCAGCCCGGGCAACAACAGAGCAAGACTCCATCTCAAAAACAAACAAACAAAATCTAACTGGGCGTGATAGCACATGCCTGTAATCCCAGCTACTTGGGAGGCAGAGTTGGGAGGATCACTTGAGCTCAGGAAGTCGAGGCTGCAATGAGCCAAGATCACGACACTGTATGTGCTCCAGCCTGGGTGACAGAGCAAGACCCTGTCCCCTCCCTGACCCCACCCCAAAAAGGAATAATGAATCTATTCCTGATTTTTTTTTTACCTGATTCTTAATTATGCCCAAACCTATAGAGCAAAGTTCGATAAATGAGTAGACATGCATTTATAGAAGGAATATCATGTTTTCTATCATACTCCTTGCTTCAGATAGGCTATACTTTTCTATACTACACCATCCCACACTAAGAAAGGCATCTTATTTTTATAAATTATGAAATTAATAGGGCTGTATCATTTTAATTCTGATTATTTTTATAATTGCATTATCAGATGCATTCATTATTTTTCAGTGTTTTTTGTAACATTCCTTATAAAATCATGTTTGCTTGAATTAAAAATTCAAATGAAGAATGGCTTCGACAACTAGGTAATGGACATTTTCAAAAGCCTAGATAGATTAAATCTGTGATTCCAAGAGTTTATCAAAAGCTG
Source organism: Homo sapiens (assembly GCF_000001405.40). NCBI lineage: Eukaryota > Metazoa > Chordata > Mammalia > Primates > Hominidae > Homo > Homo sapiens. The sequence goes on along the minus strand of NC_000001.11, from coordinate 162,521,026 downwards.
CTTTCACTCTCCTTTAAATGTCAGTGAAAACTTCTCAAAATAGCAACTTTCCTCTCACTGATACTTTTTTCATATCATCTTAAACCTGGATACTTCTCTCTGGAAAAGACTTCTCCTGTCTCTCTATTCTGTATCTTCCACTTCATTTTGACCACTGGGGCTAATATTGAGTCAGATCATGTCAGTCCTTCATTCGAAATCTTCCAATACCTCGCCCTAGTTCAGAATAAAAGCCAATGTAATCTCAATACTCTACCCAGCTCACTCTACTTAATAAGCCCCCTACCACTCCCTAATCTCTCTGATCTAATCTCCTACTATTCTTCTTTCTCACTCTGCTACAGCCACATTGGCCTCCTCAAATCTGCCAGGAATACTCAGGGCCTTGGATCTTGCTGTTCCTTTTGCCTAACATTCTCTTCCTCGCTTCCCTCAAATCTTGATTCATATGACCTTCTCAGATGTCCTTCCCTACTAACCCATTTAAAAGTGCAACCCACCCTACCTACCCCAGCACTCCTTAAGTTTCTTCCTTAATCTGTTTTTCTCCCTAGCACTTATCACCACACTTTTAAAAATCTGATTTGACCACTTTTACAATGGGTACCTAGAACATAATAAATGCTCAATAAATATCAGTTAAATGACTAAACAGCAAGGATACAATTATACATATTAGTATTCAGTACGTGATACTAAATGTAAAACTATTATCACTAGTTTGGCAATAACTTTTCATTAGGACTAGAATAAAACTGTGCTCATATTTTTGTTTTCATATTTTTTCAGTTGTCAGGAATGTTCATAATACTAAGCTATTAAGATAAAATTATAGCTGGGCACAGTGGCTCACGCCTTTAATCCCAGCACTTAGGGAGACTGAATCGGGTTGGATCTCTTGAATTCAGGTGTTCAAGACCGCCCTGGACAACATAGCAAAACCTCGTTTCTACAAAAAATTAGCCAGGTGTGGTGGCACATGTGCTTGTAGTTCCAGCTACTCGGGAGGCTGAGGCAGAAGGATCACTTGAGCCTGGAAGGTAGAGGTTGCAGAGAGCTGAGACTGCACCACTGCACTCTAGCCTGGGAAACAGAGTGAGACCCTGTCTCAAAAAAAAGATACAATAAAATAATCCACCACCAGAGATGACTTCACCCCCTAGAGGACAGACATCTGGCAGTGTCTAGAGACATTTTTTTTGTTCAAAGTGGGTAGAAATCAGGAAAGCTGTTAAACGTTCTATAGTGTAGAGGACAGCTACTCCAACAAAAGAATTATCAGGCTCAATGTCAATAGTGTCAAGAATGAGAAACCCTAAGGTAAAGCAAACCAAAATTCTATCTCTCAAAAAATAAAAATACTACAAATAAATATCTTCTTACATTCTTTGTCATATAATTTAATTTGGAATTAGAGTTTCTAAAGAAAATGCGGTGATAACAGTTTTAGCCCACACATTTTAAAGATGAAGAAAATGAGGATCATCACAAAGCTAATCATATTGAGGCTAGAACTCAGGTTCAAGAATTCTCAGTCCAGCACACTTTCCTTCTTTAAACTATCACTGATAGTTTCTATTACAATTAGAACCTAACCTAATTGGCTTTCTAACTCTACCTAATTAGAACAAAATTAGACTAAAACATTTCTCCAGCTGAACCTGAAATAAAGCATGATTTAGCAGTTGGTGTTACTGTTTTTTTTTTTTTTAAGATGGAGTCTCGCTCTGTCACCCAGGCTGGAGTGCCATAAAGCAATCTCAGCTTGCTGCAGCTCAGCCTCCCAAGTTCAAGCAAATTTCCTGCTCAGCCCCCTGAAGAGCTGGGACTATAGGCACCTGCCACCACATCTGGCTAATTTTTGGTATTTTTAGTAGAGAGGGGGTTTCACCACGTTGGCCGGGCTGGTCTCAAACTCCTGACCTCAGGTGATCCACACGCCTCGGCCTCCCAAAGTGCTAGGATTACATGCATGAGCCACCTCACCTGGCCTGGTGTTACTGTTTACAGTGGCTCAAAAGTAGTTTTTTTTTTTTTTGAGATGGAGTCTCACACTGTTGCCCAGGCTGGAGTGCAGTGGCATGACCTCCACTCACTACAACCTCCACCTCCCAGGTTCAAGCGATTCTCCTGCCTCAGCCCCTCCAAGTAGCTGGGATTAGAGGCATGCGCCACCATGCCCAGCTAATTTTTTGTATTTTTAGTAGAGAAAAGGGTTCACCATGTTGGCCAGGCTGGTCTCAAACTCCTGATCTCGTGATCCGCCTGCCTCGGCCTCCCAAAGTGCTGGGATTATAGGCGTGAGCCACTGCGCCCAGCCAAAAGTAGTTTTTTTTTTTGAGATGAAGTCTCACTCATTTCTCCTGGCCCAGGCTGGAGTGCAGTGGCAGGATCTTGGCTCACTGCAACCTCTGCCTCCTGAGTTCAAGTGTTTCTCCTGCCTCAGCCTCCCAAGGAGCTGGGATTACAGGCATGTGCCACCACGCCTGGCTAACTTTTGTATTTTCAGTAGAGACAGGGCTTCACCATCTCTGAACTCCTAACCTCAAGTAATCCACCCACCTCAGCCTCCCAAAGTGCTGGGATTACAGGCGTAACCACCACACCCAGCCAATATTTAAAAAAAAAAAAAATTTTAAGTGCTAAAAAAATGCAAGCATATTATAGAACTTTTAGAAGAAGTAAAAAGTACAAGTCAGAATATAAAAATCATTAAAATGCAAAACTCATAATCCTTAGCAAAATTTTGTTGTACATCTTCCTACAGAACTAAAACATTTAACACAGAATTTTAATAACCTCTGAGTAATCTGCAATTATGAAAATATTCACTTACTTGTCCTCTGCCAGGATTTTCCTTTGGAACAAGTAGAGATACCACTGGTCCATATTTTTGACACTCCTCTTTTACATCTTCTACAACATCTGATTATTAAAACACATAACAGTAACTGCTCTGATATAATAAACAAGTATTCAACATTTTAAATTTTTTAATCATCAAAGAATTCAGGAATACATAACTAGTAATGAGGTCATTTTATGTCTTGAATAGTTGACATTCAAATGATTCAAAATTATAAATAATAGTCTTCCACCTTCTACTCTCCTTGAAGGCAACACATAGTATCAGTTTCTTTTCTTTTTTTTTTTAGACAGAGTCTCGCTGTCCCCCAGGCTGGAGTGCAGTGGCGTGACACTGCAACCTCCGCCTCTCGGGTTCAAGCGATTCTTCTCCCTCAGCCTCCCGAGTAGCTGGGACTACAGGCGTGCACCACCACACCCAGCTAATTTTTGTATGTTTAGTAGAGATGGGGTTTCACCATATTGGCCAGGCTGTTCTCGAACTCCTGGTTTTGTGATCCGCCCACCTCAGCCTCCTAAAGTGCTGGGATTACAGGCGTGAGCCACTGCGCCTGGCCAATTTCTTCTGTATTCTGCCATTATTATAAACTTATATACAAGCAAATATGAAATTATAAAAATACCTTGCTTTTTATATTAAATATGTCCTTTAAGATATTTCCAAATTATCACATAAAATTTTCTCATTTGTTTTAATGGTTATGAAATATTTTATTCTATGAATATTCAATATATTATATACTATGTCCAGTACTGATTAGACAATTTCCAAACTTTTACCATTAAAAACAGTACTGCAATAGATAACCCCCCTATGCATATCTCATTTCATTTGTGTATTTCTTTCTTTCCTTTTTGTTTTTTGAGATGGAGTCTTGCTCTGTTCCCAGGCTGGAGTGTAGTGGCACGATCTCGGCTCACTGCAACCTCCACCTCCCGGGTTCAAGTGATTCTCCTGCCTCAGCCTCTCAAGCAGCTTGGATTATAGGCATGTGCCACCATGCCCAGCTAATCTTTGCATTTTTAGTAGAGACAGGGTTTCACCACGTTGGTCAGGCTGGTCTCAAACTCCTGACCTCAGGTGATCCATCTGCCTTGGCCTCCCAAAGTGTTGGGATTACAGGCGTGAGCCACTGCGCCCAGCCTCACTTGTGTATTTCTAAGTTGACATTCTAGAAATAGAAATGCTGGGTCAAAATTGACATAAATTTATAATTTTTCCAATTTGCTTTCCATAAAAGTTTACCAATGTAAACTTTCTCTAGTAATGTACAAAAATGTTTCCTTATACCCTTACCCACAAGAGGATAATCAAATGTTTCATCACTGTCAATGTGTTTGATGGGTAACAAAGATATTGCAGTTTGGCTCTAATTAGCATTTCAATAATAATAGAGAGTAAAAGCATATGTGTAAAATACTTGTCTACTTCCTTTTCCATAAACTGTAATAAGAGCTATAAATATTTTTTCTTTAAACTATAAATATTTTTTCTTTAAACTATCCTTTGTCTTTTAATCTTTCTTAGGGTGATTTTTGTCAGGGTTGATTTTGTTCAATGCTTATTATACTGCTTCTGAGTTTTTTGCCATATTCAAAAAAGGCCTTTCCAACTTCAGGAATATTAAAACACAAAATTCTACGATGTCTTTTTATATTAAAAAAGTATCTCCTTCCTACCTGCCCTACTTCCTTCCCTCATCCCTTTCTTTTTTCCCTTCCTCCCTACTTCATTCCCTTGTTTTAGTATTTTAATCTATACTTGATTTGAAATTTAATTTGGTCTATAATGTAAGGTTTAACTTCCTTCCCTGCCTCTATCAAGATTACAAGACAGCTGTTCCAACACATACCATAATTTCTAGCTAAGAAACTTGTTATTTCATGATGACCCTGTTCATCAGAAGTAACAAAGGTATTTAATGGTACCGTATTGTCTGCTGCACTTTGGTTCACTTCAGATTCTTAAACACTAAGATTCAATAGCAACATTTAAACAAAATTTAAAGACTCCGTGTATTTAAAAGTGGAAAAAAAGTCACAGCAAGATAGAGGAGGAGGGTTATATGGTTGTCTAAAGGTTTATTCAAAAACAGGCCAAGCTTCAGTTTTGTTGTTTTTTTTTTTTGAGACGGAGTCTCGCTCTGTTGCCTAGGCTGGAGTGCAGTGGTGCCACCTCGGCTCACTGCAAGCTCCGCCTCCCGGGTTCATGCTATTCTCCTGCCTCAGCCTCCCGAGTAGCTGGGACTACAGGCGCCCGCCACCACGCCCGGCTAATTTTTTGTATTTTTAGTAGAGACCAGGTTTCACCATGTTAACCAGGATGGTCTCGATCTCCTGACCTCGTGATCCATCCGCCTCGGCCTCCCAAAATGCTAGGATTACAGGCATGAGCCACCACGCCCGGCCAAGCTTCAGTTTTAAAGAGATAAAAATTATTAGGAGTAGACAGAATGAGGTGATGAAGACAGCAGGTCTTTACAAAGACGAAGACTAAAAGGACCTAAGTAGTATTCTGAACTGATTCCAAGAAATTCAGAGCCATTGTACCTTCGTAACCTGAAACAATGCTGAGGGCAAGACTTTCTTTCAGACAGACAACCTGAAAACTCAAGACTCTTAAAATGGTCACAGACTCAAAGAAATTACAGTTCTCTCACTACACTGTAGGGATATGAAATCATTTACAAGAGGTACTGTCATATAATTAGCCTTATCTGTAACATTTTAATTTTCTACAAGGAGAATATTTAATATTAAGCAATTGATATTTTTAAATAGAAAAATAAGAGCTTTAGAGATATACAGACCTAAATATCTGGCTTTAAAAATATTTACTAGCTTTGTGAATAAACCTAAGTTTACTTCCATTATCTATAAACTGGAAAAATAACTACTACCTCTCAAATAATATATATAAAGTACTAGGCACAAAGTAAGTGTTAAGCCAGAGAACAAGAAACAAAGTAAAAGGAAAAGGAAACATAAAATAAAGCTTTCTGTTTGCTGTTTTAAATTTTTTTCTATTTTAAATATTAAGAGGACATAAAACTGATATAATTTATGGGCAGAAGATAGAGAAATTAAAAATAGGTCAAGAGTCTAGAGGATATTTGAGCATCATTTGTTAGCAAAATAATAGTTAAGACCTGAAAGTAAATAAAATAATAGGAAAAAATTAGAGAAGTCCAAAATTGAGTGCTGAAGGACATATACAGAAAACATTTGGTTACTATGCAGGAACATCACTAACTTCCTACCTACTTTTACTTATAACTTACGTAACTTAGATACAGCCACACCAAAATTCTTTCTCTTCCAACCTATTTCAGTGAGTACAGGAGGTATTCCTCTTGTCCAAAATGAATCCCCAAGGTCTGCTTTTTCTCTTTTATTCCTTACCTCTTTAACTAGGACCACCATCTGCCAAGTGGTTTAATTCAGATGCCTCATGCAAAACCCCAACCTGCCTCACTTCTTGCTCTCATATCCACTTAGTCACTGCATTTAGATAGATTGGCTCCTTGCAAATTATTTCTCCTTCCTTCTTTCCTTCCTTCCTACAATAAATATTTGAGTGCCTACTGTGTGTCAGTGCTATTAATATAGCAATAAACAAAACAAACCAGATTGTATTCTAGTGGTTAATAATAGGTAATATTTGTTGAGTGTTTACTATTTGCCAGGCATGGTTCTAGGAAATGTTTATACATTATTTAATTTTCACAACAACTCTACAAGATAGGTACTATTTATTATCTCCATTTTATAGATGAGGAAACTATAGTTTCCTTCTTTTGCAAAAAACTGCAAAGAAGCTAGTAAGTGAGAGACATCATGTAAACTCAGTCTACCCTCTTTTTTTTTTTTTTCCAGAGATGGTCTCACTCTGTTGCCCAGGCTGGAGTGCAGTGGTGCAATCTCGGGTCACTGCAACCTCTGCCTCCTGGGTTCAAGTGATTATCCCACCTCAGCCTCCCGAGCAGCTGGGATTATAGGCATGTGCCACCACGTCCAGCTAATTTTTGTTAAGCCTACACTCTTAACCGCTACACAAAATTGTCTCTCTAGTACTAGTAACAATAGGTTGATGCAAATGCTTCACAACTGTTGTCCTTGGTCTAAGTTTGGCCCTGTTTTAGTCCACTCCCTCTCTGTTTCCAAAATGTCCCTACTAAAATACAGGTTTGACTATGTCATTCTCCAATTTAAAATTATTTAATAAACTCCTTACTGCATTCAACAAAGAACAGATAGGTATTGAATACTTAATCATAAACTAGATATTATTCTATACCTGACGCAAAGTTCTTCACATATCTGTATTTTGGTGTTACTATCTCTCGGATAAAATCCAAATTCTTAAACATAGCAAACTCGTCTGTACTCTGGCTACCTCGTTAGCTTTAACTGATTGCTCCCCAACAAATATCTTAAGATACAGTCATACCAATTTGCTGTTTTCTGACACTTTCATATCTATGTGTTTGTGCTACTTACTTCCTAACCCCTCAACTTTTAGTCAAGCAACTCCAAATTACTGAGCTCAGATATAACGTCTGTAGAGAAGCATTCACCAGTTACTAAGATTGGGTTAAGTACTTGTCCTTTCTGCCATTGTATAGTACCCTATCTTCAGATTATCACAACTATAATTGTTTATGTAGCCGTATCCCCTACTATACTAAAGACGGGAAGTAATCCCACAACAGCACATAGTAAATACTCAGTTAATATGTCTTAAATGAATGAATGTTAAAAGCAAAAAAGAGAGCTAAAATGGAGAAATGCAAGCATAGGGAAAGGCTAGAAGAGACAGACCAGAGAGATAGAAGTTGTTGGGAAAATTAATCTTCTTCATTAACTGGGTAAAGATGAAACGTAAAAGAGTCAAAAGGACATTATGAATTAAAAAGTGAGAGGGCTGGGCACAGTGGCTCACACCTGTAATCTCAGCACTTTGAGAGGCTGAGGTTGGTGGATCACCTGAGGACAGGAGTTCGAGACCAGCTGACCAATATGGTGAAACCCCGTCCCTACTAAAAATACAAAATTAGCCAGGTCTGGTGGCACATGCCTGTAATCTCAGCTACTTGGGGGGCTGAGGCTTGAACCCAGGAGGCAGAGGTTGCAGTGAGCTGAGATCGTGCCACTGCACTCCAGCCTGGGCAACAAGAGTGAAACTCCGCCTCAAAAAGATAAAAGTGAGAGTATATTAGAGATCATATTGTTCAATATTCTCATTAGATAAATTGAGAAATATGAAAATGTTACGGATATGTTTATTCTAGACTTATTTAAGAAAGACACATTAAAATATAATTTAGAAAACACTAACCTTCATATTCCTCTTCATTCTCAAGATAATCATCATCCAGCACATTCAGCAGTCTTAGCACTGGAGTGGGAAGCATGACCAGATCTTCAATATGAGGGGCTGTTAAAATTCATCATAATATGGTTAAATGTAAATCCCCCCAAATAAGTTGAACACCAGATAAAGGAACTTGTGAATATAAATTAGTGCTGATGTCTTGTATGACTGTCAAATGACCAAGAAAAAAATAAAAGAATACACAACTTACCAAAAGGAATGCTAAAGAATGGGCTGCACAATGCCATTTCAGCAGGAATTCTTCTGCTTGGATCATCATGAAGCATGCTAAAACACAAAAATAGGTGCCTTATCATTTCTGCTGAATCTTTTGAAAATGCAACCATTAAAGAAAGTAAGAATGTCTGAATGTTCATCACAGCATTAATTATATTAGCATGATTTATTGAATCATTCACTTATAAATACAAATGCTATTTATTAGTAAATGGTTTAGTAATTCATGATACATACCTATGACATTATACTGTGATTTAAAATAACACTTTTGATTAATAAATGAAACACTGCAAAGTGATCCACACTCTGTAACAGTGAGTGACAAAAAAGACACAGATTTAGGGTAACACAATTAAAAAAAAAAGATATCGGTGGGATGATTGTTGAATCTCATCAAATTTCTCTAATAATAAAGCAACTAGATAGCAAAACCAAAAACCCATGGACAATATCTATAACAAAAACCATAAGGACACCCTAAATAGCCAAAATAATCTTGAGAAAAAAGAACAAGGCTGGAAGCACTATACTACCTGACTTCAAAAAAGTTCTATGAAGCTACAGTAACCAAAACAGCATGGTATTGATATGAAAACAGACACACAGACTGATGAAACAGATCAGAGAGCCCAGGGAAAAAAAAATATTTACAACCAACTGATTTTCAACAAAGGTGCCAAGAAAACACAATGGGGAAAGGACAGTATTTTCAATAAACGGTGCTGGGAAAAACTGGATATTAACACGCCAAAGAATAAAATTAAACCCTTATCTCTGACCTACACAAAAATCAACTCAAAATGGATTAACAATTTAAATGTAAGACCCAAAACTACTAGAAGAAAACAAGAGAAAAGCTGCACAACATTGTTCTGAGCACTGAATTTTTGAATATAACTTCAACAGCACAAGCAACAAAAACAAAAACAGACAAATGGGATTATATCAAACTAAAATCCTTCTGCACAGCCAAGGAAACAATGAACAGGGTGAAGAGACAACTTACAGAATGGGAGAAAATATTTACCAACTATACATCTGCTAGGGGAGTAATATACAAGATATATAAGGAACTCAATTTGGCTGGGTGTGGTAGCTCACATCTGTAATCCCAGAACTTTGGGAGGCAGAGGTGGGAGGACTGCTTGAGCCCAGGAGTCCGAGACCAGCCTGGGCAACATGGCAAGATCCTCTCTCTACAAAAAAATTTAAAAATTAGCTGGTGTGGTGGCATGCATCTGTAGTTCCAGGATCACTTGACCCTATGAATTCAAGGCTGCAGTGAGCCATGTTTACACCACTGCACTACAACCTTGGCAACAGAACGAGACCCTGTCTCAAAAAAAAAAAAAAAAAAAGAAAAAGAAAAAAGAAAAAAAGAGCTCAAATAACTTTATAGCAAGGAAACAAATAGCCCAATTAAAAAATGGGCAAAAGACCTGAACAAACATTTCTCAAAAGAACACATAAAAATAGCCAACAGTATATGAGAAATGCTCAATATCGCTAATCAACAGGAAAATGAAAAACCAAAACCACAATGAGGTATCACCTCATACCTATTACAATAGCTATCATCAAACAGACAAAAGACATAAAGAAAAGGGAATCCGTACACATTGTTGGTGGGAATATAAATTAGTAAAGCCATTATGGAAAGTAGTATGGAGGCCCCTTAAAAAAAATTTTTAAAAAAGAACTACCAGCAATCCCACTACTGGGTATATATCCAAAGGAAATGAAATCAGTATGATGAAGAGATACCTGTAGGCCCACGTTTGTTGCAGCACTATTCACAATATACAAGATATGGAATCAACCTAAGTATCTATTAACAGATAAGTGTTCATTTCTTGCATGTTAGCTTAAAAAAAAAATTAAAAAACAGATGTGTAAAAAGTAAAAAAAAAACAAAAAACACAGATGAGTAAAAAAAGAAAATATGATATATATATACACAATGGAATACTATTCAGCCACTGAAAGGAGCAAATCCTGTCATTTTCAACACAGATGAACCTGTAGGGCATCATGTTAAGTGTTATAATAAGCCAGGTCCAGAAAGACAAATACAGCATGATCTCACTCATATGTGAATTCTAAAAAGTGTTGATGTCACAGAAGTAGAGAGAAGAATGGTGTTACCAGAGGCTGGGTGGGGGCGTTAGAGGAGAGAGGAGTTTGGGGAGACATTGGCCAAAGCCAAAAGATGCCTAATTACAGTTAGATAGAAAGAATAAGTTCAAGAGATCTACTGCACAACATGGTGATTCTAGTTAATGATGATATATTGGATTCTTGAAAAACATAGGGAGTGAATGTTAAGCACTCTCATCACAAAAAATAACTATGTAAAATAATGCATTTGTTCATTAACTAGATTTAATCATTCCATTATGTATATATACTTTAAAACACGTTGTACATGATACATACAATTTTATGTCATTAAAAAAAGAAGACCGAGATGCTGTTATAGTCTAATAAAATTAATGTATCTCTATATAGCTACTGAAGTGTTTGTGGCATAAAAAGACCATTATTTCCTTATTGTAAGTAAGCATTTATAAAGTAAAAATAAGCCACTTAAAAAACAAAAACTAGGCCAGGCGTGGTGGCTCACGCCTGTAATCCCAGCAATTTGGGAGGCAGAGGTGGGTGGACCACTTCAGGTCAGGAGTTTGAGACCAGCCTGGCCAACATGGTGAAATCCCGTCTCTACTAAAAAATACAAAAAATTAGCCAGGCATGGTGCTGTGCACCTGTAGTCCCAGCTATTTGGGGAGGCTGAGGCAGGAGAATCACTTGAACCTGGGAGGCGGAGGTTGCAGTGAGCCGAGATCGTGCCACTGCACTCCAGCCTGGGCAACAGAGTGTGACTCCATCATACACACACACATACGAAAAAAAACCTATAGTGCCAAACTATCAATAGTTGTAAGATTTGCACTATATTGGCATCTATGTGTAAGAAGGCAGAGGAAAGCTACAATTGATCTGATGAACCAGAAAAAAAATAAACCCAAACAGCCAAAAGGTACTCACTGGACTGCACAGCAAGATGCTGGAGAAAAGCAGCTGAAACTATAAGGGGTTATACATTCTAATACTAAGTGAATACAAGCAGTTCTTTGTAAAATCATAAGAGGTTGGAGTAATCTAGACACTAAGACCTCTTAAAACTAACCAGCCAAAGCTTTCTTTCAGTGCAAAGTCCCACAGTGAGAAGAAATCTTGGGAACACAATCCAAATTGAGCAGGATGAGGGGAGAGAGAGAGGCACCAGAAAAAAGCAGAAGAGAAGAGCCAGGAGATCTCTGAAAAAAGCCACTTTTTGGGGAATATTATACAAAACAACAGAAGAGGGAGCCCTATATAAGAAAAGTTATCCCAAGTATATTTTCTTTAAGTTTAGGAAAATAATTTTCACATAAAAATGGGCAACATAAAAAGGATTATAACTGACTGTGCGTGGTGGCTCACGCCTGTAATCCCAGCACTTTGGAAGGCAAAGGCAGGAGGATTACTTGAGCCCAGGAGTTCAAAACCAGCCTGGGCATCATAGTGTGACTTTGTCTACAAAAAAAATAAACCAGGCATGGTGGTGTATGCCTGTGGTCCCAGCTACTTTGGAGGCTAAGGTGGGAGGATTGCTTAAAGCTGCAGTGAGCTGTGATCACACCATGGCACTCTAGCCTGGGTCACAGAGTGAGACCCTGCCTTGAAAGAAAAGAAAAGAAGAGAAAGAAAAGTATCTATTGTACAAAAAAAAAACTGCAAAATGATAAATCTCAGATAATGTATGCCAGAAAGATATGACCATTATAATCTACTTTTTTTTTTTTGAAGACAGAGTCCTGCTCTGTCACTCAGGCTGAAGTGCAGTGGTGCAATCTTGGCTCACTGCAACCTCCGCCTCCAGGATTCAATCGATCCTCCTGCCTCAGCCTCCAGAGTACCTGGGATTACAGGCAGATGCTGCTAGGCCCAGCTAAATTGTGTTTTTAGTAGAGACGGGATTTCACCATGTTGGCCATGCTAGTCTGGAACTCCTGACCTCAAGTGGTCTGCTCACCTCAACCTCCCAAAGTGCTGGGATTATGGGTGTGAGCCTACCATTTCAAAATGAGCTAAATGGCCAGGCGTGGTGGCTCACGCTCATAATCCCAGCACTTTGGGAGGCTGAGGCAAGCAGATCACTTGAGGTCAGGAGTTCCAGACTAGCCTGGCCAACATGGTGAAACCTTGTCTCTACTAAAAACATGAAAATTAGTTGGGCCTGGCAGCATCCGCCTGTAAGCCCACCTACTCAGGAGGGTGAGGAGGGAGGAACGCTAAAACCTGAGAGGCGGAGGTTGCAGTGAGCACTGTGCCACTGCACTCCAGCCTGGGTGACAGAGTGAGACTTTGTCTTCTCCTCCCCCTGCAAAAAACTCAAATGAGCTAGACATTTTTAAAAAACGATATAAGATGTGAAAGAGCAACAGAAAAAAAATTGAAAATCACAAAAATAAGGTAATAGAACTCAGGAAAGAATTAGACATTTTAAAAATCATTTCATAAAATAAAATTACACTATAAGAGATACAAGGATGAATAAACATAACAAATAATGTCTTAAAGAGTAGGCAAAAAGGAGGATATTTTTAAAAATAAAAAAGAGGCGGGGCACGGTGGCTCATGCCTGTAATCACAACATTTGGGGAGGCCGAAGCAGGCGGATCACGAGTTCAGGAGATCGAGACCATCCTGACTAACATGGTGAAACCCTGTCTCTACTAAAAATACACAAAATTAGCTGGGTGTGGTAGCGGGTGCCTGTAGTCCCAGCTACTCGGGAGGCTGAGGTAGGAGAATGGCGTGAACCCGGGAGGCGGAGCTTGCAGTGAGCCGAGATCACGCCACTGCACTTCAGCCTGGGCGACAGAGTGAGACTCCGTATCACAAAAAAAAAGAAAAAAAAAAAGAAAGAATGGGTTGGGGGTGGTGGCTTATGCCTGTAATCCCAGCATTTTGGGAAACTGAGGCTGGAAGGTCACTTGAGTTCAAGACCAGCCTGGCACATGGTGGGACCTCGTCTCTTAAAAAAAGAAAGGAAAAAGAGATAATATAGAATCAAGATAAAATGGCAGCTGGGCGTTGTGGCTCACGCCTGTAATCCCAGCACTTTCGGAGGCCAAGGCAGGCGGATCACGAGATCAGGAGTTCAAGACCAGCCTGGCCAATATGGTGAAACCCTGTCTCTACTAAAAATATAGAAATTAGCCAGGCATGGTGGCAGTAGCCTGTAATCCTAGCTACTTGGGAGGCTGATGTGGGAGAATTGCTTGAACCCAGGGGACAGAGGTTGCAGTGAGCCGAGATCATGCCACTGTACTCCAACCTGGGCAACGAGCAAAAACTCCGTCTCAAAAAAAAAAAAGAAAGGAAAAAATGGCAACATTGAATATAAGGCAAAGAAAATCAAACGTATGTAGACGAGGAGGACATGAAAGTGAAAACCAAAAAGAACAGAAAAAATATTTAAAAACTGTAATTTAAGAGACATACCGTATTTCTGAGAATATTGACCCAGAACAATCAAAATCAAAATATATTTTGATAAAATTACTATACATGGAAGAAAAAGTTAAAATCCTCTGGGCATCTAGACAAGAAGACCAAGTGACTCTTTTTTTTTTCTTGAGACAGAGTCTCCCTCTGTAGCCCAGGCTGAATTGCAGTGGCACGATCTTAGCTCACTGCAACCTCCACCTCCCAGGTTCAAGCAATTCTCTGCCTCAGCCTCCTGAGTAGCTAGGATTATAGGCACGTGCCACCAGGCCCGGCTACTTTTTTTGTATTTTTAGTAGAGACGGGGTTTCACCACCTTGGCCAGGCTGGAAGACCAAGCGACTTTTAATGAAAAGGCAATTACTGAGTCATCAAACTTTCAACAGAAACACATGCAGTAATATATAGGACACTCAAGGAAACAAAAATGTATGAGATTGGGATGAGACACATACAGGACTTCCAGGGTGACAGGAAAAGTTTTATTTCTTGGTGTGAATGGTAGTTACAAGATGGGTACAATGTTCCTACAGATTAAGCTACACATTTGTTTAATTAGTGTTTTTAGTGTCTGTGCTTTATTCAACAACAGCAACAAAAAAGGTTCAGCGACTTGCATGCATATATAATGCAATATGCAGAAAAATAGTGGAAGGAAATATACCAAAGTGCTAACACTAGAATGTGGGTTTATAATTTTTATTTTCCTCATGATGACTTTCTATAGTTTCCAAATTTAGTATTCTATGTAAAATGGTGGGGGGGGGGGGGCTATTATTTAAAAAAAATAAAAATAAGAAAGTCAATACTAGAACTTAGATGAAAATTTAACTTCCAGGCTAGAATCCATTTTATAATTTTTCATTCCCATCTCTTCAATGTAAAATGCAATTTATAATATCTCATATCAATCAGATACTAACAGCTATTTAAAACTAATTTGAAAAACACACACAAGTAAGTATGCGTAAAACTGGTGAAATAGGAATAAATCATGTGGATTATACCTATTTCAATTTACTGGTTTTGATACTGTATATACTACAGTTATGTAAAAAGTTACCACTGGGGGAAACTGGGTAAATGGTAGGGACCTCTCTGTAACATTTTTGCAAAGTCCTGTGAGTCTGTAACTATTTCAAAGTAAAGAGTTAATAAAACTAACTTAAAGGTTTATAGGGCCAATATTCAAAGGAAACTATACTACTCTAACTCAGACAAGGGATCCATACTTTTCTAGCATACTAATTATTTTATTCACTTCCAGTCCATAGTCTAGAAATCTGAAAAACCTACTATTTAATAATACAGTCATATACTGCACAATGACGTTTTGGTCAACAATGGACCACATATATGACAGCGATCTCATAAAATAATACTGAGCTGAAAAATTCCTATCGCCTAGCGACATCGTAGCTATCATAATGTCCTATCGCAACACATCACTCACATGCTTGTGGTAATGCAGGTAATGCAGGTGTTGCGGTAGGACATAGATGTAAACAAAACTACTGTACTTGATAATGACAATACATAGCTGTGTTACTGGCTTATGTATTTATAACTATATATTTTTTTATTCCTACTTTAAAGTACATCGCCCTCCCCCAAAAAGTTGACTGTAAAATAGTCTCAGGCAGGTCCTTTGTGAGGTATTCCAAAAGAAGGCATTGTTAACATAGGAGATGACAGCTCTATGCATGTTACTGCCCCTGCAGACATTCCAGTAAGACAATATGTGGAAGTGGAAGACAATGATATTGATGATCCTGACCCTGTGTAGGTCTAGGCTAAGGTGTGCTTGTGTCTCAGTTTTTAACAAAAAATTTTAAAAGTAAATAAGATAAAGAAAAATTAAAGTTTATAAAGTAAAAAAGTTACAGTTAAGCTAATTTATTATAGAAGAAAAAAAATTTTGGCCAGAAGCGGTGGCACACACCTGTAATCCCAGCACTTTGGGAGGCTGAGGCAGACAGATCACTTGAGGTCAGGAGTTCGAGACCAACCTAGCCAACATGGTGAAACCCCGTCTCTACTAAAAATACAAAAATTAGCCGGGCATGGTGGCATGCACCTGTAATTCCAGCTACTCAAGAGGCTGAGGCACAAGAATCGCTTGAATCTGGGAGGCAGAGGTTGCAGTGAGCCAAGATTGTGCCACTGCACTCCAGCTTGGGTGATGGAGTGTGACTCTGTCTCAAAAAAAGGAGAAAAAATTTTAAAATAAATTTAGTGTAGGCAAAGTATACAGTGTTTACCCTTAGTCTTATAGTGTACAGTAATGTCCTAGGCCCTCACATTCACTCACCACTCACTCACTGAATTACCCAGAGCAACTCCAGTCCTGCAAGCTCTATTCATGGTAAAGTGCCCTATAAGGTATACCATTTTTAATCTTTTATACTGTATTTTTACTGTATCTTTTCTATGTTTAGACACAATACTTACCATTGTATTACAACTGTCTATAGTATTTGGTACAGTAACACGCTATATAGGTTGTAGCCTAAGAGCAATAGACTGTGCAATATAGCCTAGGTGTGGGCAGAAGTCTGTATCATTTACATTTATGTAAGTACTATATGATGTCAGCATGGCAAAATCACCTAATGACATATTTCTCACAACAGATCCCTACTGTTAAATGACACGACTGTACACATTTGTATTTTCAAAATATCTATTGTTTTCGGATCTATTCAGATATCAGAAAAACTGTATCTGTCCCCAGACCGTTGTCAAGAGTAATTATTTAAAGTATAATAAAAAACTATCTTATTCGAAATGGTTTTTGGGTCTTTTTTTGGGGGGAGGGGAGTAGTCCAAAAGCAAACTCAATCTTTAGTTAAAAAAGACTCTCTTTAAAAACCTGCTTTCCATCAAGTATCCAGAACTGCCAGGGCTATGAGTGGCCAAAGGTACAGTGAATCTATCTTCCAGTGAAAAGGCAGCTGCCAGGAAAAGCTTAACATCTGATACTATGAGCAAAAGAGCATTCCTTTGAAAACAAATTTGGTAAAACTATTTCATTACTTATGTTCCTTACATAGAAATAATAATATAAATCTGTTCAGAGAAAAAAAAGACGTACCATTTCACATAGTACATGAATGCAAAGCAAGTTTATGGTACGTGTAACATACCTTTTGATAAGGTCTCTTAGGTGATAGGCTGGAATTGCGGCATTCACCACTGCTTTACTGGCAAATATGTGATCAATAATAGCAGAACTGTTTGCCTTAAAAAACGGAGAAAAGTTTTCCTTTGGTTATTCAGTCTGTATTTATTGAATACTAGGCATATAGCACTATTTGAGAGTAAAATGCAACAGAAAACACTATCTTCTGAGAGCCTACAATCTTTTTTTTTTTTTTTTTTTTGGAGACAGGGTCTTGCTCTGCCACCCAGGCTGTAGTGCAGTGACGCAATCTCAGCTCACTGCAACCTCTGCCTCCCAGGTTTAAGTGATCCTCCTGCCTCAGCCTCCTGCGTAGCTGGAAATATAGGTGTGTGCCATCACATCCAGCTAATTTTTTGTATTTTTTATAGCTATGGGGTTTCACTATGTTACCCAGGCTGGTCTCAAACTCTTGGGCTCAAGTGATCTGCCCACCGTGGCCTCCCAAAGTGCTGGGACTATAACTGTGAGCCATCGTGCCCAGCAAGAGCCTACAATCTTAACAGAGGAAATAATATACATAATTACACACTTCTGGAGAAGAACATTTTTTTCTTCATTTTCAGCGCCTAGCACTCTATGAACATCTACTAGATGAAAGAATAAAAAATAAATACCGAAGTAACCACATAAGAATGTAGTTTAATGCAAAAATGAATGTATAATAGGTGACTCAGGGTATCTCCGTAACGAGTCTTCAATTGGTTTTCAGGCAGAAATAAACTATCAAAGCGAATATGATGCAGTATTAAAACATCTTATTTGTCATATTACTCATTCTCTAAATCTTTACAGAATATATTTTCTCCTTGAATACTATGCTAACTCACAATTTAGAACTGTGTACATGAGTTAAAAGAACAGATACTATCATTATCAGTAAAATTTATTAAATACTTACCATGAGCTGTTTGCTAAAAGTATCATTTCTTTATTAACCTCAGTAGTCTTATGAGATAGATGCCATTATTATCCTCATTTTAAAGAAAGCAAACTATGGCTTAGTGAACCTAAATAAATAACTTAGTAAGAGCTTTGTGGAGGCAAGATACAAACCCTAGTAGCTTGACTTTAGAGCCTATGCTCATAATCAGTTGGCAATTTTGCCTCCATAGAAAGGGATAAAACAGAAAAATAGCGTTTTATCTAGAGGCATATATTGGAGATCCCATTACTACACATCACCCCTCTAAATTTCACACAAATTTGAATGTGATCTAGTTCTGATGAGCTCTAGGCCAAGCAGATATAGTCCAAAAGGCTCAAAGACAGTCAAAACTCATTCAAATAACTGATCTATGTCTGGATTAGCACCAAGAAAGAATACGTAAGACTCTTGATTGTTTGGGATATCAATAATAAAGAATGATACTGATTTTACTCCCAAGAAAGCAATTTTTACCCATAAAAGCATCAGGTACATACATTGGGCTATTAAAATATCCCTTCCAGGAAATGCTACAATGGAAATCAGTGACCAGGTGTTTAAAAGAAACAAAACTATATGTTATAATAGCTATACAGTATGTATTAGATGCTCAAAAAAACACTTGTTGCTTAGTATCAAAAACTTGTTGCTTAATATCTAAGTTCCAAACCTCTAATATTTGAATGAACTTTTTATGCATTTATAAATTAGGAATTAACTACAGTATGTTTTCAAAGGTATTGTGGGGCTTTAATGTTGTGATAATATCAGTATCCTTTAGGCTACTGTTTAAGTGATCCTCCTGCCTCAGCCTCCTGGGTAGCTGGGACTACAGGTGTGTGCCATCACACCCAGCTAATTTTTTGAGGTTTAATAAATACAATGTTTTGGAATGATTATTGTTCTTGATATTAAACAAGTATTAAAATACCTTTTATAATTTTTTTTTTTTTTTTTTTACTAGAGACTGGGGTCTCACTACGTTGCCTGGGCTGGTCTCAAATTCCTGGTCTCAAGTGAGCCTCCCACCTCAGCCTCCAAAAGTGCTGGGATTACAGGTGTGAGCCACCATGCCCAGCAAAAATATTTTTTAACTGTAAAGCAGTTAAGATAATCTATAAAACTTATCATTTAACTTATAAGCTATGGTTGTATTAGTAACACTTTAGAACTTAATATTACTGTTAGTAAACAAAAGAAACCACTTTTGTTTCTTCAGGAAAATGCATTCATTCAAACATTTTATCAAGCACTTACTATATGCCAAGCCACAGGCTAGGAACAATAAGAATGCAATACTCACTAGCAGATTGATAGCCATAGGAGTTGGTAGTGGCATTCAAGTATCATCAATAGAAAAAGAGGAGTATGGACAACAGACAGCAATCAAGAGTTCTCTAAAAGAATCATCATAAATTGGCCAGGTGCGGTGGCTCATGCCTGTAATCCCAGCACTTGGGGAGGCCCAGGCGGGTGCATCATGAGGTCAGGAGTTTGAGACCAGCCTGGCCAACATGGTGAAACTCCGTGTCTACTAAAAATACAAAAATTAGCCGGGTACGGTGGCTGGCGCCTGTAATCCCAGCTACTCAGGAGGCTGAGGCAGGAGAATTGGTTGAAACCGGAAGGTGGAGGTTGCAGTGAGCTGAGATTGCGCCACTGCACTCCAGCCTGGGTGAAAGAGTGAAACTCCATCTCAAAAGAAAAAAAAAAATCATCATAAATTGAATACTCTTAAGTTGAAAGTAAGGACCCCAAAGCAAAGCACTGGTGAAGTTTACCTTCCATTCCTGAGATCTGACTGTATGTTTCAGTTTCATTCCTGAGAACATTTCCAGTAAAATGATTCCTAGGCTCCACAGATCAACAGCTGAGGTACATTCTGTATCACTCTGCAGGCCAGCCTGGGCCAAGCAATTTTGCAATTCTGCTTCTGGAGCCCGATACCCGTCTGTCTGAATATACTTTACATCCTAAAAAAGATGAGTAAATATTACAACCAATAAAAAAGCTGCTCCCTTTCTATCCATCTCTACAGTGAATTTACTTCCCTAAGAGTGCAGTAAACCCACTGCCAAGCTAAATGCTAAAAATTTTTAGTCCTTGATTACCATAATTCTTTGGTTCATTAACTGGGCAGTTCTCAGAGGCAAGCTGTACATTTCCATATAGCGCTCATAAAGAAGTCTTCTTTGGATTGTCTCTTACCTATTAGGCACTGCTGATAATAAGGACACTGCAAAGAAATGATAAACCATGGAGAAAAGAGGATTTGGCAGAACTATCATATGCATTCTGCCACGAGATACAGCCCCAACACTGAAGAGACCAGGAATAGTAACTCAGCAATTAGCCAAACACGCATAAAATTTAAAAAACCATTCTATGTAGGTTAAGTACTTTTAATAATTCCAGAGCTCTCATGCTTCACTGGCTCCTCCTACCTGACCCAAACATTATGTCCTTTTTTTACACGGTGGCACTGAAATTCTTTTGATTTACTGCATCCCCTGGCATTTCAGTAATTTAGGTTAAAATGACTTGTAAGCCCCTACTAAACTACCCTTGTCATTTAAAAATATTTGGCTTCAACCACTACATTTTAAACTGCGAGAGAAAAGAAAAGGTTATTTCTTACCTGATTGCCTTCTTTGAAGCTAAGTCCAAAGTCAATGAGTTTAAAACATTCATTCTCTGCACTCCACAATATGTTACGTGGTTTGAGGTCCGCATGGACATAGCCCTCATGATGAAGAAAAGCAAGGGCCTCCAAAACATCTCGGGCACAATGCTGTATCATCCACATGGAACAACCCTGGTGACTGGAATATAAGAGCAATTCCGAAACACTGACATCCAGGAGTTCAAGCAACAGACAGCGTGATGGCACATTTGGAGAAAAGTGGATTGTAAACACTCCATACAAAGTCACTAGAAAAAGAAATTATAATACTTTAAAAATCAGACTCAGAGTAAGTCACTACTAAAGTAGGTAACTGCAGTACAAATTTGAGATAGTCTAGATAAGGATAACTTTGATGAGCAAGCTTCCACTGTAATTTATTTTTCCCATGAATAAGATCTTTTGGCAATTGGGTTATTTTAATAAAAATAAGATGAGACAGCCTACAACAGCTGATTACCATTCACAGATACTAAATATGGTACAATTATTCAATTTGTGTTTCACCAAGTACTCATTGGTGATGAACACGAACTTGGAGTGCCAAGCAAAAATGATTAAAAGTAAAAAACCTAAATATAAATAAATAAAACTTACTGTTGCATCATGAGGTCCTTTAAAAAAAAAGAAATTTTTAAAAGTAAAAACCCAAATATTAAGTAACTCTTTTAAAAGGAATGTCACAATGCGCAAAAACCAAACT
Source organism: Homo sapiens (assembly GCF_000001405.40). NCBI lineage: Eukaryota > Metazoa > Chordata > Mammalia > Primates > Hominidae > Homo > Homo sapiens. The sequence goes on along the minus strand of NC_000001.11, from coordinate 162,499,499 downwards.
AAACATTGCTTCTTCATCCAAAACAGCAGTCTAGGTCTGCCACGGTGGCTCATGCCCGTGATCCCAGCATTCTGAGAGACCGAGGCAGGAGGACTGCTTGAGCCCAGGAGTTTGGAGACCAGCCTGGGTAACAAAAGGGGACCTCTTCTCTACAAAAAATTAGCCAGGCTTGGTGCTACGTGCCTGTAGTCCCAGCTACCTGGGAGGCTGAGGTAGGAGCATGGCTTTAGGAGGAATTGGAGGCTGGAGTGAACTGTGATCTCGCCATTGTACTCCAGCCTGGGTGACAGAGTAAGAACTTGTCTCAAAAAAAAAAACTAAAACAAAAATAAACAGCTCTCTATAATCTAAATACTAACAAAGAGATTAAGACTTTTCGGATGAAATTTTAATCTTGCAGAGATCAGGCAAGTCCCTAGGCTTGCAAAATTTTTCCCTTTTCAATACCAAGGTTATAGTAACAGACCATTTAGTAAACTAAAAAAATGTAGCACTAGTGTTAATTCTTCTCCAAAATGATATTATAAAAAAACTCACTCTTCAAATTAACTATGCATCATACTTGCTAGGAAATAAGACTTTTCTTTAATAACCAAAGCTATAACTAATGATAAGCTTTCTGTCGTGTAATGAAAATGAAACCTTTTCACAGATCAATCATCAGTGATCATTACATATCTTACATTCTGAGTATCTGATTCTTGAAACAGTCTCAAGAGAGCAAAGGTATAGTGTTCCTAAATTTCACACTTCTATAAAGGCTCCCATGGAATAGTGCATCATTTCTTCCAAATCCGTACTAAAGATATAATAGGTGAGCTATACGAGTTACTAGCATTGATGTCACAAGGCCCAGACGTAGTTCCCATTTTCTACTGGTATGCAAAGATTCAAAAATTTCCACACAAGACACGACAATCTAGCAAAGACATGCCTCCTCTCACTAGAAAAGATATTTCTGTATGCTAATGAATGCGGCATTCTCCGATGAGACTCGAAGCAAGACAATTTACTGAGCATCTATGTGACACCTGGCAAAGCAGACCACCAACTCCACTATACCGCAGACAGTAATAAAGTGAAAGGGGAAAGGGGCCTGGATGGGGTGATAAAGAGGGCTAAACCCGCTTCTCCCGCAGAAGGGGAGGAAGATGGAACGCCAGACAGCGAGAGGAAGAGTGTGCTCGGACTGTGACCTGGGCAAGAAGAGAAAGGAGACAGCGGCAATTACCGATGTTTCTGTGACCCTGCAACTGTTCCAGCGCCGCCCTCTCTTTGCGGAAACCATACTCGGCGGCAGAGGCCGCAGCCCCGGTGGTTCCTGGCGGCAAGAACTGCTTGAGGGCGCCGGGGGGCGAGCCAGGGTTGCCGCAGCAGCGAACCCGATACACCGAGGCGGAGGAGCCGCTACCCAGACGGCTCTGTACCTGCCACAGCCGCCCGAAGGCCTCCAGAAAACGCGGCGGCTCCGCGCCCCAGGCGCAGCCGGATCCCGCCATCGGTGTGGGTTAAGGGCACGGACACGGGAGCTGACGCGACGCCTGAGGCAGGCCGGCCGGGCCCGCGGTCACATCTCCGCCAGCCGGACCAGCGGCTCCGCAGGGAGGGACCTGCAGCCGCCTCACCGACTCCCGGGACTTCAAGCAGCCATGACACCGGAAGCCGTGGTGCACCCGAGTCCCAGAAGCCGGAAATGGAGGAAGAGCCTATCATACAGGCCGAAGGAGGGGGGGCTCAGAAGGGGCGGGGCCTAGAAGAGATTAGACGCGCTAGGTTTGGAAAAAAGAACCGAGAATAAGAAGTAACCTTAATTATTGAGTATCTACCATTCCAGGCCCAGTGTTAACCGCTTTCACATAGACCTGAAGCCAAAACTGGTCCTTTTTCTTGTTGAGGCACCTCACCTTACCTCACCACTAGGAACCCGAAAAATAAAACCCGGCCTACATTTCTCATAGAAAGGATCCCAAGGAAAACACCCCAGGAACAAAAAGAGAGTTTACCATCACCTCCAGGTCCACGGTCACCAGAACCCATGATTCTGGAAGCCTAGACCTTTGTTCTTCTTTTAGATGTAAACCGAAAATACAATTCTAAGCCCCCCGTGTCGCCAACCATCGGAATGGACTTTCTCCCAGGCCAGGGCACTCTAAAATTCTGGTTCAGTCCATGACGGGAAGTGGGGGTCCGACTAGCCTCATACCTCTCCGGTTAAGGTCAACACAGACCTTCGGTCTGGTAAGAAACATTTACAATCTATTTTCTTGGAAGCCTGGTACCTGGAGGCTTCATCTGCATGACAAAACTTTGGTCTCCACAAGTTCTTATGACAACCCAGACATTCCTTTCTATTGATAACTCTTTCAACCAATTGCCAATTAGAAAAATTTTAAATCTACCTATAACCTGGAAGGACCCATTTCTCCCCCCACCAATTCCCGCTTCGAGTTTTCCCACCTTTCTGGGCCAAATCAATGTATTTCTTAAATATATTTGATTGAAGTCTCATGTCTCCCAAAATGTATAAAACCAAGCTGCACCCCAACCACCTTGGGTACATGTTCTCAGGATCTCCTGAGGGCTGTGTCACAGACCATGGTCACTCATAGTTGGCTCAGAATAAATCTCTTCAAATATTTTACAGAGTTTAACTCTTTTTATCAACATAGTCCACCTTGCCTATGGCTCCCTCATCAAAAAGCATTCACCCTGGGCAAACACGGATCTGTTCCAAATTTTTATTTTTCATTTATTTATTCAATTATTTTATTCATTCAGCAAACGTTTATTGAGTAACAAATGTAGCAAATAGGCATCTCAATCCACAAACTCGAGTGTGTAAGAAATGTAGCCTTCTTTACTTTTCAGTCATTCAACCTTTTCTATTTCAAGATCTATTCTGATTGTGTGGCAAAAACTTAGTATCAGACAATAGGCCCTATCTTCTTTTCTTCAGGTTTTGTGTAAGTTCCCAGCCAGATGAGATGGTTCATGTAGTGCTAAGTGGAAAGTTTGAGGAGAGGTTGAGGACTAAACTCTGACCTGTCTTCTCTCTTGCTCAATTTTTTTTTTTTTTTTTTTTTTTTTTGGTAAGACGGAGTTTCGCTCTTGTTGCCCAGGCTGGGGTGCAATGGCATGATCTCGGCATCTCCGCCCACCGCAACCTCCTCCTCCTGGGGTCCAGCGATTCTCCTGCCTCAGCCTCCCAAGTAGCTGGAATTACAGGAATTTGCCACCATGCCAGCTAATTTTGTATTTTTAGTAGAGATGAAGTTTCTCCATGTTGGTCAGGCTGGTCTCGAACTCCTGCCCTTGTGATCCGCCTGCCTCACCTTCCCAAAGTGCTGGGATTACAAGCGTGAGCCACTGCACCTGGCCCCAAATTCTTATCTAAGGGATGTGAGGAGTCACAGCCTACAAACCATAAAATCTCATCAGATTGTCAGAGGTGTTCAAACCAGAGCAACTCCATCTTGAATAGGAGCTGGGTAAAATAAGGCTCAGATCTACTGGGCTGCATTTCCAGGAAGTTAGGTATTCTAAGTCACAGGATGAGATAGGAGGTCAACACAAGATACAGGTCACAAAGACCTTGCTGATAAAACAGATTGCAGTAAAGAAGCCAGCCAAAACCCACCAAAACCAAAATGGTGGTGAAGGTGACCTCTGGTCGTCCTTACTACTCATTAGATGCTAATTATAATACATTAGCATGCTAAAGGAAACTCTTACCAGCACCATTACAATTTACAAATGGTATGGCAACGTCCTGGAAGTTACCCTACATGGTCTAAAAAGAGGAGGAACCCTCAGTTCCAGGAATTGCCCACTCCTTTCCTGGAAAACTCATGAATAATCCACCCCTTGTTTAGCATATAATCAAGAAATAACTATAAATATGAATAACTATAAGTCGAGCAGCCTAAGCTGTTGCTCTGCCTATGGAGTAGCCATTCTTTTATCCCTTTTACTTCCTAATAAACTTGCTTTATGGACTCATTCTGAATTCTTTCTTGCGTGAGGTCCAAGAACCCTCTCCTGGGGTCTGGATTGAGACCACTTTCCAGTAACAAGATAGGTTGGTTGGTTGGTTTGTTTGTTTGAGACAAAGTCTCACTCTATCACCCAGGCTGGAGTGCAGTGGCGTGATCTCAGCTCACTGCAACCTCTGCCTCCTGGGTTCAAGGAATTCTCCCACCTCAGCCTCCCGAGTAGCTGGGATTATAGGCATGCGCCACCATGCCCGGTTAAATTTTGTATTTTTAGTAGAGACGGGGTTTTGCCATGTTGGTCAGGCTGGCCTCGAACTCCTGACCTCAGGTAATCCTCCTACCTTGGCCTCCCAAAGTGTTAGGATTACAGGCATGAGCCACTGCACCCGGCCACAAGATGGGTTTTGTTTAACCCCATATAACGTGACTTACTTTCCAACCTAACTCTGGCATAACATCACATGACAGATAAAGAAGGAAATACAAATATTTTAACCCCAAATATATTTCCTTTTTTTTTTTTGAGACGGAATTTCGCTCTTGTTGCCTAGGCTGGAGTGCAATGGCACGATCTTGACTCACCGCAACCTCCGCCTCTTGGGTTCAAGCGATTCTCCTGCCTCAGCCTCCCGAGTAGCTGGGATTACAGGCATCCACCACCACGCCCCGCTAATTTTGTATTTTCACCATGTTGGCCAGGATGGTCTCTATCTCTTGACCTTGTGATCTGCCTGCCTCAGCCTCCCAAAGTGCTGGGATTACAGGCGTGAGCCACCATGCCCGGCCTCTTTTTTTTTTGAGACAGAGTTTTGCTTTTTTTTTGAGATGGAATTTCACCCAGGCTGGAGTGCAATGGTGCGATCTTGGCTCACTGCAACCTCTCCCTCCCGAGTTCAAACAATTCTCCTGCCTCAGCCTCCCAAGTAGCTGGGATTATTCGTGCCTGCCACCACACCCAGCTAATTTTTTATTTTTAGTAGAGTTGAGGTTTCACCACGTTGGCCAGGCTGATCTCGAACTCCTGAGCTCAGGTAATCCACCCATCTTGGCCTCCCGAAGTGCTGGGATAACAGGCATGAGCCACTGTGCCTAGCCCCCAAATATGTTGCTTTGCTATATTTTGAAATGGCCCTGCAAAGCCTGTCTTTTGTGGGGGAAATTTGCATCTGTAAATAATCTGTGTTAACATAACTATGGCTTTTCCCCCTTCCAGGCCCTCCCAACCCTGAAGATATTAAATGAGAGTCTAGCACCTTCTAAAGGTCCAAATAAGAAACATTTTTCATCTATTGTCTCTAAGGATGACCATCTATGAGACTTCATCTACATAATGAGATTCTTGGTCTCTACAACCCCTTATCTTTTTTATTTCTTATTAATTTTAATTTTTATTTAAGTTCCGGGGTACACGTGCAGGATGTGCAGGCTTATTACATAGGTAGGTAAATGTGTGCCATGGTAGTTTGCTGCACCTACCAACCCATCAGCTAGGTATTAAGCCCAGCATACCTTAGCTATTTTTCTCAATGCTCTCCCTCCTCCCATCCCATCCCCAACAGGCCCCAGTGTGTGTTGTTACCCTCCCTGTATCTATGTATTCTCACTATACAACTCCTTATCTTATCCAAGATACTCCTTTCTATTGATTACAGGACAATAACTCTTTCAAACGACTGCAATCAGAAAATCTTTGAATCCACCCATGACCTGAAAGCCATCACCCCTGCTTTGTTGCACCTTTCTAGACCAATCCAGTGTGTACCCACGTATATTGATTGATGTCTTATGTTTCCCTAAAACATATAAAACCAAGATGTAATCCAAACATATTGGGAGCTTGTTCTCAGGACTTCTTGAGACTATGCCTTGGGCCATGGCCACTCATATTTGGCTCAGAATAAATCTTCTCAAATATTTTACAGAGTTTGGCTTTTTTCATTGACACATCTGCTTTTCAGTATCATTTTTCATCATCTTGTCTGGTTGTCACTGAGATGTGTGCACTCTCCTGCTCTTTTTCTTCTTCTTTTTTTAGAGACAGAGTCTCACTTGTTGCCCAGGCTGGAATGCAGTGGCATAATTATAGCTCACTGCATCCCCCAATTCCTGGGTTCAAGTGACGTTCCTGCCTCAACCTCCCATGTAGCTGGGACTACAGGCACACACCATCTTGCACAACTATTTTTTTTTTTCATTTTAAAAATCCATTTATTTATTTATTTAGAAACAAGGTCTCCACTTTCTTGCCCAAGCTGGTTTTGAACTCCTGGCTTCAAGGGCTCCTTCCTCCTTAGCCTCCCAAAGTGATGGGATTATAGGCATGAGCCACCATGCCCAGCCCCTCTCCTACTATATCTAAAAAGCATTTTCTCTAAGTCTGCAGTCCACACAAATCTCTTGAGGGCTTTGGGCTTTTGGAATACAAAACTGAAGCAAAGACTCACAGGTTTTTGTGATGTTGCAGCCACATGGCTCCTCTAAGGCAATAAGTACAGCCATCTGTGTTTGTATAAAGGGAGAGCAAAGTGGGAAGTTGAGAAGTAGGGAGGGAAGTGGAGAACAAAATGACATTAGATCCTAAATAGAGGGAAGAGATGAAATAGAAATGAACTCTGATTTTAAGGACTTTGGAGTTGGTAGAATGACTTAGACATGTGTAATATGATCAAACAATATAGGTAAAAATGCTCTAAAGGAATGCCAAGTAAAGTACTAGGGATCCTCAGAGGGTCTTGTTGAAATAAAGTGTATTGTAATCAGAGAGTTTAAGCGCTAAACTTTTAGAAGTTGACTAGGTCCTCCTTGTGAAAAATATCCATTGTTATACGCCATATCTTGGTTAGTTATAAGCCCTTTTCCTGAACACTACAAATAAAAGTTATCCATCTGAAAATATTTCCCAGTAAAGTTTTCTTTCTTTCTGCTTTTCCAGTCTCTTCTGTTATACTTCAGTGTCTTCTCATTGCTTCACTTGTTAACCTAAAAGATGAGGATACTAAATTATAGAATTGAGCCATATTCAAAAGTCATACCAAGAATATTCTGAAACAGATGTGCCTTGGAATATCATTAACAGAAGGGGTGGCCTGTATTTTAATTGTTGAGCTCTTAAAGATAGATCCATATCCTTCAAGCATGAAAGTGATTACACCCTGTGGTAGCCAGTCTCCAAAATAGCCCCCAATGATCCTTGTGTCCTAGTATTCACTCCTTCCTGTAACACCCTTTCATGTTGAGCAGGGTGATCTGTATAACCAAGGGGAATTTATGGAAATGATGGTGTGAGACTTCCTAGGTCATAAAAGACATTTCAGCTTCCACCTTGCTGTATCTTTGATCACTTACCTTGGGGGAGCTACCTGTCTTGTCATGAAGACTCTCACGCAGCCCAATGGAGATGTCTACATTTTGAGAAACTGAGGTCTCCTGTCAACAGCCATGTTAGTGAGCCACCTTGGAAGTGGATCTTTCAATCCTAGTCAAGCTTTCAGCATGATTGCAGCTCTGCTGAAGTCTTGATTGCCAACTCATGAGAGACCCCCTAGCTAGAACCATCCCGGCTAAGCCACTTCTGAATTCAGTCCTACAGAGATTATGTGTGATAATAAATATTTATTGTTGTTTTAAGTTTTAGAGTACTTGTTATGTAGCAATAAGTAGCTGTACACTAGAAAGGAATAAATAATGTCCCCCAAATTTAACACTTTTTCAAACCAATTGTATACATTTGTGTTCTAATCAGCAGTCAAAAGTTGACTTAGCACATCCATACCAATATAAAGCATTATTATTTAAACTTTTTTCTTTTTAATTTTAAAAGCCAAAATGACATTTTGATATAGTTTTTAATTTTTGTTGTTATTAGTAGGGTGTACTTTTTTCATACTTTTGGTGACTTTTCATTACTTTTCAAGAGTTTTTTTTAAAAATTCTTTTATTTTTATTTTCTCTTCTTTAAATTTTCTTGATCACCTGGTAGATTTTCTTTTTTCTCTTTAGTTCCCCTCACTCCTGTCCCAGCTAGCTCTTGCCTGAAAAGTAGGTGCTTAATGATACAGGTAGGTCTAAATAGTAAAAAGATTTATTCCGCAAGCCACTAATTAAAATCAGTCTGGTCTTGATCTATTTAGCCTAGAGAGATTGACGATTCTAGGGAGAGGATTGTGGGGCCCCAAATCCAGAAAACTGGAAAAGATCGGTAGCTTAAAACCATTCATTCATTTATTTATTCACTTATTCATTATTTCAATATATATTTATAAAGAACCACTAGCTTCCTGGGCAAGGAACTCATAGTCTAGTAGGGGAGACAGACAAGATTAAGGAAAAAAAAAAAAAAACACAGGACTTTGCTTAGAGAAAAAGAGAAAGTTCATCATTTGAGATTGGAGAGAGTTCTGAGAGGATGATGTGGGAATGTGCGATGTGATGAACTGAAAAATGCTGGATGACTTCAAACTTTCCCATTAAGGTGGCATGATAGCATCATTGGAAGAGGAGAGGGAGAGCATATGGGGATTGAAAGAGAGAATAACTCCAGTGGGAAATGTGTTGGAGAGAAGAGTTTAAATTGAACAGCATGTATCTACATGGAAGCTTGATTTGAGGTTGGCGCTTACTCAGTGTTAGCCAAGCAGTTCTGTACTTGATACACTATTGGGGAAGAGGCTGCAGGGAGTGGGGAATGTCTCAATGTCACTCTTGTCAGCTGGCTACAGGAACTTTTTTTCCTGGAATTTTGAGTGGGGAATGTCAAATTAGCATTTTATCAGTATCTCAAACTTGGTATATATATAACTATACTCCTGATCTTCCTCCCAACTTTCTTCCTCCACAGCCTTCCCCAGGTCAGTTCTTGGAAACTCTATTCTTCCAGATGCTCAAGGCAAAAACCCTGGAGTCATTCTTTTTTTTTTTTTTTTTTTTGGCAGAGTCTCACTCTGTCACCCAGGCTGGAGTGCTGGAGTGCAGTGGTGCAATCTCAGCTCACTGCAACCCCCACCTCCCCAGTTCAAGCAGTTCTCCTGTCTCAGCCTCCTGAGTAGCTGGGACTACAGGCGCTCACCACTATACCCAGATAATTTTTGTATTTTTAATAGAGACGGGGTTACACCATGTTGGCCAGGCTGGTCTCAAACTCCTGACCTCAGGTGATGCGCCTGCCTCGGCCTCGCAAAGTGCTGGGATTACAGGCGTAAGCCACCACCCCCAGCCCCCAGGGTCATTCTTGATTCTTCTCTTTCCTCCATTTACAACATATACTCAGTCTCTAACAACTTTTTTTTTACCACCTTCCCAGCTACTAGTCTGTTCCAAGCCTCCATCACCTCCTGCCTCAATGATTGAAATAACCTCCTAGCCAGTCTCCTTGCTTCCACTCCTGCCCTCCTACAGTCTATTCTCAACACTGTAGCCAGAGTGATCCAGTGAGAGCAGAAGTCGGGCTAAGTCATGGCTTCATGGCTTTGCTCCAAACCCTCCATCTCTCCCAGAGTTGAAGTCAAAATCCATAAAATGGGTGATGAAGCTGTCCATGATTTAGACCCCTCTACCACTCCAGCCTCATGTCCTCCCATTATCCCCCATGTCCACTCTGGTCCCAACACACCAGCTTCCTGTTCTTCAAACACATCAGGCAGCTGCCTTCCTCAAGAAGGAAATTTGCTGTTTCCTCTGCCTGGCATAGTCTTTCCACAGATATCTACATGACTCACTTTTCATTTCTTTTTTTTTTTTTTTCTTTTTGAGACAGAGTCTCGCTCTGTCGCCCAGGCTGGAGTGCCACGATGTGATCTTGGCTCACTGCAACCTCCGCCTCCCAAAGTCAAGAGATTCTCCCTGCCTCAGCCTCCATAGTAGCTGGGATTACAGGTGCCCGCCACCACGCCCAGCTAATTTTTGTATTTTTAATAAGAGACAAGGTTTCACCATGTTGGCCAGGCTGGTCTTGAACTGCTGATCTCAGGTGATCTGCCCGCCTTGGCCTCCCAAAGTGCTAGGATTACAGGCATGAGCCACCACACCCAGACAACTTTTCATTTCTTTCAAGTGTTTGCCCAAATGTCCTTAATTGATGAAGTTCTCTTGATCACATTTATATAAATTAGCCATTCCTTACTTCCCTGGTATCCTCTGCACCCCTTACTTTGCTTTCATTTCACTCTGTATCACCTTGGACATAGTATATAATTCATTTTTTAAATTAGATTCCCCTGTCTAAAATAAGGACGAGTTTGATTTTGATTTGTTCACCGCTGTATTTCCAGTGCCTGGAATAGTGTCTGGAACATTATTAAGCTCTTAACAAATGTTTGTTAAATGGTTGTCTATTTTTCAGGCAGCAACAGGAGGCTAGTGGATGGAGAGGGGATGACAACCAGTAGGAGAAAATGGAAAAACCAGAAGATGGACTTTAACAAAGGGCATTATGTCTTAAGGAGGAAAGACAATTAGAAATAGAACTGAGGGGCCGGGCGCAGTGGCTCATGCCTGTAATCCCAGCACTTTGGGAGGCCGAAGTGGGCGGATCACGAGGTCAGGAGATTGAGACCACCCTGGCCAACATGGTGAAACCCCGTCTCCACTAAAAATACAAAAATTAACTGGGCGTGGTGGCATGGGCCTGTAGTCCCAGCTATTTGGCAGGCTGAGGCAGGAGAATCACTTGAACCCAGGAGGCGGAGGTTGCAGTAGTGGAGATCGCACCATTGCACTCCAGCCTGGGTGACAGAGCGAGACTCCATCTCAGAAAAAAAAAAACAGAAATAGAACTGAGGAAGGTAGAGAACAGAGAAACTGATGTGAGTGAAACACACCTGCCTTACAAGATTAAAGGTGTTTGGCCCATTGCTGGGGCCACATGAGAACAAATTAAGAGTCCCAAAAGGGTTTAATGTGTTCATGAGTCAAGGTCAAGATTTGGGGCTTTATTTATTTCATCTCCTGCCACTACCCTCTGACTGAGATGAGAGTTTCCCAAACAAGTGAGACATATGAGACAGACAATGTAGCCGGAGGGTTAGGTGGCAGTGATTGGCAATCTCCACCTGGAGTCTCAGCTCCAAGATAAGCCCTAAGGTTCCCTCTGGAACATCAGTCTGTACTTTTCTATATTTAGAGGAAGTCTCAAGTGTAGGACGATTGCTGCAGTCTGGAGTCTTCACTGGTACAGCAAGATGATGGATTGTTTTTCAGTACTTGTTTCCTCCTATGTAATGATTATTTTTTTCTTTGTAGCTTCACATTACTGGTTTGCTGCGTTGCTGTTCCCCAGACCAAGCAGAAGCATCTGTAACGTCTGAAGGAAGAACCCAGGCCCGCAGCTCACCCACTACAGAACCTAGGGACCTTATCCTTCTTCCAGGTAGGGAAGTCTTCAGCTGTTTTTTTCTAATTATCAATCCTGGACCAAGATTGTTTCATGTAGAATTGAAGGGTACTAAAGGATGAAAGACAGGAAGGATGAGGGAGAGGCAAACGTGGTGGGGGAAGAAGAGGCAAAAGAAAAGGGCACTAGGCAGAGCAGGGCATTTCTTTCTTTCTTTCTTTCTTTCTTTCTTTCTTTCTTTCTTTCTTTCTTTCTTTCTCTCTCTCCTTTTTTCTTTCTTTCTTTCTCTTTTTTTTTTTTTTGAGTTGGAGTCTTGCACTGTTGCCTGGGTTGGAGTGCAGTGGCACGATCTTGGCTCACTGCAACCCCCACCTCCCTGGTTCAAGCGATTCTCCTGCCTCAGCCTCCTGAGTAGCTGGGATTACAGGTGGGTGCTGCCATGCCCGGCTAATTTTTGGCATTTTTAGTAGAGATGGGGTTTCACTATGTTGGCCAGGCTGCATTTTTAGTAGAGATAGGGTTTCACTATGTTGGCCAGGCTGCTCTCGAACTCCTGACTTCGTGATATGCCCACCTCAGCTTCCCAAAGTGCTGGGATTACAGGCATGAGCCTCCATGCCCGGCCAGGGAATTTATTTCAACATCTTCTGTTCCTCCCTTTCTCTCCCAGCACCAACCTCCCTTTCTCTCCCAGCACCAACTAATGCTGAGAAAAGCCACTTTCACTGATGGTGACATTTGAGTCATTTGGACTTCACAACCTCTTTACTTTGATCTCCATCTTCTGGCGAGAGTGGTAATAAACAGTGAAAAGATGGTCTACAATAAACATACGTGTGCACTATTCACAATAGCAAAGACTTGGAACCAACCCAAATGTCCACCAGTGATAGACTGGATTAAGAAAATGTGGCGGCCGGGCGCGGTGGCTCACGCCTGTAATCCCAGCACTTTGGGAGGCCGAGGCGGGCGGATCACGAGGTCAGGAGATCGAGACCATCCCGGCTAAAACGGTGAAACCCCGTCTCTACTAAAAATACAAAAAATTAGCCGGGCGTAGTGGCAGGTGCCTGTAGTCCCAGCTACTTGGGAGGCTGAGGCAGGAGAATGGCGTGAACCCGGGAGGCGGAGCTTGCAGTGAGCCGAGATCCCGCCACTGCACTCCAGCCTGGGCGACAGAGCGAGACTCCGTCTCAAAAAAAAAAAAAAAAAAAGAAAATGTGGCACATATACACCATGGAATACTATGCAGCCATAAAAGAGGATGAGTTCATGTCCTTTGTAGGGACATGGATGAAGCTGGAAACCATCATTCTCAGCAAATTATCGCGAGGACAAAAAACCAAACACCACATGTTCTCACTCATAGGTGGGAATGGAACAATGAGAACACTTGGACACAGGAAGGGGAACAGCACACACTGGGGCCTGTCGTGGGGTGGGGGAAGGGGGGAGGGATAGCATTAGGAGATATACCTAATGCAAATGAAGAGTTAATGGGTGCAGCACACCAATATGGCACATGTATACATATGTAAGAAACCTGCACATTGTGTACACGTACCCTAGAACTTAAAGTATATATATATAAAAAAAAGATGGTTAGCAAAACCAAGGAAAATTTAAGGACCTTGATAATCCAGAAACTGTATGATTATAGATAATCGAGAATTGTCTCTATATTCAAAAACACTGTTTTTACTCCTGATCCTGAAATAATGGAAATCACAAACAAGATATATAAACTCAGATTGTTTTACACCATCACTTGTCACTATTTTACATGGTGTCACAAACTAACTGCATTCATTATTAATTTGCATTAAGAGCTGCATTAGTCTTTCAAATGCCAACAGCTTTTCCTCTGAACATTTTCTTTTCTGCTTATGAATTACTGTTCTGGTTTTTACAGTCTGGGCAGGTTTCCATTAAATCCTTTTTGTTTCATGGGTTCTTGTGTGATGTAATACTAAGTCATTTGCTAAATTACTATGTTCTATTATAATATGGTATTGTATATTTTAATATATCTTTTTATAGATTTTTATATTGTATTTATTCCTTTGAAGAGGAATAGACAGAGAGAGATGTATTGTTTTATTTTTTTTTTTTTTCATTGTGCTGGAGCTGTGTTATAATATAGACAGTACTGGTAGGAGTTAGGCAAAAAAAAAAAAAAAAATTGGTGTGCCATAGAAAAGGATAGATTAGTATTCTGCCTATCGCACATCCCAATCCTCATGAGGAATAGCAACACAATTTTTAAAAATCCTTTAATGTTATATGGCTGAGCAAAGGCAAGGAAAACCTCTTCTTTCCCCTCCCCGCCAAAACCTTGCTCTTCTCTTAATAAAGCTTTCAGCCATCTCTCCAAGTGGCAGCAGGACAATTCCAAAGCCTGACCTTCAGTTCTTAGCAGAGGATGTTAACAGACCTACCCTCAGTTTCCTGGCCCACCAGGACCCCAGCAAACTTTCTGTTGCCTACCAGGCTGGACTGTAGCCACACTCTAACAAGATCTGAGTCTTGACCTTATGGGATGAGTATCTTCTTCCAAACTCTTAGTTTCCTCCTTAGATATCTTCTCCCTTAACCCTATGGATGGTAGCTGTTTCCTGTATTTGCCATTCCTGTATTTTGTGAAATCCCCTTTTATACCTTTTAGTTAACCATCTTTCACTTCTTAATAATTCCATTTTTGAAAGTTTTTCCTGCTCCAATTACTGTTGTGGTTTTTGACTCATAACTAGACTCTCCCTAACATTTCTCAATCTCCTTACCCTGGAGGAATGCTTATAATAATCTTCAAGTCTCAAGGAAACCCTACATAAAAATTATTAAATCTATGGCTTACATTATCAGTAAATTGTAGATGATGGTCAATGTTGTTTAGTAGACAATGTTAGTTTTCTATAGATCTGCTTATTTTGTCTGACTTATTAGTATACCTTTTGCGTGGTTCTCCCTCCTTACAAAGGATAACTCTTATCTAAGTCATTAGTATAAATAGAGAAAACTTTAGTTTTTCCTTTGTTGAAATGTGCTTGATTTTTTACCTTATCCAAGTGGGCCTAAAAGTCTTATAATAAATTTCTACTATGTAAGATATTAATGGGGTATATTATAACATATTTGATGGGCAAAAGTAGTTCTTCACCCTATCTAAAACTAATAATTACTTTATAGCCAACCTTTCTGGGAAAAAAATCGGTAGTTAAGCTTAACTTACCTTTTTAAAAATTAATCTCTTTCTTTTCATGAATTTTTAAAATTTAGAAGGCAGGCTGGGCATGGTGGCTCACACCTTTAATCCCAGCACTTTGGGAGGCAGAAGCGGGCAGATCACCTGAGATCAGGAGTTCAAGACCAGCCAGACCAACATGGTGAAACCCCATCTCTACTCAAAATACAAAAATTAGCAGGGTGAAGTGGCGGGCACTTGTAATCCCATCTACTCGGGAGGCTGAGACAGGAGAATCACTTGAACCTGGGAGGCAGAGGCTGCAGTGAGCCAAGATCACGCCATTGCACTCCAGCCTGGGTGACAGAGCAAGACTCTGTCTCAAAATAAAATAAAATAAATAAATAAATAAAATAAAATAAAATTCAGAAGGCAGATGACAAATTTCTGTTAAATAACTGACAAGCCAAAATGGTGTTTGATTTTTTTCTAAAGGTAGGCTTGGTTGATTTAACTTAAACAAAGACTGCACATTTATTTTGATTAATATTATTCACAACATAAAATTTTATTAACATTTATTGAATAGGTAAGCTATGAAAATCATAAACAAAACCAATATGAATAAAAATCTAGTATAAGATACAATTTTGTACAAGACTTAAAAGAGAACATTTTCTTACTGAGTGACATGATCAAGC
The DNA here is from genome assembly GCF_000001405.40 of Homo sapiens. Lineage (NCBI taxonomy): Eukaryota > Metazoa > Chordata > Mammalia > Primates > Hominidae > Homo > Homo sapiens. Next base: position 162,484,298 of record NC_000001.11, on the reverse strand, counting down.
TTAAATGTAAGCGTGGCAGTGACAAAATCATTATATACAGGTATTGATTTCTTGCATAAAAGTGTTATTTATTCATTTATTTAATAATAGCAATAGGGTCTTGCTATGTTGCCCAGGCTGGTCTCAAACTCCTGGCCTCAAGCAATCCTCTTGCCTCACCCTCCCAAAAATGTTGGGATTACAGGCGTGAGCCACTATGCCCAGCCAAAATTGTTATTTTTGAGGCTAAAAATGAAAAAGAAAATTTTCTTCTTTAATGTGAAACTTGGGCTTGTTTTTTATTGCACAAATAATTCTGAGTTGAAGTTTAATTCTGAATATTGAATTCTGAGTTTAAGATAAGCATACATGGATTTCATTTTCCAGTAAAATGAGACAATTTCTGTCTTTACTCTTCATACTTTCTATACTATAAAAAATTCTCACGGATTTAAGTAGTTAAAAACTGAAGCAAAGCCAGGTGTGGTGGCTCACTCCTGTAATCCCAGCACTTTGGGAGGCTGAGGCGGGTGGATCATTTGAGGTCAGGAGTTCGAGACCAGCCTGGCCAATATGGTGAAACCCCATCTCTACTAAAAATACAAAAATTAACTGGGCGTGGTGGCGGGCACCTGTAATCCCAGCTACTACGGAGGCTGAGGCAGGAGAATCGCTTGAACCCGGGAGGTGGAGGTTGCAGTGAGCCAAGATTGTGCCATTGCACTCCAACCCGGGCAACAGAGCAAGACTCTGTCTCAAAAAACAAAAAAACAAACAACAACCAAAAAAAACTGAAGCAAATTATTGTTTTCCTATGAATAGCAGGATATTTTCATTTTACCAAATTCCAGAACTTGTCTAGGAGCAGGTCAGTAAATCTCATCTTTTGTATATGAACAGATTATACCTTACAGAGCTCTTTCTTGTCTCTCAAAGCCAAGAGTAGACGCATTAGAAAAAAAGATCCCTGGCGGGCGCAGTGGCTCACGCCTGTAATCCCAGCACTTTGGGAGGCCGAGGAGGTGGATCACGAGGTCAGGAGATCAAGATCATCCTGGCTAACACGGTGAAACTCCGTCTCTACCAAAAATATAAAAATTAGCAGGGCGTGGTGGTGGGCGCCTGTAGTCCAGCTACTCGGGAGGCTGAGGCAGGAAAATGGTGTGAACCCAGGAGGCGGAGCTCGCAGTGAGCCGAGATCGCGCCACTGCACTCCAGCCTGGGAGACAGAGCGAGACTCCGTTTCAAAAAAAAAAAAAAAAAAAAAAAAAAAAAAAAAAAAAAAAATCCCTTACCAAGTCACACACTTGGATTGAAAGAAGACAAAACACTGTTCAATTTTGTTATGCATTTCTTTCTGATTTTTAAAAAGCTTTAAATTTTGGCCGGGAGCAATGGCTCACGGCTGTAATCCCGACAGTTTGGGAGGCAGAGGTGGGAGGATCACTTGAGAACAGGAGTTGGAGACCAGCCTGGCCAACTTAGTGAAACCCCACCTCTACTAAAAATTAAAAAAAGTTAGCCAGGTGTGGTGGTGGGCACCTGTAATCCCAGCAACTTGGCAGGCTGAGGCAGGAGAATTGCTTGAACCTGGGAGGTGGAGGTTGCAGTGAGCTGAGATCACGCCACTGCACTCCAGCGTGGGCGACAGAGCAAGATTCCGCCGCAAAAAAAAAAGAAAAAAAATGTTTTAAATTTTTAATTATTATGGGCACGTAATAGTTGTATATATTTATGGGGTACATATGATGATTTGCAACAAGCATATAATATGAAATGATCAAATCACAGTCATTGGGGTATCCATCACCTCAAGCATTTATCATTTCTTTGTGTTAGGAACATTCAAATTTCACTATTTTTGTTATTTTTTAACTTACAATAGATTATTGTTAACTATAGTCACCCTATTGTGCTCTGAATGCTAGATCTTATTTATCGTATCTAACTGTATCTTTGTACTTACTCTAACTGTATTTTTGCATCCCCTCCCTACTACCCTTCCTATCCTCTAGTAATCATCATTCTACTCTGTCTCCAAGAGTTCATTTAAAATAATTTTTAACTCCCACTTAGGAGAGAGAACATGTGAAATTTGTCTTTCTGTGCCTGACTTATTTCACATAACATGATGCCCTACAGGTTCATCCATGTTGTTGCAAATGATTGGATCTCTTTCTGTTGAATGGCCAAATAATATTTTATTATGCACATGTACCATATTTCTTTATGCATTCATCCACTGATGGGCACTTCGGCTGATTCTGTATCTTGACTATTGTGAATAGTGCTGCAATGAACATGGGAGTGCAGGTATTCCTTCCATATACTGATTTCCTTTCTTTCAGGTATATACCTAGCAGTGGGATAGCTGGTATGGTACCTCTGTTTTTTGTTTTTAGAGGAATCTTCATACCGTTCTCCACAGTGGTTGTACTAATTTACATTTCCACCAACAGTGTAGAAGGGTTCCTCTTTCTCCACATGCTCACCAGCATTCATTATTGCCTATCTTTTGGATAAAAGCTATTTTAACTGGGCGGAGTGAGATGATATCTTATTGTAATTTTTATTTACATTTTTCTGTGATTAGTGATGTTGAGCATTTTCTTTTTATACCTGTTGATCATTTACATGTCTTCTTTTGAGAAACATCTATTCAGATCTTTTGCCTACTTTTTAATGGATTATTTGTTTTTTTTTTTTTCGTAATGAGTTGTTTGAGCTCCTTATATATTCTGGTTATTAATCCCTTTTCAGATGGGTAGTTTGCAAACATTTTCTCCCATTCTGTGGGTTGTCTCTTTATTGTGTTGATTGTTTCCATTGCTGTGCAAAAGCTTCTTAGCTTCATCTGTCCATTTTTGCTTCAGTTGCCTATGCTTTTGAGGTATTACTCAAGAAATCTTTGTCCAGATCAATGTCCCAGAGTGTTTAGCCAACATTTTCTCTTAGTAGTTTTATAGTTTCAGGCCTTAGATTTAAGTCTTTAATCTTTTTCATTGTTGTTGTTGTTGAGATGGAGTCTTGGAGTCCCACTCAGTCACCCAGGCTAGAGTGCAGTAGTATGATCTTGGCTCACTGCAACCTCCGCCCCCCAGGGTTCAAGTGATTCTCACGTTTCAACCTCCTGAGTAGCTGAGATTACAGGTGCACGCCACCATGCCCGGCTAATTTTTAGTAGAGACAGGGTTTTGCCATGTTGGCCAGGCTGGTCTCAAACTCCTGACTTCAAGTGATCCACCCACCTCGGCCTCCCAAAGTGCTAGGATTATAGGCGTGAGCCATCATGCCTGGCCTTTAATCCATTTTGATTTCAATTTTGTATATGGCAAAAGATAGGGGTCTAGTTTCATTCTTTTGTATATGGATATCCAGTTTTCTCAGCACAATTTATTGACGAGACTGTTCTTTCCCCAATGTATGTTCTTGGCACCTTTGTCAAAAATGAGTTTACTGTAAATGTGTGGATTTATTTATGGGTTCTCTATTCTGTTGTATTGGTCTATGTGTCCATATTTATGCTAGTACCATGCTGTTTGGGTTACTATAGTTCTGTAGTATAATTTGAAGTCAGGTAATACGACTTTTTTTTTTTTTTTTAGGTTTTTCTAGTTTTTTGATGTAGGCATTTATTGCTATAAAATTTTCTTAGTACTGTTTTGCTGTATCCTATAGGTTTTGGTATATTGTGTTTCCATGTTTCATTTGTTTCAATACATTTTTTAATATCTCTCCTAATTTGTCATTGGCTCAGTGATCCTTTAGGAGCATATTGTTTAATTTCCATATGTTTGTATAGTTTCTGAAGTTCTTCTTGTTCTTGATTTCTAGTTTTATTTCATTGTGGTTAGAGAAGATACTTGATATGATTTCAATTTAAAAAAAAATTTTAAGACTTGTCTCATGGTCTAACATATGGTCTATCCTTGAGAGTGATTCATGTGCCAAGAAGAATGTGTATCCTCCGGCAGTTGGATGAAATGTTCTGTAAACGTCTTTTAGGTCCATGTTTTGGTGCAGATTAGGTCAGAAGTTTCTTTCTTTTTTTTTTTTTGAAACGGAGTCTTGCTCTGTTGTCCAGGCTGGAGTGCAGTGGCACAATCTAGGCCCACTGCAACCTCCTCCTCTTGGGTTCAAGTGAATCTCCTGCCTCAGCCTCCCGAGTAGCTGGGACTACAGGTGTGTGCCACCATGCCCGGCTAATTTTTTCTATTTTTAGTAGAGACAGGGTTTCACCATGTTAGCCAGGATGGTCTTGATCTCCTGACCTTGTGATCCGCCTGCCTCGGCCTCCTAAAGTGCTGAGATTACAGGTGTGAGCCACCAAGCCCGACCTCTTTTTTTTTTTTAAATTATATTTTAAGTTCTGGGATACATGTGCAGAACGTGCACGTTTGTTACATAGGTATACATGTGCCATGGTGGTTTGCTGCACCCATCAACCTGTCGTCTACATTAGGTATTTCTCCTAATGCTATCCCTCCCCTAGGTTGGATGTTTCTTTGTTGATTTTCTGTCTGGATGATGTGTCCAGTGCTGAAAGTGGGGGTTAAGGTCTTCAGCTATTATTGTATCAAGGCCTTTCTATTATTGTATCGAGGCCTTTCTTTCTTTTAGCACTAATAATATTCACTTTATATATCTCCAGTGTCGAGTGTATGTATACTTACAATCATATCCTCTTGCTGAATTTACCCCTTTATCCTTTTTTTTTTTTTGGACCGGAGTCTTGCTCTGTCACCCAGGCTAGAGCGCAGTGGTATGATCTCAGCTCACTGCAACCTCCGCCTTCCGGGTTCAAGCAATTCTCCCTGCCTCAGCCCCCTCAAGTAGCTGGGATTACAGGCGCCCACCATCACGGCCAGCTAATTTTTGTATTTTTAGTAGAGATGGGGTTTCACCATTTGGCCAGGCTGGTCTCGAACTGTTGACCTCGTGATCCACCCGCCTTAGCCTCCCAAAGTGCTGGGATTACAGGCATGAGCCACTGCGCCCGGCCAGTTTTTGTATTTTTTAGTAGAGACGGGGTTTCACCATGTTGGCAAAACTCCTGACCTCAGGTGATCCACCTGCCTCAGCCTCCCCAAGTGCTGAGATTACAGGTGTGAGCCACCATGCATGGCCCCTTTATCATTTTGTAATGACCTTCTTTGTCTCTCTTTACACTTTCATGTTTAAATATATTTTATCTGATGTAAATATAGCTACTTTTGCTCTTTTTTGGCTTTCGTTTGCATGGAATATCCTTTTCTACCCCTTCATTTTCAGTCTATGAATGTCTTTGTAGATGAAGTGAGTTTCTTATAAGCAGCATATACTTTGAGTCTTATTTTTTATTCATTTAAGCACTCTATGTCTTTTTTTTTTTTCTGTTTTTTGAAACAGTCTCACTCTGTCACTCAGGCTGAAGTGCAGTGGTACAATCACAGCTCACTGTAGCCTCAACCTCCCGGGCTCAAATGATCCTCCTACCTCAGCCTCTTGAATAGCTGGGACTGCAGGAACACACCACTATGCCAGGCTAATTTTTTCTTTCTTTCTTTCTTTTCTTTTTGATAGAGATAGAATTTTGTCATGTTGCCCAGGCTGGTCTTGAACTCCTGGGCTCAAGCAATCCACCTGCCTCGACATTCCAAGGTGTTAGGATTACAAGCGTGAGCCACCACACCTGGTCACTATGTGTCTTTTGATGGGAAAATTTAGGACATTCATATTCAGTGTTATTATTGATAGGTAAAGACTTACTATTGTCATTTTGTTTATTTGCTTTCTGGTTGTTTTGTTGGTCTTTCCTTCCTTCTTTCCCCTTCCCCTTCCCTTTCCTTCATTCCTGCCTTCCTGCCTTCCTTTGTGTAAAAGTAATTTTCCCTGGTAATATGTTTTAACTTCTTGCTTTTTATCTTTTAATGTATTTGTTACAGATTTTTGATTTGAGGTTACCATAAGGCTTCCAAATAATATCTTACAATCCATGATTTTAAACTAATGACAACTTAACTCTGATTACAAAAAAAGAGAAACCAGCAAAGAGAAAACTAAAACACTTTACACTTTAACACCACCACCCTCTTTTTGACTTTTTGTTGTCTCTGTAACATTTTATACTATCTGTCTCCTAAAAAGTTGTTGTTATTGTTTTTGATACGTGTCTCTTAGTCCTTTTACTCAAGATATGTGTGGTTTATGTAAGCAATTGTAGTGTTATACCACTCTGTTTTTGTCTGTGTACTTACTATAATAAATGAGTTTTATACCTTCATATGATTTCTTGTTGTTTATTAATGCCCTTTTCTTTCAGATTGAGAACTCCCTTTAGCATTTCTTGTAGGACTAGTCTCATGTTGATGAAATCCTTCAGTTTTTGTTTGACTGGGGAAGACTTTATTTCTCCTTCATGTTTGAAGGATATTTTTGCTGTTTATAATATTCCATAATGAAAAATTTTTCCTTCAGCCCTTTGAGCATGTCATTCCACTTTCTCCTGGCCTGTAAGATTTCCCCTGAGAAGACTGGTACCAGATGTATCAGAGCTCTTTTATATGTTTGTTTATTTTATCTTACTGCTTTTAGAATTCTTTTTTTTTTTTGTGACAGAGTCTCGCTTCATCACCCAGGCTGGAGTGCAGGGGTGCGATCTCGGCTCACTGCAAGCTCCACCTCCCGGGTTCATGCCATTCTCCTGCCTCAGCCTCTCGAGTAGCTGGGACTACAGGCGCCCGCCACCGCGCCCAGCTAATTTTCTGTATTTTTGGTAGAGATGAGGTTTCACCATGGTGAGACCTCGTGATCCGCCTGCCTCGGCCTCCCAAAGTGTTGGGATTACAGGCGTGAGAGAATCCTTTCTTATACTTGACTTTTGAGAGTTTGATTATTAAATACCTTGAGGCTGTCTTATTAGGGTTGAGTGTTCTTGGTGTTCCATGACCTTCTTGTACCTGAATATTGATATCTTTCTCTAGGTTTGAAAAGTTCTCCGTTGTTACTTTTTTTTTAATTTTTTTGAGGCAGGTCTTGCTCTGTCACCCAGGCTGGAGTGCAGTGGTGCGATTTTGGCTCACCATAACCTCTGCCTCTCAGGATCAAGTGATTCTCGTGCCTCTGCCTCTTGAGTGGCTGGGATGACAGACGTGCACCACCATGGCCCAGCTAATTTTTTGTATTTTTAGTAGAAATGGTGTTTCACCATGTTGGCCAGGCCGGTCTCGAACTCATGGCTTCAAATGATCCGCCTATCTTGGCCTCCCAAAGTTCTGGGATTACTGGCAGGAGCCACCATGCCCGGCCTGTTTTTACTTCTTTGAATAAACTTTATACCTCAATCATTATCTCTAACTTCTGTTTAAGGCCAAGAACTCTTAGGTTTGCCCTTTTGAGGTGATTTTCTAGGTTTTATATGCATGCTTCATTCTTTTCTATTCTTTTTTCTTTTTTCTCCTTTGACTGTGTATTTTCATATAACTTGTCTTCAAGCTCACTAATTCTCTCTTCTGCTTCATGAATTTTGCTGTTGAGAGACTCTGATGCATTTTTCAGTTTGTCAATTGAATTTTTCAGCTTCAGCACTTTTGCTTGATTTTTTAAAATTATTTTGATTTATTTGTTAAATTTATCTGATAGAATTCTGAATTCCTTCTCTGCTTTGTGTTATCATGACGTTCATTGAGCTTCCTCAAGACAGCTATTTTGAAGTCTTTGTCTGAAAGGTCACATATAGCCGGGTGCGTTGGTTCACACATGTAATCCCAGCACTTTGGGAGACTGAGGCAAGCAGATCACTTGAGATCAGGAGTTCAAGAACAGCCTAGGCAACATGGTGAAACCCCGTCTCTACCAAAAATACAAAAATTAGCCGGGCATGATGGCACATGCCTGTAACCCCAGCTACTCGGGAGGCTGCGGCAGGAGAATCACTTGAACCCAGGAGGCGGAGGTTGTAGTGAGCCGAGATTGCACCACTGCACTCCAGTCTGGGTGACAGAGCGACACTCTGTCTCAAAAAGAAAAGAAAAAAAAATTAAAAATAAGTAAATAAATAAATAAATAAAATGAAAGGTCACATATCTCCATCACTCTGGGATTAGTCAGTGGTATCTTATTTATTTCATTTGGCGAGGTCATATTTTCCTGGATGTTCCCGATGCTTGTGATGCTTATTAATATCTGGGCATTGAAGAGTTAGGTATTTATTCCAATCTTCACAGTCTGGGCTTATTTGTACCTGTCTTTCTTGAGAAGACTTTCCATCTATTGAAAGGGAGTTGAGTGTTGTCATGTGAGACTGTGATCGCTGCAGCCATTATCAGCATTAGGGGGTGCCCTCGAGCTCAGTAACATTGTGACTCTTGCAGACTCAGAGGAATCACCTTGGTTGGCCTCGGTAAGATCAAGGAGAATTCCCTAGATTACCAGGCAAAGTCTTTCACTCTCTTCCCTCACTTTCCGCTAATCAGAAGGAATCTCTCTCTGTGCTGAGCTGCCTGAAATTGAGGAAGGAATGATGCAGGCACTCCTGTGACCCCCACAGCTGCTACTGCTGTGTATCACACCTGAAGCCAGTACGGTACTGGGTCTTGCCCAAGGCCCATGGTAACTACTGCCTGGCTACCACTGATGTATATGCAAATTCCAAGGGCTTCTTAGTCAGCAGGTGATGAATCTTGTAAAGACTGGGTCCTTTCCTTCAGGTCAGCAGGTTCCCTTCTGGCCCAGGGTGTACCTAGTAATGTTGTCTGGGAGGTAGGGCCTGAAATGGTGGCTTCAGGAATCTGCTTGGTACTTTATTTTACTATGGCTGAGCTGGTACCAAAGTTGCAAGACAAAGTCCTCTGTACTCTGCCCCTACCTTTGCCCAAGCAGAAGTCTCTCCCTAAGCTGTACTGCCTGAGGTTGGGAGAGGGATAATACAGGCACTACCTTGGTCACCACTCCTGGTGTCTCACTGGGTCACACACACCAAATCTACTGCCTTCAAGCTCAGTGCAGCAGCATCGCTTGCCCAGGGACTGTAGTCCCAGTGGCCTGGCTACCACTCAAGTTTGTTCTGGGCCCCAGGCCACTTTACTCAGCCAGTGGTGGAGCCAGCCAGAACTCGATTTCCTCCTGCCAGGGCTGATCTAAATGCTACCTCCATGGGTGCTGGCAGAATTCTGCCTTGTGTTGTCTTCCACTGTGACAGGGCAGCACTAAGCTCCAATGCAAAGTCCCACAATCAGCCCACCTTGGCCTCCCAAAGTGCTGAGATTACAGGCATGAGCCACCGCACCCTGCCCATACCTTCCTTTTTAGACACAAAAATGAATACTTCATATTTCCTGGCCTTTTCTTGTTTCAGTCAGTTCTTTGCAGCAGAAAAGATTTTCTTAAATCTTACCATCTTTTTTTTTTTTTTTTTCTGAGACAGAATTTCGCTCTTGTTGCCCAGGCTGGAGTGCAATGGTGTGATCTCAGCTCACCGCAACCTCCGCCTCCCAGGTTCAAGCGATTCTCCTGCCTCAGCCTCCCAAGTAGCTGGCATTACAGGCATGCACCATCATGCCCATCTAATTTTGTATTTTTAGTAGAGAAGGGGTTTCTTCATGTTGGTCAGGCTGGTCGCAAACTCCCAACCTCAGGTGATCCACCTGCCTCGGCCTCCCCAAAGTGCTGGGATTACAGGGGTGAGCCACCACGCCCAGCAAATCTTGCCATCATTTAAAATCCTAAAACTGCTACGCATATTTATTTTTGAACTCTGTTGACTTATCATCCTAAATAAAAAAATTTGTGTTCTCTAGTTTTTTTTTGTTTTTTGAGATGGAATCTCACTCTGTCACCCAGGCTGGAGTGCAGTGGCACAATCTCGGCTCACTGCAACCTCCGCCTCCCGGGTTCAAGCAATTCTCCTGCCTCAGCCTCCTAAGTAGCTGCAACTACAGGCACATGCCACCACGCCCGTCTAATTTTTTGTATTTTAGTAGAGATGGGGTTTCACCGTATTAGCCAGGATGGTCTCGATTTCCTGACCTTGTGATCCACCCACCTTGGCCTCCCAAAGTGCTGGGATTACAGGCGTGAGCCACCGCGCCCGGCCATTCTCTAGTTTTTTCTACACGAAATATCCTCAATGTCATATAACTTGTTATCAATACGTGGATTTATTGTATTGTTTGAGCTTCCCAGTTTTTCCTACTGCATGTGGTAGGCTAAGTAATGGCCCCTAAAGTTATTCCTGGAACCTGCGGTTGTTAACTCTACTTCATTTCCGCATCACTGTCTCCTGTGTCAACTCTCCTTCTGCCTCCCTCTCATAAGAACACCTGACTCCCTTTAGAGCCCATCCATATAATACAAGATAATCTCCCCATTTCAAAATCCTTAACTTTATCATATCCACAATGACCCTTTTTCCGAATAAGACAACACTCATAAGGTCCAGGAATTAGGATGTGGACATATGTTTGGGAGGCATTCAACAATGGACAGTTTGGATTATCATCCTATGTAAAACCTATTGATAATCAGCTTCCATTTTAAATATGAACTTCTGTCATTGTCATTATTGTACTAGTACAGTGAAGTGATTCAGAAGGTAGTAATTTTTTATTGCTAGTCTTAGCAGAACTTTCCACAGGCCTAGGCCTAGCACTAACATTTTCACAACTCAACTTCAAAAAATGCCACGTGACCATCAGACATATTGGTAAAACATAATTGCTAATTTAAAATGGAAGAGCATTATAAATAAATGAGAATATTATAAGAAATATGAGGCCGGGCGCAGTGGCTCATGCCTGTAATCCCAGCACTTTGGGAGGCTGAGGTGGGCGGATCACGAGGTCAGGAGATCGAGACCATCCTGGCTAACGCGGTGAAACCCCGTCTCTACTAAAAACACAAAAAATTAGCCGGGCGTACTGGCGGGTGCCTGTAGTCCCAGCTACTCGGGAGGCTGAGGCAGGAGAATGGTGTGAACCCGGGAGGCGGAGCTTGCAGTGAGCGGAGATCGCGCCACTGCACTCCAGCCTGGGCGACAGAGCGAGACTCCGTCTCAAAAAAAAAAAAAGAAAGAAATATGAAAACCTCACAATACAGTTTACTTCCAACCGAAATCATCCACATTTTGCAATGTTTACAATGGCAAAGCTGCAAAGAGTAGCTGAATCATGGCACATAAATGTCCCTCCTTTAGAATAAAAAATTCCCTGTGAGTTGTTTGTTTGTTTGTTTGAGATGGAGTCTCACTCTGTCACCCAGGCTGGAGAGCAATGGCGTGATCTCGGCTCACTGCAACCTCCGCCTCCCAGGTTCAAGCGATTCTCCTGCCTCAGCCTCTGGAGTAGTTGGGATTACAGGTGCCCACCACCACTCCCAGCTAATTTTTGTATTTTTAGTAGAGACGGGGTTTCGCCATGTTGGTCAGGCTAGTCTTGAACTCCTGACCTCAGGTGATCCTCCCGCCTCAGCTTCCCAAAGTGCTGGGATTACAGGCTTGATCCACCACACCCGGCCGAGTTTTTATTACATTGATGAAATTTGCTCCCATAAAAGCAGTTGGTGGCTTAGTAGCTTGTAAGAGAGATTGGGCGAGACAATTTGGGAGGGAGAGGTTGATGTCATCAGTCTCCGGTCCTTCCCTCTGTGCAATATAGCAATCACCAATTATCACATCAAAAACTGACAATGAGCCAACTAAATAAACATGGCCTTACCCTGTGCCAACCTATGGGGCTGACCCCATAGGTTGACCTCTTAATGTAATTGCTAACATAGTTTTGGGGTACTGTCCATCACTGTGAGCACTAGCATTGGGCAGTGTATAATGTACCAAAAATGATAGGTTTGTTTTTCAATCACAATTTTTTGCTGGACCATTGGGGTTCCATTGGGTTCCACTGAAACTTGGCTGAAATCCTAATTTAGACATTTGTGTGTAGTAAGCCAAGAACACCTGACTTTTAGTTTTCTTTTCTTTTTTGTTTTTTTTCTTCTTCTTATATACATATTCTTGGTACATCAGCATCCCTCCACCTCAGCCTCGTAAGTAGCTGGAACTACAGGAACGTACCACCATGCCCGGCTAATTTTTTAAATTTTTTTTGTAGAGATGAGGTTGCACTATGTTGTCCAGGCTGACATTGAACTCCTGGGCTCAAGTGATCCTTAACACCTTGGCCTCCCAAAATGCTGGGATAATAGGTGAGAGCCACTGCACCTGGCCAGCAGGCTTCTCTTAATACAAGAAATGTGGACAGCCATGGGCTTAGGATATTTCAGGTACATATCTACATTGATGAGGGGGATCACTTGAAATCCATTAATATGGAGGAATAATCAAGATACCTTATTTTAAGTAAATAGAATGAAAAAAAAATAAGAATGTTAAGCTAATAGGACTGGTAAAACACAAACTGAATTGACTAGAACTAGAAATGTCAAACTTTAAGAATGTCCAGGACTCTGATTTTAAATATCAAATAATTCTTCCAGAACCTATGGGATCAATCTTTGTGTGTTTTTCAATTTCTTTAATTCCAAACACTCTCTTCTTTTATTATCAAACAAGAGACCCACAACACATTTTGACATACCTGATGATTTTCCCAGGTGTGGCTTTCTCCCTTTTACCTATTTCACTGCTTCATTGACTGAATTATCTGTTCTTCACTTTCACTCTCATTGCCCCCAATAATTATCCTCAGTCAAGTACTTTCTCGTTTTGTCTTCCCTCCCGTTAGCACTCCCATCCCCCTTGAAGTGCAACTATCAGTGATGTTAAGCTGGAGGGAACCATGGAGATCATCTAATCAAACTCCTTTGTTTTGCGGATGAGGAAACAGAAGCTCAGAAAGACTGGTTCAGACGAGTTAGAGGCAGAACCAAGACCACAACTTTTTTCTCCCACATGCTTCCACAGCTCCCCTGCCCACCTCACCTCTTCATTCACCAACTCTTTACATTGCAGCAACGAGGCAGAATAGTGAACCGAATAGTTTATGTAGTAAATAATCACAAAGTAATCCAGACAAAAAGCAGGGAGGCAATTAGAATTGTTAAAAATAGGGCCTCCAAAAAATATTCAGAGCTAATTTCAAATCCTGGTTTTTCTACTAACTGTGTAACCTTAAGGAAGTCACTGAACCCCCTGTTTCTCTGTCTGAAAAATGGGGATAATAGTAGTTGCCTTAGGATTTTGGAGATTAAATCTAGTGATATCTACACAATGTTGTACGGCATATGAGTCAGAAACTGCATTTGGGTTCATGTAAGAGAGAATCCAAATAACAGAGGCTTAACTATCTCACATCCATTAGGATGACCACCATAAAAAAAGAGAAAGAAAAAAAAAAAGAACAAGTGTTTGTGAGAAATTGGAATCCTTGTGCACTCTTGGTGGGAATGTAAAATGGCCCACTTGCTGTGAAAACCAGAATGTGGTTCCTCAAAAAGTTAAAAATAGAATTATCATGTTTTAGCAATTTCACTTCTGGTTATATACTCCCAAAGAATGTAAAGCAGGGTCCCAAAGCAGTGTTTGTGTACCCATTGTATACCCATGTTAATAGCAGCATTATGCACAATGTTCAAAAAGGTGGAAGCAACCCAAGTGTCCATCAGTGGATGAATGGATAAAAAAAAGGCGGTGTATACACATAACGCAGTTTTATTCAGCCTTCACAAGGAAGAAAATTCTGACGTGCTCCAACATGAATGAACCTTGAAGACATAATACTAAGTAAAATGAGCCCATCACAAAAAGACAAAAGCTGTGTGATTCCACTTACATAAGGTACCTAGAGTAATCGAATTCATTGAGACAGAAAGTAGAATGGTGGCTGCCAGGGGCTGGGGAAAGGAGAGACTGGGGAGTTTTTTAAGGAGTATAGAGTTTCAATTTTGCGAGATAAGAAGAGTTCCAGAGATGGTTGGTGGTAATGGTTGCACAACAATGTGAATGTACTTAACATTATCTACTTGTGCAACTAAAAATGGCTTTCATGGTAAACTATATGTTATGCATAGTTTACCAAAAATAAAAAACAATTCTGCTACAACAAATAAACAGTACATCTTATAAAAAACAAGAATAGTAACAGAGGCTTAATCAAACAGAGATTTATTTTTCTCATGGAACAAGAAGGCTGGGGGAAGGCAGTAGAAAGCCAGAATGGACTTCTTTTATGCCATTAGGGACCCAGGAGCCTTCTGCCTTTCTGCTGTGCCAGTATTAGTGAGGTAGACCTGTTTCTGTCCCTCTGCATCCATTCTCTTGTTCTTCTGTTACTAATAGAATTTTGCCTGGATTTCCTGGCCTCTCTCTCAGCTCGGTGAGGTCATGTGACTAAGTAGAAGCTAATGGGGTATGAATGGAAATAATGTGTACCCCTGTGGGTCTTAACATCATCAGAACCAGGTGTGTGCTTTCTTGGTCTCTACCCACCTTCCCAAAGGCCATGAAATGTTGAAGGTGAAGAAAATGCATTCATCACAGAGATGGAAGCCACATCGTGAATGGCAGAGGCCTGAATTGCAAACTCTAGAGACAGAGAAATAAACTCTCTTATCTAAGACACTGTACTTTCAGTCTCTTTGTCACAGCCGATTAGCCTATAGCCCAATTAACATATAGACTGACCCTAACTTCTGATGGCTGGACTTAAAAATTTTGGACTTCATGATGGTATGCATCAGTAGAAATTGTATATCAAGTACTCATCAGCCATTGTGTTTTCACTTACAGTACAGTAGTCAATAAATTACATAAGATATTCAAAACTTTTTTATATAATAGGCTTTGTGTTAGATGGTTTTGTCCAACTCTAGGCTAACATTAGTGTTCTCAGTGCGTTTAAGGTACGCTAGGCTAAGCTATGGTGTTCTGTAGGTTAGGTGTACTACATTAATTTTTTTCTGAGAGATGGCATCTCACTGTGTTTCCCAAGCTGGTGTCAAACTCCTGGGACCAAACAATTCTCCTGCTTCAGCCTCCTAAAGTGCTGGGATTACAGGCGTAAGCCACTGTGCCCACCCTGATGCATTTTTGACTTCCGATGTTTTCAACTTACGATGGATTTATTGGGACGTAAACCAAGGAGCATCTGTATTAGCACCTGGTTTTCATTGTCTCAGTTGCTTCACGGGTACAACATAGCTAATTCATCTTCAATTTATGTTTGTATTCCATACATGAATAAGGAAATGACAGGGAAGAAGATGCAATGTCTATGGGAGACAAGCAACTTCCCAGCAATTCCCTGGCAATTACGTATCAAGGTCTTATTGACCAGACCTGTGTAGTGTGGCCACCCCTAGCTGCAAGAGAGGCTAGGTGTGTGAAGTTCTTTTTCTTTGTGCACATCATTGTCTTAAAATAAGGATTCTATTAGTAAGGAAGGTGTTAATTAGTAAGGAAGGTGGATATTGGGTGGCAATTATTAGTGTAAGCCACAGTAAGTAACAACAATGGTTTATTATTATTAAAATACTATTACATTATCATAATTAACAAATTCATCATTGGGATCTGGTCAAAATTAATTTTCCAGTGTTAACTTTGAAGGTATTGATATTTTCATTTGAACCACCATAGAATTTGACAAAGACTAGGCGCTTGTTATAACAAGACAATTATGTAATTATTATAGCTCTGTTTATTCATTTGTTTATTCATATTCTTCTGTACTTACTAAGTGCCAGTCATTGTATTAGCTATTAAACAAAAGGAAGAGAGCAACATGGGGACATAAGTCATAATCTTGATACAAAACCAGGATAGTTCAAGAAAGGAAATGTATAGACCTGTCTCACTCATGAGCATAATTCCAAATATCTTAAACAAAATAACTGGCAAAATTATACTGAGCAAAAGACTTACACAGATTACTTACCTTATGATTCCACTTATAGGACATTTTCCAAAGGTCAAAACTAATTTACGGTGAGAAAAATCATAAATGTGTTTGTCTCTGGTCGGGTTGGGGCAGAAATGGACTGGGATGAGACACAAATAAATTTTAAGGATAATGGTAGTGTTTCATATCTTGATAAAAATTTGATTTTCACAATGTACATATTTAAGTTTCACAGTTTATGTATTTGGAGTTGATACCATTCAAGAATGCTAAAGCCAAACACCTCTATTATGTTGAAGAGTAACTCTTGCGGTATAATGCAGAAAATGTCCTAGAGGATGGTGAGACTCCTCTCCTGCATTCAGTTAGCATTTACTGAATGCCTGCTCTGTACATATTGTGTGTTAGGTGCTAGGGACAAAAAAATTGTGTTAAGATAGAGTTCTTGTCTTAAATAAGTGATTCTTAAACTAGAGGTTTTTATCAGATGCCTTGGGGAGCTAAAAAAAAAAAAAAAAAAAAAGGCTGGAAGCAGACCAAGTATAAATATGCACAAATACTGTTATTAGAAACAGTTAAAAAGATAGAATCTGGATTCTAAAGTGTTAAAGAGGATGCAGCGAGTGTAGAATATATGTAAATGGTTTGGCAGAATATTCTTTCTCATTTCAGATAATTTTATACTTAACAGCCATGATTACAACATATGTCTATTCTAACACTGCTCAATAGCTACATTTCATAAGCTTGTGATAAAATTGGGTAAAAAGATACAGGATTTTTTTTTTCTTTGAGCTTTTCTGTAAACATAACTCCCCATTATAAGTATCTGACTCCCCATTGTAAGTATCAGAAATGTACTCTATCCTTGAATTATGCAAATCCGTGTCTCTTTTGTTCTCAAAAGAACCACCTGCATATTTAAAGCTGTCATCATTCATTCATTCATTTCATAATGAATGAATGAATTGAACATTCATTCATAAATTCATAATTTAAAGGTGTCATAATTCATTCATTCATTTATTCATTCATTCATTTCACAGGTATTTTTGGTGAGTCCATAGAACAGACACCGTTCCAGGAACTTGAGATACATCAGTGAACAGAATTAAGGTCCTTGACTTCGTTCAGCTTATGTTCTACCCAGAGAATTCAGACAAAAACAATACTCTTAATAGGTTAGTAAATTATATAGTAGGTACAAAAGTTATAAGTGCATTAATAAAACATTATGTTTTAATTTTAAAAAGCAGAGTAAGGGAAACCAAGAGTGCCTGAAGGTGGGGTGAGGGGAGCTACAATTTTCAGAGGAGCAGTCTAGGCAGGACTCATTGAGATGACAGCATTTAAACAAAGACTTAAAGGAGGTGAGAGAATTAGCTATGTGAATCTGCAGAAGGAGCCATCCTGCAGCAAGAACAGCCAGTGTGAAGGCTTAGTTTCTGAGGCACGCCAAGTGTGCTTAAGAGGGACTGGGCAGCCAGGGTGGCTGAGGCTGAGTGAGCAAGAGGGAGGGTAGGAGATGAGGCCAGAGAGGAGCGGGGCAGTGGAACAGATCATCAGGGCTTCGTAGCCTAGTAGAGCATTTGACTTTTACTGTAAGTGAAAGGGGAAATGGTTTGCAGGGGTTTTTTTGTTTGTTTGTTTGTTTGTTTGTTTTTATTTTTATTTATTTATTTTTTTATTGTTCATTCTTGGGTGTTTCTCGCAGAGGGGGATTTGTCAGGGTCATAGGACAATAGTGGAGGGAAGGTCAGCAGATAAACAAGTGAACAAAGGTCTCTGGTTTTCCTAGGCAGAGGACCCTGCGGCCTTCCGCAGTGTTTGTGTCCCTGGGTACTTGAGATTAGGGAGTGGTGATGACTCTTAAGGAGCATGCTGCCTTCAAGCATCTGTTTAACAAAGCACATCTTGCACCGCCCTTAATCCATTTAACCCTGAGTGGACACAGCACATGTTTCAGAGAGCACAGGGTTGGGGGCAAGGTCACAGATCAACAGGATAAGAATTTTTCTTAGTACAGAGCAAAACAAAAAGTCTCCCATGTCTACCTCTCTCCACACAGACACGGCAACCATCCGATTTCTCAATCCTTTCCCCACCTTTCCCCCCTTTCTACTCCACAAAACCGCCATTGTCATCATGGCCCGTTCTCAATGAGCTGCTGGGCACACCTCCCAGACGGGGTGGTGGCCGGGCAGAGGGGCTCCTCACTTCCCAGTAGGGGCAGCCAGGCAGAGGCGCCCCTCACCTCCCGGACGGGGCGGCTGGCCGGGCGGGGGGCTGACCCCCCCACCTCCCTCCCGGACGGGGTGGCTGGCCGGGCAGAGGGGCTCCTCACTTCCCAGTAGGGGCGGCCGGGCAGAGGCGCCCCTCACCTCCCAGACGGGGTTGCGGCGGGGTAGAGGCGCTCCTCACATCCCAGACGGGGCGGCGGGGCAGAGGCGCTCCCCACATCTCAGACGATGGGCGGCCGGGCACAGACGCTCCTCACTTCCTAGATGGGATGGCGGCCGGGAAGAGGCGCTCCTCACTTCCTAGATGGGATGGCGGCCGGGCAGAGACGCTCCTCACTTTCCAGACTGGGCAGCCAGGCAGAGGGGCTCCTCACGTCCCAGACGATGGGCGGCCAGGCAGAGACGCTCCTCACTTCCCAGACGGGGTGGCAGCTGGGCAGAGGCTGCAATCTCGGCACTTTGGGAGGCCAAGGCAGGCGGCTGGGAGGTGGAGGTTGTAGCGAGCCGAGATCACGCCACTGCACTCCAGCCTGGGCACCATTGAGCACTGAGTGAACCAGACTCTGTCTGCAACCCCGGCACCTCGGGAGGCCGAGGCTGGCGGATCACTCGCGGTTAGGAGCTGGAGACCAGCCTGGCCAACACAGCGAAACCCCGTCTCCACCAAAAAAGTACGAAAACCAGTCAGGCGTGGCGGCGCGCGCCTGCAATCGCAGGCACTCGGCAGGCCGAGGCAGGAGAATCAGGCAGGGAGGTTGCAGTGAGCCGAGATGGCAGCAGTACAGTCCAGCTTCGGCTCGGCATCAGAGGGAGACCGTGGAAAGAGAGGGAGACCGTGGGGAGACGGAGAGGGAGAGGGAGAGGGAGAGGGAGAGGGAGAGGTTGAGGTTTGCAGGGTTTTGAGCAAAGGAAAAACAAGGTCTGATTAAACTTTTTTTTTTTTTTTTTTTTTAGAAAGGGTCTCTGCCACCCAGGCTGAAGTGCAGTGGTGTGATCTCAGCTTACTGCAGCATCCACCTCCAGAGCTCAAGCGATCCTGCCACCTCAGCCTCCCAAGTAGCTGGGACTAAAGGTGTGCACAACCATGCCCAGATGATTTCTGTATCTTCTGTATAGACGAGGTTTCATCATATTGCTCAGGCTGGTCTTGAACTTCTGGGCTCAAGTGATCCTCCCACTTTGGCCTCCCAAAGTGCTGGGATTACAGGTGTGAACCACTGCACCCTGCCTGACTAAACTGTTAAAAGATCTCTTTGATGGTTATGTTGAGAATAGATGGAAAAAGAGCAAAACTATAAGCAGAGAGACAATAGGAGGCTATTCCAGTAATCCAGATATCGGAGGGACCTAAATCTGTCTTGCAGCCTGTTCTCTTGCCTATCAGAGACACAAAGAGACAGAGGCATATCACTGAGGGATGTGGTGAAAGAAGTAACAAGCACAAATCTGGGAGGCGGTCTCCCAGCTTTTTAGTGTTACCACATATAAGTGTATTTGTTCACCTGGTGAGTTAGCTTACTAGAGAGGTAACAGCTCCTAGGTGTAAGACCCAATACAGGTCTTATCTTACACCTAAGCCTGATAATGACAAGATCTGGGCACCAACAAAGTAGCACTGGGGAGACTGGCCAGGGCTGGTGAGACTAAGCAAGGGGAACCTAAAGGAGGAGGGGAAACAATGATGCTGAGGGCATGCTTCATTCATTCAAGAGATATTTATGAGTATTTGGAATGTGCTAGAAACTCTACTAGGCAGTAGAAAAAGACAGAAGATATAGTACCTGTCCTTAAAAAGCTTGCAATCTAGTTGAGGAGACCAAAACAAAAACAAAAACAAATAATTGTGCATCAGTGAGATAACTACAATATTTGAAGTGTGGGCCAGGCACTGTGGCTCACGCCTATAATCCCAACACTGGGAGGCTGAGGCAGCCAGATAGCTTGGGTCCAGGAGTTTGAGACCAGCCCAGGTAACATAGCAAGAATTCATCTTTACAAAACTAAAAAATTAGCTGGGCATGGTGGTGTGTGCCTATAATCCCAGTTACTTAGGAGGCTGAGGTGGGAGGATTGCTTGAGCCAGGAGGTCAAGGCTCCAGTGAGCCATGACAGTGCCACTGCACTCCAGCCCAGAAGACAGAGCAAGAAGACCCTGTCTCAAAAAAAAAAAGAAAGAAAGAAAGAAAGAAAAGATATTTGAAGTGTGAACTAGGTAACCAATGGCACAAAGGATTCATTGGTTAAACTTGTCCAAGAGATCGAGGAAGGCTTCATATAGGAAAGGACACTTGAGTTTCATGTTGAAAGATGTGTTTATCAGTTAGTCAAAGGGGGCTGGCATTCCGGGAAGTAGAAAGTATGCAAAGATGCAAATGTAGATCTAGATATATGAAAAGTATGGTCATCTGGAAAAGCATGTTCTTTTTCAGGAAGTACAGGTAGTTCAATATGGCTCAATTTTAAGTGTGCAAAGAAGAATGGCAGGGAATGAGTCCTGAGAGGTAAGCAGAGGACAAAACTCAAAGGGCTTTGTCAGTTGGGCAAAAGAGTTTGGACCTTATCCATGTAGTGACCCCATGATTTTCTACTCAACATCAATTTTACCCACTTCTGTTGTGTAACATCCAAGTGGTATGGAAGATTGAACCCCCAGCTCTGGGAGCATATTCTGAATAAGCTACTTTAATAATCCCATGCTCCTTGTTAGTGATTGGCTCAGGATCTCAGACCTGAACCCATCCCTGGATGGCATTCCCTTAACCAGAGAGATAGGGTCAGAAATTGTACATATGGTGAAATATGAGCTAATACAATTTAAGTTTTCTGACAGTTTCCAGATAAAGTTTTTTCACTCCCAAGACTGAAACACAAGAAGGGGCAGTTTTTCCTCTCTCACTGGACATCATACTATAAGTGTGAGTGCCAAAACTACTGTGGATACCTTTCAACTAGCCTGAAGAACGAAACTGATAGTGGAGAGACAGACATGAGAGAATTGCAGGGAAATGGTGCTGGAGCCTAGATTAAACAAACACTACCTTCTCTCTGAACTTCCCATGACATGAGCCAAGAAGTTTTCTGGTTGAGTTTCCTTACTGAATAGGTTTGAGATAAGATTTCTATTATGTGAAACATGAACAACCCTAACTCATACATCCCAGTAAGGAAATAGATATCAGTTTTTATTTCACAAAGATCATTCTGGTGAATTGGGAGGGGATAAAACTAGAGATAGGGCTTAGCCAAAAGGTGATTGAATTATTCAAAAAAGATGAGTAGACCATGCATTTAAACGATACCATAGGGGCCGGGTGTGGTGACTCACACCTGTAATCCCAACACTTTGGGAGGCTGAGGTGGGAGAATCATTTGAGGTCAGGAGTTCGAGACCAGCCTGGCTAACATGGTAAAACCTCACCTCTACTAAAAACACAAAAATTAACTGGGTGTGGTGGTGCACGCCAATAATCCCAGCTACTCAGAAGGCTGAGGCAGGAGAATCACTTGAACCCAGGAGGCGGAGTTTCCAGTGAGCCAAGATTGTGCCACTGCACTCCAGCCTGGGCAACAGAGTGAGACTCCATCTCAAAAATAAATAAATAAATAAATAAATAAATAAATAAATAAATAAAATTAAACAAACTATACCATAGGGATGGGTGAGAAGGAATGGATATAAGACTATTTAGGTAATGAAAAGAACATGATTTAGTCATTGGCTATAGGGATGAATGAGAACAAATTTTAATAATCTCCAGTTTTCTATTTTGGAAGACTACTTGTATAGTGGTAACATTCAGAGAGAGAATAAGATCAGGGAAAATAATAATGGCTTGCTTCTTCATCTGAATAATGGGAGTAACCATGCCTACCCCCTACAGTTGTTAGGGGTATTCAGTGATATATAGTACCTGGAACATAAGAGACACTCCATAAATGATAATTATATTACCCTATTATCTAAAATCCTTCTCTGACCTACTCAGTCTCCTCCCATCTTTCAATATCAATCTCAAATGCCTCTCTTGCAAAGTATTTTCTACTCTCCCAAACTAGATGTAGTATTTTGTACCTGTGATCCCTTCCTGATACCAACCGTACAGCCCCATCCCTTTCATGAGGCAGCTCAGTCTGTACCCTCTTCTTTATTATGAGGGGTTTTTTTTGATGATTTTTTTTTTTTGAGACAGAGTCTCACTCTGTCACCCAGGCTGGAGTGCAGTGGTGCAACCATGACTCACTGCAACCTTTGCCTCCTGGGTTCAAGCAATTCTCCCGCCTCACCCTCCTGAGTAGCTGGGATTACAGATGTACGCCATCACACCTGGCTAATTTTTATATTTTTAGTAGAGACAGGTTTCACCATGTTGGCCAGGCTGGTCTTGAGCTCCTGACCTCAAGCGATCCACCCACCTTGGCCTCCCAAAGTGCTCGGATTTCAGGAATGAACCACCGTGCCCTTTCAACTGTAGCCTTTTTATCTTGATATCTGCTGCACTCAAGAAAACAGTGCTCTACACACACAATACACATGTGCCAGTTTCTTGGCATGTTCCTAATTTCTTCTACTTGTTGAGTTACCTTGTCATTAAAGATTTGGATAAAATGGGCTTAAAATCCCATCGTTTTGTTATTCCTGGAAATTCTTGCAAACCTATATTGTATAGTAGCTGAGGAAATTAGACTCTAGAAACAGTTCATCTGGATCCAAATCCTGGTTCTACCATTTATTAATTGTGCATCTTGGGAAAATTATTTACTCTGCTGGTGCCTCAGTGTCCCTATCTTTATTTTATTACTATTTTATTTATTTATTTATTTTTATTTTTTTGAGACGGAGTCTCGCTCTGTC
The DNA here is from genome assembly GCF_000001405.40 of Homo sapiens. Lineage (NCBI taxonomy): Eukaryota > Metazoa > Chordata > Mammalia > Primates > Hominidae > Homo > Homo sapiens. The sequence continues at coordinate 162,461,397 of NC_000001.11, read as the reverse complement.
GCCCAGGCTGGAGTGCAGTGGTGCAATCTCGGCTCACTGTAAGCTCCGCCTCCTGGGTTCACGCTATATTCTCCTGCCTCAGCCTCCCGAGTACCTAGGACTACAGGCGTCCGCCACCACACCCAGCCAATTTTTTTTGTATTTTTAGTAGAGACGGGGTTTCACCGTGTTAGCCAGGATGGTCTCGATCTCCCGACCTCATGATCTGCCCACCTTGGCCTCCCAAAGTGCTGAGATTACAGGCGTGGGCCACTGAGCCCGGCCAACTGTCCCTATCTTTTTCTTTCTTTTTTTTTTTTTGGTTTTGTTTTTTTTGAGACGGAGTCTCGCTCTGTCGCCGGGGCTGGAGTGCAGTGGCACAATCTTCGCTCACTGCAAGCTCCGCCTCCCGGATTCACCCCATTCTCCTGCCTCAGCCTCCCAAGTAGCTGGGACTACAGGCGCCCGCCACTAGGCCCAGCTAATTTTTTGTATTTTTAGTAGAGACGGGGTTTCACCATGTTAGCCAGGATGGTCTCGATCTCCTGACCTCGTGATCCGCCCGCCTCGGCCTCCCAAAGTGCTGGGATTACAGGCGTGAGACACCGCGCCCGGCCCTGTCCCTATCTTTAAAACAGGGAAGATGTGCCGAGCACGGTGGCTCACGCCTGTAATCCCATCACTTTGGGAGGCTGAGGCGGGCAGATCACAAGGTCAGGGGTTTGAGACCAGCCTGACCAACATGGTGAAACCCCCATCTCTACTAAAAATACGAAAATTAGCTGGGCTTGGTGGCGCGTGCCTGTAATCCCAGCTACTCAGGAGGCTGAGGCAGGAGAATCACTTGAATTCGGAAGGCGGAGGTTGCAGTGAGCTGAGATTGCACCACTGCACTACAGCCTGGGTGACAGAGCAAGACTCCCTCTCAAAAAAACAAAAACAAACAAAAAACCAAGCACAGGGATGATGGTAATAAGAACTCCTACACTATAGCATTGTGTACATTCAGTGAGTTAATATGTGCAAGCCACTTATAACAGTTCCTTACATGTTGTAATTGCTATCAAAGCATTAGCTATTTCATAATATTTCTTCTGTTTGAACCTTTACTCCAAATTCCTGCTTATGTCGATATTTTGGCCTCAGCCACAGAGGGTCAAGTTAATTCATTAAACACCTTCTGTGGCACATTATCTTCACTGATCCACCAAAAGCCTCTTTTTCATTTTATTCATCCATCTTTCCCACTCCCATTCTCCTCTCGTCCTCCACATACACCTTACATATCTGTTTATTTGTAAAAATTGTGGGAGTTTTTTGAAACAGGGTCTTGCTCTGTTGCCCTGGAGTGCAATGGCACAATCACGGCTCACTACAGCCTCGACCTCCTGGGCTCAGGTGATCCTTCCACCTCAGCCTCTCTAGTAGCTGGGACTACAGGCGTGTGTTACCATGCTCAGCTAATTTTTAAAAAAAATTTTTTTGTAGAGACGGGGACGGGGTTTTGCCATGTTGCCCCGGCTGTTCTCCAACTCCTGGGCTCAAACAATCCACCTACCTCCATCTCCCAAAGTGTTGAGATTACAGACGTGTATTCTTGTAAAATTTTTATGGCTACTTTATGCAGTCTTATAGGTGATGGCATGCCTTAGTGTGTGTCTTTGTGTGTGTGTGTGTGTGTGTGTGTGTGTGTGTGTGTGTGTGTTTGTGTATCTGGCTTGAGTTTCATTGGGCTTCTTGGACCTGTAGATTTATAGTTTTCATCAAATTAGGAAAATTTTGGTCATTATTTCTTCAAATATTGTTTTATGTCTTTCCACTCTCTTCACCTTAGGGGACTCCAAATACACATATTAGACTCCTTGAGATTTCTCTGTGGGTCACTGATGCTCTTTCCATTCCTTTACAGCTTTATTGGGGTACAACTGACATGTTGTAGACTACCCCTGTGGAAAGTGTACAATGATTAAGTTTTCACAGGTTTTCACCTGTGAAACCATCATTAGGAACGAGAATCTAAACATACCCATCACTCCTAAGCTTCCCTATGCCCTAGTGGAATCTTTCCTCCTTCCCACTCTCAACCCCCTCATTCCCAGACAACCACTAATCTGCTTTCTATCATGATAGATTAGTTTGCATTTTCAAAACATTATATAAATTAAATCATTAAGGCAGGGCTTGGTGGCTCACACCTGTAATCCCAGCACTTTGGGAGGCCAAGGCAGGCAGATCATGAGATCAGGAGATCGAGACCATCCTGGCTAACACGGTGAAACCCCATCTCACTAACAATACAAAAAAAAAAAATTAGCCGGGTGTTGTGGCAGGCGCCTGTAGTCCCAGCTACTCAGGAGGCCGAGGCAGGAGAATGGCATGAACCCAGGAGGCAGAGCTTGCAGTGAGCCGAGTGAGCCACCGCACTCCAGCCTGGGCGACAGAGAGAGACTCCGTCTCAAAAAATAAAAATAAAAATAAAAATAAATAAATAAATAAAATAATTAAATTCATGTTCATTTTTTGTCTGGTTTATTTCACTCAGAATAGTTTTGAGGTACATCTATGTTTTTGCATATGTCCATGGTTTCTTCCTTTTAGTTTATGAGCAGTATTCTATCAGATGAATGTGCCACAGTTTAATCATTCATCTGTTGATGGGCATTTAGGTGGTTTCCACTTTGAGGCTATTACAAATAAAAAGTGCTATGAATATTTCCACATAACTCTTTGTATAGGCATATGTTTTCAGTTCTCTTGTGTAAATACCTACAAGTGGAATGGCTAAATCATGTTATATGTGTTACTTTTTAAGAAATATCTAAAATGTTTTTCCAAGCAGTTGTACCATTTTGTATTTCTACCAGCAGTATATGAGTGCTCCAGTTCCTCCACACCATCACCAAATAGTTGGTCTGCTCACCGTAATTTTAGACATTATCATATGTATGGAGTGGTGTCTCATCTGGTTTTCATGTGCATTTCATGTGCTTATTTGCCAGCACGTGAAAAGTCGTTCAACACATTAGTCATTAGGCAAACGCGCATGAAAACCACTTCTCTGACATCCCTATTCAAATATTTTGCCCACTTTTTAATTGCTTGTCTTTTTAAAATTGAGTTTTGGGTGTTTTTTTTTTTTTTTTTTTTTGGTGTTTATTTCTTTATTTTTATTTTTTGTAGAGAGTGTGGTCCCAAACTCCTGGCTGCAAGCAATCCTCCTGCCTCAGCCTCCCAAAGTGCTGAGATTACAGGTGTGAGCGCCACACCAGGCCATTTTATTGTATGCTTTGCCTCACTGTAATTAAAAGATCCTAAATATGGTATAGCTTAGAGAAGAGAGACATAGCAAACATCCATTGAGTTCTTCTTCTTTTTTTTTTTTTGAGAGTCTCGCTCTGTCACCCAGGCTGGAGTGCAGTGGCACGATCTCGGCTCACTGCAAGCTCCACCTCCCGGGTTCACACCTGGGACTACAGGCACCCGCCACCATGCCCAGCTATTTTTTTTTTTTTTAGTATTTATTGATCATTCTTGGGTGTTTCTCGGAGAGGGGCATGTGGCAGGGTCATAGGATAATAGTGGAGAGAAGGTCAGCAGATAAACCCGTGAACAAAGGTCTCTGGTTTTCCTAGGCAGAGGTCCCTGCGGCCTTCCTTCCGCAGTCTTTGTGTCCCTGGGTACTTGAGATTAGGGAGTGGTGATGACTCTTAACGAGCGTGCTGCCTTCAAGCATCTGTTTAACAAAGCACATCTTGCACCGCCCTTAATCCATTTAACCCTGAGTGGACACAACACATGTTTCAGAGAGCACGGGGTTGGGGGTAAGGTTATAGATTAACAGCATCTTTGGGTGTTCTTTATATAATCTGGATACAAGTACTTTATGAGATAGGATTTGTAAATATTTCCTCCTAGTCTGTGGTTTGTCTTTTCATTCTCTTTCAAAAACCAGAAGCCTGGCCGCGCGCGCGGTGGCTCACGCCTGTAATCCCAGCACTTTGGGAGGCTGAGGCGGGCGGATCACGAGGTCAGGAGATCGAAACCATCCTGGTTAACACAGTAAAACCCCGTCTGTACTAAAAATACAAAAAAAATTAGCCAGGCGTGGTGGCGGGCGCCTTGTAGTCCCAGCTATTCGGGAGGCTGAGGCAGGAGAATGGCGTGAACCTGGGAGGCGGAGCTTGCAGTGAGCCGAGATCACGTCACTGCACTCCAGCCTGGGCGACAGAGCGAGACTCCCGTCTCAAAAAAAAGAGCAGAAGCTCAAATTTTTCTTTTATGGATTGTGCTTTTGTTATTATCCGCAAAATTCTTGCCTAACCCAAGATCACAAATAATTTTTCCTGTTTTTCTCTAGAAGTCTTATGCTTTCTGATTTTACTTTTATGCCTATAATTCATTTTGAGTTAATTTTACAATATTGTATAGGAAATTGATCAAAGTTTTTTGACATATTTATATCCAATTGATCAAGCATCATTTGTTGAGAAGACTATGAAAATTTACATAGAAAATTACAATGAAAATTTAATGGCAAGCAATTTGCCTAATAATACACTTGCCTAAAAGTCATGTTTTCTGGCACAAGCATACATATGTAACAGACCTGCACGTTGTGCACATGTACCCTAGAACTTAAAGTATAATTTAAAAAAAAGAAAAAAAAATCACGTTTTCAAATTTGCAGTGATTCATATATGGCAAAACATCCTCAGGCTATAGGGGAAACAAAATTAGGAGCCCTATATTTCCTAATTCAGTTTTGTAACAAAAGCCAGAGTCAAAAAATGTAATTTAACAACTTAATAAGGAACCGGGAAAAGTCCTGTTATTGTGTTTTGAGATTGACAAAGCACTGAGCTGGTCATTACATCTTGTTATATAAGGATGAACATGGGGACGTAATTACAAGATCATCCCCTTGGAGGCAGTAAGAATGTAAACATTAAGCAAATGAGGGTTAAATCCTTTATTATCACATTTATACGTACTATTATTTTGTTATGAAGGAAATGTGTTTTGGCAAATTTTGGTTACCAGAAGTTTCCTTGAGATATCTTTATGTGACGGTATTATGTCTCCTTAATCTCAAGGCTATTCACGCACAATATTTCTTATAAGAAATTATATTTGTTAGATTATTTTTACACGATATATTCCATCATTGTGATAACTACTCTCTGTGATTTCATGTACTTTATTATTTATTATTTTTATTTTTTTGAGATAGGGTCTTACTCTGTCACCCAGGCTGGAGTGCACTGGTACGATCACAGCTTACTGCAGCCTCGACCTCTTGGGCTTAAGTGAGCCTCCCAAGTATCTGGGACTACAGGTGCATACCACCACACCCAGCTAATTTTTGTATTTTTTTGTAGAGACAAGGTTTCACCATGTTGCCCAGGCTGGTCTCAAACTCTTGAGGTCAAGTGATGCACTTGCCTCAGCCTCCCAAAGTGCTGGGATTATAGGCGTGAGCCACTCCACCCAGAATATTATTTATCTTCAATTGTACATGTAGCCCACCTTCACCAGCTAGTAAGAAAGTATTAAGGTACTTCATCTTGCTTCCTACCTACAGATCTCTTTGCAATAAACTAAAAAAAAATTTTAATATTGACTATATTGACCTGATATTTCTTTTCTTTTTTTTTTTTTGAGATGGAATCTCACTCTATTGCCCAGGCTGGAGTGCAGTGGCACGATATCAGCTCACTGCAACCTCTGTCTTCCAGGTTCAAGCGATTCTTGTGCCTCAGCCTCCCGAGTAGCTGGGATCACAGGTGTGTACCACCATGCCCAGCTAATTTTTGTATTTTTAGTAGTGATGGGGTCTCGCCATGTTGGCCAGGCTGGTCTTGAACCCCCAACCTCAGGTGATCTGCCTGCCTCGGCCTCCCAAAATGTTGGGATTACAGGCATGAGCTGCCACACCTGGCCTTCACTTGATATTTATGATGAAAATTTTAATTTTGATGAATTTCCTAATGCTAGGATGGGATTAGCAGATTCTGAATATTTTCGCACCTATTGGGGCTACTTATTGCCTTTTCAAAGCAGTTAAATGCTATTTTATGAAATAGTCTCAACTATCTAGTTCTTTTTTATTATTATTATACTTTTAAGTTTTAGGGTACATATGCACAACGTGCAGGTTTGTTACATATGTATACATGTGCCATGTTGGTGTGCTGCACCTATTAACTCGTCATTTACATTAGGTATATCTCCTAATGCTATCCCTCCTCCTTCCTCCCACCCCACAACAGGACCCAGTGTGTGATGCTCCCCTTCCTGTGTCCATGTGTTCTCATTGTTCGATTCCCACCTATGAGTGAGAACATGTGGTGTTTGGTTTTTTGTCCTTGCGATAGTTTGCTGAGAATGATGGTTTCCAGCTTCATCCATGTCCCTACAAAGGACATGAACTCATCCTTTTTTATGGCTGCATAGTATTCCATGGTGCATATGCGCTACATTTTCTTAATCCAGTCTATCATTGTTGGACATTTGGGTTGGTTCCAAGTCTTTGCTATTGTGAATAGTGCCACAATAAACATACGCGTGCATGTGTCTTTATAGCAGCATGATTTATAATCCTTTGGGTATATACCCAGTAACGGGATGGCTGGGTCAAATGGTATTTCTAGTTCTAGATCCCTGAGGAATCGCCACACTGACTTCCGCAATGGTTGAACTAGTTTACAGTCCCACCAACAGTGTAAAAGTGTTCCTATTTCTCCACATCCTCTCCAGCACCTGTTGTTCCCTGACTTTTTAATGATTGCCATTCTAACTGGTGTGAGATGGTACCTCATTGTGGTTTTGATTTATATTTCTCTGATGGTCAGTGATGATGAGCATTTTTTCATGTCTTTTGCCTGCATAAATTTCTTCTTTTGAGAAGTGTCTGTTCATATCCTTCGCCCACTTGTTGATGGGGTTGTTTGCTTTTTTCTTGTAAATTTGTTTGAGTTCTTTGTAGATTCTGGATATTAGCCCTTTGTTAGAGGAGTAGATTGCAAAAATTTTCTCCCATTCTGTAGGTTGCCTGTTCACTCTGATGGTAGTTTCTTTTGCTGTGCAGAAGCTCTTTAGTTTAATTAAATCCCATTAGTCAATTTTGGCTTTTGTTGCCATTGCTTTTGGTGTTTTAGACATGAAGTCCTTGCCCATGCCTGTGTCCTGAATGGTATTGCCTAGATTTTCTTCTAGGGTTTTTATGGTTTTAGGTCTAACATTTAAGTCTTTAATCCATCTTGAATTAATTTTTGTATAAAGTGTAAGGAAGAGATCCAGTTTCACCTTTCTACATATGGCCAGCCAGTTTTCCCAGCACCATTTATTAAATAGGGAATCCTTTCCCCATTTCTTGTTTTTGTCAGGTGTGTCAAAGATCAGATAGTTGTAGATATGTGGCATTATTTATTTCTGAGGACTCTGTTCTGTTCCATTGGTCTGTATCTCTGTTTTGGTACCAGTACCATGCTGTTTTGGTTACTGTAGGCTTGTAGTATAGTTTGAAGTCAGGTAGTGTGATGCCTCCAGCTTTGTTCTTTTGGCTTAGGATTGACTTGGCAATGCGGGCTCTTTTTTGGTTCCATATGAACTTTAAAGTAGTTTTTTCCAATTCTGTGAAGAAAGTCATTGGTATCTTGATGGGGATGGCATTGAATCTATAAATTACCTTGGGCAGTATGGCCATTTCCACGATATTGATTCTTCCTATCCATGAGCATGGAATGTTCTTCCATTTGTTTGTATCCTCTTTTATTTCGTTGAGCAGTGGTTTGTAGTTCTCCTTGAAGAGGTCCTTCACATCCCTTGTAAGTTGGATTCCTAGGTATTTTATTCTCTTTGAAGCAATTGTGAATGGGAGTTCACTCATGATTTGGCTCTCTGTTTGTCTGTTGTTGGTGTATAAGAATGGTTGTGATTTTTGCACATTGATTTTGTATCCTGAGACTTTGCTGAAGTTGCTTATCAGCTTAAGGAGATTTTGGGCTGAGACGATGGGGTTTTCTAGATATACAATCATGTCATCTGCAACAGGGACAATTTGACTTCCTCCTTTCCTAATTGAATACCCTTTATTTTCTTCTCCTGCCTGATTGCCCTGGCCAGAACTTCCAACACTATGTTGAAGAGGAGTGGTGAGAGAGGGCATCCCTGTCTTGTGCCAGTTTTCAAAGGGAATGCTTCCAGTTTTTGCCCATTCAGTATGATATTGCTGTGGGTTTGCCATAGATAGCTCTTTTCATTTTGAGATATGTCCCATCAATACCTAATTTATTGAGAGTTTTTCGCATGAAGGTTGTTGAATTTTGTCAAAGGACTTTTCTGCATCTATTGAGATAATCATGTGGTTTTTGTCTTTGGTTCTGTTTATATGCTGGATTATGTTTATTGATTTGCATATGCTGAATCAGCCTTGCATCCCAGGGATGAAGCCCACTTGATCATGGTGGATAAGCTTTGATGTGCTGCTGGATTCGGTTTGCCAGTATTTTATTGAGGATTTTTGCATCGATGTTCATCAGGGATATTGGTCTAAAATTCTCTTTTTTTGTTGTGTCTCTGCCTGACTTTGGTATCAGGATGATGCTGGCCTCATAAAATGAGATAGGGAGGATTCCCTCTTTTTCTATTGATTGTAATACTTTCAGAAGGAATGGTACCAGCTCCTTCTTGTACCTCTGGTAGAATTCGGCTGTGAATGCTTCTGGTCCTGGACATTTTTTGTTTGGTAGGCTATTAATTATTGCCTCAATTTCAGAGCCTGTTATTGGTGTATTCAGAGATTCAACTTCTTCCTGGTTTAGTCTTGGGAGGGTGTATGTGTCGAGGAATTTATCCATTTCTTCTAGATTTTCAAGTTTATTTGCGTAGAGGTGTTTATAGTATTCTCTGATGGTAGTTTGTATTTCTGTGGGATTGGTGGTGATATCCCCTTTATCATTTTCTATTGCATCTATTTGATTCTTCTCTCTTTTCTTCTTTATTAGTCTTGCTAGCAGTCTATCAATTCTGTTGATCTTTTCGAAAAACCAGTTCCTGGATTCATTGATTTTTTGAAGGGTTTTTTGTGTCTCTATTTCCTTCAGTTCTGCTCTGATCTTAGTTATTTCTTGCCTTCTGCTAGCTTTTGAATGTGTTTGCTCTTGCTTCTCTAGTTCTTTTAATTGTGATGTTAGGGTGTCAATTTTAGATCTTTCCTGCTTTCTCTTGTGGGCATTTAGTGCTATAAATTTCCCTCTACACACTGCTTTGAATGTGTCCCAGAGATTCTGGTATGTTGTGTCTTTGTTCTCTTTGGTTTCAAAGAACATCTTTATTTCTGCCTTCATTTCGTTATGTACCCAGTAGTCATTCAGGAGAAGGTTGTTCAGTTTCCATGTAGTTGAGCGGTTTTGAGTGAGTTTCTTAATCCTGAGTCCTAGCTTGATTGCACTGTGGTCTAAGAGACAGTTTGTTGTAATTTCTGTTCTTTTACATTTGCTGAGGAGTGCTTTACTACCAACTATGTGGTCAATTTTGGAATAAGTGCTGTGTGGTGCTGAGAAGAATGTATATTCTGTTGATATACATTCTGTATGGATGGAGAATGGGTGGAGAGTTCTGTAGATGTCTATTAGGTCTGCTTGGTGCAGAGCTGAGTTCAATTCCCGGATATCCTTGTTAACTTTCTGTCTCCTTGATCTGTCTAATGTTGACAGTGGGGTGTTAAAGTCTCCCATTATTGCCCAGCCACCCATCGTCTGGGATGTGAGGAGCGCCTCTGCCTGGCCGCCCCGTCTGGGAAGTGAGGAGCACCTCTGCCCGGCTGCCCTGTCTGGGAAGTGAGGAGCGCCTCTGCCCGGCAGCCCCGTCTGGGAGGTGAGGAGCGCCTCTGCCCGGCCGCCCATCGTCTGGGATGTGAGGAGCGCCTCTGCCCGGCCGCCCCATCTGGGAAGTGAGGAGCGCCTCTGCCTGGCCGCCCCGTCTGGGAAGTGAGGAGCGCCTCTGCCTGGCCACTGTGCAACCTTCCAAGTGTGAAGTGACAGCCTTTCTGCAGGTGTACCTAACAGCTCCAAAGAGACAGCGACCATCGAGAACGGGCCATGATGACGATGGCGGTTTTGTCAAAAAGAAAAGGGGGAAATGTGGGGAAAAGAAAGAGAGATCAGATTGTTACTGTGTCTGTGTAGAAAGAAGTAGACATAGGATACTCCATTTTGTTCTGTACTAAGAAATATTCTTCTGCCTTGGGATGCTGTTAATCTATAACCTTACCCCCAACCCTGTGCTCTCTGAAAGATGTGCTTTGTCAACTCAGGGTTAAATGGATTAAGGGGGGTGCAAGATGTGCTTTGTTAAACAGATGCTTGAAGGCGGCATGCTCTTTAAGAGTCATCACCACTCCCTAATCTCAGGTACCCAGGGACACAAAGACTGCAGAAGGCCGCAGGGACCTCTGCCTATGAAAGCCAGAGACCTTTGTTCACGTGTTTATCTGCTGACCTTCTCTCCACTATTATCCTATGACCCTACCATATCCCCCTCTCCGAGAAACACCCAAGAATGATCAATAAATACTAAAAAAAAAAAAAAAAAGATATTCACAGAAATCTATAATAAGCATGTCATGAGGCAGATAGATGTCCCCATAAAGATTATGCATCCTATGACTCAGTGTCAATAAAAATAAATAAATAAATAAAAATAAAGTCTCCCATTATTATTGTGTGGGAGTCTAAGTCTCTTTGTAGGTCTCTAAGGACTTGCTTTATGAATCTGGGTGCTCCTGTATTGGGTGCATATATATTTAGGATAGTTAGCTCTTCTTGTTGAATTGATCCCTTTACCATTATGTAATGGCCTTCTTTGTCTCTTTTGATCTTTGTTGGTTTAAAGTCTGTTTTATCAGAGACTAGGATTGCAACCCCTGCCTTTTTTTATTTTCCATTTGCTTGGTAGATCTTCCTCCATCCCTTTATTTTGAGCCTATGTGTGTCTCTGCACGTGAGATGGGTTTCCTGAATACAGCACACTGATGGGTCTTGACTCTATCCAATTTGCCCATCTGTGTCTTTTAATTGGAGTAGTTAGCCCATTTACATTTAAGGTTAATATTGTTATGTGTGAATTTGATCCTGTCATTATGATGTTAGCTGGTTATTTTGTTCGTTAGTTGATGCAGTTTCCTCCTAGCATTGCTGGTCTTTACATTTTGGCATGTTTTTGCAGTGGCTGGTACCACTTGTTCCTTTCCATGTTTAGTGCTTCCTTCAGGAGCTCTTTTAGGTCAGGCCTGGTGGTGACAAAATCTCTCAGCATTTGCTTGTCTGTGAAGTATTTTATTTCTCCTTCACTTATGAAGCTTAGTTTGGCTGGATATGAAATTCTGCATTGAAAATTCCTTTCTTTAAGCATGTTGAATATTGGCCCCCACTCTCTTCTGGCTTGTAGAGTTTCTGCCGAGAAATCCGCTGTTAGTCTGATGGGCTTCCCTTTGTGGGTAACCTGACCTTTCTCTGTGGCTGCCCTTAACATTTTTTCCTTCATTTCAACTTTGGGGAATCTGACAATTATGTGTCTTGGAGTTGCTCTTCTCAAGGAGTATCTTTGTGGCATTCTCTGTATTTCCTGAATTTGAATGTTGGCCTGCCTTGCTAGGTTGGGGAAGTTCTCCTGGATAATATCCTGCAGAGTGTTTTCCAACTTGGTTCCATTCTCCCTGTCACTTTCAGGTACACCAATCAGACGTAGATTTGGTCTTTTCACATGGTCCCATATTTCTTGGAGGCTTTGTTCGTTTCTTTTTATTCTTTTTTCTCTAAACTTCTCTTCTTGCTTCATTTCATTCATTTGATCTTCCATCACTGATAAACTTTCTTCCAGGTGATTGAATCAGCTACTGAAGCTTGTGCATTTGTCACGTAGTTCTCGTGCTGTGGTTTTCAGCTTCTTCAGGTCTTTTAAGGACTTCTCTGCATTTGTTATTCTAGTTAGCAATTCATCTAATCTTTTTTCAAGGTTTTTAACTTCTTTGCCATGGGTTTGAACTTCCTCCTTTAGCTCAAAGTAGTTTGATCGTCTGAAGCCTTCTTCTCTCAACTCATCAAAGTCATTCTCCATCCAGCTTTGTTCCATTGCTGGTGAGGAGCTGCATTCCTTTGGAGAAGGAGAGGTGCTCTGATTTTTAGAATTTTCAGTTTTTCTGCTCTGTTTTTTTCCCCATCTTTGTGGTTTTATCTACCTTTGGTCTTTGATGATGGTGACGTACAGATGGGGTTTTGGTGTGGATGTCCTTTCTGTTTGTTAGTTTTCCTTCTAACAGTCAGGACCCTCAGCTGCAGGTCTGTTGGAGTTTGCTGGAGGTCCACTCCAGACACTGTTTGCCTGGGTGTCAGCAGTGGAGGCTGCAGAACAGTGAATATTGGTGAACAGCAAATGTTGCTGCCTGATCATTCCTCTGGAAATTTTGTCTCAGAGGAGTACCCGGCGTGTGAGGTGTCAGTCTGCCCCTACTGGGGGGTGCCTCCCAGTTAGACTACTCGGGGGTCGGGGACCCACTTGAGGAGGCTGTCTGTCCGTTCTCAGATCTCAAGCTGCGTGCTGGGAGAACCACTACGCTCTTCAAAGGTGTCAGACAGGGACATTTAAGTCTGCAGAAGTTTCTGCTGCCTTTTGTTCAGCTATGCCCTGCCCCAAGAGGTGGAGTCTACAGAGGCAGGCAGGCCTCCTTGAGCTCTGGTGGGCTCCACACAGTTCAAGCTTCCCTGCCACTTTGTTTACCTACTCAAGCCTCAGCAATGGTGGGTTCCCCTTCCCCAGCCTCACTGCCGCCTTGCAGTTTGATCTCAGACTGCTGTGCTAGCAATGAGTGAGGCTCCGTGGGTGTAGGACCCTCCAAGCCAGGCGTGGGATATGATCTCCTAGTGTGCCATATGCTAAGACCGTCGGAAAAGCGCAGTATTAGGGTGGGAGTGACCCGATTTTCCAGGTGCCGTCTGTCACCCCTTTCCTTGGTTTACGCTTGGTGCGCTGCACCCACTGTCCTGCACCCACTGTTCAACAGTCCCCAGTGAGATGAACCCAGTACCTCAGTTGGAAATGCAGAAATCACTCATCTTCTGCATTGCTCATGCTGGGAGCTGTAGACTGGAGCTGTTCCTATTCAGCCATCTTGGAACTGCCCCTTGAACTATCTAGTTCTAATAAATATTGAACAGATTTGTATTGTTTCTTAAGATATTTTAAATTTTTATTTAAGTTGAAATATATTATTAACCTATAGTGACCATATTGTACAATAGATTTTTTGAGCTTCTTCCTAATTGAAATTGTGTATCCTTTGACCAACATGTCCCCAACATCACACCCAACTACCCCAGCCCCTGGTAACCACTATTCTACTCTCTACTTCTATGAGTTTAACTATTTTAGATTCTACATATGAGTGAGATTATGTAGTATGTATCTTTCTGTGCCTGTTTTATTTCACTTAACATAAGGTCTTCCAGGTCTACCTATGCCATTGCAAATGACAGATTTTCTTCTTTTTAAAAGCTGGCCGGGTTCAATGGCTCACACCTGTAATCTCAGCGCTTTGGGAGGCCGAGGCAGGCAGATCACCCAAGGTCGGGAGCCAGGACCAGCCTGGCCAACATGCTGAAACCTCATCTCCACTAAAAATACAAGAATTAGCTGGGCATTGTGGCACGTGCCTGTAATCCCAGCTACTCGGGTGGCTGAGGCAGGAGAATTGCTTGAACCCGGGAGGCAAGGTTGCAGTGAGCTGAGATCATACCACTGCACTCCAGTGTGAGCAACAGAGTGAGACTCCATCTCAATAAATAAATAAAAGCTGAATAGTGTTCCATTGTGTATATATACCACATGTTCTTTATCCATTCATCCACTGATGGACACTTAGGTTGCTTCCATATCTTGGCTATTGTGAATAATGCTGCAATCAACATAAGAGTGCAGATATCCTTTCGACATGTAATTTTCTTTGGATATATGCCCAGTAGTAGGATTGCTGGATCAAATGGTAGTTTTATTTTTAATTCTTTTAGGAACCTTCATACTGTTTTTCCATAATAGTGTACTAATTCACATCTCTATCAACAGAAGACACCACTGAATTTTAAAAAGCAGATCATTTTAATAATGATATTTTGGGAGAAAAACACCCTATTCCTTTTAGCTGTATACATTTATATTATGACTTATCTTGATTTCAGAAACCTTAAATTGTGGAGAAAAAATATGCTTAGAATAGATAACATATGGTGTTCGTGCAGTTATTTTATCTCTTCTTGACCAAACTTCTTCTTTTAAAAAAAAAAAATAAGCATGTACATGGGCTCAGACATGACAAAATAAAAAAATTTATCCCAATGGCCTTTGACAATCCATAGTACTTCACCTTGAAAAGAGTACGGGTCAATAAATGTAATTTAGTTGAGCCACAGAAAAGTAATGGCCTCAGTTGGGCACAGCCTGGCTCTCCTGGGGTACTGGTGGCCTCTTATTACCCTGAGTTAGGCCTCAAGGGTTTGCTGAGCACCTGTGCCTGAATATGCCAAGTTCGTAGGACACCAAGGAACACAAGGAGAAGAAGCCTGTTCCCCAGGAAAATCCATTTCACTGGGCAATAGGTGCCTTCAGCTGCCTTGGAACCTGAAAGAGAGAAAGTAGAATGAGAGAGGACAGAGCACATGTGTGTAAGTCGAATGAGGGTTGTTGGCAGGTGACAAGGGCTGCTGTGCCCTCACCCCAAAACATTTCCTAGGGGTGCTACAGAGACCAGACAAAACATTTCCAAGGGGTGCTAGAGAGACCAGAAGGGGACTCTTACTTGCACAAAGCTGTGCAGCAAGGGTAAGAGTAGAGTTGCTGTAGCTAACAGGATTCAGAGCTGTGCAAGTGTAGATCCAATCCAGGTCATGAAGGCTTCAGGAGCCATAGAGGACTGACCCCACGTGGGACACAGCAGCCCCTGGTCCCATTGATGTCCACTCATATGTGATGGTCTCTCCTCCTTCCTCCACAGAACACCTCAAGATGGCATTACAGATCCCATTTTCAGAGATGATAGAATCCACTCTAACTTGAGGCCTTGGCAGCTGCTCTGTTTTGAAACAGTAATTTTAAAAGACACAAATAGCAATTAAGGACCTTTCCAGGTCATGCTAGGAGAAGACTCAGATCATCAAGGAGTAAGAACTCAGCAAGAAATCCAGACCCCTTTAATGCAAAGATCTCTGACTCTTTCATTTCCAACTCCTGAGCACCGGCATAAAGGAAGGGGTAAGTTGTATGTTTTTCAGCCAGCCACAACCACAGCCAGGGGCTGCCAGACTGAAGAAGGACAAAAAAGAATAAGGAGAGAGAAGAAAAAAGAATCTACCTAGGAAAGGTTCTGGACGGACAAAAAGAGTGAAACTGGGAGACCGCCTTTACCAAGGGTCATACAGCCCCCCAGGCTTAGTGGGTAGCCCACTCACCCTTACCAGTAGGGACCTGGTCCTCTATGCCCTTACTCACTGAATATCCTCAGAGTGTAACTGGACAGCTTTGCAGAGGTCTCTGTGGCTATCTGGGCACTGTAAAAGCCTATGTTTTCCATCTCCAGGTTGCTGAGCTGCGGGGAGTAGGACTGGGTGAAGCTCAGTCGCTTTTGCCATTTCGGATGAGTCACGTAGATTTTTGGACTTTTGCCTTCATAGGGTTCTAGGAAGGCAAAAGATGTTCCATTGCAAAGCCAAGTGATGAACTGGATCCTCTCTCCTGCAGGAAACTCCAGGGGAAGAGTTACTGACTCCCCCAGAACCCCATTCACCATCAATGGGGTTGAGCTGCTTTGTGAAACTAGATTCCCTGTGAACACAGAAGGAAAAGGCTACAAAATGTCCCTGACAATTGTCCCTCCCCACAAGTCTCCCAGTCAGTCATAGCTCCCCTATGTTGGGGCCCACAAGAATGTTGGACATAAACAGGTATTAGCAGTGGTGTTGTGGCTGGAGCTCAAAGTGGGCAATGCTTAAACTCTCCTTCCTGCTGGGATCTCCAGTGATCACCCCAGGGATCCTTCCAGCTAGGATCACTCATCCCTGTCTCTGGGGTTGTGTTCCCCTGAGAGCTACTGGCCCTGGAAGACCAGAATGGAGACCACTGGGGAAGTCAGAAGCCAGCCTTGCCCTGGCTGGTCCCTCTTTTTTATTCAGTTTGAGATTTCAACTCTCACAACTTCCTATTTTCTGAAATGTTTCTGCCCCACAGAACTGGAGTTTCACTGTCACTGCAGTTCTGGTATCTCAATGGTATGTGATATAAAGATCTCAGATGACATACAGGACACCTGCTTCTTAGTCCTGATCCTGCCTCTATTGAGATGTGCAGCTTTGGGGAAGCCTGTTGATTCTTCCAGTCCTTTTCTCTTCTTTTTTAAAACAAGGGAGATAAAATGCAGAGCTTTTCAGAATGCTTTCAACTCTGACTTTCACAATGTCATTATTCTATGTACCTTAGATTTTTCTCTTTTCCTTTTCCTCCTTGCCCTCATTCACTCCCTAGTCAGTCTTTCCCATGTCCAAGAGTCTCTCAATGTCTTCTATCTTCTTGTCCCCCAATCTCCCTAATATGAGGTCTCAGTTCTGAAAATATCTGGCTGGGCTGTGCCTGTGTAGACTTCCTACCCCCTGGGAGGTCAAGGAAGGAGCCTCTGACTCACTCACCTTTCTGAAACTGGAGGAGAAAGAGGAGAAGCTGAGCAAGAGGTTTCATGGTGGCAGGACTGACCTGGTTTGCCTTGAAGATCGCGAGGAGTTAAGAGGAAGGCAAAAGAGAACATTAAGTCCTGTTCTGCAGCATGAACAGCTAATAGATTAAACTCTCTTTGTTCCCCATGCTGATCACATGATCACATTTGCTAACCACTTCTCTCTCTTTCTTTCTTTCTTTCTTTCTTTCTTTCTTTCTTTCTTTCTTTCTTTCTTTCTTTCTTCCTTTCTTTTCTTTTCTTTTCTTTTCTTTTCTTTTCTTTTCTTTTCTTTTCCTTTTTTTTCTTTTTCTTTCTTTCTCCATTCTCACACTGCTACAAAGAACTTCCTGAGACTGGGTAATTTATAAAGGAAAGAAGTTTAATTGACTCACAGTTCCACATGTCTGTGGAGGCCTCAGGAAACTTACAATCATGGTGGAAGGCAAAGGGGAAGCAAGGACCTTTTTCACACGGTAGCCGGGGAGAGAAGTACAAGCAGGGGAAATGCCAGACACTTATGAAACCATCAGATCTCATGAGAACTTATTCACTTTCACAAGAACAGCATGGAAGAACCACCCCCATGATCCAATTACCTCCCACCAGGTTTCTCCTTCAACACGTGGGGATTACAATTCAAGATGAGATAGATGAGATTTGGGTAGGGGCACAAAGCCTAACCATATCTCTTTCTCTCATTCTTTCTTGTTTGCTTCCCGGCTTTTTTTCTTTTGTTCTTTCTCTCCTTCTTTGTGTGTGTGTGTGTGTGTGTGTGTGTGTGTGTGTGTGTGTGTGTGTGTATGGAGCAGAGAGCATATGGGAAATCTCTGTATCTTTCACTCAGTTTTTTAAATGGACACAATATTTGTTCGTATTTATGGGGTACAATGTGATATTTTGATACATATAGACAATGTGTTATTTTCTTTTAATTGGGCTAGACACTTGCCTCAGCTTCAGTCCTTATAGTCCTCATTTGTTCAGAAATATTGAGATTCCACTGTAGAAGAACCTAATACACTTATGAAATGGTTCTGATATAATTGGCTAGTTTTGGCCAGACACAGTGGCTTACACCTGTAATCCCAGCACTTTGGGAGGCTTAGGCAGGTGGATCACTTGAGGCCGTGAGTTCGAGAGCAGCCTGGCCAACATTGTAAAACCCCCATCTCTACTAAAAATACAAAAATTAGCCAGGCATGGTGGCGTGTGCCTGTAATCCATACTCGAGAGGTTGAGGCAGGAGAATCACTTGAACCTGGGAGGTGGAGGTTGCAGTGAGCCAAGATTGTGCCACTGCACTCCAGCCTGGGCAACAGAGCAAGACTCTGTCTCAATAATAATAACAATAATAATTGGCTGTTTTTTTCTATTTAAATCCCTGTCTTACCCTTAACATAAAATACACCCTGAATGGTTTACAAAGTTAAATGAAAAGAATAAAACCACCATGTGCTGCTACCTCCAAATAAGTAATAGGAATTAAGTGGAAGGTGCTACATGGTCTGTCCCAACCGTGCACTTTTTAAGAAAACAGGTGCAATACAATTCAATTTATCAGCAACAAAATTCCTCCAGCACTGTTGGCATTGATGAGCTTGACCCAATACTTCTTTGGATTGGCAATGGACTTTGTTACATAGGGCTGGATTCATAAAATACCACTGGCATCATGTAATAAACACTAATGTAGACTATCTTATGATGGGGTTAAGGGGTGGAAAATTACAAGAATAAAGAGCCCAAGGGCAAGCATGTAGCCAGAACTCAAAAAGCACTTAATCTAGGAAATGAAAACCAAGGGGACACCAACCAGGACTGTCTCTTGACCCTGTTCTGTATGTGTCTAATTTACTTCTCTCTTTCTGGATCAGCTCTCTCTCCACCTGCCTACTGGTAGAATATGGTCACCAGTACACAGCTATTATAGGGCTAGCCATATCTAGAGACTCATCACCGTTCTCTCTCCCTGTCTTCATTTCTTCCTTCTCTCCCAATTCAAAATTCCTGGGAGAAGAAACTCTAGTTAGGGCAGTAAGGTTATCTGCAAATTTGCCTATCTCATTCTTACTTTCCACAATGTGAGAAAGTAAGGGTATTCTAGTAAAGTGGAAAACCATTCTCAACTGCTAATAATACAAGAGAATTGGCCTAACATAGGACTGTCTTTAGAAATTTTCAGCCAAGCATTAGTTGAGATAATTGTAAATGAACTCCCAAAATATCTACCAACACAAACTCAATATTTATTACTATTTTTGCCACTCTTATTTTATGTATACTTTTCTTCCTTTCTTCTTATCCAAGTGTTGAAAGCAAATCCTATATATTATGCTATCATTCCTACATATTTCACTATGTGTTTAAAAATAGATACATATACTTTCTTACATAACCTTAATGCCACTATCCCAACTAAAAAACTGAAAAATAATTCATTGGTATTGTAAAATACCTGGTCCATATTCAAAGTTCCTCTGATGGCAAAAAACATGTCGTAGTTGGTTTTGTTTTAATCAGGATCCAGACAAAATCCTTATGCTATGTTTTGTTATTGAACCTCATAAATATCTTCTAGTATAGAGAATTCAGTACTCTTTTCTCCCCTCCTTTTTTCCCTCTTTTTGTTTTTGGAGGGAGGTCTCTCCTTCACTCTTCCCTTTTCTCATGAATTTATAAACTTATCTATTTCAATCAACTGCAATCATCTCTATATTGGTGCTTAAATTTTCTCACTTGTGGCCAATATGAGCACCCTTCCCCAACTTTATGTTGGTTCCTATATTATTTTAACATGCCTGCATTAATATTTTTAAATTTCTTTGAATTCTTGAACAAGAAAGTATCCCAGGCTTATCTTGTTCATTATCTGCTATAGACAGGAGATCAGCCATTTCTCAAAAGATGACTGATTCTTTTCATGGGGGAATAGTATGTAAGGATCAAAATTTTGTCTCTAAGCATACATACTGATATTGGGTTGCATTGCTTCCAGGTCTTTTTAGAGAAAAGAACTAGAAAATTCATATTCTAAAAAATAGAACAAAAGTTTGCATATATTTTCCTGATTTTTATTTAGATTATTTGTTTTACATGTATCTTTTTTTTCTTACAAGAGAAAGCCTATTTTTTGACAGCACTGATGTAAAAACATGTTCAGTTTATCTTGGAAAAAATATATAGTTTTTAAATAATAATACCAAAATTATTTATAGCAACAATAAACACTGAATGAGTATAGAATTTCTTTACAAATATACTTATCCTTAGAATATCCTCCACTTAGAATGTATAATTAAAATGTTGGGGCTGATTTTACTGCTGTCAAATCAGCTTAAGATTAAATAGGGTTCTCCATGGATCAGCCCTCTGACCAAGCAAGACTGTGAGACCTTGCTGCTCAAGGAAGGTGGGGATGGCAACTTTTTGTTAAGAGACAGCGAGTCGATGACAGGAGTCCTTTGCCTCTGTATCTGTTGAGTAGCCTCATCTTTCACACAAGACATCTTATGTTGAATGCAGCAATGGCTGCCACACATCACAGGAATTAATATGCCTCAGGATTTCACTCTGACCTTGCAGCTCCAATGAGTAGAGTGAGAAATCATAGACACTGCCAGGAAAGGATGGAAGCAACGTGCCTGTCCATGGTCCTCCATCTGCCCTGCTGTCCCTGGTGTAAATGTGAGCCGACTCTGTAGCAGCAGGAGGGATGTGGGGTGGTGGTGAAGGGAACTTACAAGATGTAGAAAACTACCTCAAAAGATCAAATCTATAAATTATTGATGTTCAGGAGGGGGTTGAGCAAAAGCAAAGGGTACAAAGCTTATTTAAAGAAATAGTTGGGCATAGTGGCTCATGCCCGTAATCCCAGCACTTTGGGAGGCTGAAGAGGATGGATCGCTTGAGCACAGAAGTTCGAGACCAGTCTGGGCAACATGGCGAAATCCCTTCTCTCTAAAAAAAATACAAAAATTATTCAGGCATAGCGTCACATGCCTGTAGTCCCACCTACTTGGCAGGGCTGAGGTGGGGGGATCACTTCAGCCTGGGAGGCAGGAGTTGCAGTGAGCCAAGATTGCTCCACTGCACTCTGGCCTGGGTGACAGAGTAAAACCTGGTCTCAACAAAATAATGTAATAAGAAGTTTTTAAAATTTATTTTTTTAAAAAGAAATAACTACAGAAAACTTCCCAAAACTTGAGAAAAGTATAAATATCCAGGTACAGGAAGGACAAAGAACACCAAACAGATTAAACTCAAATAAGACTACCCCAAGGCATATAATAAACTCTCAAAGGTCAAGCACAAAGAATCCTAAAAGCAGCAAGAGAAAAGAAGCAGGTAACATAGCAAGAAACTCCAATTCATCTGGCAATAGACTTCTCAATGGAAACCATACAGACCAGCAAGGAATGGGATGATATTTTCAAAGTGCTAAAAGATAAAAACTACCATGTTAGAATACTGTAACCAGCAAAGCTATCCTTCAAATAAAGGAGAGAGAAAGTCTTCCCAGACAAACAGAAGAGGAGAAAATTTATCATCACCAGACCCATCTTATAAGAAATGCTAAAGAGAAGGAAAAAAAACCCCACAAATGTGCAGAAAGAAGTCATTTGAAGGTACAAAATCCACTGGTAAAATTAAGTACATGGACAAACCCAAAATACACTAATACTGTAATTGTGGTGTGCAGTTCACTCATGAATCTAGTATGAAGCCCCATAGACAAATCTATTGAAACCAGTAATAGCTAGAGCAACCAGTTAAGAGATAAGCAGTATAAAATATGCAAATTGGGACAACAAAAAGTCAAAATGTGAGGGGGATGGAGTTAAAGTGTAGAGGGTTATTTTTTCTTTGTCTTTTTGTTTGTTTGTTCCTATTCTTTTCTTTGTGATCTAAGACAAGTTGTCACCTCTTTAAAATGTCTCATTATATCTTATGATGTGTTTTTTGTAAGCCTCATGGTAACCACAGTGCAAAAACCTATAATAGATTCACTAAAAATAAAAAGCAACAAATTAAGACATACTATCATAGCAAATTGATTAACCACAAAAAAAGACAGTAAGAAAGGGAAAGAGGGATTACAAAACAACCTGAGAACAAGCAACAAAATTTCAGTAATATGTCCTTATGCATCAATAATAACACAATTTAAAAGGTCTCAATTCTCCAACGAAAAGTCGGAGTGGCTGAATGAATAAAGAAACAAGACCCAACTATACGCTGCCTAGAAGAAATTCACTTCACCGATAAAGACACACACAGACTGAAAGTAAAGGAGTGGAGAAAAATATTCCATGCAACTGGAAACCAAGTAGGAGCAGGAGTAGCTATACTTATATCAGATATTATAGACTACAAATCAGAGACTATAAAAAGAGACAAAGAAGGTCACTATATAATGATAAATCAGCAAGAAGATATCACAATTATAAGTATCTATGCACCCAACACTGGAGCTCCCAAGTATATAAAGCAAACATTAACAGATCTAAAGGGAGAAATAGACTGCAATTCAATAATAGTAGGGAACTTCAACATCCCACTCTCAGTAATAGACAGATCATCCAGACAGAATGTCAACAGAGAAGCATTAAACTATACACTAGACCAAGTAGGTCTAACTGACATTGACAGAACATTTCACCCAACTGCCACAGAAGACACGTTATTTTAATCAGTGCACAGAACATTCTCCAAAATAGACCATATCTTAGACCACAAAACAAGTCTCAACAAATTCAAAAAAGTACACATCATATTATATATATTTTCTGACCACAATGGGATAAATGATACTTGATGATACCAACAATAATACAAATACTACGAGATGTAAAATGGTAAAGACACTTTGGAAAATAGTTTGATTTCTTAAAAAGTTAAAAGTAGACCATTCCTAGATATTTACCCAAAGAAATTAAAACATATGTTTAAAAAAGACATGTACACAAATACTCATAGCAACTTTATTTGTAATAGCCTCAAAATATAAACAATCCAAATGTCTATCAACAGGTGAATATATGAACCAATTGTGGTACATGCATACAGTAAAATACTATTCAGCAATAAAAAATGAACTGTTCATAAAATAACATGATGAATCACAAAACAATTATGCAAAATGAAATAGACCTGGCAAGAAGTATACACTATATTATTCTGTCTACATGAACTACTTTTTTTTTTTTTTTAATTTTTTTTAGACAGAGTCTTGCTCTGTCACCCAGGCTGGAGTGCATTGGTGTGATCTAGGCTCGCTGCAACCTCCGCCTCCCGGGTTCAAGCAATTCTCCTGCCTCAGCCCCTCGAGTAGCTAGGATTACAGGTGTGCACCACCAGGCCTGGCTAATTTTTGTATTTTTAGTAGAGACGGGGTTTCACTATGTTGGCCAGGCTAGTTTCGAACTCCTGACCTCAGGTGATCTGCCCACCTCCGCCTCCCAAAGTGCTGGGATTACAGTCGTGAGCCACCAAAGTTGGCCCATTTACATAAACTTCTAAAAAATGCAAACTAATCTATAGTGACAAAAAGTAGATCAGTAGTTTCCCGGGAAGTAGGTCGGGAAGGGTGAGAGGGAGGGAGAGATTACCAAGGAGAACAAGGAAATTTGCAGGGAGGTGACTATGTTGATTATATGGACTCACTGATGATTTCTAAGGTATATGCATATGTAAACATATGTCAAAACCAAACAAATTGTAGGTTTCAAATATGTCCAGTTTATTGCACTTCAATTATAATTCAGAAAAGTTGGTGGAGGAGGAAGGGGATGAAAATGTGTTTGAGGGGTTAAAATATTTTTGGAAGGACACATTAAAAACTGAAAACATAATTTTCCCCCCGGAAAGGGGAATTGGCAGTGAGGGGACATATATATGCTTCTTTACACCTTGCATTTTTAATATTGAGAATTATTTATTAATTTAATTTGTTAAAATTAAAAAAATATATAGTAGTCAATATTTCCACCATTTCCTGCAACACATAGGAGAACTCATTTCTCCACACCTTTACTAACTTTTTTCAATAATTTTTACTTTTGCCAATTTGTTGAGAAAAAGCTAACACCTTATTTAATTTGTGTTTTCTGGATTACTATTGAGGTTGATCTGTTTCCATATCTTTATTAGCTATTGGTATTTTAACTCCTGAGAATTGCCTATTTATATCTTTTTTTGTTTGTTTGTTTTTGAGACAGAGTCTCACTGTGTCGCCTAGGCTGGAGTGCAGTGGAGCAATCTCGGCTCACTGCAAGCTCCGCCTCCCAGGTTCACCCCATCCTCCTGCCTCAGCCTCCCAAGTAGCTGGGACTACAGGCGCACGCCGCCACACCCGGCTAATATATTTTGTATTTTTAGTAGAGACAGGATTTCACCATGTTAGCCAGGATGGTCTCGATCTCCTGACCTTGTGATCTGCCTGCCTCGGCCTCCCAAAGTGCTGAGATTACAGGCGTGAGCCACCGCGCCCAGCCGCCTATTTATATCTTTTATTGTTTTAATATTGAGTTGCTTATCTTGTTTTACAGATTTCTCATAAATTCTGTGTATGAAGCTTTAAAAATGAACAAAGAATGTTCACATGCACACAGAAACAACTTCAGACCAACTTAATGTCAATCTTAAACTACTAATAGCTGGAATCTAGTAGCATATTACAAGTATAATAGTTATGATTCAGTGTGTATTCCAAGAACCCAAGAGTGCTTCTATGTTAGGAAATTTGTCATATAAACATAACTTGTCATATAAATAGGTAAAAAAATAAAAATTAAATGTTCAAAAGGTTCTTAAAAGGTAGGAAAAATTCAACTACCATTCTCAAACACTCTCACACTAACATACATAATCTGAAAAATGTAGTGCTAGAGGTATAGTTCCTTAACTAATGGTCAGAATTATGTTTAAGGATAAAGCACTAAAAGAACTCACATTGGTTTTAAGAATGGAATAAATACGCTGTAATCTCAGCACTTTGGGAGGCAAAGACAAGTGGGTCACCCAGGAGCCCAGAGTTCAAGACCAGCCTGGGCAATATGGTGAAACCCCACCTCAAGCAAATAAATAAATAAATAAAAGAATGAAATAAATATGCATATTATCACCACTTTGATATAAATTTATACTGTAAGTACTAGCCAGTGCCATCAGACAAAATAAATGAGGTTTAAAAATCTTTAAGGAGAAGGCCAAAATTAGCAGTATTTGCACATGACGTGGTTTTATGCCTGGGAAATCCAAGAAACTTAACTGGGAAACAAAATGAAACTTTGAAGACTATTAGCTAGAGTGACTGGTTACAAAATTAATACAAAAATGGTAGTTTTTATTTATTCAAACAATAATCACTAAAAAGATATAATAAAAGACAGATGCCCATTTACAATAATAATGAGAATAACAACAAACATATTAGCAATTTTTGTAACCAAGAGAATTGTTTTTCAAAATGTTTAAAATATACTCAAGGACATAAAAGAAAATTTGAATGAATAAAAGGACTTGATTTGGGACCCATGCCACTTTTTTCTCAGATAAATCTATACATTCTATAAATCTAAACACCAACAGAGTTTTTTTGTAAATTTGACAAAGTGAGTATAAAATTCATCAGAAGTAAAAATACTGTGTTAAAGAAAAATCTGAAGAACAATAAAATTTTAAAGATTTTGAGTAAGAAGAAATTCACAAACTGGGGAACACCAAACTGGAAGAGGTGTAGTATTCTTGTGATGAAACATTGGAGGAAAACATTTATTGGGAAAATGAGGAAGCAAAATAAAAGACATTTAATTGGCTGTAGTTACAAAATTACCCTTTTTGGTTTACTTTGCTGCAAAGTCCCTAGTCACATAATCATATGTTAATTGGCCACTTATGATTGGCTGAGGTTTAGGTTCTGACTGACATAACTTTTACCAAAAATAATTCAAGTTAAATTTCACTTATGTTTGTAGTTTAAGCAAGGCTAAGGCTATTTTTAAGGCTTAGTTTTGTTTGCTGAGGAATTTTTCAGGCCTGTCCTCCATTTTAATTTTGCTTTAAAGCCAGGCAAATTTGGTGGGGAGGCTGGGGAAACAGAGATGAACTTAATACTAAAATGTATTGGAAAGCTACAGTAATTAAGAGTTTGGTATTGACAGAATAGTGGAGAGAAATACATCTAAAAACAGGAAAAAATACATTTAGAATTTAGCATAGAATAAAAGGGGAATTTCTAATTAGTAGGGAAAAGAAGAATGATTCAATTAATGGTGTTACAACAGCTAGCTGCTTATTTGAAAGAGAATTAGCTGAACCCTCTCTTGTATCTTAGATCAAGTTTAATTAAAATTAGGTCTAGTACTTTAACATAAAAACACTTATAAATGTACCAGAAGAAAGCATTGCATTTAAAAATAGTCTTGGAATTAAGAAGGCTTTTCTAAGCAGATGTAAAACTCAGAGACTATGAAACATGGCCAAGGTACTTAAAGCTCATCCCTCTGACAAAAAAGAACCCAGACAACAAACAACTACATTTCATAGTCTAGCCTTGCAACCACAACTGGAAATATTATGCCAAAGACGGACAAACAGATGGTATAAACTCTATGGAGGTCTCAAATGAAGACAAGGATTTCCACGGAGAACCGATAAAAGCAGCTACTTCAATAGTCTGTCTTGAAAATCTTAGAGAGTATTGAACAGTTTCATCCTCTTTGTCATATTCAGAGTTGTCCTCCACTAAGGTCCAGCCAACATTTATTTATTGAAGACCTAAAACAAATATATGAAATCTTTTTTCTATCAAGGGCCAAAGACCCGCAAAGAAAACATCAAGATCCACAGACATAAAATCAACTTAACTTGGCTTCTATTATAGCAAAAAATTTAAAATGTTCCATGCATACAGTTTTTTGGTTTAGTTTTGTTTTGTGGGTTGTTGTGTTTTGTTTGTTTGCTTTGAGTCAGTCTTGCTCTGTTGCCCAGACTGGAGTGCAGTGGTGCCATCTTGGCTCACCGCAACCTCTGCTTCCTGGGTGGAAGCGATTCTCCTGCCTCAGCCTCCCGAGTAGCTGGGACTACAGGTGTGCGCCACCACGGTCGGCTATTTTTTTTGTCTTTTTAGTAGAGATGGGGTTTCACTATGTTGTCCAGGCTGGTCTTAAACTCCTGGCCTCAAGTGATCCACCTGCCTCAGCCTCCCGAAGTGCTGGTGTGTCTGGAATTGGTGGGTTCTTGGTTTCACTGACTTCAAAAATGAAGCCGCGGACCCTCGCAGTGACTGTTACAGCTCTTAAAGTGGCGTGTCTGGAGTTTGTTCCTTCTGATGTTCGGATGTGTTCGGAGTTTCTTCCTTCTGGTGGGTTCACGATCTCGCTGGCTCAGGAGTGAAGCTGCAGACCTTCCCCCTGAGTGTTACAGCTCTTAAGGCAGCGCGTCTGGAGTTGTTTGTTCCTCCCGGTGGGCTCGTGGTCTCGCTGGCTTCAGGAGTGAAGCTGCAGACCTTCGTGGTGAGTGTTACAGCTCATAAAAGCAGTGTGGACCCAAAGAGTGAGCAGTAGCAAGATTTATTGCAAAGAGCAAAAGAACAAAGCTCCCACAGTGTGGAAGGGGACCCCAGCGGGTTGCCACTGCCGGCTAGGGCAGCCTGCTTTTATTCTCTTATCTGGCCCCACCCACGTCCTGCTGATTGGTAGATCCCAGTGGTCTGTTTTGACAGGGTGCTGACTGGTGCGTTTACAATCCCTGGGCTAAACATAAAGGCTCTCCAAGGCCCTATCAGATTAGTTAGATACAGAGTATGGACACAAAGGTTCTCCAAGGCCCCACCAGAGCAGCTAGATACAGAGTGTCGATTGGTGCATTCACAAACCCTGAGCTAGACACTGGGTGCTGATTGGTGTATTCACAAATCTTAAGCTAGATACAGAGTGCCGATTGGTGTATTTACAATCCCTGAGCTAGACATAAAGGTTCTCAACCTCCTCATGAGATTAGTTAGATACAGAGTATCCACACAAAGGTTATCCAAGGCCCCACCAGACTCAGGAGCCCAGCTGGCTTCATCCAGTGGATCCTGCACTGGGGCTGCAGGTGGAGCTGCCTGCCAGTCCCGCGCCATGCGCTCGCACTCATCAGCCCTTGGGTGGTCGGTGGGACTGGGCGCCTTGGAGCAGGGGGCGGCGCTCGTCGGGGAGGCTGGGGCTGCACAGGAGCCCACGGAGGCGGGGGAAGGCTCAGGCATGGCGGGCTGCAGTCCTGAGGCCTGCCCCGCGGGAAGGCAGCTAAGGCCCGGCGAGAAATCGAGCGCAGCGCCGGTGGGCTGGCACTGCTGGGGGACCCAGTACACCCTCCGCAGCCGCTGGCCCGGGTGCTAAGTCCCTCATTGCCCGGGCCCGCAGGGCCGGCCGGCTGCTCCGAGTTCGGGGCCCGCCAAGCCCACGCCACCCGGAACTCCAGCTGGCCCGCAAGCGCCGCACGCAGCCCAGTTCCCGCTCGCGCTTCTCCCACCACACCTGCCCGGAAGCTGAGGGAGTGGGCTCCGGCCTTGGCCAGCCGAGAAAGGGGCTCCCACAGTGCAGTGGTGGGCTGAAGGGCTCCTCAAGTGCCACCAAAGTGGGAGCCCAGGCAGAGGAGGCGCCGAGAGCGAGCGAGGGCTGTGAGGACTGCCAGCAAGCTGTCACCTCTCACTGGGATTACAGGTGTGAGCCACTGTGCCTGGCCATCGATGAACACAGTTTTAATGTTAAGCACAGAATATATAAATTTGTAACATTTTAACAATTACAATATTAAGAATAATACGTATGACTAAAGTGAGAAATAGATACGTAATATTCTTTCTTTCTATTGCTATTATGGTACTTTAAAAAAGATGCTTTGGGCAGGTTTTTAAAAGGGAACATACACTTATTATAGTAAGTTTGAAAACTGGAGAAAATTCCAAAAAGTAGAAAAACTGCTTAGTACTTTGTCTTTTCTTCCGGCCTCTTTTGAATATGTTTTAAAATAGATAATTGATGTCAAAATCTTTATACAATTTTGTGTTTAGCCTTTTTGTGTAGTTATATTCTTAGCATATTTTACTGTCATTAATATTATTTATGCACATTATTTTTAATGATCACATAAAAATAGACCGCCAAGTGAATGCACTATAGTTTATTTAACCAGGCCACTAACATAGAACATTTCGGGTATTTCCAATTTTTCACCATGTGAGATAGTGACAAGATTATACTTTTTTGCTTAAATCATTATCCTTATTTAGGATTACTTCCATAAGATAAATAAAAAGATAAATTCTTAGAAATATAGTATTTGGATTAAAGGATGCTAACAATTTTATACTGTTTATACGATTGCCAAATTCCCCTTCAAAATGATTCTACCAATGCGTAGGTTCCCCAGCCTCGGAGAATATCATTTAAAAAATATATACCATTTGGTAATTAAGAAAATAACTTTTTAATTTATATAACTTTTTGTAACTACTAGTGAGGTTGCACTTTAAAAAAAAAACAAATTGATTTGCTACATGAGTTATGCTCTTACCTATCTATTTGGTACTTGGTAATTTTTTTTTCTTTTGCTTTTTGTTCCTTTTTTTTTTTTTTTTTGAGACAAAGTCTCTGTCGCCCAGGCTAGAGTGCAGTGGTGCAATCTCGGCTCACTGCAAACTCCGCCTCCTGGGTTCAAGTGATTCTCCTGCCTCAGCCTCCCTAGTAGCTGGGATTAAAGGTGTGCACCACCATGCCCCGCTAATTTTTTGTGTTTTTAAGTAGAGACGGGGTTTCACCATATTGGCCAGCCTGGTTTTGAACTCCTGACCTCAAGTAATATGCCCGCCTCGGCCTCCCAAAGTGCTAGGATTACAGGTATGAATCACTGCCCCTGGCTAATACTTGGTAATTTTCTTATCAATCTGTATTTAGCTTCTTATATATTTAGACTATTAATTCAGCCTGAGGCCAATATTTTTCAAGTATATTTTATGTCTAAGGCAATTATTTTTAAAGTGTGTTCTCTCGATGTAACGTCACTTCACAAATTAGTTGAAGAATATTTCCTCTTTCATTTCTCTAGATGAGATTGTGTAAATTATTTAAATTATTTCTTCTTTGAATTAAAATAGAACTCTCCAATGAAGGCATTTGGGGTTGAAATTTCTTTTCTTTTCTTTTTCTTTTTTTTGCTGTTTGATTTTGGTAGTTTATTTTGGAGACAAAGCAGTGCAAGAGGCTGGCCACACTTTCCTGCTCCCCTGGGGCTCAGTGGGGTTGAAATTTCTCAGTGGGAATTATTTTTCTAATTATATTTTTATTGAACTGTAACATACAGAAAAATATGTGTATGATAAACGAGAGATCAATAAATTAACAGAAAGTCCACACATCAATGTTACCAACACTCAAGTCAAGGAATAAAAAATTACCAGCAGCCCTGAAGCCCCATCTCTTGCCTTCTCCCAATACTCAGATGCACTTATCCCCCAAAAGTTAACCAGATAGTCTGACTTCTAACACCATAGATTAGGTTTGCCTATTTCTAAGTTGTATACAAATGGAATAATACAGTTTCTGTATTTTATATCTGGCTTCCTTTGGTTACTATTACATTTGTAAGAGTCAGCCATGCTGTGGCAAGTAGCTGTAGTTTCTTCACGTTCGTTGCTATATAGTATCCCACTGTATGTGCACACGACAATTTACTGACATGTTCTATTACTGATAGGCATTTGTGTTGTTTTCAGCTTGATGCTGTCGTAAATAATATTTCTACGAAGAGTGTTGTAAATTTTTTTGCACAGTGCGCTCTCATTTCTTAAGGGTATATACCTAGGAGTAGAATATTACTGGGTCATAGTGCATGTCTGTGTTTAAACTTTAATAGATAATGAGGCCAGGCTTGGTGGCCCACACCTGTAATCCCAGCACCTTGGGAGGCCAAGGCAGGCAGATCACTTGAGGTCAGGAGTTCAAGGCCAACATGGTGAAACCCCTCTCTACTAAAAATAAAAAAAAAAATTAGCCCAGTGTGGTGATGCATGCCTGTAATACTAGCTACTCAGGAGGCTGACATGGGAGGATTGCTTGAACCTGGGAGGCAGAGGTTTCAGTGAGCTGAGATTGCACCACTGCACTCCAGCCTGGGTGACAGTGTGACACTCTGTCTCAAAAAGAAAAAAAAAATTGATAATGAAAAACCGTATTGTACCAATTTACCTTTCCATCTACAGTATATGAGAGTTCTCATTGCTCCTCTAGTACCTGGTGTTATTAGTCTTTTTAACTATTCCTTGTGGATGTGTATTGGTATCTTATTTTAGTCTTAATTTTTACTTCCCTGATTACTAATACGATTGAATACCTTTAAAAATGTTTATTGGTTATTGTTTGAAATGCTTTTCAAGTTTTTTGCTAATTTCTCGATTGAGTTGTCTGTCATTTTCCTTTTGATTTGTACAATTCTATATATTTTGGGGATAAGAGCTTTTTGTTTTATGTGTTGCAAATCTTCTCTCCTATTCTGTGCTTTGTCTCTTTACTTTTTAACGGTCTTTTGATAAGTGGAATTTCTTAAGATTAATTTAGTACATCATCATTTCTTTTAGGGTTAGCCTTTCTTTTTTTTTTTGTTCTGTTTAAGAATTCTTTCCCTACCACAAGATCACACAGAATTCAGATACTCTTCTTTTTTTTTTTTTTTTTTTTTTGAGATGGAGTTTCGCTCTTGTTGCCCAGGCTGGAGTGCAATGGCGTGATCTTGGCTCACAGCAACCTCCGCCTCCCGGGTTCAAGCCATTCTCCTGCCTCAGCCTCCAGAGTAGATGGGATTACAGGCGTGCACCACCACATCCGGCTAATTTTGTATTTTTAGTAGAGACGGGGTTTCTCCATGTTGGTCAGGCTGGTCTTGAACTCTGGACTTCAGGTGATCTGCCTGCCTCAGCCTCCCAAAGTGCTGGGATTACAGGCGTGAGCCACCGTGCCCGGCAGAATTCAGATACTCTTCTATAGATACGGATATCTTTTAGAAGATTTTAAAAAAATTTACATGTCACATGAGGGTCTTCAATATACTTGGAATTTGGAGATGTAAAGTGTGAAGTAAGGTGTGAGTTTCATTTTTTTCCACACTGAATGAATGTCTAATTGACGCAGCACCATTTGTCAAAAAAATTGTCATTTCTCCATAGCTCTGTAGTATCTCCTTTGTCACAGACTGAGTGTGTACATATAATAGTGTGTATTTCTGGAACTTTAATTTTGTTCCATTGGTTTATTTGGCCTTTCTTGTGCTATAACCACACTGTCATAATTTTAGTAGCTTTATAATAGATTTTAATATCTTTAGAATTAGTTAAGTCCCCTTTCTTCTTCAAGAGTGTCTTGACTAGCAGTGACTATTTTCATTTCTATATAAATTTTAGAATCGTTTTGTCATTTTCCATTCCCCCTCCCCGCAAAAAAAACCTGCTGTAGGCCGGGCACTGTGGCTCACGCCTGTAATCTCAGAACCTTGGGAGGTCAAGGGGGAGGCTGCTTGAGGTCAGGAGTTCCAGACCAGCCTGGGTAATATAGTGAGACGCCACCTCTACGAAGAATTTTAAAATTAGCTGGGTATGGTGCCATAAGCTCATAGTCCTTGCTACTCAGGAGCCCAGGAGTTTGAGGTTACTATGAGCTATGATTGTGCCACTGCACACCAACCTGGGCAACAGAGGAAGAACTTGTTTCTCAAAAAACAAACAAAACAAAACAAAAATGGCTGGGCGTGGTGACTCACACCTGTAAGCCCAGCACTTTGGGAGGCCGAGGTGGAAGGAGTTCAAGACCAGCCTGGGCAACATGTAGAAACCCTGTCTCTACAAAAAAAAAAAAAAAAAAAAAAAAAAAAAAATTGGCCAGGCATGGTGGCATGCACCTGTAATCACAGTTACTTGGGAGGTTGAAGTGGGAGGATTGATCGAGCCTGGGAGGTTGAGGCTACAGTGAGCCGTGAGCATGCCACTGCACTCCAGCCTGGGTGACCAAGAGAGACCTTGTCTCAAAAAAAAAAAAAGAAACTGTTGTGATTTCTAAAAAATCTATATCTCAATCTGGAGCCCACATACCACTTTTTTTTTTTTTATACTGCGTTTTTCTATTTCAATAGGTTTTTGGGAAACGTGGTGTTTTCTTACATGACCACATACATCTTTACAGTATTGATTCTTCCATATTGTATACATATCCCTCTGTTCATTTGGGTCTTCTTTCATTTCTCCAAATAATGCTTTATAATTTGATTCTAGGGGTCTTGTGAAACTTTTGCTAGATCTAGATGTCTGAAATGCTTTGTTTTCATAAAGGGCATCATACATTTTTCTTTTTTTTCTTCTTAAAACAGGGTGTCACTCTGTTGCCCAGGCTGGGGTGTAGTGGCATGATCTCGGCTCACTGCAACCTCTGCCTCCCAGGTTCAAGTGATTCTCCTGCCTCAGCCTCCCAAGTAGCTGGGATTACAGGTGCCCGACACCATGCCCGGCTAATTTTTATATTTTTGGTAGAGATGGGGTTTCGCCATGTTAGCCAGGCTGATCTCAAACTCCTGACCTCAGGTGATCCGCCCGCCTCGGCCTCCCAAAGTGCTGGGATTACAGGCATAAGCCACCATGCCCGGCCTGTATTATATATTTTAAGACTATCTAAGGTGCATGTAAATGTCAATTTCTTATATATTACTCGGAAATTAAACTTTCATTATTACAAGGCGATCCTCTCTGTTAATGCTATTGTCATAAACTTTATTTTGTCTTATATTAATATAACCACACAAATTTTCTTTTGTTTATATTTACATGCTGTAATCTTTTTCTATGCTTTTACATTCAAATTTTCTGTGTGCATATGTCTTAAATGTTTCTTTACTAAACATTACAAAGCTGGATTTTGTTTATTTTAATCCTATTTGTCAACGCTGGTGTTTTAAGTGGAGCGCTTAGTCCATTTACATTTAATGTGATGCTAATACATTTGGGTTTAAATGTACCATCCTATGTTTTGCTTTTTATTTGTCCCACAAGTTCTACATTTCTTTTTCTCTCTCTTGCCTTCTTTTTGGATTAATCATTTTGTTATCATCTATTTTTCTGTCTACTATTTTGGATGTTATACTTTTTGCTTAATCTTATCTACATTTAATCTATTGTAATTTAATCTCTATATTTCCCTTTCTTTAGGATAATATACAGCTCAGTTCTTTCATTTGGCATTATCTAATTCCATCTGAAGTATATCCCTCATAAATGGAGGATCTACTCATGGTGAACTTTTTCCATTTTTTGTGGGGGGGGGGGTCTGATAGTATTTTTATTTAATGTTTATTCTTATACTGTTGCTGAGCATAATATTGTAGGATGAGAATTATCCCTTCTTAGTATGTTGAAAATATTATACCACTGCCTTTTAACTTTCACTATTAAAGGGAAAATGTCAGAGGTCTAACTGTTGTTTCTTTTTTTTCTTTTTTTTTTTTTGAGACGGAGTCTTGCTCTGTCGCTCAGGCTGGAGTGCAGTGGCGCTATCTCGGCTCACTGCAGGCTCTGCCTCCCCGGTTCACGCCATTCTCCTGCCTCAGCCTCCCGAGTAGCTGGGACTACAGGCACCTGCCAGCACGCCCAGCTAATTTTTTGTATTTTCAGTAGAGACGGGGTTTCACAGTGTTAGCCAGGATGGTCTTGATCTTCTGACCTCGTGATCCACCCGCCTTGGCCTCCCAAAGTGCTGGGTTTACAGGCGTGAGCCACCGCGCCCGGCCAACTGTTGTTTCTTTAAAGCAACCTGTCTTTTTTTTCTGACTCCCTTTAAATTTTCTGTTTATCTTTGGAATTCTACATTTTTACTAAGCCGCATCTTGATTCTTGATGTAGATTTCCTTTTTTTTTTTTTTTTTTTTTTTTTTTTTTTTGACACGGAGTTTTGCTCTTGTTGCCCAGGCTGGAGTGCAGTGGCGGGATCTCGGCTCACTGCAACCTCCACCTTCCTGGGTTCAAGCGATTCTCCTGCCTCAACCTCCCGAGTAGCTGGGATTACAGGCGCCCGCCACCACGTCCAGCTAATTTTTGTATTTTTGGTAGAGATGGGGTTTCTCCATTTTGGCCAGGCTGGTCTCGAACTTCTGACCTCAGGTGATCCGCCCGTCTCGGCCTCCCAAAGTGCTGGGATTACAGGCGTGAGCCACCGTGCCCGGCTGTGATGTAGATTTCTTTTCATTTCCCTTTCGTAGAATTTGTTGCCTGTTTGCTCTATGCACTGGTGTTTTTCATTAGTCCTAAAAATTCTCAACCATTATTTCTTTCAGTACCACCTCTGTCCCATTTTTACTCTCCTGCTATCCAGAACTCTAATAAAGCACCTCTTAAGACTTATTACCCTATCCTTCATACCTCTTAATCTCTGTTCCATATGTTGTGCCTTTCTGTTTCTCTGTACTACCTTCTGAATATTTTTTTCTAACCTAATTTCCAATTCATGAATTACCTCTTTTACAATATCCCGTCTGCTGCCAATTACATCTATTGGCTTTTTTAAATATAACTTTTTTTTTGCTTTTTATTTCTGTAAGTTCTATTGGTTATTTTTCAAATATAATATTTCACATTTTTCTTTTTTAAGAAAATTATTTTTAATTGACAAGTTAAAATTGAATATATTTATTATATACAATATGTTGTTTTAAAATATGTATACACTGTAGAAAGGTTAAATCAAGCTAATTAACATATGCGTTACCTCACATGCTTTTTTTAATGGTGAATACACTTCAAAACTACTCCGTTCACAATTTTCAAAAATACAGATAATCATTATTTGCTATAGTCACCATGTTGTACAATAGATCTCTTAAACTTATTTTGTAACCTTTAACCAAACTTTTCCCAACCCCCTTTCTCTAACCATTGGTAACCATTGTTCTCCTCTCTACTTCTATGAGTTCAACTTTTTTAGACTCCACATATAAGTTAAATCATGTGGTATTTGTCTTTCTGTGCCTGGCTTATTTCACTTAACATAATGCCCTCCCAGTTCATTCATATTGTTGCAAATGATAGGATTTCCTTCTTTTTTAAGGCTGAATAGTATTCCATCATGTGCATATACTACATTTTCTTTATCCATTCATTCATTGATGGATGCTTATGTTGCTTTCATATCTTGACTATTGTAAATAGTGCTGCAATGAACATGGTAGTGCAGATAACTCTTCAACATACTAATTCCATTTTCTTTGGCTATATACTTGTTGACGGCTATTGTGATACTTCAGTTTTTATCTTCTTAGTTTAAAAGAATTTAAACAAAAGACACACAGAAAAAGATATGCAGCGTAGAATAATTTATTCCAAAGTAAAAAGAACGTTTTGAAAGTTAAAAGTGCAGAATAGACAGTACATTCTGAGAGAAAGAAGATCCAGGGCAGGCTGCTCATAAGGATGAGACAGCAAAGACTGGCACTGAGGAGATTCCCTTCATGGGAGTCTCATATTATTCATAAGGGGGTGGGAAGAGGTGTTACTAGTAAGCGTGTTCTGGGTGGTCCTCTAGATGCACAGGCACAGTAGCTGTACATGCTTGTTCATATGTCGCGTGTCTCATAAGCATCTTAATCTCCATCCAGGGGTGTATTTCTTACTATTAAAATGAGCAAAGGGTCAGTTGGAGTATAGGTAAAAATCAGAAGGCACATGCTCTGTAGAGGGGAAAGGCCTTATTGGAGATAGCTTTGCTTGAATGAGCTTGACTACAATGCAAATGCTGAGGCTTATTGTACTGACTGTATGGTCACCAAGGTTGCTGTGTCCAAGGACATGGTCGCTTCCTTGACTACCTGTCCTGCTGCATACCCAGTAATGAGATTGCTGGATTATATAGTAGTTCTATTTTTAATTTTTTTGAGGAACCTCTTTACTGTGTTTTCATAATGGCTGTACTAATTTATGTTCCTATAAACAGTGTGCAAGGTTCCCTTTTCTCCACATCCTTGCCAATATTTGTTATCTTTTATCTTTTTGTTAATAGCCATTCTAAGACATAAGGTGATATCTCATTGCAGTTTTAATTTGTATTTTTCTAATTATTAGTGATGTTGAGCACTTTTTCTTTTTGAGACAGAATCTTGCTCTATTGCCCAGGCTGGAGTGCAGTGGCATGACCTCGGCTCACTGCAACCTCTGCCTCCCGGGTTCAAGCGATTCTCCTGCCTCAGTCTCCCGAGTAGCTGGGATTACAGGCATGAGCCACTATGCCTGGCTAATTTTTTTGTATTTTTAGTAGAGATGGGGTTCCACCATGTTGGCCAGGCTGGTTTCGAACTCCTGACCTCACGTGATCCGCCCACCTAAGCTTCCCAAAGTGTTGGGATTACAGGTGTGAGCCACCGCACCTGGCCTATTTTTTCTTATATTTGTTGGTCGTTTGTATGCCTTCTTTTAGGAACTGTTTATTGAGATCCTTTGTCCATTTTTACTCAGGTTATTTGTTTCTTACGATTGAGTAGTTTAACTTCCTCATACACTTTGGATATTAATCCTTTATCAGATGTATGCTTTGCAAATATTTCTTCCCACTTTATAGGTTATCTCTTCACTCTGTTGATTGTTTCCTTGGTTGTGCGGGAGCTTTTTGGTTTGACGCAATCCTATTTGTCTATTTTTGCCTTTAGTGCCTATGCTTTGGGGGAATATTCAATAAATCTTTGCCCAGACCAATGTCATGGAACATTTCCTCTATGTTTTCTTCTAGTGGTTTTGCAGCTTCACATCTCACATTTCAGTTCTGAATGTACTTCATGTTGATATTTGAATATAGTGTGAGGTAAGGGTCTAATTTCATTTTTCTGTATGTGGATATCCAATTTTCCCAATGCCTTTTATTGAAGGGACTTTCCTTTCTTCATTGTGTGTTTTGGCACCTTGTCAAAAATCAGTTAATTGTAAATGCATGAATTTGTTTCTGGGCTTTTTATCTGTTCCTTTGGCCTATGTGTCTGTTTTTATGCCAGTATCATGCTGTTTTGATTAATATAGCTTTGTAGTACATTCTGAAGTCTGATAGTATAATGCCTCCAGTTTTGTCCTTTTTGTTCGTGATTGCTTTGACTACTTGGGTTTATTTATAGTTCCATACAAACTTTAAGATTATTTTTTCCATTTTTGTTAAAAATGTCATTGGAATTTTGATGGGGATTGTATTGAATCTGTGGGTCACTTTGGGTAGTATGGACATTTTAACAGTATTAATTCTCCTGTTTCTTGAAGAGATTTCCAAAGGTGTCTCTTATTTAAGCATAATTGTTTTTGAGTCTGTGTGGCTGATTATAAGGAATCTGAAGTCTTGCTGAGTCTGTTCTGCTTTTTTTTGCCTTTGAGTACCCAGCTTATGTGAACCTGAATTTCAAATCCATCCAAGCACTAGCCCATGACCACAACTTCCTCTTTTTTTTTTTTTAGATGGAGTTCCGCTCTTGTTGCTCAGGCTGGAGTGCCATGGTGTGACCTCAGTTCACTGCAACCTCTGCCTCCCGGGTTCAAGCAATTCTCCTGCCTCAGCCTCCAGAGTAGCTAGCACTACAGGCATGCGCCACCACGCCCAGCTAATTTTTTGTATTTTCAGTTGAGACGGGGTTTCACTATGTCGATCAGGCTGGTCTTCATATCCTGACCTCGTGATCTGCCTGCCTCGGCCTCCCCAAGTGCTGGGATTACAGGCGCGAGCCACTGCACCCAGCCTGGCATCCTTTTTTCAGCACTCCCCAGATCTTCTCAGAATATCCCAGGGGTCCTATAGAGGCCATGAAGGTCAGTTATCTGCACAAGGCTGCCCAGCAGGGATGGCAGGAGATGCTATTGCTCATAGGATTTAAGGCTGTCTAGATGTAAGTCTGGTCCAGGTTGCAGAGCCTAAGGAGTCACTGTGAGTGGATCCATCCTAGGACACAGCATCCCCTGGTCCATTGGGGTCCACCTGTAAGTATGATTTCACCTCCTCCCTTCAAGGAACATGTTAGAACATGGCATAACAGGCACTGTTCTCAGAGATAGTGGATTCCAGTGTACCTTGAGGCTTTTTTAGCTGCTGGAAGCAATAGTTTTTTGAAAAAATGAAAAGAGAAAACAGGGTCCTCTTTAGAACATCCCAAGAGAAGAAGACTTACGGATGAAGGGGAGAAAAAACAGCAAAGATCTCAGACTCTTCTAATCCCAGACTCTGAGAAATCTTAGCCTCTGGAAAAAGAAACAGATCATCTGAGTTTGTTCAGCCAATTATAACTAATTACATCAGCTGGGATCTGTTGGTGAGTTCTGGTCATCAAGGTACATTATTTCTCTGCTCTGGCATTGCTCTGAGGGGTAGGGTTCATTTCTACAGTTCTTGTTTAGACGGGCTCTTCTCAAGAATCTAGCAACCTAGTCCCCTTCTTCCACCTCTTTCTTCCTCTTCTAAATCTTAGAGCCTAATTAAGTTCATTTGCCATGACCACAGTTCTACATAAGATCACATTCTGAGGTTTGGGGTAGGACATGAATTTCTGGAGGGCACTATCCTGCTGGTACCTTGGTTGCAGACTTCAAGCCTCTGTAAGACAATAAACCTCCTGGCTTCTGGGACTCTGCCCCAGGAAACGAATACAAGGAGGGAACAAGAAGTCTTTCCAGAAAGCATTCTGGGCCAATGTCCATGTCAGTGATCACCTCTAATAAGAGATATCCAGTCCCCAAGGTCTTGTGAGAAACGTCCCCACCTTGCCATCAGTGATGTCACTTGCATCCTTACACTCTGAAGCCCCTAACAGAGAAATGGAAGAATGCTCTGGAGGACAATAACATACTCTGGGCCCTTTAACATGGTCAAGATACTGAGCTGCAGCAAAAAGTAGGTAAAGGTCAGTTACACTTTTGGTTTCATTTACCCTGATGCTTTCTGGCTTTCTTTCTTTTGGTATTATGAGGGCAAGAGATACAAAATCAATAAACTAGGTAGTGATATTAATCTGCTTTCTTCTAAGAGCTTTCAGGGAGAGAGCCAACAACTCCTCCAGACAACTGTTCATGATAAGAGGATAAAACAGGTTTAGTGTGTGAAATTATGTTTCTTGTAAGTCCGGAAGGAAAACGTGTACAAAAGCATCTCTTGTTGACACCCCCGCTCACTCTGGCAGTAGATCAGAGAGCCCTAATGCTGGTGTTATCAGATATGCTGGACATAAACAATAACCACAGTTGTGCTGTGGCTGGAGCTAGAAGTGGCCAGTTGATTACAATCTCCTTCCTCTTGAGATTTCTCAGGGGCTAGACTCCCACCAAGAGCCCAGGAAACATAGTTTAGAAGTTGGCAGAGAAGTCAAGACTGCCACAGAGCCTTGGCAGTGCAGCAGACATGTGATTTCCTGGAGCTGACCATGAACTACCTTTTTGTTTTCTCTTCTGATTGTCCCTGATATTTGTTTCAGCATTTTGTTTTAATTTTATTAATATTTCTTCCTTTGATCATATCCCTAATTTTGTGGGCTGAATAATGGTTCCTTATGCCCTGGATTTTGTGAATATGTTACGTTTCTTGACAACAGGGACATGACAGATGTAATTAACATTACTAATCAGCTGACTTTAAGACACGGAGATTATTCTGGACTGTCTTGGGTAGGCCCAATGCAAAATCATGAGATTCCTTTTTCTTTCTTTTTTTTTTTTGTTTGTTTGTTTTTTTGAGACATGGTCTCACTCTATCACCCAGGCTGGAGTGCAGTGGCGTGAACATGGCTCACTGCAGCCTTGATGTTCCTGGCCTCCAGCAATCCTCCCACCTCAGCTACCCAAGTAGCTGGGACTACAGGCATGCACCACCATGCCCAACTAATTTTTTGATTTTTTGTAGAGATGGGGGTCTCATCTTGTTGCCCAGGCTGATCTCGAGCTCCTGGGCTCAAGTGAGCCTTCCACTTTGGCCTCTCAAAGTGCTGGGATTACAAACGTGAACCACTGTGCCCAGCCCCCATGGGATTTCTTAACAGTAGAAGAAGAAGGGAGAATAGTGGTCAGAGATATGCAGTGGAATCAAGAGACAGAAGAGGGATTGGAAGCCTGTGAGAGACGTCACCCACCATTGCTGGTTCTGAAGTTGGAGGATGAAGGCCGTGCACCAAGGCATGTGGGAAGCCTCTAAAAACGGGTAATGCCTCTCAACTGACAGACAAGACACAAATGAGTCATTAGTGCTACAATGACCTTAAATGGAATTCCACCAATAACCTGAATGAACAAGGATATGGATTCTCCCCTAGGACCTCTAAAGAAAACGCAGGCCTGCTAACATCTTGATTTTGGCCTTGTGAGATTCTAAGCAGAAACCTAGCCAAAGTTGCCAGACTTCTCACCTAAGGGTACTGTGAGATAATGAATTTGTGTTGTTTTAAGCTGCAAAGTTTGTGGTAACTTGTTACAATAGCAATAGGAAACTTATACACCTAACAAATCAGGTCCCCTTAAGAAGTAAACCCAGGTTCCTCCTGTGGAGAATGAGGTAGATTTCATTAATTTTCTTCTCCTCACTCACCTGTGTCTGTACGTTGAATAGCGTGATCCTCTTCACTATGAATTAGCCCAGCAACCAAGCCTTGTAGGTCAAGTATTCAGGGTTAAACTCAGTTTCTTCTTCCAAGAAGACTCATCTTGTTTACTGTTGGGGGAAACCAGCCCCACACCACCCAGAGGGTACCCGGAGTCCGGCAGAGACAAAGGAGTTAGAAAGAGACAGAATAAGCTTTAAAAGGTGAGTCCAGGGGATGGGAGCAGCTGAGGCTTGCTGAAGGCCCAGAGCTCTCGGGCTCCGCCCAGTTTATTGGTTTACAAGCTCTTCGTTCTTAGGGCAGATGGGAGGGCGAGGAGGGAATGAGGAAAAGGATTAATCAGTGAAGGAGAACTCGTGAGTCATTCAATAAGATGTATAGCAGTGGCAGTTTCTGTGAATTTCCTTGAGCAAAGGTGTATGTCTAAACTACTTAAGATCTTTAACTTATCCAGACTGAAATGGGTGGGAGTGGGTTTCAGGAGGAGCCAAGATGTTTGATTATACTCCACTGCTTCAAGGGAGTGTTATCTCCCTGAGCAACCTGTGGCATGCCGCTGAGCAGTTATGCTCTCGGGGCATAAAGGCATGAAGGCAATAAGGAGACTTTTCTCCTCAGAGGCCGCCCATGGCTCCCCATGGGTGTCTCACACAGGGGAGACCAACTCAACTGGCACCCCAGAAACTCTCTTTCCACAGTTTACCTAAACCAAATTGCATGGGGAAGAAAGGTGCAAAATGTATATATTCCTAATGAACAAACTTCCTAATCACATCTTCTAAAATTCACACAGTACTCACCAAGTTGACCTTTTATATTTGATTAGAGTATCTCAGCTCGTTTTGAGATTTTTATTTTGCACTCTTCAGGGATTTTTTTTATTATCATTTTGCTTACTTCTGAGTATTTTATTTTTAAAATAAAATGATGCATATAAAAACCTTTTTCTAGTATATTCAATAGTTCAAGCTGTTAAATGGATATACTATTGCTATTGTATCTGTATTCACCTCTTAAACAGCTCAGAAGTTTACCTGCATGTCGTAAGTATGCTCTTATTAACACCAAGCTGTTATTTTATATAACTAATCCAGTTTTAGCATGGCTTTTAAAATTTTATTTGAGAAATGAGAGGAAAAATGAGAGATAATACATCTGTGGTAGAGTGGCTTTCAGAAAGCTGCTAGTCCAGGGCTGGGCACAGTGACTCATGCCTGTAATCCCGGCACTTTGGGAGGCTGAGTCGGGCAGATTGCTCGAGGTCAGGAGTTCAAGACCAGCCTGGCCTGCACGGTGAAACCCCCATCTCTACTAAAAATACAAAATTAGCCAGGCGAGGTGGCATATGCC
Organism: Homo sapiens; assembly: GCF_000001405.40. Lineage (NCBI taxonomy): Eukaryota > Metazoa > Chordata > Mammalia > Primates > Hominidae > Homo > Homo sapiens. Next base: position 162,418,703 of record NC_000001.11, on the reverse strand, counting down.
TGTAATCCCAGCTACTCGGGAGTCTGAGGTGGGAGAATCGCTTGAGCACAGGAGGTGGAGGTTGCAGTGAGCCAAGATTGTGCCACTGCACTCCAGCCTGGGTAACACAGCAAGACCCTGTCTCAAAAAAAGAAAGCTGCTAGTTCAATGTAAGAGGAGATCAACAAGTAGTAGAAGGTCAACATTATTGTGGAAACATTCAGTAGATTCCAATATAAACTGGATAGTGTGGGTGTCAACATCCACACTGGAAACATCCAATATTATTATTGGATGTTATTATTATTTTCCATAACTGTATTAGTTATTGAAACTGTATTAGTTATTGAAACTATATTAGTTATTCAAAATAATAGCTTGATGTTAAATTAACAAGAGCATACTTGTGACATGCAGGTAAACATCTGAGCTATTTAAGTGGATGTTTGATGTTATAAAACTCATTGTGTGCTCATCTACACAATGTTTGATGTTATAAAACATCTACACAATATTAGTAGATGAGTAATTATATTCAAAATATCAATGAAGATAACATTTGAACTAATAAAAAATTCAATTGCATATGCCAGGGTACTTGTTAGGATCTTTTCACTGCAAAAAAAAAAAAAAATGCCCGTATTCAAATAGTTTGAAGAGTGAGGAAATTTATTCTCCCATCCAATTGGAAGTCAAGAAGAGGAATGGTCTTCTAGGTCAGTTGTTAAAGCCGCCCAGTGCCATTTTCAAGGACGTAGATTCTTTCTCTCTCTCTGCCTTTCCTTTCTCGGCAGACCGGCTGGCCCTCGGGCTGACACTCTTGTGGCTCCAGAATGATTGCCAAAGGTCAAGGCCTCCCATGCAGACATATCACCATCCAGACAAAACAGGGGCCATCTTGTGTGGAATCTTTCAGATATGAACAATAATAGAAAACCAAGCCCTAACTACGTGCCAGCTGCATTATGTATATAATCCTCTCAGCAACTCTATATGGTCATTATAATGATCGTCTCCATTTTCTGAAAAACAAAGGCACAAAAAGCTAGGCAGTTTGCATTCATCACTGAGTAGCGAAATTGGAATTCAAATCCAGGCAGTCTGGTGGTGATATGGTTTGGATCTATGTCCCCACCAAATCTCATATTGAATTGTAATCCCCATTGTTGGAGGTGGGGCCTGGTGGGAGGTGATTGGATCATGAGGGCAGAGTTCTTATGAATGGGTTAGCACCATCCCTTCGGTGCTGTTCTTGTGATAGTGAGTGAGTTATTGTGAGATCTGGTTGTATAAAAGTGTGTGACACCTCCCCCTTCTCAGTCCTGCTCCCTCTTTGCCTTCCACCATGAGTAAAAGCTCTCTGAGCCGTCCCCAAAAGCAGATGCTTCCATGCTTCCTGCATAACCAGTGGACTGTGAGCCAATTCAACTTCTTTATGAATTACCCAGTCTCAGGTGTTTCTTTGTAGCAGTGCAAGAATGAACAGGTGGCAAGGCCTCTTGCTGAAGCCCCCACACCACACTGCCTCTCACATAGGCGGTTCTGCCCTTAGAGTCATGGAGATTCCAAGAATATTGGGGTCCCACTATAAAGTATGTTCAATGAATGATGGTGATGCAATGAGTTAGCTCTTTAAGGAGATAGACAAAGTGCTATCTCCTACGATAAGACAGTAGGAATGAAGTGGGAGGTCCTACACTGTTGCCCTCCATCAGGCATCTTTTAACAAGCACAACACAAGCATTTGCCATGCTGCTGTGGTCAGTGATGATCTTGTGATCTTGGGCTTTCTGGGGTTGACACCACACTGTCCAGTTTCTACGTGACTTTTCACTCAGAACAACACTGTGATTCACATTTGGCCTCATGCTTCCTTGGTCTTGAGAACAGAATTTTATCTGTAAGGCTGGATTTATTTGACATCTTTAGTAGAAAATAACAAAAACAAATGCCAACTAGCTTATGACAAAAGGGAAATCTATTAAAATGACAAAAAAACTCAAGGGCAAGCATGTAGCCAGACCTCAGAAATCACTGAATCCTGGAATGAAAACCCATGGAAAATCCAAGTGAGACTATCTTTTGACTCTGCTTTTTTTCATGTGTCCACTTCATTCCTCATTTTGCAGACCAGTTCTCTTCTCCTGACAGCTTGCTGGGATATGGCCACCAGTATACAGTGTAAAAATGTACCTGTTACACAGCCATTCCTAGAGAATTAATTTCCATTCCCATTTCCTACCCATCCCAGCCCCCTACCCTCTTTCTTTCTTTCTCTTTCTTTCTTTCTTTCTTTCTTTTTCTTTCTTTCTCTCTCTTTCTTCTTTCTTTCTCTCTTTCTTTCCTTCCCTTTCTCTCTTTCTTTTCTTTTTCTTTCTTTCTCTTTCTCTTCTTTCTTTCTTTCTCTTTCTTCCTTCCTTCCTTCCTTCCTTCCTTCCTTCCTTCCTTCCTTCCTTTCATCTCTCTCTCTTTTTCTCTCTCATTTCCTTCATTTCCCCATTTTCTCTAAACTCCTGGATAAGGGTTTGTGATTAACTTATCTTAGGTCGGAGGCCTATCCTTGATCAAATCACCCATGGCCAGAAGAATAGGGTCATGTTCTACAAACATAGTGCTAGGTTTTTGTTTCTGTGGATGAGAGAAAGGGGACCCACGCAAGAAATTGAAGATATTCCTGTGTACTGTGGAGCTATTCTTAAAGGTGACATGGGATCAGAATAATATGGGAATGGAAAGATATTTTTACTATTAAAACTTTACAACACATGCAAAAAGAGACATTAATATAATGAACCACACACACAATCACCCAGTATCAGACATAACACTTCAATACGTATCTCTAAAAGTTATATTCACAAAAGCATAATGCCATTGCTACACGCACTATCTAATATCAAATCAATACTTAAATTTCCCCCAGCACTAAATTTTTGGTATTTGGTTTTTTCAAGCCAAGATCCAAACAAGATGTCATCTAGCATTGGTTTCATGCTGCATAACCATCTTTTTAACCTAGAGCAGTTCTCACCCAACTATCTGACTCAGTTTTTACAACCTATGAAGACACCACATTATTTGTTCTACTGAATGTCCCATACACTGGATTCCAAGAGCTTAAAGCTTTTCTCCAAGGAGCTAGGACAAAGGGCTACATCTATATTTGGGCAAGGTTGATCTTTTACTGGATAATATAAATTCAACGTATTTTGATCAACCACAATCATTATTCCTTTGATACTTAAATTTTTCCATATTGGGTCTTATGTCCTTTGACATGACTCAGTCTTCACTGACACACTTATATGTCCCTGGCATGAATTCAGCCATTTCTCTAAAAAGTTCTTGCTTCTTTTATAGGAGAAGTGGTATTTAGAGACCATAGCCTTATCCCTAGGTGTGCTCATTGCTACCAAGTTTTCATTGTTTTAGCTAGGGATTGGCAAACTACAGCCCATAGTGCTGCTTTTACACTACAATGGCAGAGATGAATGGTTGCAACAGAGACTATTGCCTGCAATGCCTAAGAAAAAGTTTGCTGGCCCCTGTTTTAGGCCTTTTGTTGAAAAGCAAGTTGTAAATCCATGCTGATATTTCCAATTCAAATTTAGCATCAAAAATTTTATTTAACTTCTTTGCTTTTATATGTGTATCTCTTTTCTTATACTGAAAAAAAATCTTGATTCTAGAATTTTCCCAGGACTCATCTGTCTTTAACACTGAAAGTCGTAGATACTGGGAAACCCCTCAGACATAAGCAAACTGGTACAGTTGTTTACCTTACTTAGTTCTTAAAATGTTAATATCAGTATGATTTTTGTTTATCTTATAATATGAGTTAAATATATTTAAATTACACCAAATTATCACTAAATTTATTTGCTAGTTTATTTAATGTACAAGATATTTAATTAAAACTGTTCACTCAAATTCTACATTCTAAAGTCAGTTGAAATAATTTTCTTTATGATTATATTACCAAAGTAATGTTCAGTTAGATACATTATTTTAGTTTTTATTCCTCCTTTTAGGAATACCCTTTTACTTGTTTATTTTCAATGTGTAAAACAATTATGGCCGGGCGCTGTGGCTCACGCCTGTAATCCCAGCACTTTGGGAGGCCGAGGTGGGTGGATCACGAGGTCAGGAGATTGGGACCATCCTGACTAACATGGTGAAACCCCGTCTCTACTAAAAATACAAAAAATTAGCTGGGCGTGGTGGCAGGGGCCTGTAGTCCCAGCTATTCGGGAGGCTGAGGCAAGAGAATGGCATGAACCCAGGAGGCAGAGCTTGCAGTGAGCCGAGATCGCACCACTGCACTCCAGCCTGAGCGACAGAGTGAGACTCTGTCTCAAAACAAAACAAAACAAAACAAAAAAACAATTACATGATTCTACATTCAAAACTCCACAGCAGGCTGGGCGCAGTGGGTCACATCTGTAATCCCAGCACTTTGGGAGGCCGAGGCAGGCAGATCACTTGAAGTGAGGAGTTTGAGACCAGCCTGGGCCACATGGTGAAACCCTGTCTCTACTAAAAATACAAAAATTAGCTAGTCATGGTGGCACGTGCCTGTAGTCCCAGCTACTTGGGAGGCTGATGTGGGAGAATTGCTTGAACCAGGGAGGCAGAGGTTGCAGTAAGCCGAGATCACACCACTGCACTCCAGACTGGGTAACAGAGTGAGATTCTGTCTCAAAACAAAACAAAACAAAAAACCAACAACTCTACAGCAAGTTTTACTGAGAGAAGTCTCACCTCTATGCATGTTTCCGCTCTCCTCTTAGAGGCAGAAGTTTTTAGTTTTAATTAGTTTTAGTTTTGTTCTTCCAGTGGGTGTTTCGTTTGTTTTTTAAATATGAGCAAATATTATAAATGTATATATTTATTTATATCCCCCATACTCTATATACTATTGTGCATCTTGCTGCTTTCACCTAAAAATACATCCTGAAGATTATTGCATATCAGCATATAGAGATCTTCCTCAATCCCATTTTATTATTCTATAGTAATATTCCATTGTATACATGAATCACAGTTTATTCACCTGTCCCTCTATTCACAAGTCTTTGAGTTGTTTGTAATCTTTTTCTATTAAAAAATACTACCTTATTCACAAGTCATTTTCTAATTCTGCCTGTGTAGTTTTGTGACAGATTTCTAGAACTGAGATTGTTCTATCAGATGGTGAAGGCATACATAAATTTGCAAGATATTGCCAAACCATCTTTTACTATAGTTGTAACTATTTTTTATTCCAACTAATGATATACAAGATATTCTATTTTCTTTCACCATGACCAACCCAATAAGCTTTCAAACTTTTGATTTTCACCCATATGATAGGTGAGAGTTGTTATCTCAGCATGCAGGTAATTTGCATTTCTTTTATTGTGAGGGTTGGATTTTGAAACAGCAAAAAGGGCAAGGAAGCCCCTGTGATGACCAAGAGCCTGAGCATGCTTTCAGTTATTTCCTCTCTTATGTCAAAAAGCATCTTTACACCACGATTGTGAATTTATTCACAAGAAATACCAAATTTCTTCTTTCATTATTAACAACTCTGTCTTCAACTGCCATAGTTTCCAGAGAATTGAATAATGAATTGTCCAAAACCACAGAAGAAAAGTTGCTATTTGAGAGCATATCTGTCTGATAACGAGTTCCCTGATCAGTGAAACTGCACTATGCCAAATGCAGAGTGGGAATTCCAAGGAAGAACAAAGATCTGTTACAAGGAAGTTCCATAGAAGATACACCCAACTGTGAGTAAACAGCTGGTAAGCAAAGTAGCAAGGTGAAATAAACATCTAGGTTAAGAAGAAGTTAAGATCTCCAGGTACTACGGAGATGAAGAAAACAAAAAAAAGAAGAAGTTAAGAGAAGTAAAGATGAATCGTTAGCACATAGTTCTATTTTCATAGATAACATTTTTGAGATATATATAGTGATTTTCTGTAGATATATGAGTATACCCAGATATCCCTCCCACCTACACCAGCCCTTTCTCCAAAAGGAACAATGCTTGAGGGTGTTCAAATGGCCTTTTTTCACCAGTGGCTGGGAGCCTTAGCCATGGAATGGGCTGTCCTCATCCACAGTGTCCCACTGTTTTTTATTGCCATTAATGTCTTCCATTTTTAGTGTCATTTGATCCACGGAAATCCCACCCTTTCAATTTTCCCATTGTATCTGAGCATATCAATTCTCTCAGCATCCAAATGGTTTTTGAGCACCCAGTCTAAGCTAAGCATAGCCCAATCCTAGGCAACTTCAGCAGAAAATGGGTACCATTACAGCAAAAGCAGCGGTGTGCTTCCTGGAAAGGATACCAGTAGCCAAAGAAGTTGATGATAGTCCATGGTAATATACAAGGCTGCAACACAGTTCCAGGAAGCTTGACTTCAGCATTGCCTCCCTAGCCATGAGCATCACTGATTCCATTGTGTGTTTAAATGTGCTTTACCTACTTCTGTGAGTCACATGTGGGCCATTTAGAGGGTGAAAAGTGTTGGTCATTTTATCACCCCGCCCTCCTCATTTCCTGAATCTTGTGAAGCTGGCTGAGTCCCACAGACCGCTAGAGGAAGAGGTAGCTCCACAGGAGGTACAGCTGCTTACACATCTCTCCTCAGAGCTGTCCCTTGACTTGGGGGTGAATTTCAGGCCAACAGGGCTTCCTGGGATACAAGAGCGTTCTCCATGGATCTGCCTTACTACCATGGACGTCTGACCAAGCAAGACTGTGAGACCTTGCTGCTCAAGGAAGGGGTGGATGGCAACTTTCTTTTAAGAGACAGCGAGTCGATACCAGGAGTCCTGTGCCTCTGTGTCTCGTGAGTAGCCTCATCTTGCACACATCTGACATCGTATGTTGAATGTGGCAATGGCTGCCACACAGTACAGGAATTCATATCCCTCAGTATTTCACTCTGACTTTGGAGTCTCAATGAGTAGAATGAGAAGTAATGGACACTGCCAGGAGAGGAATGTATCTGTCCATGCTCCTCCATCTGCCTGCTCTCCCTGGTGTAAAGGCCCTGCAAGCAGACTCTGCAGCAGCAGGAGGGACATGGTGGTGGTGAAGGGAAGGGCTGCAGGAAGTACAGGGGTACAGAGGGATGGAAAGAAGGTACAAATGTCAGAGGTCCTGTCCTCCAGAGATCTGTTTATTTGGTATGGAAAAGGCTAGGGGTTCTTCAAGAAATTTCAATCTGAAACACTTATTCTGCAGCATCTGCTTGCAATACGTAAACTATAAATACAATCATATTTCACATTTTGTTAGATTTGTGAAGGACTTCAATATTCGTCATTTCCTTTCATCCTAGTAGTCTATCAAGGCAAGCATAAGCAGTCACCATTTCATAGGTAAAGAAACAGAGACCTGAATTTCTCAAATAATTTGTTTGTGTTAAAACTCATTTGGAATTTCCAGAGTCTAAGTTAAACATGAAATTCCAGGCTGGGCATGGTGGCTCATGCCTGTAATCCCAACACTTTGGGAGGCTGAGGCAGGTGAATCACTTGAGGTCAGGAGTTTGAGACCAGCCTGGCCAACACGGCAAAACCCCATCTCTACCAAAAATACAAAAATTAACCTGGTGTGGTGGCGTGTGCCTGTAATACTGGCTACTTGAGAGGCTGAGACAGGAGAATCACTTGAACCCAGGAGGCAGAGGCTGCAGTGAGCTGAGATTGCACCACTGCACTCCAGCCTGGGCAATAGAGTGAGACTCTGTCCAAAAAAAAGAAAAAAGAGTGGCTGGGCACAGTGGCTCACTCCTGTAATCCCAGCACTTTGGGAAGCGGAGGCAGGTGAATCACCTGAGGTCGGGAGTTCGAGACCAGCCTGACCAACACGAAGAAACCCCGTCTCTACTAAAAATACAAAATTAGCCAGGTGTGGTGGCGTATGCTTGTAATCCCAGCTATTTGGGAGGCTGAGGCAGGAGAATCACTTGAACCCGGGTGGTGGAGGTTGCAGTGAGCTGAGATTGTGCCATTGCACTCCAGCCTGGGCAACAAGAGCAAAACTCCATCTCAAAAAAAAAAAAAAAAAGAAAAAGAAAAACAAATTCCAGGCCACAGTATCAAAGAGACCTAGCTGAAGGAACTTGTTTATGCCCAGTTTAGAAAGCAATCCTGAACAGAAATCACTAGAAACCTCCTATCTTTATGTATGTTCCTCTTTGTAAAGTAGGGACCACTGAACCTTTTATTATACCTGTAACAGAAATTAAAATCCAAATGTCTCTTGTTAAAGAAAAAAATTACTCAATGTCACTTGTTAAATTATGGTTGGGAAGACTTTATTCAGGATCATCACAAAGGTACAGGGACCACTGCAATGAGCTCTTGCGGCACAGAAAAGAGACTGGACTCAACTCTGAATCCAGCATGGACAAGTGGGAATTTATGGCCAAGGAGCAGTGTGGCTGTCGGTAGACAGAAAATTACTCGGAGGAAACATCAGGGGTAAAGTGGATTCTGGCTAAACCAGCCTAACAGAATTGTAGCTGAAGACAGGCCCGGGTGATCAGATGTTGCCTGGGGGATGGTGGAGGATGAGGAATCTGATCAGAATCCAACAGTGATCAGATAGCTAGGGTGAGGGGTCCTTGCCAAACTGACTTAGTAGGGTTCTTTGCTAAAACTGGATTTTACAAGGAAGTACACAAATGGGCCTTGGAATAGGCTCAGAAGTCTGATTATAGACAAAAGTGATTGTCATTACTAATAGAATACACAGGGACATATTTCTTTCTTTAAATGGTACTGGAGATACAGGCTATTTCTCTCATATCTACATCCAACAGTACCATTTAAAGAAAAATATATATTGGCCAGGCGCGGTGGCTCATGCCTGTAATCCTAGCAATTTGGGAGGCTGAGGTGGGCTGATCACTGAGGTCAGGAGTTCAAGACCAGCCTGGCCAACATAATGAAACCCCCATCTACTAAAAATACAAAAATTAGCCAGGCATGGTGGGTGCAGTTGTATCCCAGCTACTTGGGAGGCTGAGGCATGAGAATCGCTTGAACCCAGGAGGCAGAGGTTGCAGTGAGCCGAGATCGCGCCATTATACTCCAGCCTGAGAGACAGAGAAAGACTCTCCATCTCAAATAAAATAAACAAAGAGTGGAAAAGATCTGCTTACATGTAAATGGGATGGAGGGCATTTTAGGAAGGGGAGGAGGTAGGAACAGGAGTCTAGAAGTGGGATATTTTAAAGGATTTACATACAAGGTTCCTAAAATGTAGTTTGGAAACCAGCTTTTGGAAAAGGAGGGTGGGATAAGATCATGGAGTTTTAAAAGAATGGTTCTATAGATAACAGGGAAACATGGATGGTTTCTGAGCAGGGAAGTGAAAAGACTGGTGAATTTAGGAACTTCAATTTGACGTGGAGAACACAATGAAGCTGGGAAATGATGGCAACAGAAACTGTTGTGTCTCTGGACGGGAGACGGTGAAGAGCTAGTTGTGCTGGGGCAAGCAGTGGGAAGGGAAAAAACAAGAAGGTGCAAGGACAGACCTTGGCCAGGATCTCAGGGTATATGGTCAATATGGGATTCTCTTCCTTCCTTTCTTTCTTTTTTTTTTTTTTAGACAGGGTCTCACTCCAGCTCCTAGGCTGGAGTGCAGTGGTGCGATCATGGCTCACTGCAACCTCAACCTTCTGGGTTCAAGAGATTCTCCTGTCTCAGGCCCCCTGAGTATCTGGGACTACAGGTGCGCACTACCATGCCTGGTTAATGTTTAAATTTTTTGTAGACATGGGGTCTCGCTATGTTGCCCAGGCTGATTTCGAGCTCCTGGGCTCCAGTGATCCACCCACCTCAGCCTCCCAAAGTGCTGGGATTACAGGCATGAGCCACTGCACCCAGCCTATATTGGGATTCTCTTTGAAAATTGATATTTATTCTCAACTGTTCTGTGGTGCATCAGCCCATCTTGCATATTCATCTAAAGCAAAGGTCACTAAGAGATGCTAAAAAATGGGCCAGGCGTGGTGGCTCACACCTGTATTCCCAGCACTCTGGGAGGCCGAGGCGGGCAGATCACTAGGTCAAGAGATTGAGACCATCCTGGCCAACATGGTGAAACTCTGTCTCTACTAAAAATACAAAACTAATTAGCTGGGTGTGGTGGCATGCGCCTGTAGTCCCAGCTACTCAGGAGGCTGAGGCAGGAGAATTGCTTGAACCCAGGAGGCGGAGGTTGCAGTGAGCCAAGATCGCACCACTGCACTCCAGCCGGGTTACAGAGCGAGACTTGATCTCAAAAAAAAAAAAAAAAAGAAGAGAAAAAAAGAGAAGCTAAAAAATGAAAATAAACCAAGTGGAGAGGCAAAAATAAATATTTGTTAAGCCCCTGCACATGATCAGGTCTCACCCACCTCCCTACACATGTCACTGAAAGGCAAACAACATTTCATTCACCCTCAGGCTTAAGGCTTAGGTCAAGTGACCCCTGAAGCTATCTCCTCATAGGGCCTTGTAAAAATGTATTATCATACAGATAAGTATGGACTATTAAATTCTAGTTGTTCAACAAATATTTGAATTCTCTCATATGTCAGACAGTGTGCTAGACACTCGGTTGATGCCTTCAACACAACTCAGAGCCTAGTGGGGAAAATAAAGAAGTAAACAGACACAGTGATGCATGTGATAATTATGATGATTGGACTATCATTAGGGCACTGTAGAGCTGACAGCAAAAAGGGGAGAACCAGATATTGGAGCTGAGACTTTAGGAGAATAAGTGGAACCTTCATTCATTCAACAAGCATATACTGAGCACTTATTATGTTCCATGCGTGGTCCTAAGCATTGGTAATACAGTGATAAATACTACTGGCAATGTTTCTGCCCTCATGAAGTTAATTTCAGTAAGAGGAGAAAATATGATGAAAATGAAACAGAGTCATATGACAGGGAGAGACACAGCTGCTGCTTTCCATTGGGTACAGGAAAGGTTTCTCTGAAGAGGTCACATCAACCAATTCATGCTTCAAGATACAACCCTTTGCAAGCAAAGCAAGAATTACTATTATGATACAAGTGTTAGCCTGCTTGTCTTCACTGACACAGAAAAAGTTACCATGTAGGTATTATCTATGAGCCAAACATTTTGCTAAGCATGGTACATGCATTATCTTATTTGTCATTTGCAATCCCTTTGCGGTAGGCGACATGATCACTATTTTGTGAGAAAATAAACTGTAGCTTCTTATTTAATAGCTTGCCTAGGGCCAAATTGCTAATATGTTATTACATTCCCTCTCTTACCAATGTCCCCAGCTTCACTGAAATATGTTTCAGGTAATCACCTTGGATCTGTGTTATAAAATGCCCAAGCAGGGGACCTGAGGGCTTGGGAGTGGACTCTGATATGCAGTGTCCCCTTCTTCTCTGCTGCATTAAAATGGGTCTCCCCTGGACACCCAGCTTTAAAATTTCTCTGTTTTGTACTCTTTCCCTTTATTTCTTAGACTGGCCGACACTTAGGGAGAATAGAAAAGAACCTACGTTGAAATATTGGGGGCTGGTTCCCCCGATACTTCAGGACTTTCACAGAGCTAAATATTTAGTGATGAAAATACTGTGAGGAAGGTTAGAAATAAAAGAAGGAGGTCACAGAGAGAGCTGACCTAGCAGCATATGGCACTAACCAGAAAGCTATGTGGTAACTGTGGACAGGAAATGTTTTCTGATCTTACAATGTAATAGAGTGTCTAGAAAACTCCAGTGTGTAAAAGGTTGTCTGTGTAGTGTGACTTTGTGAGTGTCTAAACTGTCTGCCTTTATCATCAGTAAAATTAAATGGAGTAGATATTAGGAGGTGCAAAGGATTCATCTGCAAGTGTGAAGAAAAGGAGGACTTTGCAAAGCCATAGGAAGGCTGCAGGTGAGGAAGACCTGAGCCCTAACCTACTGCATGCTCTCATTAAGAATAATAATGGCAATGTCTATCTATTGCCTTGAGAGTCATTTATGAGTCTCAGATTCTGAGACTTTTGCAAGGATTGTAGAGTACAGAAAGAAAAGAAATGATCCATTTTGTTGTGGTGGTTTATCAAGCTAATGAAAATTCATTTTAGAAAATCAAATATAGAGAAAGGTATAAAAAACAAAACAAACTATATCAGTCTCACCACTCTGAAATCACCATTTTTAATATTTTGGCATACATCTCTCCAGACTTCTCTGCGCATCTATAAACCAATATATGTACATAAATGGTTCATTATACATGATGGCTTGCAACCTGTTTTCTCCATAATTGTAGGTCTCTTTCCCCATCAAAGAAAGCAGGTCATCCCCTTATGACTGCTTAGTATTTTATTGATTTGATATATCATAATGTATACATATCATACATTAGGTTATTTTCAATTTTCATTTGCAATTTAGTCCAGTGGACTCAGTGTAATTTGGAATGATTAACATTTTTGTACTTACATCTGTGAAAGTTTGCCTTACTCCCTAGTTAGGATAAAATCCTAGATGTTTAAAAAAATCTTCATGCACACTGAAAAATTAGTACCACAAAAGGTTGCACCAAGATACACTGAGATCAGGAACAGTGATAAGGCCAGAGGTCAAAAGTCTTAAAATATTTCTTTGTTGACTTGGATTTCCCACTTGCATCATGGCATGGAAAAATGCAGAACACATTGTTGATATTATAGGGTGCAGTCGATTCCATTTCCTTCAGCTGACCTTTTGAAGGTTAGTTAAAATAAAAACTTGAACACAAACAAGTTTCCCCACAACAATGGCCACAACATGAGACCGTGCTAATCTGTGGGCTGTTCATGCGTTGAGCAAGGACTCAGAGATCCGTGCACAGCACCTCATGGAACGATCACTTTGAAAGCTAAATAGATAGAGTAAAACAATTCAAAGATATGGGAAAACTTAGAGGTCCTGTATTCCAGCCTTTTTGAACCTCAACTGAGAAATTAATGCCTAAGATTTTTAAATGTTTTTTATAAGTCCAGTGTATTTCTCATAAATGACGACAACGATTTCCATAGAATAAACAAAAAGGTAGGCTCCACTGGGTATCAGTCTCACACAGAGAGTCAAGACACCACATATTTATTGAGAACATAACTGCAAAAATAGGAAACACTTTTTCTATCTGAGGCCAAAAACCAATCATGAAAACAGCAAAAGCACATATGTATAAGGAATTAAAATTTAGTTTATATATTAGAAAGATAAATTATATTCATCTACCTTTTTATGCCATGAATATGTCTTACTGCTTTATTGAGGTATCACTGACATAAAATAAAAAGTGTACAATTTGATGGATTTTGACATATGTATGTACACTTATGAAACGAACACAGCCAAGATAATGAACATATTTATCACCTCCAAAACTTCACTTGCACCCCTTTGTAATTTCTCATCAACATACCTCCCACCTATGCCCAGACTCTGGGCCACCACAAACTGCTTTCTGGCACTATAGATTAATGTGTATTTTTCCAGAATTTAATGTAAATCAAATCATAGAGTATGTAGTCATTTTTATCTGACTTCTTTTATTCGGAATAATTATTTTGAGATCCATCTATGTGGTTGCATGCAGCAATAGTTCATTTTTTTGCATTGCTGAATAGTGCTCCATTGTAGGGATGCATCCCAAATTGCTTACTCATTTATAGCTATTACAGCTAAAGTTGCTATGAATATTTGTGACTAAGTCTTTGTGTGGGTGTATGCTTTCATTTCTCCTGGGTAAATAATCAGGATTGGAACAGCTAAGTTGTGTGTTCTATGTAGGCTTATCTTTTTTAAGAAACTGCCAAACTGTTTCCCAAAGTGATCATGCGATCTCACTATTCCCATGGGCATTACATGAGTTCTGATTGCTCTACATCCTTACCAACATGTGGAACGGTCAGTCTTTTACATTTTAACTGTATTAATAAGTGTGTAGTGGTATCTCATTGTGAGTTGAATCTGCGTTTCACTAATGACTAATGATACTGGGTATCTTTACGAGTGCTTATTTGCCATCCATGTATTTTCTTTTCTTTTTTTATTGAGGTTCAACAGCAGATTTTACTTTTTTTATTTTTAAAAACTTAAGTCTAATTCAAGTAAAATAAGCTGTACATATTTAAAGTATACAATCTAATTCATTTTATTTTATTTGATAGATAAAATTATATGTACTTATTTTGTACAATGTGATGTTTTAAAATATATATACGTTGTGGAATGACTAAATCTAGCTAATTAACATATGCATTACCTCATCAAGTTATCATTTTTGTAGTGAGAAAACTTAAAATATCCTCTCAGCATTTTTCAAAAATATAATATATGGTTATTATTTTATTTTATTTTTTTTGAGATGGAGTCTCACTCTGTCACCCAGGCTGGAGTGCAGTGGCACCATCTCGGCTCACTGCAGCCTCCACCTCCTGTGTTCAAGCTATTCTCCTGTCTCAGCCGCCTGAGTACTTGGGATTACAGGTGCCTGCCACCACACCCAGCAAATTTTTGTATTTTTAGTAGAGACAGGGTTTCACCATGTTGGCCAGGCTGGTCTTGAATTCCTGACCTTAGGTGATCCACCCACCTTGGCCTCCCAAAGTGCTAGGATTATAGGCCTGAGCCACTGTGCCCTGCCTAAGAACGTAATATATGGTTATTAACTATAGTCATCATGTTGTACAATAGATCTCTTGTTTAACTGAAATTTTGTATCCTTTGACCAATATCTCCCTAATCCTCCCCCTCTCACTGACAAGGCCTGAGAACTCTCATTCTACTCTTTAGTTTTATGATATCAACTTTTTTTAGATGCCACGTATGAGTGAGACCATGTGGTATTTTTCTTTCTGTGCCTGGCTTATTTCAGTTAGGATAACATCCTCCAGATTTATCCATGTTGTTGCAAGTAACAGGATTTTATTTTTCTATGGCTGAATAATATTCCATTGTGTGTGTGTGTGTGTGTGTGTGTGTGTGTGTGTGTGTGTAACTTTCTTCATTCATCTATTAATCAAGTTAGGTTGATTCCATGTCTTGGCTATTGTGACTAATATTGCAATAAAAGTGGGAGTGCAGATATTTCTTCAACATACTAGATTCATTTCCATTGGATATATACACAGTAGTGAGGTTATATAGTAATTACATATATATATATATATATATATATATATATATTTTTTTTTTTTTTTTTTTTTTTTCAGACAGAGTCTCGCTCTGTCGCCCAGGCTGGAGTGCAGTGGCATGATCTTGGCTCACTGCAACCTCCGCCTCCTGGGTTCAAGCGATTCTCGTGCCTCAGCCTCTCGAGTAGCTGGGATTACAGGCATACGCCACCACACCCAGCTAATTTTTGTATTTTTAGTAGAGACGTGGTTTCACTATGTTGGCCAGGCTGGTCTGAAACTCCTGACCTCGTGATCTGCCCTCCTCAGCCTCCCAAAGTGTTGGGATTACAGGCGTGAGCCACGGCACCCGGCCAGTAATTCTATTTTTAATTTTTTGAGGAACCTCCATACTGTTTTCCATATGGCTATACTAATTTACATTCCCATCAGCATTGTACAAGGGTTTTCCTTTCTCTATATCCTTTGTCTTTTTTGATAATAGCCATTCTAACGGGCATGATGGTGGGTGCCTGTAATCCCAGCTACGCAGGAGGCTGAGGCAGGAGAATCGCTTGAACCCGGGAGGCGGAGGTTGCAGTGAGCTGAGATCGCACCACTGCACTCCAGCCTGGGCGACAGAGTGATATTCCGTCCCAGAAAAAAAAAAAGAGTTTTTTTAGGATTGTAGATTAACAAAGGTATTGCATATGAAACATAACGATAGATGTTACCTGGATTTGCATAGAACATTTTGATTCACACAGTCATTTTTTCCACAGGTTTAAAAATATTGTCTACACATACCGAATCTTCAGAGAGAAACACGGGTATTACAGGATACAGGTAAGAACAAAAAGGACGACAACAACAACAACACAAAAGTTGGGGGAGAAGAACCTGGGAACATGTCTTTTACCTGAGCCATGACTGTGCGAAAGCATTCTAAAAAGGAAAGCACAATGCAGAGATGAGAGTCAGATCGAGTTAACCTGGTTTTTCCCTGAAGAGAAATAGGAAGGTTCTAGGCTTGGGTTCTACTTTTTTTGTTGTTGTTTTGTTTTTTTTAGACGGAGTCTCGCTCTGTCGTCCAGGCTGGAGTGCAGTGGTGCGATCTCGGCTCACTGCAACCTCCGCCTCCCGGGTTCAAGCGATTCTCCTGCCTCAGCCCCCGCCCCCCCAAGTAGCTGGGACTACAGGCGCGCGCCACCACCCCCAGCTAATTTTTGTATTTTCAGTAGAGAAGGGTTTTCGCCGTGTTAGACAGGATGGTCTCGATCTCCTGACCTTGTGATCCGCCGGCCTCAGCCTCCCAGACTGCTGGGATTACAGGCGTGAGCCACCGCACCCAGCTGGGTTCTACTTTTGAATAACCCTCACTGTTATTCCACTGTGGCTCCTCCACTGGCCAAACACACCAGCCTGGACTCCAAGCAAAACCTCCGTTGAATTAGAAGACTCAACAATGATGCAAGATGGAGCTAGAAAGGGACGGTGGAAAGAGGTCAGAGTGTTTAGGGAGTCAAGTGTGCCCAATAGTTGTACGAAAATATAGTGGGAAGCATCAGATAGCTGAAAGTCTTAGGGTTTGTTTAATTTTTCTGGTTTACTGAGAGCTAAGCAGAAAAACATTTTGCTTCTTTTAAATTTAGTTCTCTGGCTTAAGAAGTAGAGTATAATAAACATAACTGCTAACAGAGAATCCTAAAATAATCTTTCTCAAACACTTACATATAAGGTTAAGGAGACTACAGATTTCTAAGAATCTTCAGTATATTAATGTTTACTCTGAATATCTGAAAGAGACTAGAATATAAAATGATCCCCAAACACCTCACTTATACTATTTTTCTTTTGCTATAGAGGACATTATTGAGGCAGTTGACAAAATTTGAATAAATTCAAATTTTGAATAAGATTAACAAATAGTACTGTATCCAGGTTAATTTCCTGATTTTAATCATTGTAGTATGGTTATGTAATATCCTTACTTTTGAAGAAATACTGAAGTATTTAAAGGGATATTATGTCTGCAAATTAACTTTGAAAATAGCTTATATATATGTGTATATATACATGCACAATATATGTGTATATATTTGGAAAGAGAATAAAAAGCAAATATAATAAAATGTTAACATTGGGGTGTGGGTGAAATATATGGTAATTTTTAAAAATTATTTTTGCAACTTTGCTATGTCTGAAATAATTTCAAGATAAAATGTCTTATAAAAAGCAACTTATTTTAAGACTTTTTTTTCTGTTTATTCTTTGGGAAATTCTGGATAATTCCTCAGTACCCTGTTTTGTCTCTTGTGTGGACAAAATAGAGGGAGACATCCAAATCATTTGTAACTCAGACACAAAGAGGCGTTTCACTGGGGAGCAGCTTTGAGCTTAGAAGCCTGCAGTGATGCCTTTTGTTGAAATGACTGCATTAAAGGAACCTCCTTGCAGATGACTTTGATGTCAGCCTGTACCTCTAATACAGAGGTTAATCAGGCGCATATCAGAAAACCTTCTGATCACCAACCCCTTTCTCTAGTCTGACTTGGTGGCCATATGAAAACCACAGTGACGATCAAGAAAACCAAATACACAAAAGTAGAGGAAGAAAATTCATGTGTGTGTGGGTGTGTAAGACAGAGTCTTGCTGTCACCCAGACTGGAGTGCAGTGGCGTGATCTCGGCTCACTGCAACTTCCGCGTCCTGGTTCAAGCGATTCTCCTGGCTCAACCTCCCGAGTAGCTGGGATTACAGGCGTCTGCTACCATGCCCAGCTAATTTTTTGTATTTTTAGTAGAGACGGAGTTTTGCCATGTTGACCAGGCTGGTCTCAAACTCCTGACCTCAAGTGATCCACCCACCTTGGCCTCCCAAAGGGCTGGGATTACAGGCATGAGCCACTGAGCCTAGCCAGAAAATTCTTTTCATTTTAAAATTATTTCTAAAAGGTTATATTAGAAAATAGTGCTTGGTGGGCCAGGCATGGTGGCTCCCGCCTGTAATCCCAGTACTTTGGGAGGCTGAGGCAGGCAGATCATGAGGTCAGGAGATCGAGACCATCCTGGCTAACACAGTGAAACCCCATCTCTACTAAAAATACAAAAAAAAAAAAAAAAAAAATTAGCCAGGTATGGTGATGGTGCTTGTAATCCCGGCTACTTGGGAGGCTGAGGCAGGAGAATGGCATGAACCCGGGAGGCGGAACTTGCAGTGAGCTGAGATCACACCACTGCACTCCAGCCTGGGCCACAGAGTGAGACTCCGTCTCAAAAAAAAAAAAAAAAAAAAAAAGTACGTGGTGTATAGCTGGTAAACAGAAAACATCTATTTACAACTTAACTGAGTTGTGTTGCCATTCCCACTTTCTATTTACATTGGGACTTTTTTGGTTTTGTTTTGCCCACATGGAGATTGTGAATTCATCAAGTATACAAATTGTGTATTTTAAATTCATAAAGTATACAAAATGCATATTTTAAAGACATGGAATCAACCTAAATGCCCATCAGTGATAGACTGGATAAATAAAATGTGGTACATATACACCATGGAATACTAAGCAGCCTAACTGTTCTCCAAATTTGAAAAACCAAATCAGAGGCTGGTGGTTCACCTTTTAAAGCCAATAAAGAGAACCAGCCCCAGCTTGAGATGGAGAGGATCGAAATTAGAGTTGGAAGCATTTATGGTAAAATCTCTCACATGGGGATCAGAAAGGAGCTTAGGTCAAAAAAGAATGAAATCATGTCCTTTGCAGGGACATGGATGGAGCTGGAGGCCATTATGTTTAGCAAACTAATGCAGGAACAGAAAACCAAATACTGCATGTTCTCACTTGTAAGTGGGAGCTGAATGATAAGAACACATGGACACACAGAGGAGAACAACACACACAGGGGCCTGTTGGAGGGCTCAGGGTGGGAGGAGGGAGAGGATCAGGAAGAATAGCTAGTGAATGCTGGGCTTGATACCTGGGTGATGGGATGGTCTGTGCAGCAAACCACTACGGCACACGTTTACCTATGTAACAAACCTGTACATCCTGCACATGTACCCCTGAACTTAAAATAACAGTTGGAATTTTTTTTAATTGCATTTTTGCATTCCCATCAGAAGTCCACTTCCGATAGTCCCTTAAGATAGCAAAGCCCGCCTGTAGGTACAGACGTAAGCCCTTACAGGGGTACCCTTCACAGTGTATCTGCGAGAACTGCCCCAGGTAAACTTCCCAAGGATGGGGTTCACTTGATACTATGGACTGCGCTGGGATCCCTTGATTGCAAATCCTCTTTACTCAGAGTGGCTCAAGTCAGAGGTTGGTCTTAGAAATGAGAGTTTCTGTGAACTGGGAGTGGTGTGAGCTCCAGCCACTTGTTTTCAGTTTTTCAGCTCATAGAAGGGCAGCCCTGAAAACCCACTGCTTTGAGAAGTGTCACATTTCACACGCAATTGCATGATAATGAGTGATTTCCTTTCTTGTATTTTTGCAGACTGCAGAAGGTTCTCCAAAACAGGTCTTTCCAAGCCTAAAGGAACTGATCTCCAAATTTGAAAAACCAAATCAGGGGATGGTGGTTCACCTTTTAAAGCCAATAAAGAGAACCAGCCCCAGCTTGAGATGGAGAGGATTGAAATTAGAGTTGGAAACATTTGTGGTAAAATCTCTCACGTGGGGGTCAGAAAGCAATCTTAATCCTATTTCCACCAATGCCTTACTTTGTAAACTCAATACAGACAAATGCTCTTTTCTGTGACATTATCTCTAAAAAGCTTCATCCTACTAAGAGCAATTTCCATTTTGTTGAGAAGTGCTGTCTTTTAGTCCCTGAGGGCCAAGACAGAGAGCTTGCTGCGTTTGCAGCCAGGATAGCAAGAGTGGTTCCTGGGCAGACAGCTGACTTCAAATTCATTCTGTGACCTTGTGCAGACGATTCAAGTTTGAGAATAAATGGGCAAATGGGCAGATTTTCAAATGAGAAAATCACTCTAGCCCTTCAAGCCCTCCCCAAAGCGTATACTGTTACACTTTGCTCAATATTTGCTAAGCATTCATTTATAAAGTGCTGGGTGTCAAATTATGTCAGATACATTTTTAAAGGCATTAAGCCGTAGTGGAAAATGAGAGATGGTCAGTAAATCTGAGTGCAGAGAATCCCTGCCTAAGCCTCTCAAATTATATCATGAGCAGCTACTCTTCCTTACCCACACTCTTGAAATCTGCTCTCAGTAAAGAATTTACTATCAGTTGCAATGTTGTTTGAATTTAGCTCAGACTTCCAGAAACACTTAGGTCTTAATCCTGTTTTCCCATGTTGGAATGTGTGGTTATATTCTCAGTGAAAGGGATGGCAGTTATCAGTGGCAGGTGATGGGATGAGATCAGATATCCTCCCTAGGAGAGGGACAGAGGACAGAGAGTTCTCTGGGAGCCTGCAATCACTCCATCCCCATTCTACTCTGTCTGCGGCAAAGTCACCCTTTAGGCTGCCATAGCCGGCTTCTCATTTCCCCAGCAAGGCTAAGCATAAAATACAACTCCCTTCCCTACCATTGTGTCCCTGTCCCCCCATCCCCATGAAGGGCAGTGTGTACTCATGGACACAAAAAAATCACTTTCTATAGGTCCAGCTGCAGATGTAGTCCCACAGCTACTTTCCCCCCCAAATTTATAGAATAAAAAGTATACAGTGTGGCAGATCTAGAAACCCAGGAATGTATCTGTGCTGCAGCCCTTAGGCAAACCCAGATGAGTTGCTGGGACTGGTTGGGGTGGTGGTAGCATTTGTCTCAACAATGAGAAAAGAATCATAAATCCCAGGAGGAGAACCCTCAGAAATCTTCCCCAAGACCTGGGCATGAATCTCACTCCATCAGTTTTCCATGCCGGGTCAGTGCTGACACAGCAGGCTCCAAAATTCTCAGCTACTGAAGAGGAAATATTCCCCATCAACCTCTTCCTCCCATTCCCATTGCTTCCTTAGAAGAAGCTTCAGATGTTCTTACTCCAAGGGAGGTGCAGATTTCTTGCTGGTGAATGGAGACACTTGTGCTGGAAGGTCTGAGGCTTGGCTTATAAAGAGATCTCCTATTTTGTTAGGAGGGCTCCCTGTAGTACCCCAGCCTTTAAAGATACAACTTTCAGGTGGCATCAACATGGCTCTGTGCCTGGGGAGGGGTCTTCTTTCCTTTGAGTGGGGTTGTTTGATATGACTTCTGGGTGTGGTCTCATGGCTGGTCTTCTGCTTTTTTTTTCCCTCCAAAGAACAGTAACAGCGATTATGTGGATGTCTTGCCTTGAAGATAAGGCTGCCGGACAAAGCAAGTTGAAGAGATGAGTAACAGTTCTCACTGATGACCCACTTCTGCAGGCATAGGTCCAGAGCACCAAACTCTAGTGGACAATTCAGACTCTCCTGGTTGTGTAACTGAAGATGTTCTGCCCACCAGCACCAGAGGTCACTCTCCACATCCCCGCCTCCCAGACATATACCAGGAGCAATTTCAAAACCCTCTCCAGTTTCACTCTTCTTTCTTGGAATGGGACAGCCTGAACATTTTCCCTTTGACTTGTTAAAGGTACCACCCTACATCATGGTTGACACCCTCCTTTGGACCATGCAGTCAGAGGGGCAGCTTTATACAGAGGAGGGGCACACTTGTCTGTGAGTTTGAAGCCCTGAGTTCCAGTCCTGTGGCTGTGTGACTTTGAACACGTTTCTGCCCATCTCCAGGTCTTAGTTTCTTTGTCTCTGTGGTTGGGTGGGATGATAAACATTGCCCCAGTCTCTCTGTTGAGCCTGCTTGTGTCAGGTGAAGGTGAGGGATCGGGAGTGATGGAGATGCATACAGATCAGCACCTTCTCTGTACCTGCTGGACCCCCATGTGCACCCTTCTCCCTCCAGCCTGGGCTACTCTCCTCCTGGTTCTTTCTAATCTTAAACTTCCTGGTGAGCATTGCCCCAGCCACACTTTCTCCCTGGTTTTGCTTAATTCCACTTATGCATCAGTCATTTCAACAGCATGAATGTGGTTCTGTACAGTGATGTATGTGGAGATTTCTAAAATATTCTATGTGTGATTTCTGTTCCCAACTAGGTTCTAAGTGCCATCAAAGCACGGTTGGGTCTCCCTTGTATCTTCCACAGTGTGTAGAAATTTGTGCTGCCCAGAGCTGTGCCTAGTTCATAGAAACTGACTGGAAGCACATTGCTGAGGGAGGTTTGTTGAATTGGTTTTTAAGGTTTACTGAAATTGATTTGCTGAATTTTTCTGCTAGTTCAAAATGTGAATTAGGACCTGGTCAGTTTGAAATATACCAAATTCTATGCCCTTTCTCTTACCTATCATCAAATTGTAGTAATGTATTTCACCCCACTGGACTTATCTTCAGAGTTTTAAAAGAGAGGAGCTCTCGACTTAGAGGTAATATGAACAGATGAACAGACACTGTGGCTGGAGCCCCAAAGTGTGGAGCATTGTGAGATTTGGGGTCACAGCAATTTATGGCTACTATTCCCTGGGTCTGGTAGGTAGGACAAATGTCCTCTTTTACTTTTCAAAACTGGCTTAGGTATTCATGGACCTTGATTCTTCTATATACATTTTATAATAAATACGTGAAATTGCTTAAAACCTCTTTTTGGAATTTTTAATGAACTTGCAACAAATTTGTAAATAGGAGAGAACTGACGTTCTTGTGATGTTTTCCCATGCATAAACATGCCACATCCATGTTCTTGGGTCATCTTTTTTGCCCTTTCATGGAGTCATAAATTTTCCCAACTGAAGTCTTGTATATTCTGTTAGATTAATTCCTATTTCTAGTTGCTGTAAATGATATCTTATGTTTTATTACATTTCTAATAGGATATGGTGTTGGTGAAATGTTAACCCTCTCATTAGATCTACTAGTTTACCTGTTGATTCTATTGTGTTTTCTATGTAAATGATTTTGTCAGCTATAAATAATAACATTTTATTTTCTCTTTCCTTGCAATACCTATGCTCATTTATTTTTTATGTTTACCCATTGGTTAGGGCCTCCTGTATACATTAAACAGTTCATAGTCATGATAGTGAGTATTCTTACACTGTTCCCAGTATTACAGGGAATGCTTAGAAATTTTCTTTATTTAAACATTATGTTTGTTGTAGCCTTGTTAAAGGCTATTTTATAATTTTTACTAGAAATATTTTGACATTTATTGTGATTTTTTTCTATCTCTAATCTATTGAGATAGTCACATTCCTTTTGTCTTCACTCCATTATAAAGGTAAGTTACCTTAATAAAATTGTTGATATCATTTCATCCTTGCATTGCTTCACTTGATAATATTTTATTATTTTTCATAAACTGTGGAATTTGGTAAGTTAATATTTCATTTAAGATTTTTGCATTAAAACTCATAAACCAAATAGGACTATAATTTACTGAATCATGGTTACACTGTTCATATAAAGCGAAGAAAAGTCTTTTTCCTTTTACCATTTTCTGCAACAACTCTTCAGGTAAAGATTATTTGTTCTGGGCTGGGTGTGGTGGCTCACACCTGTAATCCCAGCACTTTGGGAGGCCGAGGTGGGGGGATCACTTGAGGTCAGGAGCTCAAGATCAGCCTGGCCAACATGGTGAAACCCTGTCTCTACAAAAATACAAAAATGTAGCCAGGTGTGGTGGCACACGCCTATAATCCCAGCTACTTAGGAGGATGAGGTGGGAGAATCGCTTGAACCCGGGAGGTGGAGGTTGCAGTGAGCCAAGATCATGTCAGGGCACTCCAGCCTGGGTGACAGAGTGAGACCCTATCTCAAAAAATATATATATAGTAAATAAATAAATAAAAATAAACTTATCTGTTCCTTGACATTTTTTAGTACAGTACTTTCTTATAAAACTGAGTTTGAGACTCTGGTGGGGTGGGGTGGGGTGGAGTGGGGGGGCATCTTCAATTACTATTTAAATATTAATACTTTTTGATTTGTTAAAATATTTTGCCAATTTTGTCTTTTTTTGTTTTTCTAGAAATGTGTCAATTTTGTCTGTTTTCACAATTATTGGCAGATAGTTTGTAATATTCTTGCATTATTTTAATGCTTTCTTGTGACTGTAGCAACATCTCCTTTCTCACACTGTGTCTATTTGGATCTTACTCTTTTATATTTATTGATTTTATCTATCTTATTAGTCTTTTCAAAGCCAGCTTTTGGTTTTGTTCATCTTTTTTGTTACTGCTTTTAAATTGTTATTCTCTATTTATTTGATTTCCAGCCTCATTTTAGGGGGGCTTATCTGACTTGTTTTCAATACTTATTATTTTCTAATAAATATATTTATAGTTATGAATTTAGCTCAAAGTACTATTTTAGCTGTATCCCATAAATTTTAACACAAATAGTGGTTATTGCAGTTTAGGTCAAAGTATTTTTAATTCTTGTAAAAGTATCTTCTTTAATCCAAAAACTATTTAGTAGTTCATAATTGTTTTCAAACATACATTTTTAGTTATTTTAGTATAGATTTCAAACTATATCACGTTAAGGTTGGATAACAGCCTGACTTCAATTTCTGAGGCTTCCTTGCTGACCTGGTATATGTGAACATTCTGTGAATATTTCATTTGTTTGAATTACTCTTTCTATTCATTTTAAAGCTTGTTCTCTTTACCTCTTCCCCAAATGTATTCAAGATTATAGATTATATAAAACAAATATTTTCATAGATTTGCATATTTTATCTATTTGATCTATCAGCGTCAGAGAAAGATAAATCTTTTAATTCTATATATAATAGTATTTAACTTTCTGATTATAATAGTTAGTATATTAACTAGTTTTTGTTATTTTACCATTTTTATTTTAACTGTTTTTTAATATTTTTATGTGTATATATTTTTATTACTATTTTATCATCTTCATTTCCTTTATTTTATAAAGTATTCCTCCTTGTCTCTCATTAGTTTTGCCTTTATTTATATTTTACATCATATTAAAATTGCTATCTCAACTTTTATTCATACTTTCCTAGTATGTAATTTTCTGTCCTTTCATTTTCAAGTTTTTACACCTTTTATCTCTGTCTTCTGTGGACACAATATTGCTGGATCTTTTTTTTTTTTCCAATTTAAGATTCTCTCCTTTTGTTTGGTGAGTTCAAAACACATGTTTATTATAATTTGTTCTATTGGAATTTATACCGCCATCTTATACATTCTTTCCATTTGCTATACATTTTTTCCTTTTTTTCTCCTTTTCTGCTTTCCATTGAATAGATCAAATTTATCTCTGTTAATTTGAAAGCTCTATTAAAAAAATTTAGTGTTTACCCATAACTTATTAGGCCCTGTATTTTTATTTTTCTCTATAACATTGTAAATATATCAATTGTTATAATTTAACATGCTCTCATTTCTCTTCTGTCACCATCACCAATCCCATCAGATTTTCTGAAATTATCTAAAATTTTAATTGTTATTTACTCTTTTGGGTCCTTTATCATTTAAATAACAGTATACTTTACTGAGTCAATTAGTCATCCTTCTTGTAAATTTAAAAAACACATAGCACTCTCCTGAGTTTCTCTTCTTGGCAGAATATTTTCTGCAAAAGTATTTTGCATATTTGAAAATTGCTATGAGAGCAGATTTTAAGTGTTCTCATCAAAGATGGTCTTTGAGTGGTAAACCTTTTGCGGTCTTTTTAATTTTAGATTAATTTAAATGATAGTTGAGCTAAATATAGAATTGTAGGTTTAAAGTTATTTTCCTTCAGTGATATAAAACATATTAAGTTGCTAGCACTTTATGTGTAGGTTTCTTACTGAGATGTCTAATGTCAATCTGATCCTCCTTCACTGCTGAACTTTTTCGTGGAAAGTTGAAAAATGGCCTGTCTTCATGATCTTAAATTTCACTGTGATGTGTCTAATAGTGAGTTTTTTCTTCTCTATCAAATATGAAACCTTATAGGCCATTTTGCTCTTGGGATTTTAATCTTTCTTTACTTTTATTACTATTTAAATGAATAGAATGAATGAATGAATGAATGAATGAGAATTCTCATTCATTTTTCAAAGATTTCTTCTATTTTTTCCCTCCTACTGGAATTTCTAATTAAGAACTGTCCTCTCTTTTATTTTGCCCTTGAAATGATATTTGTTAAGTGATCTTAGGAAAGATACAAGCCTCTCTAAAATGGAGACAATATTTATCTCATAAATTACTATTAGTTTTGTCATGGAAGTCTTCCTTTCAGTTACCAGAAACTGCAATACCTGATGCCAGCCACAAGAGGCCAGACAGCCATCAAGAAAACTAGTACTGCTTGAGGGTTTTATTTTCCTTTCTTTCCTTCCTTCCTTCCTTCCTTCCTTCCTTCCTTCCTTCCTTCCTTCCTTCCTTCCTTCCTTTTCTTTCTCTCTCTCTTTTTTTGTAAAGCCCTGCTGAGTACCATGGTAGCTATTAGACCTGAAATATTTCTTTAGCAAGTATTCTCCAAACAGTACTCACTTCCCCATTGAATGCTTAATCTCCAGTGTCGATAACAGGATTAGTTTCTAAGCCAGGCTTCCCTGAGTTTGCAATGTGAGATGTAATAGGTGCTCTTGCCACTCCTACTGCAGGGCGAAATTCTTGCAATTCAGAGAAGGCTCTTACCGACACCCTTAAGAACGAATGTTTTCAGGAGGTACTATTGTTAGCTCTGTCACTTACTGGTAGAGTGACTATGGGCAAATTGCTAAGACTCCCTAAGCCTCTGGTCAGCTTCATCTAGAAAATGAGGATAATGACTTACCACATAAAGTTACTGTGGAGCTTCACTGAGATGACGCCAGCCCAGGTTAACATGTTAACAATGCAGTCTTTGTTGTTTCCTCTTTTGTAAAATGAGGGGACTGTGGAATGGGTCTTTAAATTCCCATCCCATGTGAATATGCAGTGTTTAATGAAACTGTATTACTCCTTGGAGAAGATCTAACTCAAAAAGATGTTTCTGAGCCATGAACGTTTCCTGGAATTATTTATCAGACTGGCGCGATGGAGATAGAGAAGTAGGGGAGGGTGGCTGTTCCTCAGGCCTGAAGACTTAGGTCTTCCCAGAGAGTTCTGCCTCTCAGTTGTAAGACCCAGGGAATTGGCTTAGACATCATCTCAGTCTCAGTTTACCTCTTCCTAACATGGGGCTGAAATACCTCCCTCACAAGATAGGATTCATGAGATCGTGTGTGTGAATCTCTTTAAGCACAATAGAATAACATCCGTATCTGGAAAATGGGCTTAGTAAGACCTCCCTTGGAGGGCTATGAGAAAAACAAATGAGACCATGTGTATAAATTGATTAACACAATTCCTGGAGTATATAGAAGCTTCAGAGAATGATAAAGCACCAATTAACAGTCAAGCCTAACACAGTGAAGTAGAATGTTAAGAATTGGAACTCAGAGCCCTGTAGGCAGCTCCCAGAGGTAGGCAGGTGCCTGGCACTGAAGCACAGCCCTTCTTGCATTATGCTGGATATAAGTGCTTGCTTCTACCAGCTCCGTGGCAAGGTGGCATCTGTCCAAGGAACAGAGTTAATGAAGGCTCCGGCTGCAGATAAATGAGCTTCACATTGGCCCATTAATCACTTTCCACTTCGAAAATGGCCACCCTCAATCCTTCTCTGTGGAGTTGATGATCATGTACAGAGGCTGCCTGCGGATAGAGATCCTGAGGAAGAGGGGCTGAAAGAGTCCTGCTGGTCTACCCCAGAGCCTGTCTAGTCTGTTCCACACAAATTCAACTGCAGGTTTCCTGAGTTTAGTTCCATTCAAAGTGCATCTTTATCGAGCTCCTGCAATATGCCAGACACTGTGCTGGGAACCGAGGAGTCAGGGATGAAGATGGCATGGTCCCTGCCCCTGAGCTCAGAGACCTGGGGGAGAGAAGCATGAGGATGAAGCGACTTTCTATGACACATGGAGAGTACCGTGATGGAGGAACACATAGGATGCTACGGGAACGCAGAGAAGGGGTGGGGTGGTGTCCGGGAAGCCACCTGGAGGAAGGGATGCCTGAGTGGAAATGTGAAAGATGAATTAACATAGCCTAGTGAAGTCAGAGGAAAGGGACGGGAAGGTAGAAACGTGACCCGGGCAGATGGACCATCTTAAACACAGGCATGGAAGCAATTCGGAGCAGGCTGGGGCTCTGAGGGAAGTACAGCACAGAGGCAGCAGTGGCAGTCGCCGCCAGCTAGGCAGGCAGGCCGGCCACAAATAATCCAGAGTGCGGAGAACCCACCTGACACCTCCCCCACATGCGTCTTAGCAAGCCTCCTGGCCAGGTCACAGCATGTGCCACCTACACAGTCGATGACTGATGATTAAGGGGGTGGGGTAGGGAGAGGCATGGACAAGACTGCCACCCCCACCTCCCCCTCTAGCTTTCTTACACGTGAAATCGCTTCCTAGATGGCTTACACAGCCTCTCCGGGAGGCCCAGTTCCTAGAAATGTCACACATTGGCCAGGTCTAAAGACTACTTGCCAGGTCAGCTGCAAAGACTTCCTGACACATAGGACCCAGGATTTAAGCTGAACAAGGGAGGCTGGCTGCAACAGAATTTACCAAGTACCAGGAGATTATGGGAAGGCAAAACAACAGGGGCAGTCCCCGCTTGTCTTGAGCTTTCCTATCCAGCAAGGGGGATCCATCCATTGCAGGCTCAGGATAAAGTGGGGGGCATGCATCTTGCTGAAGCTGCAAACCGTTCCCAGGGCAGACAGTTCACTTTTCTCCTGCCCCTTTGGCTTGCCCCATGAAGGCCTGGACCAACCCAAAGCACTCCTGTGACAACCACAGGGAATTGTTCTAAGTTGCTGTGAGTGAGCCCCCGAAGTGGGCTGAACACTGGGATGTGCTTGAACATCAGACCAAGCCAACAAGAATTTCCCAATAAACGCAAGCCTAGAAAGCAGGTGGCGGCAGACATGGAGCGATGATTCAGGAAATAGGTAGCTAAGCAGATGGCACTGGAAACAGCTGGCTGGTTAAACAGTAAAAAAAAAATGTTGCGGTTTGTCGGAAGGTTGCTTTTTGTTTGGGTTTTTTTGTTTTGTTTTGGTCAATTCCAAAGAACACACTGGCAATGTTCCCTGCTCTATATAACCAACAGACTCCTCAGGCAACTTGCACGAAGGAGAATACAGTCTGGAGTCTGAGGTGGTCCTTAAATATTTCCTCAAGCTTGCTTCCTCGTCTGTGTTGTTAATAGCCAAGTGATTCGTTTTGTGGGGTAGCTTCCCCAGGCTCCCTTGGGCTGGACTATTTATCATGGCAGCAGCTGGAGATAAGCTGGACACAAAGAGGATTTGTGTCTCAGGAGAGCTGGTCCCTAGATACAGAAAGTGGAGGAATTTTCTCATTAGGAGGAAGTCAGTGGTGGGGACTCTGGGCTTTCCTCCTGTGCCCCCAGTGCAAACAGTAGCAGGGAGGGGGCGTCCTGGAGGGGAGATGTACTTGAAGATGCTTTCACTGGACAACTTAAAGCTTCCAGAGTAGATTTCCTTGGGAGAGACGAAAGGTATTAAATGCCATCTGCACTGGTGAAGCTTTCCAAGGGGGAGGTAGGAGTCTCTCTACAAGGGCTATATGGACTTAATTACTTGTTCCCACTAACAGAGAGGCCACAGTGGGAGGCTCCAGGCTGAATGTCCCAAAGCAGGGCGGCGAACTGAGCGACTGAAGCCCGGGGCACTCTGAGGGCCAAAGTCTCAGACAAACCATCACTGAGTTTGCCACCACAGCTAGATTGGCCTGGGAAACTCCGCAGTGTGGGGAGGGCAGCAGAGAGAGGAGGACAGGGAGTCCAAGCACAGAGAGTTCTAGAACACTCCCAGGATTCACTGACCTCAAAGGCATTGTGAAATGTGAGAGCAGATTAAACTGACCCAGCAGGAATTTTCTGAGATTAGGGTAGCATCTGAGTACATTTCCGGGTCGGCTAATTTCATAAAAATTCTGAATACCAACTGGGGTCCCTGCCAGCATAGGCACAGACCTAAGGAATGAGGTGGGTCTCCTGATGGCCCCTGAGTGTGTTTCCTTCAGCAACTACTAATGGCAGATTTAGTCCAGAGGAAATGAGCACTCTCTCGGCTGAAATTAACTGCCTCACCCTGAGCCCCACTTTGGTGCTTCCACTGCATTTCACATCCTGATCACATACCCTGTTAGCATAGCGCCCGGGAGGGCAGGTATGATGGCACTCCCATCCATTCAGAATGGAGAAAGAGGACCGCGTGTCACTTTTCCACCAACGTCACCACAGTCCCCTAGATAGCACTTAGTGCATGGCAGGAAGGGGCTTGGATATATTGTCTGAATAAATGCATCTTTGTCCCCCAGATTCTAGAACAGTGACTCAGCGTAGAGCACAGCATTAAAAAACATGACATCTGCACTTCCGTTTTCACACTTAAAATTCCCTTAAAAATTTTTTTACACTAGAACTGTTTATACTTGATCTTAGACAAAAATAACGACTTCACATAATAGCGGGAAAGGCATGTTAAAAGCACGTTTCACACCTGAACGACTGCAGCAAGATACCGAAGCCATTCAATGGGAGAGGTTGTCTGGAGTCACCGCAGCATACTTATAAAGAAAAAAGTTGCTATCGTAAGCATTTTCAATGCCTTTTCCCAAAACATGGAGGATTGGTTTTTGTGTTTTTCCTGCTTTCCCTGGACGATAACGCCGCAGCCCACTGCAGAGACAGCGAGCAACCTTTGAGATCACAGCTGTTCTTTTCTTGCCCCTCTGCTGAGAAACAAAGTGTGGGAGTGGAAAAAAATGCAGAAAACGTTAGGGACTTAGCCTCAAGCCTGAGACGCCTCTGACATGGAGCCAGGGAGCCCCTGCATGCGGAACTGTGGAATCCAACCCCAGGCATAGTCACATCTGCACGTGAGAGGGCTGCGCAGAAAGGCCCCATGTTTCCCTTTGGAAATGTGCGTGGCTTCTGTGAACAGACTGAACGCCCCTTTCCTTTCCTGTTTTTCCCCCATTTCCTTCCTTTTAAGGAGGATAAAGGCCTGGCCAATTCTCAGCTGTGTGGGTCCTCTGGATCCTTGGATCTGACACTGGCCCAGGGGCAGCAAAGGGGCAAAGGGACTCCAGGCCAGCTCTTCTCTGAGCCACCTTCTCTCCGCAGGTGAGCAATAAGAATGTCCCTGTCCATGGGGGGCCCTTGGGGGCAATCTCCCAGGAAGTACCTAAGTCCAAATCACTGACATATATTGATGACTCTCTTTGAGAGGCTGATAGAAGCTCTGGTTCCTCTATGGAAGAACGTGCATACATGAATGTGAAGCTTCATCCCTTTCTTGGTGGAAGAGGGCTTTGGACCCAGGTAAAGAATGAGTGTCCTAGAGGATGATCCAAAGGCCATGTCCGCTTATCCCCACTTCCTCCCAAGGAGGGTCGTGCCTGTGCACATCATGATGGCACATCCTGAAACAGTGATAGGTCGGGTTGGCAGAGGTACCCCCTCACAGCCAGCCAGCCAGGGGAGCCAATGATGGCACATCCTCAGAAGTCATTTCCCCGCCAAGGGTTCAGGCTGGAGGTGTCGGTAATGCCCATCTTCCTCACATTCTACCTCCCTCATTTCTCACTTTTCCAGGCTTACAAAGGAAAATGCCAACATACTTCAGCCAACAAGTCAGCCTTGAGGAAACCAACTGCTCCCCATCAGTCAGGAGGAAAAACAGACAAAGCCAGCAAACCAAACCAAATCATTTTATTGTGCAATTTCCTTCTACCAGAAAATTACTAAAAATATAAATATTAACTCTCTAAAAAATACTCAGAATAGATCTGTAATCTTCCTCCTCCTCCTCCGAACTGGAGCCAATCTTCTTCTTTAAACGCTGATGGATTGCATACATGTATGTCTTCCATATCAGCCACATACACAACATTCAGATACACTTCCCTCTGTGCAGGGGGATACACCAGCCTCCTGCCAGGTTCTGGAAGCTCACCTTATAATCTACCAGGATACAGCTGTGTGCTGAGTAGGAGGTTATGGTGGGGTTGGGGAGTAACAAGGAGATAAAAGACCTTGTGGTCCCAACTTCCTTATGTGGACAGAGAAGATAGGTCCTTTACTCCTCCTCATTACCCTGCCCTCTCATGGACTGGGCTAACTGAAGGCCAAGCTCCCAGAGAAGCTGGACTCACTGTGCGGGATTACTGAGGGTGTGGCTGCCAGGCTACAGTCACAGGAAGGCCAGACTGTTGAGATGGACATGGAAACCAGGTGAGGCTTTGGATGGAAAGCTGGTCTGGGCCAAGGCCTCTGCAGGATGAGTAGTAGCTGTTCCTGCTGGGCTTTGGGCAGCCCCTAGACCCTAGCACCAGGTACTATGTGCAGCATCTAAGACCAGACACCAGTCTCAGAGAGCCTCCCGAGGTAGCAGCAACATCCCTGCAGCAGGGGGACGGGCAGGTTGTAGGCAGTTAGATTGGAGCAGGGTCCCATGGCACTGTATTCAGTATCAGACACAGGTCTGAAGAACTCTGGGGTCACCCTGGCAATGGTCCTGGACAACCTGGTGGGATCCTTTTGCTCATCCTGGGTCTAAGGTCCTGGACTCCAGCAGCAGCTGGGCTATAGAGTGGAGGCAGGGTACTTAAGAAAGGCTGCACCTGCAATACCTGTACCTATGGCTGCCATATCATCGGGCCAGAGCCGCCCTGGGCTCCAGGAGAGGAGAAGCCCCAGAGTGCAGGGGCTTGCTAGGTTTCCCATCAAAGCACAAACCATGCTCCTGGTATGGGAAGCTCAGATGAAGTGGCTTGCTCCCAGGATGTGTGTTTGGGGACTCTATCCCTATCCTCAGCTCTGGTGTTTTGTGTGATACCCCAAACCATTCTGGGAACACTCAAAGGACCCCGAATGCTAGTCCTGAGACCTCCTCTCTGACATCAGGGTCAGATATCACATCCTTAGAGTGAGAAAGAATGTACACGTAAGCCCTGCTCACTCTACCAGGGCCTGCAGGTGCCCTACTGCAGTGACTCCTACGAGGGAGGGGAGACAGTTTGTGGTGAGCACGTGGTGAAACCTGGCTTTCTGGGAGAAGGAAGACAATGGAAGGCAAGGTAGAAGGGAAAGTGGTGGGAGGGCCATGGCAAGGCCACACAGCTGCAGAAGCAAGCATGCAGGAAGGAACCCACATCCTAGCAATCCTGCTGAGGCTCCTAGTTGTGTAGGAGTTAGCATGGCCATTTTATATGGCAGTGGTGGTGGGAAGGGGAGCAGAGGCTTGGAGATGAGAAGAGCTGGGAAGCAAGCCCTGGGTATCCCAGAGCTTATGGGTGGGAAGCCAAACAATGAATAGAACAGGGGAGGCCACAGGAATCCCAGGAGGAGGATGCCGCACCGCCTGCCCTGGCCGGACGTGCCATTCCCAGCCTTCTCCCAGGGAACCGGCCACCTTGTTCAAGAAAAAGAACGTTCTCCTCTTGCTGCAAAGAGCCCCAGAATTAGGATCACCCCCTTACAGGATCTGCTGGTCACAGGAAGACAGCACAATAGGCCCCTGGTGGGAGACCTAAAAGTGGGTTGCAGGAACCAGTTAAGGCTGGATGAACCTGGTCAGTCCCTTACATGGATCCTGAAGCAGGAAAAAGCCCACCAGCATCAGCATAAAAGAAAGGCAGGCAAGGGCAGGGCGGGGCCGCTCCAGTGAGGTCCAGAGCTGCAGGAGGCCCAGGCAACTTCAGCACAAGCACAAAGCACTTCCACTTAATTAAAACTGGTTTCCCCCCACAGTTCTTCTCACATTCCAATCTTGTACATGCTTCATTCTGGCTCTCACAGCAGGCCCAGGCCCTGAAACGGCATTATTTTAGGCTGCAAGGTGGCCCCTGAAAAGCTGTTCTGATCCCCAGTGGTCGCTCTTCTCTGTCCCATCCTCACTCCCTTCTCCCTGCTTCTGCTCTGGGTTTTTAGCACCAGCTCTGAATGCCAAGACCACCCCCAAGTTCCTGGGCCCTCCCCACAAAACCAAATCAGAGTGTGCTAGGCCGCATCTGCTGGGGCCTGGCTCTCCCTGTCTTCACACACTCAGCAAGAGAAGCCTGATCTTTCCTTCCGTGCAGAATGCCCACATTTTGTGTTCGACATCTGACCAGATGGGAGAAACCTTGGGAACCCTGGGTGGCAGCGTTCAAACCCTGGGTGAACTCTCAAGGTCTCAGGCCTGGTAAGCATCTCCTCTGGCCTCCACCCCAGGGGCAGAGCAAACATGGCAACCAGGGGCCTGCACTGTCCTGGGACCAAGAGGAGCTATGGCTGGGCTGTGGTCAGGGTGTGTGGCTTTCTAGGCCATGGCCTGTCATCAAGCCAAACACATCATTCCTCATCCAGCCTTCCTCCCGCTGAGGCCAGGGGCATCGGACCCATCAAGGAGGAGAGAGAAGGGACAGGGGTGTGGGAGGGAGAACAGCAGGGGAGGAGGCGCATGTAGGGGACAGGCAAAAAGAATTCCTGTAAGATCCATTGTCCTGAGCTGGTGGCCCTGCAATTCACTGAGAAGACAGGACAAGCTCAAGAGTGGAAGAGCTCTAATGTCCAAGGGCTGCAGCCCACTCAGAGGAGGTTACAGAAAATTAGGCTCAAAACGGCATCAAGTCCTTCAGCCATTCTGCGGATAGACTCTTTAACTAGAACTACTCAAGGACTTCCAGTCCTGCAAAATCCCATGATGGACGACTGGCTCTCTGCTGGTGCCTCATACAAGGAAGACAAAGGGCACAGCGGAGTTGAGGCCAGGGCCAGTGTGCGCAGTGGAGGAGAAAGCAGCAGGAAGACAAGGGCAGAGCTCAGCAGGAAAGAGCAGAGGCTCTATTCAAAGGACAGCAGGTCTGGGTGAGGGCCCTCATTGTCGAGGCTGGAGGTCCGTGCCTGAGGAGGGGGGCTGCCATCCTCCCAGGACTCAGCCAGGCTGATGGGGCTCAAGCTGAGTTTGAAGCCATTCCTCTCGATAAGGCTGGGGGAGGAGGCCCTTCTGCACTCAGTCATCTTTAGCTTGGATTCGTCCTGGCTATCCTTGTGGATTAGGTCAGGTACTGACAGGGAAACCTCTCCATTGGGCAGAACTTTGCCTCTCTCTTCTCTTTCCATGGTGGCCTCTGGCTGTGAAGCGTCTGCTGGGACGTCAGGCTGGGCAGTGGGAGCGGAGTCCTGGGCCTGCCCAGGTGATGGCTCTGTCCCATACTCCAGACTGCTGAGGACAGGCTGTGATGAAATCAGCATGTCCTGGGTGGTCTTCAGGGCCCGAGGGGTTCGCTTTCTGGTTATGGGAGGTGGAGGATCCAGCCGAGGAAATGTTTCTTGCAGGACTGACCTGTAAGGTTAATGACAATAAACACACATGCCTTAAGGACAGCAAGACACCAATCCACCTGCCATCTTGCTTCTCCAACTCCAACTGCACTTTCAACCCACCCCACCCAATAACTGCTCTACTCCTTGGGCTCTGGTTCTTGGTTTGGCACATAGGCCTTAGCAATTTCAGCATAACAGTAGCTTTTGGCCTGGTCCATGCTTACTCAGTGTTCAGAGCAGCACAAAGTGCTGGCCTCTAGAAGACAGGATAGAGACCGCTGGTGAAGCTTGTCAAATCAGAACCCAGGCAGTAAGTCCTGTGTTTAAAACAGGGAATGTGAGGGCATTCCCACCTCAGATGCACAGGTGTTTAAAACAAGGCCTGGAAAGAGCCTGTTGGTAGGAGGGGGAAGAACAGGAGGGCTGCTACAGGGGGCTTCTCCCACTGTGCCCTAGTGGGCTGTGACAGGTGCAGGCTTCTCCACAAGCAACAGTCTACGGCAGCGCTTCTCAGCTATGGCCGGGCATCAGAATCTACCTGGGGACCTTCTGGGCAATAGCTGGGTTCAAATCCAGCTCTGCCAAGTACTATCTTTGTGACCTCAAGCTATTTACTTTGTCTGTCTGAACGTGAGTTATCTGCAGGATGGAAATATCATCTACCTCCCAGGGCTGCTGGGAGGGTTAGACAAAATGATGCAACTATAGCCTGCAGCACAGAGCTGAGGACATGGTGTGCACTCAGCAACCTTCAGCAGCACAGAGCCGAGGACATGGTGGGCACTCAGCAACCTTCAGCTGTGGCTGCAGAAGGTGAAGCCAGCTCCCGAGAACGTGGCCTGATCCTGCAGCTTTTCAGTACAGGACAATCTCACACCCCTCCCTTGGGGCTGTTCTCCTGTGCAGACACTGCAGTTTGTCCCTGTACCTTTTCAAGTGGGTCCACAGAGGGGCATGGATGTTGGGCGGGTGAGGGGCTCACCTTTCATCCTCTAGCCAAGCCTCTGGAGCCGCGTCAGTCCCACTGGCCAGCTGTGCTCCTGCAGTCTTGTTGATCTCTGTCACACCCACACTGCCCAGGCTGGAGGGCTCCTTTCTCCTCAGGAAGTCATTCACTTTGGCCCCCATGGCTTTGCCCAGGTTCTTGAGGTGCTGGCTGCTGCCCACCCAGAGTCCTGGCCCCCCAGGCTCACCAGAGCCCAGAGGGGCAGAGCCGGGGGCCACGGGCTTGGACAAGTGGGGGAAGGAGCGGCTGGCCTGGAGCTTTGGAGTGAGGGCTGTGTTCAAATTCTCAAACATGCCGTGGTCAACTATGAACAAAGAGGCGACAGAGAGGCATGATGAGGAAAGGGGAGCGGTACCTGTGCTCTATCATTCAGTTTTTCCTTATCCCACACCCAAAACCTGTAACTTCCAAGGCTTTGGAAATATTCAAGAAAGAGCCAGCAAAGACACTCTTGAACTTTCCAGTGTAGTTTTCTTGATGGGACAGGAACTAGAAATTCTAGCTCTGCCCCACCCAAGTTAATCAGTGACTAATGCTAGCCATAAAAAAATAAAGTTGTTCCTGTAAACCTGCCTCCTTGACTCATGGGCTTGGCCCCTTTACCTTGGAGTCACCACGCCCTTTGGAGTAAAGAAAAAATGAGGATGAAGCAATGAAACATGACATTTTTACATCACCGTAAGCACGTGCTGAGCTCTCAGTGGGTTGGAAGCTGGTGGAGGGATGGCATGGATGAGGCTTGGTGTTAGAAGCTCCCCACTGAAGGCCATGAGTATAGCACATATTCTCCACAAAAAATGGGGCAGCAGCTCCTCAGGTCTACAGAGGTGGGCCTTGAGCGAGTGGGCCAGCTCTTGCAGAGGTGCTAAGTGGTGGTTCAGAATCAGTTCGTACCAAATGGATAGGAACTCGGTGCCAGTGAAGCACGAGGATCCCAATGAACATCAGCTTACTTAATCCTTACAACCACCTAGGGAGGTGGTACATGGAAGGATATCTACCTACAGATGAAGCCTGCAGGACTCCGCGTAATGCAGTGCCGTGCCTGAGGTCACACAGCTAAATACTAGCAGGGCTGGAGCTAGAACTCAGGCCTTCTAACCCACAGCTCAGGGCTCTGTCCACAACTTTGCCCTGCTATAGATCATGGAACAGCTGCCTATATATGCCTGGTACATGGTCCTTCTTGTAGGGATCCTCTTTGGCTTGAAAAATTAACTCAAAGAGCTGGGTATAAACCCATTAGGTTGTAAAGATTTGCAAGGCAGAGAGCATGCCTCATTCATCTTTGTATTTTCAACACCTAGCCTGGGTTTGGTACCTAGCTGTGCTCAATACAGATCTTGAATCGCCAAAACCCATTTTGTAGATAGAAAATTGTGGTGGC
The DNA here is from genome assembly GCF_000001405.40 of Homo sapiens. Lineage (NCBI taxonomy): Eukaryota > Metazoa > Chordata > Mammalia > Primates > Hominidae > Homo > Homo sapiens. The sequence goes on along the minus strand of NC_000001.11, from coordinate 162,380,807 downwards.
CAAGGTGGTAGCTTAAAGGTTTGTTATTGAAATGACTGGAGCTCCAGGCTCTAAGCCATGCTGTCCACACACTCACACTTGGCCATCCTCTCCCTATCTGGAAATCCAGCTCAGTCATCAGGCAGCCAGACCCACTCTGAGGCCTTGGAATCTGGGTCAAGGTTTCTGTCTACACCAACTACCCCAGATATGTTGTCAGTCTGAGGAAAGGAGATCGCTCGATCATTTGATGACTAGGCTCCTTTCCTTGTGAACACCTCTGCTAAGTGTCTATTTTCACTGAGCCTCTTCTAAGAGTAACTGGGGTTAGGGTGTACTTTTTCTTCTGCTGAATTTTTGTGTAAAGCAGTTCTTTCTGCCCTGCACTGCTGTATCCCGGGCCAGTGAAAACCTTTCTTGTGGTTTCAGTGGTGCTATCCTTTCTAGGCCAACTACCTAGGTATGCCATATTCTAAGGGCCTTTGGGTGGCAGGGAGGAAAACCTGTGGGAAGTGAAGTGGAGACTACTCTCTGCGGATGAGCCCTGTGGCCTGCACCACTGCAGGGTGAGGACCTGCCAGGGAACAGCATGACAGCATCCCTGGGACACAGGGCCCAAGCTGGCTGGGCTCCAGATAGACCCACCACACCAGCAGAAGCTTCCAGCCCGCTCCACAGCAAGCAGGGTCATCAACTCCTGATGATTCTCCTAAGTGTGTATCTTGCCACATCATCCACTTTGGCACAATTTGCCTGTCAGGTCCCACATCCTTCTTATTTTCTTTAATCACGTCATCCGCAAACTAGCAAAGAAGATTTGGAAACCAAACCATTTAACTATTTCCCCCCAAACCAGAAAGTACATAGACAACAATGAAACTGTACGAAATGCCCGGGGAAGGCAAATTGCCACCACTTCCCAAATCAGACATTTCCCTGGTGGTCTCCTTATTGGTTTAAAGTGACTTTTCAGAGCAGACATACTCGTTTTTAAAAAGGCAAGCACCAAAAACACCTGTCAAGGTGATTAGTAAATTATAAGCTATTATTATTTTTAAAACACTCTTTGTAATAAACAGAACTCTGGATTATGCACCATTTTGGATTTCCTGTATTTTTTGCTCTCTACCCTTCATAACATAGTCTATAACGCACTGAATTCTTAAGTAATGTAAAGATAGCCTACCATGCACTCCCTTTACCCTTGTCTAAGTCTTTCCAGTAAATACACCTTGTCTTAAAATGGTAAGGTCCTTGAGGGCCATAGCTCCTGAAGTGTTTCTTTATCTTCTACAATGCCCAGCTTAGGGTCTTGCACGATAGTAGGCATTTAATAAGTTTGTTTAATTGAATTTGACTTTTATATGAATTCTTAAAAATTGCATGATGGACTGACATTGTAGGGAAACTGCTCACAAGTCTTTTTCCATTTATAAAAACCACTCAAAACTCCCTCTATGGGAGTGGTCTTCAGGGGCTCTTGAGGTCAGACCCGGATAACTGCCCTTCTATTCAAAGTGAAAGTGGGGCTCTGGCTGGGGGGTCCCTTTATCCCTATGTCTGAGGATGTGCAATGGGTCCCTTTCTTGATGATGACGCTAATGACCCCCACACATTATCTCTCTTGCTTCAGGACTAGAGGCTTGATGGTTCAGAAAATAATGGCAATGGAGGACAGAGAGATGACTGGACCCCAGCCAGGTGGCCCTCCCAACAGTACCCCCCAACATGCACACACCCAAGCAGAGGAGGGCATCTGGGGATGTAAGTCATCCACAAAAAAACAGGATATCTTACCTGTCCGAGAAAGGGGCTCGGAAAGCAGGTGGGAAACAAACAAAAGAAAGACACATTTTACGTAGTGACCAGTCACTTTGAGAGTGTCACCTCCTGCCTGGGCCACCAGCACCAGCATACCTCGGGGGGACACAGCACACAAGACAGGGGACCTGCTACGAGGAGTGGTGTGCACCCTGGAACCGCCAGGCTCCCACAAACTTTTCAGTGACTAAACCAAAACCGGGTCGCATTTTAAAAACTCTACACAGGCACTGAGAGATTCTGCCTCCCATATTTCCCCCCAGTATTTTAAGCTCCCTTTACTTTAAGTCTGAGGTTGCAGTGGGAGAGTCTGAAGTTGGCAGTCGGAGAAATGTGATGGGTCAAGACAGAATGCAATTCCAAGTCCTCGGGGTCCTGTGTGCATCACTCACAAGTATGCTACTGTCCACATGTCAGTCACTGGGTTTTAGCCAGGAAGATGTTCATCCATTCCAGTTTAGAGTCTAAACTAATAACATGGGTAAACCAAGTAGCAGAGAGATTTGCCCAATATCACACAGGTAGCTCATGGCGGAGCAGGGTTAGAAGTCACATAAGCTGATGCCCAGACTCATGAGCTTTCTCTACACCATAATGGACCAAATGAAATTGCTGATACCCCCCAAACTGCCAAAGTATGTGGCTTCAACTTACTTTCCAATACATGCTAATGTTCCAAACCAGGCTATCTGGGAGGAACACGAGGGGAATCATGTTCTCCCATTGTCCTTCGAATGTTTCAGTACCGTGAATAAATACACACAGGAAGACAACTCTGGGCTCTCACGTGCAGAAGCTAACTCACACCTCACTCACACATGCTCGACAGCACTGCAAAACAAGCCCATCACTATTTCCAGAGCGGCCATAGCTCCCCATGCAGCATAAACATACCTGCCATCTAGATCTGCAGCCCTGCTCTGTATCTAGTTGACATGTTGTGATAATCTAGAAAGGGGTGTCTTCAGCTTATCTTCCAAGTGTCACAATCATCTTTCACCTTATTCCACACCTCGTTAGTGCACAAGGTTGTTATAGGACAAGCGAAACGAAGAGGCAACCTTGCCTCTCTGGAGTCCCAGAGTCTCCCCATCAAACTGACTTAAGCAATGAGCAAAATAGTATTGAGTAAGCCACCCATTTGTGCTTTAGTCACTTGCTAAAAAGAGCACCAACCACTGAAAACAATATTTGGCCCCTATTCTTAGGAAATACACATTGAAGTACTTAGGTATAAAAGGACATAGTGTTTATAACTTACCTTCAAATAGTTCACAGAAAAAATTAAGTATATACACATACACATGGGGCAGGGGGCAGGAGGAAGGGGACGGATACAGCAAATGGGGTAAAATGTTAATAGGAAAATCTGGATACAGGGCATAAGGGTGTTCTTTGTATTGATTTTATTTTTTGCAGCTTTTAAGATGGAGTCTCGCTCTGTCACCCAGGCTGCAGTGCAGTGGCGCTATCTCAGCTCACTGCAGCCTCTGTCTCCCAGGTTCAAGCGACTCTCCTGCTTCAGCCTCCCAAGTAGCTGGGATTACAGGCACCCACCACCACGCATGGCTAAATTTTATATTTTGAATAGAGATGGGGTTTCACCATGTTTGTCTAGCTGGTCTTGAACTCCTGACCTCAAATGATCCACCCGCCTTGGCCTCCCAAAGTGCTGGGATTATAGGCCTGAGCCACTGCACCCAGCCTAATTTCTGCAACTTTTACAAATTTGAATTTCCAAAGAAAATGTGAAAAATATATACACCTCAAAAAACAAACTAAAACAAAACAATAAAAATATTTGCTGACAGAGATTAGGCTGATAAAGGAGAAGAAAAGGAAGGAGATTATTCAGACAGGACAGAGGTTTCCAGGGCTGGAGGGCTGGGGGTAGACAGTGTCAACACAGAAAACTGATGATAACAAAGATAAAAGGGGACAAATAGACAGCATCACTACAGTATCTCTACTACATTCTTCTCTCTGGGTATTGTCAATCAGGGCCTGCCACTGGGCAATGGCAAGTCAAATACAATCTTTACACATTTTAATCTTGCTTTCAGTAGACTCCATTCATCTTCCAAAGGGTAACCTAGTTGGTAGTGGAATCATGTGCCTTGTGACATCAACTGTGCTCAGAATGTTTATCCTCTGGACAAACCAGCCAGCCTCTCCAGAGCAGGCGTGTGATCTCTGTACCCCCGCAGTGGTCAGAATATGGAGAACTTCTCACTCCTCAGCATCTCTGGACCTCCAATCTCTTCCTCCGCCCTGAGTGCTTTTCCCGACATTATGTTCTCTCGTGCCACCAGCCTGCCAGGTAAACTTTGGTGCCACTAGGGCCACAAAGATGTGGTTTTTTTTGAAGCTTTTAATTGAGTACCCTACCAGATCATGTTACAGGACCATGATTTAGTGAGAAAGTCAAATTACGCATGGGGAGAAAATAATTTTTCAAAATGCTGCATTTGTGGTAAGTAGTTACTGCTGTGTATTGATTTTTGGTAAGGGAAGAAAGGGGAAAACTTTTTTTTTTTTTTTGAGACAGAGTTTCACTCCTGTCGCTCAGGCTGGAGTGCAATGATGTGATCTCGGCTCACTGCAACCTCTGCCTCCTGGGTTCAAGTGATTCTCCTGCCTCAGTCTCCATTTATCATCAAGTTTTTCCCCCTAGATTGTGCATGAAATCTCAAGGTGGCAGTATGTCTACATAGAGTAGAAACTAGTTTTAGCTCTGTTTTGACAAGTTTGGAGAGGATTTGGAGTTAGCCAAATCAGAGAAGCCTAAGCAGCAGCGTAAACTGATGAGCACATCATGGAATAAAGTTGGACACCCTGAGGACTCCCTGTTCAAAATACGGTCCTTAGACTTGCAACGTCTGCATCGTCTGGGAGCTTGTTAGAAATGCAGAATCTCAGGTTCCCACCCCAGATCCACTGAATCAGCATCTGTGTTATTAACAAGATCCCTAGGGGATCTCTATGCACAGTAAAATGGAGAAGTACTGCTCAGTGGAGTAGGCCTCCTAAGCATCCATTTGTCTACATATATGACATTTATAAATTTGTCCCCCAAACTGAACACAGCTGCTATTCTGGGATTTGAGGCAGGTCAGCTTTTTGTCCAAGTGTTAGCACTCCAGGGTGTGCCGTGCAGTGATGGCCCACGGGAACCCTGACTGTGGGTATGAGATGTTTCAACTGGACAATCCTCAAAGCGGGCATGGAACATTGCTCTGCAGCCTGTGACTCTGGGTCCCAGGATGCTCAGGAGACTGGCAATGCGGAGTGAAGCCATCCGCGTGATGAGATGCAGGAGGGTTAGGTGAGGGGCAGGCCAGGCGGAGAGGTGTCATCTGGGCTACATCATAAATCCCACTTTCCAGAGGATCTTTCTGAGGCCTGAATGAAATGGCCCCATTCAGAATTCCCCAGGATGTCATCCAGAATAGCTCTGCCTGGCTGAGTTTGAGAGGTCACTGTTCTGTTTCAGCGTTGAGATGCCTTGAAGTACAGAGGTTGAGCCCCTAGGTATGCCTGGGGGAGTCCCAGAAAGTGGAATCCCAACCTTGCTCAGCTCACCAGTGTTTCTTCTATAACCCAGACATTGCAAAGACAGCAGTACCCACTGAGGCATCCAGCCCAGCTCAGGCCCTGCCACCCCAGTACCAAAGCATCATTGTCAGGCAAGGGATACAGAACACAGCGCTCTCACCAGGTGAGGACTTCTCTGACTCTGGGCGGGAATGTGTGAGAGGCTAAGGATGAAAAGGGGCTGCTTCCCTAAGGAAGCAGAGGTGTCTGGAAGCTGGACCCCCATGCGCGGTCTTGTCACCTGCAGCCTCCTATCTGGCCCTTCTTCCTTTGGTAGACACCCACAGGCCTGGGGCTCTCGCCTTGCCTCCCCTCTCCTGTCTCTGAAACTGGTGTGCAAGAGCAGTTTCTGGCTGAGTGGGCCGTGGAGGGATCAAGATGAGCAGTGAGGCTGAAAAAAGGGTCACAGCCATGGGTGGCGAAAAGAGGGACTGTGGGAGGCCGCCGGTTTGGCTATCCGCTGGGTCACCTGTCTGTGTCTATCCTTAGAGGAGTCAGTGGACATGGTGTCTCCAGGAGGGGAAGGCCTCGACAAATACCAAGGCTTACCAACTAAAAGCAGCCTCTCCTGCCCCAAGATCCAACGGCCCTTTGTACCCCTAGAAAAAGAATGCAGTGAGAAGGAATGCCCTCGGCTGCTCTTACCACTGTCTTGCGTCTGCTCTCAGAACTGCAATCGTGGTGGGGTGGAGGTAACCGAGGTCATGCCTGATGTTTGCCTTCTTACCTTTCTGCTCCAGCATCCTTGGCTCCACTGCTCCCTGCCAGAGACTCAGACCTGGTCCTTTCCTTTGCAGACTGCAGCTTGGGGGATACCCAGCACGGAGAGAAGCTGAGGCGGAACTGCACTATCTACCGGCCCTGGTTCTCCCCCTACAGCTACTTCGTGTGTGCAGACAAAGAGAGCCAGCTGGAGGCCTATGACTTCCCAGAGGTGCAGCAGGATGAGGGCAAGTGGGACAACTGCCTTTCTGAGGACATGGCTGAGAACATCTGTTCGTCCTCTTCCTCCCCAGAGAACACTTGCCCTCGAGAAGCCACCAAGAAATCCAGGCATGGCCTGGACTCCATCACATCCCAGGACATCCTAATGGCTTCCAGGTGGCACCCAGCACAGCAGAATGGCTACAAGTGCGTGGCCTGCTGCCGCATGTACCCCACCCTGGACTTCCTCAAGAGCCACATCAAGAGGGGCTTCAGGGAGGGCTTCAGCTGCAAGGTGTACTACCGCAAGCTCAAAGCCCTCTGGAGCAAGGAGCAGAAGGCCCGGCTGGGAGACAGGCTCTCCTCCGGCAGCTGCCAGGCCTTCAATAGTCCTGCTGAACACCTTAGGCAAATTGGCGGTGAAGCCTACTTATGTCTCTAGAGAGATGCCAATAAAGTTAGTCACAGCCTTCTGTCCAGTCTGAGGTCACCCCGCACAGCCTGCTGTCCTTCCCAGAACCCGGCTCTCATCACCTTTGGCTAATGGTTGCCTAGCAACACCAGGCACACACCCTCCCCTTTCTCTCTTTTAAAAATAAAGACAATACTTGAAGTTTGGGAAAATCATCTAAGATAGAGGTTCTCAAAGGTGCCCAGCTGGCAGTACCAGCAACCCCTGGGAACTCTCAGGCCCTCCTCAGACCTACTGAATCAGAAACTATGGGTCTGGGGCTGGCGGTCTATGTCCTAACCAGCCCTCCAGGTGACTCTGATGCAGCTCAGCTGTGAGAAGCACTGCTCTAGGATTCTGGCCTCTGCTTGGTCCCTATGTGGTCAGTCCTTGCCCCACCCTGGGAAGAAGGGGCTGGATGCCCTTTCCTATTTGCATGGGGAAGAATCTCTGCAGTTTTAAAGGCTTCTTTGACGGTAGATCTTCTGAGGGGGGAATGTGGAGGAAAATATGCCTCTGAGTATAAGGCAGGTAAGAGGCAGATGGGGCTGAGCTCACCCGGGACTGAGCTCTCAGGCACTACCATCATTCACTTAGAACAGCCATCCAGTGCTGGGGCAGAATAGAATCAGTTTTGACCCAGGAGACGTCTTTTCTTGGCTGCTTTGAGCCAGGTGAAAATAGGCAGGTAAACATGGGAACCTATTGCTTCCTGTTACCAAGTAATGTGTCCAGTGGGCAGCCCTGACTCTGCCTCCATTTCTGAGTGAACCTCCTGGTCCATCTGACCCAGAAAGATGGATAAGCATCAGGGATGCAGCAGAGACATCTATCTTGACTGTAATGTGGTTTTTAAAAAGCACCAAATGCTTGCTGGTCATCCTTTCAGGCCTCATTTACCTCTTGCTTTATCACCCTGATGACTCAGTAGCCCCTCCACTGCAGTGGGCACTGCCTTGCAGGGACCCTGGCACAAACCCCCGCCCTGGTCTTTGCCTCCCTCAGGGCTTGGCCAGCAGGTGGTGTGGAGGGTCCTCCCTCACCTCCCAAAGGCTTTTCCTCCAGAGTCTTATCTGTGGCTTAGCAGAGCTGCTCTGCTTATCAGTGTGCTGCTAAAACCTCATTTGTGGTCGTTCCCCACAGAGTGGGAGGGAGGCTGGGCTCGATCCCCATCGCATCATGTGCTGTGAGACCACTGCGGCCCTGTGCCCTCGAGCCATGCTTCTCACCCCATTCTGTCCCCAACCCCACCCAGCCTGCATCCCAAAGTCCAATTGACTGCCAGGCTCCAGCTGGGCTGGGATCCAGGACAAGGTCACAACCTATCCAGTCCAGTGTGCAGAGGTCTCCAGGCAGCCCTGACATCACTCCCAGGACCCTGTGCCCTGAAAGGGCAGATGAGTGGCTCTGGGCAATCTTTTTAATCCTCACTCCGAGCTACTGTTGTCTCTGTCCTTTGCCAACCCCATGCTCCCTTCTCTATGGCATCTGTACAACAGGCATAGAACATATCACGAGAAGGAAAACAAGCAGGCCAGGGACTGAGCCCAGGTGCCATGGCACGTGCCCATCCCGCCTGCCAGGTGCTCGTGGTTAGTGTCTTCTCCCTAAAGACAGGGCGTTTTTCACATTCCACATTTAATGTTGTATCAATGTAACCCCAGGAATTTTCTCAGTACAGAGCTAAGTTTTAGCAGAGCAGGAAAGAGCACCCAGCACTGTACTGAGCAGCACAGGTGCAGGCAGAAGGAAGCTCCCTAAAAGGGAAATTGTTCTGTACCCTGGGTCACTGCCAGGCACTCTCTACTGGGTGCTTTTAAAATACAATCTCATTTACTTTCCATAGTAGCTTTGTGTGGTTTATACTATCCCCATTTTCGAGATGAGAATACAAAACTCAGTTCAGTTCACTTAGCCAGAAAAGAACAGAGAGCATGTGAACCCAGTTGATCTAACCTTTTCAACTTTCTCTCTAGCCTGGGCCTGACGAAGCCATCAGGCCTAACACATCCTCTGCCTGCAAAATGGCTAAAAGTTCCAGCCAAAGTGACCTGGCTTTTCTAAAGTCTGTTCTGTGTGATCCCACAGCTCCTCATTCCTCAAACACTCCCTCCTTTACCAGGCTCCTCTGCCCTTTCATTTGTACTCCTTGCAGGGAAGCCTACATTCCCATGAATCAGGACTTCTGTGCTGAGCTGTGTCATAGTGATACCATGATCCCCGCCGAGGTAGGTATGAGGAGGAGCCAGTTTTGTCCCCAGTATGAACATTTCTGGAATGGGCCTATTCAGACTTCTACCAACTACATATTTCAGGCATTTAGTCATGAAGTCCGTGAAATAGTATAATCTTTTTTTTTTTCTTTTCCTTGAGACAGGGTCTCGCTCTATCATCAAGGCTGGAGCGTGCAGTGGCATGATCTCGGCTCACTGCAACCTCCGCCTCCCAGGCTGAAGCCATCCTCCCACCTCAGCCTCCCAAGTAGCTTGGACCACAGCCACTCACCACCATGCGTGGCTAATTTTTATGTTTTTTTTTTTTTAGTAACGGTCTTTCCCCATGTTGCCCAGGTTGATTCAAACTCCTGAGCACAAGCGATCCACCTGCCTCGGCCTCCCAAAGTGCTGGGATTACTGGCATGAGCTGAATAATCTTGTTTATACAATTACACAGTTATATTGGCAAATATCTATGATGTAGTAATTTTTCAAGCACTCAGAACTTGATGCTGGCCAGGTGTGGTGGCTCATGCCTGCAATCCCAGCACTTTGGGAGGCCAAGGTGGGAGAATTGCTTGAGCTCAAGAGTTTGAAACCAGCCCGGACAACATGGCGAAACCCGTCTCTACAAAAAATAGAAAAATTAGCTGGGTGTGGTGGCACACACCTGTAGTCCTGCTACTCAGGAGGCTGAAGTGGGAGGATCATGGAGCCCAGGGAGGTCAGGGCTGCAGTGAGCCATGATCATGCACTCCAGCCTGGGCGACAGAGTGAGACCCTGCCTTAAAAACACCTGAAAAACAAAAAGCCCTGAAACCCAAAACCAAAAAAACCAACTGGCTGCTACTACCCACATATTCTAATGATATTTGGAGTTTGAAAAAACCTGGGATTGGCAGAGTCGGCAAAAATGGGTGTAGACGAGTTTCCCAATCTCAGGACTACTGACATTTGGGGCTGGATGATTCTTTGTTGTGGGGGGCTGTCCTGTGCATTGTAGGATATTGATCAGTATCCCTGGCTTCACTCACTACATGCCAGTAGCTTTGTGACAACCAAAAACATTTCTAGACATTGTCAGATGTCCCCTGGTGAGGAAAAATCAGGCCTAGTTAAGAACCACTGATACCTCTGATCCCGCAGGGCTGATCTATATAAAGTGCAAATGAAGCCACCATCTTCCTCTCCTCCTACAGGGAACTTGTGAATCTTTCCTCAATCCCATACCCTTGGGAACCATCTCACAGAGCTGATGCCACTTGGCTTGGGAAGTGGGGTGGAAGTGAGGGGGAGAGAAGGAGCAGGTGGAATAGAAGCAGCAAGAAAAGACAATGGAAAAGCTTCTAGAAATAAGAAAGGTTTATTTAGCAAAAGCCACTAGACTAGTGACAACATCCAGGGAGTAAGTGCACTTACATTAACAGAATCTTTTCCCAGAGAGTTGATCCAACAGAGTTAATGACACAACAGCTTTAGGAAGTAGAGTGCTAGTGGGTAGAGGGTTAGGAGGAAGCAGTCAAGCAAAGAGTAAATAAAAGGAATACAACGCCTAAACAAGATCAGTTGAGAGAAATGAGGCTAGGAAGAGGTTTTACAGAGAGAGCATTGATATAAGCAGGAATATAAGGAATATAATTTTTAATCTCAATATACAGTCCATCCAGTGCAGAGAAATTCTTTCCTGGCTCCATAACTGTGGGAGCCTCCTGTGCACGAGAGTCTGCTGGCACCTGGGGTAGGCTGGGGCAGGCACCAATAAGGTTAGCACCCCTGGTGTCCATTTGTCCTCCATATAGGGCAGAGTAGAAGAATGAAAAAGAGGAAGGCAGAGTTGAGTTAGCAGAGCAAGAAGCAAGGAGGGAGGACAGGGTGACATCGTCGGGAAATCAGGTCTGCAATGTTCCCTTTCCTGCCCAGTTGGCCCTGATGGAGGGTCGGTGGCTGGTGATCCTTCAAGGCTCCTAGATCTGTCCTTTGTCTCCCATCTCCACACACCAAGTATGCGCTGGTTTGGGTCCACTGGGGAGGATACCAATACACAAACTAGTCCTCCAGGGAGGGCCTGAACTGGGGAAAGGGTGGCGCCCAGGCAGGAAGAAACCACCATGGAACACCCCAAGGGCAGGAGTCTTGGATGGGTCCCAAAGTCAGCAACACAGATAACTAGTTTCTCCAATTCTTTAATTTCTCCATTTCCTTTCGTCTATCCAATCTCAAGTTTTTACAGGCCATTTAGAAGCGGCCTTCCTCACCCACTCCCTGGCCACATCCCACACAAGCCCTCTCCATCCACATTCCATACACCTAATCCACTGGCCTCTGGCTTTATCCTCAGCTCCGGCTTACGTCAGAAAACAGACTTTTCACTCCTCTGGACGTTCAAAATCTTAATAATCTAAGTGGTCTTGGACTCAGGGAACCCTGGGTTAGATTTCATAAGCTAGGTAGGCTCAGCCACACTGGATTCTGACAGCTGCTCATTTAGTTTCATGGATCTCACTTTCCTGGTTCTTCCTTCTCTGTGTAACTGTACCTATTTCCAATGGCAAATTAGATCAAAACAAAACAAACAGAACCATGCCTCTCCAACTAAATGCATGTTAGAAAACACAAATCTGTTGCTGATTCAAACACCCTGGAGATCCTCGTTCTTTTCCGTCTGGTTACAATCCTACATATATGTACACACTTTCCCTCACACATGTATATATAAACACATGTGTACACACACACACAAAACACACACACACACACCACCTGATCCTATTTCCACTGACACCCTGATGCACCAAGGAAGGCTAACATAAAACTGAATTTATTTCCTTTAATTTGGACTTTCTGGGCTACAAGAAAACCAACTGTGGCCATTAGAAGAGGACTGCACTTTTATTTATATATAATCTAAAGGAAAGCTAGGGTCGATGAACTCCATTTTGGGATAATCATATCCTTGCCGATTGACCCTCCAATAACACTGCAGTTTGCATCTGTACCTTGTTGTCTAGGATAAAGACTTAATTCCCCGAACATATGACTCTAGCAGGTCTCAGCAATCTCTTCAGGCATTTGAAAATCTGTTAACAGCCACTTATGGCCTTACAGGAGCAAAGGAGCTTTTCCTCATTGCCCCAGCCAGCCCGTTAAGGAGTAGTGATCCCTAGGCAAAGCCTAGATCATAAAAGATAAGACAATTGCACATGGCACTTTTTATATGTGTGCTCAAGGCACGCACGCAGAGAGATGGGCCAAGGGTGGCAATGGCTGTGGTCCCTGACCCAAGTGGCAGTGATTCAGAAGAGTGGACAAAAACAGTCTCACAGTCTCAGCTATCAGCTTGCATTCATTCTTTTTTTTCTTTCTCTTTTTTCTTTTTTTTTTTTTGCAGTAAAAACTGACCACCACTGCCCAGTGGAGGGGACAGGTTGAGAGGTAAGGCTGGGGGCTCTGGTCCTCTGGGGCTTTCAGAGAGGTAAAGTGCTGCAAAAGCTTCAGCTGGACAGGACACAGGGGAGGTGAGGGGCAATTCCCAGCTTCCATTTAGATGGGCTGGGCTACAGGCAGGAGGAAGGCAGGGCAGGACTTTCAAAACAGGAATCAGATCTAAGTGATTTGGAGCAGCAGACAAGCTGTCCTCCCCCTGGGCTCTCACACCAAGGGCCTGAACCATGTTAAAGCTTCAAGGCTCCCTTTGTAGCAACATTCAATGTCCGGCTGGAGAAAATGTTTGGATTCAGTTCCTCTAAAAGCTTATCCACTGTGACACATTCCAATTCCATGCTCACCCTACAAGGACTAGCCTGGCTTTTGCGGTCCAGAGCACTCAATCTCTACAATCTCAGCAAGGGCCTGGAGAAGGAATTCCTCTCATAAAGGTAGGGGGAGGGTTAGGCAACTCGCAGCATCGTGATATCCAGAAACAAAGTACCTGAGAAGGTACCGATGGCTTCCCTTCCTGGTCGGGACCATGGAGACGGGGAGAGTGAGGGGGTAGGGGGGCATCACGGACAAAGCGTGGGAGCCTGACGATGCAGCAGGTAGGGGCAGGTCCTCCAGCAGCCTGGCAGTCCTGGAGAGAGACCCTCTCCTGAAGCCATGGGCTCTGGAAGGCCTTACCTCCACCACCCTCTAGTCACAAGTAGGAGAGGAGCTGATTCACCTCTGGGAATCCGATTTCTTCCCCACTTTACCCTCCAAAGCAGAATCTCAATACTTTCCTGAAACCTCACACTCTCCCGGGCCCTGGCTGGCATTCTCCTCGGCAGTGCACATTCACTGGGCATCCCCTACCCGGGCAGCAGCCAGACACGGCCCCTCCAGCCACGCCGCCGCCTCCATCTCCTCGCCCTCGGCACCTACACGGCGATCTCATCATCCAGGCCGTCGCCCAGTTCCTGCCTCTGCAGGACATTCAGCAGGCGCGGCAGCTCCTCCTGGGACCACGAGTCGCGCTCCTCGCTCTCGTCCGTGTTGGACTCGTACTCCGAGGCGATGCCTGACTCTCGGAACTTGATGAGCTCCAGACCGCCCAGGAGCGCCTCGCCCTGCGCTGGGGGCGGGGTGTCCTCGGGCGGAAGAAAGCGAAAGCACTCCAGCTTCACCAAGCAGTCGCGCCTACCTAAGGGGCTGCCCGCAGGGTGGGCAAAGTCAGCCAAGCCCGCGCCCAGCGGCGGCGAATGCAGGTCCTCTGGCTTAGGGGTCGTGGGGTCACAGAGCACGGGCAGGGCTCCGGAGCGGAAGGTGATCTCCAGCAAGCTGTCCTGGGAGCCCACTGCAGGGGAGACAAGAGGTAGCAGAGGGGCAGCGTTAGGCAAGGTTGTTGATTTGGGATGCCCGCCTTCTGCCCGCCCGTGCCCTGCCAAAGCCCTTCCCAGACCAGCTTAGCAGCACCTCTCCGGGCTTTGGGTCTCTTAACACTTCACCCTTCCTCCCGCCCCCACATAGCTCCAGACACACCTCGCTGGAGGGGAGGAGCTTTGGGACGTGGTAAAGGCGGGGACATAAGAACCATATGATGGTTCTGGTAGCCACTGAAGGCTCTGAATAGGGTTAGTGGTAGGAAAAAGGTACCAATTGAGAGAACCATGTTAGAAGCCTGTGGTAACCTTTAGTACAATCATGTAAATAAGCATTAATTAGGATAGAGCAGAGTTTCAATGAACAATCTGGAAAATCCAGAGAGGCTTCCAGAGTGGTGAAGGGCACTGGTTTCCAATCCACACCTCTGGGCTACTTTAAAAATACAGGCTCCCAGACCAGCCCTAGACAGAACGATGTAGGATCTCAGTAGGAAAGACGCATTTTTAAAAGAGCTCATGGGATGGTTTGGGGGAACCACTGGTATAGTTGGAACAAAATTTTGCAATCAGATCTAGGTTTGAATCTTGGCTCTGCTCCTTGCTAGGCCTATAACCTTGAGCTAGTTACTTAACCTCCCTGAGTCTGTTACCTCATCTGTAAAATGGCATCCCATTTTTCTGCAGCAGAACTACAGGGATTAAATGAGCTCACAGGCAAAAAATTCTATCACAGTTTCTGGCACAATATGTGATCAATGGCTATTTGCTGGTCCACAGCCCACACACACTCTGAGCATGCAAACAACCCACGGAAAGGCTCAAGAGGAAGGCGTGAAAATGTGTTGCGATCTACAGCTGCCCAGCCCAGCCCAGGGGTACTGAGTGTAGAGACAGCTTCTCAAGCAGGGGCCAGGCAACCTCTGCTATTGCCCAGCAGAGCAGTGCAGCCAGATTCCACTGCCTTATCCACTGAACAGATATACTGCTCCCAGCTTTTTCTGTGTGACAGAGTCTTGAAATACATAGTGCAGAGTAGTAAACTAAGAAACAATCTGCTGTCTCCCACAGAGCTCACAGAGACCATGACACCCAATAGGTGCCAAGTATACTGTTTGTTGATTGCAAAAGCTCTCTGAGAAAGAAATGGGCTGCCCTAGAACACAGAGTACCTGAGCCCCTATCAAATAGAGACTGGATGAGCACATAGCAGTGACTCCGGGGACATTCAAAGTCCAGCCCTGGGCCTGGATTAGAAGGCACCCGAGATCTCCTTTGGGCATGTGATTCTGTAATTCATTAAGTATACTAATGGGAAAACAAAGCTGCCTATGTTTTCTGCTGGAATATAGGGGTAGGTCAGGGGTCCAAGAAAGCACCACCAAAAACTTAAGGAAAGTGACACTCTTTCCAGAGCCTTCACAGAGGAAGCAGGGCTGGGCAGGGCACTGGCTTACTGGCGTTCTGTCCTGACAGCTTCAGTTCCAGCTCTTGCACCTGCTTGACCAGCAGGGAGATGTGCTGGAGCATGTCCTTGTTCTGCAGCAAAAGCTGATGCACGCGAGCCTGGGCCTCCAGCCGCGCCGCAGCCTCAGCAGCCAACTGGTCCTTCAGCAAGTGTACCTGCAGAGAAGAGGCAGCGGCAGAGAAGACAGGACAGAGAGAAGAGAGGGACATGAATGCACATGAGAGTCACTGGCAGATGGCCGGGACCAGAGATGCCCTCCACATTCAGTTCAAGAAGAAGCCCTTCACGGGCAGCATGGGCATCTGGGCTTATCATTCCAGAGGAGGAGCCAAAAGGAGTGGGTTCACTGGCACTGCGAAGCTGTGTGTCCTAAGGGAGGGCCATGATGCATCACTAAGGTACCCATACCAAGGGCAAGAGGCAGGAAAGAGCCATCGACCCTCTAGACCTGCCACACACACACACGTACACACACACGTGCACATATACACACACACACGCACGGTGCTCCATCCCTGCTTAGAGAACTCCTTCAGCACCTAGCATGGCATGCCATGTTGGAGGTGGAAGGGGGCACTCTCTTCTCATCCTGTCTTCTAAAAAACAAAACCAAAACTCATCTATTGACCCACTGGCTAAGAACAGTGTCACAACGAAGCCCATATAATCTTTCTCCCTCTCCCACTCACCCAAACATAGTGAGAAATAGGAAGCACTACACATGGCTTTTTAAATTAGTGAGGCAGCTGTCATCAAGCCACTCTGTAGGCGACAGCTTCTTTCCCTGTCTTCCTTTTTTATTTGCTATGGCAGACATCTAGGACCATGATTCATACCACATATTACCAGGACCACCTGGTAGGGGTCAAACATTTGCTGACTGATTCATGAGAGGGCCTCCTCCAACCAGCCCAGAAGGGCTGAGGTGAACAATTTGTGGCACCCTCATCAGTTTCCAACCTTCTTAAGGCAGAGCAGTTGGCAGCAATGCATTCAGCATGCTTGAGGCCCAGTGGTGTCAACAGCTCTGTTCTTGGTGAGCAATACTTATGTGGAGATAAAACTCAGTGGGAGGAGACAGGGGCAACCAGACCAGGACCCTGGTTTGAAGAAACTGAGTTAGAAGGCCAATACCAGTGTTCACACATATGTGATTCTTGTGCAAAGAAGTGAATAAAGAGTTCTCCAGGGAGCATTTCAGAAGGCCCCTGAAGAAAGGGAACTAATGAATTTTTATGGCCTGGACCAATGTAGCTTATGGGGAAAAGGGTGTTCTTGTACCAAAACCATGGTGTGGGTAAAGACAGAGCCAGGTGAGTGGGGGCAGGAGAGGTGGGACGAGGATGCAGGAAGATGGATGGGGAGTCAAAAGCATTAGCTGATTCCCTTGCTCAGAAAACAAGTGCTCAAATTTCTGAAGAGGAGTTTGCTCCAAAGAGATTCACATTTTTTTAGGGAGTAAAGGGCAGTGCTACCTCACAGTTGGCCACCCTTGGCCAAGTGACTTGCTGGCCCAGGGTGTGCCCCTCCCAGCAACCAGCACTCAGAGAATTACACTTGTGGATACCGTGGCTGCCTCCCTCTTGCCCAGATTGGAGGCCCTGACCTTGCCGTTGACCCTATTTCTGATTGAGTGGAGCCACAGGGGCATAATGCCTAAGGAATTTAAACTAAATCTGTCCTCCATAAAGCTGCTAAGGACAGAACTGATATTTTGGTCAAGAAGTCAGACTCATTTTTTTGTCTCATATTAATTGAGAGAAGATCTGGGGAGGGGTGAGAACAGGTGTGATACAGTGAAATACATGTTTGGTCTTCATCCCTGTTTCCTGACATATAGCTCCCCAAACCCTTGAGATCTCCAGAGTGGTAAGAGTGTTTTTTGTATGCTTATTAGATGATTAGTGGTTGGGGAACCCCTGGAAGCTTCGGGATGGGGGCTGCTCACAGGACAGACCAAGGTATGATTAGAGGATAGGATTTTTCAGTCCCACGCCCCAACCTCCAGGAGATGAGGGGCTAAAAGTTAAACTAATCACCAGTGGCCAATGATGTAATCAATCATGCCTACATAATAAAGCCTCCATTAAAAACTCAAAAGGACTGGGTGTGGGGAGCTGCCGGGCAGCTGAACATTTAGAGGTTCCTGGAGGGTGGTGCACGTTGGGAGGGCATGGGAGCTCTGCCACCCTTCCCACAGACCCTGCCCTATGCATCTCTTCCATCTGGTGTTCATTGGTATCCCTTATAATATCCTTTAAAATAAACCAGTAAATGTAGGTGTTTTCCTGAGTTCTGTCAGTTGCTCTAGCAAATCAGTTGAGTCCAAGGAGAGGGTAGTGGGAACACCAATTTATAGCCACTTGGTCAGAGGTGTAGGTGACAAACTATTACTTGTGATTGGTGTCTGAAATGGGGGAAAGTCTTGTGGGATTGAGCCCTCAAACTGTGGGATCTGATGCTGTTTCCAGGTAGATAGTATCAGAATCAAACTGAGTTAGAGGACACTGTGTGCCCTCTGCAGAACTGCTTGCTTGCTTGGTGTGTGGGAAAAAGCCCCATACATTTGGTCATAGAAGTATGTTGTGACAGTATAGCAGGAAG
Source organism: Homo sapiens (assembly GCF_000001405.40). Lineage (NCBI taxonomy): Eukaryota > Metazoa > Chordata > Mammalia > Primates > Hominidae > Homo > Homo sapiens. The sequence goes on along the minus strand of NC_000001.11, from coordinate 162,362,954 downwards.
AAACTGAGTTTGTTTCTTCCTATATCCACTCAACAGGGAAAGAAATGTCAATAATATTGTAATCTGGATGTCAGATGGTGGGTGGCTATTAAGGTTTTCTCCTCTTTGGAAAGGGAGGCATGGAGAAATTTCAGCTGGGGGTCCCCCAAATCTATTTGGTTCTAAGGAACAGGACAACTGCTATGGGAAGCCCACAGATAAGCCTCAGAGAAGGGTAAGCTTAATCTTGCACTTATGAGTACCGTTACTTATCCCAACAAAGAGTGGCATCGAAAGGAACCTACTGAGCAAATAAAATTACTAAATTATTCATCTTCCATTTTCTTTGGAACCAAACCAACCAGAGAGAAATGTGGAACAAAGTCTTTCAGCAGATATAAACAAAGAAAGTAGAGAATCCTGCATACCTCTAACTGGCACTTATTGAGGGCTCTCTGCACACATACTGCAGAGTCAGTTTCTTTTCTTTTCTTTTCTTTCTTTCTTTTTTCTTCTTTTTTTTTTTTTTTTGAGACTCACTCTGTCACCCAGGCTGGAGTGCAGTGGAATGATCTCAGCTCACTGCAACCTCTCCCTCCTGGGTTCAAGCGATTCTCCTGCCTCATCCTCCCAAACAGCTGGAATTACTGGCGCCCGCCACCACACCTAGCTAATTTTTGTATTTTTAGTAGAGACGGGGTTTCCCCATGTTGGCCGGGCTGGTCTCAAACTCCTGACCTCAAGTGATCCACCTGCCTCGGCCTCCCAAAGTGCTGGGACTACAGGTGTGAGCCACCATGCCCAGCCCAGAGTCAGTTTCCTGCTTTCCAGTCTGAACATCCCAACAGGACAGGCCATTTGAATGCACCAGACCAGGAGCTGGAGTGCTTGTCTGTTGGGTACTCCCTAGGCAGTTGTAGACAACTCACTTCTCTCTGGACCTCAGTTTCTCCATCTGTCAACCGAGAGGACTGGCTTGAGGCTGAGACAGTTGATAATTCTACATCCAGGTTGACATTGTGGTCAGTACTGGAGGCAATTTGTTAATGGCTCATTGAAGAAAACTCTCAGTTCCCCATTGTGAAGTCAGAATTAGAATTGAGGGTGAAGGAAAAGTCCCCTCTTACAGAAGCCAGGAAAAAAATTGAAAGCTTTTTTTGCAGGTACCCAAGTTCAATGGTGGAGTACCAGCAATACCTAGAAGAAGACCTTTGACTCAAATGCTTCCCATCGCAGATCCATTGGCACCAAGTGCCATGAGAAAATGCTCCTTGTACCAGATTAAATAAGAGTTTTACCTCTGTAAACCCAGTTACACTATTTCAGGTATTTTCAAGTCCTGTGAATATGTGAGCACCCACTGCTGCTACTGCCTGAGCCAGCACTAATGAGCCCTCTGCTTCTGCAGCTGTCAAAAGTGGTACTGGGCATAAGGCTCAAACCTCAAGCTGTGGCAGGCTGTGCTGCAGGAGAACCCAAACCAGGCCATACTGAGACAAAATAGCCTGGACTTCTTTTAACTTTGAGGTGCAGCATTTTATAACTATGTAGGCTCGAACTTGAAGCACTGAAACGAGGCAGCGTTACGTGAAACCTTGGTTTGGGCAGTCTGCTACAGCCCTCTGTGCTTTGTTTCCCCATTCATACAACAGGGGCAGAGAGCACCACCTCCTCCCCACCAGATGGGATTTTTTTTTTGTATTTAGCATGCTTTTCTTTCAAAGAATTAAGCCCCTTTTGTAAAAGTAGACCATATTTCTTTCTGGAAAGGTACAAATTAGTGTCTCCTTTGCAGAACTGTGTTGTCTTTGGCAATGAATGTTGTACTTACATACTAAGTCAGTGATGTGGCACAGAGTGATGTGACACTACGGCCACGTCCCGAGTGCCAGGGCTCAGATGTCCAGCTCTGCACTCTGGCCTCATCATGACACACAAAAGTTCAGCCCTGCACCCTCCAGCTCTACACTGCTTTCCCAAACTCTGAAACCCACCCTCAACCCACCCAGCCACACCAGACCATTGGCGCCCTCACTCTCCAGCTTACTTGCCTGGACTCCAGCTCCTCCATCAGAAGTGAGGGCAGGGCCAGGCTGAAGTTAGGGAGTAGCAGGCACATGGAAATGGCAGTGGAGAGAACCAGAGCAATTTGCCCCACCACACACTGGACACAGAAGCAGAGGCAGGCGCCGCTGTCTCAGCATGCACATGGCAGGGACTTGGGCAGTGCATGCCAGCGTGCTGGGGACTGGGAGAAGCCACAGGGACATATGCTAAATAGAGGGCCTGGGGTGGGGATGCGGAGTTTTGTTAGCACTGTTCCTCTAACTACAGCATACATGATTGCGAAGCATAAATAACCAATTCCTTGTTCCTGAACAAACAGAAGTGGCAGCAGGTAGAGGAGAAATCTTTAAATAGCAATACTGAACTGTACTAACACTTTCCTCAGGAAAAAGGCTGGGAATTGGCAAACTGTGAATAGACCTGGCCTACTTAACACTTGCCAATCAGCCACAGTGCCCAGATCAGTTCTGAGACTATGTCGGCCCAGCCCATGGCCATGCAGGTGCCAGCTACATCCCAGCTTCGCTTCGAGGCTTAGCTATACTCTCATTCACACCCTTGAACTTCTGGTCCACCTAAAAGCAGGAAGCTAGTGCAGCCAGGCAAGCCTCATGCTGGGTCGGAAGAGCGGTCAGAGGGACTTGGGTATTCACTACTTACCCACTGAGGTCTAACCCGGAAATACTTAAGAGTTGGTTGAATACCACCTTTGCCCATATACCTTTAAGGTCAGGGCGGGCCCCTTTGAGACCAGCTCAGAACCAATTTAGGGTGAGGCTGGGAGAGGTCTTGCGGTCTTAGACCAAATCAGGACACTGTGAAGGAAACCTAAGCCTGGTCCCCATGGCAACAGCAGAACTAGACTAGTCTGTGGGAAGAAATGGGGGTGGTGGGGGGGGGACGACATAAATAGTGCAACAAGTGACATCAAGGGTACACTTGTCTGCAAGAAACTGTCTTTATCCTTAGATTTTTATCCAGGAACAACATAGGAGGATTTGGATGCTCTCCGAGAGAAGGAAACTATTCCCACCTGAAAGGCTGAGGTCATAGTTTTACTCACTGGAATTCTGGGGACTGCTGGTAGTTTAATAAAGACAGACAGAAGCCTTGCAGTTTGGTGGCAATAGAGTCTGACAGAACAAGTAAGAGCTGACCTCGTGCTGGAAACTGAAATCAGCCCCCCCCCGCGTAGAGAAACCAAGCTTGCTATACTTGGTCTATTTCAAATGTGTGAAAGATGCCAAGAAGACCCACCTATTAATCCAGCTACATCTTACGTAATTGTTTTTACCCAAGGATATAGACACTAGTAAAAAAGCCCTTGAATTAAACACTACAAAGAAAGTGGAAGAATGAACAGTGTGCGGAGAAACCTCTAACTGAAGGTCAGTTTAGGACCGAATCCGTCTGCAGGACAGGAGAGCTGAAAGCCAGCTGAAATGTACAATATCCCTGCTGTGGTCCTGGACAGCAAAAGCAAGATGCGAACAGAAAGAAGGTAGTCAGAGACAGATGGGCATGGCAGACAGAGGTACAGGAGTATGTTCAAGAACCTATCAGATGACCCCAACGTCCTATCTGATGATTTTGGAAGCCTAAGACTCTCCCTAAAGTCATCTCACAAATGTGGGACACAGATGCAGTATGGTGGCCTTTTGATCACCACACTGCTTGTATTGAGAGTCAAGCAGGGCAACTATATTCAACAGATTCCAAGTGAGTGAGAGGCTAAGGGTGCTCAGCCTGTGGACATGTGGAACCGAGAGAGGCTCATGAAGCAAATCTCTAATACCACACCCTTTCCTTCCCCTAGATTCATTGTCTTCTAGGAGAGACACAATTAAAACAGGGCCAGGGCAGGATTTCCCATGGAGACTGACAATTGATTCTATACCAGAAAACTACTCTTAAGGTTTCATCCTGACTGTAGTAGACCTGTGATAAGTTACATGTCTTGTTGCTTTGGAGATTGAATGCTTCCTTCCACCGCCACAACACTATTGTGTGGATTACACATTTGCAAATAGTTTCTCTCTAGTACTTAGCAGTGACTTCGAATTCAAATGCCTCCCTGATAAAATCATATCATGAATATGCATCAAGCCCACTCTTAGATAAATAATAATTACTTGGCAATTGATACGCTGCAAAATAAAAGTATTATGTTCTGTATTCAATGGGAAACTTGTGGAAATGAAATGAGTCTGAGAATGGACCCGTGCTGCAGTGCTTAGTCTTTGTGCTCCTGTCAACTGTCACACTAGGGAGGGGATTCTCAGACTGCTGTGCCATCATTAACTACAGGAGATGGATTCTTTTATTTGACAAAGAGAAATGATTTTTTTTCTCCAAATATAAGAAGCCATTAATGACATTCCCCCTCTCTGTTGCTGTTTTGGGAACACCTGCAAATCCTCCTAGCATCACGAGATATCCTTTTGTTTCATGGTAAGACTTTTTAAAAAGACTCCGATAACTTGAGAGCTGTGTCCCATTGACTCTACTCTCCTGAAACCTGGCTGCAAAAGTCATCCATGAGCCTTGCATCTCAGGCCCAGGTCAGGAGAGACCGTGTTACAAGAAGGTCTTCTTCAAACCCTGAGTCATAGCAGATCCTGTTATGGCCAGGACGCCGGATGCCTCCTCAAGGTGGAAAGGTGGAAAGGATATCTCTGGCTGGATGATTCAGTCCACTCAAGAGCCAGGACAAGAGTAAGCAGAAGACATAACAGAGAGCAATAAGTGCTCCCTGGAGAAGTCTGCTCCCCGCCATTCTAGAATGCAGAAAACCTAAGTGGTCAACAGTCTGGTCAAGCAGATTTAGAATGTTGATGCAGGCTGCCTTTCCAGATCCTTTACCAATTCTTCCAAGCCCCAACTGCCCCGTCTCCTAAGATCTTCATGCACTCATCAGGCCCTGACCCTGCCTCTCGCCTCAGGATTCAGCCTTGGGTATGAATGAATGTCTTCACCATTCCCTGAGTGCTGGTGGTAGAGAGGGAGCTCAGACTTCCCAAGAAAGATGTGGACTACAGCGCCCTCTATAGAAAGCAAACAAGAAGAATCCCTGCTGAAAGCAGCAAGGGAAATCAGCTCACCCTCCCCTATAATGTAGCAGCCCCCGAACAAGTTTTTTGGGGTACAAACACCACCTTGATTCTGAGATCTAAGCCAATTCTTTTCATTATGGCTCAAATAATACACCTAAATTCCTGTAAGTTAAATCCTACAATAATGAATTCCAATCAAATACTGCCTGGAATAAGTAGATCGTAATGAAGGCTGGGAAACCTGTTATAGACACGGAGACTGGGATGCTAGGGTAGTAATCTTTTTACAACAGTGTTTGGCACAAATTCATACTTTAAGCTGTTTTAAGAGTGGTATCATAAAGCCACAACTGTTCTGACTCCAAAGGCATCACTTTCCACCCCAAATATCAGGAAAGTAAGGCAGGAAAGGAAGGGTGGAATTGTGTGCATCTTTTCCCTTGGTCAGTTCAAGTCATTAACAACATTCAGCCAAGCCAGCCAAGCCCAGCTCAGAGCAGGGGATACATGGGAAACCAAAATGTGCCTCTCCATTTCAACTGCATCCCCCATCTATCCCCCTCCCGCTGCCCCCACTCCCCAACAAGCAATGATCCAATAGCATGAGCGATTCCTTATGACTCCCTAGATTTTAAACCTGCCCTGAGCCCCTCGCTAGGGAAGGTGCATCAAGCCCATGAGAGTGGAGCCTGCGAAGTAGGGAGGAGGCTGAGGAGAACCTGGGCCACAGCCACTTGTGTCTGCTGCTGCTGCTGCTGGAGGAGCTGCTGGAGGAGCTGCATCTGGTGGTGAGTGGACAGCGGTGTCTCTGTGCCCAGGCCTGGAGGCTTCGAGGAAGAAGAAGGGAGCAGCATCCTGGGTGAGGCTGTCAGCATGGGCTCCTGGGGGTGCGAAACCTGGAGGAGAAGGAGAAGACAGGACATGACATGTGGCAGGAGCCATCTTGAGGGGCCTCCCTCTCTTTGGCATGCACTCAGGAGGAGCAAATTGGCACACTTACAACCCATAAGCTGACAGCACTATATCTTCAATGGAAATGGGAGTAGAGGCCCAGAAAGGAAATGGTGTAGCTGCCTGGGCTGATACCACACAGTCAGAAAATCGTAGGGGGACTAGGGGGACACCTCGGTAACTGACCCCGATGGGAGACTGATGGCTGATACTGCTCCATCTCTTGCCCACCACTTCCAATGATACCCTGTCACTGAGTTCCTTGAGGTTCTAGACTTAGAAGAATCTATTTTAGGAAAACGTAGCTTCCATCCACCCTACCATGATAACAGGAAGGACCCAGCTTCAATCCTCTACTCTGCTGTGTCCTTAGGGCTCCCTCCTCCAGGGTCTGAGATGTTCCTTCTCCCTTGTTGGGAGAAGCGTGGAGCTGGGTCCTGGAGGAAGGGGCCATGTGAGGGGGCTACCTCCTGCCCTCCACTGCCTCTGGTGAGAACCATCGGCAAAGAAGTTTGGATCCTAAAATATATAATGATCTGGAGAGATCCTCTTAGATGAAAGAAGTTCCTGTGTCCTTCCCTCCTTTCCTTCTGTCTCCCTCTCCTGTGGACATTTTTACCAAGATGGCTTCTACGATTCATAGAATTCCATGGCAGGGAAAGACATTTTGTTTCTGGCAGTTCTGCTGTGGGGACTTCTTCAGACATACACAAGGAAGGCCCCCAGTGACACAGGGCTGTTTCCACTTGTAGAGGATAAACTGGTTCCAAAGGAAACGTCAGGCAGCTAGTTTAGAACTGAACTGCCCTCCAAACCTCCATGTGAGATAAGATATGAATGTTAAAGAGAGAGAGGTGCCCTGATATAAACCGCCTGGGAATCTAAGGGTAGAGCTATTGGTCAGTAATTTTGCTTCTGGGTTTAAAACATTTTTAATTAGCTTTGGCTTCAGGTTGGAATTTGATCTCAAGTTCTTAGTTTCTTAATTGGATCACATTAGGAACCCCCAGATGCCACAGTCATCTCACCTATATGATGTTAGGTTAGAGCTGATGAAGACTAAGGTGGTCTCTCAGTTTCTGACATCCAGTGGGCCAACTTCCAGACTCCAAAGTGCTATCCACAGGAATTACCAACGGTATACCACCGCTACTGCAGGCAGAGCGGGCCCAAACTGACTTTGCTCTACTAGCTAAGTCACAGGGGAGTCTGTGTGTGTGTGTGCCAGAGTGAGCCTTGCAAAATACTGTGCAAAGATGAGATGCTGTTAAGGGAAGAGGGTGCCAGGGAGTAGGAGACCAAATATTGGTGGGATTTGGGGAGGGCGATGTGTGTCAGGAATCAGCTCCACAGCATCCTGGCCTGCAGCAGCATCTAGTGTTCAGACCCTCTGGAAGTCAGACCTTCTGAAAGGCAATGAAGTGCGCTCTGGCACCGCCACTGTGCCATGGAGTGCCTCACTCGGAAGCTGAGCTGGCAGGGGCTAGGAAGTGACTGATGACCTGAGGGCACACGTGTGCAGATCACACAGATGGGCCATCTCTTGCCTACCTTGGAGCCTGTGTGAGAGCCTCCTTCCTTCCCTACAGCATCTAGATCAGTCACACCTCGGCTGAATTCCAGGACATCATTCCCTGGAAGTGGGACCTCCACCGCATCGATGTCAGTCTCCTCTGCAGTGGCCGTGGAGGCCCTCTCGGCTCCAGTGAGCTGGCGGCCTGCAGGAACAACAGGGGAGGGAGGGAAGAGAATGAAAACACCGAGAACAAAGTCCTCCTTTCCTAATACTTTAGCTTTCAGGCATGTTGAGCCTAGGGATGCCACTGGCTTTGTAACATTTTCACACATCTTTTCACTCAAGTACGTTAAAGTGCATTTCCAGCCCAGTAAGATGTTCTCATCTTAGTATCTTTTCAAAGTCCAGAAAAAAAGGCAATACTTCCTCAAGCCTGGATGTAAAAGTTTTGCCAGGTTCACAGGAATATATTGACAAGGTACACTGGAAGAAGGGGATGCTGATCATCTCCATGTCATCGCAGCTCAGGAACGGAAGCAGTCAAGGGAAAGGGCCCTGGCCCGGGGGTCCAGAAATGAGGAGGTTGGGCCTCCAATAAACTGCTGGACAAGAAGCAAATCCCCTCACTCTCTGGGCCATGTTTCTTTAACTACAGAATTAGAAGCTCAGTTAGATGGACAGGTAGGGTTCCATGACTGAGGAATAAGGCAGGGAGATGTGAGGCTGCATTTTAACACAGTATCAATCTCCCAGCCCTCAGAGCCTGATCCTCTCACCAACAGCAGAAGCCAGGAAGACGCCTGCAGGAAGTGGCACGGGGAGGAGGAGAGAGATGGGGTGGCTGCTTTTCCATGCTTCCTTATCTAATTTTTCTACTTCCCACATTTCTTCCTTTCCACTGAAGACAATGGCCATGTCTTTACTTAATATTTAACCACAGGCACAGCATACTGCTTAATACCAATGTATGAAAGCCCTGCTATTTCCTACTTATCTTCCTTCCTTGATCCTATTTCTGGGATTCTGTAAAAACATCTGACAACTCCTGGGCATTTCATAGGAAATATTTTCATTTTCTATATTTGCAATTAGGTTAATTACTGCCGTCTTTAAATAAGATTTCTCATGAGTTTTCAGAGACCACGCACCAATTATAAAATGGAACAGGTGGATGTAAAGCAGGAGACACAGAGCTGATGCCCCAGTGCTGAAGCTAGCCCAGGCAACCAGGCCTTGGCCATTTGAGTGCTTGCCTTGTAGAACAAATTGTTCTAAGAAGTTTTCCTATGCAAACCTACACAAGTCATCAAGGGAAACAAGCCTGGCATTTAGAAAGTAAACAGTGGGCTTGGTTTTCTTCCTGGCTACTCCAGGAGCTGAGGAGACAGTCCTGTGGAGGGCTGCAAAGGCGTTTAACAGAAAAGATGGTTCTGACTGCAGCTAGTGGGGGCAGGGAAGGGGAAGCTCTTCTGCCCCTTGGTCAGCCAGTAGGCGGGGAGCACAGGGAGCAGCCTGCTTTCTACCACAGCCTGCACCTGGAAGTGACCGTCTTGATGGCTGGGTGCTTAGCCTGAGAGATGGAGGGTCGGTAGGTGGGTGGTGCTGGGAACTAAGCGTTTGGTTCTCCATGCCTGTACAGGAAAAAGCAGGGTGAAATTTCTATCAGTGATCAGGAGAAGCTGGGCTACTGCAGTGTTCTGTGCACTTAGCACATGATATTGGATGTGCCTGGCCATCAGTCTTCCCTTACAGACTTGAGGCCAGGCTGTGTCTCATTCATGTTTCCTAAAAATGTTTCTCTGGCACAGAGAAAGTGTTCCATAAATACTGACAAAGTAAGTAATGTAGTGACAGGGTAGCAAAACAGGAGAACAGGCTGCAGGAGAAGGCTGCTTATCTACTTCCCATCCCTGGAGATCCTAATAACAAGAACTAAGAAGCCCCAGACACAGAGGGTTTGGACAGGGCCTCGCCAGAAGCCCAGGTGGAATCAGAAAATTTGTCAGGTTTGGCCGGGCGCGGGGGCAGGGGCAGAGAGGCACAGAGGCAGGAAGTCCACGGCATGTCAGGCAATGCAAGTGGTCCCGTAGGGAGGGACCTGACCAGGACGAGTCAGCATTTTATCTTGAGGGACTGAAAGCAAGTAATACCAAAACATTTTCATCCTTCAAAATTTCACTCTAGATATAGTATGGAGGATAGATCCAGCAGCAATGAGAGAAAGTGATACTCTAGGTGGAAAATATGAGGGCTTGAGTGAAGACAATGGCAATAACATGGAGAAGAGATGGATTCGAAGGATCGTCAGGGGGCAGAAAGCACAGGGTTTGCTTGTCTGTGGTGGGGGCGGGGGTGGGGATATGTGCAGGATGAGTCTTAAAATATCTGATTCAGGTGACTGAATGGAGAATGGCATCCTATAGGAAAAATCCAGGAGAAGCAGGATTGCAGGTAAGAAGATGAGTTCAGTTTTAAACCTGTTGACATTGTAAGAGTCTGTGTAACAGTCAAGTAGGGATACCTATTAGGCTGTTGGGTATGTTATGGACTGAATGTTGGTGTTCATATGTCGAAGCCTTAGCTCCCAATGTAATAGCACTTGGAGATGAGCTTTTGGGAGGTAATTAGATCATGAGAATGCAGTCCTCATGATGGGATTCATGCCCTTATAAGAAGCGATGTAGGAGATCCCTCTCTTTCCACCCTGTGAGGACACAGCAAAAAGGCAGCTGTTTGCGAACCAGAAGAGAGTTCTCACCAGGAACCAAATTGGCTGGCACCTTAATCTTGGACTTCTCAGCCTCCAAAACTGTCAGAAATAAATGTTGTTTAAGCCATCCAATCTACTGCATTTTATTATGGCAGGCTGTGTAGATTACTATAGTGCATGAATGGAAAGTTCAGGAAAAAGGCCTGGCCTAAAGATAAACTTTAGTTGAAATCATGGAATGTCAGAAAAAAAAAAAAATACCAGGGGCAAGTCCAGGAGAAATTCCAACACTTAAGGGGTAGGTAGAAGAGGAGCCTGCAGGCCAGGCGCGGTGGCTCACGCCTATAATTCCAGCACTTTGGGAGGCCGGGGTGGGTGGGTCACCTGAGCTCAGGAGTTTGGGACAAGCCTGGCCAACATGGTGAAACCCCATCTCTACTAAAATACAAAAATTAGCTGGGCATGGTGGTACATGCCTGTAATCCCAGCTGCTTGGGAGGCTGAAACAGGAGAATTGCGTGAACCCAGGAGGCGGAGGTTGCAGTCAGCTGAGATCATGCCACTGCACTCCAGCCTGGGCAATAGAGTGAGATTCTGTCTTGAGAAAAAAAAAAAGAGGACGAAGAAGCAGAGCCTACAAAGCATGCTGAAAAGCAGCTAGCAGAGTCAAGAGGGAAGGAGTGTGGGGTGCCCCAGAAGCTGCAAAGGTGCACTTCATTCCCGGGGCTGAGCACTACAGAGAAAGGTGGCCCTTAGGAACCCCTGCCTGGTAACTTCAGGAAGGGCTGGCAGGGCAGCAGACACCAGATTACTGGAGGTTGAAAAGATATCAAGAGTGGACAGAAAGACTGGGAGAAAATAAGAAAATAGACAGTGAGTACAGACAAGCTGTGCAAGAAGCCTGGCTACCAAGGAAAGGAGAGAGGTAAGGTCGTAGGTCGGGGGGAGACATAGGGACAAGGAAGGCTTAATTTTGCTCAGCTTTTAAGATAAGAAAGACCCGACCTTATCTATCTGCAGTTGGGCGAGGAAGGGCAAGTCAGCAATAGCAGATAATTTGGGTGAAGATTCAGGAGCATGAGATAACCAGTTGCTCAAAGTTCCAGAGGAGGCGAGATGGAGGTGGAATGCAGAGGCAGGTGACAGGAGAAGGTCACTGTCCACTGAGACAGAAGGGGGGGACAAGCAGGGCTGCTGAATGGTGAAGTAGCCCTGGCTGAGCTTGGGGATCACAAATGTGTAATCGGTCTGTGGGTGGCAGTTTTCTCCAGTGCTGTTCAGTGTCATAGGGCAAAAATGAAAAAATACTCCTGAGTTAATGTAGAATTGGGGTTTAGCCAGATTGGTACAGTCAAATGAGCAAGGAGTTACAAGCTCAGTCTCAAAGTGCTTGAAATGGCCACTTTTTGCCTTGAAACTGCAACAATAACAGCTTAAACTTAAACAGCACTTAGTATGCTTCAGGCACTGCACTAGTTTTATGTGTATGGGCTGAGTATCTCTATCTGAAATGCTTAGGACTACAGGTGTTTCAGATGTTAGAGTTGCCTATTTGCATATATATGAGATATCTTAGAGATGGGACCCATGTGTAAACATGAAATCCATTTATGTTTCATGTGTACCTTATATAGCCAAAGGTAATTTTACATAATTTTGTGCATGAAACAACATTTGTGTACATGAAACCATCAGAAAGCAAAGGTATCAAGAGTGGAATTTTCCACTTGCGGTGTCATGTCGGTGCTCAAAAAGTTACCGATCTTGGAGCATTTCAGATTTTGGATTTTCAGATTAAGGATGCTCAACCTGTATTAACTGATTTATCATCATAACTAAGAGGTAGTTACCAGGAATTGCGGGGAAGGGAGAGATGTAGGTCAAAGGATACAAAGTTGCAGGTATGTAGGATGAATAAGGCCAGAACTCTAATGTACGACACGAGGATTCTAGTTAATAATATCATATTCACAATCTTTGCTAAGAGAGTAGATGTTAGGTGCTTTTCTCACATTAAATAAAAAAAGTTTTATTTTCAAAAAAGGTCTATTTTGCCAAAAGGCTCCAAGCCCTTTCCCATGTTGGACTGTCTGCAGCTGGGGGAGGAGGGTCACCTCCAGGGGAACAGGGTCTCACCCAGGAAACCCTCTCCAGAAGGAGTCAGAGAAGCAGTATAGGGCACAACAGGGCAAGTGCCACAGGGGCAGTGGCTCCACCTGGCTTGGAGTCCCAGGGATGGCCAAGGGCAGCTGCTGCCAAATGATACAAAAGACAAAACTCCCCCAGGGAGGGAACAGTAGTAAGAACAGGGAAGAAAGAAAGACAGGCACAAAGAGGGAGAGAGGGAAGAGGCACACAATGAAAGTGAGCAACATCATTGAAAGCACTGCTGAAAACGATGAAAAGACATGACAAGACAGCACTTTCCAGCTCCTCAGAGTAAACATGTTTTTTCTGCACAACGGAGGGCCTGCTGACGTGTCAGGTGGGGCAGCTCCACTGGAAAGATAAACATTGCACTAAATGAAAAGCTCCCAAACATGAAGGTGAGATTCTCGTAAAAAAAACAACAGCCAACAGTTCAACTCTGGGCGCTCAAGGTGTGCCATTAGGCAACAATCTTAGTAGAGTCAAAAATGCTCTGGGAGAAGCATTTACAGTAAGAAGAAACACATTCCTAGCAGTTTATAGACAGTGAAAACGTGTGTGGGGCTGTAAAAAGGAAGTGACTAATGGGCTAGGCAGTAAACAGCCTTCCTTGATAAGAAAACATTTCCAATCCCAGAACCAAATGCTAATTCCAAATGCTCAGACTCAAAGTATGGTTTAGCTTCATGGCCTCGGCACTACACAATAACCAGAGGGCGTCCAGTTAATCATTTCACTTGGACCCGTCATAAAATCAGTACTGGAGAGGCCTTGTCTAGCTCCCTCACTGTACAGATGAGGTCATGTATTCTGGAGTCTGCATTGGAAAACTTAATAAACAGTGGGTACTTATAACATTAGAAAACTCGATAAACAGTGGGTACTTACGGAGAGCATATTATATGCTAGGCATTATGCTGCTTTACATACATTCTCTCACAATACCAGAGAGATGAGAAAACGAAGCTCCAGAGAGAGCATGAAATTTGCCAAGGATTAGCCAGCTGAAAGGTGGTAGAGTCAGGATTCAAGTCCCAGTGGTTCCAGTGCTGGAACCCAAACCCTCAGTGGCTCCTCTAGCCCATGGCTCCAACTCTCTCTCCATCATGCCATTCTGTCTCTTCATTTCTGTGGTTGTTAATTTTATGTGTCAACTGGGCTAGGCCACTACCATACCAAGGTATTTGGTCAAACATTATTCTAGATGTTGCTGTGAAGGTATTTTTTTAAGTGAGATTAACATTTAAATCAGTAGACTCTGAGCCAAGCCGATTACTCCCCCATAAGGTGGGAAGACCTCATCCAATCAGTTGAAGGTCTTTTTTTTTTTTTCCCCTTTTTTGGAGTTGGAGTTTCGCTCTTGTTGCCCAGGCTGGAGTGTAATGGTGCGATCTCGGCTCACCACAACCTCCACCTCCCGGGTTCAAGCAATTCTCCTACCTCAGCCTCCCCAGTAGCTGGGATTACAGGCATGCGCCACCACACCCAGCTAATTTTTTGTATTTTTAGTAGAGATGGGGTTTCTTCATGTTGGTCAGGCTGGTCTTGAACTCCCGACCTCAGGTGATCTGCCCGCCTTGGCCTCCCAAAGTGCTGGGATTACAGGCATGAGCCACTGCGCCCGGCAAAGTTGAAGGTCTTAATAGAGCAAAGGCCGACCTACCTGGAGGAAGAGAGAATTCTGCCATATAGGCCCATGAGCCATCTCTGTCTTTCTCTTTCTTTATATGTCCCTAACACAATTTCCATCACCCCACAGGTCCTCTCCTCACCTACACGAGCAGGGGAGAGCCCTTGCTGCCTCCCTTTATATTATTTAACATATCCAGCCCATGCTTGATCTCCTTGCAGAGACTCAGTGCTCTGTTGGACATCTTAAACCTTGAAGAAACTATCCTGGGCCTGATGGGCTTTTTTAGAATGGACCCAGGCGTTTCTTCACATAGAATATCAATTCCATTTTTCTTAGGAAGAGTGGTATACGGAAGCCAAGCAGCTGAGGTCTCACGTATAGTAATGTGATTTGGGAAAACTATCTCCAAAAAGGTAATATAAATGAGAGAGAAACATAGCTGGTATGCCTGTTATTTCCAAGCTGACCATCTGTTACAATCAAGGAGTGTGACCACACTGGCCTCTATTTGTACTCATGGTCACTGTCACCACCTTCTCATCAATACTCTGCTCAGCCTCCCAGTCTCACCTCATTTCTACCTGCTCCCCTGACACCAAGTGTCATCATTCCTCATCAAAAGGGGCTGCTTAAAAGTTGAAATCTCTACTTAATCTCTGTTCATTTTGGCATACAGTAAGCATTTAACAAACACTTGTTGACAATGACTAAAACATATGTACTCCTTGCCACACTCACTGGCTCTGTTTGTCAGTTTATTCAACAAGTCTTTACTGTGCTAGGAAGTCCCTACCCTCCCAGAGCTCACACTCCACTAAAGACAGAGGACGCTATGCTATATGTCTGGTACACAGTGGACTAAATGTTAATGTTAACGGCATCAGCCAGGAGTGAAGAAAACACAGGAACCCAGAAAAAAAGGGTTTAAATTTTCTGAACGAGAGTGGGAGCTGAAAGTCAGGCTTCCCAGAAGACAGTGCTGGGCTTGAAGGATGAGTAAGATGTCTGCATGGAGGTGAAGGCAGGGACCCATGGCAGAGGGAACGGCGTTGACTGTGGCTGAAAAGTCCATGATACTTACTATATGTTCAGGGCAGGAAGGAGCTCAGGGAACATGGGAGGAGTGAGGGAAGTAGTACTGAAAGAAAAGTATAGGAAGTGATCCTTATGGAATCCCCACTGAGTCCCCAGGGAATCGTGAATCACATCAAACCCACTCCACCCAGCAGACCACTGCAGGGGCCAGAAGTGCAAGGAGAGAGCAGCTCCCACTGCAAAAGGGAAATAAGATCTAGCCCTTGGTGTTGTTTACATAAAATGCTATCCAGGTGGTTCTCTCCACCTGGCCAGACCATATAACTCTGACCTCTGTGGCCAGCAGCTGAGTGACAGGTTCTGATTAAGTACTTGGAGATTAGATTAAATTCCTCCGATGGTTGTTCTGTGATAATAACAGTGTTCAAACATTCAACCTCTGGGCATCCTCTCTGCGTCCAACCGCTTTCACTCCAGGAATAGGTGTCTTCACCAGAGAAAATATCCTTTACTTTCTGGTTAAACTTTCTTTGTACATGTGTATACTGGCTGCCAATGTGACTGTGGGTTTAAAAGCTTCTGAGAGTTAGGATGTGGCTCTCTGCCAATCAGGCCACCAACGGGGCATGGGCATGACCAAAGAAGAGTTAACAATGTAAGACTTCAATCTTCTCCAGCTAGCAGTTCTTACGGCAAATCCTCCAATTCAGAAATGAGCAGATTGGTTTCTGTTCTTTGAGCCAAGCAACCAGCTAGAGGTCTGATGTGTCCTCCATATTAGTTATAGGAAACTGTCACCATTACGCTCTAAAAATTGACCAGCAGAGATATATAAAATATTCGCCAAAGTCTATCTATCTCTCTGTTTTATCTCTAAGCCCTAGATCACAGAGATGGAAAAATGTTAAGGTTTACATCACATTAGTACTACGGCCTGCTAAAACTGAGACTGGCCAAGGGTACATGACCAAATGCAAGGCTCCGTCTGTGTGATAATATTTTATGAGTCAAGATCACTGAGATGCTGTCATTAGTAATAGAATGTCACTACTTAATAGAAATGAGTAAGCCAAAAGAGAAGTAAAGTAATTCCCTCTAGTCACATAGAAACTGAGCACTAGGATGAAAATAATGTCAGGTTTTCAAGATTTATAACTAATATATATCCAAAGTATAAAGGCCATAAAAGTACAGTGAAAAGTCAATCTTCCTGCCACCTCAGCCACCCAGTTCCTTTTCCCAGGATGAACCACAGTTACCAGTTTCTTGTGTACTATTCTGGAGATATTCCATGCATAAGAAATGTGTGTGTGTGCATGCATGTGTATACATATATACCTACATATACACACACATTTAAATCTATACATTTTTAATACAATTGGTAGTACCTCATACCCACAATTCTATTTTTTTCCTTTATTCACAATTCTAAACTTTGACTTTTTTAAGTAAGCAAAATATCTTGAAGATGGCTTTAAATCAGTTCATAGAGAACTAACTTATTCTTCTTAATAGTTGTGCAGTATTCCATTATTTGTACCATATTGTATTGTAATTTATTTAAAAGTTCCCTCTTGCTGTTTCTGATCCTTTGGTTCTATAACAAATTCTTTGCTATGTAACCTTATATAGAAATCATTTCACACCTTTATGGGTTTACCTTTAGGATTCATTCTTAGAAGGGAATTTGAAGGAAATTTGGGGGTCAAAAGGCATATGAATTTTCAAATTCAATAAAGATTTCCACATTTTTCTCCATAGGGATTCCCTCTCTATCATACACTAAATTTGCAAACACATCTGGGTTTGTATATGAGTTTCCATTCTGATCCGCTCAGGCACTTATTTGAACATGAGTTTTACCTATTATAAGCACAGTTTTACTGGAAAGCCACTCCTCCTCTGCTATCATTCATCTTTTCCAGGATTTTTTCTATTCTTGTTTTTTTAAATTTTCACATATTTACTTAAAAATAATAGCATACATGTATGTGGTGCATACTCTGTGCCAAGCACCAGGCTCAGCATTTTAAAAGTATCAGTTTATCTAATTACGACAATAATTCTGAAGTGCACAGTACTACTATTTCTGTTTTTCAGAAGAGTAAACTAAAGCACAGAGAGGTTATGGAACTTGCCCAAGATCACACAGGCAGTGACTGGTGCAGCTACAATGCAAAGCAAAGGTCTTCTCTCTGAGCCACTTTGCAATGCTGCCATTTGCAGACTAGCATTTCTTTTGTTGTTTTTTAACTTTTTGAGTGGGATGCTTAATTCATTTGACTTTCATGATTTGTCATCTGTTAACGTAAATAACTAAACCTTTGAATTTTCCTCTGAGTGCTGCTTTAGCTATATCCCATGAGTTTTGAATACTGTAGCTTACTGTGGTACCTCTTTTGCTGTTAGAAATCATCATTCTCAGTAAACTATCGCAAGAACAAAAAACCAAACACCGCATATTCTCACTCATAGGTGGGAATTGAACAATGAGATCACATGGACACAGGAAGGGGAACATCACACTCTGGGGACTGTTGTGGGGTGGGGGGAGGGGGGAGGGATAGCTTTGGGAGATATACCTAATGCTAGATGATGAGTTAGTGGGTGCAGCGCACCAGCACGGCACATGTATACATATGTAACTAACCTGCACAATGTGCACATGTACCCTAAAACTTAAAGTATAATAATAAAAGAAAAAAAGAAAAGAAATCTGTATTGTCATGTTAAATTTATAGATAAACAAAGAGAGAATTAACATTTTTATGATGTTGAGCTTTCCCATCCAAGAATATGGCATGCCTTTCCATTTGTTTAAGATTTTTTCGTAGGTAACAAACACATTTTTATTGTGATTATTCATAAGTATCTTTTTTTTTAATTGTTATTTTAATGGATTTTTTTCCTCCACTATGACTTCTAACCAGCTGTTCTTGGAATATATGAAAATCACAAATATAGCTGTATGTGTTATTGAACTTTGACTTTCTAGCTGAATTCTCTTATTATTTCTAATAGTTCTCAGTTTATTTTCTTGGGTTTCCCATGTTAAAAATTAACATAAACAATATTTTTTTTATCTGCTCTTTTTCTTGCCCATACTTCATTTTTTCACATTTATTGTCTCCTTCCTGACTTTTTTTTTTTTGAGGCAGCCTAGCTCTGTAGCCCAAGCTGGAGTGCGGTGGCACAATCTTGGCTCACTGCAACTTCCGCCTCCTGAGTTGAAGCAATTCTCCTGCCTCAGCCTTCCAAGTAGCTGGGACTATAGGCGTGTACCACCACGCCTGGCTAATTTTTGTATTTTTAGTAGAAAATACAGGCAACATGGCAGGGATTTGCCATGTTGGCCAGGCTAGTCTTGAACTCCTGGGCTCAAGTGATCTGCTCATCTCAGCCTCCCAAAGTGCTAGGATTAACAGACTTGAGACACTGCGCCCGGCCTCCTTCCTGACTTTTAATGAGGCTTGAAAGTTGGGGATATTAAAATACTATCCATATTGAGGGCTTATAGAACTACAGAAGTTAGAAATTTAATAAAACAAACTAGGTAATTATAAATTTATGTTCTTTCTAATTTGTTTTATGGGGGTGCTTTTTTACTGAAAACTTCTTTGAAGTCAGATTTGGTAGTATAGCAGCTCTACCTCTCCCTGATATCCAGTTTAAATACTTCCTCATTTAATAATTTAAACATCTTTAATTTCTGTTATAAAAGTAATACGTGTTCCTTAAAGAGAATCTAGAATTTAGAGAGAAACGGAAAAAATAAAATGTTTCTTAAAATGAGTTCACAGCCTGGGGGTCAGGGCAGTGATCCACCAGAGCCTACTGTGTGCACTGCCTTCCCACCCACATCCACAGAAGCCGCAGTGCCTACCTGGGTCTCCTGAGCTGTTGCTGTTCCTCTCGCTCTCTCCATCTTCCTGGCCATCTGCATTCTGCTGCGTGTGCTGCAGGCTCAGCTTGTGGCAGACCTCAAAGGCCTGCCCCACCGTCCGAACGATTCTCATAGCTTGGCTCTGGGAAGGAGAAAGGAGAAGAACAGGATGGGTGAGGATGCGCAAGGGGCATGTGGATAGAAACTCATGAAGCAGCCAAAGAAAGAGACAGAAAAATCTAAAGTTGTTCAGATATGCACATACAAATGAGTGCAAAGACATTTCCCCTTTCTGAAATACTCCAGAAAACAGAAACTGTCACCACAGTGCTGAAACAATCAGTCAACTGAAAGGACAGATAGCAAATATGCCAGTTATGGACTTAGCCCCAATTCTTCCCTCCCATGTGTAACAGAAGTAGTCAATATGCTTCAGAATCTTTTGCCAGCCATGATAAAATGTTCAATGGGTCCATCAAACTAAGAGGAACTCGGCTATCATTTTTTTCTTTTTTGAATGCTGCTGCAAATGTTGAGTTTCCCTGGAGCTCCTGCAGACCAAGGGCAGTGGTAACATGAGGCTTGGAAGCCATGGCCTAAACAGCAGAAACCAATGGAAGCTCAGCACCCAGCTCCTCTGGAACACCACTAGTTGGCAGCCAACTAAATCTAAGGTGACACTTTCCCAGACTTACTCCAAAGACCTCACGTTCTTGGGTCTATTCTGTGGCTCCTTCCTTTCTTTTGTTTTGGTATTTAATCTCTTGCTTTAAGAGCCCAAGAAGAGAACTTGACCCTAGTTCCCAGTATTCCACCATTTAACTAGGAGAAGAGAGAGAGGACAAAGAAGCCTGCTCCTATGTAGAGTCTTAGGCCACCCATGCAGGCTGTGAGGAAGAGCCACATGCAGGGGTTCCAGGGCATGGCCTCAAAGGTGGATAACTGATTATGGTTTGAAGATGTCAGCTTTTGCTTTCTTTCAAGGACAGAAATGAGTGATGTGGTTTATTTAGAGTTTCAGAGCTCAGGCTGGGAAGGGCTCAGCACACTGCTTCTCTTACCTCAGTGGGCCTCAAGCATCCCACCACCATGGGCTACAATTTAATCTAATTGTGATTGTCACCCTATACTCAAGTCTAACATTCATCGTGTTTTGGATGATCTGACTTCAGGTCAGCCATGGCCACCTGTTGACACCATATAGTCCATCAATCACATCCACCTCCCACCCACCCCAGGTAATGGCAGCAATCAAGTAGGGCTTTTCATCAGCATGAGGTAGCTGGTATTACATTACCTAACTGATATCCAGTGTTTTGATAAGTCTAGAAGGCCTTGTTGAAGGTAGTAATAAAAAAGATGAGCTAATGGTAATATGAAATGTATAAATGAAGCTCATATTACAATGAGCTCATCTTTCTTATTACTATCTTTGTGAACTCCTAGGGACCTTGGAACCCTGTGCATGGAACAACTGCTGTAGTCCATTCTCTGCTGGGTATAACTTCTAGAATTGCTTCTCCTCAAGCCTGGAGTCATTTCTATGTTCCTTCTGCTTATTTCAGGCCAGAGCATCCATATTAATGTGAAAGGCATCTTGACTAATTATCATCTACATGTCAATTTGAGATCTCAGTCAACTCTACTGCTCCCTATATTCTTCAGTTCAAATCTACTCCTAGAAGTAATTGTTTTACAGCTCTAACCTTTCTTAGCCATTAGACTAACTCCAGAGATATTCTCCATTGGTCTCTCACCTGAAATATCCTGACACTTCTGGGAGATAAGAACCTTAAGCGAAGCAGGAGGAGATGGGTAACTTCTGTGGGGTCCACCATCACCCAGTGGCGAATCAGAACCTCTGTTTTCTACATCTACCCTTAATTTCCTCCTGTGTCCACAGGGCAGGCTTAGGCCCCTTCTCATACCATAGGCTTGCAGTGTGTAAGACATGACTGTTCTATCTGCACAGGAAGTTGAGAAGCAGTAGGCATCAGTCCTAAGCAAGAAGCCCCTACACTTCCCACTCCCAAAACACACAAAAAGGCGTGATTTAGAAGACACAGTCCCTAACAAATGTGGGCTAGGAACACTCCAGCTTTCTACATTTCCTTTAGCCACCAAGCTGTGCTGTGCTTAGGAGGCTGTGCCAGGAAGCTTAACTCTCAGGTGAAAAGGGAGAAGTAAAGGCTCCTACATCCGAAACTGTTATTCCCCTAGGCCTTGAGATTTTTTGGTTCCTATTCCTTTTATGAGAGTAAGAGCAGACTGCCTATGGTTAATCGTCTACGGCAAAGCTCGTTACTAGTTTACTAAACCTTAGGTATGACTTTATTCTGCCTACCACTGTCCTACCAGTGTCCACTATACAGAAACCTTCCTCTACTTTCTTCTCTGACTCTTGGGAATTTTGCTCCCCCAGGTATCTTTACAAAAGGTAAAAAAGGTAAATGTTTTAGGTTGTAACAATAAAATATGGTAAGTCCAAATGATATGTAGAGATTAAGTGTTTAATTCCATTACTTTCTTCTCTTACATGAATTAACCCAGATATCTCATACTGAATAAATATCTGCAAAGACTGAGTTAGTCTTTTCCCGTCGGTTTCATTCCCAGGGTACAGATTAAAATACAGTTCCCCCTTTAAAATACAGTTATATAGAAAATTCTAAATTCACTACTGAGTTTGTTCCTATAACATCTCAGGTTTTCCTAAGGAGGACGTGTTACAAATTCCATCATCTCTGTAAATCACAGATACTTCCTTTAACCAGCTTTTAAGATGATATTAAAAATTTAAAGATCCTCAAACAAATGTCCCTGATCTATGGGATTAGACAGGGGTAGGAATCGAATTTCTAAATTTATCTTTGGAAGGAATCCCTCAGATTTAAATAAGAGGATAAAGGTGGTGGGAGAATGACTTCACAGAGGACCTGTATTTCTCAGGCATCACAAGATGACAATGGATGATGGGCTATGCTCAGAACTGAGCATCTTAAGAATATAGACTCCAGCTCAAATCTCTATTCTGCCACCTTTATCAAGGACAAACATGTGCAACATACTCACATATTCAACCATCTATAAGCCCAAAGTGGCTGTAAGGAAGTAGGCTGGTTTTAATGGTTAATATTGATAACACTTCATTTTCACATTTTACTAGTATTTTTTACTAGGATCAGCAGCTGACCCTAACCTCTACCTGATTCCCCTGAAAAAGTAGGAAATGCAGACTTTAGGTTTACTGGTTCTGCCTTCCCCATGCTGGAAAGGGCATCCCATCCTTCAGCCTCCCATTTCCTTCCTATCCTCCCTCCACCCGTTGTTCTCTACGGTATTTCTGTAACTGCACTGAAAAACTGAATATATGATAGCACCTACCACAGTGCCTGGCATATAGTAAATGCTCAAGAAATGTTTTATCCTGACTATGGAATTCACTGCACCAAGAGGCAATTAAGACAGAAAAGAAAAAGCAGTGCAGGAAAGGTGGAACAATTTTTATCATAGTAGAAACATAAAGCGACTAAGGGAATCACCTCTTACTTATGTATGCTAACATCCAAAAGGCTGTGCATCAGATAGCATAGCCTCCACCATAGCAGCACAGGAAAATTCCTGAGCCAAATGGATCTTTGGTCTGAGCTAGTATGATAGTTTCTACATGTGAGGAAATTGTTGCATTAAGAGTTCTAGATCTGCATACTGAGTGGTAAACAGTTTAATAATTAAATTAATAAATTAAATGGTTTAATTTATCCTTTATTTTACTCCTTTAATGTGAAGGTTATATTTCTATTCACAGTAAAAGGACACTGTAGCATGTTTCATAAAGAGCCCTCTGCACTGGAACACATAATCAAGCTACTCTAACTGTTTCACAGAATGACTACATACATACACATAAAAGAATTGCCCTTCCTATCTACCACTCAGGGAGTCAGAAGGGGCTAAACAGCTCCTCACTGTACTCATAAATGGCTATGTGAGTTCTGATGTCCCTTGACCTTTTAGGCTCTCCTTGCTTCACCATTAAAAAGTCTACTTTTAGAGGATTCTATATGGGGACCTCGTTAGGGAGGTGATTACTTAAAGGTGGTCAGTAGAGGCAGCCTGTGCCTGGGAGGGGCTGTGTCTTCACCATCTGCTTTCTGCACAGCCATGCTGGCTCCTGCCTGCTAGGCCTACCCCACTTAGTTACCCCACCTTCTGGCCTGCAGGGCAAGAAAACTGGTTCTGCCTTCAACCCCAAAATGCAAGAATCACACACGCTGGGATTTTATCATTAATTAGCCATGTCTGCACCCAAGAGGGAGAACTCTGGTAAATAGCAGCTTTAAAAAGTCCCTTCCAGAAGTTTTTATGAATGCTTGTCTGTGGGTCTTCTAGATCACAGTGAAGCAGTTGCTCCCACCTCATGACGACATACAGGCCTTTGGAGACTAAAGCAGAGGTTTAAAGATTGAAGGCAGTGAGGTACAAAGGGTAAACAAGTGGAACCTTGAGAAAGCAGCCTTTTTGAGTTCCAAAATCTGGCCATTCTCTGGAATTTACTAGATTTTTTTTTTTTTTAAAAAAAGCATCATTATACTGCATTATTTCTGTACAAATCCAGTTTAGTTTTACATAAGCCCATAAAAGTGCTTTGCCACACGGATCAAATCTTCTCGTCCAAAAGCCATTTTCTATTAGCAGCCCAAAAGCATTTGTGGGCTCTTCATTGTCAAGATTAGGCTGGATATGGTTGCTTTGATATTTTCAAAGCTGGAAAGGGATCTCTAACCTCAGAGTGGCTCTTAGCTCCAGATGGAGAGCCTGCTCATGGGAGTGTCAACTACAGGCAATTTTGTGAAAATACAGCTGGAAAGGGAGCTTAAAACTGTATACACTTACCTTATACACACAGCAATGTTTCTTCAAACCACCCATCTTTTCACGCTGACACAGCTCCTTCTCCCACAACCCTAGGACATCCCTCAAGCCAGAACCAAAGTTAAGTCCAAATGCAATGAACAGCTGTTCTCCTCAGCACACCTAATGTGGGTATCAACTTCATACCTAGCAGGAGTCAACATTTGATGAACTGCGGCAATGGTCATGAAAATAACACTATATTCACAATCACTGTGGGTTGTACACCCGAAAGCAAACAAAAGCCGACAGTGGTAGCTTTAGGAAGACATAAATCAAAAGGTTGATTCCTGTACCTCACTGGCCCATAGAAAAATTATAGTCAATCATGATTTTATTTTCTCCCATCAAAGTACACACCAGACCCCACCCTGCTTAGCTAATGAGATCAGACACATTCAAGGTGGTATGGCCATAGACCATGATTTTATTTTCTATTCTCTTTCTTAACGACTTTGTAGTTGGTTGGTCCTATAAAATTTGGGAATCTTTAAGTGCCATATGCATGTAAAGAATGGTTCTTATTAGTCATATTCTATAGCTGATTTGATAAATAATTTTGGGCACTGTTCTGAATTTCACTGTCCTGGAAGAAGCTCTCTCTTTACTTTACAACTTACAAAGAGGATTAAGAGTCACCAGATAAGCAAGTAGAGAGTATAAGTACAAAATACCAGATGAAGATGATGATGACAATGACAATAATAAGAGGAGAAAAGAGAATAATGGGGGCACACATCTTTCAAGTAAGGTTCTTTAATGGTCTACCAGCTCTCTAGTTTACTATTCCCCTGTCCCCTCCTCCACTCCCCCTCTCCCCCATCTCTTTTGGGTACTCAAATTTGACTGACAAGTGGTTCTGAATTTTAGAGAACTGAAGTCCATGAGGTCAGCTGTGGGACAGCTCACAGATTTATAATTCTTATCTATCACAGCAATACAAGATAATGTCCTTGTCTTGACCTTAACTGCCACAGAATCTCAACAAAAACAGAACTGAATGTCATGTTTCTTTAATGTATTTTTTTGGGTTGGGGGGAATCTTAGTAAAAGATTCAGCTTATATCTATCAAATGATCTTAATCTATGGAATTTACAATGCCAAAGCATGAAAATACATTTATATTTGGACTTCTACATACAGTAGGATCTACAGTACTAAGGCTCTGAAATGGTAGATGGGTTAGGTTTTTGTCCAACACATTATTTTGTGGCTTTGATTATATAATTTGGTTGAGGTGATGCCTTGGACATCAGAATATTGCTCAGTATAAGGAAAGTTTAGTTTCAAAGCAGGTGTGATTTTCTACATTGACAGGACATACTGCATCTTAAAGTTTCCAACAGATAGCTGTGTTTTTCCTTCTACTCTGCTAGTCCATGAAACTTAGTACCCCAGAGAAAAGAAGTCTGAGTTACAATCCCAGTGCTGTCAGAACCAACTGGGTGACTGTGGACAGTTAATTCTCCTTTCTCAGTATTGATTTTCTCATCCACAAAGAGAGTGATTCAGACTAGATGAGTTCTGAGACCCATGATTCCTGCATTTTGACTTCCCAACTCAACCTAAAGTATAAAAAACAGACTCTTTCCCTAACTTTAGAACTTTCCTATCTTTCATCTCGTAAGTTTGACCAGGCAAGTGACTTATTCTTTAGCACATGGCTGTCATCATCATTCAAAATCCATTGCAACCTCTAAAGGACAGTTCAACTTCACAGCTGTGGCCCCCAATTTGATAGTGACAGCATTATAGGAGGAAATTATTTCTCCTAACCCAAACCAATCGAGCTGTGATTGCAGGCAAAATTATTTCAAGGAGCTGCCCATGAAGATAATGGGGAGATGCCTGCAGCTCCTGTTAATCACCAGCACTTCACGCACTGATGCATTAATAAGTGCAGTCACTGGTAATCAGGGCAGACAGCCATATACTCCTAGAGCTAGAAGAAAATGACAGGAGGATGACATCCACTCCACGGGAGAGGTCAAGAGACCATGCAAGAGTCTTCTCGAGAGGCAAAAGGCCCTGCAAATGAATACTATCATTATATCCCCCAAGGAGGGGAAACAAGGAATGCCCATGTTATTAGCAAGCATCTCCACTGGATGCTCACAGTGAGGAAAAGACCCACTCCCATCCCTCCTTTCTAGCATGGGTCTGAAGAGTGCTAGGGTCCCTCCACCACAATCCTGACAATCCTTCCCAGTCACAGAGAATTTGTTCCTTAAAGATGACGTCACTTCACACACAACAATCAGCACTCCTGAGATGCCTTTCATCTTATTTGATGGCTAGAGAAAACTCAAGTCCAGAAAGGCTCACGTATCTTTCTTATGAGTTTTGTGTAATAGGGTTTAGCGTTCAAAGTCCTGGCCTGAGAAGGAGGAAGCCTGTTTCTAATTTCAGTGGCATCATTGATTCACTGTGTGACCAAGGGTGATTTACTTCCTTGGGCCTTTTCTTCTTCAACTACAAAATTGAGTCAATATTAACTACAAAAAGATACTATGAGGAAAAAAGGAAAATCTATGTTAAAGTGATTTGGGCCATTCGGAGTTAAGGAGCTCTTCATACCCATGTAATAATTACAGCAGAACCCAGTTACAAATGGGTCTTGGAAAACAAAGCAACTTCTGAGTTATATAACTTCCTCATGAGCCAACAACAATAGTATAATGGAGTGGGTAAGAGTGTGAGCTCCACAGTCAGACCCTCTGGGTTCAGTTCTGACTCCATTACTTGTTGAGTCTTTACACACATTATGTACCTTTAGGCCCCATTTTCCCACCTATAAAATGAAGAGCATAACAGCACCTACCTCACAGGGCTGCTGTGGGAATAAAGTTAGATCATTCATGTAAAGAGCTTTGAACAGTCTCAGGCATATAGCAACTAATCAAAACAGGTTAGATATTATTATCTGATGTAATATGAGGCTGGAACTTAGATAATCTAGAGTATAGAAGAATAGCAGGTACCATGTTATATTCCTGCAATATTTTTGCTTTCTAGCTTCTGGTGAAAGCCCACTTGAAAAAAAACTTAGCTCAAGGATACAACTCCCAAGGTGGGAGCCACACTGGCTATCTGTGTGAGTGGCCCAAGGAAGATCCATAGGTACAGAGTAATAGCTGTGCAGGGAACAAGGTCGAGGGAGGCCCTCAACCAGGAAAGCTAAGACATCTGACCCATATTCTCAACCAAGAGAGGAGGTAACCCTTTCCCCATGTGAACTCTAGGGTGATGATGACACCCCATTAGAGGTCATGAGCATATACGCAGGGGACATGATGTGATATGAAACAGCAATAACCAAAGTCCCAACACAAAAAGGATCTCAGACAAGGTTTTTCTACACTATGACCAACACGAGGGCTCCGGAGAACACCCACATCTGCGGGCTTCCAGTCAAGAGGACTCCCTATTGACTTCCAACAACCCAGCAACATCTCTGCAACACACATGTCCTCTATAGTCCTTTCCCCCCGCCCACCACTTCTGAAGCATTCCTATGATTTGCCAGTTAAAACTCCTTCCCAAGTTAACTATTACCTCTTGACATTAGAAGTGCTTTATAAAAAAGGTAAATCACCATGTTTGGAGGCTAAGCAGAAGGGCAAGCAAAACCTTGCAGATGTGTTCCCCAGCCCTCCCCAGTTCTGCATCCTTTGCCGAACAATTCACTTCCCTTTCTTAGCTTGGAAACCAGCCTTCCCACCTACAGCTCAGCAGCAACAGGGCTCAACGCCCAGGCTGACTGGAAACAATCCCCTCAGCTGCATGGCTCCAGGCCAGGAAAGGGCCTGAGAACCAACTCTATGAAGAGCTAGGGTCTCAGTAGGTGAGGATGAAAGCGGTATAGGAAACAGGAAAGCCAGAGATCAGAATTCGCTGTAAGAGCTACGAGACATGGAAAAAAAATTGACATGATAGGGAACCAGATGACTACTCCTTTTCACGGATAATGGGAACTCCATTCTGTGCTTCACTTCAAGATCAAAGTTCCAAGTGAGCACTGGTCTTAAACTCAGGTTTTGTCAGAAGTGGATGCCCCCACTGCGTCCGTATTGCTATGTTAGATCTGATAGCAAGGCAAATATAACATAATGGTCCTCTTACCTAGGTTTCCTGCTCAAAATTCTTTTGTCCTGCATGTCTCCCTGGTTCTATTCTAGCCAGTGCCTATTCATGAGAACTCAGGCAAGTCATTTAACCTCTCTGAGCCTCAGTTTATTCATCGGTAAAATTGGGAAGTGAAAGTTACATGTCTTACCTTCTTTACAGACGTGTTATAAGGATAAAATAAGATTAACTATTAAAGAACCTGGCAAATGATAATGCGTTATTTGTAACTCTAATAAATTCCAAGGTCCACATGGTCCAGTCTTTGTACGAAACTAAAGTCAGAAGCACAGTCAAATACTCAAAATGAATTAAAAGGGAATTCCAGTCTTTTGTTGCATCTGTCAGAACCTTACAGACGAGCCAATTCATGACCATCAGGGAGACTTTGTATTTCCTTTTCTCTCCTCCCCAGGTCCCCTACACAAGGCCACATACGAGCCTTTCACTTTCCCAAACTCTAAACTTTCTCATCTCCAGCGCCTATGGCTTTTCTTTTTCTCCCTCTTCCTATTCCCCTTTCTATCAGTTCTTTAATGCAGCTTGACTTAGCCTCATTTATGTTTTTTCCCTCTCAGCTATACTATTATCTAGATGTGAAGTCTGGCAAGTTACTCTTTTATTCCTGCCATCTTTCCAGTTGTAGCACTTTTCATCCAACTCCATGATTTGCATTTAAAAAGCCTGGAACAGGGTGGTTAAGGGCACAAATCTCCATAGAGGAAGAGGCTAAGTTAACAAAGCATAATTCTCTTTGTGGAGCTAGGGTAGGGAATAGGACACCCATCAGTAAATCTGGACCCTGGCATGTGTTATTGACAAGGTACTTGACAAGGTACCTAAACATCTGCTAAAGAGGCCTGAAGACAAAAGATGCATAAAATGAAGTTCTTGTAGAAAGCCAGGCTTAGTAGTTTGTTTCTAGAATGATGGACTTACTAGGGTCCTTAGGGGCACAAATAGTGTTTTCCAAAATCTCTTCTGCAGAAAAACAGTTCCCAGGATATTAACACATATTACATGGAAAAAATATGATTCCATTGTGAAATTAGTTTGGGAAATTCTGGGTTAAACAACATGTTTTTTATCATCAGACCTTCTCAGCAACTTAAATCAGGTAGTTTTAACATGAAACATTTTGGCTGATAAATGTTTTACAGAACAC
Source organism: Homo sapiens (assembly GCF_000001405.40). Taxonomy (NCBI): domain Eukaryota; kingdom Metazoa; phylum Chordata; class Mammalia; order Primates; family Hominidae; genus Homo; species Homo sapiens. The sequence continues at coordinate 162,333,771 of NC_000001.11, read as the reverse complement.
ATTTAGGAAATGCTGATTTTGACGATTCTTTTCATTTTATAGATGAGAACGCTGGGACCTACATAACGTCACTCAGGGTTCCAGTGAGAGGCAGGGCTAGATCCTAGGCTTCTAAAACCCCAGTTGTGTGTGTTAGACTCCTGGGGGAATGACATTAACATAAAGAATGCCTCTTCAGAATCCTCAAAGTTGCATTTACTTGAGTATCAAGGTTGCCATAACAAATAATCACCCAGGATAACCAATATCACACACTGAGTCTAAACCAGACTCCATGTGTATTCATATTTTGTAGCCCCCTAATCAATATACAGAATTGTGATGAAGGGTCTCCTTAGTAAATGACAATGCTTTTTTCCTACCCCAAGGCTAAGGTTAGCATCACTCCCGGTGCTGTTTAACTGCTCTCATCCCAGAGCACGTAGTCAACGGTCAATCCCTTTGCATTTATCTGTATGTAACTAAGTACAAAGTTCAGATGATGCTAAAAGAGAATTCCATTATATAGGAGCAATGACAGACGACTGAGATAGTTGCCCCATGTCGGCATTACCACAGCTGTCTTCAACAGGGAGACGGGCCAATGTTGGGGGTGCTTTGGAACCATTAGAGGAAAATAGCAGATGGACGGCAACCGCCTCTTTACCTTCTTCTTGGATTTAAAGACGTTACACCTGAAGATATTGCTGGCACCATCTCGAGCGATATAGCTGAAGATCTTCAAGTCTTGGGAATCATGAGAGACATAGAAGATCCTAAAGGAAGAACAACAGAAAAATGCACTGAAAATGGCCTTAGGTTCAAATCTCCAACCAGGAAAGCTCTGTTTAAGGACACTCTGAAGCACAGCTCATGAGAGCCAAGTTATTACAGAAAGTCTTCTTCCTTCAGGATCAAAAAGTCACAATGCAGGAGGCACTTTCAACAGATTCCACAAACACTAACACTGTGACTTTCAGATTTGGTAGAGGGGGCAGGGGTAGGACATGGAACCGACACTATTGTTAACCATCTCCTGAGGTGGCAAATCTGTCCCTGTAACTTGTATGTTAGAAGGAAAAATCATTCCCATCCTTATCAGAGCAACAAACCTGCTTCTTACCCAGAGAGATGCATACACGTTTTCTGATGCCTGTTTACAATTATCCCCAAATGCAGAAACTTAGGGAACCAGCAATGTTTACCACATTGGGAGGGACTAAGATACTCTTAGTTCCTTTGGTGATAGTGATCCCACTCTCTGTCCCCTCTCTGCCTGGACCACAGCATCCATGTGTTCATTCCATGATTCAACCAATGCCACTGAGTGCACACTGTGGGCCAGGCACTATCCCAGCAGCCAGGGTCACAACAGGAACAGGACAGAAAAAGCCCCTGAACTCATGGAGCTTACACGTAGACAATGCAAATAAGCAAATATAAAATAAGTGCTATGAAGAAAAATAAGGCAGACTAAGGGATGGAGCATGATGGGGGCTATTTTAGACAGGGTAGCCAGGGAGGTCACACTGAGAGGCTGAGATCTGAATGGGGTAAGGGAGACAGTCACTGAGACACCTGGGCCAAACCATGGCAGGAAGTGGGAATAGCAAGTTTACAAGCCCTGCAGTGTTCAGAAGGTATTAAAAGCATTCAAGGAACACCCAGGGAGGCTCAACGGAGTGTGGTTCAAGTGGAGTATGGTCAGCAACAAGGTAATAGATGCAGCCAGAGGCCAAAATGTAGAAGGCTTTGAAGGTCGTGGCTTATATTCTACGTGAGATGAGAAGCCATCGGCTTTTAAGCAGAGGACTGACTTGCTTATGCTTTAAACTAAAGGATCATTCTGGCTGCTTGGGGTGGGCAGAGGTAGGAACAAGGGGAGGCTGGAGAAAGGGGGAAAATTATAAGCAAGGCCCTAGAGGCTGCATCTTAAGATGGCTTAGGACAGGGCCCCCCCAGGGCCTCCAGGTCTGACTGCTGTGGGGTCGGTGCAGGGAGTTGGAGCGGGTGCATCAGTGGAATTAGTTTTGGGCAGTCCAAGGAGTGTATTGCTCTTGGTAGCACCTAAGAGGCCACATCATTTCTGCAAAACATTTTTCACCACTAACAACACTGATGGCTTTCATTCAAGGAGTTAACAGGTCTGATTTGTTTTAGTGTAGGTCTGTGCTGTATAGAAGAAAGAGAATGGGATTGAGAGTCTACAACTTCATCTACGACTTTGCCACTTACTAAAAAATAAGTTATGTCACCCCTCAGAGGCTCAGTTTTGTTATCTGTACAATGGGACTACTAATAGTAACCCTTCCAAGAGTTATTGAGGAGGTAGAATAGTTAGTAAAATGCCATCTTACATCCCCTTACTGATATAGCCTCTAAACAGCCTAGTAACTGAGATTCTTGCCACAGGACCCCAAGAAGCCTGGGAGGAAAGTCCAAAAGAAAGGTGGGCACAGAGAGGAAAACAACACTGTGAAAAAACCCAAGTTCACCTTGGGGACTGTAGTTTCTCTGCTACACTCAGCTAGCAGGCATTTCAGTACATCTCACATGTCTATCATCTCTAAATGGTTCTGAAATAGAGGCTGTTTAGTGTGGTTTCCAGTCCCCTATCCTTCTAATGATGTCAAACTGTCTTCCTAACATCAAAGGGACAAATCTACAATTGTATCTCAGCATCTCCTGCCTGAGTTCCAGGCCCATTCAGCCAACCTTCCTGGACATCTCCTCCTGAATGGTTCTCAAGCTTCTCAAATTCCTCATACCCCCGAGTGAATTCATCATATTCCCCATAATTCTCCATGTCCTATCTTGATAAGGGGACACCATACCTACTCAAGCCAGAAACCCAGGTGTCATTCTCAACAGCTTCCTCCATTGTTCCCCAATAGCCATCACTCAGGAGCAAGTTCCTTGCAGACTCGCTCCCTAATATGTCTCTGATTTATGTTTTTCTCTTCAACTCCAAGCTATTGATCATCTAGAGTTCTCATTTTTCACCTGGATTTTTACAACATCCTGTAAACAGTGTGCTGCTCTGCTTCCTAACTCACCTATTGTCAACCCATTCTCTACATTGCCAGCAAAGTGTTATTTTTAAAAAAGACAAATTACATCCCATCATTTTCCTCTTAAAGCCATCCAAAGGCTTCCTACTGCTTTTAGGATAAAGTCCAAACTCCTTAGCATGGTGTACCTACCTTTCTGCAGTCATCTCTCTCCAGAGTCCTGACCTACACAGGCCTGCAGAACTAGGTGTGTGCATCTTCCCAATTCTGCAACTGCTGTGAACACCTTTGATGGCCGCCAAGACTTGGTTCAGAGCAGCCTTCCCCTCCCTTTTCTTCAGCAGTCTGAGTTGCTGAATACCCTGGGGCTCAACGTTGCCACAGCACATATCTCACACTATGATGTTTTTACATGTGCTCCTTGAAGGAACAAGGAACACATCTTGGTATCCCCAGTGCCAGCACAGTGATTGGCACATGGGAGGTTCCTTGCCTGCTTAGAAGGGAGGGAGGTGTTCCAGCTGTCATTAATGCTCATCTATAATGTGATCTGCCTGGCTATTCATTTTCCCCAAGGAAGTCAGATCCAGTTAGTTCAGCATCATACGTAAAACTTCTTGGATTCTTTAGTTAACTTATTCTTATGTAATACCCTAAGGACTGAGAACTGGATTTAAAACTGATACAGCAGATTTGAATGCAAACTGGCATGCCCACAAGACACAGAGATGTGGAAGGAACAGAGGAACGGCAGTAAGCCAAGGTTAACTTAACCTTAACAGATAAAGCATCTTTTCAGAAAATCTGATGAGAACTGTACATGGATGCAGCCACTGCCTTTGGACCACAGCTCTCTGGAGACTGCTCTGCTATATCTGATTTCAGAAACTTAGCGTGTTGTTATTAAAAGTAAATAATCTCTAGCTAACCAAAAAGTCAGCTAGTTAAAGCTTAGAAAAGTTTCCACCAACATAACCAAGAGGCAGAAAGTTTTTCCATGCGACCTCATTCATCAACAAACTAATAAATCCGCAAATTAATGTCTCTTGGGTCCAAATTTCCAGATCAAGAAATACATTCCAAGAACCCTTATTTCTCCATTACTTGGTTTTCTTAAGCACTGTGATTGTGGGGGTGGTAGAAATTGGGGGAGAGTAGAGGAAGGTGAGTGCTCAAGAGAATAGGAAAGATTTCCCTTTTTCTTTCCTTCTTCATCTTTACCCTTAAGTCAGTCTAGCCTAGTTCTGATAATCCTGCTTCCAAAAAGTACCTTAGTCAATTTTCCCAACTTTCACTATAATTATAAAGAGTAGGATACCAAAGTAGTTCATATAATGTTAATAAGGTTTTATTCCCCCTTCAACTTTCCTAAAATTTCTTCTCCTTTAAATTTCTTTTCTCTCTCTCTCTCTCTCTCTCTTTTTTTCTTGGTGAAATCTTGGCTCACTGCAACCTCTGCCTCCCAGGTTCAAGTGATACTTGTGCTTCAGCCTCCTGAGTAGCTGGGATTATAGGTGTAAGCCACCACAGCTGGCCCTAAAATTTCTTACTTTTATTTCAAAATATGTATAGCATTATAATTTTTACTTACTAACAGAACTGTTATGCTTTTACACAGTAATAAACCTTTCTGCAGATTCATCATATGTCCACAGACTTACCATAAATGACTGAAAGAAAAACATTATCTGGAAGAAACTGGATTTTGGGTTTATCATCATGCTGGAATTTAGGTTGACAACGTGATTTTAAAAACAACTAGATTCACCACCAATACCCCCCTTCTCAAACTATTCATCTATAGGTAAACTCGCTTCTCTTAAGATCATAGAAAAACAACAACAACAGCAGCAACAACAATTTAGAGTAGAAAGAAACCTATGGGGTCATAAGGCCTGGATACAAGCCAGCATCTCTGTCTGTCAGGATTCATCACTGATAGGCAATTCACTCTCTAACAAAGTATCTGATCCCTTTTTAAGAGGTTCTAGTTACCAGGAAATTTTCCCTCATGTTGACTGGAATTCTGCCAACAGGAATGCAGTGGAGGAAAATGGCTGAGAACACTGGCCCTGAGGGGGACAGACCTGGATTTCAGCCCAAGCTTTGCCACTTACTAGCTGGGACACCCTGGTCATTATCTCAACCCCCTTCTTGTTCTTCACCTGTGAAACAGGTATGATCATTGTGCTGTACCTCACTCATGCTAGTAAGGTTTAAAGAATGAGTATGTGCAGAGGGGTCAGCTTACAGCAAATGGTTAATAAATGTGAACTGCTCTAATTACTGCCACACTACTGCTCTAGTTCCATCCTTAGGGATCTCAGAGAACAAGGCTACTCCTCTTCCAAATGGCCAACATTTTAATATATGGAAACAATATCATGTTTATATTTACTCCTTTCTTAAGTTTATTTTAAGTTCCGGGGTACATGTGCAGGATGGACGGGTTTGTTACATAGGTAAATGTGTGCCATGGTGATTTGCTGAACCTATCAACCCATCACCTAGGTATTAATCCCAGCATGCATTAGCTATTCTTCCTGATGCCCTCCCCACTCTCCGACTCCTCTGCACTCCTTTCATTTTTAAAGTGAATTACTTCTTCCTTCAACAGTTTCTCAGTTGGCTCATTTTCCAAGTCCCTTATTTCTCTGGCAGGTTTGCACTGTGGAAAGAGCATGGGCTTGGGGATGAGAAAGATCCAGGTTCAAGTCTTAGCTTTGCCATCTTCTAGCTGCTGGCCTGAGGCAAAAAACTCAGTTACATAATCCTTCATTTCCTCATCTAAAATAGGCATATTAATGACTTCTTCATGGTATTGTTTTAAGCATTAAAACACACATACCACATTTTACACAATGCCCAACACATGTTAAGTTGCTTGCTCAATAAATATGAGTTCCATCTTCTCTTAACTTTTTCCGTACATATTCCAACTTGCCAGTGACTATCTTAAAATGCAGCTCACAGAACTGAACTCATTTGTGAGGGATCTGAACAGCACAGAGTATATTTGGATAAATATTTTCTATGCCCTAGAACTGAATTTTTAGCAAAGCATCTCTGATCATGTTTTTTTTCTTCTGTTATAACATCTCATTGCTGGTTCACACTGTAGTCTACTCAAATGCTCAAAGCTAATTTGCGCAACAGCTGTAAGGCAGATTTCCTGAACATACTTGGGTAACTGGTTTTTTAGGACTAGCTCTCAGTGTTCATGATTTCCTTTTCCAAGTTCTCACAGACCATCTGCTTAATGATCTCTTCTAGAATTCTGCCCAGGAGCAATGACAAATTCACTAGTTGGTAATTCCTGATGCAGGTTTGCCCCCTTTCTAAAAACTGCAATATTTTATTTTTGCAATCTTTTTGTTTCTTCTCCATCCCTCATGATTTTGCAAAAGATGACCAATCACTATTTTGCAATCATATTTTTCAGGAACCCAGAAGCCAGTGATTCAGGCCTGGACACATGGTAGTGAGGAATACCTTCCTTTTTCCTCTTGGTTTTGAACTTCGGTTTTTTAAAATTACATATGTTCTAGTGTTTCTAATTTGAAGATCAGTTCTCTACTTGAGAAGAAAAAAACCAAGACAGTTAGAAAAATGGGATTGAGATTTTCCCCTTGCCATGTGCCAACTCTCTCTTCCTTCACACCCCTTTTTCTCTCATCTTCAGCCTTTTCCATAAGCCTAATGCATTCAGGGTTTCAGTTCTCTCAGTAATTGTTGTTCCTTTGCACTCATACTTGTTTTTAAGCTCTGCTTTCCATATTGTATACTTTTCAAGAAGCATTTTATGAAAATCTGGGCAGTCACATGATTTTTCTTCATGATCTCACATTTTTGGGGCCTGACTAGAATCAATTATGTTGTCTTCAAGTTCTCATCCTTTATTCCCTCTTTCAGTCTCTGGCCATGAGACCTCATCTTACTCTGTCATCATCCCTGGCCTCATCCAATAATCCAACTGAACACCTGAATAGAACAAACAGGTTGAGTAAGAGGGAATGCCTCCTGCCTGATTGCTTTGAGCTGGGACATTGGTCTTTTCCAGCCAGGTCAGACTCTTCTTGGGTCTCAAGCCTGCCAATGTGCAGACTGAAACTCACACCATCAGCTTTCCTGGTTCTCAGGTCTTCAGACTCAGACTGGAACCATATATTAGCATTCCTGGGTCTCCACCTTCCCAATTGCAGATCTTGGAACTTCTCAGCCTCCATAATCATGTGAGCCAATTCCTTAACTATTTCTTATATGTGCCTGTATATATTAAGTATGTGTACCTATACATAAACACATGTAATATGTGTAAGCATGCACACCCACACATATATCCTATTGGTTCTGTTTCACTGGAGAATCCTAACACAGCCATATTCCCCCAGGTATTAGCATTCTACCTCTAATGCCCCTCATCTCCATGGGGACTGCCTGCTGACTTTAGGACTGCAGAGGCTGTGAAAGGTCTCCAGTCACCTGCAAGGTTTCCTGAGTCTACATCCATGTTCCTCGCCTCCTGCTCAAGATCCACTGGGTCTCTCCCAGCAAGCCCAGGACCTGCCACGCAATTCTCTCCTGCCATAGCCCAAAACAGAACTTTAGGGTAGAGGATGTAGACTACCAAGGGGCCTTGAGCAAATTATTTTCCTTCTCTCAACCTTCTTCTTTTTTAATCGTTGAAGTGAGAATAATAAAAACATCTTTCAGGGTGATTATAAGGTTCAGATGCGACAACAGATGCACAAATATTCTCTAACCCATGAAATGTTGTACAAATACTTGAAAACTGTGGAAACAAACTTAGAAATGTCAAGTGGAAAAACAAAGAGAAATATTTCTTGTTCTCCCAACATCAGTATCTCTCGGTGGGGCTAGGGGAGTCTCCAGTGTGTGGTATAGAGATTTTTCTCTTGAGGTCCTGGAACGCATGGGCATTCCTAACCCCAAAAGACATGCTGCAGCACAGAGCGAAATGAAACCAGCTGATAAAGATAAGGTACCAAGTCACCTGAAGATGGTGGAGACAAAATCAAGTGGTATTCTTAAGGAAAACCTCTGGGAAAGTAAGAAGCACAATGTGACACATGCAGAAGTCGGAAAACAGAATCAACCTGCTGCTCAAGACCAGATAAATGAGGCCTAACTGTGAAGGCATGGTCCTGGGAAATCCAGCATGACTCCTGGTCTCGGGAAGAAGGGTTCCCTAAGCGTCCCAGCCCATGTGATTCTGGGGGGCCCAATGTGTTATCCTTAGAGGGACTGGGGAAAATATCAGAAGGGGTGGTGGGTTGACGAGAGTCTCCAAATGCTTCACTGATAGAACACCACCAGACACTATAGGAAGAATGCACCCCTTACTCCTATCCCCAGCATGCTGCCTGCCTACTGGTGTGTCTTTTTCTCTTCTCAACCAGCCCTGCAGCATGAACACAGTTTCACACTCCTGTCGCAGCTGTTACTCATTCTTTTCCTCATCTATCTTATTTATTTTTAATTTAATCTTTATATAACATTGTCTCCCATCTTGATCACTGTTCTCTCTTATGACTGCTTTGGTCTGATTATCATTTTCCCCCCACTGTATATACAGGGCTTTTTAATCACATCAGCTGGCTTGCTTTTATTTGAAGTTATTGTAATTTCCATCTTCTTCATTCCTCATTTTAGCCATTCTCGATTTGATGACTACCTTCCTCAGGGCTATTTGGCAAAAAAGAAGGGTAATAAACTCATGAAATGGTGCCTGAAATCCCTCATGGAACTGGTCTCCTTACTTCACAGCCTGACTTCCACAGACACCTGAAGTGTGGGGCCACACTGTCAAGTCGCCCCTTGTCACCATGACTGGGATGTATATCACAGATCTGCTTCATCGCAGCACAGTCTGGAAGGAAGCCTGGGATTCCAGGGCTGGGAGAGACCTCGAGAGACAGTCAAGCTCATCACTTCAACTGCAGGCAGAGAAATGCAAATATAAGAGCTGATTCCTAAGGTTTCTTCAATGAATAAAATTATACAAATGTCTAACTTATTGTTACAAAGATCTACTGTGTGCCTAGAGTAACGAATAAGCAACCAATTGAGGTTTTAAGACCTAGCGAGAGCCAGACAAATGCATCTTTATCTTCTGAAAGTCTAGCTAAGGCACCCTCATGGCCTACATCAGCAGTTAATTTATGTTTTAATTTCACAGCTGTTAAGTTTTTTCTTATGTCCCACTAAAACCTCCCCTGCTTTACTTGAATCAACCACAAACCACCACACAGCACTTTCTAAATGCCAAGTACTGGGATAAATTAATTTCTTCTTGTTCAGTACTTGACAGGGAGGCAAAAAAAAAAAAAAAAAAAAAAAAAAAAGGCTAGTGTCCCTCACAAAACCACTACACAAAAATCCTTTCATATATTTCAAGACTTTAATTTCTCTCCAACACTCATAATTTCTCCAAAATAACCATCACCTGCTATTGGCTGTCAAAAACCAAATCTATTTACACAGGCTGCCAATTTATTTCTTCTGTGTGTCTGTGTTATCTGAGTTCATACATGTAGCTTGTTCACATTTGGGGGGCTTAAACCATCCATCCCACACTTTTCAGGACCCTCGGACTTCCTGAGGGTTGTGCTCAGAGACACAACTTCCCTCCCAGAGCCAGAAAAAAGAGAGAAAATGAACACACCACAAATATTAGGGGCACTAGTTTGACTGGTGTATGCTGGAGGAGCATCATCTAGAAAATTACCTCTTCCTCTTCTCTTTTTTCGTTTATCCTCTTGCTTTCAAGCCAGCAAATACCTTCCTTCAAGTGTTATATGCAGAGAGGCATTAGGCAAAATCTTCCCAGTGCAAAATAATCATCAACAAAGGTTCGCACCCTTCCTTGTCCACTCCCCAGTATACACTGAGATGCCTGTAATTTTGTGGAATAGAAGACCTGACAGAACAGAGCCAAAGGCTCAGTCGAGGTTGCAGCTCGTCTGCTTTCTCAAAACAAGTTAATACTCTGAGCCTTAGTTTTCTTAACTGCAAAATGGGATAAGAAGAGGTTCACAGGACTGTTACAAGAATCAAATGAAATAACTTACATATAGGGTCTGCCGCATAGTAGTTGCTCAAAAAAATCTTTACTAAATTGAAGTGATCAAAGAAGAATATTTGCTAATCTATTGTGTGTTTACCATCTGTCAGGTACTGCTTAAGCACTTTACAGGCAAAAACTCATCTAATCCTCACAACAACTGTATGAAGTGGATACAGTTATTATCTCCATTTTACAGATGAAGAAACAGAGAGGTAACCCCTGTGCATTTTCTTAAGGTCACACAGCCAGTAGTATCTGTATTAATTTCTTAGGGCTGCTGTAACAATTATTACAAGTCGGATAGCTTAAAACAACAGAAATTTCATTTCTCACAGTTCAGGAGGCCAGAAGTCAAAAATCAAGGCTGATTCCTTCTAGAGGCTCTCAGGGAGAATCTATTCCACATCTCTCCTAGCTTCTGGCTGCTGCCAACAATCCTTGGCATTCTTGGGTTTGCAGCAGCGTCACTCTAGTCTGCTCCCGCTGCCTTCCCACGGCATTCTGCCCTGTGTCTCCTCTGTCTCTGTGTCCAAATTTCCCTCTTCTTGTAAGGACCCTGGTCATTGGATTTAGGGTCCACCCTAATCTAATATGACCTCACCTTAATTACATCTGCAAACTCCCTATATTCAAATAACATCCACATTCACAGGTACCGGGGTGAGGAACATATCCTAACATAGCTTTCTAAGGGACATATTTCAACTCACTATAGTATCTGCATTAGAATTGGAACCCTAGCAATCTTCACCAAGTTCTGAAAACTGCTGCACCATCTGCCTGATTAATCATCAGATATCATTTGAATATTGAATGTCATTCATTACCCGTATTACTATTGTTTTCTCTATACCTGGGCTAGAAATTAGTCCCATGTTACATTTATGCCACCTGGAAAGCCTGGATTTTTTTATTCCTCTTATGTTTCCAAGTCCTGGATGTCTTCATAGATGTCTCTATGGTCACCAACAAATTCATTCTCATGTTGGTAAGATTTTCAGGGGACACGTGGGTAAGAGGTGCTGGATTTCTTTATCATCCCTGACTGATTGTCCACTTTCCATCCATGTTTCTTCAAATAAACCAATCCAGGGATATGATACACATCATAAGCACATCTTGTTTTTCCAAGGCAGTTGAGTTCCCACTTGAGCGTCTGAGGATTCCCACCATAACTCCCTCTGTACCTGACTCTAACTCCATACCTCTCATGCCACCTGCTCAGCATGTGAGGAGTCCCATGTGCCATGACGGGAAATGAAGAAAGAGTATCCACCTCCTTCCCCAAGCTTCCCAGGGGTGGGAGCATGCCTGGCTGGCAGGTCCAGATACTTTTCTTTTCTAATATTTTTATTTTTCCAGTTGCTCTGACCTGCCTACCTCATGCTGTATCTGAGGAAGAGGAAGTCAGAATCAGAACTCACCTGAAGGCACTTCCTCCCAGGACTTGAAGATAAGATGACAAGCCACTGCTGGTGGCTTGTGTGTACTCCAGGCATCAGCATTTCTAATTCTCACCTGCCCCACCCTCAGGTCAATGTCCAGGCCATTCTGATTTGGCCTGGGACAACTCACTCTCAATCACAATCTAGTGTCTTTTTCTTTTTTGTGTGTTTTTTAGAAATTATTTTATTATTTTAGATGCAGGGGGTTACATTTGTAGGTTTGTTACACGGATATATTGCGCAAGGCTGGAGTTTGGGCTTCTTTTGAACCCGTCACCCAAACAGTGCACGCAGCACCAACGGGAACTTTTTCAGTCCTTGTCCCCCCTTCTCCCTCTTCCCTTTTGGAGTCCCCAGTGTCTGTTGTTTCCATCTTTATGGCCATGTGTATCCATTGTTTAGCTCCCATTCGTAAGTAGGAACATGCAGTCTTTGGTTTTCTGTTTCTGTTTTAATTCACTCAGGATAATGGCCTGCAGCTGCATCCATGTTGCTTTTATATATATATATATATATATTTTTTTTTTTTTAATTATACTTTAAGTTCTAGGGTACATGTGCACAACGTGCAGGTTTGTTACATATGTATACATGTGCCATGTTGGTGTGCTGCACCCATGAACTCGTCATTTACATTAGGTATATCTCCTAATGCTATCCCTCTCCCCTACCCCTACCCCACAACAGGCCCTGGTGTGTGATGTCCCCCACCCTGTGTCCAAGTGTTCTCATTGTTCAATTCCCACCTATGAGTGAGAACATGTGGTGTTTGGTTTTCTGTCCTTGCGATAGTTTGCTCAGAATGATGGTTTCCAGCTCCATCCATGTCCCTACAATGGACATGAACTCATCATTTTTTATGGCTGCATAGTATTCCATGGTGTATATGTGCCACATTTTCTTAATCCAGTCTATCATTGTTGGACATTTGGGTTGGTTCCAAGTCTTTGCTATTGTGAATAGCGCCAATGGAACAGAACAGAGCCCTCAGAAATAATACCACACATCTACAACTATCTGATCTTTGACAAACCTGACAAAAACAAGAAATGGGGAAAGGATTCCCTACTCAACAAATGGTGCTGGGAAAATTGGCTAGCCATATGTAGAAAGCTGAAACTGGATCCCTTCCTTACACCTTATACAAAAATTAATTCAAGATGGATTAAAGACTTAAATGTTAGACCCAAAACCATAAACACCCTAGGAGAAAACCTAGGCAATACCATTCAGGACACAGGCATGTTGCTGCTTTTTAAAGGACTGTGTACCTTTACTTCCAGGCCATTGGCAAACCTTAAAAAAAAGTGGGGGAGAAAAATGAACCCATTCCTATTTGACCTCGTTTTGATTTCCAATTACTTTTTTATTTTTTATTTTTATTTATTTATTTTTTTGAGATGGTGTCTCACTCTGTCACCAGGCTGGAATGCAGTGGTGCAATCTCGGCTCACTACAACCTCCACCTCCCTGGTTCAAGCGATTCTCCTGCCTCAGCCTCCCGAGTAGCTGGGACTACAGGCGCGCGCCACCACGCTCAGCTAATTTTTCTATTTTTAGTAGAGACGGGGTTTCACCATGTTGGCCAGGATGGTCTCGATCTCTTGACCTTGTGATCCTCCCGCCTCGGCCTCCCAAAGTGCTGGGATTACAGGCGTGAGCCACCGCTCCCGGCTCCAATTACTTTTTAAAAGTCTTGTATCTTTCTTTTGGCAATGTGGGGAGGGGGTGGTTGGAAGGCAGCATGTAAGGACCCTTCCTCTTCTCTTTTCTCAAGTTTATCCTTTTGCTTTCAAGCAAACGAATACTTTCCTTCAAGTGTTATATGCAGAGAGGCATTAGGCAAAATCTTCCCAGTGCAAAATAATCATCAACAAAGGTTTGTACACTTGCTTGTCCACTCCTTGTCCACAAAGGGTGGAGAAATGTGAGCAGAAGGCTGTGAAGGAGGCAAGTCCTTGCCTGAGAATTCCTGTTATTTTCATCTGCTGTATGCCAGAAGCTCTTTTCTCATTGTCTCCCCACCACCGAAAAGCAGGTGTCGGGGTGGTCCAGCATGACCTCTCTTCTAAGATACGCACATCTTACTCCGTACCCCGCCCCCCTTGGCCCCATATTGGCTTCTCCAAGATACAGAGCTGAGTCTGCTTCAGAGACTGCCCTGAGGAGCTCAGGGGGTACAGACAGGGTGTGGCAAGTGCGGACAGAGGAATGGAGCCAGTGAAACGCGGAGGAGGATGCAGCCAGCTGCCTGTGGGAACTGGGAAGGCACACAGGGAGCTGCTGCCTGAGCTGTGACTCGAAGACAACGTGGGAGGTGGCAGGATTGTGGGGTGGGGAATGTGTCAGTCAGGGTCCTGGCAGGAAACAGAGTATGTGAGTAGGCTGAAGAGAGTTTAATACAGGACTGTTCACAAAGGTGAGGGCAGTGCAGTGTCCCTGGGAGCCCTCAGCACCCCAAGTCCAGAGAGGCAGGGCAGGGAGCAGTTTCCAGAGCCAAGAGAGGAAGAGCTGTGTGCCATCTGGCAGGAGCTCTCAGGACAGGTCTACACAGGCCAGCCTCCCTGGGCACTGAGGACAGTGGGGAGGGCTGCTGAGCAGATCTGGGACAATGGAAATCTATCCATCACCGAGACAGAAGAGCAGGGAGAGCCCTTGCAATGGAAACTGCATGTGGAAAGGCATGAGGTCATGAGGTAGCACAGTTTGCCTGGGTACAGGGATTGCAGGGCATACAGAAGGACTGGTGGGAGATGGGGACAGAAGGAGGTCAGGGCCAATTGTGGAGAGCCCAGCTACAGAGCTCAGACTTCACCTTGTGGGCTCAGGGCAAGGATGGGAGTCTAAGCAGGGGGATCACATGGCTGGTAGTCATGGTGGTGTGGAGGATGGATTGGAGGAGGGCAGGAGCAGAAGGAAGGCCACCAAGAGCCTACTGCAATACAGAATGCTTAGGGGAATCAACAGAATCTGGACCTGGGGCTTGCTGTCAGAAGAACCGGACTCAAATCCCCATTCTGCTGCTTACATTTGTGAGCTACTGGGTGAGTCTTTCAATGCTCAAGTTTTAGTTTTCTCATCTACAAACAGGGGAGCTGTTGTGAGAATTACAGTTTGGGAAATAAGTGCAGGGCACCTGGGCTCAGGGCCCTGAATGACACACCTGGAGCGATGCACAGCACAGTCTATGCAGCCAGACAAACCAACCCTGAGTCCAGGCAAGAAACACTGGAGGCCTAACAAAGGCAGGGGCAGCCACCATGGGGAGAGCAGGTGGACACAAGAATCATTTCTCTGGGTGTGATAATGAGAGGGAAGGATATGATTCTGAGCTGTGTAACTTGGCAGATGGACTAAACATTAATGGGGTCAAGGGCCACAGAAGGAAAAAAGAACTAAGGAACATGGAAGGAGGAGGAGTGGTGTGGCTCTGGACAGGTCAGATTTGAGAAGGCAAAAGCCAGATGGAATTGTCTAAGAGGCAATTGGAAATAAGGGATGGAGGGGATAGAGTGTGGGGGCAGAGGAGCATAGACTGGGATTTAGAGGGTGGTTGAAGCCATAGGAAATACGACATCCCCTGAGGATCAAGAAGAAGAAGAAGAAAGGGGGCTCATTGAGAGAATCCCACTAACAGTACCCATTTAAATGGAGGGCGTAATAGGAGGAGTCAGAAAAAAAAATACTGAGCAGAAAAAGACCAAGAGATCTGAGGAGGAACAAGAGAAAACAATCGTGGAAGCTGAGGGAGCAGAGAGTCTCCAGAAGGGTGGAAAGACCCACAGCATTAAGTGCTTCACAGAGACTGAATAAGATGCAGACAGAAAGCGAGCCAGGGATTCTGCAACTAAGACATCCCTGGTGGCCTTAGCAAGAGCAGTCTCAGTAGAGTAGCTCAGGAAGCCCAATTAAAATGAGCTGAAAAGTGAATGGGAGTTTTGGAAATATAGATAGCAAATGCAGTTTCTCCAAAGAGTCTGGCAGTGAAACGGCAAGACAGGATGGTGGGTTTGAGGGTCATCTTTTCTTTTTAGGATGGCAAAACCTAAGCCTATTTATAGGCTAGAAAATAAGGGACAAAACAGAAATAGCCTCAAGATCTAGGGGAATGTAGGGAAAATGATGGCTCAAGACAGAGACAGCAGAAGGCAGAGTGCAAGAAGAGGAGCTCGCCTGGGGTCCGAGACAGCACCAACTATGAACCTGCCACTAAGGTGGGGGCCAGTCCTACCCCTGGCTTGTATCCCTCTCCCTTTCTTGGGCAGTATTTTGGTGGCCCTTATGAAGTAGCTAAGCCTTTCCCTGCGAGAGAGCTAATGCCGTTTTGATGTGGAAGTAGGAGTGGGGCTGGTTAAGGCAAGAGGTCAGTTTAATGTTTAGTAAAGTGTCCTGATAAAAAGCAAGGGCTGTTGTAACTGCCCCAGACCTGCATTTCACCCATCTGTTACTGACTTCCCTTTCTCATAGGAAGGAACCAGAAACGTGACATGGATCAAAAGGACAGTACGTGAAATCAAAATCATTTTGCTGTTATTTTCTTAGAGAGGAGATTCATATGAATTCCTCCTGGCTCTCAGGACCTGAGGGATGGGGCTCATGTAGATATACGAGGGCTGGAAGGGTGGGGAGGCCTAGCCAATACTACATGCTCTCTTGGGATCTGTTTATGAGTCTTGCAGTCTCTCTTTTACATTTAGCTTTTCAAATTCCCCTTCATCAGCTGAGGTGTTTGACAGGCTAAATTGTTTCCTTGGGGTTTTGTCCTTCTCATGAGTGAACAAAGGTAATCAAGAGAAATTTAGGTTTAACTCTTTTACTAAGAAAATTCTTCTTACATACATATACACATACAAAAAACTTTGGTGTGTGTATGTGCACGTGTGTGTACGCATGTGTATATACATATATCTCTCTATATATTTTTAACAGTGTTTGAGTCTGAGGACACACCACTGGCCCAGACCCTGGACGGCTGCTCCGACTCTGGAAGGAAATGCACCTGCACTACCTCATCTCCCCCAGCAATCAGGTCCATCTCCAACAATTAATTATGTGCTGATGGGAGACACTGAGCAACGATGAGCTCATGTGTAGATCTCATCTGTCAGGGGCTGCCATTCTGAGGTTCTTCTTGCTCACCTCCTCCAAAAAACCTTTTATTGGAGCAATTAATACAAACAAGATGAACACATTTACCCTTTATGATGGCTTCATTTCTCCCACCCACCCCCTTATCATTATGAATTATCAGTAAAAACTGCAACAAATGAGACAAGAGATGAGGTCAATGTCAGGCCTCTGAGCCCAAGCTAAGCCATCATATCCCCAGTGACCTGCACATATACATCCAGATGGCCTGAAGCAACTGAAGATCCACAAAAGAAGTGAAAATAACCTTAACTGATGACATTCCACCATTGTGATTTGCTTCTGCCCACCCTAACTGATCAATGTACTTTGTAATCTCCCCCACCTTTAAGAAGGTTCTTTGTAATTCTCCCCACCCTTGAGAATGTACTTTGTGAGATCCACCCCCTGCCCCTAAAACATTGCTCTTAACTCCACTGCCTATCCCAAAACCTCTAAGAACTAATGATAATCCCACCACCCTTTGCTGACTCTCTTTTGGGACTCAGTCTGCCTGCACCCAGGTGAAATAAACAGCCATGTTGCTCACACAAAGCCTGTTTGGGGGTCTCTTCACATGGACATGTAAGACAGTCAAAGGCCAAGATAATCCACGAGAAAAGATAATCAGGCCCTAAAGCAAAGAGCTAACTGCACAGCAGTAGCTGGACAGGACTGGCATCCTCGGCCAACCAGAGGAAGGAGGGTGTGCATTTTCAAAGGCAGCTTTGCTTAGTGGTTAAACCCACAACATCAAGAGGTGCTGGGCTCTCTTCCTGAGCAAAGCTGAACAAAGTCATTCGACTTCTTGTTTCTCAGTGTTCTCAACTGCGATGCTGTCTTTTTAGTATTATTTGTGTGCTGCTTGTTATCTTCTATTAGAATATATGTTCTGATGTTCTAATGTTAACATTTTTTGCCACTGTTCTCAAATACCTTCACATATGGGCTGTGTTCAGTGCTCAACACACTTTTTTTATATAGGTGGGTTGGTTCATTCATTCGTTCGTTCATTCATTCATCCACTCAGTCCCGAATAAAAGTCTACAGAATGAGTGTAATTAATTTCTGGGAATTGTGCAAAAGTTTAATAAGTCAATTACATGGAATAAATACGTATTGAGCCCTATTGTGTGTGAGACAAGTGGTTAAGGAGCCCCAAAGATAGATAAGATACAGTTCCTACTAAAAACTATGATAGATAAACTACAATAAAAGGATAAACTTAAGGGCTGTATAGCACCTTAGGGTCCAAAGGACAAACCTTAATTAGATCCCCACTGTGGGGGTAGGGATGAAATCAGGAAAGCATTCCTGGTGGATGTGTTATTTACAATAAACGTTGAAAGATTAATAAGAATTTGACAGGCAGAAATGTTAAGCCAAATACAGAGGACTCCTCAGTTAATCATGGTTTGATCATGGTGACTGCCAGCAACTGGGAAAGGCTGTAACTCCTCAAAAGCCAGTTCTCAGGGTCTCCTGATAAAGGATGTGGAGACTTGCAGATAACCCAGCTTTTTCCACTCCATCTTTCCCAAATTCTGTGCTTAACCCTCTGGACCTCGCAGTCATCCTCACCTCTCCAGTTTGAGGTCTGCCACCAGAGAGGAAGCCAAGGCTCACAGTCTGATTGTGGTCTCAGAGGTGTGACGCCACCATCCTTCCTCCCAATTGTGCCAGGACACAAGATGGAAGCCACGGAAAGCTTACCCAGTCAGGCCAGAGGACAGGGCACTGTGGCAGTATCTAGACAGGTGTTTAGTGCAAAATGCTCATGCTGCGGAGTAAGCTACAACACGGTCCTACTACAAGCCCAGAGGTTATCTATTAATATTAAAGGTTTGTCAGGCAGGGGCTACAGCTCCAAATCAAGACCAATCTTTATTTACCTTTGGGGTTAGGGTTGGCCCTTTACTCTGGCCCTTTACTCTAGGCCTTCACATGGTCCTTACATGTCAGTGTAAAACCCAGGCCCTAGGCCAACATTCCCATCATCCATGTGATTCCAAGGACACTGAGGGTAACATAAAGGTCCCTCCTAAGCGAATCCTCTTCCCTTTAATAATCTGAAACTCACCAACATGAGATTGGTTTGTTTTGAATGACTCCTCTAACAAAATGCAAATATCTCTTGGGAAGGTAAATAAAATTTATTAAGCATTCAAACATTAAATCATTAATAAAGTTAGATTGGTTTGTTTTTTTCTCCTCCTACTCTTACTTGAGCAGTAGAAGAGCCAATGCTAAACCTTCCCAGCTTTAGATGCAAATATTCAAAGATGATGTTCAACACTTACTGGCAAAATAGGAGTCTTACCTTGGAATTCATAAACATGCAGGACTCTGGGGTACATGAATTCTCCTAAAATTCAAAACTTTGCAAGAATGATTTTTTTCCTATGGAGAAAATACAGTTTTCAGCAGATTCTCAAAGGTATTTGTATCCCAGAAAAGGTCAAGACCATCTGATGGACTCCCAGGCCAGTGCCAATTTGGTAACAAGGAGAGAAGACAAGGAAAGAAGTGTTTGTTTTATTTTGCACACACTTTCCCTTCTGAGATTCTTCAATGTTTTGCACAAATTCTAAATTGATTCCCTTTACACATTTAAGAAGAATAAAATGAAGCACAGAGTAAGGAAATTTGACACCAGCCAATCATTTTGTTGTAGAACTGTGACCAGCCTGTTTCCCTGCTCCCCTGTTACTTTCTCCATAGGGTAATTCCCTCCCTGGCAAACAGTATTTAATTTTGTGAAGTTTTCTAAAGGTGGCCTAATTTAATTTTCCATCATTAGTGTAAAAGATGCCCTCTAGGGCCAGGCCCAGAGAGGCGGATCCAGAGGTTTAATTTTGATTGCTTTGGTAGCTATTTTCAGTTTCCTGCTGTGCAGGTCTATGGGCTCTCTCATGAGCTCCCTGCCCTGGGGGCTGTGATAACCCTTCCCAGTTTTAGATACAAAAGGGTTATGCAAGGGTAGAAGACAAGGCCACCAAAAGGATAAATCAGCTTAGTAGCCTTTTTGAGATGAATATTTTAGTGCAGCAAACAAGCAAATCAAGGCTGCCCCAGCTTTGTCGTGAAGTATGTATTTATTGAGCACCTACTATACACTAAGAATCCTTCTAGGCACTTGGGATGCAACAGTAAAACATGCATGGTCCCCACCCTCATGGAGTTCATGCTAAGAGTTACCATGACACAAATTTCCATGTTTCAGGATGACTGAATTTAAAATCAAGCGGGAGGCCAGCAGAGGCAGAAAGCCCTCAGAAAGGACAAAGGTAAAAGCACTGAAGCTTCAACCTGAGATCACTGGGGCCTCCTTTCCCTCCCTCATTTACTCTATATTCAGACACCACTAGTCTGAATGGTCCATGCTTAAAACAGCCCACAGGCTGACTGCTTTCTATGCATTTCTACTGCTGTCACCCAGTTTGGCCAGACCCAGATACTCTCCCCATTACACTCAGATCCCCAAGCAATCTCTCTTCAGTCCATCTCACTGACAGGAGTTTCTTTCCATTTGGGATGAGTTGCATTCCAAGCCAGACTGGTTTTCCTAAAATATCACTTTCACTTTGGAACTCTCAGAGCCAAAGCCATCATGGGAAGACTGCAAGTATAGATGTGGGAGGCAGCTCTTGATATATTACTGAGAGAAAAACAGGATAATTTAGAACTAAATGTAGAATATTAGAGTTTGAAAGAATATCCGAGTGTCAATATATTTGCATATGGAGCAGTACTAGGAGGAATAGGTGTTGAAGAAAGAAAACGGACACTTTCCTTTATAAAACTCTTCACTACTTTATTTTTAGTAACAGTTATGTATTATTTGGTCATTTTAAAACTTATGCCTCACCTTCCCCTGAATATTTATCTAAAAACTATCATGGAAAGTTTAATAGAAGTCACAGTGAGATCCTTGAGGGCATGGGAGACACCCTGTTTGTCTTTGCATTCCAAGCGCTTTCTACATAGAGGCATGAAATGACTTTTGAAAAGAAAGGGTGAATAGGAGTGGTGAGAGAGGGCATCCCTGTCTTGTGCCAGTTTTCAAAGGGAATGCTTCCAGTTTTTGCCCATTCAGTATGATATTGGCTGTGGGTTTGTCATAGATAGCTCTCATTATTTT
This sequence comes from Homo sapiens, assembly GCF_000001405.40. NCBI lineage: Eukaryota > Metazoa > Chordata > Mammalia > Primates > Hominidae > Homo > Homo sapiens. The sequence continues at coordinate 162,312,981 of NC_000001.11, read as the reverse complement.
GAAATACGTCCCATCAATACCTAATTTGTTGAGAGTTTTTAGCATGAAGGGTTGTTGAATTTTGTCAAAGGCTTTTTCTGCATCTATTGAGATAATCATGTGGTTTTTGTCTTTGGCTCTGTTTATATGCTGGATTACATTTATTGATTTGCATATATTGAACCAGCCTTGCATCCCAGGGATGAAGCCCACTTGATCATGGTGGATAAGCTTTTTGACGTGCTGCTGGATTCGTTTTGCCAGTATTTTATCTTAAACGTTAGACCTAAAACCATAAAAACCCTAGAAGAAAACCTAGGCATTACCATTCAGGACATAGGCATGGGCAAGGACTTCATGTCTAAAACACCAAAAGCAATGGCAACAAAAGCCAAAATTGACAAATGGGATCTAATTAAACTAAAGAGCTTCTGCACAGCAAAAGAAACTACCATCAGAGTGAACAGGCAACCTACAAAATGGGAGAAAATTTTCACAACCTACTCATCTGACAAAGGGCTAATATCCAGAATCTACAAAGAACTCAAACAAATTTACAAGAAAAAAACAAACAACCCCATCAAAAAGTGGGCGAAGGACATGAACAGACACTTCTCAAAAGAAGACATTTATGCAGCCAAAAAACACATGAAAAAATGCTCATCATCACTGGCTATCAGAGAAATGCAAATCAAAACCACAATGAGATACCATCTCACACCAGTTAGAATGGCAATCATTAAAAAGTCAGGAAACAACAGGTGCTGGAGAGGATGTGGAGAAATAGGAACACTTTTACACTGTTGGTGGGACTGTAAACTAGTTCAACCATTGTGGAAATCAGTGTGGCGATTCCTCAGGGATCTAGAACTGGAAATACCATTTGACCCAGCCATCCCATTGCTGGGTATATACCCAAAGGACTATAAATCATGCTGCTATAAAGACACATGCACACGTATGTTTATTGCGGCATTATTCACAATAGCAAAGACTTGGAACCAACCCAAATGTCCAACAATGATAGACTGGATTAAGAAAATGTGGCACATATACACCATGGAATACTATGCAGCCATAAAAAATGATGAGTTCATGTCCTTTGTAGGGACATGGATGAAATTGGAAATCATCATTCTCAGTAAACTATCGCAAGAACAAAAAACCAAACACCGCATATTCTCACTCATAGGTGGGAATTGAACAATGAGATCACATGGACACAGGAAGGGGAATATTACACTCTGGTGACTGTTGTGGGGTGGGGGGAGGGGGGAGGGATAGCATCGGGAGATATACCTAATGCTAGATGACGAGTTAGTGGGTGCAGCGCACCAGCATGGCATATGTATACATATGTAACTAACCTGCACAATGTGCACATGTACCCTAAAACTTAAAGTATAATTAAAAAAAAAAAAGAAAACAAAGGGTGAAAGAAAGAAGGAGAGAGAAAAAGAAAGGTCTTGGACACATGTGCTAATATGTACATATAACTTGGAGCCACCATGCCTCCAATGATTTATAAGTCATTAATCCCTTGCTGGAGACTCATCATCCATTGTAGGTATTAACTGAGACTCACTAAGCACAAGGGACTTTTTGCACCCTATAAGGAGGGATAAACACTACAACCCAGAACTTTCCCTTCAGGAAAGATAAAGAATACATATAACTATGTAGGGTTGAAAGCAAACAAAAGAGAAGGAGGCAAAAAACAGAAATAGGAGAAATGAGAAGTGGTAGATGATACTGCAGGGCAACACAGAAGAACAGAGGAATGTGCTGGTGTGTTTGGAGGTGTGGGGAATGCAAGGGTAAATGTGGAGGGAGCCATTTCTGTGAAGTAAGTGGTGGAAAGCAAGGCCAGGCCATGAGGACCTGCAGGATGGTGGCCCTGACAAAGACATACCCAGGGCTTTGGAAGAAAGGGAGGGTTAACAGAAGATGGGCTCTTGGGTGGTGTTAGCAGGGTTAAAAAAAGGAAAGGAGAGAGCTGAACATATTTGTAGGGAGAAAGAGGGTATCCAGGAAGACAGAGAGACAGAGCATAGTTCACAGCTCAAGATGCTGAAGAAACAAGCGAAGATGGGTCCAGAAGAGAGAGAGAGAGTCAGCGAACAGAGAGACAGTTGGCAGTGACACTAAGATATTCTAAGGGAGGAGAGGACAGCTGAGGAATCTCAGAGAGGTGTGGGGGTCACCTATGGAAAGTGAGGGTATACAGGGTTGACAGGTAGAAGGTAAGAAGGGCATTATGATGGGTATTATCATCTACCAGGATGAATAAGGGATTGCTAAGTAGCCCTGGGAACTAACAGAAGCTAGGCAGCATGAATGGTATTTCCTTCCCCTTCTTAGTTCATAAGATTCTCCATGCGTAAAATTGGGTAATTCCTACTCATGCATATGTATGAAAAGGAACTATCAATGAAAGGTTTTGAAGCCGGAGGAAATAAAAACATCAACTCTACATGAAACATGACTCATGACTAGAGTGATGGACACTCATATCCGCCAGATGGGCTGGCCCAGAAATGATATGAGAAGTTAGAAAGAGATCTATAGGCTGTGCTGCCTCCACATCCCTGATGATCAGTTTCCTCAGTTTAGCAAAGGCTGCTCAAAAACCTTAGGCAATGCGAGGCTGAAGGAAGAGAAAACACTCAACCTTACAGAAACAGTACAGAAGGTGCAGATGTCACCCCATCACTTATAAACCACACAGAGAGCAAAAGAGACATGTATATATCATAAGCAAAGAACGGGGTATACCTCATTCCCTGATTTTTTTTATGACCCTTTGTGCCTTTGACCCCTTCCAGAGTCTAACGGGAATGGAGAAAAGGGAATGCATTCCGGGATTTGAGTTGGAGCGTGGGGCATGTGAAGATGTGGAAGAAGGGAAGATATAGAGTCATCTCTGTCTGGGAGGTCTCTGATTTTGGAGGGACAGCATGGACTTTGGAGAGGTATCTTAAAGATATCCTTAAATCCTGAGAGTGCTTTTTGGCTCCACAAAACAATACAGTGACTAAATATTACAGCATTTCCCTTATCTCATAATTATGATTCCACTTACATATCCCAGGTCAGGATTGTATATAAGCACATTTTGAAAAAATAATAATGCTTAAAATTACACATACTTTAAAAACCTTCCATCTTTATCCCCATAGGACCTTTTCATCTTCCCTTTATAAAGGCATTACTAGCTCCTCTTTTTAAATACATATTTATTTGATCTCACTATTAAGTTGTAATTCATCATAACATGGCTCTCCTTTCTTTCACTACCAAGTAACTAAACGGCTGTCCCCAACTCCCTACTGAAACTGCTCTGCAGAAGTCACCTGATAAATGCAAGTCTTTCTTCTGTCTGTACTCTGAACTACTCATTCTCCTGTAAGGATGGATGCCCTTTTTGTTTATTTCCAAGTCTTTACAAAAGCTGCCCAGGATTTCTTCTACCTTACTTCCATAATAAAAAGGTATTTAAGGAGTACTTTCTAAGCTTCAGCACTTGATAAGCACTTAACTTAGCATATTCTTAAAGATAATTCACTGTCTTCTGCCTTACATTTTTTGCCATCAAAAAATTATTTCTTTGTAGGCAATATATTTTTCCCCTTCAGCTGGTTTTAAAATCTTTGTCTTTAACATTCTGTCATTTCATTACTGAGTCTAGAGTTTAAGAACTGATTTCTTGTTTACCTTGCTTGTAGTTTGATATGGTTCCTGAATCTCAGCATACTCCTCTTTCCTGAATCTTGCTCATCTTGATCATTTAAACTCTTGATTGTTAACTAAGTGAAACATACTACATGGGTATCCTGATTTCCCAAGAAATCCCAAATATCACAGAATAGCTCTATAAAATCCCCATTTACCTTAAAATGTAGTTTGTCCTGTATTTTTATACATAATTTTTATAACAAAAACAGAGTATGCAAGCTTATGAATGAGGCACCTTTAAAGGTGGATAGCACTGAGCACAGAGGTAAAACAAAATGGGCAAAAGTGTGAGTGCCAGACAGCTCTCTAACCATGCAGCAGCTGTGTGACCATGGGGAGGTTGCCCGATATCACTGAAGCTTAATTTCTGTCTTAAGAATGAGAATGATAGATTCTACCATTCTACCACTCAGGGTTGCTGGGATTAAGTGAAGTAACACATGTCAAGTTCTATCTGACCATATTCCTTGAGGGTAGGACTGTGTCCTAGTAACCACCTGTACCAATTTATTGCTACTCAGCTCCAAATTTACCTTTCAATACAAGCTCTGTGGTAATGGACGGAATTCCTTTAAGCACATCTCCTGTACAGCAGCACGATGGTAAGATTCCTCTGCAGAATGGAGGGGCAACACTGCAGAATGAAAGGGCTTCCCTTGGTCCGACTGCTACACAGCCCATCAGTGGTGTGGATATGAGGATGTCCAGTGGTATGCATGCCCAGAACACACATCCCTCAGTGACCTCAGCACCAGCCCCGCCTGGTTATCACCTCCCTACAGCCCTCCTAAAGCAGACACTAGGTGTTGTGGGCCTCCCATCCACAGTGATGCTCTAACTCTCTCTGCTAGCCTTCCCCCTGCCCCCCAGGTTTGTTTCTCACAGCTCTCCTGATGTAGACATCACATACTCTATGTCTCTTACCCACAGCCATACCCCAACTCCACCTGTGTGCCCACTCACCAGCTGCAGATCACCTGATCCAAGCCCTGGAGGATGGCTTTCTGTTTTCCCTGCACCTGGGACCAGCTCTGACATAGGCAATCTGGTGAATTTCTCTGTCACTAGTAGCTGTAATCATATCTTCTACATTAATGTCTAAAGGGCATCTTGGGAATGGGTCTACTTTCCAAATTTGTGCTGCCTTGAGTACTCTCCTCTTTACACTTTGTAGGTACTCTTTTATTATAGTTTAATAGTTCTTTATAATAAATTTCTTCTGTTTAAATCACTGCCTGGTTTCTGTCTCCTGATTGGACCCAGGCTGACATACCACTGTTTCCCCTAGTGCCTAGCACAATGAACAACAAAACACATTACCTCTCCATGCAACCCTTCTTCCCTTCTCTAGTTAGCCCTGAATAATTTAACTTTGACTTGCTCAAAATCAAAACAGATCAATGTAGAAAGCCAAAGTTGGAATAGACTTCTAATTCTTTTTTTTTTTTTTCTTTTTTGAGACAGAGTCTTGCTCTGTCACCCAGGCAGGAGTGCAGTGGTGCAATCTCAGCTCACTGCAAGCTCTGCCTCCCAGGTTCACGCCACTCTCCTGCCTCAGCCTCCCAAGTAGCTGGGACTACAGGCACCCACCACCACGCCTGGCTATTACAGTGTATTTCTGTATTTTTAGTAGAGGCTGGGTTTCACCCTGTTAGCCAGGAGGGTCTCGATCTCCTGACCTCGTGATCCGCCTGCCTCAGCCTCCCAAAGTGCTGGGATTACAGGCATGAGCCACCGCGTCTGGCCTAGACTTCTAATTCTTAATCATGTCACTATTTGGATGTTAACTGATGCCATTTCTGGAGACTGGCTGGAACTCCTAATGGAGACTCTACCTAACTTGATCATTTAAACTCATAACTGAAGAATTACTTCCATTCTGGCTCCTGAAGACTTCAGGTCAGATTAATTTACTCCCCCTAGTTTTAAAAAGGAGTTTTGTTTGTTAGTCTATTCACTCATTTCAAGGAACATAAACAGCCTAGGGACTAATTTAGTCAAACATGTTAATTCCATCAGTGTCCACCAATAAGACTAGGACAAGGGATGCTAAGGCAGGAAAACTGAAACTCAAAAGCACAGTGACTTCCATAACAGAACAACTACTCCAATACTATTTAGTTTATTTTTTTCTAGGAAGCATGCCCTTGAAGCCAGAAAGAGTAGAATAAGCAGATTAAGAAAGAAAAGGAAATCCAAAATGAATAAAAGAGAAAAAAAACAAAGTCTCTATTTTCCAGGCCTACCACTGTTCTATTCAACAGCCTTATCGGTGACTTGGATGAAACTATTTTTTTTTTTTTTGAGACAAAAGTCTCACTCTGTTGCCCAGGCTGGAGTGCAGCCTCTGCCTCTCAGGTTCTCACTCTGCTGCCCAGGCTTGGCTCACTGCAGCCTCTGCCTCCCAGGTTCAAGCAATTCTCCTGCCTCAGCCTCCTGAGTAGCTGGAATTACAGGCACCCACCACCATGCTCAGCTAATTTTTGTATAATTAGTAGAGATGGAGTTTCACCACTTTGACCAGGATGGTCTTGAACTCCTGACCTCAAGTGATTCGCCCAACTTAGCTGCCCAAAGTGCTGAGATTATAGGTGTGAGCCACCAAGCCGACTGATGAAACTATTCTTATTAAAGCTGCACTTAGCAAAAAACTGGGAGGGAGAGTTAGCCTATTACTAGAACCTGATGTGGTGGTTTTATACCGGGTCAACTCACCTAGGCTAGAACTATGTGTCTGAGCATTCCCTCTCCTATTTTACGGTTGCCCACAAGAATAATTTGTGGGAGATTTGGGAAGTGGGAGTGAAGCAGCAGCTATTATGTGCTGGAGGTCATAATAGCTCCAGCTATTCTGGGAGAGAATGGATGTCAAGGTGCCAGGGAGTTGTTTTGCTTAAGTCTGTCCTCACTTTTCTCTATACCTAGCTTGGCATCAAGCTCTCCTTCATGACTATTAGCCCTGCTGAACAACAGTCAGCTCAGGCCCAGCATCAGAAACTTCACTGCAAACTCAAAGGTGGTTGCCATGAAGAGCCAACAGCCTTCCGGAGACTTCTGCACCTGTCCCCTTTGCAGTTCTAATCTAGCACATGGATGTGGCTGGCTTCCTGCACATTCTGACTCATAACCCACACCAGGGTTGGTTAATAATTGTTCTCTGAGCCTTTCTAGACTTTTTACTTCCCAGCTCCTACTGAAATTGTACAGGTCCAAATCCTATAGCAAATTCCTTATTACAGGACACTCACAGTCATCCTGCTTCCCTGATTGAAATCCTGATTCACAAGGATTCAAAAACTGAAGAATAGTCTCAAATCAATTACATTTAATTGAACATTAATATATGTAAAGTTTTATATTTAGGCTAAAAAACAAAGAAACCTATAGAAATAAAGAATGAGTAAAACCTGAATTAAAAACAATTACTGTTATTATCCCGAGGAGTTTGAACTCCAACTCCACTATGACCTAGGACCAATCACAGTTTGCTAAGCAAATAAATTACACTGGATCTAATTCATACAAAATGAATGTATAACTTCATATTGTGGGGGTAAAAATATGTCTTCCACATTTTACACTGATAAGACAGAATATCTGGGATATTCTATTAAACGCTAATATTTTAAAGAGGAAATACTGTTTTCTGAAATTAAGAAGTCTAGAAAAATACCATAAGAATGGCTTCAGGAACTTGGGTTAACTTAAAAGAGAAAAAGATCTATATATTTGTGGCTCCAGAGATAAGAGCTAGGATAAATGGAAAACAATTATACATTAAAAAAATTTACTTTCGTTTAATGAAGAACACTGTAATAGCGAATCACTTCCTGTGATAAAGAGGTATACTGTAATAAAGGATAAACTGAAAAAAAAAAAATAGGAGGAATTGGTTTAGATGTCCACCATAGTGTTGTTAACCTCTTCAGATTCCATGATGTTAGAGGTGACCGGGGCTAAAAAAAGGGGGTGATGGCAAGTTACTACTTAACGGGCACAGAGTTTCTGTTTGGAGTGATAAAAAAGTTTTGGAAACAGTGGTGATGGGTGCACAGGACTACCAATGTAATTAATGCCACTGATTTGTATGCTTAAAAAATGGTTAAAATGGCAAAATTTATGTTATATATATTTATTTCACCACAATTAAAAAATATATGATTCTGTTATTCTATGTGAATAATGCAAAAGATTTAAATAAAAAATTTGACTTAATAAAAAATTAAAAATTCATTCGTCTAAAATGAACACTTCAGTAAGCCAGCGTTTCATAAAGCCACAAACAATTGTATGTATTCTTCAGCAGAGCTAGTGAATCAAACCAGAGTGGTCCCTTCAGGGCAGAAAAATAACTGTACCCATGAAAAGCTCATTTGTAAATGTTACCATATTATCATAATAAATAACCTTGTTCATGATAAAATGGACCATATATATTTTAGAAAAAAGTCCTCATACACACACACACACACACACACACACACACAGATATAAAAATTCACATGTACACAGACCAAAACATCACAATTTAATACATGAAAAAAAGTACCCAGGACACCGAAAACACAGGGACTAAAGTTTATTTCTTTGTTTTTAAACACAAGTTGCTAAATTTTGATAGACTAGAAAGACATCCACAAGACTATCAACAATCAGAGAGCCTACTGTGTGAGTTTTGAGGCCAAAGAAAAATTCATTTAACATTTAAAATGTATTTGGCATTCCCCATTCCCTCTAATATTTCTTCCTAAAAGTGAATGGATGGAAAAAGACATACGATACTAATACTAATTGAATAAAAAAACTTTTTTAAAAAAGAAAGAAGACTATTACTACCTGATTTCAAGAATTATTAAACTATGGTAATCAAGACAGTGTGGTACTAGTGTCAAGACAGACAATTAGACAAATAGGACAGAATAAAGAGTCCAGAAATAAACCTCACAGAGACGGATAACTGATGTTTAGCAAAGGCACTATAGTGGAGAAAGAACAGTCTTTTCAACAAACAGGGCTAGAACAACTGGACATCCATTTGCAGAGAGGGAGGGAGAGAGGAACAGAGAGAAGGAAGAAGAGAAGGAAGAGGAGGAGGAGAAGGAGAACTTTAATCTATTCCTCATACCACATAAAAAATTGAATCAACTTGGATTATACACATAAACTTAAAACCTAAATTTAAACTTCATGCTTTAGAAGAAAACAGAAAAATCTTTGTGACCTTGAGTTAGGTACAGATTTCTTAGCTATGACACCAAAAGCACAATCAATAAAATTTTAAAAATTAACAAATTGGACTCCATCAGAATTTAAAACTTTTGCTCTTTAAAAGACACTATTTAAAAAAAAAAAAAAAAAAAAAAGACAAGCCAGACTTGGAGAAAATGTTTGTAAACCATGTATTTGACAAAAAGTCTTACATCCATAATTTATAAAGAACTCTCAAGATTATGAAAACAAAATGGGCTAAAGATTTGAACAGATGCTTAAAAATATATATACAAATGGCATGTAAGATCAAGAGAAGGCTGAGTGCAGTGGCTCACGTCTATAATCCCAGCACTATGGGAGGCTGAGATGGAAGGTTCGCTTGAGCTCAGCAGTTCAAGACCAGCCTGGGCAACATAGTGAGGCCCTGTCTCTACAAAAAATTTAAAAATTAGCTGGGTGTGATGGTGCACATCTGTAGTCCCAGCTACCCAGAAGGCTGAGGGGAGGGAATTGCTCGAGCCCAGAAGGTTGAGGCTGCAGTGAGCCGTGATTACACCACTGGTACTCCAGCCTGGGTGACAGAGTAAGACCCTGTCTCAAAACAAACAAAAAGATGATATTTAATATTAGTCATTATGAAAATGCAAATTAAATCACAATGAGATATTAATAAACACATATTTGAAGAGTTAAAATTAAAAGGACTGACAATACTGGATGTTGGCAGATATGGAGGAATTGGGACTCTTGTACACCACTGGTGGTATCCCTTTAGAAAGTAATCTGGCAATTTCTTTAAAAGTTAAATGTATACCTATCATATGAGTCAGCCATTCTGTTCCTGGGTATTTACCCAAGAAAAATAAAAGCATATGTCCACGCAAAGACTTGAACATAATGAACATATGAATGTTCATTACACAAACATTCATAGATCCTTTAATAGTAACAGCCCAAAACCGGAAACCACCAAAATGTCCATGAACACATGAATGGTTACGCAAGCTGTGATATACCTATAAAACAGATCATTGATCTGTAATAAAAAGGGATGAACTGCTGATACATGCAATGACAAGGAATGAATCTCAAAATAAATTATGCTGAGTGAAAGAAGCCAGCTCCTCCCAAAAAAGAGGATATACTGTTGATTCTATTTACACAAAATTCTAGAAAATGCAAACTCATCAATAACAGAAAGGAGATCGTGGTCGCTTGGGGATGTGGGGATTGAGATTGGGGAAAAAGTGGGAGAGAAATGAGGAGAGAAGGGTTACAAAAAGCACAAGGAAACTTTTGGGGTGATAGATATGTTCACCATCTTGACTGAGATTTATTCACCAAGTTATTCAACTTTAAATATGTTTGATTTTTGCATGCCAATTATACCTCAATGAAGCTATTAAAAATAAGCAAAGTCAGCAGCTTACTTGGGACATGTGAAAACTTTGGGGAAAGTCCTTTCTTTCAACCAGGAAAAGGCAGAACTCACTCATGATCAGCATCCATAAGGAAGTCACTTTTTTCCATATATGGTGCCAGCATTAAGAAAATAAAGCCAAGAAACTCTTCCTTTTACAAAATGCATATCATAGGTGCCTGCCCATTCACATTCTTCAAGCCAGCTTCTGATGCAATCTGTTTCTTAAAGCCTTTTCTCATCACTCAAGTAGAAGATAATTGTTCCCTTCGATGAATCACCATAACACTTATGTTAATTTTCAGATATTAATTCAATGCATTTATCCATCCACCCATTGCACATTTATTAAGTGCTTCATTTGGGCCAGATGCAGGTTTAGCGCTAGATATACAAAAGTGAGTAGAAGGGCATAGATTTTTCCCTCAAGAGCCTAACAGGCTAGTGGCAAAAAATTGACATTTGTTTTTTAAAAAAGTAACAGAAACACTATAACAAGTATTTCAAAAAAACATTAAACAGTACTACAGGAACACAGAGGCAGAAATTCATTCTGTCAGACATACTATCTTATACCTCAGTAACTTGTCCATTTCCCACTAGTCTAAAACTCCCTGAGAACAAGGGACTGCAACTCATTTAGTTTAGTAATCTATGAAATTACCTAGCACAGTACCTGGCATGAGTATTTCACACCTGCACATTGTTTGGATGAATGGACATTCCATTTCACAAGCATCTGCTCTTTAAAAGGCAGGGCCACCATGCTGCCAACTTCACACGTTGAGTTCCAACCCTTATCCACTTTGTCAACAAAAGCATGGCAATAATTTGAGAGCGGACAAAATCAAAACCTAAATCTACGTCCCCAAATTCCTAAAGGAATGGCCATTCTCCCAATGAGGAAAACAGGAAGGAAGTGGGGCTTAGTCTGCCGAGATCCAGGACACAAGAATGACACCCATGACTCGAGCTCCTGTCATGGTTCCTGGGAGAGCCTGGCTTTCTATATGTTCTTGCTATCTGATATATTCTTCTGCCCAGGACAATACACATGGTTGGCAGCCATCTAATCTCTAGAGGAATCATACCAGTCTCCTTGTAAAAGCAATTTCTGGTTGTGTGTTGGTTCGGTCTGCTATAATAAAATACCAGAAACTGGCTGGCTTATAAATAATAGTTTATTTTTCACAGTCCTGGAGTCTGGGAAGTTTAAGATTAAGGTGCTGGCAGATTCGGCATCTAGTGAGGGCCCACCTTCTAGCTGTGTCTTCCCATAGGGGAAGGACATCACCATGGGGCTAGCTGGTTTTCTGGGGCCTCTTTTTATAAAATAAGGTCACTAATCCCAAACATGAGGGCCCCACCCTCATGACTTAATCACCCCCAAAGGTCTCAACTCCTAACTCCATCATCTTGGGGGTTAGGATTTCAACATACAAATTTTGGGGAGACAAAAGCATTCAGACCTGTAGACACATTTGTGACTTTCGATTACTGCATGAAAGCTCTTATTACTATGCTCAGTTTCTGAAGGGGTAGAGAGGTGGAAGAGATAACTGTGGGAAATTGTTAGCATAGGGTGATGGAATAATCCAGTTTTCTTATTTTGATCAATATATGCAATTTTAGAATTTCAATTGGGACAACACTAGCACAAATTTAAAAGGTCTCCAATTACAACCGAGAGGTTTAAATTAAACATCAAGCAGATATACTTCATAGCTTCCTTAATGCAATCAAGCATGACCAGAATGATAAGGCAGATTTACTTCTTGAACTCACATCTAATGGAAGCAACAGGTCTCAGGAGGGAAAAGCATAGAAGTTTATTTAAATTTGCCTGGATCCACCAGCCTGACAGGTGGCTGTAGGGGGCAGGAGGACTCTGGGGCTCAGTGATATCTTGGGTGCTGGACTGGGCTCTTACCTGTAGATGGGGTCCTGCATCACCAGCATCTTGCTCTCATCCCACGTCCATTCCTTTTTCTGCAATAAAAGAAGCTGTAAATGAATAAGTTAGGCTTGTCCTCAGTTACAGGACCAGGGCACACACTGAGCTATGCATACTTATGCAAACACATGCATTTTGCTCCTGACCTGACTTTTTCCCTCTAAGAGGCCTGGAGTTGATTGCTCCAAAACGACGAGTGCAAAATATCAAGTGTCTAGTCTGATCAGTTTCCTCCAAGCACTTTAGGAGAGTGCCTCTCCAGGGCTCAGAGGGTAGGCAAAAGCCAAGAAGTCCTTAGGGAACTCGGGGTGAAGTGGGGACGTAATGTGAAGCTCCAGACAAGCTAGGTAGGTTAATTGGTACATTTGCAGAGTGACCCCTAAGAGGCTATTCATTCTGGCTGTAAACCTAACTTACAGTGAACACAAAAGAAACCCTCTAAGCTAGGAATGAGGAGTTGGAGGAGAGTGGATTCAATCGTAGTGCTTGCTGAGGTGAGAAGCACCCCAGTGTGGGGGGCCATTAGGGTCAGCGGCCAACTACACCCTCTCAGGCTCAACCTCCAGGTGCAAGGACAGAGAATCCTGCTCTACCTTCATCCGCCTTTGTCAGAGAGACTTTGCTGTCCAGGGAAATTAGGGAAGAACACATTCATCCATGAAAGAAGGACTCAAGAGGGGGGAAAGCGCAAGGGGTATACAGTGGATTAATTGAATGCTTTTAGCTATATGGATTTCTCAGAGATAATGCACAGGGTGGCCACTCTCTAAACATACTGGGCTTTGGAGGTTGTTAAGCCCCCACCGGGACTAGGGGAGATCATGTCCAGGCTCTTACAGTGACATTAGGAAGAAGCACTGTCAGCAGCTTTACCCAAATACCATACTACGTATGTGCGCGTGCACACACAGACACACACACACACACACCACATTTAATCCCTGAATTTTGATTAAACACCAATATGATCCATAGAGGTGGATTTTAGACTGGTTTAAAAACATCCAATATCAAACACTGTTTTATAGACAACAAAACTTCAGTTACAGCCAAAAACTAAATATTTTTTTAAAAAGATACCTTCCTATAATTGCTACTGACTACCCTATAAAATTTTAATATACGAATTACCTATTTGGAGCAACACAGAAGGAGACTAATCTCTTTTCTAAGCAAGAACCCCTTCAAATACATAAACAGAGCAAGTCCAGAACATCTTTATACTAAATAATCCCAGGTTTTGTAAACATCCCTCACTAGACAAGTCTTCCAGACTACCTGCTACCATAGTGAATTTTCTTTGTATGTATCCTACTTACCAGTGATCCCCCCAAAACCTGGTAAAATGAACTGGATCCCTGATCTGCATGGCATAGAGACACAGCCTTTTAATGTTCCAGCCACATAGAGACACAGCCTTTTAATGTTCCAGCCATGACACTCCTCTTAACCCAGCAGATTGGTTTATAGCAGTTTTTTTAATGACCTCATAATGAGCACACATTAGGCTGCTTTCCAACTGATGCACTGAAATTCTTCAGAGTTAAAGTCCAAATATCTGCATGCATATTGTAAACATCCAATATCATTGTTCTCCATAGTAGTCCTTCAAACAGCAAAATATAATAATATGCTTAAAAGATGGTTTGATCTCAGGGCAAAATCTTTATGACATAAATATTAAATTAAGTCACATCTATAGCCGTGACCACATATTCTACCTGCACTTTTAATTTAACGCAGTTAGCAATGTTTATGAAGGTGTGGAGTCCATCTACTGAGTTTATTTTAGCTATTATATTTTTCAGTTCTAATATCTCTATTTGGTTATTTCTTTTTCTTTGCTGACACTCTGCTTTTTCATTTGTTTTAAAAGTTTTTGTAGCTGCTCGTGGAAGCATTGTTGTGATGGCTCTCTCAAAATCTTTCTCAGATAATTCTAACATCTCTGTTATCTTGGTGTTAGCACCAGTTGATTGTCTTTTTTTTACAGAAGTTGAGATTTTCCTCATTCCTGGTATAGTGAGTGATTTTCAACTGAAGCCTAGACATTTTGAGTATTGTAAGACTCTAGATGTTATTTAAGCTTTCTGCATTCACTGTCTTACTGTGACACTAAATAGGGGAAGGAGTAGGATGCCACCTTATTACCCCCAGAAGGGAGTTAAGGCTGGGTTCCCACTCTGCCTCTGCTGATCCTCATTACTGCTGGGTGTGGGTGGGAGTTCTAGGTCCCCACTGGGCTTCCAATTACACCACCCTGGTTTGTAGGGGTAGGAGTGCCTTGGAGTTCCCACATGGCATCCGCTGACAACATGCATAGTCAGTGGCTTCATGACTGCAGGTCAGTGGTGGAAGTGTAGCTTCTCCACAGACACCACATGGGAAACGGGAGCAAGAAGGGTGGTGTGGTACACTCATTACCAGCTGGCAGGGAAGATGAGCCTGGCACCCTTCTCAGCCTTCTGTGGCACCACCTGGAGGGGGTGTTGGGGCACCTCATTACAGCCCAGCAAGGGTGGAAGCCTGGGCTCCGGCTCAGCCACGGGGGCCTGGGTGCCAGTGAGGACGGTCTTCCGTGAATTGTTTGGCTGGAAGAGAGTGGTTATTGTGGACAGTTTTCTGCCTTGTTATGTTGCCCCTTTTCTCCTCTTTGGCTGGAGAGAGCAGGCTTTTGTTGGGGCTTTTATGCCTGTTCCCACTGGCATGTGTGAGTTGCCAGCTTCTTCAGCTCTGCATCTGGGATATATGAGGTGAAAAGAAACCCAGGGAATTCACAACTATGTAATTTGTGAGTCCCTAAGTTCCTAGCCAGGCTGCCCTCTCTCCACCTCTCAAAATCTTCTGATGTTGATTTTATATAAAATGTCTAGGGTTTTCAGCTGTACTTAGCAGGAGGAATAGGGTAAAGTGCATCTACTTGGTCTTCCCAGAAGCAAAAGTCTGGTTCCTATATCTATCATGTTTTTTTTTCTTTTTAAACTACAGTTGCCTCGGCTCCACCTCTTGAGAGACATGAATACAGTGGGTCAGAGGTGACGCCCCATAATCTGTAGCTTTAACAAACATTTCAAGTGGTTCTGATGTGACCCTGGGCCTGAGAGCCACTGCTATACACCAAAGAAAGACTGGACTGAAATCCTCAACCGGAAGCTCTCTTTCACACACCACACACTCCTCTGGAGTCTCAGGCCTGGCACAGGGAGGTCCCCTGACATTTCAAAGAAAGCCAACTGACCACGGTCCCGTTAACCACTGTCTCAGGCCAGGGCCCACCTCAGCATACTCAGGAAGTGGCTGCGGTGGCATAAACACTTGGTGGGGCATCAGCAGACCTGCTTTGCTCCTGAGAGAATGCATCTTCACTTCTCTCATGCTCTTACCATCAGGACAGTCTGCTCCCAACAGTCCTTGCAGCTCTGGTGTGATTTGCAAAGTGACTGAGAGGAGCCAATGACCCAATACATCAAAGAGGCTGTGAAACCCCAACCAGCCACATGTCCTGTTCCCTTCTGAGGAAAGCAGCCCCAAAGAGGGTCTGAACGAGGGTGATTTGGTTTATGCTGCATGCATCTGAGGAAGCCAACTGTGCTAATCTGCCCATGACTGTCTGGGGTTGGGATCCCCACCTGACTGACCATGGGGAGCCAGCAAGGGGCTGTCATTAAATCACCCAATCATTGAGCTCTATGGTAAAAAGACCCAACTCTACCCAATCAATTCCTCTCTTTGGGGAATATCAAATCCTAAGTGGAGTCTAGGCTGAGCCCCAGTAACAGTGGACAGTTTTTGTGACCTGTGACTCTATTTCCACTCATACTGGTGGCAACACTGAGGGAGAGGATGCATCGGGCGCCAGTTCATGTTTCTTCCAAGGCTTGCGATGCGCCTCCATCATCAAAGCTAAGCTGGGCAAGACTCTTCTCAGCAATTCTATAGAATGTAACTAAGACATTCATTAAAAGGAAAGAATAATGAGGCAAAATAATACAGAACTATTTTCTTTCTCTGGCAGATGTGAATAGGAGGACAGAGAAACCAGGCTCCCAGGGCCCCTTGGGTTAATTTAATAAGAATGAGCATTAGCAGGATCTACAGAAGCCAAAACATACTTTACTTTTAAAAGAGGTCCCAGCACCCATATAGAATGTCCTGAAAAGGGAGAAAACCACAAAGATCTTTTCACCAACTTACTAATTTTCCTTTTCTGAAGAGCTCATTAAAATCTAGTCCTGTCACTTTACAGACCTTCATCCTTGGATGAAAATTATTAAATCTATGAAGAGATCAGGAAATCATCAAGATAACTCAATGGGTTTGGGGAGTAACAGGGACTCACCAATGTTTTGGTTATTCAAGAAGCTAATGCAAATACTGTTGGAGCTTTTTTTGTTTTTGAGACAGAGTCTCGCTCTGTCACCAGGCTGGAGTGCAGTGGCGCGATCTCGGCTCACTGCAAGCTCCACCTATTGGGTTCAAGCGATTCTCCTGCCTCAGTCTCCTGAGTAGTTGGGACTACAGGCACTCACCACCATGCCCAGCTAATTTTTGTATTTTTAGTAGAGATGGGGTTTCACCATGTTGGCCAGGTTGGTCTTGAATTCCTAATCTCAGGTGATCCGCCTGCCTCGGCCTCCCAAAGTGCTGGGATTACAGGTGTGAGCCACCACACCCGGCCACTGTTGGAGCTTTTTAACCCAATCTCCTCACAGCCTGAATGATAGTCCAAGAACTTTAGAACTAAAGGGTCTCCACCCCTCCCCCACCGCACCTCTTTCAAATAATACCCTGAGGAGTGTAGTCACTCAAGCAAGGTGTCACTCCTTGTTAGCCGCCCAGCCAAGAGTAAAAACAAATTCTCCTGATGTTTGGACTAGTGCTGACTCCACTACTCTGGCACAATTCGTAGGCAATGCAATACAATGAATGGCTTAACTTAGAGGGAGGCCCCGCTTCACATATCTCACATGACTTTATGATTGTCACCAATGTCTTAATTCAAGAACAATTTGATTCTTCCTGTCTCCTGGTCTGAAATTGTGTCTCTTATTGCCTATGTTTTGCAAGTATTTCAAAGAAAAAAACAAAACAACACAAACAAACCAGCTCCTCCTCACTTTTCTATATGGAAATACTCTTCTAAGGAAAAACAATCAGAAAAAAAAAATTTGAAATGAGCAGAAAAATAGAAAGAAAAACAAATTTCCCAAACCTATGGGATTATAAATCAAAGTTGGCTTCAAAAATAGATAGGACAGAATGTATTACTGAACAATAACTACAGCCAAACTCAGTTTAACTGTCTTTGAAGTCTTTTATTTTTCCTTTAAAAAAAAGAAATCCTTGAAAATAAAGACTTGGAGTCTTGGTAGCTGTGTGAGGGAAATTTCAGTCTTGCTACTCACTGTTCAGGATCAGCTGTGGTCTCCATGATATGCCAGGAAATGAGGACATTTTCAGTTCAGATGGGATTGGAAGGAAACAGGAGGAGAAAGAGAGGAGAAAAGGAGGGGACACACACCTCTAAAGCTGTCAGCACCTCTCTGAGTGCCTTCTGGGGTAAGGGGGCCCTTCACAGGCTTATTTACTAAAAACAGCCCAGGGAACCCACAGGACTGGGCACCAGCAGGGCTGGTCTTCAACCTCCTTCCACTATGAGTCCAGGCTCAGGCAGGGCTCCCGCTGGAGCAGGAGCACTAGCAGCAGCAGCAGCAGTGGTGAGGCCAATACGCTAAATGCTCAAGGAGACAAGGATCTGCCTCTTCACTCACTCCAGAAACAAAGCAAATGGAGAAAAAATTGTGAGTGGGGAGGGAGTGCCTGGTGGAGCAGATTAATTAGTCCTAGGGGCAACTGTCTAGCATTCTGCCATGCCCAAATTCTATATGTGGATATGTGTAACTCCTTTCTCTTACTCCTGTGCCCTCCGCGTCTGCTAAGGACACCTATGGCACTGCTGAGCCTTTTAGGAGGTCTCTAAACTAGAGTTTATTAACCTGTCTCTCTCTCTGTGCCATCTCCTCCCTTCCCCTCTTCTCTTTGTTTATGAATTCCTTACTCTAGGGTATTTTTAAAAGTCAGCGAGATAGAGGGAGTAGGTTAACTTGAAGGAAGGCTCAACTTCATATCTCGATTAGTAAACATTTTCTGGAGTGAGAAAGAAAGGTGTGATCATAGAGTGTACACCACAGACCTCCAGTCACAGGGAGGTGCACCCAAGGGACCCAGCTGCTGCACTCTGAAATTCATCATCGTGTTGGTTCAGGAGTTATGCTTTCCACAGACTGCTCCAGCCAGTGACTGAGAATGGAGGGATACTAAGGCAGGCCCGTCCCTGGGAGATGTGGGGATCCCGACAGACAACTTTGGCTTCTGGACACCCTGAAACCTTGCCAAGCCTTCCTCAGACTGCACTGCAGTCTAAGAGCCTTTTGCTATCCTTCCTTCCTTTCTTTCTTCCTTCCTTCCTTCCTTCCTTCCTTCCTTACTTCCTTCCTTCCTTCCTTCCTACCTGCCTTCCTTCCTTCTTCCCCTCTCTCTTGCACTCAGGGGCAGGCCTCTCTGCAGCCTGACAGTCCTCCCAGCCTTTCTCAGATGCTTCCCCCTTTTCTCCCACAGGCGTTTAACACTGTCTTGGCATCTGCTTCTCACAGGACCTAGACTAACACAGAAAGTGAGAAGGTGAGAAAGCAAAGATATAGGAAAGTCATCTGTATCTGCTTCATTTTTCATTCTCATAGTTGATGTGGGGAAAAAAGTCATTTCCTCCATTTAGGGAAAGAACTACATAATGCTTTTAGATTACTAAAATTGGTCTCCACCTTAAAGGTGAACACTAAGGCTCAGAGAAGTTGGCTTATTTCCCTCCAAGGCCACCTAGTCCAGTGATAAATAAAATCCAACTCTTCTACCTGCAGTCCCATGGTCTGTAACTCCAAATGATGAAATCAGTCTTTCACTGTCCACTGCCAGGAAGTTCTTTGCTTTCCACAGAGGAAGGGAATAAAGGGCTTGCTCTGTATGCTTTTGTAAGACCACTGAATGGGGTAAGCGCATCTTTGATATAGGACCTTCTCTTTCCTTAATCTGTTGAGTGCAAATGTCAAGTCCTCCATGGAAATTCACAGCCACTTTATCATTCTAAAAGCTCCTGGCAAGGAATGTTATATGGGAACTGGTTTAGAGGTAGGTCTTCCTGGAACCGTGCCAAAAAGAGAAAACAGAGTCAGGAATAATTATCACAGTGGTCCTTTCTCCTTTTGATATGTGGAAATGGATATGGCATCTTTGAAACCCTTCCTCAGGAATGCTAAAGTAGAGGAGAAATTTGTACTGACATTCATTTCCTATCCCTACTAGAATTATCAGTAGGCGTATCACAAAGCCTGCAAGCTTCACCATTATTCATGCAGCATTATTCAAGCACCTAATAGCAGCGGTGACTCAAAAAAAAATTGCAAAGGCCACATAAACTCAGTTTGACAAGTTCTCCATGCTTCTAGATAGAATGGGATACTACTGAAAATAAAGCTATCTCTCTCCTTCAGGTATAACCTATGGATATAGGAACGTGCATTTCAAAATTGAAGCAGTAATAAATCCTCCCATGTGCACAATTCCTAATAGGCCTGTTTTTAAAGTAGCAGAAAATAAAGAAGGCCAAGAAACACAGCACGGTGGAAAGAAGACTGGATGAAGTTTAGGGCCTAGATTCACACCCTGGCTGCCAGTAACTACCTGGGGGTCCTAGGGACAGTCACTGGACTTCTCTTATCCTGTTGCCACATCTAATCAATTAGAGGATCAGGCCAAATCACTTTTTAAGTCTCCTAAATTCTGGTTCTATAATTCTGAGTGCCTCCTTTTCTTAATTCGATCTGACTTCTGTGTTTCCATAGTAACCAGCACTACTGTTTGGGCAGGAACATAGTTTCCCTGTGATGTAATACACCCATGACAGAGTACAGGTTAGGAGTTAAAGACTCTGGCTTAATTAATTAGGCATTTCCTATGGAGTGATTATTATCCAAAGGGGTCCAAAAAGATCAGTCACACACACAGCAACAGAGCAGTGGAAAGAACCTGCTTGGGATTTAAGTAAGACAAGGTTCGAACCTTGACTTCACCACTGATAGGATGTGAGATTCAGGCAAGTTGCTCAATCTGCTTTTGAACAATCATAAGAATGGTATCTACCTAATAGGACAGTTGTGAGGATTTGTTAAGTGTAAACATGCATCAAACAAGGCCTGGGCAATAGCAGGTACTCCACATCAGTGTTAGCTATTACTATTAGCTGTTCTCATTATCACCTTAGTGTGTAACTACTTACATCAGTTTGCTCCCTCTGGTCTTCTACTTTTCCAAACAGATGAAATAAGATTTGAGGGAAGACATGGTCCCTGCCCCCTAAAGCTAACAAACTATGGGGGAAAGAGATAAATAACTACAATGCAATCTTATAAAACCTGTAATAGACCTATGTGTGCATACAGTGACAAAGAATAATTTTGCAGGGAAGGGTTCATATCTAATATCCTTATGTAACCTATGCAGATCCTTGAACATGGTAGACACACAATGAATATTTGTTAATGAAAATGATGGAGCCTTTTTAGAATGCTGCCTTAGGGGATCCCAAGAAAGTTATTGGTTCATAAGAGAAACTATATAAAACTGAAGCTCTTTGGGTCCTTTATTAGAAAAATCCCTTGGATGAAGTTCAAGACTAGTCTTTCTTACTCAGGATTCCACTCCCTAGCAAATGGTGCTATAGCGTGATTCCAGTATTATAATAACTAATCATTACATATACATGGAAAAGATAATTACTTGAGCCTAGATGCGAGTTGAAGAAAATGTACTGGTTGAGAGACATCAAAGTACAGCTAATTATCTTAGTAACTGGGTTTACATCACAAATTCAACCTAAGATTCATAAAGAATTTGAGATTCATTATCTGTTGGCGTCAGTTCAAGATGACAGCATTTTTAGATATTTGTTATTATAACCAAAAAGATGTTTTTTACAACTCAATGAAAGTTGAATATATTTGGCCACTGCCTACACTAGTATAATGCACCTGAAGATTACAGTCACCTGAACAAATCCTACAATTAATACTATGGAATTAGCAATTTTTATGGAAGCCTTCCTATATTTGAGAAAGGATCTCATCCTTTTTTTTTTTCCTTTTAAACTGGCAGATTGACAGGAAGAAAAAGAGGGAGGACAACATGATAAAGGTAACAAACTAGACTTCATTTGATCCAATTGCTAAGTATTTATTTTCTCATAATTTAATGACATTATTACACACAAATAATGTTCAATCAAGCAGCTAGTGAACAGCCACGATTACTGAAAACATACTACATGTGTCTGGTGCCCAGGCAAGTGCTGGGCTTACAAAGATGGCTCCTGCCCTTAAAAAGTTCACTGGAGGGCAGAGACTTACTGTAAACACAGTTCTCAGCCAGGAAACACATCACCATTCACCAGTTACAGACAGGCTGGGAGAGAGAGGAGGCTGGGATGGCTGCCTCAGAGATGTTGGACCTCAGAGGGTCCCCTCCTGCTCTAGAAGATTGGGAAACAACAACATAGTGACCCACTCAGACTCCAGGGGCTGTCTTTTGTGGGTTTTTTTTTTTTTTGATAGTCCAGTAGATTCTCAAAGACCTAAATACATACAGGTGACCTATATATACACACAAACACCAAAAAGCATGGTTCCAGAGCTGGCACAGAGTATCCGAGCTAGAAAAGTTAAAGTGATCACCTAATTGAACTCTTCACAGTTGAAGCTGAGAGAGGCAAAATAACATGCTTAGAACCACAGGCCAAGAAGGGTAGAGCCAGGACTGAAACCCAGGTCTTCTCATCTGGGGTGAGGGTCCCTCCCAGCTTGTCACACTAACCTAGTGAAAATCAACAAGCTAATTGTGGGAGGAGAGGGCTATTCAATGTTTTTACCCACTAGCCTGGCACAAGCACCAACGAATCAGTGGGCAATGTCAGGCTGTACATGGAACCATTGCCTCACGGCTGAATATAGGCTATGGCTCTCTCTACACCTACAGCTACTTGGCAAAGAGCTCTAGTTCTTAACCTAATCATGATGGTGATCAGTGACATTTGCCAAGTATTCCATTTCCTTGGAGAAAATTGTGCATTTACACAATAGCATGTCTACTCTCACCTCTCTCAATTCTATAAGCAGAGAGAGAAAGTGTGCATGTGTCTGAGTGTGGTGGTAGCATTAAGATACCAGAGAACTGTCATATGAGAACAAGATGACAAAAAGGCTGATTGCTGTTAATGTGCATTCATCTGTCAGAGATTGTGTAAAATGAACCCCGTGGTTAAAGGCATTATTCAAATCACAGCCACGGCCCTGGAACGGACACTAAGTGTGGGTGCAGGAAACAAGATGGGCAGCTCCCTTTTCCCAAGCCTGGCATCAGAAGAGTTAGATCTAGGAAAGACCTGCTAGACCATCTTTTTTTCTGGGCCAGCAGGACGATGAAGCCACACTGGAGATTACCCAGGACGTAGTTTCAAAGTGAGTCACGAGGTCCCATGCACTCCCTCAGGGAGATGCTACTCCAGCCTGGCTTTCATGTGCTTAGTGGAGGCAGGGAGGCTTCTCTCCAGGTGATACCTCAGCACACACTGTGTCATGAGATCCAACCTCAGTTTTCTCACATGCACAATGGGGAAGCCACCACACGTGGTAAAGGTACATGGGAGAGACAGTGAGGTGAGAAACAAGACTGTGCTCTAAGGGCAAAACTATGAAGTTGCCCCATGATGGACAACAACAGAGGTGTATGAAGATACCTGAAAGGGACAGAGCAGCCCCTAGGACAGTAGGTGTTTACATTTAACCTAATCGAAAGTCAACAGGCTGGGTTCAGTGGCTCATGCCTGTAATCCTAGCACTTTGGGAGGCTGAGGTGGGTGGATAAGCTGAGGTCAGGAGTTCGAGACCACCTGGCCACCATGGCGAAACCCTGTCTCTACTAAAAATATAAAAAATTAGCCGGGCGTAGTGGCGGGCGCCTGTAGTCCCAGCTACTTGGGAGGCTGAGGCAGGAGAATGGCGTGAACCCGGGAGGCGGAGCTTGCAGTGAGCCGAGATCCCGCCACTGCACTCCAGCCTGGGCGACAGAGCGAGACTCCGTCTCAAAAAAAAAAAAAAAAAAAAAAAGAAAAGTAGCTGGGCGTGGTGGCAGGCGCCAGTAATCACAGCTACTCGGGAGGCTGAGGCAGGAGAATCAGTTGAACTCAGGGGGTGGAGGTTGCAGTGAGCCAAGATTGCATCACTTCACTCCAGCCTGGGCAAAAGAATGAAACTCCATCAAGAAGAAAGAAAGAAAGAAGGAAGAAGGAAGGAAGGAAAGGAAGGAAGGAAGGAAGGAAGGAAGGAAGGAAGGAAGGAAGGAAGGAAGGAAGGAAGGAAGGAAGGAAAGGAAGGAAGGAAGGAAAGAAAGGCAAACAAAGATATGTCAGTCAGAAGTGGATGTGTAGTGGGGTGGTGGGAAGATTCTGGGAGTGTCAGCCACAGATTGCTGAGGAAAGCAATCTTACACATGTGACAAAATTAGCCCATTTTTTTCCTCTGAGGATATCTTTTGCTCAAATTCATATTGTCATCATCCACGATTTCTTTAACAGGCCCAGGGCTTGACAGGCCTCAGCTTGATGTCCTGCTCAGGAACTCCAAGAGGACAATACTCTAAAGACTGTCCCGTGACTGTCCACTCTGTACATACATGTGAGAGGAGAAGAAGCAAAACAGATGTCCCCAAAGGAAGAACAAGATGGGGCCCATGCACACAGCAAAGGTTTACAAAGCCAAAGATATTTAATTCCCTATACTTGTGAATTTTGAAGAAGGTGGTTCTTTATAAACAGTATATCTTTTTTCTACATACTTGCAGCATCATAGCCATAAAACACTTTCTAAAACCACCAATGAAAGTATTGAGGGAGCATGAAAGAACAAGTTTTGGATTAATACGTAAGAGACCTTTGTAAACATCCAGAGAGGAAAGGGGCTGCCTCAGGAAGTAGTAAATTTCCCATTGCTACAGGTGTCCAATCATACACTGGACAATGCCCCTTGTACGGACATTATAAACAAGATTTAAGCCCTTGGATTGATATGACAAGTCCCCTTTAAGATCTCTCTCAGCTATATGGTTCTTCAAATTTATGTTGCCTACTATGATTCATTTGTCTTTGCTTCCATAACCTCCACACTCTCTCCCTCTAGCCCCGACATTCAAGGTCTGCTTTAAGTCCCAGTTGAATTAAGAGTGACTGAGATTTGGAACCAAAATAAGCTCAGGAGGTCTATGGAGGACTATGATATGGTGCTACCATCAATAAATGTAAAACAAAGGCATCATAAATAAAAAATAAAAACATCAGCAGAATTGAGAAACAGGGACAAAAAGGGCTCCTTATATATACTCAATCAGCCAAGCTCTTTTCTGTTTCTTTTTGAAAACACACATCCTCCCATCCTCCCACCATACGAATCTAGCCTTTCCAAGGGGTTAATGTTACCTGCCACAACCACATACAACTGGCACAAAACAGACAAGTGTTTAAACAACATATGCTCACTTGCTTGTCTCTCCCCAACTCACGCTGAATGGATCAATCCCCCTGCCCATCCTCCCGACCTGGCCACACCCCACCATCCCTGCACACGGAGCAGCAGCAGTGGCTGGGTCTTGAGGGACGATGTAAATATAGGCTGCAACAGGAGGATGCAAGGACATACAACGGAGGGGGCTGCATGGCACCTGGGGTGGGACTGAAGGATGGTCCTGCAATCGAAGGGGACAGCTGCTGAGGAAGCCTCCTCTCGCTGCCCAATCCCACTGAACCCTGCTATTCTTACTAAAATTGAAAATATTTTCTACCATCAGGACTCAAAACTCAAAGATAAAGGTATGAAAATGGGGAGGGGGGTTGAAGGCATGGATGACAGGAGGTGACTCCCATCACCTGGGGTACCAGGACTGACTGAGCCAACTGGTGACTAGGCCTTTGGCCTCGCCTCGCCCTACACTCTGCTGCAGCCTGTCAGCACCATTGCTGCTCAAAGCAGAAGAGCTTGCCAGATAAGGGAGGGATTCTCTCTGGAGGTGGGCCCAGAAGAAGAAGGTACCCCATGCCTACCTCCCCTGCTTTCCTCTTCACCTCAGATTCTGGTTCAGAGCCACTTACCTTTTTCTTCTTCTTCAGAATCACTTTCACTCCATCCACTGAAACCATAATGCTCACTTTCTTCTTCTTGATGTTCTTGGCTTTAAACTCATACTGCAAGAAAGAAGAAAACAAAAAGAAAGTGCAATCTGATGAGATCAGTGCATCTATACAGACCCAGCTAGCCCATGCCTGGAAAAAAGGTCCCCAGACAGGTGTGGGGAATAGCTCCTGGGGGCAGGGAGCACCTCGGGGGATGTAAAAGCAGGTGGATGTCTCAGGCAATCTCTGGGTTAGAAACGGGACTCTGAATAGTCTATACCACTTCTCAGCCATCAGCTAGCTACCCTCATGAGATGAAAACATAGCCTATTTGGAATATCCCATAAAAAATCAGAACCTTCCCTCAATAACTCATTCTATCATTTAATGACTTCCACGGTCAGGCAAGTATTCCTAGTGTCTCATCAAAGGCTACAGAAACTACATTCCATCCTCAGCAAAGACTAACAGCTGGAACCAATCTTCACATCAGGGTTTTTTACACACTGAAAGATAATTATGAATTCTCAATTACTCTCTAAAAGTTCAATTTCAAATTTCCTTTATCTGTGAGTCAGTCTACAAGTCTACCCACAGCCCTGCTAGCCTGAAGATTTTGGCACATCTAGAAAAGATATGGCCTCAAAAACCATGTATTTGTTAAGTTTTATTTAATTATATTTTTAATTGACAAATAATTGTACATATTCATGGGGTATATAGTGACAACCCCTGTGTTTTGAACTCTTATTTGTAGTTCTAGACAGGGATGCTCCAACCACAGACCCATACTGCTGATGGATGTTGGCGTCATCCTCAATCTCAGCTCTTTCTGGTACATTTGTTCATTCATAGCCATCTCTTAACACTTGTGTAGCTATTCATAACTGGTGGTATAATTCTACATTTTCCTCAGTGAACTTCATTTTGAGCACTTCTCCAGTTTATTAAAACCATTTTCATCTGATTCCCATCTTACTATCACCGCCTAGCAAACTTCACTTGCAAGCTCTCCAATCAAACATCTGGGCTACAGATTAAAAATTAAGATACACAAGACCCAAAGCCCACCCACATCCCTTCTCCGGGACCTTTTATACTCAAGACCTTCTCCTACCATGTTGCCACTCAAGCCTGGAAAAAGGCACCTAACACCTTGACAGTGCATCTGAAACCTAATTATTTCTACAGTTAGCATTGATAGGCATGAACTTAATCCATCCTAATGAGATAAAAACATAGCCTACTTTGGAAATCTCATTAGAAATCCAGAACCTTCTCTTCACTGTGCCTTTTAATATTCTGATGTTACAAACTCAACTCAGAGCTTCCTACTGTCCTGAGTCTATCCTTTTCACTAAAATCTCAGATCTTCTATTCCACTGTACAGAGTTATTGTTGATACTTCTTGGCTATCTGTTTCCACAAGAAACATTCTTGTCTCTACAAGAATAGGACCTCACTAACTGAGGTAAGAGATCCTTCTTCACGTTGTCATTGCAGGCTCTGGTCACAGCTGATTTGAGTGTCCTGGTGACAGCAACCTACATCATTGATGACCACAACCTACATCACTCCCAGTCTGGTGGTCACTTCCCCACCTCCACTCTACCCTGTCAGCAGCTCTTCTTTTACCAAGGGGCCCTGGAAGAAGAGCAAACCAGAGCAGCAAACACACGGAGACAGGAGGAAACTCCACTTCAGCCCAGGAACCCCAGGCCAACTAACAGTAAAGAGTAAAGGGGAAACGGGAGGCAGAGAGGGAGATGGAGACAGAGAAGAAGAGGCGCATCTGACAGGATTTTTTTTTTGCACTGGAGTCTGGCTTAGGTAGGACAGGACCTCAGCCATATAACAAATTCCTCTCTAGGTCAGCAGCCACAAACCAGCGAAGGTTAAAGTTGGTTTGATTGGCATGCACTTGAGGACATGGCTCCAGTTTGCATTGTGTCACCCTGACTGCAGCATTCTGCTCAGCTGCAGTGCTGGATGAACTCAAATAACCTCTGGGTGGGAGAACCGGCATTACAATCTGCAAGTCGGCTGACTTTGGCCTTGTGCCTACTGAGAGGTGAACCAGCTACATTTCCTGACCACACCTGCATTTACCTCCAGTCACTTGGGCTTTAATAAACACAACCTTCCAGCTGCACCTCCCTTCTGAACGAGTCACTAAAATCAGGCTGCTCCTGCCGGCCAAAGGAGTACAGAAGAGTGTGTCTGATGCACTCAGGTGGAAGTTAAAGGCTGAAGAGTCCCAGAAACACCCAGAAGAGGGCAAAACCTACCCTAGACAGGTTGGACCTCAACTCTTTTATTGTTCTTTGGTCTCTTACAGTATATCACTTTCATATGCCCCATATACTTCTCTTTTCTAACAATAAAATCAAAGCAGAAATATCAAGTACCTACCTCTGCAAAACACTACATCATTCTCCCCAGTCCTGGTTTTAGAGAACATATTGCCTGCTATGCCATAACCTTAAATGTCTTATATTTCTGGAAGAATGTTGTAGTTGACCATATCTCTCTTTCTTGCTTTGTCCACCTCCCTGTTGGTTTCACTCTCTCTGTGGCCTTTATTAATCATGATTTCTTACCCGAGCATAGCAAGAGGCACCCAGCCAGCTCCTTGCTTGTGTATCTGAAACCTTATCTATTTCTACAGTTAGTATTTTGGCAGGCTTGGCCATGCCTTTTAATACCTTCGTCTTAAGAACTCAAAAGTGCAACTGAACTTTCTCTTTAGAACTGGAAACAGGTCTCTAATTCAATCACCATGCACATAGTTCCCAATGGCTCTTACAGGGTCTGTGGGCACAGTCACTGCATGAAAAAGCATGACCAAATGATTTCTCCCAAAACCTCAATGATGGTGACAACACAGGTGCTCCTTACAATAGCTGGTGGAATGCTCTGGAGTCCTTCAAAATGAAGATGGACAAGAGAGGCAGGAAATAGGCCTCCAGGTTCCATCACGGCTGCCAGAACTGCCTGAGTGCTATTTATAAGGACTCTTGGGTTGGACACACTCTGCATCTTCCCCACCTGCCTGCTGGTCAGATGTCCCATACCCTTTCCAATAGAAAAATTAAAATTAACTTGCAATTATGTTGGAAACTAGGAAAATAAAAGGAAATCAAGTATCTGAAAATGCTTGAATATTTATTATCATTAAGCCATTTGTTTATATGGCAATTATGCTTTGCTTGGACAACATGTTATTGTGTTCACTGAGGGGTGAGAAAATGAATTTGGACAGAGGAGAGATAATGGAGTAACCACAAGAATGGAGAAGAGAAGGGGCTCTCAGGGACAAATCCTCCTTTTTCCCAAACTGACGGTGCTGCTCCAAGGTGGAGCACTGCCTGGGCAGGTGAGCTCTG
Source organism: Homo sapiens (assembly GCF_000001405.40). Lineage (NCBI taxonomy): Eukaryota > Metazoa > Chordata > Mammalia > Primates > Hominidae > Homo > Homo sapiens. The sequence goes on along the minus strand of NC_000001.11, from coordinate 162,284,029 downwards.
GAGGAAGCATCTGTGTTCCACAGGACAGGAATCCAATCTGCTCAGGCTTTGCCAGGGGCTGAAGAACAAACAAGACTGCTGGTGCCACCGTCTGTGGCTCAGACCAGCCTCCCACAAAGCCCATGCCAGCCCTGCAGTCTGTGCCAACGGGCCTGGCCCTCCCTGAATATGGCCAGGCTGATCTGATGCATTTGCTTTGCCAGCCAGAGCCCCACCAGCCTGGACAGATGAAGCCCTACAGGACTTGACCTTTCAGGGAACAAAACAATGCAAGTCCTGGAACACCACCTGCAGACTGGAAAGGCCAGGGGAAAGTGTCTGGGGTTTCACAAATAGAGCCTTGGGACCTTGTTTTGGAATAGTGGCCTTGGAACTTAATGTGCCGTGCCAGTCAGTGAGGTCCAGGAAGGGGAAGCTGGGAAAAGCATCCAACAGGAGCCAGGAGTGAACACTCAATGGAAGACATGAGTAAGAACATCGATGAGAAGTTGGAAAGCTGCTGACAGATCAGCAGCCTCATTTCTAATCATCTCCTGACACCCCAGTGCTTCCTTTTTCCCAACTTCCCAAACTGCCTCCTAACCCTATATATCTCTGTCCTGGTCACTGAGTATCCAAGAAGGGGAAGCCAGAAGTCTGCAACAGCAGAGTGGGCATCTCATGAAGGGACCAGCCAGCCCTAAACCTGAGGCTATACTTCAGAAACAGAAGGAATAGAATTACTTCCTCAGAGTCCAGGGGAAGGGCTGGGGCCATCAGATGCTCCTCACACATTTAGCAGTCTGTTTTCACAAAAATGTGTAGCTCCCTAAAGAATCCCTGGATGTTTGAAAATACCTGATTTTTAACATATATTATATATATATGTTAAAAATATATATGTATATTAACATATCCATGGATTTTTAACACACACACACACACAGAGAGAGAGAGAGGGAGAGCGAGCAAGCAATAAAGAGAGAGAGAGAAAACAGGATCCTTGGTTCTTCAGTCACCTTGGCCAGAAATAATTTGGCTGGTGATACACTCTCTCACCTGCTTCATAGGAAGCAGGTCTCCCTCATTCTTAACCATAAAATTCATTTTGCCAAGTCCTTCTCACTGTCTCTGCAATGCTTACAGATGTCAGCCAAGACCTGCTTATGAGTCAAGGTGCTCAAAGGCAACTTCACCAAGGGGAGAGGATTCAGTTTGCAAAGGCAAACACTATGCCAGGCTCTGTAAGTCCTTGACTGTGTTCACTACCTATCTAGAAGGAGCTTTGGAGCTTCGCTTCTTGCAAATGATCACAGGAAATTTAAAAGTGGACTCTGACAGTGCTGCTGGGCATTCCAATCATATTCTGTCTATAGTCTCGGTTTCAGGAGTGTGAGCAGATCTCCAAAACAAAACCATAAGCACCTCTACCAAAGGTACTGTCTCACAAAGGGTTTTCAGAAAGTCCTTTTGCATGTATTATGTGATGTGACAGTCTAAAAATTTAGACAGTAAGATACAAAATCTGAGTATACCCATGTTCACAGCAGTATTTACAATAACCAAAAGGTAGAAGCAACCCAAATGTCTATCAATGGATGAATGGATTCACAAAATGTGGTGTATACATACAATGTAATATTATTCAGCCTTAAAAAGTTAGGACATTCTGACATATGCTACAACATGGTTGAATCTTGATGACAAATGGAAAATATTCTATGATTCCACTTATATGAAGTCCCTAGGGTTGTCAAACTTACAGAGACAAATAATAGGGGCTGAGCAGAAGGGGAAATGGAAGTTGTTTAACAGGTACAGAGTTTCATCTTTGCAAGATGAAAAAGTTCTGGAGATGGATGGTGGTGATGGTTGTACAGCAATGTAAATATATTTAATGCCACAGAACCGTACACTTAAAAAGGGTTAAAATGGTATTTTTATTTTTTCCAGATGAAGTCTCACTCTTGTCCCCCAGGCTGGAGTGCAATGGTGCAATCTCAGCTCACTGCAACCTCTGCCTCCCAGGTTCAAGCAATTCTCCTGCCTCAGCCTCCTGAGCAGCTGGGATTACAGGCACCTGCCACCATGCCCAGCTAATTTTTGTATTTTAAGTAGAAACGGGGTTTCACCATTTTGGCCAGACTGGTGATCTGCCCGCCCCAGCCTCCCAAAGTGCTTGGATTACAGGCGTGAGCCACCGCGCCCGGCCTAAAATGGTAAATTTTATGTCATGTATATTTTACCACAATACAAAAATGCAAAATCTAAAACACCATGTAACAAACACATTTGTTCTCACGGCAAGTCCACTTAAATTCTGCTCACGAAATGATATTTCTGGAACTCCCCCACATGCAAGTTAAACATGCCATAGTTTTCCACACTTCCATGTAATTGCATTTGCTATTCCCTATGCCTAAAATGCCCTCCCCACACCATCTGCCTGGTGAACTCTTGTTTATTCTTGAAATATCTGCTCACACTTCTACACAGTGAAGCCAACTCCCGCTTCCCATATCCTCCCACAGAGTTGGTTACTACAGCAATATGCAAGCCTCTATTATCACTCACTGTTGATTGGTTGATTATTTATTTATCCCACAGGCCATACCCTTCATGAGAGCAAGAAATATGACTGATACATATTTCTACCCAAGAAAAGAGACCAGGACATAGGAGGGTGATAAATGAATGTCAAAGTAATGAATATAGTTGACAGTGGTTATTCACAGAGCCCAAGAAAAGGCACTGTATATAAAGTAAGCCTTCCAGAAGTTAATTACCAAATTATTAAAATCTGGATTCCATTCCGAAGTGCAAGGACTTTAAGAACTAATCTTCCTTATATGGTCCATGGTCCACAGCACAGTACTGAGCACTTTATCTATGCTTGATACAGCCTTTTAAAAATGAAATCCTGTAGAGCTGTCATTATTGGCCAAAGCCACTCGTAATCATTTGACTGTACAGTTAGGAGTAATGATTGGGGGGATGGTCGTGAGATGAATTTCTGTTCTGTGGGCTACCCAGCTTCCTTAACTTCTGGCTCTTATGCCTATGGAACCAGAATCTTGGGGGCAGGGTTCCTGAGAACCATGGCAGTTTCTAATACTGATGTGTCTTGTATTGTTGATTTATATAAAATCTCAGAAATGCCAGCATGACCAACACCAAAGTTTGAAATGAATCTAAATTCCAGAATATCTATGAGGAGTCTTGGAAACACTGGGTAGAGACATTTATTTCCCATCTACCTACCTCAATCCCAGCATGACTTATTTTTGCAATAGATATATTATTGAAAATTGGGTATAAATAAAATCTCTGCAATCTCCAAAATACTCAAAAGGAACCACAGAAGCTACTTTTTAAAGAAATATTCATTGTCATTATATAGAAATGAAGTATCATCCTACTTTGTAGACCAAGGAGATCTAAAACTCAAGTTCTAAATCCCATTTGGAATACTTGATAAAAAGGCAGAATCACAGGCCCAGGCTTTAGAAATGTTTATTCAGCAGATCAGAAGTACGGCCAAAAGTTGGCGTTTTTTAAAATGCACATGGTAATGTAGACCATGCTATTCAGAAACACTACTTTGGGCCACAAAAGCAAGGATTATTATACATTTTTATTTGCATTAAGAATTGCCATAAACTAATCAATGTGTCTTAATCATATATGTACTATTTTTTAAGTATAGCTATTCTTGTAACAAGATAGATTCTTATGAAAGTGCTATTGCTAGTTGTTGTCATCCATTTTCTAAATCAAAAGCTAATAAAATAAAAAGTATTACTTTGGGAGGAAATTCCACAGAGTGCTAAGCATTAGGTATTCATACTTTACCTTTCATACATTTTTTACATCTGAAATATTTCTTTATTATTTATTTAAATAGAAACAGAGTTTTGCTATGCTGCCCAGGCTGATCTCAAACTCCTGGACTCAAGCAATCCTCCCACCTCGGCCTCCCAAAGTGTTAGGATTACAGACATTAGCCACTGCACCCAGCCTGAAATAGTTCATTAAAAAATTTATAGAGGAAACTTTGTATTTGAAATGTTTGAGGCCACCAGGGTTGACCAAGCTTTTCATCTTATAGATGAAGAAACCAGTGCCCAGGGATGATAAGAGACTTCCCAGGTTCATTAGCAGAAAACCCATATCTGGAACCTACATCTCCTGACTCTTGGCTCTGTGCTTGTTATGTTCCCCAACACTTGTGTCTTTTAGTAGCTCAGAATCATGGCTCCAGGAAATAAAATTCATTCATTCATTCCTCCATTCATTCAATACATGGTTAATGAGCTGTCTCATGAGCACACAAACCCCATTTTATAACAGAAAGCAAGAAGAGAAATAAGAACATATTGGAAATTAACTTCACAGGACCAGGAACATTCCACACCCAGGGACACATGTCAATAACGTGGGAAGGGTATGAAATACCAGTGAGGACAGAAAAACATGGTAAAGAGACCTTCTGAACTTAAGGAGGGCTTTGGGGCAGGAAATATTCAAGCTCGTTGCTGTTTGGAACGTTGAGAAGGTGGAAGAGCGGTTCATGCACACACAGATGTTCTGTGAGGAGGCTGCATTTCCACAGTGTCAGGAGACCAGCATGATGGCATAGGGCAAGTCAAACAGGCCCTGGCATGGAAGGCAGCGGCAGCCTCAAGTGCAAGCAATCTCGGACTGTGTACTCAGGGGAGCTCCAAGTGGCGGTTGCTCCCTGTAGAGAGGAGACGAGATAGCCCCGGGAATACAGCCATCACTTTTCTCTGACCAGGAGCATGCTGACAGGTCACGGGTAGCTGAACAACAACCTAAATGATTAAGGGGCCTGAAGGGCTGATTTATGAAGCAAGATGAGTACCAGTACTAACAATCATCTGCTGCTTTCAGCTGCTTTCTTCTCTATATCTCTCACAGCATGTTAAAAACAAGTATTAGAATCTTCTCTTCTTTAAGTAAAAAAAGAGACAGAGGTGGATGGCAAGATAAAAATACAACAGTATAAACCCTACTCCGGTCAATTCTATCATTCTCCACTAATATCTAGCCTAGACTGTCCTCTAAACTCCTCTAAATGGTTAATATATGATGTAAGTAGGAAGACTAGAGACATTAAACAACGTTCCTGGCAGAAAGCAAAGGTACTTATTTAAGGTGATGAATGTCCCAGTCACCCTGATTTGATCGTTACAATCTATATGAATGTATCAAATTATCACATGTACCCCAAAATATACACATCCATTATGCAGCAATAAATAGTCTTGCAGAGGAGTGGGGCAGAGATAACACTGTTACCACAGTATGATTCATATCTACACACACACACACACACACACACACACACACACACACACACACACACGTAGAAGGAGTAAACGTTTCCTAGTATTTAGAAGAGTCATGAATCAAGGATTTACGGTTTTCTGCCTCAGACCAAAAGTGGGTATGAGACAAATGATGAATCCTTTTGTCTTTCTAGGGCTCAATTTACCTCTCTTGAAAAGAAGGTAATCAATCATGTTTAATAAACCTCCCAGCACCTCTCACTATCTGCCACACACATCCCACACTTACCTTGTGAAGTTAGGTTAAACAATTTGCATGAAGTATTATGAAGTCAAAGAAGCTACACTGAATAGTAATGCTATTTCACAGCAAGTATTCACATTCTTAGCTACGTGACCTTGAGCAAGCCACCTACCCTACAGAAGGGTATAATTCTTCCCTTCTGTGAAGCCAGGGTATTGGGTTAGATTACACCTTCCCAGCTCTAAACATGACTCAATGTGATATGAACCTTCATAGCTCTTGTAGGAAGAGTTAGATGGGCAGGCACACTTGAGGAAGGTGGGGCAAATGTATACCAACATAGAAATGAAGGCATTTGGTGAGGCCAGGTCAATCCCAGAAGCAAGGGAAGAGGATGGAAGGCAGAAAGGATGCAGACAGATGGGGAAAGTTCTAAAATGGAAAAGAAGTTACTATAGTTTTGCATAGAAAGTAGGAGGGTGCTTAAGGGTTTTAAAAAGAGTGAAAAATAGAGGTGCAAATCCTGAACATAATCTTGGCAACAGCACTAAGGAATCAGGAAGAAGAGACACTGTAAATGAGAAATCTAGGAAAGACTAGAGACATGTATCAAGCACTGCATAGTAAGAATAAAGAAAATATCTGGATGAAATCACTATATAGACTGAGAAGCAGAATAAGGAAGTGGTCCCTAAATCCCTTGCCTGGAAAAGGTAGCAATGTTTTCACCAATGCCAGCACAGGTGAACACAAGAATGTGTTATACATTGAAAAAGTCTATCTTGCACTGGAGAATCAGGTAATAGGAGCTAGACAGGATGTGGGGGTCACACAGCCATTCATGTGGGACTGCTTTTCCTATGCTCTCCCAAGTCTTCTACCCGTTGAATTTCCCCATAGTACGCTTAGGGTGAGCTTAGACTTTCTAACATGATGAGCAAGAGATAAGGGTAAATTTGGAAAACCTGTGCTTGCATTCATCCATTAGGATAATACAAGTTCCAGATGTAAGGTGGCTGGGAAGAGAGAAACTACAGTAGGCAGAACTGATGGCCCCAGTGAATATTCGTGGTATAATGAAAGGTATGATGAAGAAGGTAATTCTTGAGAGATACTGAAGAAACTATTTGAGAAGGAGGAGGAAAATAATAAAATCAGAATTTGGAGGGCTCTCGAAGTCACAGTGTTGTCTCTGTCGAGCAATCATTCAGCCTCTAACAGAATACTGGCAGCTCTCTTTGAAAAGTAGTTTCTTACAATAAAACTGGAAGCTACACCCAGAAGATTCCACTTATATGATTCTCTAAACTGGTGCTTCTCAAACTTGAAGGTCCATATAAATCACTCAGGGACCTTGTTAATTTATAGGCCATTCTGCAGGTCTGGGGAGAGCCAAGGGTTCTTTATTTCTAGCGTAGTCTCAGATGATGCTGACACTACTGGTCCACAGACCACACTTTGAGAAGCAAGGAGCCAGAACCACAGTATGTAAGTCCAAAAGGTATTTGGATATGTCAGCTTTGTGAACTAACCATCTCTAAGGTTTCTTTCAGTGCTAACATTCAATGATTCCTACCAATTATATATGTCAATATTCTGAGTTACATAAAAATTGAGACATGAGGTGTTTCTCAGGAACAACCACCTTAAGATGGCCCCAAATCAAACTCTAACATACAACTCTCATACATAAATGATATAAATACAGTAACCAATACACAAGTTCCCAGAATGGAGGGGAATCTGAAGTTATTGACTTCTTTCAAGGCATAATAATTATCTACTGTCAGTAGGTGGCAATATTTCCTCGGGGTTATGGGATTGTAAAGTGGAACCATGGTTCCCAGCCTGGGCTGTAAACTAGAGCCAACTGGGAAACTTAAAAAATACTGGTGTCTGGATCCCACCCCCAGAAGTTTTGATGTAATTGGTCTAGAGTGCAGCCTGGACATTGGGCTTTTTTTTTTTTTTTTAAGCTACCCAGGTGATTCTCATGAGCAGCTAAGACTGAGGTCCACTAAAGTAGAGTGAGGTTTAGCAGACCATAGAAACTAAGAAGTCAGTGCTGGTCATCAAGTCACTCCTGATTCCCTGCGTCTCCCCGTTCTTCACTGGGACTGACTGATGCACCACATGATCTCTATTCCATCTCATCTTCTCTTCCAGCCCATCACCATAGGTAACTCCAAAGCTGCACCAGACATTACGTCGTCCAAATTTCTATGACAACAAATGAACTTGGGTGAAGAGATGCCAGGATGGTTTATGTAGGAAGAGCACTGTTTTCTGCAGGACTGTTTTCACCATAGCAAAGTGCCATAACCCAACTCATCCCCAGTACCAGCCTTGACTCCGAGGGTCAGTAAATTTTTTTCTGTAAAAGATAAAGTGGTAAATATTTTATGTTCTGAGAGCTATGTGATCTTTGTTGCAACTATGCAACTCTCTTGCTCCAGCACAAAAACAGCCATAGACAATACAGAGATAAATGAGTGCAGCTATGTTCCAATAAAGCTTTATTTATAAAGGCGCTCAGTGGGCCAGAGTTGATCCATGAGCCATGGTTTGCCAACTCCTGCCTTACCTCATTTGAGTTCCCTCTGAATTTTCTGTCTCCGCTCTATTAAAGCATGTGGCATTACCAAGCACAACCACTGTGACATCCAGAGTGCAGGAAGGAGTCTACTGGATAGAGACTGAAATGCGTGGGAGGGCCCCCGAAGACAGATGAGATTTGAACATGGATCCAAAGCAGAGCAAGGTGACTATTCAGAAACGAGGATGAAAATGGGAAGAAGCCCCCACTACAAACTGCAAAATCCTAATCCTGGGATTATTTTCCCATAGGAAAAACAATCTGTGATGTGAGGCAGGTTTCCCCCTCCAACTATGATGGAAATCTAAAGTCAAACTTGACAGGGAAAGAGAATGAACTACTGAGAGTGAGATGTGACCAGATCAGGCAAAAAACCAAAATGAACATGAAAATAAACCTCATACCTTATGCCAGAAATAATTCAAAGTGCATCACAGGCTTAAGTGTAAAACTATAAAACTTTTAGAAGAAAATGGTAGGCAGATCACCTGAGGTCAGGAGTTCAAGACCAGCCTGGCCAACATGGTGAAACCCCATCTCTATTAAAAATACAAAAATTAGCCGGGTGTGATGGAGCATGCCTATAGTCCCAGCTACTCAGGAGGCTGAGGCAAGAGAATCGCTGGAACCCAGGAGGCAGAGGTTGCAGAGCCAAGATCGTACAACTGCACTCCAGCCTGGGTGACAGAGTGAGACTCCGTATCAAAAACAAAAAACAAAACAGAAACAACAACGACAACAAAAAACTTTGTGACCTGGGTTTATATAGAACTTCTACATATGATACCAAAAGCATGATCCATAAAAAATAAAAAACTGATTAATTGAACTTCATAAAATTAAACTTGCTCCGTGGAAGCCAGTTTTAAGTGAATGAAAAGACAAGTAATAGACTGGGAAAAAATGCTTGCAAATAGGACACCTGACAAAAGATTTGTATCCAGAATACATTCATATAAAGAACTCTCAAATCTCAACAGCTGTAGACAACACCCGAAGTAAAAAATGGGCAAATGACTCAAATGGACACTTGATTAAAGGGGATATATTGAAAGCAAATAAACACATGTAAAGAAACCAACAAGTTTTGGTAGTTGGTTCAGTGTTTTTGTCTAACAGGAGGAATTGAGACAGGTGAGGCTCATGCCTAGGAAACAAGGCTAAAAAATTATATCTGCCCACTGGGATTTTTAAAGTCTGAATCTTGAGCTCCAGGGCCTATTGAAACACACTCAGACCTGATTACAGCTCCCTAAGACAATAGGGTATTCACCCAAGTCTGGAATAATGGCCTCCCATGAAAAGATGTTCAATATCATTAGCTGTTAGGGAAATGCAAATTAAAACCACAGTAAGATCCCACTATATACATATTAGAATAGATAAAATTAAAACAACAACTAAACACTGTATGGTAGATGCACCTGACAGAAATAACAAGAAATTAGGGTTGCCACATGCAGGTTGCTGAGGGAAGTGTGCCAAGTGAGGGTGCTATATAAACTGCATGCTTTTTACAGGCGGTTATCATTCTCCTCTCCAGCCTGCAGCCACTGGACCGTCTCTGTAAGTTCCCCCAAATAAACCACATGTTTTGTTCACCGGTTCTGGGTCTCTCCTCCGGCCTCTTGAACCTGGTGCCATCCCTACTGAAGTCAACAGGGTCCAGCACAACAGACGCCAAACACCGGGGAGGATGCAGAGCCACTGGACTTCTCACGCATTGCTGAAGGAATGGAAAATAGCACAGCCAAAACTAATTTAGCAGTCTCTTAGAACGTTAAACATACACTTACCATATGACCCAGCATTACCTCAGCTAAGTGTTTACCCTAGAGAAAGGGAAAGTTATGTTCCCACAAAGACCTGTACATGAATGTTTAACAGCTCTATTATAATTACCAAAATTAGAAACGACTCAAATATCCTTCCACAGGGTGAATGGATAAGCAAATTGTGGTATATCCATATAATAGAATACTACTCAAAAATAAAAAGGAAAATAAGCAGTTCATGTGTGATACAGTATTGTTACAGAAAGTTAGAGGGGAATTGGTTGAAATGTAAAACAAATTTTTAACAAATAAAAAGGAATGAACTACTGATACACACAAAACTTGAAAGTATCTCTACCTTGATTGGGGTGAAGGTTACATGAATCTATACAGACACATAAATTCATAATACTATACCCCCAAAATCAATTTTACTGTTAATTTTAAAAATAAAATGAAAATTAAAGTCCTTTGGGCTGGATGAAGTGTCAGGATAGGAGATGCTTCCCAAACTCCTCCTCCTCAGGTGGAGTGAATGAAAACCTTGCCCCCAGGCCTCCAAGGTTAGCACAGACTGAATGTGAGGGATACCCTCTCCACTGCAGTGCAAAGCACAGAGACAATTCTGAACTAACTGTTCCCAGGTCAAGAACAGAGGCTTCGGCCGGGCGCGGTGGCTCACGCCTGTAATACCAGCACTTCGGGAGGCCGAGGTGGGTGGATCACGAGGTCAGGAGATCGAGACCATCCTGGCTAACACAGTGAAACCCTGTCTCTACTAAAAATACAAAAAAAATTAGCCGGGTGTGGTGGCGGGCGCCTGTAGTCCCAGCTACTCAGGAGGCTGAGGCAGGAGAATGGCGTGAACCCGGGAGGCGGAGCTTGCAGTGAGCCGAGATCGCGCCACTGCACTCCAGTCGGGGCTACAGAGCCAGACTCCGTCTCAAAAAAAAAAAAAAAAAAAAAGAACAAGGGCTTCCAGAGTTGTCCTGCAGAGCAGGCCAGGAGAATCTCATACTGGCTTCAGAAGATAAGGGAAGTCTTCCCAGACACAGAGTCCCCTCCAGCCTATACACAGCCAGTCCAGGCACTGGTAGGGTCACTAAGCTAGGGCAATGGACACCCATGAAGGTCATCCAGCTGCTATGGTACCAAGTCATGGTCAACTCAGTCTGGTAACTCAATCCCTATGGGAGGTTATTATTCCATTATTGGAGGAATAATGGAATAATGGGAGCTGCAGTGAGGCCCAGACACGTCTCTGTAGGCTCTGGGGCTCAAGATATAGAACTCTAACATTTCAACGGGCAGAAATAATTTTTCAGCCTAGTTTCTCAGAGCAAAAGTCTCACCCCAGTCTCAGCTCTTCTGCCCATAGCAACACTGAACCAACTACTTTGTTGGTTTCTGAACACCTCTGCCTTCTGACTGAATCCACACAGGCTCACATATATGGGACTCAGACAAAAGGACAAGATAAATAACGAGCACATGCCTGAGCAGCCAGTAGAGAAAAGGCCTGCAGGGTGGCAGCTGATGAAATCATCAGGCGATCACCAGTTCAAGAAGGGGAACATCTAGTGTATTCAGTTCTTCCTCGCGTCATCTCTATCAATTCATCTTTTCGTGTTGCTGCCTCTCTGGGTGAGTTTCTCCTCCTTGGAGCCTCAGATGTCTGTGCTTCAGCCCAGCACCTCCATGGACACAGGAAATCTATGTGTTTGGCAGCATCCCCAGCTTCAGCCAGCCATTCTTCTGGAATACATGCAGCAGGATTCCCATCCTGTTCTCCACACACGAGAACAGTGGGAAGTGATAAAGGAGGTTGTTGTGGGATAAATGTTAGTGTACCTCTAGAATTCATGTTGATGTCCCAGCTTCAAGGAGGTGGGAACTTCAGGAGGAAACTGGGTTTAGATGACGTCAAGAGGGTGGGCCCCGCATGATGGGATTACTGTCTTATAAAAACAGTACTTGCCAGGAGTGGTGGCTCATGCCTGTAATCCCCACACTTCAGGAGGTTGAGGTGGAGGATTGCCTGAGGCCAGGAGTTACAGACCAGCCAGGGCAATATAGTGAGACCCTGTGTCTACAAAAAAAAATTAGCTGGCAGTCCCTACTCAGGAGGCTGAGGTGGGAGAATTGCTCAAGCCCAGGAGTTCAAGTCTAGATAGAGCCATGCCACTGCACTCCAGCCTGGGTGACAGAGTGAGACCAAAAAACAAACAAACAAACAAAAACAGGACTAAGGGAAGCACACAGCAGGAAGGCAGCCATCCACAAGCTAGGAAGATGGTCTTAACCAACCCAGCCATGCTGGCACCTTGATCTCAGACTTCCAGCCTCCAGAACTGTGAGAAACAAATGTCTGTTGTTTAATCCACCCAGTCTATGGTATTCTTTTATAGAAGCCCAAGCTGACTAAGATAAGAGTTGTTATAGGAAATCAAGAAAGTCATTGGTCTGAGAGGAAAACAGCGAGCTGGCTGGTCATGATGACATCTGAGAGCTAAGCTCATGCTCTGAGAACCAGCACACACGAAAGGCTGAACTGATTTCTTCCATTCAAAGGCTGCCTACTCTTCCATAATATTAATGCTGGGATATTAATTCTAACTCATGTATTGAGCATTTTACACAGTGGCCTTTTATAAATATCAGAGCACTTTCATATCTATTATCCTATTTAGCCTCGGCTGGTGCTCACCACGTGGCCCTCATACTTTCTTTCCATAAGTTATTTCCACCACACTTGCCTTGCTCTTCAATATGAAAAAAGTAAACACTCTCTACATCACTGGACTTCTGGGTAGTATCCCAAGGATCATGCTGGGGGGTGGGGGGTACCATCGCTGGACTCCTGGGTAGTATTCTAAGGATCATGCTGGGGGGTTGGGGGTGCCATCACTGGACTCCTGGGTAGAATTCTAAGGATCATACTGGGGTGTTGGGGGAGGGAAGAAGAACAAAAACTGCACGCACACCCCCCACGACCATTTAAGCCTTCCTGAAACATTATATAACAGGTACTGATCACAAACTTTCTATAATACCCCATTGCCTAAACCAGAAGATCAAAACTGATATTCAACATGTTCTACCAACTGACGCAAAGCAGCCAGCTTCCCTTCTCCCACCAAGCTGCTCTTGAAACGTACATACAGTTACATACATACAGTTTCTAAGCTGTATTCTTCAGAGCCCTGGGTTCAGTGGACGAGCCTCAAAGGCCACTCTAGGGCTGAGAGGTCATGCAGGCAGATATGCCAACCAACCTCTGCCCATCCTGCTTCACCCACAGAAGCTACAGTCCTCAGGTTTAATAAGTTGGAGTTCCATGTGATATTTTGACAAAAGGTTCATCGCTTTAAAAAGAAGAATTCGAAAATCACTGACCTATATAAAATACTACGCTACAATATTTCAATTGCACAGTGGCTTATTCACTGTCTATCCTGAAGAGAAACTGGATTTTCTCATGTCTGCACTTATGTAATTACTACTTTCAAATCCCTCGCTCAGTCCCTTAATCTATCCAAAACATCCCCATAAGTTTTACTTCAAATATCACTTTATAAAAACCTCCTCTGACTACCACAGCTTGAAAGAGTTTCTATACTGCTATGGCAATTAGCACTCAGGGGATTGATTTTATAATAATGTTATATATAAAATACATTTCCTAATATTACACAACACTCTTAACTTGGAACATGGTTCTTTCTCATCTTCTCAACCACACTGTAAATTCTTTGCAGGCAAGCGCTATATAGGTTCAGCTCTTTATCCTCTTTAGCATCTATTACGGGGTTTTCAACCAATTTTAAGGACTTGATCTGACAATACTAAAAGATAGCTCTGCCTGCTGAGTTGAGAATGTAACTCAGGGAGGAAGCAAGGAAATCATTAAGGAGGCCACTTGTCTCCCATGGGGTGAGAAAAGTATACAAGTAACTATGATACCAGGCTTATAAACACTACCCCATACCTAGAGGCAGAATAATCCCAGGCAAGGAGCACACTTCCAGTGGGCAGGTCCCTGACTAGTTGCCATTTAATGTTCCCCTTCCATCTATTTTTAATATATTTGTTTATTATAATGGCTATTACAAATAATAGTCATAGTCTCATGAAACCTCAGAACTGATGGGCCCATGTAATTTTATCATTTGCAGATTAACACCCTTAGACTACCAGCTCAACACTGTGACAAGTTATTTTAGTTGGGAGACCACAGACCCACCCCGTTTGACCTATTTCTCTTTTCCTAAGAACTTAACAACTTTTAGGAAATCAGGCTACTGAGTGAACTACACGTAAATTACTCTCTTTCCTGATTTTTCAAAAGGAAATTGAAAAAAAAAATGGTATCTATAGTATAGCCCTTTGGAAAAATCTCTAATGGCCACCTTGTTTTGTAGCAATCATCACATTCTGAGCCCAAATCAAAGGATCTTCTATGACTGAGTTCCATAACAATATGTCATTTTAACAATTTATTAGCTTGGAATAATTGTGCCAAAAAGAAAACTATTTTTCTCCAGGCAAAAATGAACTGAGTTCCTTTTAATTTTCTCCAACCCTTTCCTGATCAGGAAGATATTCAGTTGCAACCAATTACATTAAGATTAATTTTCAAAAATAAGTACTGGTTTTTAAAACCTGAATGTGTTTTATCTATTTCCAAGATATCAGCCATTATCCGTTTCTTAAATTAAAGTTACTTTTCAAAAAAGTAGAGAAAGAGTAATTTCACCTCTTTATATCTCAACTCCCCCTCCAGTCACTACAAAGAATAAAAGGAAATTCAATTTTAAGATGAGGATATTATATTTGATAATGAATAATTAAGATAACCAAGGAACTGTAAGGGATATTTTATCTTGAGAAATTGGCTGCAAGGTGACTGATGGCTCTCAAACTCAATGAGCTTAAGTGACAGAGATGACTCTTGCTCTGGTTTTGTGGCCCCCTCTGAGATGGAAAGGGCCAGCTCAGAAGAAATGCAATAGCACAGCTATGTTTGGCAAAGAAATTGATCTTTGGTGTGCTTTGGCTTGCCTGGATCTGCCTGGGGTACTAGTGGCTCCTTTCATTTTCATTGTGGTGATTATTCAGTGGGTCTTTTCACTCTGGAAACTTAAATCTATGAATTTGGAAGTTTTTCTTGTATTGGTTCTTAGGCCAGTTTCCACCTTTTTTTCTGTTCTGTTTTAGAACTCATATTTATCAGATGTTGGACTTCCTAGATTGATTCTCTAATTTGCTAGTCTTTCCTCTTCTAACTTGTATTTCTATTCTAATTTTTTGTTTTCTTCTTTTTTTAAACCTTTCAACCCTTCTACTGACTTCTTTTTTAGTTTGAATATATTTTTAATTTCTGAGAGTTCTCTATTTCTTTTTCATAGAGGCTTGTTTTAGAATGTAGTGTCTTAATTCTATTTTCTGTTTTCAGGTTTCTTTCTAATCCCCTGCTATCTCTGTTTTCTTCAGCTTCCTCCTTCTATTTATTTTGGTCTCTCTCTTTTTCTGCGTTGGAGAGTTTCCTCAAACATCCTGGGATTTTGGGCTGCCCGTCCATATTTAAGAAAGTGGAAGTCAAAGCTGACTAGAAATGCTATGTGAGTGACTAGGGCTTGTTGCCCACAAGGCTTCATTGATGAGTGAGCTTTGTTATAAAGTGATCAGGAAGCAAACTGGCCTTCTAGTTGCAGAAACCTTCACATGTCAAGGCCTGGAGATCTTTTCTCTGGGACCATTCAGTTTATCCAGAGAAAACTCTTATAATAAATATTCTAGAAATAGGGGGGGGGAGCTACAGGGCCACACTAGTTTGGTATAAAGACTTAAGATCTTTTTTTTTTTTTTTCCTATAGACAGAATCTTGCTGTGTCACTCAGGCTAGCATGACACGATCTAGGCTTACCGCAACCTTTGCCTCCTGGGTTCAAGCAATTCTCACGCCTCACTCTCCCGAATAGCTGGGATTACAGGCACACGCCACCATGCCTGGCTAATTTTTGTATTTTTAGTAGAGAAGGGGTTTTAATGTATTGGCCAGGCTGGTCTCAAACTCCTGACCTCAAGTAACCCGCCCACTTGGTCTCCCAAACTGCTAGGATTACAGGCATGAGCCACCGAATCTGGCCTTAAGACCTTTTTAATCATGGCACCTCACTCCCACCTTCTGCAACAACTGGTACTTCTAACATCTTAAGCCTTTCAAGAGTTATCTGGCATCAATCAACTTACTTGCCATCAATAGCCCCTTCTGCAGACCTTGGACTAAAGCTACCTCTGCTCCATTAAGGCTATCAACATACCTTTGTATTCTTTTATTATTTTATTTATTATTTATTTTCCAGAGGCAACGTCTTGCTCTGTTGCCCAGGCCAGAGTGCAGTAGTGCACTCATAGCTCACTGCAGCCTCAAATTCCTGGGCTCAAGTGATCCTCCTGCCTCAGCCTCCTGAGTAGCTGGGACTTAGGTGCCTGGCTAATTTAAAATAATTTTTTTTTTTTTTTTTTTTGTAGAGACAGGGTCTATGTTGCCCAGTCTGGTCTTGAACTCCTGGCCTCAAGTGATCCTCTCACCTTGGCTTTCCAAATGTTGGGATTAAAGTTGTGAGCCACTGTGCCCAGCCCTTCTGTCTTGTAAAAAGTTATTATGAAATCTCTTTATTGACTGTTTCTTCTCCTGTTCTCTTTGTCATAGTGGTTATTCCAGTGGGGCTTCAAGAGAGAAAAGGAGATAAATGCACATCACGGATCCACCAGGTTTAACAACCATTCCCTAACACTGGTGGGGCCCTTTGGGAAAACTCTAGTATAATTCTCCACACCAATTTTAGTGATGCCAAAACTCTGACAGAAGCAGACTTTTTTCACTCCAAACATTAGTTTGGAGATAGATAATTATCTTAATGGGGCAGATACAGCTCTTTGATCTATCTGCTAGTTTTCCACTTACACCAGGCCTACCATACATGGTTCTCTTTCTTTGGCAGTGTCAAAAATCAAAACAATTACTCACTCTATGTCATTGTGATCTGTTTATATTTGTTTGATCATTACCACAGGCAAATAGGGTCAGACAAGATCCACATGAACCACCTCCATTATATTAATGTTATAGAAGAAAGAGAGGATCTGGTACCATAACATAATGATGATACTATCTTCAGAAACTGTACAAAGGGTTTGAGTCTTCCATATGCCTTCCTAAGAAGCCACTTTACACTCAACCTAACAACCACAGATGAGAAGTCATTTCTATGGACTAGAAAAAGGTATCCCCTTGGGAGAAAAGCACAAAAGATCAGAATTATAAGCATCGTAGTATAATATTTTAAATACTTGATAGGTTCTTCTCTAAGGATTAATTATAACAGAAAGCTAGCATTCAGCAGAAGGCAATTCAGAACTATTCTAGCATATGAAGACAGATAAGCTCTTTGGGCAAAGCTTTCAACAATAACACCAAAAGGAACCATGTTTAAGACTCAGTAGCAAGGAAAAGACCATGAACCAGAATGCAAAATTAAAAAGTAATCTTCTTACAACCAGTATTAGATTGGTGGTAGAGACCAGCTAATATCATGTGTTGACATAATCCAAAAGATTGAAAGGTATTTAAGAAGGGAAGAATTTTCTTACCAGGCGATTCATGGTTATGGACTGCCACATCCATCTAACACCTAACCCTTCCTGAATACCATCAAAATTCATCTCACATTCCTGTATCCTTCCCACATGCTTGGTAACATTCTATTCTGCATTTTGCTATTTCTCTTTTACCATTAACTTTTCACTTGTTTACTCAATGAGATGGAAATCCTTGAGGCCAGGGACTTACAGCCCTGAGAACATGGGTTTCAGAATCTATGTAGACTGCTTGTAATCTCCCAATACACACTGCTGCTTCTCCTGCGGTCATAGAAACCCACATTTTTAGCTAGCACATAACCACCCAGAATAACTTCGTTTCACAGCCTCTCTTGCAACTTACGCAGCCATGAGACTGAATTCTAGCCAATGGGACAAAAATAGAAATGACCTGTGGCAGCTCCTAAACACCTGAAGAGACACCACATGCATCTTTGTCCTTTGTCATCTCTCCTTAGTCCCCTCGTCCATCCTACTGTCTGGCCTCGGATAAAGCCATGTTGGACTATGAGGTCAGGGTCATACTAGGCAGAGCAGCACTACATAAGGAGTCAAGATCTCCGATACCATGGGCTACTACACCACTCTGGGACAGGATTTATGTGAGAAAGAGAAACTTCTATCTTGTGTAAGCTTATGTTATTTTAAGGTTTTATTGTTCCTCACAGCTGAGCCTAACAGTAATATAGTCACACAGATTTAGGTTCAACTCATAGCTCAGTCACTTTCTGGCTAAATAATCTCAAGCAAATCAACTGCCCCAGTTTTCTCATCTGTAAAATGGGATCAATGTTACTTAACTCAGATTTATGAGATATACATGGCAAAGAACCCCACAAATCCACATAAAATTGAAACTGCGTATTCTCATAAAGAATACTATGCAGCCATAAAAAAATGATGAGTTCATGTCCTTTGTAGGGACATGGATGAAATTGGAAATCAACATTCTCAGTAAACTATCACAAGGACAAAAAACCAAACACCGCATGTTCTCACTCATAGATGGGAATTGAACAATGAGAACACATGGACACAGGAAGGGGAACATCACACTCTGGGAACTGTTGTGGGGTGGGGGGAGGGGGGAGGGATAGCATTAGGAGATATACCTAATGCTAAATGATGAGTTAATGGGTGCAGCACACCAGCATGGCACATGTATATATATGTAACTAACCTGCACATTGTGCACATGTACCCTAAAACTTAAAGTAAAATAATAAAAAAAAAAAAAGAAAACGACCCTTTAATAGGGAGAAGTAACATAGTCAGGAAAGAGAGGGAAGGCTTCCCTGAGGAAGTGACACATAGAATTTAAAATATAGATAGAAAGTAGGCAAAGAGGACCGGGTGCAGTGGCTCATGCCTGTAATCCCAGCACTTTGGGAAGCGAAGGTGGGTGGATCATTTGAGATCAGGAGTTCAAGGCCAGCCTGGTCAATATGGTGAAACCCCGTCTCTACTAAAAATACAAAAAGTAGCCAGGCGGTAGCGGTGCATGCCTGTAATCCCAGCTACTCGGGAGGCTGAGGCAAGAGAATCGCTTGAGCCTAGGAGGCGGAAGTTGCAGTAAGCCAAGATTGTGCCCCTGTACTCCAGTGTGGGTGACAGAGTGCAACCCTGTCTTGAAAAAAAAAAAAAAAGGTCGGGCGCGGTGGCTCACGCACACTTTGGGAGTAATCCCAGCACTTTGGGAGGCTCAGGCAGGTGGATCAC
The DNA here is from genome assembly GCF_000001405.40 of Homo sapiens. Classification (NCBI taxonomy): domain Eukaryota; kingdom Metazoa; phylum Chordata; class Mammalia; order Primates; family Hominidae; genus Homo; species Homo sapiens. Next base: position 162,264,742 of record NC_000001.11, on the reverse strand, counting down.
CTGAGGTCAGGAGTTCGAGACCAGCCTGGTCAACATGGCAAAACCCTGTCTCTACTGAAAATTCAAAAATTAGCCAGGTGTGGTGGCACATGCCTGTAATCCCAGCTACTCGGGAGGCTGAGGCACGAGAATCACTTGAACATAGGAGGTGGAGGTTGCAGTGAGCCAAGATCACACCACTGCACTCCAGCCTGGGTGACCAGTGAGACTCTGTCTCAAAAAAAAAGAAAAGAAGAGAGGAGAGGAGAGGAGGAGAGGGGAGGGGAGGGGAGGGGAGGAGAAGAGAAGAGAAGAGAAGAGAAGAGAAGAGAAGAGAAGGGAAGAGAAGGGAAGAGAAGAGGAGAGGGCAAAGAGGGATGAGAAACATTCTAAGCAAAGGTCACTGCATAGCCAAAGGCCTTGGGCTGGAGGGATTACAGAGGCTACAAAGGAACTGAAAATCAGCATGACCCCAGGAAAGACAATGAGGACATTAGTAAAGGGAGAAGAGGCTGAAGAGGAAAATAGGGGCACCTTGCAGGCCTTACAGTCCATGTGAAGAAGTATGGCCTTTACCCTAAGAGAGAAAGAAACCAATGGACACGTTTAGGTTGGAAGGATGAAGTGGAACATGGCTGGAGATTCTGATTCCAAAAGCTCATCTTGGTCACAGTATGAAAAACAGGTTCAGCGTGGAGGCAAGTCTGATGTAGATGTAGGGAAACCATTCGGAGGCTACTGTAATAGTCCAGTTGGCTGGAGACGGAGAGAGCAGCAGTTGGATTCAAGACCTAGTTTAGAATTAAAAGCAACAGGACCTGGTGTTGGATTGGATGTGGGACAGGAGGAAGAATGAAAAGTCAATGGGGAGGTTTCTGAGGTTTGTGAAATTGAATACAAGGTGGTCCCAGTCACCGGATTAGAACTAGAACAGAATCAGATTTATGGAGTAAGGTAAAGAGTTTGATTTGGGACACAGTGATTCTGAGGTGTCTTTGAGAAATCCAAAAAGAGATGTCAAGTAGGCAGTGGGCATATAATTAGAATTTGGTCAGAAGAAGTCTAAGCCAGAAACAGAAATTCTGGGTGGTCTGTGTATAGTTGTGAATGTGCATGAGATTGCCTAGGGTGAGAGTAAAAAGAGGAAAGAGAGAATGCCAATATTTATAGACATAAGAGAATCCACCTCTCTGTGAAACCATAGGAAAATGCCATTATACAGACCAAAATAGCTACTTGTGCTATGATTGCAATGTGTCTCTCAGAAATTTATGTGTTAGAAACTTAATCCCCAATGCAACAGTGTTAGGAGGTGGGGCCTAATGGGAGGTGTTTAGGTCTCATTAATTAATGGAATGATGCTGTTACAAAAAGGGCTCACAGGAGTGAGTTCACTTTCTTCCCCCTCTCTCTTGCCCTTCCATCTTCCTCCATGTATGGACACAGCATAAAGGGCTTTGCCAGAGGCCAGTACCGTGATCTTAAATTTCCAGCTTCCAGAACTGTGAGAAAATAAATTTATCATCTTTATAAATTGCCCAGTCTATAGTATTCTGTTATAGCAGCACAAAATAAACTAACACAAACTGAAATTTCTATATGGCTCAATCCAATAGAAGGGATTTTTTTCCTACCAAGGAAAGAGTAAAGTCAGAAGAGTGCGATATATAGTGAAAATCAAAAAATTAGGAGATGATAACCAGTTGTGACAAATGTTCTTGAGTACTCACAGAGGATGAAACATCAAATGGGTTTGGAGAGAGTGGTCACTAGTTACTTTAAGAAGAATTATTCTGGCAGAAAGGTGGGGTTAGAAGTCAGTTTAAGATGAGAAAGGTGAGAGAATGGAATACAGGCAGCAACTAAGCAATTCTTTTGAAAATCATAAAGAGAATATACTTAAAGAGATTAGAATAGTGACTGACTTCAAGGGCTCGATAAATGAGTCTGGTTAAATGTTGTTTTTCACATTAAGATTACTAGTAGCTTCAAATCTCCCATAGCTCTTTTAGCAATGCTTTGCACTTAGTTGGCACTCACTAAATATTTTAGATGTGATGATTAACCATTAAGGAGAAACAAAGGGGTGCTAAGTCATTCTACATAATTTGCTATTAAAAGTGGCTGTAAATTCTTGGCAAACCAGATGCCCTATTTTCCCTTCATAAAAATAAAAGTTAATCTAAATATAATCCTGTGTTTTTCATTTCTTCATGCTATAACAAAACCTTCCCATTAGAATGTCATTAGATTACTACTATGATGAAGTTAAACTCCCTAAAAAAATTTGGACTAAAAGTGAAGCTAGTTATATTTTGTGACACAATTCATTGTTGGGAGATTTAATGAGATAATCTGTGAGAACCTCCAGCATCTGTGAACAAAGTTGATCTTAGGATCAAGCTCTCCTCTTTGCTATAGTCAATGAAAGAATGAGGGTTCTGGAATCACACCGAAAATACATTGGCCACTAATTTGTTATCTCTCTAGCTTATATTTATAGTAAGTGATGCTTCTCTTATCCATAGCTGAAATTTTAGTTTAAAGGACAAAACACCCAGCCACATGAAATACAGAAAGCAAAGGCTGCAGGAAACCAAAACGGGTGTCAGACTCCCATCATGGACCTTCATCTACTTCCCTAAAACAAAAATCAACCCAGAGAAATTTATGCTTTTTGCTTTACCTGGAATGCTCTTTGCTCATCTACTACTTTCTCTATAGGCAAGCCTCCCTCAATGCCCTACCATGACCCCAAAACACAGACATGCATTCATTCTGTAAGTCCTATATCAGTATGAATCCCATTCTGGATCCCCCAAAATAAGAGTTGTCTTTCCTCTGAATTCCTACCACTCTTTTGTTCATAATTCAATTTCAGTACCTAATACACTGGATTACAATCATCTGTTTACCGATCTTTTCCCAGCTCAATCTCCCAAATGAACTATGTCCATCGCAAAGCTGAGATCTGGGGACACAAAGTTAGTGGCTTAAAAATAACACAAACTTATTCTCTGAAAGTTCTGGAGGTCAGAAGTCTAAAATGATTCTGCAGGGATGCGTTCCTTCTGGAGGCTATGGGGGGAATCCATTTCCTTCACTTTTCCAGCTTCTGGAGGCTGCCTGCATTCCTTGACTTCTGGCCCCTTCCTTATCATCAAAGCCAGCAACATAGCATCTTAACACCTTTTCCTCTGTTCCAGTCATTTCATTGCTCTCTCTCTCTCTCTCTCTCTCTCTCTCTCTCTCTCTCTCTCTCTCTCTCTCTCTCTCTCTCTCTCTCTCTCTCTCTGACTCCCCGCTGCCTCTCTTCTATAAGGACTCTTGTGATTAGATTGAGCCCACCTGGATAATGCAGGGTAATCTCCCATCTCAAGATTCTTAAAAGTTTGCACATTAAGAATCTGCAAACTCCCTGCTGCCATAGAAGGTAACATCAGGATATTGTTTAAGAACAAGGGGACATGAAAGGTTATAAAATATTGTAATTAAATGTTATTGATTTTGAAAGATAGGACTGATGCTTAGAGGGGAAAGCTTGAGTTCCCTGGAAATTTTACTTATATGGAGAACCTCATTCTCTGATGCCAGACCAATGAGATTTACTGGTTGTTTCTGCCAAGTATACCTGAACATATATATCTCCAAATAAATATTAACTTTCAAGGCACTTTGGGAGTATAACAAATTCTAATTTGTTATATTAGTCATCTTGGGAATATAACAAATTCTAATTTGTTATATTAGTCACCTTGGGAATATAACAAATTCTAATGAAATAATTATTGCTTGAAACTTTGAGGAAATCATCTCTTCAGAAGATATTTAAAACCAATATATAAACTACATAATTATCAGCTTCATTACCTTGTAACCACACCTCGTGTTTTAACTGGAATAGCAAAAAAATTGAGATGAACTTATTAAGATAGTCAATCATTATACTCAGTTCCAAATTACTTTCAGCTATTAAAAAAAAATCATCTCCCTTGACAATAGTCAAAAGAGTGAGCTGCAAGATCTAGATGCAGTTCTGAAAAAGGAGCAGCAAAAAAAGGTGGGTGTGATCACTAAGAGTTTAGCCTTTCCAGACAACCTCTTTCCTCTTTGGGCGGGACCACATTCTTTGGATATATAAGTTAAGGTACACTGCTAAATATGTCTCTAGTTCTGATCAATTAGTTACAACTTGTATGTGTTAGTCATCAAATGTCATCTATATTTAGAGAACATTTAAATACAGGCAAGTTAAATTAGATATATCTATTCTATAGTAATGTCTGTATATTACATGCGTTACAAAGCTCCTACTTGTATTAATGCTGATGTTACAAGCTTGATGGTTCTGAATACCAAGCCCTAGAGACAAATATTTCTCCCTCACTCTTTCCATAGATACTGAGGACTTGGTTTCATAGGTTTCAAGTTCCCACCCTACAGATCTGGGAATCCATATGATTTAAAGTCAAACTGTGAAGGAGGGATGTATTTCACAATCACATACACATGGCTTCACAAACACACACTCACTCCATATGGGCCATCCAGAATTGCTACATAAATCTGCTTCCCTCTCAGTCGTATATATTTCAAGTTTCTGACAACAGACCCTCATTAGCAACTTCATAGGTAAAGCTGGGCTCTATCACTGCCTTGATATATGGCACTCTTGGTGGTCACTAAAGCCCCATTCATACCCATGACATCATTGTTTCCATAGAAACAACATCACTATATTTTCAAAGGGGGAGAAACTAGAAGGGATTCTAAAAGAAGACAAAACCCAAACAATTGATTGGAATAAGTAAGCTGTTAGATAATATGCTTTTTGAGAGTATCTTAGTTTCTTAGGAGAAAACAACAGAGTACAGATTTTTACAACTACAAATACATGGGGAATAAATGCAACTAGGAAACATAACTGCCAAATTTCTTTCTATAATGCAATCCACTCTACCTTATGTAAGCCAGATTAAAATTAAGAAATTTAACTTTTCTTAAAAATAAGATCTGCAACTCTACAATGCACATGTTAATGTTTTAATGCTTTTAAAAACATTTCATACTCTTTTACTGCTTTGTGGCTTTGTAACTGTGTGGATTTACACACTATGAACATAATTGAAAGTACATTTTAATAGCTTTTTTAGCAGTTTAAGAAAAATAATCTCATATGCAGTTAAATTCCATAACAAAATATAAAAACCAAATCACAATCATATAAATACTAAATGATGGAACTATATTTATGAAATTCCACACATATTATAGAATGGCAAAGTCAAACTATTGTATAAAATTTGAACAAAACATTTTCAAAAGTAATCACAAAAAATGAAAGACTCAAGAAAATCAGACACTAGCAAGCATCCTAATATTATTTATACAAATATGAAACTATATTTGTATTGTTAAGTCTGCCGTGCTTACAGAGAGAAACCAGCACATTCTGTCAAGGGTTTGCAATGAATAGTCTGATTTACAACTCCAGGAACATCTTAGGAATGCCTTTCTGGATGTGGGATAGTCTTTCAAAAGATTGAAAATGTTGTTCAAATCAGTCAACCAAAGCAATCTAACTCACAAAAGATGAGAGTACAACAGCGGGGTGGTCGCAGAGAAGCTACCTGTGTATGAACAGGGAGCTCTCTGTCCCAGATGATGAGAATCATAACCCAACAACCTTATTGGAGGCCGCAGGTTGTCTTTTCTAGTCTCCCTCAGCAATGGTGAGGCTGGTGATACTGAATCATATGATGAGGTTTACAAGATGAGGGAAAGGGCTCTCAAGTTTACACATAAAATTAGCCATCAGAGGTCCTAATGGAACCAACCAGACGTCATCCCACCTACAATGTGAACCCTATAACACACCCTGCCAACCTCAAGATTATTTGTTATGGACTCTGTATCAAGCCCACTTAAATCTCAATATTTAATGATGATAAATCCTAGAAAGACCCATGTACTTATCCCAGTGTTAGACTGGTTTGTGGGCACTCTCACCCTCCTTCAGAGCTCACATATAGGAAGCAGTGTAAAGAAATAAAGATGACACCAAATGAATGCCAATGGCTGTCAGAATGTCACCCAAGCCTGCAACAGCTCAAATAGGCATTACTGTCAGGCAATTTCCACTGTATATGTTAAGGGTTCAGCCCATGGGGAGAGAAATATCTGGAGCTGGGAGTTAAGCCAGGGGAGATAAGACACATAGAACCACAGAGGACCATTACGTGTCAATGCGAGAAACCAAGAGAGGAGAGGAGAGCTGGGAGAAGTAGTGGTGGATTCCATGGGAGGAAAAGATTCCAGATAAGATGCACCTATGTCTCCCACCCATTTGGAATGTTCTTACAATAATTCTTCCCCCAACCATCACCTCCCCACATCCCATTCATATTCCTGGTGTGAGATACAGGGGTAAGGAGTCACTGTTTACAAGCAGGGCACCCAAATAATTAAGACATGCTTCCTGCTCTCATGGTGCTCAGAGACAAGTAAGAAAAGATGGATGTCCAATAATTATGATTCCATGTTATAAATACTATGTGATAAAATGAAAGGGTGACTAGGGTTTGCCAGGCAGACTAGGTAGGAGGGGAATGTGAGGGCTGAGGGAGACTGAGCAGCGAGCACTTGTGCAGAAAGCTCTAGATACCTGCAGTGTCAGGGAAAAGCAAACAGGCCTGTACATTTGGAGGAAATGAGCACTGGAGAATTATCAGAAATAAGGCTCAAAATTTAGCCAAGAGACAATTTATGGCATTTAAAATAAAAAAAAAAGCAAAGCAATAAATCTGTCCACTTGATTAATGGAGTTGCTCAAAGCGGGAAATGTCCTCTCTGAAATATGGATAGAAAAGAGATGCGTCTAGAGCCAGTAGAGAAAATCTGAAGAGACAAAGGCTAAGCCAGGTCCAGGAACTTTGGGTTACACTCACTGTGGCCCATAGTACTCAGATTGCCACAGAGGCCTCAAGATACTACACATGTAGCCAATGGACACTTCTCCTCTTCCCTCGACTACCACTACTGATGACAGTGCCTTTGACAGTGTTTACATGTGTACCAGATTTGGGGCCTGGCTTTCTTTTTTCTTTTTTTTTTTTGAGATGGAGTCTCGCTCTGTCACCCAGGCTGGAGTGCAGTGGCATGATCTCGGCTCACTGCAACCTCTGCCTCCTGGATTCAAGAGATTCTCCTGCCTCAGCCTCCCAAGTAGCTGGGATTACAGGTGCCCGCCACCACACCCAGCTAATTTTTGTACTTTTAGTAGAGACAGGGTTTCGTCATGTTGCCCAGGCTAGTCTCAAACTCCCAACCTCAGGTGATCCACCCACCTTGGTCTCCCAAAGTGCTGGGATTACAGGCATGAGCCACCGTGCCTGGTCTGGGCCTGGCTTGCTTTCTCTTCAGTAGCTACCTCCAGCAGCACTTCCTAGAAAAATCACATCTCTGTTCACAGATGTGAACAGAGAAGCCCACTGGCTTCCACTGCCCTCCCAATGTACCAACTCCCCAGCATTTGGCAAGCTCTGGGCAATGCTTCCTTTCTAAATATTCCTCCAACCAGAAAGTTCTGCTGCACTTGGCATGATGTAAGTATGAATGCAGCTGGCTATGTAATGAGCTAATTTTTTATTATCTTGGATACCCATATGCCCTTTCTATTCTTTTATCTCCCCTCCAATGTAGCCCTCTCACCCCTAATACCCTAGCCCTCTGACCAATTCTTGGGAAAGGCCTGAACAAAAGTCAGTTTCACTTAGGAATAACTTGGAGAAGAGAATGCCCTGTAAGTGGTTGGCACTTTGAACTATTAAATGATTAAAGGGTCTGGAATCACTAAGAGATCATCTCAAAGAAGTGATTTCTTAATGAGGGACACATTCACAAGCAACTCTGGGATCTGGTTCAAGATGACCAGAAATAAACAAAAAAAAGGCGTCCCTGGCATTTCAAAACTCAGATCCTAAGACTTCATGAGAAATGACATTTGCAACATCAACTACTCTGCTCTTAAGAGATAGGAGACCCCGTTACTTCATATATGCTACACATTTGAGTGTTAATGTACATACGCGCATTTGTGTGTGTGTATCTATGAGAGGGGGAATTAACAAATTACATGGATTTGTGTATGTGTGTGTGCCTAAGAGACAAGGAAGGAAAACAGTGCAGTTGAGAAAGGTGAAGCAAATGTGGCCAAGTACAATGAGTGATGCTGTTGTTCAAGGACAGTTAATCTTCACAGGCAGTCTGAAAGGAGACAGTAAATTAAACAGTGTCCACAATCGGTGCGGGGATTGGCCAACAAGGGAAAATCCCAAGGACTCACAAGGAGTTAGATTGTTACAAAGACCTTTTGGAAAGGGAGTAAAATCCATTAGAAGATTAAGTTCAGCCCAGAAGCCAATGTAAGGAAAACAATTGCAGGAGTGTTTTTCAACACATCAGATGACAGAAGAGCAAAATAATCATTCAGACACTCTGTAATAATGCCAGATGTATTCTCATAGGCTGGACTACGGGGAGAGCTGAGGATGCTATCTGTCCCCTGTCTGCTTACCTCTATTCCAATTTAGCCAATTCTTTTTTTTTTTCTTTTCTTCTTGAGACAGAGTCTCACTCTGTTGCCCAGGCTGGAATGCAGTGGCGCGATCTTGGCTCAATGCAACCTCCGTCTTGTGGATTCAAGCAATTCTCCTGCCTCAGTCTCCCCAGTAGCTGGGATTACAGGCACCTGCCACCACACCTGGCTAATTTTTCTATTTTTAGTAGAGATGGGGTTTCACCATGTTAGCCAGACTGGTCTCAAACTCCTGACCCCAGGTGATCTGCTGCCTCAGCCTCCCAAAGTGCTGGGATTACAGGCGTAAGCCACCGCACCCAGCATCAATTTACCCAATTTTTATTTCCCTCATTCCTACCCATAAAGACTGGGTTAGTGCTTAAGCAGAAAATAATCACTGGCATAGTTTTTTTCCACCCCTGCCCTCACCAACGTTTCTCTTGTTTGTGAGACTAGATTTTGCCAGTGAGTTCACAATGCTACAGAGGTCTTTCTTTAAAGGATCCATTTGACCTTGCTGGTTCCATGGCCATCGATTACAGCTCTCATTTTGGCTGAGATGCCTGCCCTGATCAGCATCTTACACATAGCAGTGGAAAGTCTGGAGAGAGGAAATTGGAGAATGTGGATAGCTCAGAGCAATGCATTACCTATCTTACCAAAAAAAAAAAAAAAAAAAAAAAAAAAAAAAAAAATCAGCAGCAGCAAATAACCTATGCATCTGAAATCCCTACCTTGGGCCAACTGTCTGGGTCTCCTGACCTGAAACAGTAAAAGGAGCCACAAGAGAGGAGAACACTGTTTGGGGAAGAGTCTAGGACACTGAATTCAGTTTGGCCAGGGCCAGCTGAAACAGGAAATTGCAGCAAAGATGCAGCTTCTGGAGAAAGACCTGTTGTAATAAAAAGCTCCCAGTTTGGAGTGAGGGGGGTGGAAAGTGACCAATCTATAAAACAAACTCTAGGAGCCACCTCAAAATAAAATGTTCCTCAAGGTCATCTGTGAGCCCTTGTAAGTACTTTAGAACTGCCTGACAGATGCTAATTAACTCTCCTGACTCCGCAGCCCCAGGGAGATGTGAATGTGTTTAACTGATGAGCACATTCAAGCTGTACTATTCCTGGAGCTCTAACTGCTTCTTGAAAGACCTTTTGAAGAAAATATTTGGTAACATCATAGAACGTCCAAACTGAAATGGACCACAAAGAGCCTCTTTAGAGAGGAAGAAGGAATAATAGAAAGAATATGGACTTGGAGAAAGATCTAAATCTAAATCCCAGATAAGGAATCTACCAGCTGTGTGAGTGCCAAGAAGTCACTTAAACATCTAAGCCTCAATCTTTCTTATCTGCAATATGAGGATAACACCACCCATACCACAGATTGTACTGGTAAAATGCATTGCCCTGTTCCCAGCTTATAGTGATCTACAGTTAGAGTATAATTTGTAATATGCTATAAACTATGGCATACTATAAAGTATTGTGGTAGTTAATTTAGAGCACACTTTCCTCATGTCCCTTCTCCTTTGTACACATTCACCAGTCGCATCCTCTTGTGACACGCTAGCTACTGTAGAAAACACATCCATGAGATTCTCAAGGCCTCCCACTCCTTACCCTAAAATGGCCAACATGTTTGCCAGCAAAGTGGTGGAGGAGCCAGCTTGCCAGCTTTAGCTCTGAATTCCATGTCTCTCGTGCTCCATCATCATCTAGCAGGCCCATGGCTTTGCCCTTTAAAACCACTGGCCCCTGCTGGGGAGGGTTAGTCACATGGGACAGTGGTAACACTCACGTTTGCACATTCACCCACAATGGTTCATGTCAGTCCCATCCAACAGCATCCTCCTAAACTGCTCCTGGTCACCAGAAATCCCAGCTCTTTGCCTGTGTTCTATAAACTATAGCCCCTGATACAAGAAGAAGGCCTTGCAGTTACATGATGCACATTTAATGAGGACTTAAACAATCTATAGGCATTGACCAAGAATCTACTATAGTCAAGACCCAGGGCGAGATGCTGAAACGAGGCACTGACTTTAAAAAGCATTTAGAGACAAAGATACAAATGTTTCATCATCCTTCATCAAAAACAATTACTCAAAAAATAAGAAAATGATTCTTAAAGTACATTTTACAGATGGAAAAGCCAAGTCATCAAAAACCATACCACTCCAGAATGCAGGAATCCTATCTTCCCTTTACCTCTTCAATCACTAAGTAGCCTCTGTAGGAGGTGACATTATCTCCTCAAGATAGTAATCATCATTTCCTTGTCATAGGATACGCCTGCTTCTTATTTTCTGGATTCATGCATTAAAAAAGATAAATCTTCAGCTAAACTACTCATCTGTGTCAGCAAAAACATTTATAAGAGAAAAAAAGTGGCTTGAAATATAAAAATCAAGAGATGTTTAAAAGAAAAAAAACCCAGAAGATAAGTCTGCTTATGTTGAAAAAACTGCATTTCTCAAAAGATCATTATATTCACAAAGGGAGTGACATTTCCTTAGATCTCAGCATCACAGAAGTCAAGGACAAAACTGTTATAGCTAGAAAATCTAGGATTATGGGGAATGCTTAAACATTCACTTATGTGGTTGGCCAGAACTAGACAGGGTTAATCTTGCTTATTTTGATCTTCTAAGGATGAAAAGTGAGAGCTTTTTTCCTCATTTTTCTAATGTTTTCTCTCTGACAATTCATAACTGAATTGGGCAAAGTATAAGTTTTCTTCTATATCTGTAACCACCCTTGGCTTCACCCATGAGAAACAGACTTAACTTGAAGGCTCAAGCAGTAAATATTTCTTGAGGAATTAGTTCATTTTGCACCTATAACAGGATATCAGAGACTGATAATTTATAATGAACAGAAATTTCTCACAGTTCTAGTGGCTGGGAGTCCAATATCAAGGTGCTGGCATCTGACAAGGACCTTCTTGCTGCATCGTCCCATGGCGGAAGGAAGAAGTGTGGAGAGGGCAAGAGAGAAAGAGAACAAGAGGAGGCCAAACTCGCCCTTTTACAACAAACCCACTCCCTCCATAATGACATTAATCCATTTAAGAGGGCAAAGCCCTTTTCACCTAATCACCTCTTAAAGGTCTCACCTCTTAATATTGTGACAGTGACAATTAAATTTAAACATGAGTTTTGTTAGGGACAAACATTCAAACCATAGCAGAGACCAATTAGGCACCAGGCATGTACCAGCATATACCAAGTGCTATAGAAGAGCACTGCCCAACAGAACTTTCTGTAATAATGGAAATATTCTATACCTGTGCTATCCAATACAATAGCTGCTGAACATACAGTTTCTGGGCACTTGAAATGGGGCAAGTGCAACCAAAAAACTGAATTTTATTTTTAATTTTATTTTAATGAATTGAAACTTAAATTGCCACACTTAGCTAGTGGCTATTATATTGAATACACAGCTATAAGGGACACCAATATAAGAGAAAGCATGGTCCATGCACATATGTGAAACTGTGCCCCAAAGAGTTAAAGAAACCAGGGATTAATAGAAATTCTTGAGTTCACAAGATGGCAGGTAATTAAAGAAACAACTTGCTGAAGCTCCCTCCACTTACGAGATAAAATAACTACTGAAATCTATTGGAACCAAGATGGCCAATTAGAGTGCACAGAATGGGCTTGCTGACCTCACAGCCTGAATTTCTACTGCATGCTTCATACTACCTCCCCTTGAATTTGCACATGCAATCCATGAGGCAACATGCAGAGATAACTGTGCATGCCCAAGGAATTTCCAGACCTCCCCTTTCCTTCCACCAATCATCCATTAATCTCAGAATCCACCCCCTGGGCTGGATGCAGTGGTTCATGCCTATAATCCCAGCCAGCATGTTGGGAGGAGGAAGTGGCCCGATTGCTTGAGCTCAGGAGTTTGGGACTAGCCTAGGAAATATGGTGAAACCTCCTCTCTATAAAAAATACAAAAATTAGCTGGACATGGTAGCACACACCTATAGTCCCAGCTACTCAGGAGGCTGATGTGGGAAGATCATTTGGACCTGTGAGGTTGAGGGCTGAGGCTGCAGTAAGCCAAGATTGCACCACTGCATTCCAGCTTGGGCAACAGAATGAGTCCCTGTCTCAAAAAAAACAAAAAGAAAAAAGAATTTACCCCCTGAACCTTTTCTAATAAATATACTGCCTTGGGCCAGTTGTGGTGGCTCACACCTATAATCTCAACATTTTGGGAGACCAAGGAGAGAGGAACACTTGAGTTCAGCCTGGGCAATATAGTGGGACCTTGTCTCCACAAAAAAAAAAAAAAAAAAAACAAAAAAAAAAACAACTAGCTAGGTGTTGTGGTGCATGCCTGTAGTCCCAGCTACGTGGGAGGTTGAATTGGGAAGATCACTTGAGCCCAGGAGTTCAAGGCTACAGTGAGCCATGATCATACCACTGCACTCCAGCCTGGGTGACAGAGTGAGTGAGACCCTATCTCAAATATGTATGTGTATATATACACACACATACACACACACATATATATATATTTATACACACACACAGACACACACACACACACACACACACACACACATATATATATTTTAAATAAACCCAGCCTGAAGAGACAGATTGGAGCTTGACTCCTGTCTCCTTGGGAGTCAACTTTCAATATAAAGCTTTTATTTTCTTAAAAACCCAGTGTCACAGTGTTTAGCTTCTAGTACATTGGGAAATGAGCCCCTTTTGCTCAGTAATAGATGATCTGCATGTTCTCTCTGAAGAAACAGGACAAGGACACATAAAACGTTGACTCATAATGACAAGGTAGTAGAAAATGATGGCAAGTGAATGGCATGGGGATCAGGGGCTGCGGGAATTTGAAGAACTCAGGGAAGATGTGACAGAGACAGCAGGACATGAGCTGAGAGGGCCTAGTGGGAGAGCAGGATTGTTTAGGCCAAAGATGGCATGACACCATATTGCTGTACTCAGACTACCTCTATTCACACAGCTCATAGGCCACAGGCATTAGCTGAGTTCATACTAAGGAATTTACAGATAAACAGGTTATTTTTGTGGTAGTGGTCTCATGACACTATCAAACAAACAAACAAACAAACAAACAAAAAAGCTCAGGACAGAGGGCACAGCAGGTAATACCTAAAGTCTCCTCCCCTGGAAGTATGACAGGCAAGGCAGTCCCAGTGGGGCTATGATAAGGTGTGCCTTTACAGCAAGTGATCCAGAGAGGAAGGGAAGAGTCAAAGTTCCAGTATGCTTGGGACGTCAAGGCAGGAGGCAGAAGGGTTAGCTTTTGGGTTACAAAAGCTCAAGAAAAAGGTGTCTGGCTGATAATGGTATCCACAAAGGGATAAGAGGGAGGAAGAACTCAAGCTATAGGTGGAAAGGTAGTCTCACACACTCTTCGCATGCCAGGGGGAATCTGCCACCTTTAAGTTCTTGTTTAAAAAAATGTAACAAGTAGGCAAATGCCTAAATATAGACATCCACTGCATCACCATAGGGCTGTGCACACAGCAGCTCCCTCAACTGCTGCATGGGGGTGGTCCCATTTTACCCCACCCCACTTTCCCCTGCCTGACTCACTTATTCTCAATGACTATGGAGGGGGGCTTTCCCACTCCTCTGAGGAGGAGACAATACAGCTTTCTTTGCCCCTTAAATGGAGATGTAACCACAGGGAACCAGATAGGCCCAGAGTATGAATGAAATGGATTCGCCTGCTTCTGCTGCTGTTTTGCTTCCAAATGTTGGCTAAAACAATCTCTCTCCTAAAGCCTATACTCTATCAGTGGATATTCTTTTTTAACCTATCTCCATCCTTTTTTAGAGGGAAGAGGTACTTCAAAACTTTTAGCCTCCTAGAGTGCTATATTTAAAGGTCAACATCCCTAGGAAGGCTAACTTCAATGATCAGATAACACCTTGGAGGAGGATGTCTGTATAAACAGAAAATTCCTAGAACTGTCCCCTCGGGAAAATGGGCATTTGGTTTGGTCCTAGAAGCTGGGAGGAACCTTTCTGAAGACAGCATAAGCCCTGAAAGGGGAAATGGGAGAGCACTCCTTGGCTACCTGGTCTAGGACTGACTCTAGGCAGTGCTCTGAGAGTCAGAACAAGGGAACAGACAGGGCATGGGATTTGACTGCTCCATTCCTGGGTTCACATTCCAGGGCTGGACTAGTCATTTAGCAGTTTGTGACATAGGGATGTCTCTTCAACCTACAAAGTCTTTACTTCCTCATCTGCAAAAGGCCCATTCACTGCTACTCATCTATCACTTCTTCAGGGAAGTTGTCCCCATTGGTCAAATCCCCCTCTCGTGCCCACTGATACACTGGACTCTCTCCTTCAGAGTAGATCATGGTTGAATGTTTACACTCATGCATAATTATCTGATTAGCACTTGTTTTTCTTATCTGTAAGTAAACTTCATTAGAGCAGGAACCATGTCTGTTTTTCTCATGATTGTATCCCAAATTTCAATACCCTATGCAGCACATAGTAGGTTTCAAATTAACACATATTCAACCATTGAATAGATGATTAATTGAGCTCATGTATATGAAAATGATCTCCAAAATATGCAGTACAATGGATATGTTTGTGATTCTTATTTGGTGTGGATGATGACAAGAGAATTAATCCTCTTAGCCACTGGAAACCATTCTGCTTTCATTGAAGTAACAAAACTGCTGCATTTGAAAGACACCATAAGGAAAGGGATTCTTACAAGCTGCCCCATGGTGCCCTCTTTCAGGATTCTCTTCGTGACCATACTAAAATACCCAGCTCATCTGTGTTCACATGAGACATTGCTTTATTTTGATCCATAGATGGTCACTGTGGGAGCCTGGCTGAGTCATATGGACATTTTAAAAAGTGAGACATCTATTGGCTAAATCTGCAGGGTATCTGGTGCTGGACTAGGGACAATGCATTCTGGCCAAGGGCTAGGCTGAGAAAAGCACTCCAGGTCCCACCATCCCCCACCTTTGGTTGAATCCAACTCTATATCCAAAGTGCCATGGGCATCAGGAACCAAAGGAAACTGCAGTGGCCAAACCCCGGGAGAGCTTGCTCCCCCACGCTGATCCATTCAAGGGAACAAAGGCCTTCAAAGTTGCACTGAGCTGGTCTGGAGATGGAAGGCCTTTATGCAGGTTTCCAAGGAGATGACTCAGATGCTGTTACCATAGAAACTGTTGCTATCATCTATTGTCCATCACCCCTTGATAAAAGGAAAGGGGGGGGTGCTGTGGTTTGATGGAGAAGGAAACAAGAAGAGTTGGATTTAAGTCAAGATGAAAAAAACATATTGAGATGGGTCCCCGAAGACTTTAATGGTGTATATAACAAAACCTCTAATCTCCAAAGGAAATGAATTAGGGACATGAATGTTTATGGTTTGTTGTTATTTGTGTTGGTGGAGTTGGGGTGAATAAAATGGCATACAGAATGACCGACACTCATCTGTTGGAGGACCCTGTCAATTAGGATCTCTAGAGAAACATTCAGTTGTGAGGCTCATCAGCATGGTCCAGGCCATAACCCCTGAGGCTAAAGGGTCATAAGGAAATTGATGTAAGCTCTCTGCCCCCTCTCCTCTGCTGCAAACTTTTTTCAGGTAAAAGCGGAGCATATTAGAAGTCCTTCTGATTTTTCCTGCTACTTCATAATAGCCACTGCCATTAAAGAGTTGATTTTTTAATCTAATGAGAGAAGATTATGGTAAATTTAAAAAGTTCCATAAATAACACATAGAAAAGCATATGGGTAATGGAAGACACACTAGACTTGGCATCAAGTCAGAAGATCAGAATTTGAAAGTCAATATCATCAATTATTATTTGCAAGACCTTGGGCACTTCACATGCCTGAGTCTCAATTATCTCTTCTACTTCATGGGGATTGTAACTGCCAGTGTACTTAATATGGGATAAAGCCTTATCAATAAATTATGTTATCACTTGTCAAACACCATGGTGTTTGTTAGTTACCTAAAATGCCACACCCATATCAAAAAAGGTCTTTTGATTTATATATATATATATTAGAGGTGGGATCTCGTTGTGTTGTCCAGGCTGGTTTTGAACATCCGGCCTCAAGCGATCCTCCCAACTCAGCCTCCCAAGGTGCTGGGATTACAGGTGTGAGCCACCACACACGACCAGCTTTTGATTTTAATTATTCCAGGCAGAACCATAGTAAATCCTTTTGTGTCATCCAGCTCTGTTTGAAAAGTTGGCATCCAACCAATTACTGTGACCTTGAAATTGTGGATAACATAGAATATATGTCCTCACAGCCTTCTTTCTCATGAAGGCCATCAGATCATGTGCAGGAATCAAGTCTGACAATTAGACCTGTCTTCCCAAAGTAGTGTTGGCAAGTTACATTTCAATAGGGAATAAGATGCTGAAGCTGTAGGAAAGGCTCTCTGGCACAGTAGGTATGGAAGGAGGACAATGTGGGGGGGACGGGACAAAAATTATTTTCATAGGTAAGTTTTCAAGCCTGATACATGTAGAAATGGGAGTTCTGAAAGCTCTGGAGTCTGGAAACAGAAACAAGTGTAGAAATTATATTGCTATTACCCCAGTCCAAAAAGTCTCTTCCATATCTTTCAGACCCTTTATAAAGACAACATAAACTTTGAACTCATCTTGCAAAATAAGCACTCACAAAGTTGCCAGGTGGGGCCTACAGTGCTCCAGGAAAGGTTACTCAACCCTGGGAACTCTGGGAATCAGACAAAGGAGGCATTCAGGTGCTACCGGATATGGCAGAGAAAAGAGAATGCAGTTCCTTCCCTCTGGTTCTGCAAAAGTTCCTTATTTATGTTTTTCTTTCAAATAACACTGCTGTGCATTGTTGGGATACTCTTAGATCAGAGCATCTTTCCTGAGGGATCAGATAGAAGGAATTACGAGAGAAAGAGGCAAGGGGAGAAAATGCCTTTCCAATCATGGGATTGGTGACACTGGTTAATTCTGCATGCCAAGAGGGAAGGAACCAAGACAACAAAAAACATGCTAAGAGTTCTCACTCTATATATACAGGTTTCTATTAATAACCATCAGAAACCCAGGACCAATTCAAAGCCAGACAATCAAAAGGGATTACTGAAGAAAAGCACCCAGTGATCTAACGTCCTTGATCCCAGGAAGATGAGATTTGTACTCAGTTTTAGCTTTAAATATGATTCCCACAAAATGACTTCCAAAATTTAAAAATCCCTGATTCCTACAGTTTTACCCAACCTTATAATGGATTTTATTTCTTCTCAACAACAACTTCTCTGCTTCCTTGAGGCAAATCTCTCTAGCGAGGACAAACTGGCCATACCCATTCCTGTCCAGGTCTCCCATCAACACCCCCACAGCACAGATTGGGGAGCTAGAAGGGACCCCACATATCATATACTGTTATCTAGGCTTCTCATTTTAGAGTTTAAAAAACTGAGGCCAAGAGACCCAGTAAATGACTTTCCCAGGGTTACAGAGTCAAGTAGGAGCAGATCCCAGGCCAGAATTACTATTTCTGTACAGTATTATTTCTAATATATTATACTACTATCAACTCATGGTCATCTTAATCCTATGTGTATTAATCTCATCTCCTTAACTAGATTAAAATCTCCTGGAGAGCAAGAATTATATGTTTTCCTAGTAATTTTAAGCACTCACACCATAACAGCCAGCACCAAGCTAAGACATTTAGGAGGAACACTCAAGTGATTCCTGACCAACTCCTACCTCACTCTTCATTAAGGATCTAGCCTGCATGCTCTGCTGGCAGCATCCAATGGCCACATCCACCATGTTGTTCATCACTCTGTACTGTCCCTGCACATTGTCTTTCTCTTCACTGGACTATAAGATGTTTAAAGACAGGACTGGGCCATATCTTATTTCCTGTGTGTATCTCAATATTCAACACATACTAGGAGATTTAAAAAAAAGGATTAAATAAAAAATGGATTCTACAACAAGTCTCAACCAACCCACATACATCACAGAAGGTCTAAGTTACCTCTGGGGCAGGAGTTGATCACTCTACCCTCCCTTGAAACGTTTTCTTTTCTTGGTTCCCATTTTTTACTCTTTCGATAGAATTGTAGCCCTAAGGGCACCTGGCCTGCCATCTTTAGGAGAGAGGTCAATAGTAACCAATGACACCTTGACCCCTCAAATGTGTTAACGTTGGTATTAATAAAATGCTTTAAAGGAGCTAGCAGTTGGAGCCAGATGTGTTCTTTTAAGGAAAAACGTAAACGTTAATCCATCATAAGCTATCATCATTAAAATAGCCCACCTGGGACTTACAGAAGATTACCAACTCCATTGCCAAATCCAGATGCCAAAAGAGAATACTTAAAGACATTCTGACACACCCAGAAATCAAGCCAGTATTCTGGCATAAACAGATGTTCTCGTTCTGATCCTTTTCTCTACCAAACTTGATTAGCTGACAGGATTGTAAAATGTCTCATTCACAAAATAATGTCTAAAAAGCAATTGCTGATGGACATCTGGGTTGTTTCCAGTTTTGCCTACTACAGCTAAAGCTGCTATGAAGGTTCATGTACAAGCGCTTGCATTTGCTTTCACAGACATATGCTTTCATTTCTCTTGGGTAAATACCTAGAAGTAGAATGGTTGGATCATATGGTAGGTGTATGTTTAACATTTTAAGACATTACCAAACTGTCTTCCAACTGGCTGTACCATTTTGCATTCCCACCAGCATTATGTGAGAGTTCCAGTTCCCTGACATCTTCATCAACATTTGACATGGTCAGTCTTTTACATTTTTCATCATTCTTAGTTATGCAGAGGTTCCTCCTTATGGTTTTAATTTGCATTTTCCTTAAGACTAATGATGCTCAGCATCTGTTCATATGCATATCTGCCATCTTTATGTCTTCTTTGGTGAAGTATCTGTTCAAAGCTTTTGCCCAGTTTTTAAAATTGGGTTGTTTTCTTATTAATTTTTTTAAGTTCTTTATCTTCTGAATACAAGTCCTTAGGCAGGAATGTTCACAGCAATTGCCTTCCCCAAATTAAAAACAAAATATCCTACTAGTTTCCTCTCTTTCCTCGCCCTATCCTTGTCCCCTCCTCCTCTACATGGTAGCACACAATCTCAGCATTTAAATAAAAGAGGAGGCAGCTATGGTCTTCCCTCAAGCTCCCATCACCCTATATAGCCATAGTTAGGAAGTAGATCTTCTCATATCCTTGTTACTCAAATGCATGTATACTCATGCATGCCCAGGAGGAGTTAACATAAGCCCATTTCTTCTCTAAAGATGCACTAACTTTGAATCGTTAGCTCAACTAGGAGCAATTTTATCCCCATGCAATACTTGGCCATATCTAAAAAAATTTTTGTTTGTCACAACTGGACAGTAGAAATGGTTGCTACTGGCACCCAATGGGTAGAGGCCAGAGATGCTGCTAAACGTCATACAATGTCCCCCACAACGAAGAATTATCTGGAAACTCTGCTTTAAATCAATTTACAGGTACTCCTTTAGATAAAGCAATATAGTATAATAGAAATAATACAGATTTGAGAGCCAGGAGACCTGGGTTCTATTCCTAGCTCGGTCACTAACTAGTTGTATAACCTCAGGAAAACACTTAATCTCTCAAAGCACTAAATTCTTCATCTGTAAAATGCAGAAGCTAACCTAAATTATCTCTAAGTTCTCCTCTAGTAGCAAATAAATATAGCTATTTATTCAAAACCACATAGAACTTGGAGCAGTCCTGAAAATGTCCTTAGGTTCCATACTTAAATTCAACAAGATGGTAACAAAGGTTGGTTTAAGAGAACAGTCCTTGAGAATGTGTCTCAAAGAGAATGAAAATCAACTGCTGACCCCAGCAGGAACCTTGCCTCAACTGAGAGGGGAGACAGGTTCCCAGCACCTGTCAAGCAGAATCTTGGGATCTAGTTACTCCCTAAATAGACCCTGCCCCACCAGTCTGGATCCTTCTCTCCTCCATCCCATGCCTACTCACTCAACTTCAGGGATATAAACATGTAAAATTTGAGTTTCACAGCAGAGCAGGTAAAAATACTTTAAGGCCCGATACACCTCATTGAGCCAGTCTCCAACTTATAAATGAGTCTGTGCCAATGATATGGTGTCTTTGAAAATCCAGACGGAGCTCTGATAGGAGGTAAGTCACCTTGTAGTGGGAACCTGGGACTCACTCCCTCAAATGACAGGCCACAGGCAATACCAACGCTGAATCCTAATCAGTTCCTGCCACTCACACCCCCTTTGAGGGGAAGACGGTCCTCCAACAATTCTTACAACAGCTGTTTTGCAGGTTAAATGAGGTTGAAAAATGGTCCTGTGGGTCCCTGCAAGAATGAACAGACAGCCAACATCTCAGATGGCCCATGGGTAAAGTTCTTTAATTTCAAACTGACTAAAAATTAGAAACATTAATTAAGGAAGAATATTTACCTGGAACCTCTCAGAATTAACCCCAAGAGCTGCCTGTAGATATTTCTGGTGAAATCATATGACTTCCACCATAATTGATGGGTTAAGAAGAGAGCAAGGCCAGCCCTTGGAGATGGGGAAGAGATTTGCTCTTCAAAGAGGCAGACCGATTTGAAAGGAGACCTTACACTCTTCTCTGTCTCTTTTCCGATAAGGTCAGGGCCATAGTTGAAACACATTACTAATCACCATCATCTCTCTTCCTTGTTTTTTTTCTTCCATGCATATTCACAGCAAAGAGGGAAAGCGAGGACACAGAATGTAGGAAGTGAATACCCTGGTCTCTGAGAGGTACTGCTCTTTATGCAGGAGCCCATGCCCATTGCCCCTCATCATTGCCTTCCTCACCTGCTTCTCTCTCATCTAGCCAGTGCTTGATGGGACCTTGAGAAGCATGCTTTCCTCTTCCAGCTGCCGCCATTACACATCTAACACCCCCTTGTCCCCTCTCGGCTACAATAACCTTTCAACAGACACACCTGAATTAAAGTCAATGCAGACTTCAATCAGGATATCACTCCTAAAGCAGAAGCAGATAGCACTACTCATTACCAGCTTGAAGACTGAGAACAGTAGGCTCCCTTAGGGACAATCATAACTCCTTGTTTAATCAGGCTCCTGCACTGCCTGCTGTCTGTGGGTGTATGTATACATGGGTATGCGTATATAGGGGAGGAGCTCAAACCGAAAGCAACATGCAAAATAAACTCCTCTATTAAATAATGCTCATTTTCACTTTTTCTCCTCTACTTTTGCCCGCGCCCCTCCTTCCCGAAGACCAATTTGCAATAAAATCTAGGAGATAGCTGAAGGTTTTATGCTCACTGCTGAAGACTAGCAATTTCTTCTCTAGTGATTTGAGCCCTATCTCTAGTGGATCCCCTGAGTTGCTGCTTTCTTCAATTCTTGGAGGCTGATGATTAGAGCTATCATTTCTATATAACAAATTACATCTGTAATACAACCACCATTGTTTTTTACTCAGACTCTTGTGGGTCAGGAATGTGGAAGAGACTTGGCTGGGCAGTTCTTGCTTGGGGTTTTGCGTGCAGTTACAGTAAGATGTTGGCTAGGGCTGCATCTGAAATTTTGATGGGTCTGGACGTCCAAGATGGCTCAATCCACAGCTGACAGATGATGCTGGCCATCAACTGGGAGCTCAGCTGGAGCTGTCACCAGAGTGCCTACACGTGGCCTCTCCAGCATGGCTATGTCAGGCTAGTTGGACTTCTTTCTTGGCAGCTAGTGTTCCTCATAGTGAGGAATAGTTGACTGGCCATTTTTTTGGACCTAGCCTCAGAAGCTGCATACTTCCACTGCATTCTGTTGGCTGCATGCAAATCATGAAGGTAAACCAAGATTCAAGAGTAGTCACAAACTCCATCTTTCAATGAGATGAGTCTCAAAGAATTTGCAGACATGTTTTAAAAACCCACACTGACCTGTCATCACTTAAAACCCTATTCACTTGAGGTCAGGGAATATACTCTGTTCCTTACTCTCTCAAGCCTAGTTGAGTGTCTGACACATTGTAGATGTTCAATAAATAGATGATGAATGAAGGAAGGAAGGTAAAAAGAACAAATGAACTTCCTGAATAAGGAAACTTCTAGATCTATTTTTTGAGAGAAAAGTCATTTACTGTCCCCAAGCTTTGTTTTCTTTCATTGTTACAGTGGAGATATGACATTCAACTTTCATGGGATTGTGGTTAGAGATGAATGAGATGATTTAGGAGGAAGGATTTTCATTTTCCCAGGGTTGCTGAAAAAGTAAGACTAGAGATGGCACCATGCAGCCAGCCTCTCCTTGTTCACAGAGTTTCAGTGTGAATCTGCTTTGTTGATGTTGACATCTGTCACCTCATCTGGAATGCCTTCCCTTTTCTCCTCTGCTGAGTCAATCCTTGGAGACCTATTTTCATCTTGAGTTCTTCCCGTAGAGGCAGTGTGGGAATTAAGAGCCTGGACTCTGCAGTCAGGGGGAGTGCAGATTCTCTCTCCCACATTGTGCAGTGTAGCCCAGGTCAAGTTACTTAATCCTTCCCAGCCTCATTTTCATCTGTAAAATGAGGATAATAATAGTATCTACCTCATACAGTCATGGGGATTAAATGGGTCAATATGTACTGAGCACTCAGAAGGTTGCCCAGCATAGAGCAAGTGTGAAGTAATTTTAACTAGCTATTATCATCACTCCAGTCTTCACGATCTCTCTCTCCTCTGAACTCCATGCTCTTCCCAAAATGAACTCACTTCAGTTTCCCAAAAGTGCCAGGTTTTCTTGCCCTTCCATGCTGTTCCGTATGCAACTTCCTCTTAAAAGTATTAATCTTTTAAAGCACTCAGCTCTGCGCCTGGCACATGCTAAGCATTATCTTCAGTGTTGGTGATTATGGTTCTACCTAGAATGCTCTTTCCCACCTCTCCTCTGCTTCCCTTGTCTGGCTAATTCTTGGTCATCTTTCAAGTCTCAATTGAAATGTTTCCTTCCAAGAAGCTTTCCCTTCCATGCTAAATCCAGAGTAGGTGCCTTTCCAATCAGGGTCACTGCTGGTCCCTGTGAGCCTTTCTGTGAGTTACAAAAAGGCTCCCCTGCCTCTAGCCAGTACATGTCTTGAGAAGTAGAGGATAGGCTGGATTTCAGCCTCTACTCATCCTTTCAGCCAACAGCCCTTGAACAGCCACACCCCACATAACTGCACACTGCCCTGCTTCCAGTGTGCACTCATGGCATTTATCCTACTCCACTGTGACCATCCCTTGACACGTCTGTATCCCGCCATCAGACTGTGAACTCTGCAAGGGCAGGGCCATAATTGCTCCAGGTGAAATCCCCAATACTTAGTATATCACCCAGCACCAAATAGGTGCTCAGTAAATATTTGTTGAATACATGAATGGACCATGAAGAAATGACCATGTGCCTTGTATCTTTCCCTTGGGGTTGTTTATACATTCCACAGTGTACCTGTGCAAACAAAAAGCTGCCAAATAACACGCTGATGTTTTATCTTTACTCCACGTTTGTAGTTTTTGTTTTGAGTTGGGAGAACAGTGAGTGAGACTTCAATTCATATAGACAGTGTGATTCAGGCTCCCGCTAGAAAGCATGCTGTGCTGTAAGAGCCCTTATCCAGGTGGTTAATGGTACCTCTGCAAATGCAACCTTCTCTAGTAAAAGGCAAAGTGCTATTCTGGGGCCCTGCTGAGCTTGCCTGGGCTTGGGCAGAATGTATAAGCCAAAAATATTTCCCTGAACCGTTCAGAAGGCACTGAATGAAGAGGCTGTTCTGAGGTACTGCCCATAGGGCCAGAAGGCAGGAATCCCAATCCACGTGCCAGGTGAGCAGGCATGCCTCAACACACACACACACACACACACACACACACACACACACACTGGCCACACAGTGCAGCAGGAATGGGACTTGAGCCAATCATGGAAGTCAGTGAGGCCCCTCTGTTCAGTCAGCTGGCAGTTGTTGTGGCTTATTGAGAAGGACAGACCATAAGGCAATAAGGTAATCTCATCTGAGCAGTTAAGGAATGGGTTTCAATGAGTGTCTCTAGCGTGGCAGGTGGGTAAATGTGCCAGGAAGCTGCCATCTGGTGGCAGGAGCACCAATCCAGGCACTGGGAAGCCTGGAGGGAGCTCTGATGCCACATTACTGAAGCAAGTCACCTTCCCTCTACATCTGTGTCCCCAAGTATTAGTTGGCAATATACAGGCCTTTTTACTTCCTGGAATTATTTTGAGCATAAAATCAGACAAACCTAAGTAAAAGTAATCTGAAAGTAAATTATTCTCGAAGTCATTATACTCATTGAGTTGTACAATCCCTTTGCAACATCACCCTACTTGTTTATGCTGCTTTTCCTACTGGGGTTCTCTCCCACTCCTCTTGTCCTTCACAGTGGCCTCTGTTAGCCCATCTGTCTTAGCTGGTGATATGTGACTCCTCCAGGTACATCCCCAGGTTACTTAGGGGCAATAATCATATCAGGCAATCTCTTGGGGGCTTATGACTCACAGCCCAGCACTTGGCATACAGCAGGCTTGCTGAATATTTGCTTAACTGAATATAAGCACGTGTGTTGATCTGTGTGAGTATGTGTGCAAATACATATTCACTCTCAGTCTTCACAGGATCTGACCATTGGAACAACAAAGGAATCCTTTTGGTGACAGGCACCAAAGGGCAGTGTCATTATAATATGTCAAATTGCATTATACTCAAAATAGGGCTCCAAAACCTTGGTTGATGCAGTCCACTGAATTTTAGGAATTCACCCAATAACTGGTAAAATAGGAACTTGCAATAAGAGAATATGATCTGTAGATCACAATGGCTACTTCCTAGACACGTTCCTTAGATGAGCTTCCTCGGCTCTCCTAGAGGCACCTGCCCACATCAGCTGGGGCCATGTGGAGCCCATATCTGATTTGTCTTCACTAATCTTCTTACAGTAAAAGACTTCTTATAAACACAATCATAACCAGTAAAAGTTGGTCTATTACTCAAAACAGATGTTAAGGCAAAGAACCATAGAAAACAGTATGTGCATACCTTAAACATTTTATTTTAATATAAGATATATAAATGTATGTTTATTCACTAATATTGTAATGTAGATTGGAGGTCTTTCCTCTAGGAATAGGTCTACAGATTAACTTACCAAACTCTTCCTTACATAAATAACACAATATATTGACTCTGATTTCTAATTTTGCTTTCTTCCAAGTGGATTAAGAACTTAGAGACATTTGCTGAGTAACATGGGTGCAGGATCCTTCTAAGATTTTTACTTTCCCTCCAACTTTTTTATGCTGTCTTCTTCATAACTAATCCATTGGTGACTTCTGTAACAATTCACTGTTATCATTTTTTTCAAAACATTCTACTTTTATATACGCAGCAACTATAAGAGATGAGATGTCAGATACTTAGAAGAGTACCTAACACACAGTAAGTACTCAGTGAATGTTAGCCATCTATTTTTTCTCACTCATATTTCATTTATGTAATAATTAAATTATTCAATTACAACAACAAATATAACTGGTGCAAACAAGTTTAGGAATTCACACAATTGGCTCTTGGTATGCATTCAGCCCTAATGGAGGGAAAAAAATTATGGTGGCACATAAGACAACAATAACAAAAACACGTAGCAGCAGTTGCCGGTAGTATGTTTTACAGAAGGAATGGAGACTAGCAGGTAAGTTAAGTGGAGGTCACTTAAGAGAGCTGCTTCTTTGATGAAGCCCTAACCCTTCCCCTGTAGACTCTATCCCCAACCAGGGCTGATGCTTAATGTAGCACAGGCTGTGACCCGCACAAAAATACCCAGCTGAGGGGGTTAGTGGGGACTGGAACCCATCCATGCTCCAAAGGAAGAGACACCTTTCTCTTATTCATACGTCCATTCTCCCTCCTTCTCCCCCAACCCTGCCTCCTATTCAAGTCCACACATTGTTACACAGAACAAAATTAGGCAGGGCTATCAGGTTAAAGCACTGCACCATACTGTAAATGATGCTCTCATTAAAAACAACAGCACGGTCAAGCAGAGAGCATGCTTGCATATGAAATGTGATTAATCCTGTCAGATGTGGCTCATGATGACTGGGGCCACACCACCACGACAGCAGCTCTGCATCGAGCCTAGCTGTGTGCCTGGCCACACCCCAAAGTGCTTCACACTCCTCTCATTTCACCCTCAGAGGCAGACAAGAGGACAGCAAAGGACTCATGTGTCTCCCATGCTCTCTGAAAATGACTTCCATTTCTACTGGGGACCAAAAGTAACAACAAAAGTAGCTTTTTATTTGTAGAGCACACGACTTTTTCAAAGTACATAGCTAACACTGTCCCCGCAAAGCCTGCCTCCTTTAAGTGCTATAGCTGATGAAGTTAGAATGGGTGATCTGTGTCCACTTGAGTTGAATATTCTTTAAGTAATAAAGGACTCAGTTATATTTTAATTCTTTAAAACTGATTCTCCTTCTTGTCAATCAACTGTCAATTTTCTGTGTTAATTTCTGGCAGAGGTAATAGAGTTAATCCAAAATCATAGGTGTGTTAAAGTCCAGATTGACCAGTATCCTTAACAAACCAGGCACTGAGCTGAAAAGGGGATCATTTCCCAGTGGGCCTTAATGCCCACAAAAATCCCTGTGGAAAATTGAGAAACAGACAGAAAGTGACTAGCCTAAGGCTTGAGAGTGAGTGGCTGACTGACTGGCAGAGGGCTGGAAATCAAATTCAAATCTCCTGACCTCTAATTTCAGAGGGTGTCCTGCCTTCCCAAGGCCCAATTTTACAGTTAAATGGCTTAACAAGGGCTTTACTGGATTGAAGTCAACATTAAAAGACATTAGATTCCACCAGCACAGTCTTTGGCCCTTTGTCTCTAATGAGAATTTGCCCAGTTAAAATTTCAACATTGGGTCTAACCTGAGGGATCTTGACTTTCAGCCTGAAGCTCTTGAAAAGACTTGATTAACTTGGGAGTTCCTGCTACAAAGAAAGAGTCAAGAACCCTCTCCAGCAAAGGTGAGCTGGCCTCAGTGGTAAACGGGAAACGAGCTGGTTTAAATCACCACCCTCTCACCAATCATCAAGATAAATTCCATCAAACATACACGTATTGTGTTTCCAGGAGAGCTGGGGGTTATCCAGGGCTCTGAATAATATGCTACCATCAAGATGAAACATTTTCCTTCTCAAGTAACTAGCAATTTAGCTAGGAGAGGCTCCTCTGATGCCTAAGAAGGAGGGTGAAGACAGGTCAGTGAGGAAGTACAGCCTGCATGCAGACCAGGAAGCCTGAAACCAGCCAGACTCTTCTGCAATACATGGACTGGCCTGTGAACTATGGGTTTCGATTTATAGAGACAACATTTCTAACCAAGGGAAACAGAAAGGAAGGCAAATTGAGGAATGCAGGAATACACCTGCCCCCCCATCCCCCACCAAAGAAAAAGAGGGAAAGGGGGGCTGGAGTGTTCAAGAAAGCAAAAAATGGAAAGAGGAGAGAGGGGACTAGAGGGATGACTTGCCCTGCTTCCTCATGGCTTAACAGAAGTAACATATGGGCAAAGGGTGTGCTTTAATGGCAGACTGATGGACGGGAGTAGAAAGACATGTCCGCTAGTTACTCTCTGGGTATCCCTGGACACACTGCTCAAGCTTGCAGCCCTTCAGCTGTGAAAATATGAATGGTATGTTGTGAAGGGCAAGTCAGCTAAAAATATTTTCCTGGGGATTAAGTGAGATCGTATCTGTAAAGCATCTAACAGGTTCATAGGGGCTCAATATAATGGTAGTTTTTGTTATTAGTGACCAAGGAAAATGGTAGCACAGTTGTACATATTCAAAATTGCTGATTGGTATTAGAAAGTTGGACAGCTACTAGCATAGGAATGGAAAGCTGAACTGTACTATGGAGTTGAGGTGGAAAGAAGCCAGAGGAATGGGAAATCAGTAATGAAATCAAAGACCCTGATACACAGAATCTGGTGATCAGTTAACATCTGTGGAACGAATGAATGAGAATTTAACTAACCTATATTTGTCATTTACAATACAACTCTAAACTGGGACTGG
Organism: Homo sapiens; assembly: GCF_000001405.40. NCBI lineage: Eukaryota > Metazoa > Chordata > Mammalia > Primates > Hominidae > Homo > Homo sapiens. The sequence continues at coordinate 162,236,034 of NC_000001.11, read as the reverse complement.
GGAAGTGACATGAAATATCACTTAACATGTAGACTGTGCTCCTAACAAACTCTTGGAGGATCCCCCTGGCCTCAGTTTCTCATCTCCAATGAATGAAACCAGATGATGTCTATGTGCCTTCTAGATCTCAGATTCTATATTTCTTTGATTTATCCAACTGATGCGACAAGTATCAGCAAATGATCTAAACACATGGATGCATGTATGTGAGCATGAAACATATTCATGTCATCAGTGAGTCAGGCAAGTGCTCCTTGAACACTGGCCCCATGTGGACCAAGAGACGGAATGCCAGGAATTAACCACCATCACCTTTCTTGTAACTGCCCCTTGGCCTCTAGTGATGCAGTCACTACTCTGCTTAATTAAAACCACGTACACAGGCCTGGTTTTAATTAAGCAGAGTAGTGACTGCATCATTCTGGCCACTGAAGCTTTGATCTCCCCATGCAGCATGTTTCCGCACTGTTGACCATGCTCCAAGAGCCTGAAACACAAACCAGCAAGAGCCTTTGACAAGTCAGCCTTGACGAGGCTCCCCATGGCCCCTTTCCAGGTATGCGCAACAGTGAGGACCTGCAAGGTGCAGAGATCAGGGAGAGGGCAATGGAAAAAGGCAACAAAGGCTCATGCTACCAAGAGCCAATACCAGCGCCAGGGAAGTCTTCTTCACTTAGGCAAGCTCTTACATAAGAGCTTCCCAGTAAGGGTCATGCCTGTTGCCACAGAGTGCAACGAAATCATGACAGAGAGAAAAATGATTTGTTGTGGGGAGATGAGTAAGATTAAGTTCAAATTCAAGTTAGCTGAGTGAACCCTTCTATGGGGGAAAAGCTTTCAGAATCAGGTCCCCAGGATCTAAACCTCATAACACTTGGCAAGTTAAAAAAAAAAGTTTTAAAATGTTTAATAGGAAAAATTTCTCTCTCTCTGTACTACATTTCTTCTTCACATATTCAGGATTTACTGAAGGAACGCTCAGGTTTAAAACAATAAAAGGAGGTAGCCCAAATCTAAATGAACAGGTTGAGAATGTGATGAGCAAACTCAGCCCAGGGAACTGTCAGAACAGGGCATAAAACAACCAGCGAGGGGTTGGAATCAGAGTAGGGTTCTGCCTCAACAGCCGATTGCAGGGTATAGTTTGCAGAACTCCAGAAGCAACAGCCTCTTCTATGTGGCTACAATTCCCCACTCAATTTGATTAAACACAAAGGGCACTGCACATGGGAGTGGGAGTGAGGGTGGGTGTGGAGCTGTGGTCCTGCAACAGAGCACTGTGAAAACCCATCTGTGGTTTCTGGAATGGACTCAGGAGTTATGGCAGCACCCATTCCTCCTGTGATAGAAACCTTAGATTAGAAACATCATGGAGAACAGGACAGCAAGAATTTTAAGGAGGGAGTGAGTTGGGAAGGATGGGGACACAAAGTGGCACAGGACACATAGAGAGGAAGAGACACATTGGCTCCACGTGGGAGGAATTCAGAAGTTAGAGACCCTGGGCAACTTGGGAAGAAGAGCTGCCACAATGATCTTGCCAACTTCACAAGACAAAAATTTCTATAAAAGAGACATCCAAGAGAAAAATTTCTATAAAAGAGACATCCAAGAGCACAGCTCTGCCATTCCCTGATCTAAAACTCCTCATTTTCCCACTATCTATGGAATAGGAACACTCCTTAGCATGGTGGTCCTCAATGCACTCTATGATATAAGCCCAATGTGACTTCCTACCCTCGCTCCTTTAAAGCCCTCTTGTTCCCAACTCATTGCTAGGATACTAGCTCTGCTTCTCACTGCCTATAGCTTTTCCTCATCTTCATGTACTGGAATGATACCCATTTCTCAAGGTCCAGATACCATGCCCCCTTGTCCATGAGCAAAATGTGCTTCCTCAGCACTCTGCCCATCTCCTGGGCCCAATCACATTCTGCCTGTGTTTGCAGTCCTCTCTATGCATGTTGGTCTTTCCTACTAGATTTTAAATTCCTTGGGTGTTAAAACCATGTCTTATTCATCTTCATGTATGTCCAATAGCAGACAAGATGTGTTTCTCAAAGTAGGTTACTACCACATGTGTAATGCTTCCCTAACTGTTGAATTTTAAAGGAAAAAAGAAAATCACAAACCATTCCAAGGTGCCAGAGTCAGATCTCCAATCCCAAAGTATTCAGGAGCATGGAGAAGAGGTTAAACATCTCATACGAGTTTCTTGGAAGAAGAGGAACCACTTAGTAGGCCAAGAAAATCCTCACAAGTCCTGGCCACAAAGCAAAGTTTTGAGAGGCTTGAGTTCAAAACACTGCCTTGCAAATAAAGTCCCAGAAAGTCATATCTATCTTTGGGATTGGACAATAAAGTACTTAAAATAAATGATAAAAGTTCATCAAGTGTTTCTAAGGTTGATGGTTATTGGGGGAAAATTGGAGTGACTGCTATTGGGTATAGGGTTTCTTCTTGGGATAATGAAAACATTCTTAAATTGTGGTGACGGTAACACAACTGGATCTACCAAAAAAAAATCACTGAATATTACACTTTAAATGGGTAAACTGTACACTATTGATTTTGTCTCAATAAAGATGTTATTTTTAAAGACATACCTCAAGTAAAGGAGGACACTTGGAAAACAACCAGGTTAGAGTCTAGGGTAGTCTGACCCTCCTGGGAGAGTCAGAGCCACAGCAGTACAACTACCCCGCCAGCCACCACCATGCAAGAGCCACAGGCATTGGGGTGGGGAGGAGCTACTTAGCAAGCTCTGTTTGCTTTGGCCATGAGGATGAGCAACACCAGGGGTTCCATATATAGCTCAATGCTTCTCAAAGTGTAATCCCTGGAGCAGCAATATCAGTATAACCTGGGAACTTAGAAATGCCAGTGCTTGGCCCTACCTCAGACCTACTGAAGCAGAAACTCTGAAGGTGGGGCCCAGCAACCTGTGTTTTAATAAGCCCTCCAGTAGATTCTAAAACACACTGAAGTTTGAGAACCACTACACAGTTTAATTCTTAAGGGCACAGACTATGGAGCCAGACTGTAAATTTGAATTCTGCCTCATCCTCTTTCTGGCTATGAGTCCTTCAGCAAGTTACTAAACCTCTGTGTGTTAGTTTCCTGTATATGAAATGGGAGAAACAACCATACCTATGTATCATAGGGTTATTATGAGGATTAGATGAGTTCATTTATGACAAGGACTTAAATCAGTGTCTATTACATAATAGAGTGCATAATAAAGGTACATAATAGGTACATAATAGGTACATAATAAAGCAAATAACTATTTGCTTTAAAATTTTTTTAATATTCAGATTTGGGGTTGGTCTCATGTACTTTCACCCTTGGTAAGCCAAACCAGCATAAAATTGAGGCAGGTTAGCAGAATCAAAGCACAAGAGAGAATCCCACAGAATGGGCAAGCTGTCTTGTAGCTGTGTCAGCAGACCGCATCTGCAACACACACACACACACTTAGACACACACACACACACACACTCTAAGCACAAAAGAAGATCACAACACTCTTCAGCTTCCCTGAGGAAAAGAAAGAACTTCCACTTTGTATGACAGAGCAGGGAAGATAAAATGTTCTACATAAAAGTGGCAAAATAAATCAATTCCAATAACAGCCTTTTAATTCTCTGATCCCCAAGAGGAAAAAAGGAAGTGAACAATGTCAAGTATTCCAATCACAGCCATTAACAAGCAGCTTTTAACAGAAACTGAATAAACCACCTTCCCTTGTCCCATAAATTCAGAGGGATTAGGTTTTCTGCCACCTCGAGGACTCCCAGTCATGACCTTTCAAACTCAGAATGGCAAGATCTTTGCACTTTACAAACCCAGGTTTGCACAATTAACTGGAGTCAATCCCATTTTCCAAGGTACCTATTTCTCTCTCAAATTGCGACCAAATTGAAGCTTAGGGGCCTAGACTTCTAATAAGCTCCACTGCTTAGAGTTACAAAGGATACCTCTGTGCTACAAGAGCATAAACTTTATGTGGATAAACTGTGTGTGCTCATTAAACCAACTTTGAAAATACATAAATGTAGGAAGAAGAAACCAAAACAGCCCAATACTAATTCCCAAAGATAACCATTGCTAAGATTTCAGTGTATTTCCTTTCTTTTTCAATACATAGGTGGTTTCTGTTTGAACTTCACATAAGCCTTTTCCTAAAATTTTCGTAACTTTTTAGAACATGGCTTTTAATTATATGTAATGCTCCATATGTGGCCACATAATTACTATAATCCTGTGCCAGTTATCAATTTATCATCTCTCAGCTCCAAGTCTCTCCTGCTTTGCCCTGCTTTCTGATACTGGAGAGGAACCCTGTAGTCACTGGTCATATATAGCTACTGAGCACTTGAAATGTGGCCAGTATGACAGTACAGTTTGTACTAACTGTACATTAGTGCAAAAACATAAAATATCAATAATTGTATGTTGATGACATATTGAATATTTTAAATATATTGGGTTAAATAAAATATATTATTAAAATTAAGGCAACAAAAACATAAATAAATACATTGGACTGCATTAAAATGTAAAACGCCTGTGCAAAAGACACAACAGAGTAAAAAGACATCACACTGAACAGAAGAAAATGTTTCCAAATCATGTATCTGATAAAGGGTTAATGTCCAGACTATATAAGAAGTACAGCTCAACAACACAAAAGCCAAATAAGCCAATTTTAAAATGGGCAGAAGACTTGAGTAGACATTTCTTCAAAGAAGACACCCAAATGGCCAGGAGGCATATGAAAAGCTGCTCAACATCACTAATCATTAGGGAAATATAAATCAAAACTATAAGGAGATGCCACTTTACATCCATTAGGATGCTCACTATTAAAAATCAGAAAAGACCAAGTGTTGGCAAGGATGTGGAGAAACTGGAACCCATGTACACTGTTGGTGGAAATGTAAAATGATGCATTTGCTATGGAAAATAGTGGTTTCTCAAAAAATTGAAAATAGAATTACTATATGATCCAGCAATTCTACTTCTGGGTATATATCCAGAATAACTGAAAGCGGGGTCTTAAAGAGATATTTGTACACCTATGTTCACAGCAGCATTATTCACAATAGCCAAAAGGTAAAAGCAACCCAGCCAATCCATTGACATATGAATGTATACACAAAATATGCTACCTACATACAATGAAATATTAGCCTTTAAAAGGAGGAAATTCGACACCTGCTACAACAAAGATGAACCTTGAGGACATTATGCTAAGTGAAATAAGCCCATTACAAAAAAACAAATACTGCATAATTCCACTTATATGAGATACCCAGAGTAATAAAATTCATTGAAATAATGAGAATCGTGGTTAACTGGTGTTGCAGGGAAAGAAGAAAGGGAAGTTGTTGTTTAATGGGTGTAGAGTTTCAGATCTGCAAGATGAAAAAGTTTCGAAGTTTGGTTTGCACAACTACTGAACTGTACCTTGAAAAATGGTGAAGATGGTAAATTTTATGTTATATCTTACCCAAATTTAAAAATTAGTATCACCAGATTCTTTTTAGCTTTTTAATGTGACTAGTAGAAATTCTGAAATTACATATGTGGCTTGCATTATATTTCTATTGGACTGAGCTGCTCTGAACATTTCCCCATTGCCAGCTGGCACAACATTGGGTCCTGTCAGTAGAGGGTGCTGAAAGGAAAAGCTTCTCTTCCTGGTTCTAGTGCTTTTGTTCTTACTTCTATGGCACAGCAGGCAACTTCCTGGCCAATGGGATATGGGAGACCCAGCAGCATACACCCCTCCGTCCGGTTTTGCTGGCGCCCCAGTGGACAGCTTCCTGCTTACCAGCCCTGTCCTGTGGTGCTCCAGTGACTTCTCTACCATCCAGTGGGCCCCAGCCACTAACTCTGCAAGGAGATCTGAGTCTCAGCTTTGGGGGATCCCTTCCTAGTTTATTCTTCCTTGGACACTCTCACTCAGCCCTAGGGACACAGGCTGCTTCTCTTGTATTCTTTAAAGTTCTTTTTACCCATCTTAGCAGTTGATTTTCATTTACTAGTTAATAATTCTTCATACTAGATTTTCCATTCAAATTACAGGTATGATTTCTGTATTGGATACCATTAGTAATGAAAAAAGTTGCTGAAGAAGTGTCACAAGGCTTTGAGCAGTTGAGACACGTCTTGCATTTCCCACTGTTCTTCTCAGGTTCTAGCTCCCCTCCTCCTCTATTTTCAGTTCCCTAAAAACAGAAATGTATGTTTTTCATTGTATTACTACCACCCTGGGATTATCATTCAGGGAGCACATTAAGAACTGAAACTCATAAGTCAATCAAGGGCTATGTCTTCTACCATTCATTCAACAAACATTTATGTACTTAGCTCCTATCACGTGAGGGCAATATGCTGGGTGTGGGACAGAGGGTGGTTGAGAATTTGAAAAAGAAAAAGTAACACAGAGAAAATAAACAGGAACAGGTGAAACAGAAACTCAGGCTTCAAGCACCTAACAACCCAGCAAATAAAAATAAAGGATGATACAATTCACTATAATGTAATATTTAAAAATATAAAATAAGCAAATAATTAAAAATAAAAGAGGCAGACATACCATTCTGGGTACCCTAATTGGCCATAGGAAAACATGTAAAGAAAACAAAAAGAAGTTTTTGCAACATTCTGTCCTCCTCAGGGCTTTTTCTTACTCCAGGGTTTCCTCTCTCCCCTACAGACATCTAACCAGTATCTTACTAACCAAGAGTTGTGTTCTCAGGAGCAATCCTAGATATTATATCTGCATGCTGCACAGGCCTGGTTCCTATTCTCATGCTTGCCTCTGCCTCCTTCCCGAGCCACAGCCAAGCAGCACATTACTAGAACAGTCCTAAAGAGCCAGTCAGCTCTATTTCACCTGTTAGGATCATGGCCCCAGACTCCAACTTCATCCCAACTTCCACATTGAACACAGGATTAAGATATTACCTGCTCCCAGGAAAATTTTAGTTCCAGAATTTCCATTTAGTTTATTTTAAGAGACTCTAGTTCTCTGGCAAATTTCTCCATCTTATTATCTATTTATTTCAATGTATTAATTACAGTTATTTAAAAGTCTATGTCCAATATGACTGCAAGTTAAGAAGGTCCTGTGCAATTCTAATTCTCCTGTGTATTTTTTTTCTCTTGTTTTACCATCATTTGGTTTTACCATCTTAAGCATTTGGTAATGTTTTATTGACTGCCAGACATTGTATTTGAAAAATGATAGCGTTAATTTGAGGGTCTGAACGATGTTATCTTCCTCCAGAGAGTACTTGTTTGCTTTTGGCAGGCAGCCGGGGTAGAGAAAAGGAACCTTGATCCATTTGAGCGAGTTAGAAGGTAAGTGTCAGCCTTGCTGGGCGCTGGTCTATTGCCAGCTTGCCCTTACTCCTGAGAGAAACCTTCTGGGGGTCCAAACTGAAAGCCTAGGGGGTTCACCAGGCCCCTCCTCCTTGGCGAGTCTTGAACTCCTATTCTGTCTCCTCAGTTCTGAGAGACTGTTGAAAGCTCTGGCACCTAATTTAGCTTCTTTGCTGCCACTTACAAACTGGCAAATACCTGGAGGGAAAAGTGGCATCTGATGGCACATTTCTCTTCATTTCCTTCATCTCCACCATTCTGGCCTTTCTAGGCATCAATGCCACGGTATTCTCCAAGGAGAGTTATATTATTTCTATTTACACTCACAGTAAACATATATACGCTTTTCTGGTATTCACAGTGGAAGGATTAGTATAATACAAACTAGTCTGACAAAATCAGAAGAAACTCAAGAAAAAAATTATGATGGTATATCAGAGCTTCTCAATCTAACCTCTAAGCCTTTTCTCCTTCAAACTTTCCAGCCCTTTATCTCTCCGTGCTTCCTCACTTCTGCTCTTCAATTCATGATCTCTTCAGCTATGTTGATCTCTTCGACTGTTGACTTCATTACTTGCTCCCTGCCTCAGTCCTATATTTTTCATTTCAGATATTTCCAATTGGATCTTTTCATATTGGCCTATTATTTAACAACCTTCTATTTTTATTTGAGAAACGCTCCTGTCTTTCTCCGATACTCTAAATATACACACTTTTCAAACTTTTCAGACTGCTCCCTGGTTTCTCTTTTTTAGGGTTTAAATTATCTTGTTTGACAGGTCTTCCACCTGTCTCTCATAGTGGTGGTTTTCCATGAGTGCAGAAATTTGTTTGCAAACTCATCTTGCATAGGAGGGTTTTTTCTCCTTATTTGCCCCTCACTAGCAGCTGAAATAATGATTGAGCCTTGACCAATAGGATATACAACTCTGAACAAGGTTCCAAAGTAAGCTTTTAGGATTTTCTCTAGAACGGACAACAAAACATAAGATATGTGTGTGCTGCACAGTTGTAGGTCCTATTCTCACACCTATCTCTGCTTCCTTCCTGGGCCATGGGAGAGCTACCTGCCACAAAGTTCAACCATGAGTGATTAGGCTCCAGTCAACTTGCAAGGAGCATGGTCCCAACCCCAGTCCACACAGGAGGATGGTTCTGATCTCCTGTCATGTGCTAAGTGCACTGAAAGGAGATCTTAAAGTCTGGGCCATCAATCCCCATTCTTGGTTTCTAAGATTTCCCCCTTGTTTTTTAATTGTTATATTTTTAAAATTGTTCCTATGTGTTTGGAACAGAAGAAATAATTCTGAATGTGCTTACTGTACTTTATTCACAACAAGTCCACCAGGAAATGTTAATATGGCCCTCTTAAATACTAAAAATGCTCATATGTGTGAAAAATTTATGTTTTTGTATATAGAAATAGATTAAACAACATCAATGCACAGCGGGGGAAAGACTGGAAGAATCTACTCTATGAATGTTAATAGAGATAACTCTGTAATGTTGGAATTAAGGGTGATAATTTTTTTAGCCTAAATATTTTAAACACATTTTCTATAACCATGTATTAATCATTATCCAGGATCCTTTTCTTTCTTAAAACTCACAACTCAAAGGAGAATGAATGGTGCATTTCATTTCAGGTAGTATGATGGCCTGTATATTCTTCCCTGTCCCCCTTAGACAAACTGGCCCTCTGGGGATTTAAAAAAAAAAAAGTCACTAGTATACTGAGAAAGAAGAGTTAAGAACAGAGTCCAAGGCCTGTCATCAAAGAGCTATTAAAGAGGGAAGAATTTCAGAGCTCCCTGAAGGCAAAGCTAGCTTACAAAGACACAAAGTGCTAATGGGGATATTTACCACTTGTTCTCTAACTAGCAGCAGAGCTTAGGAAGACATACAGCCTAAGGAGGGAAAGTGAGTTGTACTGGCCTACATACAGGTGAAAGTAAATATTCAGAAAAACTAAGGATTAAAAGTTAGTAAAGGCTTCAATAGAACATCCACAGAAAAGCCTTCCTGATGCCCCCAAATTAAATCAGGTTACTCTGTTAGGGTCCCCTTACAATCCTTACTAATCCTTCATTGCACTCATCACAATTTGCAAGTTCACAATTATTGTTGTAATGTTAGGTTTGGTATTTAGATGGTAAATACTAAGTATTTAGATGTTAATACTAAGAATTACTAAGTAAATACTACGTAAGTAAATATTAAGTATTTAGATGTTAGGTTTAGTATTTAGAGCTGCCCCACAATACCAGCCCAAGGAATGTGTCATTTTGCTCAAGGCTAAATCCCCAGGGCCTAGCACCATAGCAGGTAATCAATAAACATTTCTTTTCTTTTCTTTTCTTTTCTTTTTTTGGAGGCTGGAGTCTAATGGTGGGATCTCAGCTCACCGCAACCTCTGCCTCCCAGGTTCAAGTGATTCTCCTGCCTCAGCCTCCCAAGTAGCTGGGATTACAGGCATGCACCACCACGCCCAGCTAATTTTGTATTTTTAGTAGAGACAGGGTTTCTCCATGTTGGTCAGGCTGGTCTTGAACTCCCAACCTCAGGTGATTCGCCCACCTCAGCCCCACAAAGTGCTGGGATTACAGGCATGAGCCACCACGCCCAGCCAATAAACATTCCTTGAATGTTGAATACAAGCAAAATATTTTTATCTTGCTTTCGTTTCTCTATAACATTCCTTGCTTCTTAACATAAAATTAATTTGTTAAAATAATTTCATTGTATGAAAAATAAATAATTTGAGCTATTAGTATTCTGCAGCTAAAGTAGAGGTGACTATAGGGCCTATTCTATCCTAATGACACCATCAGTAATCTACGGACTGTGCCAGTGGTGAAGGCAGAGAACATGGGAGGACTTCACAAGCCTCTCTGAGACTTGATCCCAAAACTTCCCACCCATTTAAGTGAACAAAACAGCAGAGGTTAGCAAACTGACAGCCTTACCTGGGTTAGTTGCATCTGTGACAGAGAAAAACTTTAAGGAAATGGATCGTGGGACAACACTGATTGTTTATGAGGCACCTGCAGGCACTTTTATCCTCCTTGGAAGAGGGAAAGCATAACTTAATTTATAATATTCAAAAAACACTCCCACAAACACTCACTTTATCGTCCTTTACACAACCTACCTGAAGAAGAGGCACTGTGCACTGTGGATACTATTGTACCCATCTTACAGGCAGGAAACTGAGGCTCAGGAAGGTGAGTGATGCTCTTAGAGATACAGTGGGGCTGGAGCATCTTCTGTGGTGGAGGGTGTCCTGGTCTAGGGAGTGGGAACACTGAAGGGAGTGAGGGAAGAGGCAGTGCAGACAGAAGGCACACTGCCCCACAACTAGCCATGGTTTGTGCCATGACGATGGTCCAGGCCTTCAGGAAAGGTGAGAGCTACCCAAAACTCGTGAATAAGTAATAAGGAGAGTGACCTCATAACCCTACCCTAGGAGGACTCTGCTCAGACATGGCTAAAGTTTGTGCTGACACACAGCAGGCCCCAAATTAAATGGTTTGACTTCAAGGAGAAGTATGTGGGGTGGTGAAAAGTGGCAAATATCACCTGCAGGACTTCTGAGACTCAGACATGTCACTGGGAAGAGAATGGTTGCCAAGAAGAAAGCTCATTAGAACCTTATTTTTACTGAGATGCTTCTTTTTCAATGCTCACTTCTTTCTTTGTTTAAGACTTCCCGGGGGCCCTGCTTTTACTGGCTGAGTTGCTCACTGACCCAAGAGCCCCCAGCCCATCTCTGATAAGGCAGTGACCCTCAGGACATGGGGTCTCATCCTGGAAACAACATCAGTCTTAGCCAAAATCAACAGGGAAGATTCTGGTCAATTCTCCTGGGAACAAAGACAGGCACTACTTGTCCTCTCTAACTTCTCTCCTTTCCTGCCCTAAGTTACTCTGGATAAAATCAGGCTCAGGGGATGAGTCTGTAGCATTTCCTCTGTCTTCTTGTTCAGTACAATTTTTCACTTTTATTTCATGTTTAATTAGTTAAAGTAAAGCTTTCCATCAGAAGAGATATTGCTCTTAGTGCCACAGCTACCTGCATCCAACCTGGCACTTGTCTTTCTATGTGACCTTTCTCCTGACCCCCAGCATTCCAATTCTAAGCCTCTGCACCTATAAAGCTCAACCACCTTGAACATCAAATAATGTCCTAAGTTTCCATTGCCAACTTTTGATCTCCTCTGTCAAAAAAGTTTATTGTTTTAACCAAGGTAATGAAGTAATGAAAGTTCATTACCAAATGGAGAATTATGAATGTCAGAAGCAGGGAGAAACTGCCAGAATATATTTCAATCCTGGAAAAAATAAGTGCCTTGAATAAAAAAGCAGGCAATAAATATGTGTTGAATGAATGAACGGTCTCAAAAACTCATTTCTCTCCTTGTTTCCTGAGTGGATCCCTGACCTGCACAAAAGTTCTGTGCTTTTTTTTTTTTCTGTCCCCAAAACACTCTGAGATCTGGAATGAAAAGCGTTAGGACTGCAAAATTTGTTAATTACAAGTTAATGACTCTACAGCCTTTAAACCTGTGAATGCAAAGTGTCACCCAGTACAAATTAAAATCAGTATTTACATAAACTTCCCAAAGTGAACTGGAGAGTGCCCTTAACAGAGTGACTCTGGCAGAAAATGTATTATCCATGATCCATGCACCGTATCCAGGCAAGAGTGAAAGGTGCCATTTTGATTCAAAAATAAATTATATATACATACATATGCACATATATATTTTCATGTATAGTATTGAAATGCTTATCTTGACTTTGTCATCTTAGGCTTCCTTTTGGCTTTTTCCTTCAAATAGACTAAACTGCCATTATGGGTAGCAGGTATTCTGAACTGCAAGGCGCATGCTTTGAAATTTTAATAATTTCCTATATCCTCTACCTACAAAACCACAGCTATTAAAACAGGTGAACTGAACAGCAGATGATTCAGAGAGAAAATATTTTATGTAAACAATGATAAACACAATTAAATTTTTTTTCTCACAAATGTCTTAATCAGTTTAATTAACCCCTGATCTTAACCTCAGATTTCTTAAAGCTTTTTCTACGTCTTGACCTTGGAGCCCCAACCTCTTTCAGACATTCCTCCAAACATTATGCTCAGCTTGACCCCAGAAGCCTTTCTGCCGACCTGTCCTTAATTATCACAGAGCTCCCCCACCCCACCCCTACACACTTTTTGGCAATACAGAATCTATTCTATAGCTGCTTTCAAATAATCTCAGGAATTTTCTTAGTTGTTTTCTTGTCCTCAACTGAGTTTCTCTGCTTCTTCAATACAAGACCAAAAAACAAACAAACAAATAAAACAAAACAAACTCACAGAAGTTTGGGGAGGGAGGGAGGTCTATAAACTGCACCTCTAAGTTAAGAGGAGAAAATTCTGTAACTAGATTCTCTCCATTCTAAAGAAGGTATTTTTTCACTTAACTCTTACATGTAATAGGAATAATCTCAACTGTCTTAGATATAATTTCAGAATGAGTTTCTTAAAGATTACATATACTTTACACTCAACATCCTGAATAAAATGTTACAACGTCTTTGAACAAAAAGCTAAGACTGCATTATTACCAATAAATGAGCTGAAGTGACAACAGGTGGGTTTATTCATGGCTCTCCAATGACAAAATGGTAAAAGAATAGTGTGATCTGTATGTAAATACTCATAACTATCACACCCATTTTCTTCCATTCTCTTGACCTAATCAGCACACGTGATCTTAACCTCACCCCACAAGGAATGCAAATATCCATGCTTAAAAGTGGATGTACTGTTTCTCTTTTCATTTTTATTTCAGCAGTTTCATGCCTTTTCAGAATTATGCAAAAAATGCTCTCATCATGGCCAACATAAAACATAAGTCCCCAAAAAGGTAAAATATAGTACAACTTCATAACCAACCAGCAAAAGCAAATGTAACAGGCCACCTGTGTGTGGGCATGTGCCTCTATGGGTTATGAACTAAGTTGAGTAGTAATCACAGTTGAGGCAGAGTTAGCATCAAATAATTTGCATTAAATATTATCAAAGTAAAAAAGCAAAACAAAAAAAACTCTGCTTGATGAAAGATGCACCAATATGCATCTTCTGTACACAAATGAAGATAACCTCAGAGGTGTCAATACCACTTAACAGTCCTCACACTGCAAAGGATCCTGACAATGCAGGGGCACCCAAGTCCATAATGAGCTCTTTCATTAACATCAGTCAAGTAAAAGGTCTCTGAAACAACTGCCTGTGCTCAAGGAAGAAATTTATGATACTAGCCGTGTTAGATATTATATACCGCATTGTATACAACACTGCTGTGCTCCTTGTATACTGCCATGCTCAATAACGTGGCTTAAGTTGAAAATTAACCATGTGCATTCAAGCTGTCACATATTGCTGCAGGAAGTAAGGCTTGGTGCAACTTTTTGAAGAGTAATTTGATATTACCTAACGAAATTGGCACCACCTCCAATTCCACTATTCCACAGCTAGGAATAAGAACTGTAAAAATCCAGAGAGAGCAAGGAAAGAAATAGAAGCGAAATTCATTGCAATATTGCAACATTTTTTATTCAACATTTTTTATAATGGCAAATAATTTTTAAGACACAAATATTCAATGGGAGAATGATTAAATAAATTATAATTTAATCTATATAACAGAACATTATGAGGCCATTAAAAAGAAATGGAGTACAGGTGTCTGCATATATTGACCTGAAAGGACATCTTTGATTTATCATTGAGTAAAAAGAAAACAAGCTATAGAAATGTATATAGTATGATCCCATTTTTGTCTTAAAAAGTAGCTGACATTTACTGAATGTTTACATTCCAAATACTGTGTTAAATGCTGACAAACGTTTTTAAATTTAATATTTACTAACAGTCCTATAAGTTATTTAATACCCTCCGTTTGAAAATTAGGGAAAGTGAAGCTTAGAGAAGTTTAGTAATCTGCCTTAAGTAAAAAAGCTAGTGAGTTATAGAGACAGGCTTTGAACCCAGACACCATGGTCTTAACCCGTGTGTGTGTGTGTGTGTGTGTGTGTGTGTGTGTGTGTGCGCGCGTGTGTGTGCGTGTGTGTGTTGCATTAAAAAAAGAAATGAGAGATTACCCAAAGTGCTAATGGTGAAAAACTCTGTAGAAAGGGAGAATGACTGTAACTTCTAAACAATTTGGATTTTTTTCTTCTAGCAAAAGATTCTAGTTGTAATTTAAAAAGGAGAAACACAGTAAGACAGGCAGAAAGAAAGATAGAAAGAAAATCAGCAAGCCTTCAATGCGAATTCCTGAGTAGGTTAGCACCATGCAGTCAGCTTAACCACCACTTCAAAAATGTGTTTAAAAATAGTGTGTGGGCTGGGCGCGGTGGCTCACGCCTTTAATCCCAGCACTTTGGGAGGCCAAGGTGGGTGGATCGGGAGGCCAAGAGATCAAGGCCATCCTGGCCAACATGGTGAAACCCCGTCTCTACTAAAAATACAAAAATTAATGGGCATGGTGGTCCATGCCTGCAGTCCCAGCTACTCAGGAGGCTGAGGCAGGAGAATCACTTGAACCCGAGAGGTGGAGGTTGCAGTGAGCCAAGATCACACCACGGCACTCCAGCCTCGTGACAGAGTGAGACTCTGTCTCAAAAAAATAATAAAAATAATGTGTAAAGGATTTCTTTTTTTCAGAATACAGCTCCAATCATTAGTCAACAAATTCTGGATAGTAAGACTCATCATCTAATGAACATATTTATATGGTAGATCATATGAACTTCTTTTTCCCATTTGGCCCAAAGATTCCAAGAGCGTATGCAAAAACAAAAACAAAAGCTGGTGCGTGAAATGTCAGGGAGCCCTTGGGATGAGGCCATGGAGAAAGTAAAGGTTTGCTTGATGAGGGGAGCAAAGTATGAGAATTTAAAGCCGGAATGGAAAGCAACAGCCAGGGCAACATAGAAGACCTGATAAAGCATCCATCTGACAAAACCCAGGGATCAAACAAACAGCAGCCCTAGGAATGCTGCAGATCCCACATGGGAGACTCCAAGTCCAGATTGCAATTTGGGTATTTTATAAAAGAGAAAATTTATAAATGAGAAAATTCATTTTTAGCAACAGCACTTCCATGAGTTTGGCTGGGCCATGTGGAGGCATGGGTCCAATACGCACTCTGGACACCTGTGTTCCCCAGACACTGTTCATCTACCTCCCTCTCCCACTAAAATGTTTGCTCTCTGTGGCAGCAACCGAGACCCACGCATAGCACACAGCAGACACCCACCCAGATTCTAGCTGAATCAAAATGAGGGAGGTAGTTATACAGAAGGAAGAAGCTTCCCAGTTCCTACAGCATTTCTCATTCCCATTCACATGTAAAGAAGTTAGGCTGAGCACGGGGGCTCACACCTATAAGCCCAACTACTGGAGAGGATTGCTTGAGGCCAGGAGCTCGAGGCCAGCCTGGGTAACATAGTTGGACTCTATCTCTACAAAAACTTTTAAAATTAGCCGGGTATGATGGTGTTCATCTATAGTACTGCCCACTCAGGAGGCTGAGGTCAGGGGGATCCCTTGAACCCAGGAGTTTGAGGTTGCAGTGAGGTATGATCGTGCCACTGCACTCCAGCCTGAGTGACAGAGTGAGACCCTGTCTCAAAAATAAAAACCACACACACAACAGAAAAGAAGAAGTTTATTGCATTTAATGTGTCAATGTTAACTCTTTCCTAGGGGATACAAGCAGATACAAGCTGCTTCCTGAAAGGTAAACTTACAGGCAACAATTTTCCAAGCCATCAATCTCTCAAAGCAGCAGTGCTGTCAGACTAAGTCAAGAGAATTGCAGAATAAAGCCTAAAACCTAAAGCATAATTACTCCTAAAAGGGGACATTTCCTAGAAGGATGAAGGTTTTCAGGGCTGTTCTCCCTAGAACCCTGGTGGGGGCAACAGCCACTTCGAAGATTAACATTGTCTCCAGCAGTTATTGTGAAAGAATAATTATTGTGCCCCATCTGTCTCCCTGATGATGCCAGCAACAGTAACCCTTTAAAAGGAAAAAAGACTTTTTGTGTGGCAGGGGGTCAGAGAAGGCAAGGGGAGACAGAGATGAAAGGATAAACAAAAAGCCAGGGCCCCACCTCAGTAGAGGAACAGGTAATACATGATAGCTGTTTAAAAAAGAAAGAGGCAGAAGGACCAGATTCTTGGGGCCTGGAGATGAAAGGAAGATGGAAACAGGAGCCTATCTGAGACCTAAAAACATATTCTGGGGTTTAAGTCTAGCTTCCCCTGTCCTTAGAGACGACTGCTACTAATAGCTACTATTGCTAAGCACTTGCCATGAGCCAGGCACTGTTCAAAGCTCTTGACATATTTTATGTCATCGATCACAACCACCCAATGAAGTGGGTGTACTTATTCCCATTTTATAAGCAAAGAGGTAGGGCTGGAAAGGTTAAGAGCTTACTCAGCGAGAGAGAGCTGGTAAATAAAGGAGTGAAGATTCTAACCCAGATGGAATGTCATGCCGAAGCTATTAGCCACTAGAAGATAATACCTCACTTGCACATTCTGCTGCTGCTGCTGCTGCACCTGAGGCCTTCACCTGGGCTCGGTGGTGAATGCCCTAAGATGGTTCAAAAACTGCATGTGAAAAACTGTTTTAGGCCAAGCTATCAACAAATCTTCTGGTGATATCAAACCTGGTGGCACAGATAAGAGAAATTTGAAAGTGACTTTCAAAAGCAGGGTGGAAGCCGTAGTACCCAGAGTTGCATCTGTCCTCTGGCAAAGGAGTGCCTGAAAGCAACACCAGGCAAGCAGTGAGTGGGGCTGGAAGGGACAGGGTGCCCGGGACACTCCTGAAACCCTCCTCCGCTCTAATAGGCTGGATTCCAGCAATAGCAAAAGCCTGGACTCTGGGGGCCACTTAGCAAGGGAAATTGGTCTTGGATAGTTCCACGACTGACCAGCAAACGACATGTGTGATCATCTCCCTTGGAGACCATGAGGCCTCTAATCAGCCCTGAAGACATTCTCACAACATCCACAGACAAATGACAACTGCAGGACCTATGCAGGGTGATAGCAGGAGTGGGAGCAACAGTAGAATCACAGTCATGCCTATTATCATTATTATAAAACCCTTACTGCGATTGCTCAAGGCATAACCGAAGGGGCTTGGTTTCAAATAGGTAAGAGAGTTCAAAGCACTGCCATTATGATAGTGATTTATTAGCCTGATATTTTTGAGGCTGATAGTACAGGTCCACTTTCACATATGGAGAGACTGAGGCTCAGTAAGGACAAACAACTTTGCATAAACCCAGAGCAAGACCTCAAGTCATCAGGCTCCCAGCCAAGGATTCTTTCTCCTAGAGCAGTGTTTTTCAAATTTTTTAAGTCCCGGAACTGCTTCAAATAGAATCTTCTCTGGAAGCTTACATTGTAAATCAGCCAAAATAGAACTTATCTGATGGACTCAGAGGTGGGGCCTCCAGGAAGAGAAAGGCCCCAGGTTTGAGTCCTAACTCAGTCACTTACTAGTGATACTTAAAGGAAGTTAGTCAACCTCTCCAAGATTCAGTTTCTTCATCTGTAGCAAGAAGAACAGCACTGCCTCTCTTGATTATTTATGAGATGGAAACAAGATGATGTAAAGTCCCCATATGCTCAGTACATGGCAGACATAATTATTATTCCTACCACTGTATCTGTGAGTGGGAAGGAAGCTGAAACCATCCAGCAATTAGCATGAGGCCATCTCCAGTCTCGGTCATAAACCAGGCAGCAGGTTAATTTCAGGAACTGGCAGGCTGACCAAGTTGCTGAAAAATGCACAGAAAAGAGGACAGGATAAAGAGAAAGGTGTATATGTGGTTTTAATTATGGTCACAGGGTTAAAGTGGAGGTTGTGTCCTTTACTCTGGCATCAGGGAGCCAGCCACACTCTCACTCTGCCTCGCTGGCACCCATGATAATTGGGACAACTATACTCATTAAAGCACACCAGTGCTTGAACAAAAAGCCAACAACAAGGCCAGGCACAGTGGCTCACGCCTGTAATCCCAGCACTTTGGGAGGCCAAGGCAGGTGGATCACTTGAGGCCAGGAGTTCGAGACCAGCCTGGCCAACATGGTGAAACCCCATCTCTACAAAAGTACAAAAAAATTAGCTGGGTGTGGTGGCTCATGCCTGTAATCCCAGCTACTCAGGAGGCTGAGACAGGAGAATCGCTTGAACCCAGGAGGCAGAGGTGGCAGTGAGCCGAGATCGTGCCATTGCACTCCAGCCTGGGCGATAGAGTGAGACTTCATCTCAAAAAAAAAAAAAAGCTAACAACAGCTGTTTCAGGACCCAAATGGAAAGAGGTATGGTGTAGTGAAAAGAGTACCAATTTGGACCCAGACAAAAGAGTTTGAGTCGTATAGGCTTGTTTCCCTGAGCCTAAGCTTCCCCATGTGAAAGAGTGGAAACATAGAAGTACCTAGGTGTATGCATCACACAACTGGCACCAAATATACATGAACGCCCTTGCTCCTCTCCAAGTCAGTCACATAAAGCTCCTTCCCTTCACAGCAGGAAAAGATTTGATGATGAATCCTCTATAAACGATAACAGCACCCACAATCACAATACTTGCAAATGTGCTGAGCCCACCTTTAAATTTGCTATATGTGTTAACTCATCTAATCCTACCAAAACCATAAACTTATAAGTACTGCTATGCTGTCTTACTCATTGGATAGAAGAAGAAACCAAAGCACAGAGAAGTTTAGAAAGTTGACCAAGGTCACACAGCCAGTAATAGTCATGCCAAGATTTGAACCCAGGCTGCCTGATTCCACAGTCAGTGTTCTTATAACATTCTTATCACAATGTTTATACTTCTCTTTTCAAATATAATTATTTTATTTTACATTATGGTACTACCAGGATTACAGCAGGTTTGTCATGCTATCTGCAATACACATGTGATGTTGACAGGACAAATTGTAATATTCCCATTTGGTAGATGAATAAACCAAAGCATAGAGGTTCAGCGACTTGCCTAAAGTACATAGCAGGACTCAGAGGCAAAGCTGAGACTAAAATGCAAGTCACCAAGAGTCCAACTATAAGATGTAAAGCCCGCTCTAGAAGGAAATGGTCCAGTGATTGTCTAGGCACTGATAAAACCACTTTCAAAGGTGTCATTAATGTCCCCACAACAGTAGCACTGCTTTAGCCAGGGCAGAGTTACATGGGCATGGATCCTAATACAACCTCCAGTCCCAGCCTAGATTCCTTCCCTTCATGGCATCTGTGTGAAAGAGGGTTTTTCTTCTGGCTAGTGGGCCTAGCACACACCAGCAAGAGGAGGTCCCTGGCAGAAGTAAGAGTAGGAATGGGACACAGGTGGCTCAGAGTAGAGCAACCAATGAGAAAGCAACCTGAGAAGGCAAAGGAATGCAAATCAACGTCAATGGACTCAGAAGACTGATGACAGGGAGGAGATGGGGGAGGAGGGCAAGGAAGCAGCTTGCAGTTGGAGCAGGAAATAAAAGTGCAAATGAGAGGCTCAGCATGGTCTCCACTCGCCATCCCACAAACGGGTGAACACACACGGAAGCTGGACAGACAGACCAAGGCGTGGCCAGAGAACAGTGAGTTATAATGCTATGAAGGATATGTGCATGAGAAAGGTCTGATGGAAATTCTCCAAAATGCTAACAAAAGAAGCATGGTAAGATCATGGGTTATCATTGTTCCTTTCCTCTGTTTTCTAAATGTTCTGAAAGATTTATCATCTTTAAATCTGAAAGATTATAGAATTCGACATCATCACAACAGTCCTGGCTTGAGCCTAAGGTGCATCTGCCCGAGGTCTCAGGTCTGCCTGGGCATGAGTGGAGGACCCAAGGGGCCATTCTGCTGGAGACCATCTGGATGACACACTAAAGGGCCTGCTGGGAGAGCATCTGTTTTGAGGACAGAGCTGGGTCCTCAAGCTTGAGCCAGTGACAGAGCTCAGGCCAGGCAGCAGGTCAGTTATAAGCATAATACAGTGCCTGCCACTCAGACTGTCTCCTGGCCCAGCATCCATGTTTGCATCTTAGGAACAGGCCAAATAGCAGGACAGAGAGCAGCAGACAGCAATGACCCAGGGCTCATGAGCCTAGCCCCGCAATGCAAGTTAAGGTTTCACCACTTCAGTAGGGGACACAACACAGTGCTGCCACCTGCAAGGTCCAGTGCATCACCAGTGTGGCCCACCCAGCAAGCCAGTTTCTAAAAGCAGGGAGTGGCATGACCGCAGTCGAGTGCTGTGGCTCAGCTCTGGCAAGCCTCAGAAAGACTCGGCCCCGGGGCCTTGGCAAGGCACTTCCTGGGACTTACGGGCCCCGAGGCTAGGGGTGCTCAGGGCAGGCATCACCACACACAGGAGACAGGGAATCCTAGGCATCTCATGGTCCTGAGAGCACTGTGGCCTTGAGGACCCGTGAGATCCCTCCCAAGCATGCTCAAGAAATCTTGGAGAAGCTTCGCGGAGAATGCAGCATAAAAGCCCTATCACGGTGGGTTGGGGTGAAGCCAGAGGAATATTGTTTTCTGTTATTGAAGGTGTTCTGTTTTTGTTGCTCCACTCACTGATGTAGCCTGGCAGGGAGAAAGGTGACATTTTCAAAAAATGTTTAAGAATTCATTAATAACGATGGTAAATTAGTAACTCTGAGCAACTATTAGAGGCAAAAAAGAGAGAAATATGACTAACAAACAAATGTTAGCGTACAGACAGAACTCCCATATGCTGTCAGCCACTCTTCATGGAAGAAAATAGTAGCTATTTCCAGACCGAAAATTAGGCCAAATAGTAGTTCTGTGAAGTGATTCAAGAACACAATAAACAATAACAAATATACAATATAAGATAAAAGACAAATGAATACACAGTATCTAATGAAGAAAAGGCTACTTCACAAAATTAAAAAGATATGCAGCTTGACAGTAAAGGAGGGTTAATCAGCCATTTGAATGATGGAAAGGTTAAGAAAAACACTGAGAATTATTTTTGAACAGAAAAAAAAATTATGAAGGGAAAATCAAAACTCAGAAGCTAAGCAGCCCTTCCCTCCAGTCCCCATGGCACTCTATTCCTCCTGGGTGTACAGCCTTTACCACCGTGCATACTCACTTCCCCCTTTCCTTCTCCCTCCAACCAGACTGTGAGCCTGCTGAGGGCCATGCTGATATCACCTCTCTGTCTGGAGGCGGGCACGCAGCATAGTGCTGGGCAAAGAGTAAACAATATATTGGCTTTTACTGAATGAATGAATGAATGAATGAATGAACGAACGAACGAATGAACAAGCAAACAGATTAACAAAGGAACAAATGTTAAAGGGGCTGAAATAAATGGATATCTCTGAAAGACATAGGAAAAGGAACTCTGGTCCCACAGGCACACCAAAGAAGAAAACTCCTCCACTTGGCATTTAATTGAATTCAATTTTATATATTCTTTGATAGTTTCATGTGCACATGGCCTGTCCCCACTGAGAAGCCTTAAGCCCTTGAAGGCAGGGACCACAAACTTCTACTTCTATGTCCCCCATTATAGTGCCTGGCACAGTGCTGGATTTTAGGTCTTAAATAAATATTCATTAAATAGGCTTGAATAAAGAAGATGAGACGAGACAAGTAAAGTTACTTCTAGCGGATGAGGTTCCTTCATTTTAATTTATAGGAGAAATGAGCTGGCTATTTACCAAGCTTCATTGCAACAGGCATTCCTCAGGACAAAGAGAGCCTTTCAGAACTACACGAGCGGCGGCGCCTTCTCCAGAGTTCCAGGCTTGGTATTTCCAAGGGAGAGCTAGGGGTCAAATAGTAAAATCCGCAGGCACAGGCACATGCCAGGGAAGTTGGCACAGCACCTGCCCAGGCTGGGAATGACTCCAGGCAGCCTGACCAAAGTCAAGAAAGCTCATAATTCATCCAGAGGAGAACTTAAAAACAATCCAGTTAGTTGGATATGACTGCAGATTGGGCAACTGAATGTCAACCGAATTCAACAGTGAGGACAGAAAATAGGAGGTGGGCACATCCTTCTTTCTCTAAAGCACACAGCTCAGGTGAAGGTGAAAGGTCTCTGCTTCTTGTATTTGGCAACTCCAGCCATAACAATCTGTCAGCAAAAATGCCTGCACAGGATCAGTGGGAGAGTCTCCTCCCTCAATGCAAAAATTCCTGACCAGGCAGCTCCCCATATAACCACCACTGGATTAAAGGCTAGACAAAGGCTAATTACTGGAGAAGGAAAGGGTCTCAGACAGGAAATACAGTTGGTTATCACAGCTAATGTTGTGGATGAGAGTTGCTGGGGTATTTAAATATGTATTGGAATAAAGCAAAAGGGGTCATGCTCATACGTTCATTTCCTTCCTAAGGAAATGTACCAGGGTGTTCAAGTTACCTGGGACTCCCTAACTGTATCTAGATT
The DNA here is from genome assembly GCF_000001405.40 of Homo sapiens. Classification (NCBI taxonomy): domain Eukaryota; kingdom Metazoa; phylum Chordata; class Mammalia; order Primates; family Hominidae; genus Homo; species Homo sapiens. The sequence continues at coordinate 162,213,118 of NC_000001.11, read as the reverse complement.
CCTTGAGGGTGGGGAGGTGGGCGGCCAGCCCTGACCTGATCCCCTAGAGACACCCTCCACCTGCTTTTCCTAGACACAATGCCCCAGATCCACCCCATATTATTCAGGAGAGTCAGAAATGGTTACCCTGGGCAAGATCCACAGCTTGTCACTTGGGCTCAAGGCAGCTGTGTGACAGGCTTTCGAGGAACAGTCTCTAGGCTCATACAGCTGAACTTGTTGACATGGTCCGCCGTGTGCCGGGGGCACTCACTCCACAGAGAGTTCAGAAGCTACACGGCAGCAGCCAAAGTTCACAGGGTGTGTCGAGGGCAGAAGCAACATCCCAGCAGGAAGAAGGAGAGGTAGGAGACTCTCCACAGCCATCTCATGGCTATCCTCCACCCACTCACTGATACTTTCTAGGCCTGCATCCACAGCTAGACCCCCTAGACTGATCATGGGGCAGGAAAGTGTGTGGCTTCACTAAAATCCCGAAGCTTTTACAATTACCCCTGTTCTTATCCTATATCCCTTACCACTCTTCCACTACCACCACCAACATACACACCTATTACCAGACTGGGGTGGGCAGCGGGGTGGCGGGGGGCAGAGTTTACATATTTCCCATCCCAAACCCCAGTCACTTAGAGGTTCCCCATCCTTGAGTGTCAATGTGGATTTGTGATGGGGAGAGTAAATAGTTTGGTGCATAAAACCTAGACTGTGTTTCATGAGGGCAGGACCAGCCCATTTTGCTCACCACTATAGCCCAGCACCCAGCACAGGTGCTAAATGTTTACTGTCACCTGAATTAAGAGTTAACTGGTCATTAAGTAGATGAGGTGGGACTACAGAAGACCAGACCACTGCTCAGACCACTGATCATGCAGCCCCTGGTTCTCTATATGTCAAACAACACCTTCCCAGCCTTGCAGAGGGGGCCACACGATGAGCTGTCTCACCTTTTTCCTGTCCCTGTCCTGTCAAGTATAAAAACAAGAGGAGCCTCCAAGAGGGCAACCCGAGGGAGGAAAACTCAGCAACACAGGCAAGGCATCTCCTCCTGCAATCTGCCTGGTCCTTCCCCAGCTATAGCATCGACTAGAGATTATGAGCTAGGTTTACACTCCTGATTCTGTCACTAAGTAGTCTTATGACTTCATACCAACAATCTGAACTTTTGGGGTCTTGGTTCTGTTTTCTGTAAAATGATCTTCTTTTGTGGGGGGAAGCTACAAGTACTGGACTTAAATATACAACACTCCCAAGGATGATTCAGGGCCAGCTGCTGCTAATTCAGCCAGTCCCTCCGATGGCAGGACACCTAGAGACCCTGGACCCTTGTCAGTTTCCTTAACCAGGATACGGTCAGCAAAGTGTAAACAATCAGACTGCAGAGAGAGGAAGGAAAGTGGCTCCCCCAGGGTCTCAAACAGTCAAGAAAAAAACACAGGGAAACAAGGAAAGAAAGAGTTCGGACAGGAAGGTAGCCAAACAACCCACTGCCTCACTGGGTTTTTAATGCCCTAGGAGGTGAGTTATTGCTTCTGAAGTTGAAAAAAGAAACATCAATAAATAAGTGCTATAGATTGTATTGTCCCTCCCCCACCAACATTCTGCACTGAAGCCCTAAACCCCAATGTGACTGCATTTGGAGAAGGGGCTTTTAGGAGGTAATTAAAGTTAAATGAGGTTACAAAGGTAGAGTCCTAATCCCATAGGATTGGCATCCTTCCAATAAGAGGAGGGGAGGGAGAGAGAGATGTCCTTCTCATACATGCACTAAGGAATGGCTATGTGAGGACGTAGCAAGAATCATCTGCAACCCAAAGAGACAGCCCTTACCAGACACTGGACCTGCTGGCACCTTGGTCTTGGACTTTCCAGCCTCCAGAACTGTGAAAAATAAATTTCTCTTGTTCAATCCACCTAGCCTGTGATATTTTGTTATGGCAGCTGAGCTAAGACAATAAGAGACCCAAGAAGCCTGCTGGCTCTCTCCAGTCTCAAGTACCATTCACCCTCATTCCCAAGATGAGCCTGTCTCACATTCATTGTCCCCATGTGAAGATCTGCCTGGGTAGAAACAGCAAGAACACAATGGTGGGAAGTGGGGTGAGACCAGAGTAGCAAGAGACCAACTTTCTTCACATGGTAGGACTCCAGAGCCCCCAGGCTTGTGGGCAGCACTGCAGCCCCTCCAGCATCACAGCAGCTGCGGACTCCGTGAGCTCAGGGGCCTGACAGTGACAGCCAGTTCAGTCGCTGGGCCATACTCGTTGTGTGCAATAGCAGAGATGAAGAAATAAAGGCAGTCAGTGGATAGAGGAAGGCCAGTGCCATGGAGCTATTTGAACATGTCACTCATGCCCTGCCAACCAGAGCAAATGGATCTCCCATTCCACAGGCAAAGAAGCCTGGTGATGAAGGCAGCCCAGGAGAAGGAGGAGTCACCACCATGGCCTTGAAGCAGGCGAGTATCTGGAGGTAATTACAAGTGGCACCAATATGCCCAGTCAATTACAGAGTGGAACAGCAACTCCACACGGAGCCTATAAAATGCTGTCATGGAAAGCAAGGACTTCACAGAAAGATGCTGGCCTCAGAGAGCTCGGTGATATGACAGTCATGGGCCTGAGAGAAATAATTTCCAGAGAAAGTGGATTAATTCTGGTTCTCAGTCACAGCCAACTCCCATGACAGCTGATTCAGAGCCATGGGGAGATAGACAGAAGGTGGCAGGGAAAACAGTGTGGCTTTTGCTTGCTGTCGAGTGAGTCAGGGAGGCCCACAGTGAGAGAGGCAAGCAGAGCTGTGGGCTGGGCATGGGAGAAGTCACCGTGCTCTTGAAGGTCGAGCTGGGCCCCACAGCAAGGAGATCCAAGGAACCCACTCAATGCGTCTCTAAGCCCTTGCACCTCAGCCTACTCCACACTGCAAAGTTGTTGCTGAAGAAATGTAGTTAAAGTGATACTCTCTCCCCCTCAGAGCCTTACCACCCATCCCTCCCATATAATCAGTCTTTCAGACAGCAGTATGCCCATCTCTCTTCCTTCTCCTTTCACAAGGATCAAAATAATAAGGAAAAATTAACAAAAATATATACATTTTTAAAACTCCCAGGTTGGAAAGAACTTAGAGACATCTAGTCTGGTCACTCGTCTGATATCTCTATCTCTGCCCACTCTGCATCAGCCTTGGCTAAAATGGCCCCAGTGATGAAGAATTCCTTCCCTCCTAAGCTTTCTTCATCTTCCAACAACACTGATGACCAGAAAATTCTTGTTATACTGAGCCAGAATCCACTTTTCAATTGCCTGGTTCTGCTTTGAGTACAGAAGAGTCCCCCTGCCCTTGCCCCCCGCCCCCAGCTCTCAGCTTCATGAGAGCTTTCCAAAACTTGAAGATGGCTAGCAAGAGAGGGATCTTCCCAAAGTGTTGGGAGGGCTCTGGCCCAACTCTCTAATCAATTTCTCTTCCATGAGTATTTAAAAAGTGTTCTTTAGAATAATGTTTTCAAGTCACAGAATGTTCAGTGGTAGAAGGTATCATAAAGATCATTTATTCTTCTTCCTTCACAGATGAAACCCAGGCACAAAGAGAGGAAACTGACTTGTTCAAGTCCTCATAGACACTTAGCAGAACACCCAAGGTTATATTTGAGCTCTCCTCACATCCAGAGGTTTGTACTGGGTTCTCCTAAAATACCACTTCTCCTAATTTTCCCCAAGCAGAACTGTGCTATCCTATCGCCCTTCTATCTACATGCATTTATACACACACTTCAGTCCAGACTATTTCCAACTTAAAGGCTTGGACGTTTGGCTTTTGGTTGCCTGGTACAACCTTACATGTGAGACAGTCCCTGAGACACTTGGGCCCTACACTGGTGCCCATCCCTGAAGGGGCACCAGAAATATTTCTGGAAGTCATTCCCCAGCAAATTGGGAAACATCTTGTGCAAAAATTGCAAATACAGAGGCCCCATGGGGTTTAAAGGCCATAAATGGGATTCCAGAAGAGGAAAAATCTTACCCATAAGCTTATTCTTTTAATCAATTGTTTGAGAGTAATCTGAAAAAGGGTTGCAGAATTTGCTCATTCCCCTGCAGTGTTGGCATTCTGAAAGTAAGGGACTGCAGGCCTGTGAGTCAGCAAGGAAAGCAAAATGAAAACTAGAAAATTCTAAGCATTTATTTAATACGAGCTAATAGAAGATGATGAATATGGCCTCAAATTTTCTGTTCTCCCCAGCCTCACATGAAGGTGGTGCAACCAGGAAAATGAGCTGAGCAGATGGAGTAAACATTTATTAGACATCTACTTTACGGTCGGTATAAAGGCATTGTTGAGAAAACAAAATTTCCCCTAAAGTATTTATAGCCTAACTCAGAAGGCAGGGTACAGGCAGTGTCTAAAACACAATTAATCAATGGTTCTCAGCCTGGGATGATCTTGCCTTTCAGGGAACATTTGGCAATGTCTGGGGTCATTTCTGAATGTCACAACTGGCATTTCATATATCCATATAATGGATAGAGGCCAGGGACACTGCTAAACATCCCACAGTACACAGGACAGCCCCTTACAACAAACAATTATCTGGTCCAAAATGGTGGTGGTAATAAAGTTAAGAAACCCTAAAGTAGGTGATCCACTAGTAGATACATGGTGGCTAAAATGAACTAGAATTCATCCAATTCAATATTTATTGAGGATATGTATGTGTCAGGAACTTTGTAGGCACTTAAGAATTAAAGATGAATAAGACATGTCTCTTCTCTCAAGGCTACATGAAACAATTATAAAAAGACAAGGTGGGATGTGATCCAGAGTTAAATTGGGTGTGTAAGTGCTTCAAGATTCTGAGAAAAGTGTGGCAACTGTAGGCCAGCATTAATTAGAAAACAGATGGGTCCTGAGCTTGGTCTTGGAGGGCAGGTAAGATTGGAATAGGCAGGCTGGGAGGCCCCTGCCAGGTGAAAGGGCTGAGCTGAGGGGCTCCAATAGCATCCCCAGACTCACCGTGAGAAACCCAAGAAGCATGCTCACTGCTGGTCCTCCCGCATCATAGCCAGCTGGCAGAAGCCAAGCCTGACCACAGTCTACATACCTTCATCTCCCATCTACAGATACTCCCCAGTGCCTAGCGCAGGGTATGTATTTCATGAATATGAAATAATTAGAAAAAGACAATAAAATTAAATCAGGAATTACTATTTTTTTCAGGCTTTTAAAATAAACTTTATTTTTAAAAAAGTTAATATGTGCATTATAAGAAACTGAGAAACACAAGAAGCAAAGAACACAGTCATTCACAATCACAAGCAGTTTATAGTTTGACATGTTCTTCTAGATCCTGTGTGTGTATAGGCACAACATCCAATTTTATGGGACTGAGACCGTACAGTATGTATCATGATTTTTCACACATCATGAATATTTACCAATTCAAAATCCCAAAGCTATATGATAACCAAGAATACACTACACCAACCAGGAACTACTATTTAATGAACATTTGCTCCCTGCCAGATTGTTTGCTTAACAACTTTACTTGCATTATCTCATTCAATCCTTGACCACAACCCTGTAAAGTACCTGGTATTACCACTTCTAAAATGAGGAAACTGACTGGCTGAATGAATAAATAAACCAATAAGTCAGCAAAGAACCAGCTCGAACAGCTCTGCTGTTCCCACACTAACCTGGGCTCTTTCTGATGCCTGCTGTTCCTTGGGTTCCAGCTTGCCCCACCCCTCAGGGCTCTTACACACACAGTGGCTATCAGCACCTAGCTGTCTAAAGCGGAGGTGTCGCGTGGGTAGACGGTGATTTTACAAGGGTTTCTAAGGCCACTGTGCCTCTGGCACTACGTCTAGAACTTCCCAGAATTTCTGCTGGCCAGAAGCCAGCACCACAAAAGAGACTGGAGCAAGGATGCTGGTATAGAATCTCCTCAGGGAGAAGGCTCAGGATCCCTGGTCCATGTTAAAACAAGGCAGCAGCAAACAGCTTCTTTTCACTAGCACATTTAACAAACCCTCTAATTATGTGATAAAAATCCCACTGGCGACTGCTTTTCTCAGAGCAGCACATTACCACTATCCAAATATTTCTCGGTCTCTAAATAATAGGGTAATTTTACAAGGCACGTATCTGCAGCAGCTGCAACAGCACAAATGGGTGCTGGTTAATTCCTTCTATTTATACAGCCCTCTTACCATTTATAGGATGCCCTCGTGGCTTTATTTCATTGGATCCAAGCAACCACGTTTTGAGAAACAAGTCACCTTATCTCCATTTTACACTCAAAGAGATCGAGGCTCAATGAGGTAAAATGAATTGCCCATGGTCACACTACAAGGTCTTCTGGCTTGTCTGGTAACAATATCATGTGCCAGCCACACTGCATGGCCCCTTTGCAATAGGTGATTTTCACTCTCCTTTCCTACTTAATTTGCAAATGATCATCAAGAATGCCTACTTGTATATTAACAAAAAAATTCCTGTGATACAAAAACTCACAATCCCCTTATCTTATGATAACAAGGCTTACCTAACTTCAGAGGTTGACAAACTATTTCAGCACAAGGCTGGATAGCAAATATTTAGGCTTTTCAGGACAGACTGTCTCTATCACAGCTACTCAACTCTGCCAAGGCAGCCAGAGACAAATGTGTGTGGCTGTGTGTCAAATAAAACTTTATTTATAAACACAGGAAGGGAAGACACAGATTTGACTTGCAGATGTAGCTTGCCAACTCCTGAACTAGATTATAGGGTCTTCCCATCCTCTCACAGATCCGACTAACCCATAGAGTCAAATCTACAAACTCAGAAACAAGAGAATAAAAAACTTTGCTACTTTTTTTTTTTTAAGAGAGAAATAGATTTGAAATGCCCCAGTCCATTTTCCTTTCCAGAGCTCCCTGGAGTAAAAATCCCTTTATGCTATTTCAGCCACTTGCTGAACATTACTCCCTGCTCCACACACATTTTCCTCTTTTCCCTGTTCTTTTGAGTTTTCCAGTTACCGGATAACATTCTCTAAAAGGTTTTATGCTACTGTTTTGCCTTTCCAAATGTGAAAAGATGATGCCCAGGTCCCTCACAAAATGGTCTTCATTTGAACAGTATAAATGACTGCTTTGCTGAGAGGTGGGTCAAACAGACATAGACCTCTGTGACTCCTTACACCATCAAAGAGTAGCAGTATAACAAGGCTCAGCCAACTTCAGAGGCTGCCAAACTTTTTCTGTGTAAGGCCAGATAGCAAATGTTTAGGCTATCGAAGAGCCACTAAAAACCCCAAAAGCCCCATCCTACTCATGGAACAAGGTCTACAGGGTTCAGAATTTTGCTTGATGGCTCACACACCAAGCTGGGAATTATAACAGGCCTGATCTACAGCAAGACAGCTACAATTCCCAAACTGAGAATCACCCTTTTAACATACCTCCAAAGACTTCCTTAGTAAAAAGATCCAATAGTGATGACACCGGAATACTCCCCGGAAAAACCATTACATTATTCTGGATGAAAGATGGAAAGGCATGAAGACGAGAATATTAGAGTGGTATTTAGAAAGAAGGAAAACTCTAACTTTGAATCCCATTTTCAAGAAGCATCTTAAGTTGTGCTTTCTTTGATCCCCATTCACTTAATTGTCACCCTCTACCAAGGAAAAAAAGTGGTATGGCAACTGGGGAAAGAGAGCCAAGCTCATGTTTAATGCTTTGTCTTGCAATCAAGAGGCACAGGGGAGCTCCACTCCCCATTAGCTAAACATCCAGACCATCTAAAACAAATGCAAGATTTCATCTTAAACACTTTTAAAGTAAAGCTTAAACTGATCCTGAACCTGAGAGAAGAAAGGAGTGATATGTATTCAGGCTCACACATGCCTGACGCACAGTAATCAATAAATGTTTGCTCAATAAATGTATGAATATCAGGAACCAACTTCCCATCTGGGGTTCACAGGGCTTCTTTTCACATACTCATTTATCAAGAAGCTAGGCATCAGTTTTGCTTTCTCTCCAGGACCAACTGATTAGCAGTGTGATTTCTGGCAATATCTTTGTGCTAAATGAAGTATTACAAAACAGTTCAGATGGCTTGTGTTGCTCAGCCTCATGAATATCTGGTGTGCAGAGAACCTGGATATCTTCTTATCCAATTCAGCAAAAATCTAGGATACATTTTAGTAGCTTCCTCTCAAAGTCCCCTAGTCCTACCCCTATAAACAAATCACCATCCATTCACATCCCACACAAGCACCCACAGCCACACATGTGCACGTACAGTCTTCAGATAATTGCAGCAACACCAACCCAGTGATTCAGATTCATAATGATTTCTAGGAATTCAGAATGTCTAAGCTAGACATACACATTTCTCTGTTCCGTTCCATTTTGAAAACTACGCAAACAGCTGGCAGCAGCTGCACTGATCAAAAGCTAGGACTCCACACTATATGACAAGAGGCACTAACACAGGAAATATACAAGGCAGACATACATGGGATGATGCCAAAGGAACAAGAGGACACAGAACACCCTCTTCCCAGCTCTAACTGTGAACTGTGTTCGGAGTGACCACACCACTCTGACACTGGCTGGCCATTCGCTGCACTTAGGCAGCAAGGTGAGGTTCAATCCCCAGTCATCACCTGCCCACACAGAGGCAACAAAAATGTGAGCCATTTTAATTCACTCCACCATCAGTGACTATCTATTTGGTCCCCCAACCAAAAGACTGACAAAAATAGGAAGAAGTGACATGTAAGCGGAAACCTGTAAGATGACCTAAAGCTTTGGGATGGGAGAGCATCGTGGAGAAATGAGAAGGCCCAAAGGCAAGTGAGAGCACGGTGTTGCTGAAAGAAGCCCAGCTGTAATGTAGGGCAGCAGAGAAAGAAGGGGAAACACAAAGTGAAGTCAACCAGGCCAGGTCATTTGCTTGTGCCCTTTTGGGCTATGTAAAGGAGTTTGTATTGTCCCCAGAGCATGGATGAACTATTGCAGGGTTGAAGCAGCACAAATGGGCACGCACTAACAAGACTTGAATTTTTTGAAAGAGCACTCTGGCCATACTGTGGAGGATGGGTGTGAGGACAGTAAGGCGAGCCTGCTAAATCTAAGCCTAGGCTGAAGGGGGCCTGTGGTGGCAATGGGTACTAAGAAAAATCTGTATTGATGGCATGCATTTCTTGAACTTCAGATCTTTATGGGCTGACCCTTGGTGCTTCTTTAATATCCTATCAAACTTCCATCTGGCCTTCTTGACCAAAGAGGAAAAAGACCAAATCCTCTGGGGCCCTGCTGGATGGGATGGGATGTGATAACCCCTTTCAGAAGCAAGGTGGAGCTTGCTTTTATGCCCTAGGTGCCCAACATTTAAAACATCATCTACATCACATGCATTATCACTTCTTGTGATTCCCTAAGAGTGGCAGAACTGGGATTAGCCCCTTTAAGTAATAGGGAAATACTCAGACAGCAGAGGCAAAGTCAAGTTCTAAAGTCATGGTGGGTAATCTTGGGATGGAGTCTGCAAATCAATTTTTTTAAAGGTGCTACACCCTTTGATTATCTTTCCTGTGTGATTCCCACACTCCTTCTTCTAATGACTTTTCATCATAATGTTGACATCTCGCCTTTTGAAAATTGCTAAAAAGTAGATACTTTGTAGATGTGTGCTGGGGGAAAAGCTGTTCCCTGCTTCCTAATCCCAGCTCTGCTTTGGCCAATGCAATTAGAGCACAGACCAGTAGTGGAATCTGGATGAAAATCCACATCACATCCTTTAACTCCTATCCAAGGCTCACTGCACTACATCACCTGAATAGAGGAATGAACAGACAGACGGACAAGCATAGCAATGGAGAGTTGGATCAATGAACAACCTCTTAAAGCTTTATTTATAATCTACCTCCTTCATCTAATAAGAGATTTCATAGGGAAAAAAACAGCCTTTTTTATGTCAGCAAAACCAGATCTAATGAGACCAAAGAAATGAGCAGGTTCCTCTGATAGCCTCTCTAGATGATTCAGGCTGTCTGTCCCAGTCATGAAGACACTACCCTAACTCAAGGCACAAATACAGCACACCCCTCCCGCCGACACACACAATCACCAAAAAAGGCTGCCAAAAACAGTGGCTCTTAGTAGCCAACACTCTTACTGATGGGGAGAAAGGAAACAGACCTACAGGCATCAGTTGAGCCCCTGTATCCAAGCATACCTGAAGCTAAGCTCCAGCCATATATTTTATTTCCAGATATCTAAGCCAATATAGTTCCTTTTCATTCAAGCCAGTTGAAGTTAAGTTTCCTCATCATTTGAAGAAAAAGCATCTTAGTTGATACAAAATGTAAACAGGTATAACATTTCTGTAAAACTATATATACATATATATCTCAACAGTTTAAATTGTTCATATACTTTAACCTGACAAAATCATTTCTAGGAACCTAACCCAAGGAAATAATCTGAAACACACGCAAAAATTTATTCATAATATTTACCATAAAAACACAAACTATGACATAAACTTAATGGCCCACATTAGAGGAAATGATTAGACAAAATCACACTATATTTTTAGCATAGAATATTATGAAACCATTAAAATGTATGTTTACTACAAATTATTAAATGTAAGGTTAAATGTTTCACCTTTTATTTTACATCAAATGTAAGATTCAAAATTGTTTATGTACCATGATTTCAACTTTGTAAAAATAAAATAAAATATACAAAAATACTAAAATATAATGTGCCAAATGCTAGTAGTGGCTGCTTCTGAAAAGGGATATTACAGGTGTTTCACTGATTTTTTAAAAAAATTATTCTCTATTCTTCAAATGCTCTGCAATAAGAATATATCGCTTTCAGGGTCAAGGAAAAAAACTCAGTAAAGCTACCCCATCCAAAATGAAATTCATTCTTCTTCTTCATATAAAACATAATTTCTCTCCATAAAGCTTCCACCTAGAGTTTCGACTCCCAATGTTAGGTTTTCTGGGACCACATACAGATCCCCAGGACAACCTTTCAGATATTTAAAACCCTGTCAAAACCTGAGTTTTGCCCTCTCCAGATTAAAATCCGTTTCTCCACCACCCCCATAGAATAGGGTAGGCTTTCCAACTCTCCTCTGAACACACTGCAATGTGTTATCCCTTTTAAGATGTGCTGTTCTAAAGGAAACTATCAACAAAGTAAACAGACAACCTATAGAATGAGAGGAAATTTTTGCAAACTGCATCTGACACAGGTCTAATATCCAGCATCTATAAGGAACTTAAACAAATTTACAAGAGAAAAAACAAACAGCCCAATTAAAAAGTGGGCAAAGGACATGAACAGACACTTTTCAAAAGAACACATACATGCAGGACAAACATATGGAAAAAGAAAAGCTCAATATCACTGACCGGAGAAATGCAAATCAAAACCACAATGAGATACCATCTAACACCAGTCAGAATGGCTATTACTAAAAAGTCAAAAAATAACAGATGCTGGCAAGGTTGCAGAGAAAAAGGAACACTATACACTGTTGATGGGACTGTAAATTAGTTTAATTATTATGGAAGACGGTGTGGCAATCCCTCAAAGACCTAAAGACAGAAATATCATTCAACCCAGCAATCTCATTAGTGGATATATACTCAAAAAAATATAAATTGTTCTATCATAAAGATACATGCATGCATCTATTTATCACAGCACTATTCATAATAGCAAAGACATGGAATCAACCTAAATGCCCATCAGTGATAGACTAAAGGATATCATTAGTCTAGACTAAAGGATATGATAGACTACAGGATAAAGAAACTGTGGCACATATACACCATGGAATACTATGCAGCCATAAAAAAGAATGAAATCATGTCCTTTGCAGGAACATGGATGGAGCTGGAGACCATTATCCTTAGCAAACAAACACAGGAACAGAAAATCAAATATCACATGTTCTCACTTATAAGTGAGAGCTAAATGATGAGAACACATGGATGCATAGAAAGGAACAAAACAAACTGGGGTTTATCAGAGGGCAGAGAGTGGGAGGAGGAAGAGGATCAGGAAAAATAATTAATGGGTACTAGGCTTAATATGTCGGTGATGAAATACTCTGTACAACAAACCCCTATGACACATGTTTACCTACGTAACAAACCTGCACATGGACTCAACTTAGAATAAAAGTTTTAAAAAATGTCCTGCTCTAAATTCATCACAGTGTTCCAGGTGTGGTCTAGTAACTTGTGTCCAAGGAGTAGCACGTCCTTGTTCTAGATACCTCATCTCTGTTAATGCAGCCTCAGTTCCTGTTTCCTCCAACTTGAGATAAGAATGAACAGAAACAGGTTCCCAAGGTAAAGATGAAATTCACCACAGCAACATATCTTTTCCCCTCTCTTTGGAGAACTCCTGATTCTCCAAAAGTCATCCTCCCATATTCTCCAAAGAATTCCTCAGGGGTGATATCACTCTGAACCTAGTCCAGCCCTTTCCAAACCCTCAGAGAAGGATGCCAGGGAGACTGCAACAGAAGTCCTGAGTCTCAACGCTCTCTGGAGATAATCCTCTCCGCTCCCTAATGCCAGGCCCCAGGGTCTCACAAAATATACAGGCAATTGGGCCAGATTTTTGTTCAAACTATTTTCATGGACCCAGGGAAGGCTGGTAGCCTGCAGCCCAAGGAGTCACAGACAGCACTTCTCCATGTCTCAGAAAATGCACTTTTGGGAAGTGAAGAGAGATGCTTTAAGATTACTTCTACGTCATCTTCCAGGTCAGGGAAAGGTCTCAAAAGCCAAGTTCTGGGACTGATGGGATGAATCATAGAAAAACCACAGGAGTGAAAACCACCAAATATCCATGTGCAAATACCTGTGCACACGTATGTGCTCTCACCCAGGCTTGTACCCTTTCAGATGACCAGTAGTAGTTCCTCTCCCCAGAAACACCACAACTTCTAGATAAAGCAGTCCCAGGAAAGGGATGGCCAATAGCCAGTAATTTTTTTTCTACCAGTGCACAAATGGAAGAACCCAAGCCAAGGAAGTGAAATGGGTTTCCTGAGATCTCGCGTGGTAACATGCCACCAGTGCCAAACAGCTTCCATCTCCATGCACATGGCTTCTACCACTACCTACTGCCTCCTCCTACAAAGCAAAGGTGCATCAGCTGTCCTCTAGACTCTAGGACCAAAGCACTAATTTGCATCCTGCTTAATTTTCATTTCCATACGGAATTCCCAGTTTCTAATTTTAAGTCGGCAAATCAAACAATTAAGCCAGTCCACTGCGTGGTCCTCAAACCCAGAATTATGTGTTTTAGCCACAAAGTACTAAATGTTAAAACAAATTCACTAAATTGTATCCCAGAACAGGACTACCTGGGGACTGGCTGTTAAGGGTGGTGGTTTATCAGCCCTTCTTGTCAGGGCAGGAGGATTTGCAAGAATTTACACACAGACACACACACACACACACACACACACACACACACACACACACACACGCAATCCATGCTCTGTTGTCCAGAATTATCAGGGAAATTTTCAGGAGGTCCAGGCTCTAGACTTTTCTTGTGCAAACCACAGAAACCACTAAAAGCCCATGATAACACATACCTCTACATCCCTCAGAAAGTTTTAGAAACACAGTGGAGAGGACAGGGACATGGGCTTCAGCCAGCTATGTCAGTTTCCTGCTATTTATCCTCACTTCATCTATGGAGCCTTACAAGGGTTTAAAGGAATAAATAAAACAACAGTGAGGACGTAACCGGCATGCAGCAGCGGAGCAGATATTCCATAAATGGTGCTGTCCTCTTTTCCCCACTCTTTAAGGAACATCTATGCGAGATTCCATCAAAGAGTAAAAACCTCCATCCAGTCTCCTCTTGCCTCAAGTCCCACATGATTCTAGAAAGAAACTCTTAAAGCCGACTCAAGGAGGTTTGATGGTCAGTGCAAGTTACATTTGTGGTGAGAAACAGGAGGATTGCAAGGCTTAACCCCCATGCCTATCCCCTAACAATGAAGCAGGATAACTGGAAGAGGGTGTAAGGTGTCCCTTTGCCATATTTAATCAATCAACCCATATTAGTTGAGTGGTTATTCTTTGCAGGGCATTATGCGGAGGGGTAAAACCTGATCCTACCCTCCAGCTGCTTTCCACCTAGCTAGGAAAGCAAGGCCCCAAGCCCCAAGTCCTTGGGTGAAATATGTCCTCTCTCTCGCCTCAGAAGCCACATATGAATAGTGGTGCTGGTGCACAGTGTCCTCCAGCCTCACTCCTAAGCTCTGGAGGCAGGCACTGAGTATGCCTGGTCTGCCGTTTGATTCCCAGTTCCAGCAAAGAGCATGACACAAGGAAGGCTCTCCACAAATACCAGGCTATTGAATCCACGAGATAATGAAAGAATCAGTGGATTAAATTTGAGTCAGAGGAACAATCATTTAGAGATTTGCTGCATTTTGACACTAACAAATACCATGCAGATGTACCCATTTCCAAAGCCTAGGAGAAGTAGTCCTCCTGAGGCCCATCCTCTCAGAGTCAGGCAACAATAATTCAAGACCCTGCATCGTTTTCAGATGTCTTTAGGGCTTGACTTTTGCCTTAAGTTTCTTAAATCCAGCCCTGGAAATGTCAGAATGGGATTCACAAGGGATTGAATCTTGCCACTGCAGGGCATTTCAGATACTACAACCAGTGGATCCTGCCCTCTTCACCCAGGACAAGATCACAAAAAGTCAGACTGACATCAGCATCACCATCACAACGATCAGAAAGTTTAAACCTCAGCACCTCCAATTCGTATGCAGATGGCTTTGATGACTGGAAAATAAGAAGAGCCATCAGAGAAGATTATAGTCCTGACAACTCACTGTGTAATTAAAATGTCATTCTCTCCCTGGCTCCCCTAGCTCCCTCCCAGCCCCTAAACGAGCATCACACCAGCCCACTCTCTCCTACACCCTGTGCCCATCCCTCCCTCATCATGCTCCTAGAACGCCTTCCAGGTCAAACCCTGAGGAGGCAGTACCAGGGCCCTCCTACAGCCAGGCCGGGCCCATGACGCCTCCATGACTCGCCCCATGGCAGGTAGGATGAAGACACACTCTGGGCGAGGCTGGTGGAGCCATCTGCCCTCCTCATACCTCCTTTGCATGTGCTGCAAAGCTCTCTCCCACAGAGCCCTGAACAGCAGGCCAGCGGGGAACACCAGTTAACCTGAGGATAGTGCGGCAGGGCCAAGAGAGTTGGACACTCTCAGTCCTGTAGCCCTGCCGCACACCCTAGAGCCAGGCATCTCTGCTTCCTCACTCAGGAAAATGACATTCTGGACAGTTGGCCCCTGGTGGTGGAAAAGAGCCCAGGCAGAGAAATACAACAGATCAGGTGCGAGGCCTAGCCCCTAAGTGACCCGAGACAAGTCACTTCCTCTCTCCTGAGCCTGAAAAGGGTTGGGTAAAGGAACCCTGAATTGCCTTACTTCCAGACTGTGTTCCAGGCTCTTTCTCCACAGGCTTCCCACTGAAAAGCACTTCACTTGCTTCTTAGAGACTTATTTTTAGGAACAGACTAGGCTCAGTTCACTTGTTCCATTTCACAGAGACTCCGATCTGAAAGCTCCCAGTAAGATCCAGCACGCTAGACAACATAGCAGCCAGTACATCCCGGCTGCCAAGAACCTCTGTTCTATAATCCTGGCTCGGCAGAGCACCATCATGCGTGTGCCCTCCACGGGGCATGAGGAAATTCAAGGGAAAAACACACCATCATGCAATTAAGCATGGCCACACAAAACAAGCCAGATTTTCCCTTTGTTTCCCATTAAGGTTAGTCAAAACAGCACCTTTCAGGCTTGCCCGTGTGTGGTCTTTGCATTGGCCTTCAAACTCTCATTGAAAAGAGACTATTTCTTGATTATTTACTATGCAACACCCAAGACAATGCCATTAGCAGTTAATTATTACTCAACAACATGGACTCTGCCCTCAGAAACGTGTTTGATGCCCTTGCCAGAAAATATCCATGCAGAGCCTTACTGGCTCATCTTCACAATGGAATGGGCGAAGAAAAGGAGAGCCACCGACAAACTCTATTCGAACCACTCCTCGTAATTTCTCATTTAGTTACAGCTGGAAAATGAAATGCTACTGCCTGAACCAGCAGAAGGAATGGGCATGAAAAAGAGAAGAGGGACAAAAACCATAGCGGGGCCTCCAGCCCTACTCTACTCTAGATTCGTTCGCACAATAAATGTTTTACTGACCATCTGCCAAGTGCCAGGCAGTCTGTTCCCCCCAAGCAACCCCTATATCAATCTGTAAAATTTATGATTATTTAAATATTTATAATAGAATACTGCACTGCATTTTTTCAAAGCACTTTGATTTCTATTATAGTCTGCCTTCCACAGTCCATGTGGCAATGGGAAGCTCATCCAGCATCTCTTTCCTGTTTCTGCTTCCCAACGACTCTCCCTTGAGAACTGGTGCCCTTTGGCCCCTACTCATTCCAGCCTCACCCTGCTACTTCACTGCAGCCTGGAGCAGACTGCACATTCCTGAAGGGCATGTTTTATATTTGTGTGCATCCTTCCCAACATTAACAAAGCATCTACTATGTGCTGCACACCACATCTTCTGAAATCCCCGCAACATACGGAGTTCTCTGCTGTACATCTGGCCTCAAAAATGTTAAACGTATGAATCAATAGATTACAGCTTAATACAGAAAGAGCGTGGTATCAACCAAACTAGCAAAGAAATGAAGACAGCATTGGTGAATAAAACCCACTAAATGGTGAGCCCCAATGTCACCATTAGGCATTCCCAATTCCTTTATCGTCATCAAGTATGTTGCCTTCCAACCCAGAAGCAGTTGACAGATTTCCATTTTACCACATTTTCCTCCAAACATGACTGGGGGAAAGGCAAGACCAAGAACTGGTAAGAGAGTGTATAGATACAGAAAACCCAAATCTTAACAAAGCACTGAGGCACTGGTAACTGTTCTTTAACCCCCACATTCACACAACCAACTCTAAAGACTGTGTCCTATCAGCGAAAACCTTTTCATCTCCTTTACCCCTTTGGTCCAATAGTCTAATTTATTTAATCATTTTGACAGTGGCTTACTTTTTATTTAGAGCCAATTATGTACCTGGCCCCAGACCATGACATATAATGGGTAGGGACAATCAACGATATTATGACTTCTCTCCAGAAGCTGACAGTCTGGTTGGAAATATAAAACTCAATCCAAGAACAACAAGGACTTACGGGCTATACATGAAACAAGATTTCATGAACAAGATTAATATGGGCTGGAGTGATTAGGGTATGCGTCATAGAAGAGAAAGAACACAAGAAGTGAAAAAAAGGATGTCAAATAGTAACAGAAAAGATGAAAGTCATTTCAAGACAAGAGGACAGGCATGAATGAAGGAAAGGACACGGCAACAGTAATGGTAACTGGAGAAGCAGAAAGAGTGTACAAAGGGGTACCCAGTTTGCATGAAGTAGAGGATGAGCATTGCAGAAGAGGAACAAATTTAAAAAATAAAAAGTCAGCTAGAGAATTTTGATCATGTATTTATTTAATGCATAAATACTGAGCCTGTCATATGTGCCAGGTACCATGCCAGGTGCTGGAGATGCTGGGATGCAATGGTAAACCTGACATTACTAGTGTTTTCAAGGGTCTAGGAGTATGGCCTCGTAGAGAGAAAGCAAGTACAATGGTGATTAAAGGACAGAGTGATAAATGCAATGAGTAAGAGCAAGGTACTTATGGGACAGTAAATATGGGGTACCAACTTCATGCTGAGAAATAGTAATTTGGTATTAATATTAATAATTATCAATGTGATTATTCACGATGACAGCTTCCATTTATTGAATATCTACTATGTGCTAGATACTATACTAAGTACTTTATATATTGTGTCACTGAGTCCTCAGAGACCCTCTATACTACCCCTATCCCATTTCACCAGAGAGAAAGCAGATTTTACAAAAATCACAGAACTGCTAAGCGGCTTCCGTGAGTCCAGAGAACATCATCTCTGGCTTTTCCTCTACTATGAGGCACAAGCAATCCTAGTCCAGACAAACCTCATAGGAGTGACTGGATAGGGTTAATGCAATAATACATCCAGGGGAAATACTGCTGGCCAGGTCCTCCAAAATAATGCTGGATATAAAATTCTAGCTCCTGCAAGGTCACTTTTTCAGGACTGAATGTGCCAACCCAATTTCAAATGGCTCTCCTAGAATAAAAATGAAGTTCTACTTCCTAGAGGAATTAATACGCCCCTCTTGCCTCCCCTTCTGTGTCTCTCAGCCCCAACCCCCCGAGGAAAGCAAGGGCTGTTGGCGAGACACTGTCTCAGACCTAAATACCAGACCAAAGGTAAAGAGAACACTGGCAACCTTGCCAAATCCCCAGGACAGCTTTTATGTGCTCCTTTTGATCATCTGTGAGATCATTTAAGAAAAAAAGACCATTTTCATATCCAAGAGCCCCTCTGGAACAGAGTACAAACCTTGAAAGGTTACAGGAAACTTTTGCACAGACATGGAACTTCCAGCAGGAAAGTAGAAACCACAGTGCCCTTTGAGAAAACGTCTCAACACAAAAAAGGGCACAGCCAGCACTGAAGGGTACTTAAATACGGGGAGGACTTTCCTCAGCCAGAGAGAGGGGTTCCCAAACCAGCGCAAACTCACAACCTACAGAGATGGACCAACCAGGCTCTCTGCAAACAAGACTGGGCAGAGCAGTCTTGCAAACTCATCGCAGCCAAGGGAATAGACTCTCTGCTCTATTAAAGTAGTAATGGCTGTTTTGGTTCCTTATTTTATCAGAGAGATGAAGAGAAGAGAGGGGACATATAGGGGTCTTGCGAGATGGTAATTGGGAAGTTGGGAAATCATGTTTGAAAACCAGATGGAGACGAAAAGAGGAGTCTGAGATGGGAAACAGGGCAGATATATCTGGGATATTTATTTAAGGCTATGCATGGGGAGCTCTGCAAGCAGAGTGTGTATATCTGACACTTGTTGAAGTGACAGCCCTGGATCTCTGCAGAGCCTGTGAGACGGGAGGCCTCAGCAGCTGTCACACTCCAGTAAGCTGGCAGCTCTGCCTTGGATCTCCTGGCAAATCCCTGCCAATAGCTCAGACAGAAAGGTAACCACTTAATTAAAAAGAAAGAAAGAAAAGTAAAGAAACACCCATCTAGAGATGGAAAAGAGAGCAGCAGAACCTAATACTGAGAGGAAGGGGTGAGAAAAGAGTGATCTCAGGCTTTAGAAAAAGGGTCAGGAAGAAATAGGAAAGATCTAGCTTGATTTCTGAAAAGGGCCCCTTTTCCCTGGCCCCCTCTAAAATCAGGAGACATTCTTCAGGGAATTGTCAGAAGAGAAGGGAACAGACAATCCAACTAAATACAGATGGAAACCAAGAGAAGTTAGAGTCTCTTGGCTGCTATTCAGCAAGATAGACAAACATTCAGTAAATGGTCAAGGCGAAAAGGAAGCAAAAATAATCCATCAGCACAAATTCTTAAATACCCTCTCCTTACTCCACTCAGACCTGATTGCTTGTCTAGCTCCCTTTCTAACTCTCAGGCCATTCCCACTTTATCTCTTAGAGCCTTTTCAACAGCCTGCATACCCAACAGCTGTGAGTTCCCTGGGTCTATCCCTTTATGCCCAGGGACTGGGACATGCTCCAGGACAAAATGCCCCAGAATCTTATCTCCCTTCACCTCAGCTTACCTCCACTTCAGCCTGGAAGAGCCCTGAAATCTGCCTTAAGATAATTCAGAAGAGACAACCTGTCACTTCGGGGATCTAGAGCTCCTATTATTATCAAACAACCCAGGCTTCCAGCTTTAGCTCCTTTCCAGCCACTTCACAGCATCACTCCTTAAGGCATTTCAGTGTTTCTTGCAGCCTGAGAGTCATCTTTTCAGTACAGTTAAGAAAAATCTGTAACTATTGTAACTATCCTTCAACATCCTGAGTGTTCGCAAAAGCACACAGTGAGTTCTCTCATCACAGGAATTTTTCTGCAGAGGCTGTCAGTTCCTGGCACATGGGCACACTCTTGACTTTTACCAGGGGTCAAAGTGGCCTGTTAGATAGAGGGTCTGGCTGAAATCAGAAGACTAGAATAGATCCCTTGCTAAGTCTCCCCCATAGTCTCTATAAAGGAAGGGAGGATGTGCTCTGCTCTGCAAAAGCTCAGGAGACCTGAGCATTAAACTGAAAAATAAAACATATATCAGATCCACACAGAAAGGTGCAAAATTACCTGAGGAAAACAGAAAGGTGCCCAGGCTGGTAAACCTGACTACAGGTAGATTAAATTATTTTAAAAATCTATATTTACATATATTTAAATCAGCAAAGGGATTGGCCAGTGGAAGAACAGAAAAGTTGAGACATCTAAGCAAAGAGGCAGTGCCCACTGAGGCACAGGCCAGGGAAAAGTGGCCTTGCCCAAAACCACATGGCAGGCAACAGCCTTTCTGTGGTGGTAAAGCCAGTCTTCAAGCCTCTTTCTTCTTCTGGTTCCTCTAACACAAGTGCCACTTGTATTCCTTGTTCTGAACCTAGTGTCCCCAGTGACCAGGCCTGCTGCACCAGGCCTCATGCTACACTCAGAGTGCCTTCCTCCCCACCAGCTACACACCAACACAAAAACCCATACATCATCCCTTTTGAACTTTCCTGAGCCCTTTCCCAGTTTAACAGGACAATCTGCAGAGTAGCAACTTTCACACTAGAGTCTAAGACACTTCTTGAAAAAACCCTGGAAAACGGCAGTCAGGTTGATGGCTCAGACCAGCAGTTGTCAAGCTTGAGCACACATCAGAATCACCTGGAGGGCTTGTCAAACACAGATTGCTGGGCCCCACCCCCAGAGTTTCATATTCCACAGGTGCTGGGTGGGGCCTGAAACTCCACATTTCTAACAAGTTCCCAGGTGAGCCTGACACTACTGGTCTGGGGATCACATTTTCAGAATCACTGGTCTGGACTATTCAAATAATCCAGGACACAGAGGTGGGAGCCCAAAAACACTGGCATTAAAAACCCCAGACAAGTCCCTTATCTTCCAGGGGACAACCACTCCCTATCTGAGTAGCAGTAGAATAGAACCCCCTAGCTCAGCACCAACCACAGGCCAGGATCTACATCACCACTTTGGCATTTATTATCTAATTCTACATGAGTAGGGTAATACCTAGGCTAAATGAATGGTGTGATTTCAATGACATTATTACCATAATTAAAATTAATGGGCCAACTTTCTTCATTAGAAAGATCAAGAATGAGTGACAAACACAAAGAGGTCAACTACAGGATCAATCTGAGTTGGACTCTCTCTTACCCCCAGGCCTTATCAATGGGGGAGGAAGAGGAAGAGGAAGAGAATGTAGCCAGCTATCTAGGAGAACGCGGCAAGAATTTCTGGAATCCCTTATCTTCTTCTGCCAGCCCAAACACAGATCCCTCAAGTAATTCAGTAAATCAAAGAAGACATGCTAAAGAGTCCTGGGGGAACACAGGATCTTCCCATTGTACCTCCACATGGGCAAAACCTGATAATCTCAGATCTATGGGTTGTGGAGAGGAAACAGAAAGAAACAAGCTGTACAGTTGCCCTCACAAACCCCTGCACCATAGTGCACAGAAAACACTTCGAAGCAGGGAAGATCCCCCCCAGGAAAGAACAGTCAGAAGCAAGCTAGGAAGAAACCCTACCCCAGGAAAGAAGCAAGTGGGGCCAGGGCAGGAAGATCCTCAGAGTAGTGCCTGTCTCTTAGGGAACTCAGGGATATTTTCCAATCTGATGTTCCTGTGTGGACAGTGCCCGTGGTATGGGGCACACTGAGAAAAATCAAAGTGAGGCCAACAGAAGAGCTGCTTTACATAAGGCTGATATGGACGGGCAAGTCTAGCCATGGGGTGTTAGACGGTGGTGGACCAGGGAACAACTCTGTCAGATTCTGCTTACAGAGTCTCCCACACAGGGCCCCTGCCCATTCAGGACTCTAGAAAAGTAACACGATAGGGAGCCATTGCTTCTGGAAAAAGACACAGCCCTCAAAAACCCTGATGATGGTTACCCTAGCATCTCATCCCTCTTCCACTGCTCTCCTCAGACCATCAGAATGTGACCAATTCCTGAGGTTCTCAGACATTAAGGGACAGAAAGGTAAACACTGCATGTTCTCACTCACATACGGAAGCTAAAAAAAAGTTGATTTCATAAAAGTAAAAAGCAGAACAGCGGGTCCTAGAGGCTGGGAAGGGTAGGGGGAAGAGGGTAATAGGGAGAGATTTGGCAAAGGATACAAAATTACGCTACATAGGAGGACTAAGTCCCAGACTTCTCCACCACTGCCGGATAACTATAGTTAACAATAATATATAAAGTTTCAGATAGCTAGAAGGAAGACACTGAATGTTCCCAACACAAGGAAATGATAAATGTTTGAGATTATGAATATGCTAATTATCCTGATCTGATCATTATATATTCTATGTATTAAGATATCATTATATACCCCATGAATATGCACATTATTTGTCAATTAAAAATAAATAAAATCAGATTGTTTAAAAAAATGTGTTCAGAACATGTATACATATGTAACTAACCTGCACATTGTGCACATGTACCCTAAAACTTAGAGTATAATAATAATAAAATAAAATAAAATTTAAAAAAAATGTGTTCAGAGAAGAAAGAAATCTTGAAGTTGAAGAGCCCATTCAAGCAGGGAAGGACAGCTGATAAAACTAGAGATGTTTAGCCTAGAGAGATGGCGGAGCCAAGTATCTGAAGGGCTATCATGGGGAGCAGAGATGAAACACGTTCTATGTGAACATGGCCAGAGAGGGGCAGGGAGGGTAAGACAGAGACTGTTAAAGTTACATTATTTTTGTAATATCCACTACAAAAAGTTAAGCTCCACAAAATCTCACTTGGCATCAATTCACAGGCCTGGATTACAAAAGGGTGAGAAACTCACTAGCCATGCCCTAGAAGGTCTCCACGATCTGGGACTGGCCCCTCTTCATCTTCACTGGAGGGTGCTCTCACTCACTTCACTCAGCACAAACCATCCCTCTGTTGCTGGGAGGGGCCCAGCTCACTGCTGCCTCCCAATCTTGTACCTGCTGATCCCTCGCCATGAACAGATCTTGGCAAGCCTGGCTCATTGGCAATATTCAGGTTTTAACTCAAATTACCCCTCCTCAGAGAGGACTTCCCAGACACTTTCAAAGTAGCCCCACCTGGCCTTCCCCAGAATCACTCTCCGTCACATTACCCTCTTTATTTAGATAAAAATAATTTTCTCTTTATTTTCTCTTTATTTTATTCACAGAACTGACCACTCTCTGATGTTACCCTGTCTACTGTGTCTTTGTATTATAACCAGACTTTCCCATTTGAACATAAGTTCCATGAGAAGAGAGATCTCGCCTATCTTATTTACCTGTTTCCCAGTGCCTAGAACATTCTGTCAGATACTGATACTCAAATATTTGTCTATTAAATGAATATTTGTTGAAACACCAAGCACAGTCCAATTCTTTGAGTAGGAGAAATCTGATTCTGTATGCAAAGGTGTTTTCTTTTCCATCCAAATTATGGAAACCAGTTTGCTTAAGGTAAGAATTAACAGACTACTAACAAAAAATACCAGTTTTTTCTACAATAAATAATTAGCAGAACTAAATGAGCACCTTAAACTTTTTCCATGTTTCAAATAGATGAAGTCTGCCTAGACAGGAACACATTTTGGTTTTTTATAATGGCATTTTCAAGTGACAATTTCTGGGTAGTTATTAAGAGCTGAAATGTTCAACATATAAAAAACTGTTCTTAGACCTCCTATTGTAAGGTAAAATGACATGATACAACTATCATAACACATATACTATAATGCAAATTCAAACTTCATATACATGAAAAACACTAAAATAATCTTTTTATTTATTTATTTATTTATTTTTTCAAGATGAAGTCTCACTCTGTCGCCCAGGCTAGAGTGCAGTGGTGCAATCTCGGCTCACTGCAACCTCCGCTTCTTGGGTTCAAGTGATTCTCCTGCCTCAGCCTCCTGTGTAGCTGGGACTACAGGCCACTGTGCCCAGCTAATTTTTGTATTTTTAGAGATGGAGTTTCTAAAAATACTCCTGACCAGGTTGGCCAGGCTGGTCTCGAACTCCTGATCTCGTGATCCGCCCGCCTCGGCCTCCGAAAGTGCTGGGATTACAGGCGTGAGCCACCGTGCTCAGCCTAAAATAATCTTAACCAACTGTTCAACATTTGAAAATAAAAATAGAGACATTTATTACACTGTTATCATTCAACAAAACTCACTGCACTTCAAGGAAGGCACATAAGACCACTACACATGCAGCCCACATTCAAAGCACCTCTGTCACTTTTTCCAAAGATTCGACAGAAGCCAGCCAGATTGCCCTCTTGTGCTAATGTTGAAAAAATTTAGGCACTTTCAACATTTGCCAGAGTCGAGTTGTAGGCTGTGTGGCATATATCAGAGCCCACAAACAAGAGTGCTGCCCCTACAGTCTAAAAAATCCCATTTCAATAAAGCAAGTGATCCAGGTCTTATAAGATATTAACAACAGAGCATTAATCAAGCATTATGGAAATGGCCTATAAAGAGACAGTGTGTGAGCCCAATTCCAGCAACAGAAATATAGAGAAGAATTATCTCATTAAGCAGAAGTTTGTGGAACAGAATACTGAGTAGCTTTCCAGCAGGCCACAGATAATTTACAAAACGATTGCAAAGGGCACCATTTGCTTATACAAAATAGCATCTTTCATCTAAAAACTCCAGCATGCCATTTGACCAGAGGCTGTTTTGTTAAAGTCTTAAACATGAGAATTGGTCCCAGTTTTCAAGAGTCCAGCCACTTTCCCTACTAGGCAGATGGGAAAACAGTCAATGGGTAATTAAACTGGTTTTGGCTTTGGGCTGCTGCTAGTTTTCCTTGCTAGGAAGGGGCTTCTTCACAGTAAGATGGCAAGCCAGGGATAATGACAAGAATATGTTATACCACCACATTTTACTTGGCCCTCAGAACTCCTCAAAATGCTCTCTTATTTCTGATTGCTACATGGTCTCATGAATGTAGCTGAATCAAGCAGGAAACAGTCTGGCATCTGCCCAGCACATCACATGGCATCATAGACACAGGAAATTTTTAATCAGGACAGCAGGCAAATGTTCATGGCTCTGAACATGACTACAATTGCAAGGTCACTCTGCTTCTGATCCAGCTCAAGAATTTGCCTGAGCCCCTCATTGTCACTGACCTACATTTCCATGAACTATCTCCAACATCTTCTACTCAGCCGTTTTCACAGGTCTATAACACCTCTACACACTGGAGAGGGTGGTAGAAAGCCCAACACATCCTCATACTCAGAGGGTATAATACTGGAGGGCAGGAGGAGTCAATTTGACAATGTAAGTATCAAAAGCATTAGAATTCTCCATACCCTTGGGTGCAAAATTCTATTTAGAAATTTATTCTTAAGGAATAATTTTGAATGATTTTGTGATGTAACTACAAAGATGTTGACAGCTGTGAGAAACTAGAAACAAGCTAAATGTCAAAAAATGGGATCTGGTTAAATAAATATATGTATTAATAGAATGTAACTATACTCAGCCATTAAAAACAATGTTGTAAAGGATTATTTAAAGATGTGAAGTAATCATATAAACTATTAAGTGAATAAAGAAGATCACAAAACTTTATGCATGGTGGCTGAATGTGGTGGCTCATGCCTGTAATCCTAGCACTTTGGGAGGCCTAGGCGGGTGGATCACTTGAGCTCAGGAGTTCAAGACCAGCCTGGGCAACATGACGAAACCCCATCTTTACAAAAAATACAAAAAATTAGCCAGGTGTGATGGTGCGGCCTATAGTCCCAGCTACTTCGGGGGCTGAGGTGGGAGGATCACTTGAGCCTAGGAGGTCAAGTCTGTAGTGAGCCGAGATCAGGTCACTCCACTACAGCCTGGGTGACAAAGTGAGACCCTGTCTCAAAAAAACAAACAAATAAATAACAACAACAACAACAAAACCAACAACAAAAAAACCTTTATGCATAACATTTCATTTTTGTTAAAAGCATTCCATTTTTGCAACAATTACAATCTGAAAATCTGAAACAGTGTCAGTCTGCTCGGGTTGCTATAACGAAAGTGTCATAAACTAATGGCTTAAACAACAAACATTTACTTCTCAAGTTCTGGAGGCTGGAACATCCAAAATCAAGGTGTCAACAAACAGATCCAGTGTCTGGTGAGGGCCTGCTTCTTGGTTTGCAAATGGCAGTCTTCTCACTGTGTCCTCACACAGCCAAGAGAGTGAACTTGACTCTCTTTCACTTCTTCTAAGGACACTAATCCCATCATGAGGGCCCCACCCTCATGACCTAATCCAAGTCTAATTACCACCTCTTGATATCATCCCATTGGGGGTTAGAGTTTCAACGTATGAATTTGGGGGAGACACACTCAGTCCACCCGAAGAAGATGTGTACCAAAATACTTAATAGTAGCTATTTCTGGCCAGTGGGAGAGAGCTGGGGTTTTTTTGTTTTTTTTTGTTTTGTTTTGTTTTGTTTTTTTTCTTCATCTTTTCAAAACACTTTATACAATATATATGAGTCAGGCTTTACATTAAAAAAAACAGAAATTACTGTTTAACAATAATTAAATGCACTGTGGAAACATCTCACAGGGTTAAACACCCATCTGTGGGATGATCACAACATTCCAGAACCAAATGCAATGACATTAGGATTTCTGCCAGTGACATGCATTATAACGTGGTGCCAACCAGAATGTTGCTTCACTGAGTGTTTCTTAAGGTCTTAAATAAATGGTGCTGAATATAGATCCATCACACCAGGAATACCCCATCTTGATGCCATAATTACAAGTGTTATTTTAACATTTACAAAAAATATATAAGTAAACAAAAGTTAAGCAAAGCAACTACGAAGGAGGAGGAGAAGGAAGACTTTGCTTTTCTAACCTCCAGGCAGCATCTTATCAGGCTTAGCCCCTTCTAGGACCTCCTCCTAAAGTTTGAGAATAATCTCAGAACCTCAGTAACTCCTTATGTGACAAGGATTCAGAATTAAAATATGATTCCAGAGGAGGGAGAGTGCATACATCCTTTCTTTCTGGAATTTGCATGCATAGGGTTTTGTTTTTCCTCCACCACAAATCCTCATTCCAAATATTATAATAACATTCCTCATTATTATATTTGGCTTTAATATTGTAAGTACATATGTAAAAATGCAACTTTAGAAACTGCATTACTATCCTATAAGTGATTATAGCAACCCTAGACAGTAGGTGAGAATGCTCATTCCTACGGAATATCAGAGGTAGAAGCCTATGCAATCTGTCCTAATGCACATGGCAAGTTAATAGGAGAGCCCAGCTTTGAGGACACAGCTGCTGACTCAGCAGTCTCCTCACATTCCAGTCCTTTGCATAACTGGCTGTTCAGATAACCCCCATCAAGACTTGAGTTCTTCAAGGCATCAGATTATTGACCAAAAGGCAAACGTAATCTGTATGGCCACTGATTCTAGGAAGTAGGGCGGAATTATGTTACCACAGAATGAAACATGAGCTCACAACTAATGTCACCAAATACAGACAGTCAGTATTACAAGCTGCATCCTCCCCAAAGATGTCTACACACTAATCCCCAGAACAGTGAACATGTTACTTTACATGGCAAAAGGTACTTGGCAGGTGTGATTAAATTAAGGCCCTGCAGATGGAGAGATTATCCTGGATCAGCCACTGGTACAATGTAATCACAAGAGTCCTCAAAAGTGGAAGAGGAAGATAGAAGAGATATATCTATGGAAGAATGGTCAGAGAGATGCAATAATGCTGGCTTTGAAGATACAGGATGGGGCCACGAGCTGGGGAATACCAGCAGCCTCTTTAAGCTAGAAAAGGCAAGGAAAAGGATTATCCTCTTGGAGCTCCAGAAAGAAACAGCTGTGCCAGCATCTTGATTTTTAGCCCAGTGAGACCCATAGTGAACTTCTGATGTACACAACTATAAGATAAATGTGCTGTTTAAGTCACTAAGTTTGTGGTAATTTGTTACAGCAGCAATAGAAAATAATAAACAGACTATATTGATTATTCAACAGCTGAAATCACGGTTCTCACTGCAACACAATAAAGAGGACTACAGCTTGGATTTAATCTAACTTTCTCACTTCAGTCAGTCTCAGGGGAACTACTGGAAAACAGGGCTGCCAGGTTCTCTACAGGCATCCTATGGAGACCTTTCCCATTGTGTGGGACATGGTATTGGTGGAGGAGAAAGGATGTTAGAACGTCCCACGATGTGGTGGAAAGAGTAAAGTGCTGGAGTCAGGCTCTTCCACATACCAGATGCAATAATCCACCCAAGTCACAGTTTTCTCAGCAGTAACAATGTAAAAATACAGGCCAGGCACACGTTGTTTTAGTGCATTTCACTCTGTTGTGCTTTACAGATATTGGGGTTTTTTTGTTTGTTTGTTTTACAAATTAAAGGTTTGCGGCAACCCTGTGTCAAGCATGTCTATTAGTGCTATTCTTCTAACAGCATGTGCTCACCTCATATCTGTCACATTTTGTTAATTCACACAATATTTCATACTTTTTAATAATCATCTCTGTTATGATAATTTGTGATTAGTGATCGTTATTGTTACTATTGTAATTTTTGGAGGGCACCTTAAACTGTGCCCATATGAGACAGCAAACTTAATCCATAAATGTGTATGTGTTCTGACTGCTCCACCAACCAGCCATTCCCCCATCTCTCTCCCTCTCCTCAGGCCTCTGTATTCCCTGAGACACAATAATATTGAAATTAGGCCAATTAATAACCCTACAATGGCCCATCAGTAAAGTGGTCAAGTGAAAGGGAGAGTCTTACCTCTCTCACTTTAAACCAAAAGCTAGAAATGATTAAGCCGGGTAAGGAAGGAATGTCCAAAGCTGAGATAGGCCGAAAGCTAGGCCTCCTGTGCCAAACAGTTAGCCAAGATGTGAATGCAAAGAAAAAGTTCTTGAAGGAGATTAAAAGTGCTACTCCAGTGAACACATGCATAATAAGAAAGCAAAGCAGCCTTATGGCTGATATGGAAAAAGTTTGGACAGTCTAGATAGACAAATCAAACCAGCCACAACATTCTCCTAAGCCAAAGCCTAATCCAGAGCAAGGCTCTAACTCTTCAATTCTATAAAGGCTGAGAGAGGGAACGAAGCTGCAGAAGAAAAGTTCGAAGTTAGCAGAGGTTGGTTCATGAGGTTAAAGGAAAGAAGCTGTCTCTGTAACATAAAAATGGAAGGTGAAGTAGCAAGTGCTGATTCAGAAGCTGCAGCAAGTTATCCAGGAGATCTAGTTAAGATCATTGATGAAGGTGGCTACACTAAACAACAGATTTTCAATGTGAATGGAAGAGCCATCTATTGGAAGAAGAGGCCATCTGGGACTTTCATAGCTAGAGAAGAGAAATCAATAACTGGTTTCAAAGCTTCAAAGGACAGCTAGTGATACAGCTGGTGACTTTAAGTTAAAGCCAGTGCTCATTTACTATTTTGAAAGTCCTGGGGTCCTTAAGAATTGTGGTAAATCAAGTCTGCATGTTCTCTATAAACGGAACAACAAAGACGGCATGACAGCCCATCTCTTTACAGCATGGTTTACTGAATATTTTAAGCCCCCTGTTGAAACCTACTGCTCAGAAATATATTTCTTTCAAAATATTACTGTCATTAACAATGCACCTGGTTACCCAAGATCTCTGATGGAGATGTTCAAGGGGATGAATGTTGTTTTCATGCCTGTTAACACACCATCCATTCTGCTGCCCATGGATCAGCAGTCATTTTAACTTTCAAGTCTTATTATTTAAGAAATATATTGTGTAAGGCTACAGCTGCCATAGATAGTGACTCCTCTGAAGGACCCAAACAAAGCAAATTGAAAACCTTCTGGAAAAGATTAATCATTCTGGATGCCATTAGAACATTCATGATTCATGGAAGGAGGTCAAAACATCAACATCAACAGGAGCTTGGAAGAAGTGAATTCCAGTTCTCCAGGATGACTTTGAGGGGTTCAGACTCCAGTGGAGGAAGTAACTGCACATGTAACAGAAATAGCAAGAGAACTACGATGAGAAGTGGAGCCTGAAGATGTGACTGAATGGCTACAATTTCATAATAAAATTTTAATGAATGAGGAGTTGCTTCTTAGGGATGAGCAAATAAATTGGTTTCTTGAGATGGAATATACTCCCTGTAGACCCGCTATGAACATTGTTGAAATGGCAACAAAGATTTAGATAAACTTAGTTGATAAAGCAGTGCAGCAGAGTTTGAGAGGACTGACCCTAATTTTGAAAGAAGTTCTACTGTAATGCTATCAAATAGTGTCACACGCTACAGAGAAATATTTGGTAAAAGGAAGACTCAATCCTTGCAGCAAATTTCATTGTTGCTTTATTTTAAGAAATTGACACAGCCACCTCTACCTTCAGCATCCAGCACCCTGGTCAGTCAGTAGCCATCAACATCAAGTGTACCTTGTTTTTATATGCACTTGGAACCAAAATATTTGTGTGACTCACTTTATTGAGATACTCGTTTTATTGCAGTGGCCTGGAACCAAACCCGCAGTATCTCCAAGGTATGCCTGTACCAACTTGACAGTATTGTGACCGATTATAAGGTTCAATGACATTATGTATGAAAGTACCCTGCACAGTGACTGTCAGGAAGCAGACACTGTAAATGATGACTGTCGTAACAATTATTGTAATAATCTACCTCTTTCTGGGCCTCTGAGTAAAAAGCCATGTGACTTTGTGTTCAAATCTCTCCAGACCCTGGCTTCCTCCTCTAGTACATGAAGAAGGAAGATGGCTCTCTGACCATCTCACTGTACAGCTCTGAGGATTAAAATAACAATGTAAATAGAAGCACTGTGAAAAATACAAGCCCAATGCAAATGTCAAGTGGGACTTTTTTCAACTCTATCCAGGAATTCTCCAGAGTCCTTCATAAAGCTGGCCTTCTTAGGTCATCCCCAGAAAAGATGTTGCATACACTTGAAATCAACTCAGACCATACTCAGTGGTCTACCATGTTTCCTGTCTGATACAAGGAGAGTACTGAACAAAAATCTTTGAGCATCTGAGATACTGATGGCTTGTGAAGCCATGAATGAAATAAATTGGGCATTTTGGGCTCCATCCTACAAAGGAAGTGCCCAAATCAATCCCCTCATTCCTGGCCATCAGGAAGCATCCACTCCAGTGAGCAGTTCATGTCAACATCACCCCCTAATTCAAAAGGCCCTTGATAACTGTTATCCAGGGGGCAGCTGGTACTAGAAAAGCCCTTAAAAATAAGAACCAGAACTTCACAATAGTGAAAAAATAAGAGCTGACAGAATTAATCTTTCAAAATGAAGTAAAAATTATGCAAATAAGCTTATCTAAAATGTAAAACCTTATTTAAAATGTGAAATATTTAGATCATATTGAATTTTGCATTAATTCTTAGGCTAGACTGAGTTATTGATTTATTGTTGTAATTTTTTTCCAACATCACTACATAATAACATGACATCCTTTACTACATCTCTGACTTTCATGACATTACTATACAGAGCATAATTTTTGCAGAAATTATTTAAGAGCTTTCATTTTCTCAAAGGTGTGTCTTAATATTCAAAGATATTCAAATCCTTCTCCTTTGAAGTCAGTTTCTTGTCAGCATACTGATTGTTTTTCTCACCAATTATGAGTGGGTCTAACCCTGCCCAGTCCTCTTTTGTCTGTTAAGTTGTTTGAGCAGTTCTCCAGCAATCCTTTTATTGACTACCTATAATCCTACATCTTTTGCAAGACTTGCAATTTCACTTTGAAATACATTTGCATGGAAATTGCACTGTACTGCCAGATCTGAAAGCAGAATGCTGGCTGATAGACCTTGAGGATAGCTGAGAATAGATGCTGCTGTTAAGGGGAGGATGACTGAACAGGGAATGTTTTAGTTTTCTACTTGCTGCATAATAATGGCCACAAACTTCAAGGCTTAAAGCAACACACATTTAGTATCTCCCAGTTTCCCTGGGTCAGGAGTCTGAATACAGCTTACATGGGTCCTCTGCTGAGAGTCTTGCAAAGCTGCAACCATGGTGTCAACCAGGCTGTGTTCCTTTCTGAAGCTCATGGGTCATCTCCCAAGCTCACGTTGTCGTTGGCAGAACTGAGTTCCCGGCAGCTACAGGACTGAGGCTCCACTTTCTTGCTGGCTGTCAGCTGAGGGCCATGCTCCGCTCCAAGAGGCTCCTGTAGTCCCTTTCCACATGTGCCTCTCACATGCAGAAGGTCCCGCTCCAGGCTGCTAAAATGGGGTCTTAAATAACGTAACACATTGGCCGGGCGCGGTGGCTCATGCCTATAATCCCAGCACTTTGGGAGGCTGAGGCAGGCGGATCACAAGGTCAGGAGATCGAGACCATCCTGGCTAACACGGTGAAAGCGCGCCTCTACTAAAAATACAAAAAATTAGCTGGCCGTGGTGGCGGGCGCCTGTGGTCCCAGCTACTCAGAAGGCTGAGGCAGAAGAACGGCGTGAACCCGGGAGGCGGAGCTTGCAGTCAGCAGAGATAGCGCCACTGCACTCCAGCCTGGGCGACAGAGCGACACTCTGTCTCAAAAAATAAATAAATAAAATAAATAAATAAAAATAAAATAACACATCATGGAGGAGGCTACACAAGGGCCTGGCACATTGGAGGTCACCGGGTGCATTTGCCACAGGGATTGTTTCTGTAAGTGATGGCTTCATTGGTGAATATTTGGATGTTATGATCACTGTTGCTTTCCTAGGTAACATATCATTCAGAAATCCAGATAATGAACACCTGCATAATGCTGGTCCTCACCTCTCAGATCCAGGCTCTCCATTCCCACTGTCATGGCTCCAGTTTAGGCCCCTACATTCTTGCCAGCAGCCAGCACTAATAAATGGTGTCCGGCCTTTTCTCCTCCCAATCCATCCTCTGCATCACCTCTAGAGAGAGCTTAGTAATCTGCAAACCTCACCATATTTATTCTCTGCTAAAAATCTACCAATAGGTCACTACTACCAGCAGGATGAGGTCAAAGCTTTTTAGCAGGCAAGTCAGCGCCTTCATGATCTTATTGCCTGAGAAATCCACTGTCAAGTCCATCTCTCTCCAGCCCTCCCTGTGCTCTCTCACCTCTAGGTCCAGGATTTCCCTCCCCACTCATCCACCCTTCTGGATCTGAGTTCAAGGATCACAGCCTCTGTGAAGCCTGCTTGGACTTTCTCAAGAAGCTTCACATAATGTTTCTTTACATTCTCACTGAATTGTTTTTGCATAATCGCTGCAGCATTTACCCCAAATGCTGGTTTCCAGGTCCGTCTTCCCAACAGACTGGATGCATCTGCAGGCAAGAACTAGCTTTTTCCTTCCTCTGTCTTTAGCAGTACCAGAGAACAGACTGGCAATGGCTGTAGAATTGTTGTTTATCTAGCACAGCATGACAAATAAGAACACAGATTATAAAACCCCACAGCCTGCATTTGAAAGCCAGCTAGCCGGCTTCCTAGCTGTGTAACTCAGGGCAGGTTACTCAACTTCCCTGTGCCTTGGTTTTACCACCTCTAAAAGAAGAATCGTTTTCATATCTATTTCGTAAGATTTTTATGAGGTGTAAACAAGCTAATATTTGTTAAGGAACTAAAAAAGGGTGTAACATATGATTAAGACTATATAAACATTTGTTACATAAAATAAATACCCAGTAACTACGAGATACACAATGGTAGGAAATTCATGCAAAGAAAGGAGAGATGCCACACAGGTCCAGGAGATGAGCTAATGACAAAACTGTTATCAAAATTTTTCAGCCAAAAAAGAAACAGTATACATAACCACCAGCACCACCCCCCTCAACCCCCACCAAAAAACCCCACAAACAAATAAAGCAAGAATGATAAAATCCTGGTAATTCCAGGACCTGAGTGATAGGTATAAGACGGACTAAACTAGTCTTTTTACTTTGGTGTATGTTTGACAATGCTCGGAATGAAAACAGTTTAAATCTAAATAGGCCAGCATAGGCTGAGCATCCAGGAAGTATAAGAGCACCTAGGCAAGGCTACAACTTTCACACAGAGAAAGAAACCTTTTTCTTCCACTGTTCATAAACTGACGGGCAACCCTGGTGAGCTGAACGAGGTGCTTCTGGATGAGCCCTTTCTAGCTGGGTGGATGCCACCTTCTGTTATATGCTGGTCTCCAGAGACGGCATGACGCAGTGGGAAAAGCTCTGGCATCAGGAGGGATGAGTGTAAGTGCCAGCTGTCACTTACTAGCTACCTAGCCCTCCTGTGCCTGAGTCTCCTCACCTATAAAGTGGAAGGCCCTACTTCATAGGGTTGCTAAAAGGATTATTAAATAATATATTAGCAACTAGCACCATGTTTGGTGTATGGCACATACTCAGTAAACATATTTTTAAATAAAATAATACAAAACTAATCATACTCTTAGCAAGCACATCATTCAGCAGTCACAGTCTTTCACCTTTATTCAAATGGAATGAAAACTTATGTCCACACAAAAAGCTGCTCACAGATGTTCTTGGCAGCTTTATTCATAATTCCAAACCTTGGAAGCAGCCAAAATGTCCTTCAGTAGGTGAATGAATAAATCAACTGTGGTGTATCCAGACAATGGCATATTAATCAGCACTAAAAAAAATGAGCTATCGAGCCATAATAAGACCTAGAGGAATCTTAAATGCATACTACTAAGTGAAAGAAACCAATCTAAAAAGCCATTCATACCTACTGTATGATTCCAACTATATGACATTCTGGAAAAGGCAAAATTATAGACAGTAAAAAGATCAGTGTTTGCTAGAGGTTAGGAGGAGGAAGGCATGAATAAGCAGGGGACAGAGGATTTTTATGGCAGTGAAACTATTCTGTATGAAACTATAATGGTAGATACATGTCATTAAACACTCGTCCAAACCCACAGAATGCACAACACCAAGAATGAACCCTCATGTCAATTATGAACTCTGAGTGATAATGATGTGTCAATGTAGGTTCATCAGTTGTAACCAATGTGCCATTCTGGTGTGGAATGTTTAAAGTGGGGGACATTGTGCATGTGCAGGGGCAGGAATATATGGGATCCCCAAACTTTCCATTCAATTTTGCTAAAATTACTCTAAAAATAATGTTTACTACTTTTTTAAAAAATAGAAAAATCACATCATTTAGTTAAAAATGTTTAAATAAATTAATATAAACTTCAAAATAAATAAGTAAATAAAAAGAGTAGGCAAACTCAGTATATAACTACAGGTCAGAGAGCTGCCCCGCAAACTGAAGTGTGGGAAAACCAGGAGACTGAGCTACACTGACCCCAGACCCATGGCTGGTTCCCTTCATGCCAGTGGCTGAAAGACTCCGCAGCTGACCTACCTGGCAAAACAGACACCACCACAACTCACCCCAAAGATCTGAAAGGGCCATGCGTGGGCCGGCCTCTCTCCTGAGTCACACAGGACGAATCACTCTGTGTAACAAACACTCTGGTTTACTGGCCTTTACTGCCACACCAAAGTCACGTGAAAACTGCTTTCAGGAATCAGGGTTAAGTTCCTAATTAACACAATGGCGTAATCCTTGGGGCTCAGCTAAGCCCTGACTCCAGGGCTATTCCAAATCACATAATCCACCCTCCTCCCCCATATCACCTCCTGGATTAAAATTTTTAAAGTTCTCAGCAAGAAGGGTGGTCAATGCTTACCACTTACAGGCAGAGAAGAAAACAGGTCAGTATATGGGCAGCTCAGCAGCAGAACTACCAATTTTTAGAGTGTGCTGACATTGTCCAGGTAGAATTGAGGAGGTAGATGCTGAAAGGCAGATACTCAAATGAGGCAGATTCTCCTAGGCATTTATCCAATTAATTTGAAAGCTTATGTGCACATAAAAGACTGCATATGAATCGCTATAGCAGCTTTATTCGTAATCATCAAAATCTGGAAATAAGATGTCCTTGAATAGGTAAGTGAAAAAACTGTGGTACATTCATATTATGGAATACTGTTCAGCAATAAAAAATGAGCTATTGGCTGGGCGCAGTGGATCACACCTGTAATCCCAGGCCAAGGTGGGTGGATCACCAGGTCAAGAGATCAAGACCATCTTGGCCAATGTGGTGAAACCCTGTCTCTACAAAAAATACAAAAAGTAGCTGGGCGTGGTAGCACACGCCTGTAGTCCCAGCTACTTGGGAGGCTGAGGCAGGAGAATTGCTTGAACCCAGGAGGCAGAGGTTGCAGTGAGCCAAGATCACACCACTGCACTCCAGCCTGGCAACAGAGCAACACTCCATCTCAAAAAAAAAAAAAAAAAAAAAAGAGCTATTATGCCACAAAAAGATATGAATGAATCTTAAGTACATACTGCTAAGTGAAAGAAACCAGTCTGAAAAGGCTACATTTTCTATGATTCTAATTACATGGCATTCTAGAAAAAGCAAAAATTATAGGGATAGTAAATAGACCAGTGGTTGCCAGGGGTTTGGGGATAGGGTTTGGGAATTAAATAGATGAAGCACAGTGGACTATTTGGGGCAGTAAGATTATTCTGTATGATACTGTAATGTAAGTATAGGACATTAAGCATTTGACAAAAACCCACAGAACTTTATAGCACAAGAGTAAACCTAAATGCATGCAAATTTTTTAAAAAAAATCATTGAGTGGGAGGCCAAGGATCCCAGGATGGAATGTAAAATGTGACCCCCAAAAATCTAAATGTATTACAAATGTATGAAATAATCTCACTGAAGAAGTGAGACAGTAAGGTGCTAACAGAAGTTATCTTAGAAATCAGTGGAGTCTGTACAAACTAATGGCAAAAAGAACTGTACATAAGCACTGTACTAGAGCTGAAAAATTGTTTCCAATGGGGGTATGGGTTAACGATT
Source organism: Homo sapiens (assembly GCF_000001405.40). Taxonomy (NCBI): domain Eukaryota; kingdom Metazoa; phylum Chordata; class Mammalia; order Primates; family Hominidae; genus Homo; species Homo sapiens. Next base: position 162,175,933 of record NC_000001.11, on the reverse strand, counting down.
CTGATACTACTGTACGCGTACACTGGAAGTGAACAATTAAGCAAATGGGTGGTGGTAGCTAGGTTTCTAACTGCTTGCGGGGGATATTACAGATAAGCAAGGGAGGAAGCTAGAATGATTTATGTAATATGGATCAGAATTGCAGACATCACTACAAACTCATGTTTGGCTTAATATAGATGGCTACATATAGAAATATTCATGGGTATTTGTATATTAAAGAGGTAGCATACACACGTATTTCATTGCTCTATCTGCTGAGAGGGCCTAGATGCAAACACATTCCAGCAGCAACTAACCGACCGCCCCCACCCCCACACCTCCGATCCTGCTATCTAACTCCATGCCTTCAACAAAAGGAGTCAGGGCTCTTTGCAGAAATGCTGGATTCAGGAAATACACCAGATGAGCCTGGAGTACTGTGTAGTGCCAGAAAGTTAAAACGTGCTCAAAACAACAAACAATGATGGGGCAAGGGGATACAAGAGCCAAATCAAAGAGTTTTTAGCAGCCACATTAAAACAATTTGTGCAATGAAATAAAGAAGTACTTATAATACAAGGTATAAAACAAATATCCATGATTCTTTACTGATAAAAATAAATAAATGACTGAATAAAGCAATAAATGGGAGAGGACAGACAAATCTATGCAAAAGAATTCCAAATACTTGACATAACTGTTTTAACTGTTTTAACTGCCTTTAAGGAGGTAGAGCAAAACTTTCCACTCTGTAAGTGCATGTAAGTGCAGACCATGCATAACGACTTTTTTTTTTTTCCCCAAAAAGTACTTCATGGAAAGAAAAACAGTAACTTTACAAATACTATCTCAAGCCAGGTGATCAAGGTTAACATCAACAGTGATAAGTCATAATGATAGTATGTACCCTTCAAATTATATGATGAGAATGCCATCTTACCTCTCTGTCTTCCTCCCAAAAACATATTAACCATGAGGAAAACATCAAATTCCAGTTAAAGGAGATTCTACAAAATAGGCCTGACCAGTAATCTTCAAAATTGTGAAGATCACCAAAATTGTCAAGATCACCAAAAATCTGAAAAACAGTCACAGTCCAGGGGAGCCTAAGGAGGATAAGAACTAAATGTGGTCCCAGACAAGATCCTGGAACAGAAAATGAACACTAAGGGAAAACTAAGGAAATATGAACAAGTATGGATTTTAGTTAATAAGAATATATCAATATCAGTTCATTAATTCTAACAACTGTACCATACTAACATTAGATGCTGATAATAGGGGAAGTTGGGTGTTGGGTATGCAAGAACTCTCTGTACTATCTTTGCAATAATTCTGTAAACCTAAAACTGTTTTATAATAGAAAGTTTTTTTATTTTTTATTATATTATTATTACACTTTAAGTTTTAGGGTACATGTGCACAACGTGCAGGTTTGTTACATATGTATACATGTGCCATGTTGGTGTGCTGCACCCATTAACTCATCATTTAGCATTAGGTATATATCCTAATGCTATCCCTTCCCCCTCCCCCCACCCCACAACAGTACCCAATGTGTGATATTCCCCTTCCTGTGTCCATGTGTTCTCATTCTTCAATTCCCACCTATAAGTGAGAACATGTGGTGTTTGGTTTTTTGTCGTTGCGATAGTTTGCTGAGAATGATGGTTTCCAGCTTCATCCATGTCCCTACAAAGGACATGAACTCATCATTTTTTATGGCTGCATAGTATTCCATGGTGTATATGTGCCACATTTTCTTAATCCAGTCTATCATTGTTGGACATTTGGGTTGGTTCCAAGTTTTTGCTATTGTGAATAGTGCCGCAATAAACATACGTGTGCATGTATCTTTATAGCAGCATGATTTATAATCCTTTGGGTATATACCCAGTAATGGGATGGCTGGGTCAAATGGTATTTCTAGTTCTAGATCCCTGAGGAATCACCACACTGATTTCCACAATGGTTGAACTAGTTTACAGTCCCACCAACAGTGTAAAAGTGTTCCTACTTCTCCACATCCTCTCTAGCACCTGTTGTTTCCTGACTTTTTAATGATTGCCATTCTAACTGGTGTGAGATGGTATCTCATTGTGGTTTTGATTTGCATTTCTCTGATGGCCAGTGAGCATTTTTTCATGTGTCTTTTGGCTGCATAAATGTCTTCTTTTGAGAAGTGCCTGTTCATATCCTTCGCCCACTTGTTGATGGGGTTGTTTGTTTTTTTCTTGTAAATCTGTTTGAGTTCATTGTAGATTCTGGATATTAGCTGTCAGATGAGTAGGTTGCAAAAATTTTCTCCCATTCTGTAGGTTGCCTGTTCACTCTGATGGTAGTTTCTTTTGCGTGCAGAAGCTCTTTAGTTTAATTGGATCCCATTTGTCAATTTTGGCTTTTGTTGCCATTGCTTTTGGTGTTTTAGACATGAAGTCCTTGCCCATGCCTATGCCCTGAATGGTATTGCCTAGGTTTTCTTCTAGGGTTTTTATGGTTTTAGGTCTAACATGTAAGTCTTTAATCCATCTTGAATTAATTTTTGTATAAGGTGTAAGGAAGGGATCCAGTTTCAGCTTTCTACATATGGCTAGCCAGTTTTCCCAGCACCACTTATTAAATAGGGAATCCTATTTAATAAATGGAGGAGAGTGGAGGACAGCTGTGGTGGCTCACACCTATATTTCCAGCACTTTGGGAGGCTGAGGCAGGCAGATCACCTGAGATCAGGACCAGCCTGGGCAACCTGGTGAAACCCCGTCAAAAATATTAGACGGGTGCAAAAGTAATTGCGCTTTTTGCCATTATTTTCAAAGGCAAAAACGCAATAACTTTTGCATCAACATACACAAAAAATTAGCTGGGCATGGTAGCACCCACCTGTGGTCCTAGCTACTCAGGGGGCTGCAGTGTGCAGTGGGAGGATCACTTGAGCCTGGGAAGCAAAGGTTGCAATGAGCCAAGATTGCGCCACTACACTCCAGCCTGGGTGACAGACTGAGACCCCATCACAAAAAAAAAACCTCCTATTGAGCAAGGGTGAACTTGTGTTTGGTTAAGAATAACACTCAACTAGCAGGCAGAGAAGTTTGCTGCCTGAATAGCAGAATCTCAAGGCTCAGTCTCAACATCAGCATAGTTATTTAAATGATTCATATTTAAATGATTCATGACCATCCATTGGTTAATCTATGCAAAACCTTGAGATGAAAACAAACAAACAAACAAACAAAAACAAACAACAACAAAAAAAACCTTTCCTCACCTGACAGAAGGGAAAGCACATACATATACCAAAGAGTTGGCTGGGTCACAGAAAATAGTGATATATGACAATAATCTCCAATGACCACCTGCTGACATTCCACTTAAACCACCCGCCTCATCAAGATTATTCCTGTAGGCCACTAGTTTGCAATGTTAAGTAATTTGGCAACACAGAGTCATGGCCATCTAGAGGGTTTCAATAGCAAAGCCATCATGTGGACTTGGGGCACACCCATTCACAGGCCCACATCCCCCACTCCAGACTGGGATAGCCATTCTTTTGTGTCAAGGGATGATATGCATATAGAAGAGTCTCTGTGACTGCCATTTCTCAAAATTCAGACAAAGCCAAGATGCTCATAATGTATGTTTCTACTGCTACAGCTACCCTACCACCCACAAAATGTGAAAATTTAAGATGTGTTCTTCTCCAGTATAGGCTCAACAAGTTTCCTCTTTAGTTGCCATTTACTGGTGGGTGCTTGGGTCTCCTCTTGTCCCTCTCCCCACAACCCGTCATGGGTTCATCTGAACTTGGACTTCTGGTTTGCTTTACAGAGAGGTCTTACTGGTGATGGGTAAAAGATAGTGGGTAGGCTGAGTAAGGCCTGGGGAAGTTTCTCCCACTGAGCAACTCAGCATCTTCCCATCTAATACCATCAAGCATCTCACTGGCTGAAGCCCCAACCTTGGGGCTGCTAAGTGGCTTTCTTGGGAATGACACCTTTCCATTTAACGGGTTAAGGTGGCTTAAGGAGGAAATATATGGCCTAAAAAGGGTGGTATGGGAGAATGTCCTCAGCTTTCCTTTATTGCACAGGGAGATTCCATGAAAGGAGAGAGGCTGGCACAGCTGGTTGTTCTATGGCCATGAGGAGAAGCATGACAAGAGAGAAGAGATGCCACTAGATGAAAAGAACTCTCCAGAGAAGAGTGGAGGCCCAAACTGGGAAGTTAGGTGAGAGGAGATGAGTTCAGAAAGAGAGGCTGGAGAGCCTGATGAAAGACCTTAATAAAGGGTGAGGGCCTAAGAGCTCACTTACAGGATCCTTAGTCCCCAAAGGCTCCAAGTTCAGGGGTGGGGATGGCTGAGACAAAGATTAGACAATGCAACTTTAGCAGGAGTGAAGACCAGTACAGAAGTAAAGCACAGGAAGAAGCCAGCCACTGAGGCAGGAAGAGATGGCTGAGAACTGGACCAAAGTGGAAGCAGTTGAGGCAGGGAGACATACGATCTAGGAGATGCAGGCAGAATACAAGACCATGATGAGCAGCCCCATGACACCAGGGTTACATAACCCTTTCCAATAACAGCAAGGGGAGAGAAAGTCATGTGCCATTCCTTATAAAGCAGGAAATTAAAGCAGAAAGAACAAACGACCTGAATTCTAGCCAGAACTGCTGCCCTGTGGGATCCAGAGCAAGCCACAACCTTTTCATGCCTCAGGTTCCTTCCCAGAAAAGGAGCATGAGGATCTTGATCTCTGCACCCTCCCGCTCCATCCCTTTGGGTAAAAGCCTTGAGTCACACTTGGAGTATTTGCAGCAACAATGCTGAGTGTGCTGGGATCCAAGTACAGTGACCAACAGCCCCTGTGTCTTCCCCAGCATGTTGGCATCCCAGAGGCCCTGGACCCCACCCCAAATCCAAAAGCATGAACCCCAAGCCTCCCTGCAGGATGAGCTCCACCCGTTTAGCTGCCTGTCTCTTCTGTTCCTTGGTTTCTTTTCTTTTTTTTTTTTTGAGATGGAGTTTCACTCTTTGTTGCCCAGGTTAGAGTGCAATGGCACAATCTCAGCTCACTGCAACCTCCGCCTCCCTGGTTCAAGCGATTCTCCTGCCTCAGCCTCTTGAGTGTGGGACTACAGGTGCACACCACCATATCCGGCTAATTTTTGTATTTTTAGTTTTTGTATTTTTAGTCGAGACAGGGTTTCTCCATGTTGGTCAGGCTGTCTCGAACTTCTGACCTCAAGTGATTTACATGCCTCAGCCTCCCAAGGTGCTGGGATTACAGGCGTGAGCCACCGCGCCTGGCCTGTTCCTTGGTTTCTTAGCACTTCTCCTTTCTTTTCTTTTCCTACTGGCCCATTCTAATTTCCTTCTCTTCTTCCCTCTCCTTGTTTTTAAACTAACCTATTCCTGCTCCCCTATATCTCTTAACTTCAGTACAACTTTTCTTGATAGATATGTATTGAGCAAGTACCTAATGAAAGAAGCCATGTGGCTTACTAGTTGAGAGCCTGGATTCAGAAGGCCCAGGTGGACCCCCAGCTCTGCTGCTTGCTACCTGGGTAGCCTTAGACAAGTTACTCAGCCTAGATCTCAGTTACCTTATCTGTAAAATGGGGCTAATAACAGTACCTCCCTCCAAGGGCTTTTGTGAGGATCAACCAAGATGAATACATGTATAGTGCTTAGAATAGAACTGGCATGTAGTGAGCACTCAAGAATATCAATTATTACTACCCCAAGCACTGAGCTGTATCCTTCAGGGGACACATGTGACCAACACAAGGTCACTGCTCTCAGGTAGTGACTCTGTTGAATAAGAATAAACAACAATCATAAAAACAATTATAACATAAAGTGAGCTAAAATACCTGAAGAGAAATACAGAGAGGGTGTCTGAGTTCAAAGGGGTGCACTATAGGTGAGAGGAATCAGGGAAGATTTCGTAGCAAAGGTTTTCATTTGAAATGGGCTTTGAAGAACTGAGACCATACAGGCAGGAAAGGGAGGGAGGAAATTCCAGAGAAAGTGAAAAACATAAAGGCAGAATGGCCAAGTGAATGGGAAGATTGTAAGAAATTCGGTGTGGCCAGAGAACTGGGTTTCTGCATGGCAATCATAGGAAATGAGTTGGACAGGCACAGTGAAGCCAGACTGGGAGGCCCCTGACCGCCCGCTGAGATTCCATATTTCATTCACAGGCAATGAGGAGCCACTGAAAGTTTTTGAATAGAGACATGATGGACCTCATGCTTTAGGAGCTGGTTCAAAGTGGCATGCTGGGTGGACAACAGGAGCCCTCCAGCTCTACCAATGCACAGTCTCCTCTGTGAGGACAGATGGACACATGCCACGTGCATACAGTAGTACTGCATGCACACTGAGGAGAAACGCCTCTCCAGAGACAAGGGTACTGGATTCTTAAAGCAGCTGTCTGAGTGCCCAGCTAAGCAACTAAATGCAGGGGTGTATGGGAATGCATTTCTTAAGTGAAAATCACAAATCAATATGATCTCTTTCAATAAACAATTCAGCTACTGACTCCTCATTAGCACCCCCAGCAGGGTGCAGTTGTTAAATTTAAAGGCAGCCAAACTCTTACTTCAATTAAGTGTCATCCCTACTAAATGAAGACCAGATGTGCAAGCCAACAAAGAAATCTAATCAAGTTGGAAGAAAGGATTTCTGTAAAAGAGAAAACCAGGGGAAGGTGTGGGATTGGTCAGAAAACAGCAGATGCTGAAGAGAAAAGTCAAGCCAGGGCTCCAGATCAAATAGGGTCATTTGGCAAGGAAAGGCAGAGAGCTGCTGCAAAGCCCATGCACGGAGGGCGCTCATCTGGAAATGGAACTGTTAGGCAGTTAGAATCCCATCAATCTTTCAGAAATCCCCGCCAAGGGTGCAAGACTCTTTATTTTAACCTCAAAGTCCAATGCTTAGAAGATTTCCCAGCATGGCTCTCTGAGGGAGACGGAATCCTTGGATGTCTCCTCATGCCAGGCAGAGCCAACCCAACCCAAAGCTGGCCTGGTTTGGGTATTCAGGCCTGAACCAAGCCAGACTTCACTTCAATCCCTCACCACCTCAGCCCCTTAGGCCTCTTATTTAATAAGGAGCAGTGACTTACTATATTATCGAAATAACTTTTTGAGGCTTGAAGCCTCTCTTCTATGTACTATCTTTACCAGGACCTCATCTTAGTTTTTCAAAGGAGAAAGAAAGGGAGGAAGGAAAGAGGAAGGGAAGGAGGAAGAAAGAAAGAGAGCAAGGGAAAGAGAGGAAGAAAAGGGGAGAAGGAAAGAGAAACACACCCCCCTGCCCACAAGCCTCAGCACAATGACAGCTTGTGCATCAATTGCGCGTGGATTTCTAGGCCTTTGCCCTTCCAAGTGAGCAGGCAACCCTTGCCAGGGACCCTACTGCCACATTCTCCCTCTGAGCAGCCTGACCCTGTTTATCAACTGTTTCCACAGCTGTAGCAGCTGATGTCACAAAGCCTGGCTGAGGACCAAAGAGAAACAGGTTCGTTTGGAAGTTCGTATCTGAGCAGACTGGCTCAACCAGAAGTCCAGAAAAGTGTGGACCAGCTTCAACAGGACAGCACTAACACAGACTACTGCAGTCTCTGCACAGAGAGGCCTAAAGGAGAGGTCACAGCAGTACTCTGCAGGTAACACTCCATTTCCAACGAGCAGAGAATCCCAAAGGAGGTGATTTAGTGATGATCTCCATCAGCCCTAGAGAGGGATCGTCGTGGTCAGGAGACCCAGTTTTAGAGCCCGAATCCTGGCCATTCATTGCCTATGTGACCAGGTTACTGAATCTCCTCTTCATAAAGTAATTATGAGGATTCAGTGAGTTGCTACAGGCAAAACGCTTAGAACAGCGCCTGTTATATAACAACTAACATCAATGTAGACTTGCTATTTTCACTGGTATTTTTTTTTTTTTTTGACTAGCCACTTAAATTCTGATGTGTCTCATGTTTGGTTATTAGTGTCACCTAAAAGAAATAAAACCAGTTCCTTGTTGCTTTTTTCCATGAAATGGCTTTTAGATTAATACCTCTGAAAAACTGCAACAAGTCAAATTTTAAAATATTAACAAGTAACATATGCCCGGAGCAATTCAAACTGTCTCCCTTCCCAGCTCTCCTGGATCAGGATAAACAAAGACCCACTTGGGTCCACAAGTCACAAAATGAAGCAGCAGAGGATGGGATGATTGTCAACAACACCCAATATGAATGAGGACTATGTCTTAGCGGCTCGGGAGAGACCCCCTCAGATAGCAGGGCTGCCCCAAGGATGGCCTGAGCCTGATGAAGGGAAAGGAAAGGGGCAACTGACCTCCACAGGGAAATGGGCTGCACAGGCACCTCCCTCAGCCCCACAACCACCCTGGCACCAGGGCCAGGCGATTATGTTGAGGAAGTCCTGACCAAGCAAGGAGTCAAACCGGGGACTCCCCGGTCCAGAGCCCAGCTCTCTCCGCTGTGGCCTCTAGAGGGGAGGACCCTGCCTTATCCTGGGCTCAGGCAGCTGAGGAGAGAGGCTGAGTAAAAAGGAAAAGATCATGAATGACTGTTCACTGTAGGAGAAAGGCTAGATGTACACTCCACCTATTTAATAAGCCCTCAGGTGATGAGAGGATTAACAGCTGCAAAGAATGCCAAATCCTCTCAGGATGGTTAGTGGTTAAGGAGACAGGTAAATTGCTAATATTACATGAACAAGGGTGATTCCAACTGGTTAGAAAGCAGGGTGAGCTCGTTGTGAAGAAGCAATTTGTCATTTCCACCATAAACCTTCGTGCGGTTAAATGCCTCTCCAGGGAGGCAGAGACTTAGTGCAGCAGGAAGAGAGAGTAAGGAACAGCAGCTGCCCCATTATTTTTTACATTCATTAAATGCAAAAGGGCTGGGTGGTGAACAGAATACCCAGAGGCAGCAGGGCTCTGCTCAGTAGTTTTCAACCTGGACCTGATGGATTCACCAGATTCAGCCACAGGGCACCCGCATTAGTAGGCGAGGAGCTTCCACCCAGCAAAGGATCCTGACCAAAAGGGCTTGAGTTGCCAATTCTAGCTGCCTTCTGGGCCCAGTCACCATGCAACAGGGATGTGGAGAGGAGGTACAGGTGTCCACTGGGTATATACTATGGGCCAGGCACGGTGCTAAGGACGTGACACCCATTATTGCATTTACTTCTAACAGGGTTGACATTGTCCATTTTACAAAAGAATTGACAGTTGAGTAATTCACCCCTTTGCTGTCAAGATGAGTGTCAGAGTCCCTGCCTTCAAAAAGACAAATACACTGTGATGCATGCAGAAACAAAGGTCTCTCTAGAGTGTAATGGTAACACAAAAGAAGAGAAAACTACTCTGCCAACATCAGGGAAAGCTTCTAGAAGGGATGAAAGCTCAAATAGGCTCTGGAAGATAAGCAGAAGTTGGGCTGAGGTTTGAAGAGACAGGCTTCAGCCGCAATGGGAAGGGAGTGCTTCCCAGGTAGAAGGAAGAGGAGGAATAGAAGTGGCCTCAACAGGACATACTCAGGGCACAAGGCACAGCGGACCTATAATATGCTGCTGTGGCCTCAGGTGCCAGGCAGAATGCCATGTGCCTTGCTCTGAGTTCAGACTCAAGCCTGGAATCACCACATGGTTTTAAGTAGGACAATGCCTACAGAATCATCCTTATACAGATGAGCCAGGCAGCAGTGTGGAGGATGGTGGGAGGGCACAGCCAAAGGCATGGTGGCAGTCTGGAGGGCACTGCGGCAGCTGTCTATGAAACACAACAGTCTGGGGCTGCACTGGTAGGAAGGAATAGGGAGAGACACGATTGAAAAATATTTAAGAGGCACATCTGTAAGGGTGACCTAAGCCAGGGGTAGTGACAGAGAAGAAAGGTGACCCTGAGGTTTCCAGCTTACATTCTTGAGTGGTCAAGATGTCTTTCCAAGAGATAAGGAAATATGAAAAACAAGTGCATGTTCTTTTTCAGGGCAAAAAGGAGAGACTGCAGAAATGATAACTTCAGTTTTTTGACATATTGAATTTAAGGTGCCTTTGGGATATCCAAATGGGAGTGTCACACAGAATATACAAGTCTCAACCTCCAAAAAGAGTTTCATAAAATCAAATAATGGCCTTATTTACATCTAGTGACATACACTGCCTGGCAGTGTTCCCAGACTAGAGAAAGGCACAATCAGGGACACAGACAATGCTGCCTGGACTGACATTTGGTTAAACAGGGACAGTCGGCATGTTCTTGTAGGATCTCTGAGTCAGATGTAAGCAGACTGGAGTCTTGCCTTGGTTCCATACCACAACCATACCACGTTCAAGCTTAGAAGTGAATCCTAGATTCCCCACTTACCACCTCTGCGAGCTATGGCAAGTTATTTAACCTCTTGGTACCTCAGTTTCCTCATCTGGACAATGGGATAATTATTACACCTACACCACACAGAGTTGTTATAAGGATAAAGTAACAAATCTTGTTAAGTGCTTTGCATGGAGCCCGACACAGTAACAGCACATAGTGCAGTCTGTACTCAATTCTGGTTAATGTTGATAAGAACAACAATGTAATTAGTTTGAGGAAGTCTTTCTTTTTTTTTTGACAGAGTTTCGCTCTTGTTACCCAGGCTGGAGTGCAATGGTGCAATCTTGGCTCACCGCAACCCCTGCCTCCTGGGTTCAAGCAATTCTCCTGCCTCAGCCTCCTGAGTAGCTGGGATTACAGGCATGCGGCACCATGCCCAGCTAATTTTGTATTTTTAGTAGAGACAGGGTTTCTCCATGTTGGTCAGGCTGGTCTTGAACTCCCAACCTCAGGTGATCTGTTCGCCTTGGCCTCCCAAAGTGCTGGGATTACAGGTGTGAGCCACCACACCAGGCAAGGGAGTCATTTTCTTTATGTGACCCTTACCTGTAAAATAAGGATAACGCCTGCTTTTTATGGGATTATTGAAGACTAACATTAGGTGACAGTGGATATGAAAATTCACTTAAACAACTAGAAAGTGCTTCGTAAGTGAGAAATCAGGGCCTTTCAGCAGGAATCAAAGAGGTTTGCGCTCCCAGCAGATCCGATCATCAGTGTGTGCTGCCATGGCTTTCCGTCCTTGTCCTATAATATGCTGCTTTTGGCTCCAAGAGGAAACTTGCCACACACCAGACCCTGTGTCATGTGCTGAGTACCAAAAGGTCACAGAAGGGAATACTATTCAGCCATAAAAAGGAATAAACTTTTGATACATGCCACAGCATGCATGTACCTTAGAAACATTATGCTTAGTGAAATAAGCCAGACACACAAGGACAAATACATGAGATTTCACTTATATGAGGTTTCTAGGCTAGGCAAATTCATAGAGATGGAGGATGGAACAGAGGTTACCAAGGGCTACGGGAAAACAGAGCTATTGTTTAATGGGTACAGAGTTCATCTTAGGAAGGATGAAAAACATTGGGGTATACATAGTGGTGATGGATACAAAGTATTGTGAATGTATTTAATGTCACTGAGTTGTACACTTACAAGTGATTAAAATGATAATTATGTTGTGTGTGTGCATATACATATGTGTGCCATAGAAGTCATCAAAACAAAGAGTAGATGCTCAATGCAACCTGTTGCCAACACCAAGAACATGAACCAAAGGGTCCCTAAAGGGTGGTTAGTGTAGTAGCGAGGAACTGACATTCTGCATATCATCCTGTTACAATGGATAAACACTGTTGGCTTCAGAGGACTCCCAAACATGAGGTGTGTCAGTGCAAGAAACTGTGGACTGAGCTGGGCAATATCAAATCCTCCCGTGGAAACTCAATAACATCATTTCTTACTCTTGAGCATAAATAACTGTAATAAAGCAAAGCACCTTATTTAAAAGATAGCATCTGTTTTGCTTTGACAACAACTCCTGGCTCTTACTAACTCTTCTCTGCTGACAGATAATGCATTCAGCAGTTCTGCCCCAGTTTAAAAATCATTCCCAAATCACTTCACTTCCAGAGCAGAACCAAACTCCTCCTACTGAGTGACTTTTCAGTCTGGTGCAGATTCAGGAAAAGATAAATGTATTTTTCATTATGTATTCAGTAGGTACTTAGCAAACCAGATTCTCCTGAGGTGTGATTCTCCTGGGAATAAAATCCTAGAAATAATCTACCACTCCCTCAAGCTCCCAAGTCTCTATTCACACTAGCCTTCTTGCCATTTCTTGAACCTGCGAAGCCCATTCCTGCCCCCCAGGAATGGTGACCTGGGGCACTTGCTGACCTCTGTCTGGAACATTTCCTCCAGATACCCACACGGCTCACTCCCTCTTTCCATTCACATCTCTAGAGACTCAAGTGTCATCAGAACCCAGAAGCCTTCCGCAACAGTCTGTGCAAAAGAGCACCCACCCCTATAAACTCCATGCAGACAGGGACTTTGTTTTGTAGACTGCTGTATCCCCAGAGCCTCAAAAAGTATTGGCTCAAAAAGGGAAGTCAATTTATTTTTTCAAATGAGTGGGGAAAAAAATTAGGTCCTGCTGTCTGGGCACTGCTCTTTATATTGATGAGAATACCTCGCCCCCTAAGAAAGCATTGATTTGTTTCCTTTGACTGAGAAGACAGTTCTAATCATTCCATCACACGCTGCTCAATCCCTATCAAGTGTTTTCTAAAATTTAATAAAGTCTGGGCCCCTTTTAAAGAAAAAAAAATTGGCAAACACCCCGTGTTTAAATGAATAAATAATATGTGGTATAGCCATGCTATGGAATGTTACTCAGCAACAAAAAGAAATGAAGTACTGATACATGTCCCAATATGGATGAACCTTGAAAACATTACGCTAAATGAAAGAAGCCAAATACCAAAGGCCACATATTGTATGATGCCATTTAAAATGTCCAAAACAGGCAAATCCATAGAGACAGAATGTAGATTAGTAGTAGTCTGGGGCTAGGGGTGTTGGGGAATCAGGGATGATGGATTAGAGGTATAGAGTTTCTTTTTGGGGTTCGCGCCCCAAACATGTTTGAAAATTGATTGTGGTGATGATTATACAACATTAAGAATATACTAAAACTCACTGAATTGTATATTTAAATGGGCGAGTTATATGGTATGCAAATTATACCTCAAAAAGCTGTTACCCAAAGAAGCGTTCCAAATGATGTCTGTTACATCATTTAAATATGTAAAGCATAAAACTAGATAGAAATTACTTACAGGGTTTACATAAATTTATAAATTAAACACAAATAATGTAACCAAAACAAATTAAGAATGTTAAAGTCAGAGAATACTTTGTCCTTGTAACTGAAATGATATCACTGCTCACAACAGGAATATACAGTGACTACCTGCCCCAAGTTCTCTTGGGTTTGGCAGAGGAATACACAGGGTGATACTCAGAAATTTGACAGCCAGGATGGTACAGTCCCAACAAATCAGAAAAGACATTGAGAGTTATCAGGACAAACACTAGCCATCAGCAACTCCAGAGGCTGCCTCAGGAACTATGGCTACATATCAGCCCCGCCTTCAGTACCGTGCACCATGCACTAACTCCATTTTTCTGCTACTTTCGTCTCTCTATTCCAACGACCGCAAAAATCTTGATTCATAACTCATGACTGTGCAAAGTGCAGTCATGTGTCCTTCATCTTATTAGAATTCATTATATATAAAATTTTCTGTTATTTTTCTTCAGGGCATAACCCTTACAGAAGAACTATTTGATGGCAACACACGTAGAAACAAGTAGACAAACACAGCTGTGAATGATAAACTCAAATGACAGTGCTCAGGCAGACAACGGCCCTTCCAACAGTCCAGAACAGGCTTATTTTATCTTGTTGTCATTAGGATCAAATGAAAAACAAAATCTTAAAATTCTTATGGAGAACTCTCAGACACTTGAACATACATTCCTAAATTCCAAGAGAGCCACAGAATCCATTCTGAGAAACACTGATGTACTGACTGGTTAAAAATAATAATTGCCCTAGAGGCAACTGAATTCATGTATTTAATAATAATAGCTAACATTTAGCAGGTGCTTATGCGTGCTTGGCAGCCAACATATATGGTTTTCTGACCCCAATGCCCTGCTCCAGTGCACAGTAATTAGAAAGGAATAACTAGCCTGGGCAACATAGGGAGACCCCATCTCTACAAATAATTTAAAAAATTAGCCAGGTGTGGTGGCACATGCCTGTAGTCCCAGCTACTAGGAGGGCCACCTGAACCTGGGAGGTTGAGGCTGTACTGATCCATGATCATGCCGCCACACTCCAACATGGGTGACAGAGCAAGAGCCCATCTCAGGGAAAAAAAAAAGGAGGCAAAGAACTATTATTTATGGTTCATAATCCACATGCTAGGCACTTCACTCAGTATGCTGCATGCATTCATGTATAACTGTAAAATACATGTGCCAAGAGGACATTATCCCAATTTTCCTGATGATTAAAGAACAACTGATAGATTAAGAAATGTGTTCAGTCATTTAGCTAGTAAACAGAAGAAACAGGATTTGAATTTAGTTCTTCCTGATCCCAATATTGGAGTACCTCAGTAGGGGGTGGAATCTCTCCAATCCCTGCTATGAGCCTAACACTCTAATCCCATTATGGTAGACAGACTCAAAGCCCCCCAAAGAGGTCCATGACCTAATCCCCAAAACCTATGAATGTGTTACCTCACATGACAAAGGGCACTTTGCAGGTGTGACCAAATTAAGGACCTTGAGAAGGGGAGATTATCCTGGATTACTGGGGAAGGAAGAATGAGGAGGGACCAATCTAATAACGAGGGACCTTATAACCAAAGGCGATGGAGGTGCAGGAGAGTCAGAGTCAGAGAAAGAGATGTGAAGACAGAAAGCAGGGGCCATAATTCAGGGACGAAATTGCCAGCACTAAGGATGGAAAGGGGCCATGAGCCAAGGAATCTAGGGAGCCTCTGGAAGCTGGAAAAGCCAAGGAACAGATTCTCCTCTAGAACCTCCAGAAGGAACGCAGCCCTGCCAACTCCTTGATTTTAGCCCCATTTTGGACTCTGACCTCCAGAACTGTAAGTTTGTGTTAAGCCGCTAAGTTTGTATTATTAAATAATTTGTTACAGCAGCATAGGAAATTAATAGAGCCATACTAACACAGTGAAACAGAGGTTTGTGTTACAACTTCAGCTGTTCTGAGGTAGGCTTGCCAACTCTGAACTTAGGATGAAAAGGAGAACAATGACAAAGGAGTAAATGGTGCTGAGGGGGGCCACTTAGGGAGAAAGTTATAAAAAGGGATAAAGTGACTCCTGGACAAAGCCTCCCAGAGGAGGTAAAATATGGATTTCAGGGCTGAATGCATGAGACCACGTGCCGAAGCGTACTGCTGGTGGGTAAGGAAACACAAGTGCAGACAGGCGGCACTCACAACTCCAGTCGCTGCCTCCATAAAGCCGCCCGTCCACCAGTCCCTGGATGTTCTCCTAAGAGCATTTCAGTTATGTTCTCCCAAGAGAGCATCCAAGGCCATTTTATATTTTTCTGTTTTTGTTTTTCTTGAGAGAATTTCTGGAAGAGTTGGCAATTCTGGAAGAGGGCTACAGGGAGAGGAGGGCTTGGCCATTTTCTGGTCACCGGTGAATTCTGTTCAAGGCCAAGACCAACACCACTCCAGAGTGCCACACTTGAGAAACCAAGTCACTGTTAAATAGGAAACTCTGACTCCACACTGGACCATTTAGAAGACCATTTGCAGTGGGGCCAAGTTTTTGCCCAGCCTACAGCCAGAGGAGCCACCACAGGAGACCAGATACCCCTGAGTGTCATCTAGCTACAGCGCATATCCCTCCCAGGTTTGGTCTGTATTGGCCACCAGAGGCTGCACCACGTTTCGACTGCAGGGATCTATCCCCTGGTTTAAGAGCAAGAAATCAAGTCTCCAGCCTCACGGACAGCACTGAAAGCCCCCAGTTCCCACAGCAACAGTGGGTTCCAAAGATGAAGGGGTCAGGAGCCACCCAGTGACATGCTGGAGCTGGGCACTGCAGCCCAGCTCTCTCCACACCAGTATCCTTAAAAAAGCTATAGAACCCGTCAAGTCTGACTTGAGTGCAGCTGTCTTCCTTCCCCAGAACCCCCTTGGTGGAGCCTCCCCAGATTTCATGGGTTTATGCTCAGGTGGTTATTAAGTAAGATTAACTTTCTCAGTCACTCAACAAATGTTTACTGAGCACAGATGGGCACCATGCCAAATGTTGGGAATACAGTTGCTCTCAGTGCTACAAAAAAGAGGGGTGTGGTGCCACAGAACATGAGAGGACAAGATGACCTAGGTAGGAAAGGCCTCCCCAAGGAAGGGATGTTTGCACTGGAACCTGAAAAAAAGGCGCTAGCTATTAAAAGGGGCTAGATGAGGCAGCTCAGTATCTCTCAGGGTATTTATCTGCATTTATGAAATGCTTTGAAACCCAAAGGAAGGCATAAAAATGATACCAATGAATATAAATAGCACTTTATGGTTTATAAAATGTTTTTCCATGCTTCATCCCAGATTCAACAATAGCACTAGAGAGACAGAACAAGAAATTTCATGCTCTGCCTTTTATAAATGAGGAAACTGAGATTAACAGCAGTTACATGCCTCACCAAGGTTATGAAGTCAAGGAGAAGACTCAAGTCTGGCTCTCATTATTCCTCATTGAGAGCTCTTTTCACTACATAGTGCTGCCTTCCCAGGAAAGCTAAAAAGTTAAACGACAGACTGGTGTTCATATTTACTAATGCAAATCATACCAAACATCTGGCTGCTGGACTCACCTATTCACACAGTTGGACTGACAGTGCAATGCCAGCAACCTGGTTTCAGCATTACCAGCCACCCTGCACCTTCAACCAGCAACCTCCAAGCAAGCGGCGCCAGTGTCAGACCAATCCCCAGCTCAAGGAGAACTTCCCTGAAAACTTTGTGAATTGTTCTAAGCTATACAGCTAAAAGAAAATAAAAACATGTTTCAATTTAAAAAGGAGCCATATTCCCTCTTCTCTCACTTTCCCCTTCCTTTTCCAGCTGGCAACTTCTCAGACCTTTGGATCCTTGGTAAACAAAGAGCGAGCAGGACAACCATCCTGTAGTTCTGGGGAGTGTCCCTTAAGCTTCCTTCTTGTCTGGGTCATTGTAGAGATCAGAGAGTAATATATGGAAAAACCTAATACCAAGGAGTTGGCACAGAGAGGGGGAAAGTACCAGATCTGGAATCAGAGGCCTGCAGTTTGGTCTTCGTTCTAACACTTAGCTTCTAATCTCTGGTAAACAATAAACAAGGAAGATATGATAGTAATGCAAAATGATAGTCATTATGGAAAACAGTATGGAGGTTCTTCAAAAAAATTAAAAATGGGACTACCATACCCAGCGATCACATTTCTGGGTATATATCCCAAAAATTTCTAAGCAAGATCTCAAAAAGATATTTACATACCTATGTTCATTGCAGCACTATTCACAACAGCCAAGACATAGAAGCAACCAAAATGTTCATAGTTAAATGAATGGATTGTTTTAATGTGGTATATATACACTATGGAATATTAAGCAGCCTTAAAAAGGAAGGAAATCCTGTCACATACTGCAACATGGATGAACCTTGATGACATTATGCTAAGCGAAATAAGCCAGTCAAAAAAAGGACAAATACTATATGATTTCATTCATATGAAGTAGTCAAAATCACAGAAACAGAGAGTAGAAAGGTAGTTCCCAAGGGCTGGCAAGAGGGGGAAGGGGAATTGTGTTTAATGGGTATAGAGTGTCCATTTTGCAAGATGAAAAAGTTCTAGAGATCTGTGACACAACAGTGTGAATATACTTAACACTGCTGAACTTCACACTTAAAAATAGTTAAATTTAATGTTACACATTTACCACCATAAAAAATACTGAAAGCACATTAAAAAGGAAAAAAAGCAAAATACGCTCAAGACAGATAACATAAATTCAGAAAGACCATCAAGAGGGTGAGAGACCAAATGAGAAATAGAGAGAGGGAAGAGGAAAGCACCAGTGAAAAACAAAGTCCAGATATTTAGCTCAGAGTCCTCTCTGGGGTAAGGAATAGGAGTGCACACACCAGCTAGAGCCCCAGCTCAAAGAATGAATGGGGCACATCACACAGATCCCTTCACTCTGAATGCTTCTCTCTCTGGGAAACAGATGATCTTCACTGCCCATCAACTAACTGTCCCTTTAGTGCTCTAGACAGGATCAGGGAGGTTGACATCTCACACACATGTGATCCTTATCATAACTGCTGTTTTCCAAGGTCTACCCACTGCTCCAGCCAAGCTGTAAGGCCTGTGTCTTCTGAACCCATCAGAACACCCAGCAACCAAAAGCCTGCCCAATGTTAGCCTGGCACCGTTCTACATAAAAAGACAAAGTCAAGAATAGTCCTTTACACAGAAATCCCATGCCCTAGTTCTTGACAGCTGTAATTACAGCCAACAGCTTTTAAAAGGGAAAGAAGAAAAGAAAATAGCAGCCTGGACCTAGCAGTGAATTGAGGGGTTTAGGGTAAAACACATACCACGGCACTTGCTATTAATGGTGGCCAGTCTAAACAAGAGACTGGACAGCCAGACCAAACAGCTTTCTGGCCAATTAATTGCTCCCTCTAATTTAATGAGCTGCTCATTAAGCACTGGAAGCAGCACATAGGAAGGGAGCCACAGGAAGAGGCACATGGGCCATAAGGGCTGGCAGATGATGAGGGAAAAGGAGACTGGGGTCACATTCCAACCCCAGATGCCTCCAGATCCCACAACCAGCCAGCCCCATACCATGCCTCGGCCTTCCCTTGCTTCCAGGTGATGTTTTCCTGTACCTCTGTTTGTTCCATGAAGTTGTATCTCTGCCACTGGCTCTCTTACTGGGGAGGTCCCATGTCCCAGTTCTTTGGTTCCTCAGCTGGGGTAATGACTCATATTAGGGTCACAAAGAGCCTTCAGCAGGATTACAAATGGGCCAGCACGGTCCTGAATATGAATCCCAACTCTTCCTACTAACAGCAACTTGACCTAGAATTATTTAACCCACCCAAGGTTCTATTTCCTCATCTATAAAATGTAATAATAACATCCTCATCTAGAGTAGTTGTAAATAATAAATAAAATAATAAAATATTATTTCAATATTAAAAAGCCTAACAAAGCACCTGGCACATAAGTAGCTATTCCTAATAGTAGCTACTATTAACAGAGATATCACTTTCATAATGATAGTGATATTACTGACAACATATTCCCTATCTCTTCGTCAAAAGTGAATTAAAAAGGGACTTTTTTTGGTTGAAACCCCAAGGACAGGCCAGCTGCAGGTCCAGTCCTTATCACAGCAGCAACCACAACTGTGGTGAAAGTAGCAGCCCATCCTAACAACTGTAACACCTCCAGATGTTCCCCAGCCGAGGCCTCTGTGCTTTCTATCTGAGCTAGAAGGTGAAGGAAAAGAAGAGGCCTGGAAACACTCGAAAGTTGCATGTTCTCATGAGACTGAGTGAAGAAATGCATTCAGGCCACATGCCTGCCCCTTCCCAGACCTGCGAGACTCCTCACCCTACCCCTCTGAGCCTCAGTTTAATCTAGAAAATGAGGGTAACTGGTTCCCCACTTCACAGCCTGCTGTGAATGTTGAATGAAACAACTCAAGTGAAAGTGCTTTGAAGCTACTTCTTACTGTGTCCATGAAAAACAGTACTGTTGTATTTAATAGCAGTCTCAATAAATTTAATTTAACAATAAAAAAATGCTGAAATACTGCGAAGATCAAGGCAATGAAAAGATTTTATTAGGCTGATGAACTGCTCAGAGAAACAGCCCCAAGCATGCAAATTTTCTTCCCAACGTTGCTGTCATTGAACTCAAGTTTCTGTTGACCAGAGGAAGGACTGGCTGAAAGTAAAATTAACAAAGCAAAATGAAGCTACAGCATCACCTACATGTTTTTCCATTTAGGTGAGTAGATTATTCTACAGAACAATTATTCTAAAGAACAAACCAGGCTGCATCCAGGGATGACCAATCATGCCATCTCTAATGCCAATTATCTCTTTAAAAAAACACTTAAAATCCATTTCACCAATCCCAAACCTACCTTTGAAATGCACAAGTACAAGGTAATTTATTCTGTTCCAGTGCAGAGCACATGGACAAATTCCTTCACAGGTATCAGAAGAGAATTTGATTCTTGCTCAGTCTCAGCTTCATGTACCACAGAGTCAGAAAGCAACAAGTTCACAGACTGAACCATGTATACCAGCGAGAATGTATAGTGAACTTTCCGAAAGTAGACAAAATGGCAGAAGAAAATGCGCTTACACTCCCGGAGCCTACGGCATCCAACCAATAAAATTTTGTTCAAATCTCACATTTGCTCTTAAAAATCCAAGTAAATCTTATATTCGATACCTCTCTCTCTCTCTCTATATATATATATATATGTATATATGTATGTATATAGGCTCTATATATATATATATGAGCTCTCTATATATATAAGCTCTCTCTCTATATATATATACACATACATATATACACACATACATACATATACACATACATATATATATACACATACATATACATATATATGTATATATGTGTATATGTATGTGTATATATATATGTATGTGTATATGTATATGTATATATATATGTATAAAGGCTTCACACTGTGTATGGACTCAATCCCAAACTCCTTCATACTGAAGTTCAAACCATTTTGTTAACTAGCTCCACCCTCCCCATATAACACATCGCTTACCCACCCTCGAATACCCTAATCAAGCCAATTTCTTTGTCCTCCCTTATCCAGGCAACAGTTCATCACTATACTATATCTTTGCTAATGTTATTTTTCCTATTTAGAGTACTTATTCCACTCCCATTCTATTCAAGAGCCACCGTTTCTAATAAAAGCTTCCATTATAAACATTATACAGGCTCATGCCTATAATCCTAACACTTTGGGAGGCCGAGGTGGGTGGATTGCCTGAGTTCTGCAGTTCGAGACCAGCCTGGGCAACACGGTGAAACCCCATCTTTTTGAGTCAATTACCAGATCATTACTAAACCTTTTCCCTAAAATCTTTGAATAAAAAAGAGACATCAGTCCCTGGCCAGTCACCACACATCATCAAGGTAACATGTATCTCAGTTTGAGGAGCTACAGGTCACAAGAGAGGGAAGATGGTACCACTCCAGCCATCACATCCATTTTAACATTGGCCTTTCATCAAGATCAAATGTTCAATTCAGAACAGCTACCTAGAGGGTACAGAGAGGAGGAGTTTGGGTTTGCAAGGGGTGTAGCCATCCATTTTGGCCCCTCCAGCCCTACCTAGAAGGGCCAGCAGCTAAGGCACTTGACTCCCCGCTCCACACAGTCCACCTCTGGCCACTCACCCGTATCCGGCGCATGGCAGCCACGATCTCCACCCTGCTGTTGGGCCTTGGCACGTCCAGGCTTCCTACGTACTGTGGGGGAGAAGCAAACACTCATTGAGAGGAGGGGTAGCAAGTGTCCCTAATCCCAGAAAGTTCCAAAGGGTAAAGGACTAGCTCATCTGCCCATTTTACAGATGAAGAAATTAAGAGCCAGCAGGGTGTTTTGTTTTGAGTCTGTTTCTAACTTTATAAAAAGCAAGTTAACCAGAAATTACTGCTTCCTTTTTTCATCTTGCTCTTAACCAGAGATCCAGTAGAGAACTGTGTCTAACCAAGCAGCCTTTCAAGCCAGAAAGCCTTGGGTGTGAAGACTCTTCCACCACTACTTTATGGCAAAGCAATTCACTTTTTTTGTCTCAATTTCCTCAACTGTAAAATTGGCTCTCAGTAAAGATCAAACAGAATAAAATGTCCTACACAAAAGTGATTGGCAAATATTAGTGCTCTCAAAAAAAAAAAAAAAAGAATATATACCTTTTTTAACTAATGGAATTTCACTGATTGAGCCCTAGATGTTTTAGATACCTGACACATTTGATTAAGTTCCCGACTGGAGGAAAGAAATGAATTAATTTATTTAAAATTTTTTGAAGATGAATGAATGCTTAATATGAGTACTTTCTTACTGTAAGCTATTCAAATAATGCAGAAATATGCAGCACAAAAGAATAAAGTCCCCACTGTAACAGTTGATGTACATCTCTCTTTGTGTACTGATGGGTATATATTCACAGACAGGAGGGAATTTGTTTTATGTAAAGGTTCATATTACTCACATTGTTCTGCAACTTGGTTTTTTGACTTTAAATACAACTAGGGCATCTCTCTATGCCAATGAATACAGGACTATTACATTACATATAATGGCTCCCCTACTGGTGGACATGCTATGACACTACTACAAATTATACTTTTCATCTAGCCAAGTTTGAGCCCATCCAAGTAGCTCTAGAAGTAAGATTTCTGGATTCCTAGGATAAGATTGCTGGATCAAAAGTATAATCTTGGCTGGGCACTGTGGCTCATGCCTGTAATTCTGGTTCTTTGGGAGGCTGAGGCAAGGAGACCACTTGAGGTCAGGAGTTCGAGACCAGCCTGGCCAACATGATGAAACCTCATCTCTATTAAAAACACAAAAATTAGCTGGGTGTGGTGGCACATGCCTGTAATTCCAGCTACTCGGGAGGCTGAGGCATGAGAATTGCTTGAACCCAGGAGGCGGAGGTTGCACTGAGCTGAGATCGTGCCATGGCACTCTAGCCCAGGTGATGGACTGAGGCTCTGTTTCAAAAAGTAAAAATTAAAAAGGTATAATCTCTAGATATCATTGCTTATAAGAATGAAACAAGAAAATAGGACCACCCAACACTGATTCATTGATTAAGCATCTATGACATGAGCGCCTTCATATACACCATCCCATTACACACTGATTCATTGGGACTTGCCTTTCCTTATTATACATAAATTACATAAAACAGCCCAAGGGATATACTAGAAATTAAGAGCCCAGACTAACTTAAAAGTCTACCCAAGCAAAGATTCCATTAAGAGTGAAGATAAGACTGCGACATCTGTGCGGGAAAGGGATGTCCTGTAGTTACGGGAAAAGCAAGTTTTTCCCGAAATTTGGAGCTGAGGCCTGACCCCAGTGAGGAGGGTTTCAAAAACTAAATACCACAAAGGGATTTCCCCTAGTATTGATCAACAGTTTGTGCTAATACACTGAAGAACACAGCTGGCAAGCAGTGAGCACATTGCAGTTTGGCCCCAAGGGGACAGCCCCACCACGGCCCATGGGGAGCAACACAGCTATTGAAGAACCTTGCAGCTTGCTGAGGTAAACAAAACCACTTAGATCTGATAGCGTGGCCAGATTTAACTGTGGTTACATTTTTCCTTCTGAGCTCTGCTGAGGCGGTACAGTCTGTCAACAAGACAGCGACCCAGAGCTAGGGATGACGTAAGGCCCAGATTCGTGATTGCCCAACTTCACAGGCCCTCCAGCTGGGGGCAGTTTCCATGCCCCCTCTCCTTGACACTGCACAGCTGATGGCTCCTGCCCTGAATGCTGTGCAGTCAGGAACACACAGGCCTTGAGGGGCTCATGTTCCCTCAGCCATCACATGAGAGCTAGGGCCACAGGACCGAGAAAGGTCACCCATCACAGGGAGCCTGGGGGACTGTATAGTCCTCCCACTGGATCCCTGCAGACCAGGAAAGGGGCTGCTGCCCAGTGAGACCCACCATTGGGCCTAAACACAAATACCCAGATGGGACCCATCCCTATCCTGCTACCATGACCCTGGCCCATTTCTACCTCTTCTGGAAGAGGCACTGCTGGACTGAGAAAGCCAAAGGAAACATAGGATGCAGGGAGGACAGGTGGAGAGAAGAGGCAGCTTCGAGTTTTGGACAAGGCTTCCTAACAAGGGGCTCACATTAAGACATCTACCATCTTCACCCCACAAGTAACTCCTTCACTACATCAGCCACTACCCCAGCTGGTATGTGTGCATACATGTACCACACACCTTCACACACAGTCATGGTGCGCATGTACATGTACATGCACACCCCACATGCCACACACTTGCCTCACCCCACACCCCTACTAACACATCACACTCACACCACACACTCACTTGCTCTTCTTCCTTCCTTCCTTCTCATTCATGCAAAGAAAATCACTAATCTAAATACCTAGAAATTAGCTTAACCAAAGAAGTGAAAGATCTCTACAATAAAAACTACAAAACATTAATGAAAGAAATTGAAGAGGACACAAAATAATGGAAAGATAACCCATGTTCATGGATTGGAAGAATCACTATTGTTAAAGTGTCTGTACTATACAATCCCTATCAAAATACCAATGACATCCTCCACAAAAATAGAAAAAACAATCCTAAAATTTATATGGAGCCATAAAAGACCCAGAATAGCTAAAGTTATCCTGAGCAAAAAGAAAACAGCTGAAGGAATCACATTACCTGACTTCAAATTAGGCTATAGAACAAAACATGTAACCAGGTACATGCTACAGAACATGCACATGTACATGCTACAGAACATGTAACCAAAACAGCATGGTACTGGCATAAAAACAGACACATAGACCAATGGAACAGAATGGGGAACCCGGAAACAAATCCATACATCTACTGTGAATTCATTTTTAACAAAGATGCCAAGAACATATATTGGGGAAAGAATAGTCTCTTCAATAAATGGTGCTGGGAAAACTGGATATCCATATGTAGAAGAATAAAACTGGACTCCTATCTCTCACCATATACAAAAATCAAAACAAAATGAACTAAAGACTTAAAACTAAGACCTCACACTATGAAACTGTTAAAAGAAAATGTTGGGGAAACTCTCCAGGACATTGGACCGGGCAAAGATTTCTTGAGTAATACCCCATGAGCACAGGCAACCAAAGCAAAAATAGACAAATGGGATCACATCAAGTTGAAAAAGTTTCTGCACAGCAAAGGAAACAATCAACAAAGTGAAGAGACAATCCACAGGATGGGAGAAAAAATCTGCAAACTTCCTATCTGACAAGGGATTAATAACCAGAATATATAAGAAGCCCAAACAACTCTGTAGGAAAAAAATCTAATAATCTGATTTAAATATGGGTGAAAGATCTGACTAGACATTTCTCAAAAGAAAACACACAAATGGGAAACAGGTACATAAAAAGGTGCTCAACATCATTATCAGAGAAATGCAAATCAAAACTACAATGAGATATCTTTCACCCCAGTTAAAATGACTTTTATCCAAAAGACAGGCAATAATAAATGCTGGCAAGGATGTGGAGAAAAAAGAACCCTCGTATACTATCAATGGGAATGTAAATTAGTACAACCACTATGGAGAACAGTTTGGAGGTTCCTCAAAAAACTAAAACTAGAACTACAACATGATCCAACAATCCCATTGCTAGGATACCCAAAAGAAAGGAAATCAGTATATTGGTGAGATATCTGCACTCCCAGATTATTGCAGCACTATTCACAATAGCCAAGATTTAGAAGCAGCCTAAGTGTCCCTCAAAAGACAAATGGATAAAGAAAATGCAGTAAAATGGAATACTATTCAGCCATGAAAAAGAATGAGATCCTGTCATTTGCAATAACACAGATAAAAATGGAGGTTAGTGAAATAAGCCAGGCACAGAAAGACAAACTTCACATGTTTTCACTTATTTGTGGGAGCTAAAAGTTAAAACAATTCAGCTCATGGAAAGAGAGAGTAGAACAATGGTTACCAGTAGGTGGGAAGGGTAGTTGCAGCAGGGAGGGAAGGATGGTTAATGAGTACAAAAATATAATTAGGTAAAATGAGTAAGATCTAGTATTTGATACCACAATAGGATGACTATAGTCAACAATAACTTATTGTACATTTAAAAATAACAGAAAGAATGTAATTGGATTATCTGTAACACAAAGAAAGGATATATGCTTAAGGTGATGGATACCCCATTTACCCTGATGTGACTATTATGCATTGCATGCCGGTATCAAAATATCTCATGTGCCCCCATAAACCTATACACCTATTATGTACCCACAAAAATTGAAAATAAATTTTTTAAAATAAAATAAATTACAAACAAGAATCACTAATCTGCCTTTTTGAGAATGTGTCTGGAATAAATAACCTGTTTTCGCTATAGCTGCACCTTAGGGTCATCCAGAGAGATTAAAACGATACACAAAGCAGGATTCAGGTCTGCATCTCCTAGACAAAAGCTAAACATCCACTCTAATAACATGAATCAAGAGCAGAACTACAGTGCCAGGGAAGCAAAGGGTCAGAAAGTCTACTGCACAGGGCAAAACCAGAGGGTGTGGTATGTGAATACTTTCTTTACACATATGACACCACAACAAAGAGTACCTTGATAACTAATCATTACCACCTCCACAACTAACTTCTGTCTGTCCCTGAGTCTTCATCTTGAGCAAAGTGTAAGACACCATCTAAGACCAGACATACTTGCTGGAGGGTGGCCCTTCTAACTGCTCAACTTCAAGCAATTCTGCAGTAAACTGAACTCAGGCAGACCCTCCCACTCTTGACTGGAAGGTTAGCTCAGCAGGTAGATGAAGTTCAGGCCTAGGAGCCAACAACCTTCAGATATCCAGGCTCTGTCAATTCCTACAGGGGTCAGGCAACACCAATTCCCTGCCTTCAGTCAAAGACTGATACACTGGTGGCAGTTGATCACTTTGAAACAGCACTCCTTTTATCTGCCTCTCCTGCAGGATGCAGGCTCCCACACGTTCCTAGGGCAATGGAGCTGGGTTGGCCTGATGCCTGGGAATTGGAGGAATATATTTCAAAATGGAAACTCATCCTTTTTCCCCTCCTTCTCCCATGTCATGTTCCTCCTCTAGCCTTCCTCATCCTGATTAGCAGCCCCCAGGAAATCCACCGGTTTTTCAAGCATGAAACTTGAGTCATCCCCGAACGTGCTTCTCCCTTACCCGTCACAGCTAATCAGTGATCAGGACCTCCCAATTCTCTCCCCTCTACCTCTCTGTCTACACTGCCATTACCTGATCCCAGAAAATCTTCCTCTCTCACTTTGTCTATACAATGGCCTCCTTACTGGTTTCTCCAGTACCCACATGGCCCTCTGCAAACCATTCTCCATGAAGCTGCCAGAGTGATCTCTTTACAAAGCAAATTGGGTCATCTTATTCCCTTCTTTAAGAACCTCCCACACTTGCTTCCATTTGCTCAAAGATGGCAATCAAAATCCTCAGCATGGCCTACATAGCCACATGGTCCAGCTTCATCTCACACCAGTGGCCTTGCCAATTATTCAGAAGTTCCTCAATCACACCGTATCTTCTCACATTCAAGGGCATCTACACATGTTCCTCCCTGTGCACAGAATACTCTTCTACCCACTCGTCCCCTAATCTTCCAACATTCGTGATCCTGTAGATTTCTGCTTAATCTCTACTTCCCCTTTGTTTACCCCCAGGGTAGGTGAGATACCCTTAGAGAGGACTCCCATACCTCCATGCAATTCTCCTGTCTAGAACACACAGCTAAAACATGCTTTAGTCATCACTAGCTGACCGTGCCTCCCACAGGTCCAGGTACACAGGAGATGCTCAAAATACATTTGACTGAGTGGAATCCTCCAAAAATGAACACAGATTCACCCCAAGTGCCCATGGGAGAATCTCTCCTCTGAGGAGCATCCTGAGTCCTGGATTCTGCCTGGTGTTCCGGCATCTGAGGCATCAGCCTGCTCCTTCCAGCCCTCCATTACACTCTGTATAGTCCCACAGCAAAACTTACTTGACTTTTATCCAGGTACTTCAATTGGACCTAAGCCAGATGCTTTTACAGTAGCACATGCAATTCCTGGTTTACCGAGAGGGGTGGTATGTTAAACCTTCCTGCTGGTGGATTTTTAATCACCTAGCCTTCTGTAAGACTTCTGTAGCATTCCTGCATCCCCCCCTTCCAGGAATCCCTGCTGTGAGACATCAAACAGGGCCTCTATTCAGAACATTGACCACTGAGCTTAAGGGGAAATAAGGTAAAGGAGTTTAAAAATACCAGGGCCTACTTCTTTTTCATTAACATCTAGAAAGAAAAAAACTATACAGAAGATGCAAACTGTATAGGTAATCAAGATATGGGATTATCTGTATCTGTTCTATCTTATCTTCCAGATAAGCAGGAGCTAACTGCAAATAAAGTTAACTGAAAGACTTCAAATTTTTTTATAAGTTTCTGGACAACCTCAGCCTCAGTACTAAGTTAATATTTCATAAAGTGCTTTCACTTGCTGGCTTCCACCCTATTTTCTGGAGATTAACTTCTGAAGACACCAATCAACTCTACTGTTGTGGCCCCTGGTACACGAATCATAATGTGAAAAGCAGCAAGACAGAAAGCTCGAAACATTCACCAATGTAATTGCCATCCATAGACTTGTTAGACTTTCTGCCATCACCATCACCTTCTTCTGGAAACTCCTTTTATTCACAAGGTTTATGTCAGGTGCTTCCAGAGACAAGGGAAAAATGTATTTATCTTTTTTTTTTTTTTTTTTTTTTGAGACGGAGTCTCGCTCTGTCGCCCAGGCTGGAGTGCAGTGGTGCGATCTCAGAGGCTCACTGCAACCTCTGCCTCCCGGGTTCACTCCATTCTCCTGCCTCAGCCTCCAGAGTAGCTGGGACTCCAGGCGCCCACCACCCCACCTGGCTAATTTTTTGTATTTTTCATAGAGACAGGGTTTCACCATGTTAGCCAGGATGGTCTCAATCTCCTGACCTCGTGATCCGCCTGCCTCAGCCTCCCAAAGTGCTAGGATTACAGGCATGAGCCACCGCGCCCGGCCTTGTATTTATCAATCAAAAATAAATGCATCAGATTATTCTGCTTCTGATAAAGTTGGAGTAGCTAGTATCAGACTAAGCCTCCCACAAGTAACAAATAGGAACTCTGAACAAGATAGAAAAAATAGCTCTGCATAGAACGCAGGACACAAAAAGTGAACCACAATATAAACTGTGAATGTTAGTTCATAATAATGTATCAATATTGGCTTATCAATTGTAACTAATGTACTATACTAATGTAAGATGTTAATAATAAGGAATGTATGAGAACTCTGGCCTTGCCTCTCAATTTTTCTCTTAACCTAAAACTTCTCTAAAAAATAAAGTCTATTGTTTAAGATAATAATAGTAACTTTAAAAGCCCTGGAAAGAGACAAAAAACAGGCAGAGATTATGGGAAGTCAAGCTTTGAAAGAAGGGAACTGCTCTTGGTGAGGCTTGGGTGTGGGGCATCTCGTCTGGCAGCACAACCCCACAGGCACAGTGCAGGCTGGCTGGAGCTCAGGCAGAAAAGCTCACTCTGACACCCTGGGGAGTTGGATACCAGAGACGGGGACAGCCAGAGGAGCTTAAAAGAGAGGGCAGGCAGGAGGGAGTCACAGAGGGGAAGCCTCCAAAATCATGTGTAAACCCCAGCCAGGTCTTCAGGACCCCAACTGTGCATGTGCTCAGGAAACTCCAAGGAAACCAGCAGAAGGGGACAGTTGGAAAAACAAGAAAATCAAGTGGAGATTTTAACTGCTCCCCACCTCAGAGGAGGCAGATTTAGGATTTATGACCAGCCAAGTTAACTATCATTAAGAACAAGAAAACATGCTTCAGAAGAGGCTAGCAGAATCTTCTGCTATGGGTCTGTAAAAGCCCCAGTGACTAGCTAGCGCAGGCAAGGCCGCAGGAAAGGACAGGGCCCCCAGAAATAGGCATAACGTAAAGGTCCCTGCCTCTGCTGCACTCCCAGCTCTCATCTCCTTTCTGAAGCTGCTCAGTTCTACAGCCTCAGCACACAGGATACAACATGTGAGTTTCAGGGGTAACTCCCTTCTTTTACAGAGGACAGTGAGGCCCAAAGCAGTTAGCAGATGGCAGAGAAGGGGCTCAGTCTCCCTCAAGCTCCTGGCTTCTAGTCTAGGACCCCTGCATTCTTCCAAACTCTCTCCCTTGGGGGTCCCAAATGCAGTCTGGTCTCCCTGTCTACCTCCTCATATCCCGCTGGTCTCCTGGTCATACTGTGTCCTCTCTCCAAAACACACAAAAGCATAAAGAAATCTGATACCCTGGTCGTGCCTAGAAACCCCCAGCTGAGATTGCCCATCTGAGTTAGTCCCTGAACCTATCCTCTGTACTGATAGCTTCCAGAAACAGAGAACCAAAGGAGCTTTCCAAAGGACTGTCCAAAGGGAAAGCCCTTCCCTGCCTGCAGAAACTGCTCTTGTGCACAGCTGAGCGTCCTGCTGAGCGGGATTATGAATGTGACCAGGGTGAAAGTTCTCGCCTCATTTAGCATGGAACAAAGCAGCATTAACTGCAGCAGCAGGAGCGGCCCCAGATTCCGGGGCACACACTCAGCCAGTGACCTCCTACTAAATACTCTGGGGGAGGGGAGGAAAAAGAGAAAAGTTGCGTCAGGGTATCCCACTCCCCACTTGTGAGGCTTGCTCGGGGCTCTCCAGGTGCTAGGGTGTAAGGGACGTGGGGATAGGGACTCAAAGCGCCCATGTGGACATTTAGCAGCATCCTTGCTCTCAACTGCAATCAAGAGAGAAGCCTCAGTGCCAACCCCCCCACCCACCCCTCACATACACCAGAAAAGCTTCCAAAATGCTTGAAATGCAGCTGCACACCACGTCTTCATTTATTTGTAGTCTAAGAGGAATGAGGCACTTATATTTCTTCCTCTCTCTCCCAGCCCATCTGAAAAAGGAAGCACTATTTGAAGGCCATCTGATGCAACTGTGTCACTATTGATCAGTAGCTCAGCAGGGGCCGATGAATGTGCCGGAGATCACAGCAGAATCCTTCCTGCTCCTCAACATTAAGGGGCTGGGTGCAAAATGATTGCGATGACTTGTCTTTATGCTAATGCCATGCAATTCTCTAAAAGGGACAGAGGGTAAGACAGAACGATCCAACCAGCGTGCCCATGGGGAGGCTGTGTCTTTCAGTTCTTTTAGTCTCCATTAGCAAAAGCTTAGATGGGTTGGCCTGATTATTTCTATTATGAGGATCTGAGGGGTACAGCAAAGAGGAGAGAAAAAAAGCAGGAAGACAGAGAAACTGTTCTGGCCTTTCAACTATCAGCTCCTGAATAAAAGCTTCAGCTTGGTGATTAAAATCTCTGGCTCGTGTCACAGAGGCAGGTGTGAGGCAGAGGCCGGGCTGTACCCTGGGCCGGCAGCACTTTCTGCCATGCCTACCTGGGATGCTGACTTGGCCAGCAGGTTATTTTCTCCTAGGGAAAAGAAAAGAAAAGAAAAGAAAGTCCAACACATGGTGTGAGGCAAAGGGATACACTAACAAAGGCTGTATGATCATTAAAATCATCACCTGTATCAGGTAAACCAGGAATGGATAGGTGAACAAAGAACACCAGAAAACCAATAAGGAAGTCAGATCCAATGACAGAGTTTAAGTGACCTCGAATGTGATTTGATCTAACCCTTCACTTTATAGAAGGGAAAATCAAGGCTCAGAGAAAGAATGAAAACGTAGCTTGTGAGTGGCAGAATCAGAACCAGTGTAGGACTCCCTACCCTGTACCACCATGCTAATACTTCAGTAGGAAATAAGTAATCAGGATGAACATAAGCCAATGCCCCAGCAAGGGCTGGTTCACTACATTAAACTCAACTTGAGCTAGATGAGGATGCCTGTGTATGGACACCCAAATGGTCAGAAGGTCAAAAACACATCAGTGAAAAATGGTGGGGCACCAAGACTTACAAGGAATGGACGGGGATCCCTATTTGGTTCATCTGAATGACTTTGGGAATGGAATTAAAGGCACATAAATAAAAATGGTGCCATGACACCGAAGGAGGGAAATGGTCATCCAACTACTGGAGAACAGTAAACTGAAGAAATGAGAAGGCTGTCAGATGACAATAGAGAGAGATCCCTTATTCTTCACATGAAGAACGAAAGCACTCAGCTTTGCGCAGCACCAACATCCTACACCTCCTAAATTCTAAGTACTTAAACTCACCAAGCCTCTGTTTCATTCATGAAATGTACCTAGTATCTGTACTACCTACATGTCAGGGTTGTCATAAGAATCAAAATTAGATGGGCCAGACATGATGGCTCACTCCTGAAATCCCAGCACTTTGAGAGGCCGAGGTGGGGGGATCACTTGAGCCCAAGAGTACAAGACCAGCCTAGGCAACATAGGAAGATCCTATCTCTATAAAAAATAAAAATGAAAAAATTTAGCCAGGTGTGGTGGTACACGCTTGTAGTGCCAGCTAATCAGGAGGCCATGGTGGGAGGATCGCTTGAGCCCCGGAGGTCAAGGCTACAGTGGGCCATGATTGCACCACTGCAAATCAAAATTAGATAATGCAGATCAAAGTTTTATAGTTTAGAAAATATTATAAAATCATAAGGAGATAATATTCTTTGTATTATCATGTTCTTGCTTTGTGAGCCAAGAAGATCCTGAAGGTACAGAATTTGTAGCTTTACCATAATAGCCTCCTTGAATTCTCATAGACTAATAACTGTACACAGAGTGAGGTGATCTAAAATGCCAGAGTAAATGGAAGGGCAGAATCAAGAAATTAGTCTCAACAGAATCAAAGAGGAGTGAAGACGGAAGTGGTGAATGGCACAAGCAGAGTGTTACCAGTGACCAGACCACAGAGACAACTGGCAAACACCCCCACCTGCCACCCCTCATCAGGGAATGGCTAACTATGACACTGCTCACAGAACCTCATGGGATGGGCTCAGTTTGAGGTAAACACCCTGTCACATTTGCCTCCGACTGAGCAAGTTGCGACCAGGAAAAGCCTTCCTGGAGTTGGGAATGTGGGGTCTGCAGTGCAGTCATTAATCATTTGTCAGCCTCACTGCTGAATGAAACCCCACAAATGAGTAAAATTTCCAGATAACTGGCATGTTCCCCACTTAAATATAAAGTTTTCTATATTTTAAACTCTCTTGATTAGAAATCTCTCTAAAATATATTCCACGCTGTCCTAACAATCGAGTCTCTATAAGCCAGAATAACCTTTACATACATCACTTAACGTGTAAGTTACAAGTCAGCAACGACCCTGCAAGGAATGGCTCCAGACTACTATTAATACTACACCTTTTGAGTCCTTGAAGCTGATTTTTAGGATTTTTCTAAAACTTCCTACACTGTTAGCAGAAAGAAAGATGACAATATGCTACACATGCTTTCGCCTTTAACAATGCCTGTCCTCAAATCCTCAAGGAAGTACTAGCAAGACAAATTCGGCAACATACAAAAAGGATCATACACAATGATCAAGTAGAATGTACACCAAGAATAAAAGGTTAGTTCAACATATGACCATATGTTCATCTCAACAGACAAAAAAAACCCCACATTTGACAAAATCCAATACCCTTTCATACCCTTTCATGATTTAAACACACACACACGCAGAAACACACGCACACCAAATTATGGATAGAAAGGAACTTCCTCAAACTAATAAAGGGCTTCTACAAAAACCCACGTCCTATTTAATGGTGAAAGACTGAATGTTTTTCCTTTAAGATCAGGAACGAGATAAGGATGTCCACTCTTGTCATTCTATCCATCTTCCTTACAGAGCCACTGTAAAGATTAAATAAAATAATACATATGAAGTGATTGGCATTTAGATCTTCTGTCAGCTCTACATCTAAGTTAGTTCTCCCTGTTATACCTGGTTCCACTTATCAGAGTTGTGAGTTAATATCTGTTTCTTAGATTAACTGTGTCTCTCCAAACTAGACTGCATTGGTAGCTCCAAGGTATAACTGTTGTTGTCACCACTGTATCCTGAGCGCCCAGTACAAAGCTTGGCCCACCAAACAAATGAATGGACAAATGATAGCTTTTCCTGTTTTTAAGCAAGAAATTTTAAGATGTTTTCTAGTTCTTTACCTGCCTTCAGGCAGTCCCACTCCTCCTGCACTATAAAGACTCCATCATATTACCCAACTTCCTATGGTGATCCACCCAACAGTCCTCATAGCAGAGGAATTAATCATTCTCATTAACATCGGCAGCAGCATCACAAAACAGCAACTATTTTTGCAATGATTTTTCAGATAAGGTAATCCAAGTAAGCTAAAGGGAAGTAGAAAGTCTGAGAAATTAAGTCCCGGCATTAGTTCCTCTAACCAAAAGGTGGAAAGAAAGAGAGCAAGAAAAGCCACAAAATAATCAGAGAAGTCAAAGAGAAAAGAGTACACAAGGGCGATCAGTGAAAGGAGACGGAGGTGAGGGGCACACATGGATGATGAGGACAGATTTTCCCAGAAACAAAGAGGGAAGAGAGACATCAGCACTAGAAAGTAGCTCCAAGGTCTTTTGGCCCCACATCTTGTTTTACTCCAACAAGGCAGGACTGACTAATGTTCAATGATCAGGAGTCTTGCTCAAGGTCACTAAGTTACAGAATCAAAGTGAGAGAGGCTATGACCCAGGTATCCTGGCTTCAAAGCCAATGCTCTAAAAATAAAAATATATATTAGAATCACATGAAAAGTCTCATTGGTTCCAATTCCAGCTGCACCACTTTCTAGCTGCTCTATGAATTTGAGCCATCTGGTCAACCTCCCAGCACCTCAGCTTCATCATTTATGAAGTGAAATTTTGCAAGATTACCAGTGTGATTAAATGAGACCATGTAGGGAAAGCACCTAGTATTTCACATTGAAGCTCCATTCCTTTTTTAAAAATTACAGAACACTTTCTATTTGCCAAAGATAAGGAGGCAAGAATAAAAGAGACTGTAAACAAACAACCTACAGAATGGTAGTAAATATTTGCAAACTTTGCATCCGACAAAGGCTTAATAACTTAAATCAATAAGCAAAAAAACAAATCCAATAAAACGTAGGCAAAGAACATGAATAGACACTTCTCAAAAGAAGACATACACAAGGCCAACAAATGTAAAAAAATGCTCATCATCACTAGAGAAATGCGAATCGAAACCACAGTGAGATACCATCTCACACCAATCAGAATGGCTTTTGTTAAAAAGTCAAAAAATTACGGATGTCGGTCAGGTTGTGGAGAAAAGGGCGCGCTTCTATACTGTTGGTGGGAATATAAATTAGTCCAGCTACGGTGGAGAAGTCTGGAGATTTCTCAAAGAACTAAGAGCTGAACTACCATTTGAGCCAGCAATCCCATTACTGGTTATATACCCAAAGGAAAATAAATCATTCTACCAAAAAAGATATATGCACTGATATGTTCATTGCAGCATTATTCACAATAGCAAAGGCATGGAATCAATCCAGGTGTCCATCGACAGTGAACTGGATAAAGAAAATGTGCTACATATGCACCACAGAATGCTACACAGTGAAAAAAAGAAAGAAATCATGTCCTTTGAAGCAATGTGAATGCAGATGGAGGCCATTTTCCTAAGGGAATTAACACAGGAGCAGAAAACCAACTATTGTAGGTTCTCACTTATAAATGGGAGCTAAACATTGGGTATACCCATGTAACAGACCTGCACGTGTGCCCTTGATTCTAATAATATATATAGAGATTGACCACACTCTGTCCTAGCAAATAAATGATTGTCTGGAGGACCTTGAATGAATACAAAAGGAACCAGGGAATAAAAAAGAAAGTAGTTGTGGATGAGAACAGAGGGCCTGCAGGCAAAGGTCTTCTCTGGGACACAGAGAAATGCTTTAGAAAACAAAATTAAGACTGCAGGCCGGGTGCGGTGGCTCACACCTGTAAACCCAGCACTATGGGAGGCTGAGGCAGGTGGATCACTTGAGGCTAGGGGTTCAAGACCAGCCTGGCCAAGATGGCAAAACCTTGTCTCTACTGAAAATACAAAAAATTAGCTGCGTGTGGTGGTGCACACCTGTAATCTCAGCTATTCAGGAGGCTGAGGCATGATAATCACTTGAACCAGGGAGGCAGAGGTTGCAGTGAGTCGAGATCACACACTGCCCTCCAGCCTGGGCGACAAAGTAAGACTGCCTCAAAAGAAAAAAAAAAAGTAAGACGGCAACTCTGGCTGAGAAACTGAACCTGAAATCACACGGCTTGCCTCCCATTCTGAGAGATGCCAATGAAACACAGCAAGGGTACAGATTTGTCTGACAAAAGCTATTTTTAAGGAGAAACCAATATTTTAATAAAGATTGTTTTGTGGCGAAAGATTCAAATTACATACCACAGAGCTAAACAAACATCCCTGACAGAAATCCCTGTTCTTCCTACAAAGGGTTATTCCACTGCACCAGTGGCCTCATCTCCCTTTCTCCTCCTCTCGTAACAAAGCCTTTTCAACACTCCCTCCATATATCCCATTCAACAAAGCAAAATTCTGGAAGTGAGCCTCTGAGAAAGCATCCATTGTTCCTCCAGCACTGAGATCTGTGGACATCCTGTCATCAGTCCTTTCCCATTCACAGGCTATCTGTAAGCCCCTGATAGATAGTGTCTAGGCTTGTATCTGGAATGGACAGCAGGGTAGAGCTCCCACCCACAAAAACAAACAGGAAGCAAGCCACAGGGCCACATTGGCTTCCAACCCAGAGACCCCTGCAATCCTTCAGCACCAAACAGAAACACAGTGTCTTGGTGGTTAGAGCCTTGTGGTCTTCAACCACCTCATCCCTGGAGTTCTGGGATATCCCAAGAAAATAACAACTAAGGAGGGAATGAGGTCAAAACCCGGGATGGGCTAAGAGGTAGACACTAGGGCGGAGTGAAATACAACATGCCCCAAGCCAGAGCCCTCATCCACAAGGGAGCCTTCTGCCAGATGCTTACCTATTATGAGGTTTGTTACTCAGGTGTAAGAAGCAAGGGCAAGGGCAGTAGAGGTGGAGGTCAACCAGGAAGCATCTGCAAGTATAGTTAGGTTGACCAACCATCCCAGTTTGCCTGGCACTGCCCTGGTTTTAGCAGTGAAAGTCCCACATCCCAGGAATCCCTGGCCCTGTGTGAACCCCTGCTCTGGCTAACTGCCCTAGGTGCAGTGTCCCTTCCCCTTCCTCGAGAATGGTTTCACTAGCAAGACAGTAAAACACCCCTGGCACACTAGGGGTGCCACAGGTGCTGCCTGTAGCCTTGCCAGCTAAGCACATGACCTCTCTTAGAGAAGGGCTTTCTCAATGCCTTGGCTCCTAAGTGAAGTCATGGAAAAGTAAGGAAGAAACGGGTGCTGAAAAAGCAAGCTCAGTCCTTCTGGATGGCCCCCAGGCAGACAGGAGCCCAGGCCTCTGGCTCCAGCTTGCCAGGGTCACAGAGATGTTCTTCAAAAACTGGCACTTGGCCTCACCAGCTTCTCCCTCCACTATCTATCCAGGATGGATCTGGGGAACCAAATGAATAAAATTAAATGCTATGCAAGGGTATAACACAACAATTATTAATAACCTCATATTAATTTCAATGTATGTATTTTTATACAAATTCTAAAAACTGCAAACTCCTCCCACCCATCTCCACAAAGTCTTATCCTCTTGGGCCACTCTGCCCACATTTACAAAACTAAGCCAAAGGGAAACCACGTATCCCACCATCACCACCGCCCCACTGCACAACAGAAACTTAGACTAACTGCAGTCTCCTAAGAGACCTTGAGCAAGGACCACCAGGCTATGCTTTTTTCTGAAAACCTGACTCACAGAAACTATGAGAGAATAAATGATTATGATTGCTTTAAGCTGTTAGGTTTTGAGGCAATTGGCTACCAATACACTGTGCATATCTGCTACACCAACTAGAGTTATTTACCAAATCAACAGATTATGCATTTTTAAAAAAAGGTGTCAATGTATCCTGTTTCCTGGGGTTACATTTAACATTTAATGTGAGGTACTGACAGTGGCTTCACTGACCACACCAGCACCCCCTCTTACCCACCTAGTATTCTCTCACAGACCCATATATGCTTACATACACACTCCAAGCCAATCACCGCTTGCTTGCTTTCTGTTAAGGAGGTTGCTCTGTCTGTGGATTCCTAAGTGGCTATGTAGGAAGGATAGCAATATGAGCAGCCACAAGAGAAATGCCCGTCTAGGTATACAGCAACACAGCGAGACCCAATTACATGTGTGTGTGTACGCATGTGCATAACTGAAGGCTCAAGGGAGACCCTGAGCAACCACACAGGAGACAAGGCATGAGTTTTTTCATCCGTCAGACAGCAGAATGAGGAGCAGGCAACTGAACAAGAAGAAGATGGATTTTGAAATCAAGCAGAGAAAGGGCAGAAAAAGATCCTCACATACAGATTTCTGAAAAGAAAAACAGAGCTCTGAGGTTTACTTCTAAGTGCCTCAGAGTCCCTGGACTGCCTCAGCTTCATGGCAAAAAAATGGTTAGCAACAACACTGTGCTGATCCCAGACAGCAATCCTAGAAACCATGGTGATGGGTACCATTAACTCTGATCAATAGATGGAAAACCTTCCAGAGGCACACGCCAATCCAGATCCAGTTAAAGTGCAAGCAAACGGCAAATCAATAGTGCTGCAGAAGTGCAGAGGGACAGACAAACGGCTCACAGGGTGGCAGGAGTGGCCCAGAATTTGAATGTGCTTATCAATGTGGCTGAGAGGCTGAAACTGACAAAGAAGAGATAGATGGAAAGAAAATGTTGAGAAATGGCATTTTTGCAGGAGGCTGAGTGCAAATGCAAATCGTGCTTTGTCTCCTAATCTGTGACAGGGGGGTCCATCAAAGACAAAGTCAAAGAAGCAAACGAAGATCAACTCCAACTCTCAGCTCCTACCTCCACTAAAACCAAGGCCCAAGAGGACTGAGGGTAGAACGGAAATTCAGAGATCAAGTACCAAGTTGACGAGGATCTCAGAATCTTCATGAGCAAGTCCGAGGTGCTTTTCATATGAGTCACTAATTCCTCAGCAACAGACTCAGAGCTGCTGCACTCTGACCTGCACTCTGGTTGACCTGATGTATTACACCTCTTTCTAAAATACCAGAGCATGTTTGGAAGGGCAGTATTCACCCCAGAAAAGCTAGGAGGTACTTCTGTATGCTCCAAGGCAACTCCCTTCATACTACAGCCAGCTGAGAAGCAATTTTTAAACAAACACACAAAAACACAAACATCTCACTGTGGTTCTTCCACCAACTTGTCTCTAAACTTTGGCAAATCACCTGACATTGAATTTCCTGTCATGAAAGGTAGAGAGTACCCTATTTACCCACCTCTGCAGCACATGAGAAAAGAAAAAGGACACATCTGGAAAGCAGTGAGAGAATGAGAGTAAGCCCAGGGTATCATACCAGCAAGACAGAATCTGAAGTTCTAATTTTACATTCTCATTT
Source organism: Homo sapiens (assembly GCF_000001405.40). Taxonomy (NCBI): domain Eukaryota; kingdom Metazoa; phylum Chordata; class Mammalia; order Primates; family Hominidae; genus Homo; species Homo sapiens. Next base: position 162,136,522 of record NC_000001.11, on the reverse strand, counting down.
CCAAAAACTGCTGCTGGTTCTATGTTTTTCCATATGATACGGTAATCTACAAGACTGAAGCTCCATAAAGAAAAGAATGATGTCTTGCATTTCTTTTGTATCCAGCCCAATACTGAATACATGGTAGGTATTCAAAGAATTAGAAGAGGTTAGATAAGATTAAGGGAGTTGGAGGATCATGAGCCTAGATCTATATCATAAAATACTTGGTCAAATAACACCATACATTAAAAAATAAATAAATAAATAAAGAATCCCCATCTCAGTAGCTGTTTTCCTGCCCCAGAACTACCTTTCTTTATTATACCTCTTCAAATTCTACCCCACTTCAAGACACAGCTCAAATTGCATTTTCTTCCCTGTGAAGCACTCCCTGACTACTCCACACCATAGCAGTACCCTGCTCCTCTGAAGAATGATGTACAGCATTTGTTGAGGCCATTTTTATAGTACTAACTCGGGTTATTTCAATGTTTTCACTTGCTTCTATAACATAGCTTTCACTAGACTCCCAGAATCTCAGGATTCTAAATTGTATTATACACCTAAATCATATTCCTCTACAACACTAGACAACAGTTGTACATACACAGGAAAGTCAATAAAAAATAAATTTTTAACAAATTTTTTAAATGCTTAAAATTCCCACTACAAAATAATCAATTACAATATTCCATTCCTAAACAAATTTAAGTAACATGGGTGAATCAAATGAAACGTGGTCCACTACATGCACAAAGTTCATTTAGATGGAGGCCTTTAATGTTCCCAAAAGTAAGTCAGCCTCTTTGCCACTTTTGGTCTTGAAATTCACCGTCCCCGAGTTTCCAGAGGTCAGAAGTGTTCAAGTCACCCTCATGCTTTAAGGCAGAACCCCAGATGGTGAGAGTAATTGTATTACAACGCAAACCTGGGTCTGCAACCTCCCTGCACAGACCTGGCTGCCCCCTTGGGAGATGCAGAAGGCTTCTGCTTCTCAGGGTCCAAAATAAATGCCAGTTCTGCAGACAGAACAGGTGTCCCCCCATCAAGATTATATCCACAAATCCAGGACATTTGTACCAACTGTTCCTGTCCTCCAGTACTGGAAACCTTCCAGAATGAGAAATAAATTCATCTTCCCACAATTCCAAGAGCCTGTCTTTCCCCCTTGCAGTATATGAAAGTCGAAAACCTTTGCAGATACTCAGTATCCACACTGTCCTTGAGTAGCCTGCATCCTGACATGACCCAGCCAGTCCTTCCATCAGCCGGCAACCAATACCTCTGAGGACATAAAAAACAAAAGACATGACATCTGTCTTCTAAACGTTAACAGTACACATAAAGAGAGACATATGATTCAACAGTGACAATGTGCTAAGGTCACTGCTGTAATAAGGTTATATCTACCAAGTCCAGTAGAAGCACAGAAAGGCAAACACCTAATTTGCTTGGATACAAGTCAGAAGTACTCACAGAGAAGATAATTTTTGAACTTGAAGGATAAATAGTTGGTTGGATAGAAATAGAGAAGGCAGGCCATTCTAGGCAGGAACATCAGCGTGCATAGAAATGGAGAGTTGAGGCAGCATGGCCTGTTGGTGTGTTCAGATGCTACAAGTCCTCTGCCAGATGAGATAAGGCTGAACATGCAGGCAGGGTCAGGTCATGAAGGCCTTGCATTGCTACTCTTAAGTCATGTGCAGCCACCTAAGGGTTTTGAGCCACGAACTTTGATCAGGTTTATATGGCTGCTTCATGGATGATAGATTGGAGAGGACATGACAAGAGACCAGTGACAGATAAGAAGGACCTAAAACAGAGCAAAAGAATCAGGGATAGGAGGAGAGGATATCTGGGAGATAATAGGGACAGGACTTGGAAACTGATCAGATGTGGCTGTTGGAGAGGGAGATGAATTCAGGGTAATTTTCAGGATTCCTTAATCCTTCCACTGAATGCATGCATCTCCACATCTTGACTTTTTCCCTACTCTCCTTCCTCTCCTCCCCCATTTACAGCACTACGGTTTTACTTTTTTTTTTTTTTTTTTTTAGACAAAGTCTCCCTCTGTCACTCCAGGCTGGAGTGCAGTAGTGTGATCTCAGCTCAGTACAACCTCCACCTCCCGGTTCAAGCGATTTTCATGCCTCAGCCTCCCCAGTAGCTGGAATTACATATGCACCTCCAAACCTGGAATTTTTGTATTTTTAGTAGAGATGGTGGTTTGCCATGTTGGCCACGCTGGTCTCAAACTCCTGGCCTCATGTGATCTGTCTGCCTCGGCCTCCTAAAGTGCTGGGATTACAGGTGTGAGCCACTGCGCCCAGCCCAGTTTTGCTTTGAGATAAATTATCCATTATACCAGGGCTTACTATAGCTCACTCCTTAGATTCATGAATTTAGCATAAATAGTGTCTTAGCTTTTACTGACTGTTTCACCTGTGTTTTATCCTATTAATTGAATTCTTAAGGTTTCCTTTTAAACTGAAATTCATTTTCTCCCAATTTTAGAAGAGATACAATTTTTTGGAAAGTCTTCTCTTCCTTCTCTCCTCCCCAGTTAGCTTATCTCACATCAAGTTCATGGGGCAGGAACTGGATCTAATTCTATGTACTACTTCATGCCAAGCATGTTCTTGGCATTCGTTGAATGCCGATTACTTCTACAGGCCACAAAAAATAATAACAACAATCTATAAATACCTTGGCTTCCTGCAGTTGAGAGGAATTAACCACACTGCAATTAAGGAAAAGCTGGAGAAAACATTTAGTTAGCAGCTTCTCAAGGCAGACAATAAGATTAAGGTAATAAATACCAGTTCCAACATATTTCTTTGGAGATGTTTCATAAAATAGTCCAATAAAATGCTAAAGACCACCCAATGCCACAGCAGAATGCTAACCACATATGAGTCACTCAAAAGCCAAAATTGAACAGATTCATCTATCATGTAAAAGGGATAGAAGAATAAACATCAACAATTTATACTGCTGCCAGATTATAAAAAGGAAAGCTTGTTATAAAATCTAGTTCACATAAAATATCACACTTTTAGAATAATAAGACAGCAAGAGAGTATGATTTCATTCATAGACTTTTAGATAAAACTATAAATGGTATCTGGGTTTAGGCACAATGGTAACCAAGACGGGTATGATATCTACAATAATTGGTCCTAGGCAAGAATCAATAGATAAGACAGATAAAGGATAAAATATGACAAAACATTTGTTAAGATTAGAAGATCTTCTGAGGCAACTTAGGAAAGCATTACCAACACAGTGCATCTAATAAAATAATGACTTGTCTTTGTTAATACAGTTTAATTCAAAATTTCAAAGATTAAACCCAAGAATATAGACAAATTAAGCGTACTAATATAATAAGCACACACCTGGAAAATATTTTAGGTAAATGGCTGCTACAGAATGAACTCAGATGGGATATGAAGCAATGGACCCAGAAATCCCAGCCAACACGTGATATTGCAATATTCCATCATTTACTATCACACTGGACCTCACTGATGCAGAAGTTTCCATTAGGCGCCAAGTCAAAAGAGATCACAAAAGAAAAGACAAGTAAGTGTATAGCTCTGACAGAAGAGCCAGAGCAAACAAGGAAATTGGGGCACATGCAGGCAAAGTGGAGAATCTCAGCAAGAAGAGAGCTCTGGTTTCAGAAACAGACCTTTATCCATGGCACCCAGAACACTGGTAACTGGGGAAAACTGAAGGAGTGTGGAACCTGGGAGGGGTCACTCATAGATTTGCAGGGCTGGAGGAATCAATATGGAGACCTGTGGGTTGGGAAGCTATGCTATAGATTCCTATTATGTCATCATCAAAATATTTTATACCAATAACAGTTTCAAACCAAGTTTACTACTACTTTCCATATTGCTTTAATGAGCTAAGATTAGGCTGAGCAATTATTAAGTGCTATCATTAAATAATAATCATCTGATTGCCGTGATCTCACTTTATCAGATAATCCTGTCCAAAGGCAATTCTCCTGTGTTTCACTAGACCTGAAGGTCACGGAGAAATCTCTGTATTTTTTTCTTGACTTTATCTTTCTACAAAGATCATTTCTCCTATGAGGATCTTATCGAGGTGGGTAGAAAATTATTTTACATACTAGCATCACTTTGTATCCATCTACTCTAATCTCTCCAGATGTAAATCCTCCCATCACAAGCTTCTTCCTATGGATTCTCTTGCCTGGGGAGGCATATTTGAGTTGCATTTCCTCCAATGTGCGTCACCTTCCCAAAGAATCCAAGGATGCCATCAACTTCTGTTAGAGGGAGCATTATGTTTGGTATAGCACATCCGGTATTTGGCAGAGTCAGGAGTCCTTCACCCTCCCAGGAACTGTACTTTGAAACTTCCCATAATCCTCCACTGTGATCATAATGTTTCAGCTCACCTTCCAGGCAGGCCTAGGAATCACATGTCTGGGACACACACATGCCATTATCACCAAATAGATTTCTTGATAGTCATTTAAAGGACCCTTCACTGTGCAGTTTACAGTTTCAAAGTATTTTCACACATCTCATTTGATCCTGGTGACAATCCCATTAAATAAGCAAACAAGGTTGCTACCTCTGTTTCACAGTTAAGAGGCCTAAAGATTAGAGAACTGTAGATACTTGCCCAAAGTTTGACAGCAGTACAGGGAATAATGCCAGACATACTGACTGAGGCCATATGTAAAATCATTTTCTGTCTACCTTGGTGCCTTCTCCTCCTCTCTTTATCTTAATCACATCCTCCCAACCAAAAAGAAAAAAAAAATGCCGCCTTATAACACTGGAGCTCACAGAATGGTCCAAGAGGCCCATAAAACGGGCTGTTTCAGCTGAGCTTGGACAGCAGCTAAATCAAATCACCTTTGAATACTTTCCAACCTCCCAGGGAAATGTCCCTGCAAGGACATTGCACTTTGGATCAGTCTGTTTACCAATCTAAATGAGAGCCTCTTTCCATGGGAAATCACAGACTTAACTATTCCTGGCCCACATCCCTCAACAGCTAATATAATAAAGACCCTAATATCTCTGTGCTCCCCTTTCTGTCCTATTGTGGCTTGCTGCATTATTAAAATGCAGCTGATTCTGTGTCAAGTGACAAGCCACAATAGGGCAGAAAGGGGAGCATAGAGATATTAGGGTCTTTATTATATTAGCTGTTGAGGTATGTGGGCCAAGAATAGTTAAGTCCATGATTTCCCACGGAAAGAGGCTTATTTAATAAAGTTATTTTAATACAGTTATTTGCTTATTATATATGCTTCCTACTGCACTGAGAGCCCGCAAGACTAAAGATTCCTTGAAACTCGAAACCTAGCACCTAGCACAGAACACAAGCAAGCGTTCAAACATTCGATCAAATATAAAATACGCAGTAGTTCTAAAGGGTCATGCTTTTCACTATATTCACTGGCCCCTGCTGTACAAGTTTGAAGGGGAAACTCCTCCATTTGCAGAAAATGGTAAGAAAATAGGAAAGCATTTCTGTTTCACTCACAACTAAGTCTTTTTTCTAAACCTGTTTGCCTAAGTTTCAATTTTCTTTTATCCATAAAAAGATGGAAGGGAATTAAATTTGTAGATGCCAAATCTGGACTACCCGACCTACTTGATCCCAATCCAAAAAATCTGTTAGGTCTAGAGTAAGGACTGAGAATTAGTAACATTTTTTAAAATTCCTTAGATGATTCTGATGATCAACAATCCATTCACCCACCAAATGTTAGGGTACACACTAAGCAGTTTTTATTCTAATAAAACTGATGTGTCATCTGCCTGGCTGACTGCAGAGTCAAGTTTTAAAATGCTAGACTAGGTGACTTCTCAGCGGTCTCATTCTTCTCTATAAAAAGCCTCTAGAAAAGCCTTTTCCTTGCCTTAAATAAGTCTTACTCTGATGGGAACCTCAGCAGAGATGGCCTAATGTACTTGTCTGTTCCTCCTATTCTTGGGAGGTGGCAAGAACAGGGCTTTCAGCAGGTGCCAGCATAGTCACAGGGATACTGCCTGAGAAACAGAGCAGGGCAGCTGAATGCTCAACACCTGTAATACTAAAGCTCTTAACAGCTCTTGAAGGGTAACCAGTAAGTATCCACTAGGTGCAAAGCACCACAATTGACCACTGGGGTGAAATAAAAACTCACATATTTGTTATTGAGCATTGTGGTCTCTAATGTCGGAAAGACCTGAATTCAAATCCTAGTTCTGCCACTTACAGGCTGAGAGATCTTAACTTAGTTACTTACCCTCTCTGTGCCTTTGTTTTCTCATCTGCAAAATGAAGAAGATGCAATCTTCCTTATAGGGCTATTGTTATTATAGCCATTATCAGAAATAGCCGTAACTCCACCTGTACATATATACAATGTCTGTAATGCCATACATTGAACAGAAGCTCAATGTATGGTAGCAGTTGCTATTTCTACATTGCAGCACTAAATTGGTACTAAGAAAGATAGAAAGTCTAGCACAGCATCTCCCTTAGTGAAAGGTTTATATTCGACACTCAACCAACAAGTATAAATTAAACCCAAGTAATTAATTAAGCATATTCATTACTGTGGGAGTTAGAGGTCTCTATCCTCAAGGGACTTACAATTTAGATGGGAAAAGTTAATATGCATAAATCAATCACAGATAATACAGGCATGATATTGCATTTAGCTGTGTCATAAGCTCTGCAAACACTGCCTAGGCCAAAAAGAGGGAGACGGCATGTCCTCGAGGGGCTGGCGATGGGTCAGCAGTGCCCTGGTGGCTAGGAAGATTGATTCAGTTTTTTCAATACATAGTTAAGCGTCTGCTGTGGACCCAACACCAGGCTTACCAAGAGATAGAGCAGTTTAATAAAACAGAATCAATAACTCAAGGAGCTCACATTCTCATGAAGACCAGTGTCAATGTATTAAGGGTTCTAAAGGGACTGTACGATTTGCTAATGAAACAGAGATCAGGGACAGCTTCAGAGGATGCAGATTTGAGCTGAGCCCATTAGGACAAATAGATCTATAGAAGCAAAGGATATTTAGGCAGGGAAAACGTGAGAGGTAGGAAAACACATTGTGTGACGCAGGGCAGGGACAGGACTGGTCTGAGCAGAATAGGGAGTAGATGCTGTGGGCTAGTGGGCAACAATCAGGGTTTAAAAAATGAGGCTGGATGGCAGAGAGACCAGCCTACTTATACAATTATGGGGAGGACACCTAAAGAAACCAGTTATACAATAACACAAGGCATGTGCGACCTCAGGCCAATTGAGGGGACAGAGAATCCTGAGGAAAGACAGATCACAGAGGGCTAGAACGGTCAGATGAAGGCTTAAGTGAGTCATAAAGAGGAACGAACACACAGAAAACACAGGTACCAAGGAGGCGGAGCTTAGCTGGGGACCCAAAACACTTTGGCATGAAATGACAAGAACATTAAAAAAAAACTGATGCATTTAGCATACAACAATGTATTACTTCAAATCCCTGTCTGCAGAATAAAGGTGAAATAAACCTAGGGGTTATCAGCGCCTAATGAGAATCTCCTAAAACTGGGGAAAAGAATCAATGGTTCCATTGGAATCCACCCTTAAGTGACTCAACAGCCACTAAGCTAAACGGCTAACAGGGAAGTCCCAGGCTGGCCTCACAGGACAGCAACTGATCCCCAGTGGTCCAGAAAAATCCTCATTTTAAACTGATTTCTTCAAGTAACAAAAGAAAGCAGGGGGTGGGATGTGAAACAGATTTTTTTTTCCCTGTTTGTAGAATTCATAGGCTAACAAATTACCTTGCAAATAGCAGACACTTAACTACATACCTTGTGAATAAAAAGAGAAGAGAAAATGGATAATAAAAAAATAGGAAAATCTATCCTCTATTAAATAAAGAAGATTACAAATACACTTAGGTTTGGAATACAAATTTTTTTGAGGAGTTTTTGTTAAGGTGTGTTGAATAATGATGAAGAAAATTATCAATATTTAATATAACATTGAATATTTATTTCATTCTGGCATGATAAATTTGTGTATATATGTATAAGAAATGAATACTTTGTGATTAGAATTGAACTATAGGAGAATAGAGATTGTTGAGTGAATTGAAATAACAATTCAACTGAATTAATATACCCCCAAAAATAGAAAATGCAACACAATAGAAAGTATTTTTAAAAACCCAAGTGCATACAGAAATGTAGTGTATGGTAAACGTGTATTTTCATTTAGTGGAGAAAAAAATTTAACTTATTAATAAACAATGTTGGGACAATCAGGTTGCCATTTAGAAAATATAAAATTAGATTTTTTACCTTATGCTGCATATTAGGATAAATATCAAATGAATGAAAGATATGAATTACATTTAAAAAAAAAATCCAAGTACTAAAAGAAAACATGGATGATTTCCTTAATACCCTGCAATTGACCAAAATCTTGCTATACTTCAAAATCCAGAAGCATTAACATAAGAGATTAATAAATGTAATTATATAAAAGCATACAAACTATGTAAACTATGTAAAAGCATAGCAAAACAAAAAAAAACATAAGCAAATCATCATTTTTTTGGTGTAAAAATGTTTGTAGTTATATGCAGAGGTTTGTTCTTATTCTTAGTGATATGGTTTGGATCTATGTCCCCACGAAATCTCATGTCGAATTGTAATCCCCAGTGTTGGAGGTGGGGCCTGGTGACAGGTGACTGGATCATGGGAATGGGTTTCTCATGAATGGTTTGCACCATTCCATTTGGTACTGTCCTTGCGATAGTGAGTTCTCATGAGATCTGGTCATTTAAAAGTGTGTGGCACCTTCGTCTCTCTATTGCTTCTGATCCAGCCTTGTGAAGTGCCTGCTCCCCCTTCACGTTCTTCCACAATTTTAAGTTTCCTGAGGCCTCTCCAGAAGCAGAGAAGATGCCAACATCAATCTTCCTATACAGTTTGCAGAACTGTGAGCCAATTAAACCTTTTTTTTTTTTTTTATAAAGTACCCAGTCTCAGGTTATTTCTTTATGGCAATGCAAGAACGAACTAATACATTTAGGATGTTTATCTTAAGTATTTAGTGATGAAGTATGAATAATCCCTACAATTTATTTTCAGATGGAATAGTAAAACGGTGTTTATGTGTATAAAGAACTATAACACAAATATGGCAAATTTATTAAAACTTTGTAAACCCAGATGGAGAATACGAGGTCATTGCACTATACTTTCAACTTAAAAAGTTTTCAAACAAAAAGTTATATGTGGTTGGGGTAGAGAAATACCATAAGTAAGATCAAAAGACAAATGACAAAGTAGAAAAAAAGCTTACAACATATCACAAAGGGCTTGTATTCCTAATATACAACAAGCTCCTAAATTTTGAGAAGACCAAAACCCTGATTTAAAAAAAAATATGGCAAAAGATATAAGCAGATGATTTACTGAAAAACAAATGCCAATGGCCCTTAAATGAAAAGATGCTCAATCTTACTCATAACAAAAGAAGTACAATTAAAACTCTACAGGGATACTATTTCTCACCTATCAGATAAGTAAAAATCCAAGTTTGACAATACATTCTGTTGGCCATGGTATAGAGAAACAATCATTGCTACAGAATGTAAGATTGTATATTCTTTATGGAGAGAAGTTTGGCAATACATAGCAAAGTTGCATATGCATTTACCTTTGACCCAGGAATCCCACTTCCAGGAATCTACACTGAAAACAAACTAGAAAATTATTAAATTATTTATGCACATGGTTATACATATGTGTACACATATGGATATTGTGACAGTATTTGTAAAAGCAAAAGGCTGGAAATGGTCCAAATATCAATCTATTGAAAACAAGTTGAATAAACCACATTCATCAGGATAAACTATATGGCTTTAAAACAGAGTCAGAAAGCATTCCATATACTTGCATGGATGATTTCCAGGATGTGGAAATTAAGTGTTGTTAAGTGAAAAAAAATTACAGAGAGAAAAAAAAAAAAGCATACCTTAACCAAACTGTGAAGGTTAACATCATCAAAAATGGAACAAACCAATATTTTGTGTCTCCTGATATGATGCATTAGGAAGGATATGGCATCATTTCTGTGACTTCCCTGTCCCAAATGCTAACCCTGAATCTAAACATGAGAAAATATCAGGCAAACACCAAATAATGGGCATTCTACAAAATAACTGGTCAAAATATAAGGAGGCCTGAAGTCCCAGCCAGAGCAATCAGGCAAGAGAAAGAAATAAAGGGCACCCAAATTGGAAAAGAAGAAGTTAAACTACATTGTTTGCCAATGATATGATCTTATACCTAGAAAAGCCTCAAGCCTCCTCCAAAAGACTCCTAGCTCTGATAAATGAATTCAGTAAAGTCTCAGGTTAAAAATCCATGTACATAAATCAATAGCACTGCTATACACCAACAACTGCCAAGCTGAGAATCAAATCAAGAACTCAATTCCTTTTACAATAAATGCAAAAATAAAATAAAATAAATATCTAGAAATATATTTAACCAAGGAGGTGAAAGATGTCTACAAGGAGAACTACCAAATGCTGCTGAAAAAAATCATAGATGACACAAACAAATGGCAATACATTCCCTGCTCATGGATTGGAAAAAATCAATATCATGAAAATGACCATACTACCCAAAACAATCTACAGATTCGATGTAATTCCTACCAAAATATCAAGATAGTTTTTCACAGAATTAGAAAAAACAATCCTAAAATTCATATGGAACCAAAAAAGAGCCCAAATAACCAAAGCAATCCTAAGCAAAAAGAACAAATCTGGAGGAATCACATTATTGGACATCAAATTATACTACAAGGCTATAGTAACCAAAACAGCATGGTACTAGTAAAAGCAGATACACACATCAATGGAACAGAATAAAGAACCCAGAAATAAAGCCAAATACTTACAACCAACCAAGTTTCAACAAAACATACAAAAACATACCTCGGGGAAAGGACACCTATTCAACAAATGATGCTGAGAAAACTGGACAGCCACAAGTAGAGAAGAATGAAACTAGATATCTATCTCTCACCATATATAAAAATTAATTCAGGCCAGGCGCGGTGGCTCATGCCTGTAATCCTAGCACTTTGGGAGGCCAAGGTGGGCAGATTGCCTAAGCTCAGGAGTTCGAGACCAGCTTGGGCCACATGGTGAAACCCCATCTCTACTAAAAATACAAAAATTAGCTGGGCATGGAGGTGGGTGCCTGTAATCCCAGCTACTCAGGAGGCTGAGGCAAAAGAATCGCTTCAACCCAGGAGGTGGAGGTTGCAGTGAGCCGAGCTTGTGCCACTGCACTCCAGCCCAGGTGAGAGTGTGAGACTCCGTCTTAAAAAAAAAAAAAAAAAAAAAGAGTCAGAAACAATAGATGTTGGCATGGATGTGGTGTAAAGGGAACACTTACTCACTGCTGGTGGGAATGTAAATTAGTACAACCTCTATGGAAAACAGTATGGAGATTTCTCAAAGAACTAAAAGTAGATCTACCACTCAATCCACCAATCCCACTACTGGGTATCTACAGAAGAAAAATAAGTCACTACATCAAAAAGACACCTGCATACATCTATTTACTGCAGCACAATTCACAATTGCAAAGACAAGGAATCAACCTAAGTGCCCATCAACTGATGAGTAGATAAAGAAAATACGGTGTGTGTGGCCATGCGTGGTGGCTCATGCCTGTAATCCCAGCACTTTGGGAGGCCAAGGCGGGCAGATCACCTGAGGTCAGGAGTTCGAGACCAGGCTGCCCAACATGGCAAAATTCCATTGCTGCTAAAAATACAAAAAATTAGCTGGGCGCGCTGGCGGGCGCCTGTAATCCCAGCTACTCAGGAGGCTGGGGCAGGAAATCGCTTGAACCTGGGAGGCAGAGGTTGCAGTGAGCCAAGATCGTGCCACTGCACTCCAGCCTGGACTACAAGAGCAAAACTCCATCTCAAAGAAAAAGAAAATACGGTGTGTGTGTGTGTCACACACACACACACACCATGGAATACTACTCAGCCACAAAAATGAATGAAATAATGTCTTTTGCAGCAACCTGGAAGGAGCTGGAGGCCATTATTCTAACTGAAGTAATTTAGGAATTGAAAAACAAATACCACATGTCCTCATTACAAGTCAGAGCTAAGCCCTGGGTACGCAAAGGCATTCAGAGTGGTCTAACAGACATGGGAGAGTCAGAAGGGCAGAGGGCAAGACGGGGGTGAGAGATGAAAAACTACCTAGTGAGTACGATGTACACTACTCGAGTGATATGTACACTAAAATCCCAGACTTCACCGCTATACAATGCATCCATGTAACCACAAACCACTTGTACCCCTAAAGCTACTGAAATTTAAAAATAAGGTTATGAAAGACAAAGAAAAATGAAACTACTACACATTAAAGAAGACTAAAGAGATATAACAACTAGATGTATTACACTAGCCTGGATTGGATCCTGGACAAGAACAAAAATTATTTTTTGTTATATAGAATATTAATGGTAAAATTTAAATAAAGTCTGTAGAGAAGATAATGGTATTGCCTCAATATTATTTTTTTAATTTGACAACTGTACTATGATTATATAAGAAAATATTCTTGTTTTTAGGAAATCCACTCTGAAGGACTTATAGAAGAAGGAACATCTTGTCTGTAACTTACTCTTAAATGGTTCAAGAAAAAAACAATGTGTGTGTGTATATAGATAGATGAAGGGATCAATGAATATGAGAGAGGGTGACTGGGGAAAGCGGGGTGAAGGGTAAATTGGAGTCCTTCATCCTATTTTTGTAATTTTCCTCTGTGTTTGAAACGATTTCAAAATAAGAAATTTAAAAATTTCAAATACACAGAATAGTAAATATAATATGCTCCCTTTTATTAGATTTAGGAAGGAGAAGGAAATATATATTTTTACATATGCAAAAGACAAACACTGAAAATATTATCCAAAAACTAATTTTAAAGTTTGTTTACATATAGGGTGAAAGAGGACACAGGTAGAGAGTAGGCATCTCTGGGGCACAGTGGCCCACACCTGTAATCCCAGCACTTTGGGAGGCCGAGGCAGGTGGATCACTTGAGGTCAGAAGTTCGAGACCAGCCTGGACAACATGGCAAAACCCATCTCTACTAAAAACACAAAAATTAGCCAGGCGTGGTGGCACATGCCTGTTAGTCCCAGCTACCCAGCCAGCTGAGGTAGGAGAATTGCTTGAACCCAGGAAGCAGAAGTTGCAGTGAGCTGAGAGTAGACATCTCTGAATATACTATGTTAGTAGCTTTGAATTTGGAATCAAGTGTTTTAGATATTCAAAAAATAAAAAATGTTTAAAAATCAGTAAAGCTTGGAAACAAACTGAAAACAAATGAATCTACTATTATCTCAAATTGGTGGCATAAGCACTGGAGAAAGTCAATATTTCAAAGATCTTCAGAGCACAGTATTTTTAACAATAAATACTCGTCGAATAGATTCTAAGCACAAAGAGAACTGCAGTATTATTGCAGAAATATTGGCATTTTTAAAACTATTCTATATATACTGTTGATAAAACAAATAAAACAAATAATTACATTTACATAATATTAGGAACCAAGATTTTGAATAAAAAGAAAAATATACAAGTATAAAATTAAAGAAGTTTAAATCCTGTAACGTCAGTTGTAATTAAAAATTGGGGGCTGGGTGCCATGGCTCATGCCTGTAACCCCAACACTTTGGGAGGCTGAGGTAGGCAGATCACTTGAGCTGAGTTCAAGACCAACTGGGGCAACATGGTGAAACCCCATCTCTACAAAAAATAAAAAAATTAGCTAGGCATGGTGGTAAGCGCCTATAGTCCCAGCTAATCAGGAGGCTGAGGTGGGAGGATCACTTGAGCCTGGGAGGTGGAGGTTGCAGTGAGCCGAGATCATGCCACTACACTCCAACCTGGATGACAGAGCCAGACCTTGTCTCAAAAAAAAAAAAAAAATGGGGATTCATTATATCATTCTCTCTACTTTCATATATTTTTTAATTTTTTCATAATAAAAAGTTCTTATGATATATCTCCCAAAGACCTACTACATGCGTAGCACAATGTGACCTTGGTTGGCTTCTGGAGGGTTGTCTACTCTTCCCTATAATTCAATTTCAGATTTAGTCATCCTGTGTGAAATAAAAATTGAAGTTATTTTGTTACATGCCCACCAAAGAGTTTATTTCACTTTTTGGCACTGGGGTTTTTTAACACTGATGATATCTGAAAGCACTGTTCTGGACACTTATCATTAGAAGCCAAGTTTCCCTCAACAACAGATCACGTGTCTTGCTTTATATCATTTACATTTGCTAATTATTATCTAGAGAAAAAGTGTCAGTGAATAATCTTATAATAATCAATGGGAGCTTCTCTACTTAAATATTCCTTGAAATTAATTGTCTTGTAACAAGAGGTCATTTGCAATTACAGTAATCATCCTAATTTATCTGTTGATAGATTCCAGCTTTTAAATACTAGGTTGTGAAAATAGAGGTTGACCTGCATTGTAATATGCTTGTTTCAAAGGACCTTAACTACAGTATTTAGAAATGGGTTATTGCGCCCCAACTGCGAACATTCAATTATTGCTTTATGTACTCTGTGCGGGAACATGATCTGAACAATTATCCCATATCCCCAAAGAGGTGAGGGTTCTACTTCCTGAGACAATCCAGATAATTAGAGAAGCCGGAGTCCTTTTTCTAAAGTAAAAACAATAAAAAGTAATGATTGCTAACTTTCACTGTTATTTTTGTTGTTATTGTTTATAATAGTTAACATTTACTGAGCACTTCATATATGGCAGACATGGTGCTAAGCACTTACACAGTCTCCTCAGTTTACCACTTCCTGAGACTCTCAGGAGATGATATGCCCAAAGTCACACAGCTGTAAAGGGCAAAACTAGTGTCCTCCACCATCTTCCTCTGGAAATGGAGATGCCATATCTGTCACTACCAGCTGTGACATTTGGAGACATTCACTTGGCCTCAGTTTCCTGGTTTGCACAATGAGAAGGTTGAATTAAACATCCTCTCCAAGGCCGGGCACGGTGACTCACACCTGTAACCCCAGCACTTTGAGAGGCTGAGATGGGCGGATCACTTGAGGTCAGGAGTTCGAGACCAGCCTGGCCAAACCCCGTCTCCACTAAAAATACAGAAATTAGCCGGGTGTGGTGGCATGCACCTGTAATTCCAGCTACTTGGGAGGCTGAACCAAGATCGTGCCACTACACTTGATCCTGGGCGACAGAGCGAGATTTTGTCTCCAAAAAAAAAACAAAAAACAAAAAAAAAATTCTCTCCAAGTCTGAAGTGATCGGTTTACCCCTCTCAAATGCAGTTTTTCAAATGAAAAAAAAAAAAAAAAAAAAATCCTAGTGTGCCAAGTTCTTTAGCAGAAAGGCATCTCTCTATAGGCCTCGACAGGACTTTGCAGTGATCACCCAGCTGAGTTCCTCATGAGAAATTCTGCTCATCAGAGATGTAGGTGAACAGGAAATTACAGTGCCAGAGGTCTTTTCAGAACCCATATCCAAAAGAGATGAACACTGGGTTTAGGGAGCAGAGGCATCTACACTTTTGTAAATATCTGAGTGGCAACAGAATGTGGAGAAGGATATGTTAAAAGGTATGAGGGAAAAAATCTAAAAGAATTCTGATATGGTTTGGCTGTGTCTCCACCCAAATCTCATCTTGAATTGTAGCTCCCGTAATTCCCAAGTGTTGTGAGAGGGACCCAGTGGGAGATAATCGAATCATGGGGGGGGCGGTTCCCCCATACTGTTCTCATGGTAGTAAATAAGTGTCACGAGATCTGATGCTTTTATAAGGGGTTCCCCCTTTCACTTGGCTCTCATTTTCTCTCTTGCCTGTCGCCACATAAGACATGACTTTCGTCTTCTGCCATGATTGTGAGGCCTTCCCAGCCACATGGAACTGTGAGTCCATTAAACCTCTGTTTCTTTATAAATTACCCAGTCTCAGGCATGTCTTTATCAGCAGAGTGAAAATGGACTAATACAAATTCTCTCCTCATTTCCTTCACCAGGTTCCCAATTCTTTCCTTGTTTCCCTGTTTGTAAACAAGCTTAATAACTGCATAAATTTTTATCATTTGGCCACTTACATAAAAATTCCTCAATTGTGAGCACTTAAGCTGTCTTTCCATTTTTCATTATTATAAATAAAATTGATGAATGTAAAGATATAATGCAAAAAATATTTTACCATATTTAGGCTATTTCTTTAGAATAGATTCACAGCTTAAAGAATTATTCAGCTAAAGGGTATATTTTGATATATACATATATATACACATACATGTGTATATATCATATACATATACATGTGTATATATCATATACATATGTATATACCATATACATATGCATATACATATATATAAAATCAAGTTGCTTTCCTAAGAGGTTGTACCAATTTACACTCCCACCAGCAGCACCAAAGACATCCTATTATTCACAGGATAGGTTCGTACTTGTCACTTTGGCCATATACCAACTGTTACCATCTCTGCTGCCTCCCCCATGCCATCCGTTTCCTTTACAACAAGCCAAGGATCCCTAATATGTTTCACTCTTCAAGTCTTCAGAGGACGATTCTACGCAATTCCAAGTGCCTCTGTAAATCCCCTCATCTGAAAAGAATACCTTTTGCTACCCTTCAATACCTCACAAAGACAAGAGAGAGATTCCCTCGCCCTGGCTGTTAAGTACTCTGGGATCCAAGAGAAAGCTAGAGCCGCATAAAGAATTAGGGAGACTACGATAAATTTTTAGTAAGGGAAGAATAAAGAGCCATGCAAGTAGGTTCCTAATACTTCTCTTAAACTGACTGAACCCTCTTTCTGTTGGCAATTTTTAAATAAAAAAAGAATAGCAGCAGTACGAGTCCTTTGCTTATATTTTACCATTTGTTGTTGTTTTGTTTTGTTTTTTGGCTTTTATAGAATGCGGAGTAAACCCAAAAGAGATTTCTGCTTTATCTAAACAGAAACTAAAAGCAAGGACACCATATACAGTTCTTAGGGAAAAGCAGACACACGAGCTCAATGCTTGCAGAATATGTCTGTGTAGTAAATCCTTCTAGGTTAATCAGGTTCCATATTGCCAGTGTCAGACACTGAGCTGCCAGACCCCATTTCCAAACTGGAGGAAAGTAAAGACTCTCTAGAATGCCTGGAGAGACTTTCTCCAGAGCTCTTGCTGCTATTCCTCATGGGCTACTGGAAGAGTTCCCATCCATGGACCCCAAGCAGCCTCTCTTCCGGTTATTATGACAGGAAACTATTTCAGTTTCTAGATCATTCTTAAAAAGAAAAACATTCTATGAGGGCCTCAAAAGTAGTAGCTCTACCTCCCAAAATGCAGCAGATGATGGCAAAATTACCATCCAGCTCTCACATGATTTGCCTTATCATCAAGACAAGTGGCTCTTATCATAGGGACCTAGAAATCCCCATGAACTTTCTCATAGGTCTATGGGCTCCCTGAAATAATATGCTAAATTCCACTCCCTGTTGATGAGTTTTCTGAGGAGAGAGGCCAAGGCTCCGAGATGAGGTTTTCATGGAGTCCAAAAGTGAAAAGAACTCACAGAGTCCAAAAGAGATGTCTGACACACCCCTACCTCTACCTCAATCTCTTGCACAGCCCTGGGTGCATACTGGGTATTCAGTAAACATGGAGCAAATTGAGAAACATCAATTGACTAATATATATATTCAAAACATAATGGTTATGCATAAAGGATTTACAAATACTGATTATTTATACATGAAAAACAGCAGCTGGAGTGTTTTTGGTTTGGGGTTTTTTAATGAAAAGTTGACTGTAATATCAGCAAGACAAAGCACTTGATTCTATCACAAAGACACAAATGCCTGCCTGTATGTTCACTGCAGTGCTATTCACATTAGCAAACACGTGGAATCAACTTAGGTGCCCATCACCAGTGGACAGGAAAAAGAAAATGTGGTACTATGAAGCCACAAAAAAGAATGAAATCATGTCGTTTGCAGCAACGTGGATGTAGCTGGAGGCCATTGTCCTAAGCAAACTAAAGCAAGAATGGAAAAACCAAATACTACATGTTCTCGCTTATAAGTGGGAGCTAAACACTGAATACACATGAACGTGCATATGGGAACGACAGACACTGGGGACCACTAGATGCGGGAGGGTGGAAGGGAGACGTGGGCTGAAGAACCATCTGTTGGGTACTGTGTTTACCGCTTGGGTGACGGAATTCATTGGGACCCCAAGCCTCAATGTCATGCAATATACCCATGGAACAAACCTGTATGTGTTTGTTAATCTATAAAAAAGTTGAAATTAGTTTTTAAAAAGCAATTGTTATTAATAAAACATTTCATAATCTTTTTATCTGTATCTTCTCATAACAACGTTGTGAAGGAGAACAATGAGATACGCCTGGTGCCTAGAAGATATGATAAATGTTCACTGACTGATGTGTGGTAAGAAAGTGGAAGCAAAAGACAGATATGTGGACCTGTCCATCATCTGATGACCAGAAGCCATGAAGGACCGTTAGGCTCCCAGGGGACAGTGGAAGCCCCATGTGTCCCAACACATATGTGTGCATACAACACACACACAACCTGGGCTAGGCACCTTTTCCTGTACCGTGCCTTCCTGAAAGAGCTGGAAGGGTACAGCCCCAACTCGTTCCAGTTGGGATCTTAGCAGAAAGGAGAACTAAAAGGCACTTTAGCTACAGCCTGACAAGGTGCTTTCAGAGCACCAGCCCCCCTTTTTATTTCAGGGAGCACAATGATACATTTGTTCACCAATGTGCTCAGTGGCATGTCTGAAAGACAAGGAGGAGTGAGGTCAGCAGTCCCAGCTGAGGGGTAGCAGGAAGTCCTGGGAGTCCTGAGTTATGTCTGCCAGGGCTCATAATGTGTCTCTTGACTTCCCTATGTCTCCCTCCCTTCCTTTTAAACAAAGAGGATGATAGCTAGGGTACCTGAATTCATGCATCCCTGTCTAGAGAAAGAAACACTAATGGCAAATTGTCTGGCAAGAATTCACCAGTTTAAAAAAAGACTTACCAAGCAGTCAGACTAAAGTGTCAGACACAGGCCGCAATCCATTAAGCAGCAGCAAGTAAATCCACAGATGAATCTAGCTGCTACCACCTGACATTAATCTGATAAAGACAGGACCAATGTATGGAAACCTGCAATATCTGGAGAGACAGCCTATGCAAACAGAACAAAATGCATAAAATGAGCTCCTGTCCCCAGGAAACTGAAGCCAGCATTTTCTGATTATTAGATTACGTCCTAGTAAATTGATTAATGCTGTCCACAGGGGCACTTTTAACTCCATTCTTACTCCCTAGTGCTAGGGTATACATATCTGCAAGAAGCTTCATGAGAGCTCAAGAAATTTAAGAAATGAAATGAATTTGATTTTGATTCGGACAATGGAACAAAGGCTGTCTCCTGTTCCAAAACAGATGAAATATATGAGTACCCTCCAGCCCCCCCAAAAAGCTACAGATCTATGTAGCAACATCAAAGAATATTGCAGAGAAACGTCTCTAAGGAAACTGTACTTGTTAAAAGGATGCAGCTGTTGGGAGTGGGGGCAGGCAAGTGAAGTTCTCTTCATAACGTGCACAGTAACTTCTAAGACACCCACCCATCCTGAATCTGCATCAAAGTCAACAAATCAAAATGTCAATTTGTGAATTCAGAAACTGTACCCATCCTCTGCATGCCCAGTTGTCCTTTCCCTATGTGTCATCTCTGAAACACCAAGATATTTTTGAAAGAAAACCTCACTGCATCCACAGTTGTCCCTAACTATGGCTGATTCCAAGGTAACATACTACGAATCTATCATATTTAACTACCAGCTCCTGTAAAATCTGTCTGAGCCATAGTTAGGAGTAAATATGGGACTCGAACCATGCCAAGCACAAAGGAAGCATTGAATGGAATAAATACCCTGGGTATGATGGATCCCAAGAAAGACAAAAGAAGAAACCTGGGGAGCGAAGGGTCACCATCTGGGGGATGGAGCATGCAAGACTCTACATCCCATGGATGGCATTAGCTGTCCACGCAAATTTACTGGGGAGCAGCCCGTTCTGGAAGCACTGGACAGAAAGGGCTAGGAATCTCCCACAGGGCATCAACCTGAAATGTGACGGATGCAAAGCAGTCTCAGGAGTCCACTACAGAGGACGATGGTGACACAGACTGCATACAAAAGTGAGTCACGACCCCGCTTCTGGAGAAGGTGACACAGCTGTCCTCACACTTCAGAGGCCAGGGGCTCAGCCTCACAAAGGCTAAACCTAGATCTTAAAAGGAAATATTCCTAAGTAAAGGAGGATGACACACCCAGCAATGCTAGCTTGAATATCCTTTCAATCGCCAAACAACCTCTACTTTGAATCCTCTAATCGCCAAACAACCTTCTACTTTGAGTATTTGACATCGTGAGAGGACTCAGCACCCAGAGAGATGTGTCCTAGATAGAGACCAGTACAAATTCTCAGAATTTAAAACCTGCATACCTCCCATAAATATCTGATCAACTGACAATCTTGGTAATAAGTTGGTTTCTTTTAAGTCAATTGTTCAGAGACTGACCTCACCCGGGATAAAACTGACCTTTGAATTCATTCTCTTCCTCCTCCCTGCCTCTAGTTTTCAAGATGAAACCAATGTTTTACACCTGAGTTACTCCAACTTGCCCTCAACCTCCCACTCCAGTGTTTCTCAAACTATACGGAAAAATCACATGGGGCTGTTGGCAAAACGCACATTGGACTCAGTGGGTCTGGGAAGGGGCCTGAGAGTCTGCATTTCTAAAAAGCTCTGCAATGATACCTGCTGCTGGTCTGCAAGCCACATTTGAGAGGCAAAGCTCTCACCATCCCAGATTACATTTCTAGACAATTCCTCTTCCAAGAATCCCCTCACAAAAACCTACAACAACTCCCAGTTCAGTTGGCCTGGAACCCAAACATCACAGATTCTTACCTTCTTTAAAAAAAAAAAAACAGAGCACCTGAGGCTCAAAGAGGTGAAGTAATTTACCCATCATCACATAGCTAGGGAGTCATTATTTGAAGTCAGAAAATGACCACCCAATTTAGAGTCATGGTATACTGTTTTATTTTCCCTTATACACTTACAGTATCTGAAATTAGCTTGTTTAATTTGTATACTTGTTTATTATTAGTTTCCTTCCTCTCCCTCTACCACATCTCTAACAACCATTACTAGTTTTGTAAAGCTCCAAAAGAGGAGGGATCCTGTCTGTCTTGTTCACTGCCATAGGCTCAGTACCTAGAACAATGCTTACTTGGCAATCTGTAAGTGAATGAACAAAAACAAATGCAATGAAACAAGCTGCTCCTTCTTCCATGAGGAGCTATAACAAGGAGACATAAGAATCTTGGCCATTATGGGACCTGAAGTTAACTCATGGATATCAGTCACTGTTTACTGAAAAGCCACTTAGAGCACTTGCAGCACTTAGACCATCAAGGGACAGACAAATGCAACAGGAGATACCATCCCACCCCTACAACAACTTCCGATTTAGTCACGGGGAGAGGTCACATAGACGCAAACGATGACTTAAGCATACCTAGGAAGCAGAAATACAAGTGAATATGACAAAATCTAGACAGAACACGATGCTGCAGGTAGGCAGGTCCCGATGAGACCACTGGGATTGACTTTAGCCCTTATTATGTCCTAGCAAGGAAGGTTGTTGAAAGAGGGGCTGGACAACCAAGGCAGATGATGCATCCAATTTCCCAGATTAATTTTCAAAGAGGACAGATTATCAGATGTGATGATATTTTGTATATGTCAACTTGGTTAGGTTACAGTCCCTGGTTATCCAAACACTAATCAAGGTATTGCTGTGAAAGTATTTTGCAGATGTGATTAAGGCCCATAATTAGCTGGCTTTTAGGGAAACCATCCAAGATAATATATGTGAGCCTGATTCAATCAGTCAAAAGGCCTCAAGGACAGAGCTGAAGTTCCCCTGAAAAAGAAACTCTGCCTCTGGACAGCAGCTTCAGTTTGTGCCTGAGAGTTCTGCGTGAAAGCTTGCCCTATAGATGTTGCACTTGTCTAACGGCTCCCACAGAGACATAAGCCAGTTCTTTGCAATAAGTCTCTTCATATATATATCCCCTATTCGTCTTTGGTTGAACCCTGACTGATACACCAGCTAAACAGGGTGATCTTGTCCTGCTGGAAAATAATATGGCCTCTTTCTACACTGGGGTTTTAGAGTGAAAGACACCACAGTTCTTTCCATTCAAATTAAGTGTTTGTTTATAATCCAAACACTGTGCCACCTTAAACTGAAACTACAAATGAGCAAGGAAGCCATATTTACCACACCACCACGGGAAACATTCTCCCATTGTTGTTATTGTGTTTTTCTGTATAAATTCTGGGTTTTCAAACTTTCTGTAATAACACTGCCTTTAGAATCATAAAATTGTTTTTTTTTTTAATTCTCTTACCCAGGAAGGGTGCTCAAGAGCAACTAGAGGCAAGTGCTCTACTGTGGCTGCCCTCCTTCCTAAGAGGTGAAGGATGGACAGGTAAGAGGAGGAGATGGTTTGGATTTGTGTCCTCTCCCAAATATGTCAAATTGTAATCCGCAGTATGGGAGGTGGGGCCTGGCAGGAGGTAGTGGATCATAGGGGCGGATTTCCCCATTTGGTGCTGTTCTGGTGATACAGAGTTTTCACAAGATGTGGTTGTTTAAAAGTGTGTGGCACCCCTCCCTACCCCCACCACTTCCTCCCGTTCCGGCCATGTAAAGTGCTGGCTTCCCCTTTGCCTTCTGCCATGATCATAAGTTTCCTGAAGCCTCCCCAGAAGGCTAGCTGATGCTGCCATGTTTCCTGTACGGCCTGCAGAATCATGAGCCAATTAAACCTCTTTTCTTTATAAACTACCCAGTCTCGGGTGTTTCTTTACAACAATGCAAGAATGGACTCATTAGAGGAGGTGCCCTCATCAGCAGCCTTTGCCCGACAACACATTCCACTGTGGGGCTGCCAGGACCCCACTGGGCCGCCAGACACACTTCTGCAGGCTTGAGGTGTGGACGTCCTAACAACCAAGTCATGCCTGGACTGCCTCCAGTAATGCTCCAACAATTGTGCTTACTATGGGAACCAACATCCCCCATAACCTGCTTGCTGTCAGACTCATGCTCCACCTCCTGCCAGGATTATCAGGAGAAGAGGTGTAGGCTTCCCCTCAGCCTCCTCTCTAGAAACCAGGGATCCTCATCTCTGATCCTGTCAACTTAACTCCCTCAGTAACCCCCTATCCCCACCACCCTCTGCCTGATATACCCACTGACCTAATATACCTATTCAGAGATGCAGCCCAGAACTGCAAACAAAGCACAGGCACTGAAGCCAGGCATAATGAAGGAGCTCAGAAGCTTTAGAGGGAAATTTCACCTCTCTGAATTCCCATATCTTTTTATTGCAGACTAAAGCAATTCACCCCATAAAGTTGTTATAAAGAACATAAATTTATGCAAAAAGGTGCTATTATGGCATTGACATGCTTATAATGCTAATATACTCAGTCTATGGCATATGCACATCTATATTTGAGGGAGTTCTTAGGGCAAATGATTTAACCAAAGCAGTAAAAGTGAGAAGGAAAAACATATCCCTTTTTCAGAAGTGACAGCTTCACACTAGTGGCAAAATTGATCAATAATCTATCTATAAAGTGTCTGTCTTTTAAATGTGCATCCATGTCAGAATGTCTTGGACTGCAAGCTCTGAGAAGTCAGAGCCTGTCTAAAAGTCCAAATATGTTCCTCATGGTGCAAAGAACTGGCAATGAACATCTTTGAATGATCTGACAGCAGGATGGGCCCTCCAGGGAGCCATTGGTCTAATCCCTTCAACTTGTTTAGAGATAAACCAATTGGAACCCAGAGGGGTTTGAAGAGGGGGCCAAGGCTACACAGTCAAAGCCCAGTAACAAAGGAATCAGAACCTAGAGCCAACTCTTGTATACCCTCCACTAGAGGCCAGGATGCTCTTAACGTGAGATGACAACTCAAGCCTTCTTTTCCAAGCCTTCTTTTGTTGGCTTCCACAGACAATATATGGTACTTTTGTTGGCCATGCCAAGTAAAAATGTTAAAGTACAGCAAGTCTTCGGAGAATACAACTAGTTCCCAACCATCAGAGAGGGAGGTAGGCTGATGACAAGGAGGCAGATCTGAGAAGTGTGATTACAGACAGATGGTACCAGTTAGCTAGAAAATGTAGAGCTGCATTAAATAAGGTACCAATAAAAATAATAGGGATCCCAGAGCAACTCAGTGACCACAGGCTGCAGAACAGTGAGAAGAGTCGGAGCACGAAGGAGCACTGGCCTGAGCGGTAAACCAGTTAGGAACATAATTTGGGTTTGAATATTTCATCTCCCATAAATTGTTACCAACCACCACTGCCATGGACTGCCACCCTGGCAATGAGGCCCTGAGGACTGCAGGTTGGAAAGCCCACAGAGATGAGCTAGTCCAACTCTTCTTCCAACACTAACCCGGCTTGACTCATTTCTGCAATATTCCTGACCAGGGGCAGAGCAGCTTCTCGATGACTGTGAGGGACTACATCAGCATTCCAAGACATCTATTCCATTTTTGGCCAGAAATATTCTCCTTGTATTTGGCAGGCATTGACCTCTCTGTATGTCATCCTTCAGGAAAGCCTCTGACTGCAGCAACTTTTTTGGTAATAAGGCCACACTGTTGATGTTGCTTCTACTTGATGCCGTTTAAGACGCCAAAATCATTTTCACACATGCCATCAAGCCAGGTCTCAACTACTTATCCCTGTCCTACTGTTTTGAGACTTCAGAGCCCATGGTCTGAAAGAAATATGTCATTCCTCTGGGACAGAGCTTGTTTCTCAGAAATGAGTCCCATCACAAGTCAACAAGCTCTCCTCCACGGTCAAAGGCAGTACTCCTCGCCCCAACCACGCCTACATCACCAGGGGGCTGGGATGAGGATGTGGGGAGCTCTATCCATGCTTTTGGATGAGCACTGCCTCTCCAATGGCTTTCATGTTCTCTCCTGTATTCTCTTTCTGTTCTCCAAACATACCAAGCCAGTTTCAACTATAGGATCTTTAATTTCTACTTGTTCCTTCTGGCTGGAATACTCTAGTCCTATCTGACCTCAGACAAGCCCCCAAAGGCCTAAAGCAGCATCCTAGTCTTATACTCCAGACACTCTGTGTCACATTGCCCAGTTTTACTTCCTACAAACCACTCATCACTGCCTAAAAATATCTTGTTTACTGTCTGTCTTACTCACTAGTTGTAAGTTGTATAAGGACAAGGGAGGATATCCATCTCATCACAACTGTATCCCCAGTGCCTGAGACAGTACCTGGCATAGAGTAAATGCTCAATAAATATCTGCTATTGAATGAATGGACATCAGTGAGTGACTTAATGGCTACAGCTCAGGGCCTGGCATCAGACAGTCCTGGATTCAAATCCTGGCTCTACTATTTATTAGTGCTGCGACTTTGGAAACTATTTAATTTTATCCAATGTCACACAGCAAATACAACTTTAATATGTACATCATAGGGGTTTTATGAAAATTAAATTTTATTATTTTTAAATGTTAGACAGAACTCAAGTTTCCAAACATGCCTGTCACACAGTGAGTACTAAATTGAACTAGAAATCATTGTTACTCATTTGGTGATGATGACAGCAACAGCCTAAGCCATACTCTGATAGGTCATTGGCATCACCTAAAGATATTACATTACTATTTTCAAATTCTGCTAAAAGAAAGAGGTAGTGTGATAAAATAGAGAGAGTGAGGATTTTGAAGTCATAAGATTCTGATTGGGGTCTTAGACTTGACAAGCCATTCCATCACTGATAACAGCCGGTAAGGTAAGGAGGAACAAATAACGTGGTGCATGTATTTGAATCATGTTTGAAATTCTAAAGCAACAAATTTATTAATATAATCCATATTAAAATTTTCCTTGCCCACAGTTTAATATTCCTCAGACCCTGGAGCCTGTGTTCATTTCCTTGGGCATGTTAAAAGTTATTTGGCTGGTGAACATGTGCCCAGACAGGCACAGTGGTCTACATATAACTTAGGGCAAAAACTCTTCCTAAAAAGCACACTGTAAGCTCAACAAAGAATACAGGCACCCCTCACCGGAGGGGAACCGACATGTAGAATTTAATTTATTCAATGAGAGCAAAGCAGTAGAATGCAGCGCAGTGGAAGTTCAGAGACCCAGGTTCGAATCCCAGCTATCCCACTCACTGGCCAAGTGACATGGGGAGGTCACAGTCCCTCTCTAGGTTGATGGCTTTTCAAAGGGTGCTTGAGCATTTGGAAATTGGAAAACAGGTCCTTTTCCATCTTCAGAGACACTGCAGTCTGCAGTTGGCTGGAAGGGATGATGGCAGAGGTCAGAGCCAGATTAAAAGAGAATCATAATCTAGATTAAGAAGTCATCTTTCAAATGGTCTCCCTGGGATGCAAACTTGGGTTGTCTTCCTCTGTGATCACGAATTTAAGGGCTTGGTGAGCTGAACTAAAACAGGAATGAATTGCAGATACCCAGTGTGCATTCTGTTTCCCTCTAGGAACTTATCTCGGATGTACAAAGACATTATAAAAATGAAACTTAATAGAGACCCATTTTACATAGAACTTTTCAGAAATTCCCTTCTTCTGAGCCCTATTTATGCTAAGAATGCTATTTTCATTTAATGTTTTACCACTGAAAAGCTTAAACATACACAAAAATAGAAAGAATAGTACAATGAATAAACGCATTACTCAGTTTCAGTCACCACCAACACAGGGCGACTCTGGTTTCATCCATACCCACCTGCTTCCTCATCAGCCCTTTATTTTAAAAACAAATCCCAAATAAAATGTCATCTATTTCAGAAGTAAATAATTCAATATGCACCTTTAAAAGATAAAGACCTTTCTTTAAATATAATTGCCACAACGCTATCTCATCTGAAAACAACTAACAATTTGTTTTATCAGATAGCCAGCCAGTGCTCAAATTCTCCCTGGTTGTCTCAAAATTGTTAAACACTTTGTTATCCTTAAGATCCAAATAAGGTTCACACACTGTAACTGGTTAATTGATATGGTTTGGGTGTGCTCCCACCCAAATCTCACCTTGAACTGTAATAACCCCCATATGTCAAGGTGGGGCCAGTTGGAGATAATTGAATCATAGGGGTGGTCTCCTCCATACTGTTCTCATGGTAGTGAATAAGTTTCACAACATCTGATGGTTTTATAAATGGGAGTTCCCCTGCACAAGCTCTCTTGCCTGCCACCATAGAAGATGTGCCTTTGCTTCTCCTTTGCCTTACGCCATGATTCTGAAGCCTCGCCAGCCATGTGGAACTGTGAATCCATTAAACCTCTTTCCTTTATAAATTACCCAATCTCCAGTATGTCTTTATTAGCAGTGTGAGAATACATCTATGTTTAATCTATAAGTCTACCCTCCATCTTTTTTTTCATATCTATTGGCAACTATTGAAACTCCAGGTTATTTTTCTGTAGTTTCCTACTTCTAAATGTTGCTGATTGCACTCCCATAGTTTTATTTAACACATTCCTCTGCCCCCTGTATAAATCCTTTTTTTTTAATGTTTGTTAAATTTAGAGGCTTGTTCAGATTAGGCAATCTTTTTGGCAATATTTTTTCATGTTGTCAGCAGCCATTGTTGATCATTGCCTAGATCCATGAACTAGGAATTACAAAATAATAATGATGTGATATCATTCCCTCTTCATCTCTCCTGTAGCTACTTTTATAAAGAGAAACTTTCCTTCATTACCAGTTTGGTCATCCTAAGGCATAGTTTGTAAAATGCTTATTTCTTTCCCTTTATTTACCAGTTTTCAAAGTAATTCATTAATTTCCTAGCATCCTGCAAAAGTGACTGATTTTTTTTTCTTGAGTATCACTACAAACTCATGTATTTAAACCTGTGTGATATGTTTCAATCCAGTGCTGTATTATCCAATATGATGTTCAAACTTGACCAGTAGGAACCTCTTCACGTTGGTTCCTGAGTCCTTCTACAACATGACCCTGGGAGTCCTCCAGAGTTTCCCTGCTTGCTGTTGTAAAAAGATGAACCAGGCACATCTTGTATATCTCCTGCTCCAAATCTGAAAGCAGCCATTGTTTCAAAGAGCCCTGGTTATTTTTTGTAGGAAATGGTATTTGGCAATCACAGTCTGGCACAAGGAATGCTCATTGTTACTGGGCCGGCCATAGTTTCTGGCCCTTCTCTGTGGACAGAGGTAGACCATGTTTCTAAAAAATACTAAAATGCTTTGAGTTCATATTGTATGTCCAACTCAAATTCAAGAATGCAAGAATTTTTCCTAATTTTATTGTTCAAATGTCAATGTTTCCTTCCTCCTATAAATATAATTCGTTGTTTATTCTATCTCACAATACACGTAAGAATCTCAGAATACCAACACCAGTAATGATAATTTAAAAACAGCCTACAGTGTTTTCTGCACTTTGGGTACCTTTATGATACACGCCGATAGGGATATACAATCAAATCCCTGTGTTTTAAAGCCAGTTGGCTGAGTTCCTGTCTGTTCCTCTCTGTGGGTTATGCTAACCAGCTCAATACACACTTAGATTTATTTGGTTTTCTCAGGGATTATATGTTTTTTATTTCAAAATTATGTTAAGGCCAGGCACAGTGGCTCATGCCTGTAATCCTGCCACTCTGGGAGGCCAAGGCAGGAGGAATGCTTAAGGCCAGGAGCTCGAGACCAGCCTGGGCACCATAACAAGACCCCATCTCTACAAAAAATTAAAAACAAAAAATAAATTAGCTGAGTGTGGTGGTGCACACCTATAGTCCTAGCTACTAAGAAGGCTGAGGTGAGAGGATCACTTGAGCCTAGGAGTTTGATTACAGTGAGCTATGACCATGCCACAGCATTCCAGCCTGAATGACAGAGGAAGACCCTGTCTCTATTTTTTAAATTATGTTAAAAATTTGCATGTTTCCATGACCAAACCAAGAAAACAAAGTATATTCAGAAATGGTTAGGTTTTATTCCTTTCCCTCCATCCCATTACCCCTCTTCTCCTTTTTCTATTATTATTCTCTTATGGTTTATTCTTTTAAAAGAAAGCAAATATCAAAGAAAATACGTATTCTCTTATTTCTTAGACAAGTGGTATCTTGTTCTTTCACTTAATATATCATGACAATCACTCTATTACTGATATATTTCCCATTTCTTTTTCATCTTCATAGTTTTCCACCCTATGGAAGCACCACAGCTGACCCAACTGTCCTCTAATGAAGAATATTTCAGTCATTGCAGCTTTTTGCTACTACAAATAGTGTGCCAATGAATAGTAAAACGCATATTTCATAAAAAATATTTTGCCAGTAAATCTTTGGGATAGATTCCTAGAGGATTCTAGGAATTTTGTCTAGCAATCTTCAGATTTACTGTAGATTTAATTGTACTGGGAATTGCCCATTCCCCCACATATTAATAGATCAGCTTTATGCTATTTTGCATTCCCCCAGCAAATAACAATGTACGTATCGATTTCCCCCTACAGTTTGTCAACAGAGTTGTGGTCAAACTTTTGGAATTTTGCCAATCTGATCATGAGAAATGCTATCTGGATGTAATCTACATTACTCTACAAGTCAAGTTGAGCATCTTTTCATAGTATTATAAGCCATTTGTGGCAATAATTCTTCATATTTCTGGTTGTAAGTCAAGGGTCTACTGCTGAACAGTCTAAGAAAGAACATATATATCTGGAATAGAGAAGATGAGAAACATTTAAGGTGATCTAGTAGTGAAAAGAGCCATAAAATACAAGCAAAGAATACCAGCCCCCAGTAGCAAGAAAATGTAAGTTTTTAAAAGACACCATTGGGTCGATTGGAAGCAGCTCCAGTCCGTGGTGCTCAGAGAAAGGAATGAAAGGAGCAAGTGAATTCAGCAACTTCAACTGAGATATCTGAGTTCTCACATTGGGACTGACCAGGCAAACAGCTCAACCCACAGACAGCAAAGAGAAGCAGGATGGGGCAGTGGCCCATCCAGGAGCTGCACGGAGCCAAGGGAACCCCAACCCCCAGCCAAGGAAAGCAGTGAGTGATTGTGCAGCCCTGCCTGGGAAACCATGCTTCTCCCATGGATCTTTGCAACTCACGTATCAGGAGATCCCCTCATGAGCCCACACCACCAGGGATTTGGGTCCAATACAGAGAGCTGTGTGGAATCTCAGCAGAGCAGCCACTCAGGGAGTGGCTCAGCCACACACAGAGACCCAGGAGTTTTGCATACTCTGGCCCCGGCATCCATGGCAAGGTGGGAGATCCATCCATGCATGTCCCTAGGAAGGGGGCTGAGTCAGGGGCCAACTGGCATCATTCTTCGGGCCCCACTTTCACAGCACCACGTGGATTGAGACCCACTGGCTTGCAATTCCAGCTGGCTGGTGGCAGCAGGCTGGAGTCATCCTGAGTCAGGATGGTGTTCCCAGAGGGGAGGACCAGCCACCATCCCTGTGGTTTGGTAGACTCCGTCATTTCAGCCTGGTGGCTTTGAAGAATACAGGCGGTCCAGAGAAGGAGGGTTCCCCCATAGCACAGCTGCCTTGCCAGATCGTGGCCAGACTTCTTCTTTAAGCAGGACCCTGATCCATTCCTCCTCACTGGGCAAGACCTCCTTGTGGGGGCTTCAGCCACTCCAGCAAGGGTTCTACAGAGAGAGCTCTGATCTCTCCCTACTACAAAGCTCCCAGGGGGAGAGGCGGCCACCATCTCTGCAGTTTGGTAGACTTAGCTGTTCCAGCCTGCTGGCTTTGTAGTATACAAATGATCTGAATGAGGAATGGTACCCCCCTAATGCAGCATACCTGCTCTACCAAAGGGCAGCCAGACTGCTTCTTTGGGTGGGTCCCTGATCCCATTCCTCCTGACTGGGTGAGATCTCCCAACAGGGGTCTCCAGCCACCTCCTACAGGTGTGTGCAGAACAGCAACAGGTCAATGCCCTCCTAGGACAGAGCTTCCAGAGGAAGGAGCAGCCTGCCATCTTTGCTGTTTCACAGCCTTCACTGGTGATACCTCTGGGTACAGAAAAACCAAGGCAACTAGGGTCTGGAGTGGACCCCCAGCAAACTGCAGCAGTGCTACAGGAGAATGGCCTGACTGTTAAAAGAAAAACAAACAGAAAACAACACCACCAACAAAAAAGACCCCTCAAAAACCCTATTCAAAGGTCAGCAACCTCAAAAATCTAAGGTAGATAGGCCCATAAAGATGAGAAACAATCAATGCAAAAACACAGAAACTCAAAAACCAGAATGCCCCTTCTCCTTCACATGACCACAACACCTCTCCAGCAAAGGCACAGAACTGGACTGAGGATGAGATGCCTGAGCTGACAGAAGAAGGCTTCAGAAAGTGGGTAATAACAAACTTGGCCTAGCTAAAGGAACATATTGTTACTCAATGCATAGAAGCTAGGAATCATGATAAAACAATACAGGAGCTGATAGCCACAATAGGCAGGTTAGAGAGGAACATAACCAATCTGATGGAGCTGAAAAACACAACACAGGAACTTCACAATGCAATGACAAGTATCAGTAGCAGAATAGACCAAGTGAAAGAAAGAATCTCAGAGACTACCTTTCTGAAATAAGATAGGCAGACAAGAGCAGAGAAAAGAAGAATGAAAAGGAATTAACAAAACCTCCGAGAAATATAGGATTATGTAAAGACACCAAACCTATGACTGAGTAGGGTACCTTTAAGAGATGGGAAAAAAAGGAACCAAGCTGGAAAACATACTTCAGGATATCATGCAGGAGAACTACCCCAACCTAGAAAGACATGCCAACATTCAAATTCAGAAAATGCAGAGAACCTTAGTAAGATACTCCATGAGAAGATCAACCCCAAGACACATACTAGTCAGATCCTCCAAGGTTGAAATAAAGGAAAAAATGTTAAGGGCAGCCAGAGAGAAAGGCCAGGTCACCTACAAAGGGAAGCCCATCAGACTAACAGCAGAACTCTCAGCAGAATCCCTACAAGCCAGAAGAGACTGGGGGCCAATATTCAACATTCTTAAAGCAAAGAATTTCCAACCCAGAATTTCATATCCAGCCAAACTAAGCTTCATACGCAAAGGAGAAATAAGATCCTTTTCAGATAAGCAAATGCTGAGGGAATTTGTCACCAACAGACCTACCTTGCAAGAGCTCCTGAAGGAAGCACTAAATATAGAAACAAAAAATCATTACTAGCCACTACAAAAACTCACTGAAGTACACAGACCAGTGATACTATGAAGCAATCACATAAACAAGTCTGCAAAATAACCAGTTAGCGTCATGATGACAGAATCAAATTCACGTATCACAATACTAACCTTAAATGTAAATGGGCTAAATGCCCCAATTAAAAGACACAGAATGGCAAGCTGCATGAAGAGCCAACCATTGGTATGCTGTGTGCAAAGACATAAACAGGCTCAAAATAAAGGGATGGAGGAAAATTTACCAAGCAAATGGAAAACAGAAAAAAATAAGGGTCACAATCCTAGTTTCTGACAAAACAGACTTTAAAGCAACAAAGATCAAAAAAGACAAAGAAGGGAATTACATCATGGTAAAGGGTTCAATTCAACAAGGGATAACTATCCTAAATATATATGCACCCAATACAGGACTACCCAGATTCATAAAGCAAGTTCTCAGAGACCTACAAAGAGACTTAGACTCCCACAGAGTAGTCGTGGGAGACTTCAATACCCCACTGTCAATATTAGACAGACCATTGAGACAGAAAATTAACAAAGATATTCAGAACCTGAACTCAGCTCTGAATCAAGTGGACGTGATAGATATCTACAGAACTCTGCACCTAAAAACAACAGAATATGCATTCTTCTCATTCCCACACAGCACTTACTGTAAAATTGATCACATAATCAGAAGTAAAATACTCCTCAGCAAACGCAAAAAAAAAACTGAAATAATAACAGTCTCTCATACCATAGCGCAATCAAATTAGAACGCAACGTTAAGAAATTCACACAAAATTACACAACTACATGGAAATTGAACAACCTGTTCCTGAATGACTCTTGAGCAAATAATGAAATTAGGCAGAAATCAACAAGTTCTTTGAAACCAATGAGAACAAAGAGACAACGTACCAGAATCTCTGGGACGCAGCTAAAACAGTGTTAAGAGGGAAATTTATAGCACTGAATGCCCACATCAAAAAGCTAAAAAGATCTCAAGTTAACAACCTAACATCTCTACTAAAAGAACTAGAGAACCAAGAGCAAACAAACCCCCAAAAGCTAGCAGAAGACAAGAGATAACCAAGGTCAGAGCAGAACCAAAGAAGATAGAGACAAAAAAAACCTTCAAACAAATCAACATATCCAGTAGCTGGTTTTTTGAAAAAATTAATAAAATAGACCACTAGCCAGACTAATAAAGAAGAAAAGAGAGAAGAATCAAATAAACACAATCAGAAATATTAAGGAGAAAATCACCCCTGACCCTACAGAAATACAAACAACCATCAGAGAATACTATAAACACTTCTATGCAAATAAACTAGAAAAACTAGAGGAAATTGATAAATTCCTGGACACATATATCCTCCCAAGACTGAACCAGGAAGAAACTGAATCCCTGAATAGACTAAAAAGGAGTTCTGAAATTGAGAAATAGCCTACCAACCAAAAAAAGCTCAGGACCACATGGATTCACACCTGAATTCTACCAGAAGTACAAAGAAATTTTACTGAAACTACTGAAACTATTCCAAACAATTGAAAAGGAGGGACTCCTCCCTAACTCATTCTATGAGGCCAGCATGATCCTGATACCAAAACCTGGCAGAGATACAACAAAAAAAGAAAACTTCAGGCCAATATCCTTGATGAACATCAGTGAAAAATCCTAAATAAAATACTGGCAAACCAAATCCAGCAGCGCATCAAAAAGCTTATCCACCACGATCAAGCTGGCTTCCTCCCTGGGATGCAAGATTGGTTCAACATACACAAATCAATAAATGTAATTCATCACATAACCAGAACTAAAGATAAAATCTACATGATTATCTCAATAGATGCAGAAGAAATGACCTTGGATAAAATTCAACATACCTTCACGTTAAAAACTCTCAATAAACAGGGTATAGCTGGAACATACCTCAAAATAATAAGAGCCATGCATGACAAACCCACAGCCAATATCATATTGAATGGCAAAAGCTAGAAGCATTCCCCCTTGAAAACCAGCACAAGACAAGAATGCCCTCTTCTATCACCACTCCTATTCAACGTAGTATTGGAAGTTCTGGCCAGGGAAGTCAGGCAAGAGAAAGAAATAAAGGGGATTCGAATAGGAAGAGAGGAAGTCAAATTATCTTTGTTTGCAGATGACATGATCCTATATCTAGAAAACCCCATCATCTCAGCCCAAAAGCTTCTTAAGTTGATAAGCAACTTCAGCAAAGTCTCAGGATACAAAATCCATGTGCAAAAATTGCTAGCATTCCTATTCACCAACAACAGGCAAGCAGAGAGCCAAATCATGAATGAACTCCCATTCACAATTGCTACAAAAAGAATAAAATACCTAGGAATATAGCTAACAAGGGAAGGGAAGGACCTCTTCAAGGGGAACCGCAAACAACTGCTCAAAGAAATCAGAGAGGACACAAACAAATGGAAAAACATTCCATCCTCATGGATAGGTAGAATCAATATCATAAAAATGCCCAAAGTACATACTGCCCAAAGTAATTTATAGATTCAATGCTATTCCCATTAAACTACCATTGACATTCTTCACTGAATTAGAAAAAGCTATTTTAAAATTCACATGTAACTGAAAAAGAACCCAAATAGCCAAGACAATCCTAAACAACAATAACAAGACTGGAGGCATCATGCTAACTTCAAACTATACTACAAGGCTCCAGTAATCAAAACAGCATGGTACTGGTACAAGAACAGACATATAGACCAATGGAACAGAATAGAGAACTCAGAAAGAAGACCACACACTTACAACCATCTGATCTTCAACAAACCTGACAAAAACAAACAATGGGGAAAAGATTCCCTATTTAATAAATGGTGCTGGTTGAACTGGCCAGCCATATGTAGAAAACTGAAACTGGACCCCTTCCTTACACCATATAAAAAAATTAACTGAAGATGGATTAAAGACTTAAATCTAAAACTCAAAACTACAAAAACCCTAGAAGAAAATCTAGGCAACACCATTCAGGACATAGGCACAGGAAAAGGTTTCATGATGAAAAGGCCAAAAGCAATTGCAACAGAAGCAAAACTTGACAAATGGGATCTAATTAAACTAAAGAGCTTCCGCAAAGTGAAAGAAACTATCATCAGAGTAAAGAGAGAACCTAGAGAATGGGAGAAAATTTTTGCAATCTATTCATCTGACAAAGATCTAATATCCAGAGTCTATGAGGAACTTAAACAAATTTACAAGAAAAAAACAAATGACCTAATTAAAAAGTGACCAAAGGACATGAACATACACTTCTCAAAAGAAAACATACATGCAGCCATAGGCATGGGCAAGGACTTCATGTCTAAAACACCAAAAGCAATGGCAACAAAAGCCGAAATTGACAAATGGGATCTAATTAAACTAAAGAGCTTCTGCACAGCAAAAGAAAATACCATCAGAGTGAACAGGCAGCCTACAGAATGGGAGAAAATTTTTGCAACCTACTCATCTGACAAAGGGCTAATATCCAGAATCTACAATGAACTCAAACAAATTTACAAGAAAAAAACAAACAACCCCATCAAAAAGTGGGTGAGGGATATGAACAGACACTTCTCAAAAGAAGACATTTATGCAGCCAAAAAACGCATGAAAAAATGCTCATCATCACTGGCCATCAGAGAAATGCAAATCGAAACCACAATGAGATACCATCTCACACCAGTTAGAATGGCAATCATTAAAAAGTCAGGAAACAACAGGTGCTGGAGAGGATGTGGAGAAATAGGAACACTTTTACACTGTTGGTGGGACTGTAAACTAGTTCAACCATTGTGGAAGTCAGTGTGGTGATTCCTCAGGGATCTGGAACTAGAAATACCATTTGACCCAGCCATCCCATTACTGGGTATATACCCAAAGGATTATAAATCATGCTGCTATAAAGACACATGCACACGTATGCTTATTGCGGCACTATTCACAATAGCAAAGACTTGGAACCAACCCAAATGTCCAACAATGATAGACTGGATTAAGAAAATGTGGCACATATACACCATGGAATACTATGCAGCCATAAAAAATGATGAGTTCATGTCCTTTGTAGGGACATGGATGAAGCTGGAAACCATCATTCTCAGCAAACTATCGCAAGGACAAAAAACCAAACACCGCATGTTCTCACTCATAGGTGGGAATCGAAGAATGAGAACACATGGACACAGGAAGGGGAACATCACACATCGGAGACTGTTGTGGGGTCGGGGGAGTGGGGAGGGATAGCATTAGGAGATATACCTAATGCTAAATGATGAGTTAATGGGTGCAGCACACCAACATGGCACATGTATAGATATGTAACAAACCTGCACGTTGTGCACATGTACCCTAAAACTTAAAGTATGATAATAAAATTTAAAAAAAAGAAAACATACATGCAGCCAATAATCATATGAAAATAAAAAAGCTCAACATCACTGATCATTGGAAAAATACAAATCAAAACCACAATGAGATACCATCTCACACCAGTCAGAATGGCCATTATTAAAAAGTCCAAAAGTAGGCCAGGCACAGTGGCTCACACCTATAATCCCAGCACATTGGGAGGCTGAGGGTGGATCACAAGGTCAGGAAATTGAGACCATCCTGGCTAACACGGTGAAACCCCATCTCTACTAAAAATACAAGAAAAAATTAGACTGGCGTAGTGACAGGCGCCTGTAGTCCCAGCTACTCAGGAGGCTGAGGCAGGAGAATGGCGTGAACCCGCGAGGCGGAGCTTGCAGTGAGCCGAGGTCGTGCCACTGCACTGCAGCCTGGCAGAGCGAGACTCCATCTCAAAAAAAAAAAACAAAAAAAAAGTCAAAAAGTAACAGACGCTGGCAAGGTTATGGGGAAAAAGGAATGCGTTTACACTGTTAGTGAGAGTATAAATTAGTTCAGCCATTGTGGAAGGCAGTGTGGCAGTTCCTCAAAGACCTAGAGGCAGAAATACCATTCAACCCAGCAATCCCATTACTGGGTATAAACCCAAAGAGATATAAATCATTCTATTATAAGGATACATACACACATATGTTCACTGCAGCACTATTCACAGTAGCAAAGACATGGAATCAACCTAAATGCCCATCAGTGATACACTGGATAAAGAAAATGTGGTACAGATACACCATGGGATACTATGCAGCCATAAAAAGGAATGAGATCATGTCCTTTGCAGGGACATGAATGGAGTTTGAAGCCATTATCCTCAGCAAACTAACACAGGAGCAGAAAACCAAACACCACATATTCGCACTTATAAGTGAGAGCTGAAAGATGAGAACACATGGACACAAGGTGGGGAAAAACACACACTAGGGGTCTATCAGGAGTTGGGGGGAGAAAGAGCATCAGGAAGAATAGCTCGTGGATGCTAGGCTTAATACCTAGGTGATGGGATGATCTGTACAGCAAACCACCATGGTACACATTTACCTATGTAACAAACCCTGGACATCTGGCACATGTACCCCTGAATTTAAAATAA
Organism: Homo sapiens; assembly: GCF_000001405.40. Taxonomy (NCBI): domain Eukaryota; kingdom Metazoa; phylum Chordata; class Mammalia; order Primates; family Hominidae; genus Homo; species Homo sapiens. Next base: position 162,098,516 of record NC_000001.11, on the reverse strand, counting down.
AAGTTAGAGAAAAAAAAAAAACGACACCGTTAATTGTACCAAACAAAACTGTAAGGCACCTACAAATCAATCCAACAAAAGGTAGATACAAATTTAATTAAGAAACTATCAGCCAGATGCAGTGGCTCACACCTGTAATCCCAGCACTTTGGGAGGCTGAGACTGGTAGATCACTTGAGCCCAGGAGTTCGAAACAAGCATGGGCAACATGGTGAGACCTCCTCTCTACTAAAGATACAAACAATAGCCGGGCATGGTGGTGCACGCCTGTGGTCCCAGCTACTCAGAAGGCTGAGGCAGGAAGACTGCTTGAGCCCAGGGGGCAGAGGTTGCAGTGAGCTGAGACCCCGCTACTGCACTCCAGCCTGGGTGACAGAGCAATATCCTGTCTCAAAAAAAAAAAAAAAAAAAAAAGCAAAAGAGAGAAGAAACTATTATAAATAAAAGCTTATTAAAATTCATTAATGAAGACCTAAATAAATGAAGAGATAAAGCCATATTCATGGACTAAAAGACTAAATATCATAAAGATGTCATTAATCTCAAAAATTATTCTATAAATTCAACATGATTCTGATTAAAAATCTCAACCCAAAAAGACAAATAAAGAAAAAAAACGAATAAATATAAATATACCTATTTTAAAGAACTTACTAAACTGATTCTAACATTTATATGAGAAAGCAAAGGGAGGCCCAAGAATAGCCAAGACCATAAGGTTAGGAATCATCCCGCTAGATCGCAAGACTAAAATAGAGCTATAATAATTAAGATAGAGGTTCTAAATGAAGGAGAGATCAACAGACCAATAGAACTGAATAAACCTTGAAATGGACCTCCACACATATACACTTGACACATGACAGCAACAACATGGTAAAAGTGGTGAACAGACAGAATGAAGTGCTTCAGAACCACTGGTTATCTACATAGAGAAAAAACAAAATTAGAATCTTATTTCAAACCATGCATAAAAATAAATTCCAGATGCAAATGTGAAAGGCAAACTTTAAAACCTTAGAAGATATAGAAGAACACTATTATGATCACAGATTACAGAAAATGTTGAAACAGACAAAGAAAACACAAATAAAAAGGAAAGATATACATTTTACATTTAAATCTTAAAGTTCCATACATCAGAAGATACCATAAAGACAGTGAAAACAGCAGCCACATAGTGGAAAAGACAATTGTTATACACATAACTGAGACCAGCATTTAGATAGAATGCCTATAAGTTAACAAGGAAAAGACAAAAGAACTCAGCTTAAAAATGGGCAAGAGATATGAAGAGGCAATCGCATAAGAGGGAAAAACATAATGACCAATACACATAGAAACTGATGGTTTAACTCACTAGTAATAAGGGAAATGTACTTTTTTTTTTTAATACCCAGCATACTGGCAAAAACTGTTAAGGATAACAAAACCAAGGGTTACCAGGGGTGTAGAGCACAGCAATATGAATGTATATTTTGTCAATTTATATCCCTCCAGCAATCTTACAAGTGGAAGAAACAAAGTGGAGGATGTGCTCAGCTTATGGTCCTACAATTCCACAATTAGATATATAATCTAACAAACTAGTAACTGTGCTCAAGGAGACTTGGAGATTTATACAAGAATGTTTGCTGCAGCAGTCTACAATTGTGAAAAACTAGAAACAACCTAAATGCAATCAACAGAAGAATAAATAAGTTGTGGTATATCTATACAATGGAATAAGATTCAGTAGTGAAAATGAATGAACTAATAAGGGTAAACTTCAAAAGCATATTGTTAAGTAGGAAAAAAGCAAACTTAGAATAAGCACCATATTATATCATTAAATAAAATGTAAAAACATGGCAAACAACACTGTATAATGTTATTGGATATATGCATATGTTTTTTAAAAGTATAAATATATGGGGAAAATAAAATAAATTCAAGATAGTGGTTGTTTCTTGGGAAAAAGAGAAGGAGGAGAATTAAATCAAGGAGGAGTATCCAGGGGACTTCAATTATACATATTTTTTCTTTAATCTGGGTGGCGGATACCTACATGATCTTTATATTACGTATATTTTTGTATGCCTGAAATATTTTGTAATGTTTTAAAAATCAAATTCATGTCAAGAGGCCTGATGGTGGTTCAACTGGTAAAGTTACACTGGAAGACACTGGTTTGATATGAGGGCAAAGTCACCTAACAATTAGAGCTACCTCTAAATAAATACGCTGACATGGAAAGTGAAGACTTCCCCATCATTGGAGCTCTCTGAACAGAAGCAGATGCCCTCCTGTAGAAGACACTGCAGAGGAAAGAACCATTAATGTTCCATTTACCATCCTATCTTCACTGCAGAGCCTATACTTAGGAGATGCTTGATTAATATTTGTTGAATATTGAAATTTGAAAAGCATTTACTGCAAGTCTCCTTAAATGCTAGTGGTAGAAAATTGAAAAGAATAAAAATAACCTAACAGTAACAAAATTAAGAATATTAACTTATACTCACCAACAAGGATTAAACAGGATGAATTAGAAGACAGGAGACTGGAGGAGAGCAAAAGCAAGCTCAGAGAAACTGTCTACATTGGATTTGAAGACTATCCAGTAAATTCCACATGATAAGTAGTCTTTGAAGGGTGCTTTACAGTTTATTCACGTTATTTAATCTCCACAATAATCATGCAAAGAACAGCTTTACTTCATTCTATCAGTTAAAAAACTGAAGCTGACAAAGATTAAGTGACTTGCTCAGTATCTTACAGCCAGTTGGTATCAAGGCTAGTACTAAAACGTAGGTCTCCAGACACCAAACTCCATCTTCTGTGACACAAGTAACCCCACTCACCGGATGAGGGAACCCCACATACAGGCGTGTTGGCAGTCTAATATGGTCCCTACAGAACTTAATACACAGGTAGTAGAAAAGACAATTTAACATTCTGAATTAGCTCTATCAATTACTACATTCTTTCCTTGTCTCCCAACTTCATATTCTAATGCCACAGAGTATACACACACCCAGTGCCTTAGTTGGGGTTGCTATAACAAAAATAATGCCATAGACTTGGTGGGTTAGACAATAGAAGTTTATTCCTCCCAGTTCTGAAGACTGAGAAGTCTGAGATCAAGGTGCCAGGTGATTTAGTTTCTTCCTGGTTTGCAGACAGACCTTCCTGCTATATCCTCACAGGGCAGCAAGAGAGATCATCTCTCTGTCTCACCTTATAAGGGCACTGATCCCACTCATGAGGACCACGCTATCATGACCTAGTTGCCTCCCAAAGGCCCCACCTCCAAATAGCATCACACTGGGCATTAGGGCCTCAACACAAAAATTCGGGGAGGACACAAACATTCAGACCATAGCACTCCATCTGTAAGTCACTGATCAATCCTCACTAAGAAATTTGTAGAAGATATGATGCCACAGCTCCTATAACTGTTGCCAATTGCCCACACTGGGCTATGAAAAAAGACATTTAGGTCAGACTCACATTCATGACACAAAATCCCTGCAGAACCCATAGTGGAGTGTGAGTGGACTTAAAGCCAGCTGCTCCACCCGTTACACCCCATCCCTCTTTCTAGCAACTGGAACATGTTCCCAGCAGCACTGTAAGGAGTAGAAGATGACATGTGGCTGCCTGGTGCTGGAATTAGAGCTGGAATGGACAGCGATACCTGGTTTCCACCCTCACCCACTCTTCAACAACTGGACCATGGTTTGGAAGGACCATTAACAGGACAGAAGTCAACACTTGCATCCTCTCTGCTCAATCCTAAACTAGCTGAGAGATCTTGTCTGAATCACCAAACTTACTCAAGACAGAGCTTCAACAAGTGTAAAGTCAAAAGAAAGGTGATGGTCCCTAAAATGTCCCAGAATCTGCCAAGTGTCCACTTCCCAGCCAGGTTCAGGACAGGCCCAGGGCATGCCTGCAGAACTCAGCTCAGACACTCAGCAGATGTTTATTAAACCATCCATCCATCAACATGACTGTGTTTATGGTTAGCCCTAACAAGCATGATTAGGGGCTGGTTCTCTAATTCTGTTTTACGGGTTTTGTGGGCTCCAGGGGAAGAATAAATCAAGCAGGAGTTTACTGAGTCTGACTCAGCACACACCACCAACATTTCAATCAGACCAGAGTCTGAAAAACAAGCAAATATCACTCTCCCTACCAGTCCATCTGCTGTCTTGATGAAAGATGAAAGTAAATGGAATGAAGAGCATAGGGAAGAGAACCAACCTGTGTTTATGATGCCATGAAGACCACTCCAGCACACAACAAAGTTCACTTTCAGAGTGAGGCAAGAGTGTGTAAAAGCCCCCTCCTCCTCCCAAGAGGGTAACTACTCACTCCTACCCATCAGCTGAGAGTCCAACCACACATCTGCCATTGGTGCGAGTCTATCACACAATATGCACACTGATAAATCTGGCTTTCAAGAAAGGCTAGGAAAGTTACAGACAAGCACTTACGCCTATTGAGGTCTTAATAAGTCACAGAACAACTAGGCTGCCAGAAGGAACATTAGAATCCATCTTCTTGGTCAAAATCATTAGAAACATAAGTCCTAGAGGACGGAAAATTGTATTGTGGGCCCTGTTCACATTGACTAACTGCTTTGTACTGTTGCTTAATTTTTTTCAGTAATGTCCACAGGCCAGGCACAGTGGCTCATGCCTGTAATCCCAACACTTTGGGAGGCCAAAGTGGGAGGATCACCTGGACCCAAGAGTTCAAGACCAGCCTGGGCAATATAGTGAGACCTCGATTCCACTAAAAATAAAAAGTTAGCCAGGGTGGTGGTGCATGCCTGTGGTCCCAGCTATTCAGGAGGCTGAGGCAAGAAGATCACTTGAGCCCAGGAGTTCAAAGCTGCAGTGAGCCATGATCATGCCACACCACTCCAGCCTGGGCAACAAAGTGAGATAGCGGCAAAAAAAAATAAAATAAAATAAAGCGCCATAGTATCTCTTCCACTAAACTGTATGTAGCCTGAGAGAGAGACAAAATATCTAACACATACCTACCTAATGTCCTCGCCACCAAAAATACTGCCTGAATATGAAAAGCACTCTATTCACACCTGTTACCAAAATAATTCTAAAAAGTCCACAGGGTATACCAAGCTTGTGCAACACCATATCTACATCACATGACCCTTGCAGCCAACACTGTCTTGTTCAAGTTTATGTCCCTAACATCTAGCACAGTGCCTGGCTTGCCATAGTACTCAGTAAATACTGATTGCATGAATAAAATTCTCTTTCATAATCCCCTTCTTATTTTAACACATTCCTACTTATCCCCTGCTCAGATAGGGGAGATATTTTTATCAGAACCAGCACTGAGAGGCAGCATGCAATATTCCAGGGGTTCTAGAGGCCTAGGTCTACTGGGAACTGCCTTTCACTACCTAAGGGATGTTACAACATTTAGCCACTAAGACTTAACTTCCCTACCTGTAAATGGAAATAATAAAAACTATCTCAAACAAAGGATCTGAAGATCAAAACAGTAATTAAAGTGTTAGATAAACTGCAAAAGAAAATAGAGGATAGGAGTAAAGGAGGTACAAGATGAGAATAAAAGAAGCAGCCAAACACTTGCCGCTTAAAGGAGCCATTTTTCTCGTATCCCCTCATTTATGGTACTAAAGAAGAATAAGGGCTTGGCCTGGTGAATGCAGGAGGAGTAAATCCTCCTTACCATTTCATCAGGAAGCCTCCCCACACTGCATCTTCTTCTCAGGATCTGTGGCATATAATTTAGTACTCAACAACACACAGTAGGTGAGTTTGTTCATCTTTTCACATGTTAGTCCCATTTCTCCAAACAGATTCATTCACTGCATATACATTGAGCATAAATCATGTACCAGGCAAGGGTATGCAAATTTGAATTACTATCTTCTTGCCCAAAGAAACAAAAAGACCACTGAGAGAGAATAAGCACTGAGATAAATAAAATGTCAATTCATTAAGTCAGTCATAAACTCTTATTCAGTGAATAGCATGGAGCCTTCAGAGAAACACTTTTCTTGGAAATGTCAACAATCACCAGATTTACCACTTGGTGGCATGAAAAGTTCAACAGGACTGACGAAGCCAGGCCTTCTGGTTGTGCTCTTGATTCTGCCACAGGAGAGCTGTGATAGTGCTGATGAAATCCTCCTCTGTTCTCTCCCTCAATTATTCCACACAAACACCAAATTCTGCATGCCTGTATCTTAAGAAAATCCACTAGCTGAAACACTGAACTTCCTAAAACAAAAGAATGAATGAATACCCTTCAATTTACTCTATAAAAGTCCTCTTCGTTTTACAATAGTCTGTTTACTCATTACTCAACAGGGAAGCTGGGGTTTGAGAGACTGGAATGTGGCCTGGGAGAGTTCAGGACAAGCTGCAATGCCAATCCCATCCTTTGTTGGATCCACAGCCTTGAACTAGTCACTTTCATCTCTTTGTACTTCAGTCCCCCTCATCTGCAAAATAACAGAGCTGATTTAGGACCTAATCTCAGAGGTGATCTCTGAGGTCCCTTCCAACTCCAGCACTCCGTGATTCTATATTTGATTCTTCCTGTATATTCTGCAGACCACCCCACCTTGCCCCAGTGAAGTCACATCCCAATTACTTAATGCCCACGTAGTGGTTGACAGATCAATTAGAGCAAACAGCCAGAACACAGCAAGACTGCACAGCACTCCACATGCTCCTGGGCTGTGTAAAGTGCCCTCTCTCTTTGAGGAGTGGGAGGAGGAAACTTGTGATCTCTGTCTTCCCTTAGCTGTTCATCAACATGTTGCTCAAATGTAATTACACATAAGCAGGATTTATTCATTCCTTATCCTATGTTCTCAAATCTTTATATGTTTTGCTGCTCCATGGGGGAAAAATAACTTAAAATCTCAGTCAGCAACTTGCCACACTGTAGTGAAAATTAAAAGCAATATCCCAATTCTGGGAAAATGGTGGCAATATATTTATTGAGTCTTCCACAGTCTCTACAAAAAATAAACAGAGCAACTAAATAGCAAATTTAAAAACTCATGGATGACACTCAACAAAATTTGGTGACAAGTTATCGGAGACAAATCACCAATAGCCAGTATGATATTGATGTCTATGTGGGAACAATCAAAGGGAAGCAATGGGGCATATGATGAACCTGAACCCAAAAGAGCCAATAGGGTAAACTGGAGAACTGCCGCTGAACCTGGAACAACAGGGGACCCACAGGAGGTTCGAAGGGCTGGAGCACTCAAGCCACTAGGAACTCTCAAAACTGATTGCCCAGGACAGGACTCCACACCAAGAGAAACTGCTGGGAACAGAATCAAAATGAAGCAGGACAGGCAACAGAGACAAAGAAAAGAGAAGGCTCAGGTAAAAGAGAGAGATGGAAACAGAACTACCACATTTTTTAAATCTCCATGAAAACAAGAGATTTTTAAATCTCCATTTCTCTGTGCAGTTAGAAATACTACCAAACCAACCCTCCTTTTTAAAATTCAGGAAAACTAAGTTTACATAAAAATTAACAACAGAAAAGTAACAAGGTCAAATCCATAAACATTTCTATAAAAAAAGAGAGAATAAGGAACAAAATAACATCCTTAGAAATATGTGATAGTGAAAGCATGCCAAAAAGACATATTTTTAAATAAGCTAAAAATACTTTAAATTATGCAAGGCATGAAAGAACAACATAAATTAGAATTAGAAAAATTCAGAAATAAAGTGACAAAACTCAAGAAAGCAAAGTAAAAAAAGAAAACTATTTTAGAGATAAAAACTAAACTAGAAGAAATATAAGAAAAAATAAACCTAAAAACTGCCTGAAACTTAGGGAAATTTTTTAATTAAAAAGAAATAATAGGAAAGAGATCAAAGGGATTTGAAAGTGACAAACATCGAAGATAGGCAAACAAGAACCAACATATGGATAAGAGTGGTTCCGGAAGAACAAAACCAAAGCAAGGAATATAATTCTAAAAACAGTAGTCTGTGAAAACTTTCCTGGAAAAAAACTATTTGAAACCTGATATTGAAAGAACATATTGTTTACCTGAGAATACTGACTCAGAATAATATCAACATATACTCTAGTAAAATTCTCAGACTTTTTTTTTTTTTACAAAAGATAATTTAGGCAGCATCTAATTTTAACTGTATACAAATTATAAGGAAAAGAAAAATTAGATCAGATTTACAACAAGCTTTATGCCAGAAGTAGATGGAATAACACTTAAGATTTTTTAAAAAATGTCAACCACAGATTTAATATTCAGCAGTTTTGACCTTTCGCATACAAAGAGCATAGATAAAATGTTATCAACATTCAGAAAAAAAAAATCAGGGAATATTGTTTCCATAAGCTTTTCCTAAGGATACTAGAGAAGAACTTTGGATAATCAAAGTGACTAGAAACAAGAATGTAAGTTTTGGTAGTAAGTATTAAATATGTAATTATTGAAGAACTAAAAACTAAATGAGGGTTAAAAAGGAAATATTATAATGTGTAATGACTATATGATTGTATTAGTTAACTAGGGCTGCTATAACAAACTATGACAAAGCTACAGGCTTAAGACAACAGAAATTTATTTTTTATAACTCTGGTGAACAGAAGTCCGAAGTCAGTTTCACTGGGCCTAAATCAAGGTGTTGGCAGGCTGCACGGCCTCCAGAGGCTCTAGAGGAGAAACTATTCCTTGCCTCTTCCAGCTGCTGGAGGCTGCCAGCCTTCCTTGGCTGTGGCCACATCACTCCAATATCTGCCTCTGTGGTTACACTGTCTTTTCCTCTTCTGTGTGTAATCTCCCCCTCCCTCCCTCTTGTAAGGACAACTGTGACTATATTTAAAGCCCACCCAGATAATCCAGGATAATCTCACCATCTCAAGATCCTAAACTTAATCACATATACAAAGTCTTTGTCATGTAAAGTAACGTTCACAGATTCCAGAGATTAAGACATGAATACTTTTTGAGGGACCATTACTCAGAGTATCACAATAATACAGTATAACCATTTTAAAAGATGGTGAAGGATACAGATGACATATTTTTTAAAAGGTTTTGGACTGTTTTCAGTAATCATAATTGGTGCTGGTGTTTGTACTACTATTCTGAGATTCCTAATTGTGTAGTGTAGGATAAAGCAAGTGAGTAATTATGGAATATTGGATTCTGTTATTCCCTATGTATTTGAAAACCAGAATTCTCAGTGTGGACAAAAGATCAGATGAAATACAGAAGTAGTTAAGATATTGGAAATATCAGTATGAACACACAAGTATGTTTACATCTATCACATTCATCCTTGCTCTTTCCTTATGTGTAGTTTCCCAGCTCTGTTCACCAAAAAAGACCTACAGACAATGGCCAACTCAATAAAAATTAGCATCCCTGGTGCCAAGATAATGGTCTTGAAATACAATTTTGCATTAAAAGATACCAGGTCTTCCTGGAGAAATGATTGATTCCAGGTCTGAGACACAAAATACACAAGGAGTGGAAGAGAGATGAAGGGGAAGGAGAATGGCGAGAGGGAGAGAAAATCCCTGATACCAAAAGAGGTATCGGTCTCCAGATTGTATGTATTCATAAATTCATAATTCATAAAGACGTTACCACAGGAAGGGGAAGGAGGTGCTGCTCAGCCCTGGACACACACACACAGTCTGGACACACAGCTAGCAGTGTCCAGCCAAATGCTTAGTAGTATGAGGAGGCCTTTGACCTACAGACTGAGTAATCTGGCCTCAAAGAGGAAATCATCACCATTGTTTGGGGGCACACCTCAAACCGTCTTGGCCTGCTGCCATTAAACATTCCCAAATACCCTTCTGATGGAGATCTGTCCCCCTCCTCACCACCACCCTCCTACCTGCAGGGAGATAAGTGCTGGTTTTGTATCCCCAAGTATATCCAGTAACTCTTTTCAATTAGGTTCCTCATTGTCAATCCATAAAAAGAAATTCTGGCCTCATAAATCAGGCTCGATAATCTGAACAACCCAGTTCTGCTCACAAATGTCCTTATTCTGTGTACACATCAGCAGTTCTTATGGCTGCACATGGCAAAATCACCTGGGAGCTTTTAAAATTACAATGATGATAGGAACCCAGCCTGAACATATGAAATAAGAATCCCTAGGGGCAGTGGGTATCCATGTTTTATAAGTTCCTCAGGTGATCCTATGGTGCAGCAGGGTTGCAAAGTACTGTTACATGAAATTAGGTTTCTGAGGCAGCAAGGTTAAGTGTTAGCCCTCAAACAGTCAGCAACAATGCCGGCTTTTAAGCCCAAGACCCTGGCTTCTGGGACAACCCCTGGGGCTCTCAAGCACATATAGGCCTCTTCCTGCTTGAATTTCTACAGAAATCCAAGATCATAACTAAATCTTTTTTATCCTTTGCCTTTCCGCAGAATTTGACCCTATAGAGTTCTGATGCTTTTCAAAATACTTCTCTTTTGGCTGCAATAGGGTAAAATTAATGACTAGACTTTAAAGGATTTTTTTTCACAGAGCAGCAAAAGGTATAAATATTTGAGAACATAAGACAAATAATGGATAAATCCTGCTTATGTGTAGTTACATTTGAACAACATATTGATGAACAACTAAGGGAAGACAGAGATCACAAGTTTTCTCCTCCCACGCCTCAAAGAGAGAGGGCACTTTACACAGTCCAGGAGCATGTGGAATGCTGTGCAGTCTGGCTGTGTTCTGGCTGTTTGCTTTAATTGATCTGTCAACCAGTACATGGGCATTAAGTAATTGGGATGTGACTTCACTGGGTAAAGGGGGATGGTCTGCAGAATACATGGGAAGAATCAAATATAGAATCATGGAGTGCTGGAGTTGGAAGAGACCTCAGAGATCACCTCTGAGATTTAGGTTCTAAATCAGCTCTGTTATTTTACAGATGAGGGGGACTGAAGTACAAAGAGATGAAAGTTGACTAGTTCAAGTCCATGGATCCAACAAAGGATGGGATTGGCATTGCAGCTTGTCCTGAACTCTCCCAGGCCACATTCCAGTCTCTCAGACCCCAGCTTCCATGCTGAATAAAGAGTAGACAAATTAGTGTAAAGTGAAAAAAGTGTAAATGAGAATGGGGAGGTGGCTGCCTCCCTCCCACATGGCACATCCAATGCATTCAGACTGCCCTAGAAGAGGTGAGTCAGCAGCCTCAAGTGTATGCTTCAGACATATTTTTAACAGAAAACAACTTAAAGCTACTGTTGGAAAGAGGAAATAAAGACTCACTAAGGGGCATCACTGTCACGAGCTACTGGACATCCATAGCATTCAAGGGATGTCAGCCTCACTCTAACACACCAAACTCTTGCTGAATTCATCCAACCCTGTGTGTCTTTACTGAGTGGCTACTATATATCAGGCCCTCTGTCTGCTGCAGAAAATACAAAAGTTCAACCACCTTTTGGGGCCCTATGCTAGGTACACAAATAACACTACTATAAGTCAAATGGTGCTGTGGCAATACAAGGAAGCACACAGGTACAGTTGGACGAGGGTGAGAAACTAGTATTTGCTGAGCTAACCCTCACAAGATGAGCGTGGAGTTGTTGTATGCATCCTATGCCTACAACTACAAAGCCAGCTTCAGGCCACAAGCTAGTTCAACTTTAGTAAAAGAAAAATGAGACCCACACCATAAACCTCTTTACCATCCTGTCAAGGGAATGGCTGGGAGGGGAAAGTCATTAAACATCAGATTCTCTACATAAAATTGTTTTGTGAAATATAACCAACATGACTCAGATGACAGTTCGGCTGGTCAGGGGAAGCAAAATCACTACAGTGGGTAAGAGCCATGTTGGAGATCCCACTCCTGGCCAAGGCACCCCAGTAAATGTGGTGAAGAGTGAAGCAGTGTACCCAGACTGTCATCAACTTCATGCATTGATTCATTCATTCAAGACCAATGGCACACCTATAAGGTGTCAGGCACTGTGCTAAGCTCTGGAAATTCAAAAGCAAGTCAGATACAGTGCTTCTTTAAGGATCTCACCAGCCAGGGAAAGCTACTCAGGGTGGGCAAGGAAGGGTATAGAAGACAGAAATAACAGATATACAGTGGATAAATATTAACAAAAGCCTGGAAACACAAAGGAAGTTGTTGTCTAATATCCCTAGCTCCGACCACTACCACCTCGTGCCTGCAGTACAGGATGAGCTTCCTAGACATTCTCTCCAGGCCTATTATTGCCCCCTCCACCACTCTCCATAGAGCTGCTAAGGATGTTTTAAAACCTCAAGAATCATCATTTAAAACCCCTGAAATACCCCTTCCAAAGCCACAGACTAGTCCACTAACAGCTGCCTCCAAAAATTGTTCTGGGTCCAGGAAAATGGATGAGCTCTGCCCCATCGCAGCAGCACCCATGAGTATGCTCTACAGAAAGCTCAGTGGAACAGGGCTGCATGTGAAAAGCAAGACCTCATTTCAGCACCAAAGCCTTGAGCTCATTTTTGTCCAGAATTGGATATGAAGTGAACTTGGGCAAGTCACTTGATTTGACAGACCCTCAGTAGCAGCAACTATAAAAGAGGAAAAATAGCACCCATCTGGCAGCACAGTTGGAAGAATTAAATCAGAAAGTTTATAAAACACCAAGCAGAATGCCCAGCACATAGTATGTGATTAATACCTAATAATATAATGTGCCTATCTTTCCACGTGTCAGTATCTTCCCAGTGAGGCTGACATCCTTCAAGTCACCATCTTGTCTCATCTCTCTCTGGCCTTCAACACTAAGCACTGTGTCCCAAATATGGTAGATGCACAATAAATGCTTCCTATAGACTGGATCCATTTCTACATCTGCATTTAGGAATGCAAATTCAGGGAACAGGAGTCAGACTCGGAAAGGGCTATATGAAGAAAGAAATCTAAGGAGAATGCAACAAACCCAGGGGAGGAAAGTGGATATTAGTGAAATAAGAATTTATGAGGGAGTACACAGTGATTCATAAAGACCACCACTTGGGGAGGACCCCAGTTCTTCTTGGTCTTCCCAGTGAAACTTCCTTTGCCTGCTCCAATGTTTTCACCCTATGATTCTTAAATTTTCCTGCTTGATTTGATTTGATTAGAATTATCTGGGGAGGCTCCCAATATGGAGAATTCCCACTTCCACAAAAATGAACTAGATATACCTTCCCCTATTCCTCTGAAATAGAACTAAAAACTCCAGACATTATACATAAAACAAGCAGGAGAAGAATCTGAAAGATGGAGAGAAGACAGACAAGCTGGGGACCTCAGCACCCAAGAGATGGCATAGCAGCAAGTTCCCTGCATTTTCTTTTTGCCTCACATCTCCCAGACTGGTTGCTGGAGAAGCTGGAGACCTGGAAACACCAATAGACACTGACAAAACAAAAAAGGTCCCAAGAAAGCCTGTTCTCTCTAACCAAATGACCAGGAAAGGGGCAGCACAGTATGACAATAAAAATTTTTCAACAGCAACAGCTCCACTCCAGAAAAATACCATAGAAAACACTATGGGCTGGGTACAGAGGCTCACATCTGTAATCTAGCACTTTGGGAGTCTGAAGCAGGTGGATCACTTGAGCCCAGGAGTTCCAGACCAGCCTGAGCAACATGGCAAAACTCTACAAAAAATCCAAAATTTAGCCAGGCCACCTGTAGTCTCAGCTACCAGGGAGGCTGAGGCAGGAATATCACTTGAGCCTGGGAGGTTGAGGCTTCATCAGTGAGCCATGATCATGCCACTGCACTCCAGCACAGGTGACAGGGTGAGACCCTGTCTCAAAAAAGAAGAAAAAGAGAAGAGAAAAAAACTGTGGCCCAATCTCACCAACCGAGTGGGGAAACTGGACTTCTCCTTCATCAGGCTGTAATAAGATGTTCCAGTCTTACCTCCCTCCTGATAGTGGCAACACCAAATGGGAAGCTGGAACATCCACCTCACCTGGCAACACAAGGCCTCCTCCACCTCCTTGCTGGGGTGTCAGAGGAGACCAAGTGGAGACCTTGAACTTTTGCCACCACCCCAGTGGTACTAAGGCCAGCATTAGTGGTTGTCATGTGGAATCAGTAATGAGTTGCCCCTGCCCTTTCCAACCAGGGTGGTATCAGCTGAGGCCTAGTGGATAACCTAGACTTCTACCACCACCTGAGAGTAGTGAGGCTCTCCTGCTAGAACAGGAGATCTAAATAAGATCCAAAGCTCATAACATAATATCCAAAATGTCCAGGTTTCAATCAAAAATCATTCATCACTCCAAGAACCAAGAAAATCTCAACATGAATGAGAAAAGACAATCAACAGAAGCCAACGCGAAGATGACAGATAATATTAGAATTACCTGACATGGGTCTTAAAGCAGTCCTAAGAATGCTTCAACAAGCAATTATGAATATGCTTGAAACCAATTAAAAAGTCAAAAGTCTCAGCAAAGACACAGAAGATAGAAAAATCACAATGCCCAGGTTGCACTGCATAATAACTGAATCAAAATCACTAGGAGTACTTAGCTATTATTTTGTTTTTATAACTCCACAGAGATTCCAATGAGCAGCTGAGTTTAAGAACCAGTGCTCTAATGCCGTGGGTCTCAAACTGAAGTGTTCATCAGAATCACATGGTGGAAAACTTGGTAAAGACACTCAGGCCCTATGCTACTTCAATAAGCCTGCGCCTCTGTATTTTTATTAGTTTTCAGGTGATTCTGATTACTCCAAAGACTGAAAACACCTGCTGTAATTAATCAAAGGAATTTGCAGGTAATTTCCTTCATCTGTGGAAGCTGCAAAATGCTTATCTGGAGGAAAAAAATGCATTTACGTGACTTTGAGGAAAGGTAAAATTTCAATCATATTTTGGATACAGGTGCCCAGAATATAGTCTGTTTAACCTGGGCTGCCAAATTTAAGAAATCTAGCCACATTAAAGAGCCAATTTGAGGCCAGGCACAGTGGCTCACACCTGTAATCCTAGCACTTTGGGAGGCCAGGGCAGGAGGATTGCTTGAGCCCAGGAGTTTGAGACCAGACTGGGCAATATAGTGAGACCCTGTCTCCAAATAAAAAAATTGCCAATTTGAAAATGTAGTTACAGTGGAGGCTATGTGTGTTTATGGAAAATAGCATGGACTCAAGATAATATGTTATCTGTCACTTGGCCCACAGGAGACATGAATCTTCCTCTCCGCAGAACAATAAAATGCTTCTACACGAGTGCTTCTTCCCACCCAAAGAAACCAAAAGAAAAAGCAAAGAGTTTACAGTCAAGATAGAAAAAAAGGACACGGCCGGGCGCGGTGGCTCACGCCTGTAATCCCAGCACTTTGGGAGGCCGAGGCGGGCGGATCACGAGGTCAGGAGATCGAGACCATCCCGGCTAAAACGGTGAAACCCCGTCTCTACTAAAAATACAAAAAATTAGCCGGGCGTAGTGGCGGGCGCCTGTAGTCCCAGCTACTTGGGAGGCTGAGGCAGGAGAATGGCGTGAACCCGGGAGGCGGAGCTTGCAGTGAGCCGAGATCCCGCCACTGCACTCCAGCCTGGGCGACAGAGGGAGACTCCGTCTCAAAAAAAAAAAAAAAAAAAAAAAAAGAAAAAAAGGACACAACCAAGGAGCTTTTCCATTGTGCGTGGTGGACTGAGATTTCCAATCCAAAAGGCAACATCTCTGGGAATGACCTTTTCAGCGTTTTGTACTCTACCAGAGGCACCATGGGGCCTCTGGGTGGAGAGAACTTGTCCTCAAAAATAGAGGTGGGCCAATAAACATATGCAAAAAAAGCTCAACATCACTGATCATTACAGAAATGCAAATCAAAACCACAATGAGATACCATCTAACACCAGTCAAAAGGGGTATTACTAAAAAGTCAAAAAATAACAGATGTTGGCAAGGTTGTAAAGAAAAAGGAACCCTTATAGACTGTTGGTGGGAGTATAAATTAGTTCAGCCATTGTGGAAAACAGTGTGGCAATTCCTCAAAGACCTAAAGACAGAAATACATTTGACCCAGCAATCCCATTACTGGGTATGTACCTAAAGAAATATAAATCATTCTATTATAAAGACACATGCATGTGTATGTTCATTGCAGCATTATTCACAACAGTGAAGACACAGAACCATCCTACATGCCTATCAATGATAGATAGACTAGGTAATGTGGTACATATGCATCATGGAATACTATGCAGCCATGAAAAAGTACGAGATCATGTCCTTTGCAGGGACATAGATGGAGCTGGAAGCCATTATCCTTAGCAAACTAATGCAGGAACAAAAAAAAAACAAATACTGCATGTTCTCACTTATAAGTGGGAGCTAAATGATGAGAACACATGGACACATAGAGGGGAACACCACACACTGCGGCCTTTCAGAGGGTAGAGGTTGGGAAGAGGGAGAGGATCAGGAAAAAGAACGAATGAGTCCTAGGTTTAATACCTGAGTGATGAAATAATCTGTACAACAAACCCCCATGACTCAAGTTTACCTATGCAACAAACCTGCACATGTGCCCCTGAGCTTAAAATAAAAGGTTTTTCAAAAATGGAATAAAGGAAAAAAATAGAAGTGGGGCCAGGCACAGTGGCTCACACCTGTAATTCCAGCACTTTGGGAGGCTGAGGTGGGCAGATCACTTGAGCCTAGGAGTTCCAGACCAGTCTGAGCAACATGGTGAAAACCCATCTCTACAAAAAAAAAATATATATATATATATATATCTATAGATATAGATATAGATATATAGATATAGATATGAAACTTAGCCAGGCATGGTGGCACATGCCTGTAGTCCCAGCTACTTGAAAGGCTGAGCTGGGAGGATCACCTGAGCCCCAGGAGGTCAAGGCTGCAATGAGTCATGATCATGCCACTGTATTCCAGCATGGGCAACAGAGTAAAATCCCATCTCAAAAGGAAAAAAAAAAAAAAGCTGGGAAAGGCAAGGAAAAGGGCATGGGCATTGAAAGGAGTGAAATGCCACACTGGACAGGAAATGCACAGGCAAGAGCCCAGCCAAGAATAACACCCTCCAGGAAGGGCCTCCCAGAGCTCCTCTCCTTCCCATTCTCCAGCATTTCCACCTACTCACTGATGCCTCATTTCTTTATCTGGACAACATCAACATGGTCCAGAAAAGTCTTTACAGGTGACCCGTTGCCCAATGGCACAGAACAGCAGACCTGGGTCCCGGACATAGCCACAATGGAAAGGACTAAGGTCACCTTTAACAGACCATTTGCCTATTCAATCCAACCTAAAAGACCCTCCTCTGAAAAACTGGAACAATAAAACCTATCCCCATGGGATAGGGGCCACTGTAAAGATTAAATTAGTTAATACATGTAAAATGCTTAGAACAATGCACAGAACACAGTGAGCACTTGATAAACATTAGCTCTTGGTATTTTGAATGACATACAGCACAAGAGTTAACAATGGAGACACCCTGAGCCACACTACCTGTGTTTGACTCTGGGATCTACCCACTACTAGATGTAGACCATGAGCAAGTTACTCTGCCTCTCTATGCCTTGGCTTCTCCATCTATAAGATACAAATAATGATAATACCTTAACTAGCATGGTTGTTGGGAGAATTAAATTAATCGTTTCATAGAAAGAGCTTGGCACAGTGCCTGGAACACAGTAAGCGCTTTCTAAATGACAGTAATTATAATGTTATCTTTCTATGATGTGGCTAGCATGAGGCAAGTAAGTTAGGGAGTCCCCTTGACCTCTGAGGTGCTTGTAGCCTAATTAAGGAGACAAGCAATGCACACACAGAAGTAGCAGGGAAGAAAAGCACAGAACATGGGATGCATGATAATTCTGCAAGCATGCAAACAGCACTTCTCATGTTCTCCTTCCTGTCTCCTTTCTCTCTCCCCAACACACTCACATGCCAAGGGAATTCAGAATGTTACAGGGTGCTGTGGGATTAGGGGAGTGCTCCCTTCTTGGTCACCCCCTTACTCCCAAGGGCAGGCCCCTTGGTAGGGATTCCCAGGTCTTATTCAATACTCAACGCTGCTCATTTAAACAAGTTCCCCCTGGAAAGCACTTCGTTTCAAGAATAAATGGGGGTAGCCACTCTCCTCAGTTTTCATGGATGGACCATAAAGGGGTAAGACACAGAAGCCTCACTAGAGAAAACTAACAGGGGTTAGTTTTCTAACTAACAGAGTAGGAATTCTAAAGTGTTCCAGCACCCTCTGGGCACTGAACTTGCTGGAAGTGCCATTTTAAATAACTTTTAAAGCCAACTGCTCCAGTGCTTAAAAGGAAACATGATGCTGAATATAAAAATTGTAAAGGGAAATGTAAGCATCACAAGGTATTAATTAATCCCATGATAGAAGATTCCTTCTGCTTAGATTACCTCTGCTTAAAGAAATATTTATCCAAGAAATTCAGAGAAAGACAAGACAGACAATACCGTACTTAAGATTCTGTGATTTTTAATCCTGACAAGGATTAAAGGGCTGGAACAAATGTGATGGTGGCATGCACCAGAACCTAGTTAACCCCTTTTTATTCCTTCCCAAAGAGGCTGACAGCTATTTTAAGCCCACAAAGTAGTCATGCTGTCTGATTTGCAACTTTAGGAATCAGAGTAGCTGCAGCTAGATTTTTTAAGCAGGCATGTATAATGAAGATAATACATGACTAGGCCTCTGACTTATAAAAGAACAGAGTGTCTGAATATTCTATAGATTAAAACCATGCACAGATGAAACTAAATTGCAACTTGTAGGACTTAATAACAATAATAAAAACAGCAGCCAACTCTGTGTCATGCACGGTGCTAGGCCATTTACAGGTACTACTGATTCAATCCTCCCATTAACCCTACGAAGTATGAGATATTTGTATCCTCTTTTTACAAATGAGAACGCTAAAGGAAAGATGTTACATAACTCACACAAAGTCAAGTAGCAAGTGAGGGATAGAGCCAGGATTTGAACCCAAACACAGTTTGGCTCCTGAATTCATGCCATGCTATGCTACCAACCAAATTCATGTCATAAAAATTGCAAAGTAGCAAATTACAGAAAATAAACCATGAATTAGGAAAAAAAAAAGACATCAATTCATTAATGAGAAAACAAGTTGAAAATGTTTCTTACATAAATGACAATTGAGAAATGACAATTACCTACTCCTGAAATTGGCCATATGTTCTATATTCAGATTCTAATTCCACTGGACATCCATCAGTGGAATTTTATTTAATTCAGGAAAAAAAAATGCTTACTTGGTATTTTCATTGGAAGGAATCAGCACTGTGTGAGATTGGGGGTATCAGAAAGAGGCCATGCTGGGGGGTCCCTCAAGCCACTGGGAACCGGAAGTTACTAGACTAAAGCAAGAGAAATGGTGGGGAGGAGTGGAGAGTCAATTAAGGCACCTCTCACCATTGGGTGACCCAGGAGGGTCCTGGCCATCTTATAGGGATCATCTCTTTCATTCAAAATACATTTTCTATGTGCAAGGCACTGTACTCAGGGCTGTGGAAGACACGGGGGCAGAGTGACATGGACCCTGACAATGACAATGTAGGGATGAAAATTGGACAGGACAAGCAGCTCTAATACAAAGCAGGTGGGACTGGTAACATCCACTTCACAGAGTGACTTGTGAACGGGGTGGGAAACTGCAGTGAGGGTTAAGGGAATGGTGGGTACTACAGTTGGGTTGAAGCCCAGGGTGATTAAAGGGAATTGTTCAAAAACAGCCTTGAATATCATACTAAGAATTTTGGTTCTAATATAGTAGGTACAGAAACTTTTCATGTTTTTGAGTGGGAGGATAACCATTTCAAGAAAATTGATAGGGCAAAAGTTTAAGGGATGAGGGGGATCAGAGAACAAGTGGGACACTGGAGGCCTTCAGAAGGTTATTGATGGCCCTGATAACAGGGGAGGGGGTGGAGCATCTGAACGGGTGATGGACCAGCCAGGGTGGGTGGATGGATGTCACTGGGAACATTCAAGAGGATTTGGCACCTAACTTGATGTGGGGTACAGGAGAGTAGAGCCTGGACATCATAGGTACCCAGTAAACAGCAAATTTGAGTTGGCTGTTAAATCAAAGAATACAAGGGGTACTTTAAAGTGTCAGGCCCATGTGCCCAAGAGGATGGTGGGGTCGTTAAAAGACAATGAAGTCAGAAGAGAAATTTGATTTCCAGCTTGTTGAGTGATAGGGACAGCAACACATTCAGGTACAGATGACCAGCAGGAAGCTGCGCATAAAGATGTGGAGTCTGGACTGAAGTAGAGAGCCAGCAGCCTGCATAACAGAAGAGTGGGAGTAGATAGAATCCAAAGGAGAGGGAATGGAGCACTCACAGTAGAGGGCAAAGGGAGGAGGTAGAACAGCCACAAAAGAAGGAGGTATGGGCAGGGGCAAGGGGCTGGCTGACTGCAAGCAGGCACAGAGAGCCCAATGAGGCATTCCACAGAGGACTAGGACAGGCAGCTCAGGAAGAAAAGTCAAAAAGGATGAGGATAGAGAAGGGGGCAGCAGAGCAATTTCAGTACAGCAGCCAGGACAGAAGTTGGAAGGAAGTGGCCAGGGACTGAATGAAGACTGAGATACTGCAGAGGGTGGAGTACTCTCTCACAAGGCTTAGCTGTGAAAGGAGGAGAAAGACAACATGTTAATTAAAGAAAGAGGTGGAAAGAAGAGGTATTTCATACAGGGAAGGCCATAGCATACTCTTAGGCAGGGAGGAGTAAGCCAGTGCCCAGGAGATGTAACTGTGCCAGGGTGGGGGTGGGGAGTGAAGGGCATAATTAAGAGGACAAGGGCAGACTAACAGGACATGGAAGGCAGATGGATCTCAAAATGAGGGAAAAAGAAAAAAAATTGGACTTCACCAAAATTTAAAACTTTGTGTTTCAAAGGACAATACCAAGAAAGTGAAAAGACCACAGAATGGGTAAAAATATTGCAAATCTATATAAGGGATTTGAATCCAGAATATATAAAGAACTCTTACAACTCAATAGTAAAAAAGCCAATCCAACTTTTAAATGGGCAAAGGATCAGAATAGACATTTCTCCAAAGAAAATATATAAATGGCCAAAAAACACATGAAAAGATGGTCTTTTTTTTTTTCTCTGAGTCTGCTTCCTAGGGAATGAGGAGACATTCTATGTTGTTCAAAAGGGAAATGCAAATCAAAACTATGATGAAATCCCACTTCACACCCAGGAGGATGGCTAGAATCAAAAAGTCAGACAACAAGCATTGGTGAAGATATGAACACACTGCTGGTGGAAAGGTAAAACGATGCAGCCACATTGGAAGTCCCACAAATGGTCACACATGGTTACCATGGGACCCAGCCATTTTACTTTTACCCAAGATAAATTTTAAAAAATAAAAATAAAAACATGCCTGCACAAAAACTTGTACATGAATGTTTATAGCATTATTTTTAAGAGGCAAAAATGGAAACAACCTAAATGTGCCTCAGCTGATGAATGAACAAACCAAATGTGGTATATCCATACAATGATATATTATCCAGCCATATAAAGGAATTAAGTACTGATAAATTATAGATGAACCCTGAAACACAACACTAAGGCAAAGAAGTCAGACACAAAAGACCACATATTGTATAATTCCATAAATATGAAATGTCCCGAATAGGCAAATCTAGAGACAGCAAGTAGATTAGTGGCTGTTCAGGTCTGGGAAGACGCAGGGGGTAAGGATTACAGGTGTGTGCCATCATGCCCAGCTAATTTTGTATTTTTAGTAGAGATGGGGTTTCACCATGATGGCCAGGCTAGTCTTGAACTCCTGACCTCAAGTGATCCACCCGCCTTGGCCTCCCAAAATGCTGGGATTACAGCAGTGAGCCACCGCGCCCAGCCTAGTGTTTCTTTTTAATGTGATGAAAATGTTCTAAAATTGACTGTGGTGCTGGTAGTACAGATCTGTAATATCTTAAAAATCACTAAATTATACATTTTAAATTAGTGAATTGTATGGTATGTGAACTACATCTCAATAAAACTATTAGAAAGGAGGGAACTCAATAGTAAAAAGCCAATCCAACTTTTAAATGAGCAAAGGATCAGAATAGACATTCTCCAAAGAAAATATATAAATGGTCTTTTCCAAAAACAGAAAGGAAGAAGAAAAGTAGCAAAGATCAAGTTTGCAGGGTAGGGCAAAAAGGCAGGAAGGAACGGCCATGGGCATGGTCCCAGGCTGCTGGGGAGGGTAGACAGCAGGACAAGGGCAGCAAAAAGGTCACTGAGGAGCTAAGAGCATCCTCAAGGCAACAAAGGTATAAAGGGAAGGCAGGTAATTATAGCCAGCGAAAGCATTCTGAAAGTTTGAGTCTTGGGAGTAGCTGCATTATGAGTAGGCAATAGTAAACAGTGAGTCAAGCCTGATTAGTATAGATAACTGGCAAAGGTCATCATTAGATGTGGCTGCATGATTTTGACCACTAAAAAGGACTGGGACATTGTGGGCAAAGGAACTACGACTGAAAGCCATAAAATCATGAAATGTACAGCTAACGTGGAAATAGATTTGTCCATCAAATCCCAAGATACCAGGTGTGGAGGAACATACTGGGACATCTGAGAGCAATGTAAGGACAAATAAAATAGGTGTCATTTCAGAGCAGTACTGTATCTTTGGAACTCACTGCCCCCCACCAAAAAAAAAAGTAGTCTGGGCAGAAGATAAGTGTTTTTAAAAGCATCTGGAAAAGCATAAGAAAGTGAACTACGTCTCCTCCTTAATGATGACATCAGAAAATACATCAGACCCTTAATCTGAATTGCTACTGTTCCAGAACCCTGGAAGACAGGACCCTTAGTCTGGGTGGAGAGAAGGGAGAAAGGGGACATAAACACCCAGTGTATAGTGGAATGGTTCTGAGAGCTCTGTACCATGCCATGCAGGCTCAGACGAGTCAGGGATACCCCATTTACGGTGACCAAATGTCATTCATCTGGAGGCCTTCATGGCCGTATGTTTAAGAGGCATCCACAGATATCCTGCTGAGGTTACTGGAATCTCTAAAATCCACATCAGGGAAACCATCAACCAATGAAGCCAGGTAGCAAGGAAGGAAATATAGCCAGAGAATTCAGCTTCAATCTGACCACATGCTCCCAAGCCACAAAATCACTCAGCAATGATATTTACTGCTTTCAGACTTTCCACAATTGGTCATTTCTTCCACTTGACAATTTTTCATTGTGACTATGTTTGTACCTGATGTTGAGGCTTGGGAGGGGGAGATACACCAAGGCATGAGGCAAGGTCCTCAAAGAACATTCCATATCACCAGAGAAGATATATGCAGAGAGGAAAAAACAGAATTTTGTGTGGTAAACAGCTTCAGCAATATCTCTCATCCCACGTGCAATCTTGCAATGTGAACTTGACATTCCCCCATCAAGAAGTAGGGCTTATGTCTCTTCCCTAATAGCCTGTTTTGACCAACAGGATGTGGCAGAAGTGACCCTATGTAACTCAGAAAGACCCAACCTTAAGAGCTTCTGCTTTCCTGCTTGGAACACCCCCTACTGAAAACCAGCTGCCAAACAAAAGGGCCACCATGCTGTGAGGAAATCCAAGCCAGCCAGTGAAGAGAATAGTCACATGAAGGACGACCAAGGCACAGTCATATGAGTGAAGCCTTCTTGAACATTCCAGCCTAGCTGTGGATGAATGCAGCAAAGTGAGTGATCCAGTCAACGCCATAAGCAACAGAAGAACAGCCCAGCCAAGCCCTGCCTGAATTCCTGAGCCATGATTCATAAGCAAATTAAACAGTTATTGTTTCAAGCTACTGAGTCTTGAGGTCGTTTGTTTTGAAGTGATGGATAACTGAAACCAGTTTGAAGCCAGGGAACCAGGGATAAGTCCTGGTTCTGTTATTATCTGACTATGTGACCTTGGGTCCATGACTTCCCCTCCAAACTTCAATTTCCTCATCTGTACAATGATGGGGTGAGGGGGTTGTACTAGATGAGCCATGGTGCTTTCCAGTTCTGACCATCTGTATCATACACGCAGATATAAGGGAACAATCTAGGCAATGAGTGTTAGGACTACAAAGGGAGCAACTATTAATACTTCAGGTTTGAGTGAGCCTTGGAGGAGGTGAAAGAACCATGGACCTGGAGTCAAAAGCCCTGGAGTGTGAGGATTAAGTGAGGCAGAGGCTAGAATAATGTATGGCACATAGTAAGTGCTCAATAAATATCATTAACTGATACACCAATTTGCAACTCTGGACAAATTAATCTCTCTGATCTCCATTTTTTGGTCTGAAAAATCGAGATAACACTAATGTGCCTGTGCCTGTCTCTATAAGAGGAAAAGTCTTTGTATGTAGAAGTCCAATGCAAATCAAAAATCACCTACAGATATAAGATATAACTATTATTAATACTCTTATTATCCTTTGTACCCATAGCATTAAAAGTCTCTTTCTCACCAAGAGAGGAGAGACAGTCAGTTGATGGCACTGGCCACCAGGAAGACATACTGGGAGATCAGGAGGCAGTTACTAAGGAGCCACAGGCTCTCAGGGCATGTGAGATTTACCCACCCACCAGCATCAGTCAGTAAGCCAGGTACCCACTCTGAACACAGACAACAGGTTTCCCTGGCAAGCAGCTCTCAGCCCAAAGGGAAATCTGGAAACAGCCAAGCATTAAAAGTTTGAGCCGGGCGCAGTGGTTCACGCCTGTAATCCCAACATTTGGGAGGCTGGGGCAGGCAGATCACCTGAAGTCGGGAGTTCGAGGCCAGCCTGACCAAAACGGAGAAAGCCCCATCTCTACAAAAAATACAAAATTAGCTGGGCATGGTGGCGCATGCCTGTTATCCCAGCTACCCAGGAGGCTGAGGCAGGAGAATCACTCGAACCTGGGAGTTGGAGGTTGTGATGAGCTGAGATCATGCCATTGCACTCCAGCCTGGGCAACAAGAGCAAAACTCCATCTCAAAATAAATAAATAAATAAATAAATGTTTGAATAATTTCCTGTACCAGAGTTCTAGAGGCCAGCAACCTGAGAACACTCCACTAGAGAGCTGTGACTCAAACCCGTGGCCAACATAGAGTGAATATTCCATAAAAATTATTGAATGAAAAGGCACTGGATTTGGGAGTCTGAAGTCAAAGCCCCAGGCTTAAATCTTGGCTTTGTCATACACAACTGTGAGCACTAAGGCACGCAACAACCTCCCTGAGCCTATGTCCTCGTTTATAAAATAGACATAAGGAGACCCATCTCCTAGGGAAGTAGTGAGAATTAAATGAGGTACTGCAGGTGAAAAAAATCTGGGATTGCACTTGATAACTAAATGCATGGGTTTTTAAGTGCACAGAACCTCTGCCACCCAGATGCCCTTCGATCCTAACCCCACACCTTTCAATCTCTGCAGAACCCTGAAAATGAGTGGCATACTTCCAAAGGAACACTCAATCCAATGTTGATTCTGAAAAACTGCCAGCCCTTGGGAGAGAAAGAGCTGCACTCATTTTCCAAGGGTACCCGACAAGGCAACAATAATACATTTGCATTTTCCAGCCTGCATTTTTCCAAAACAAGGGAAGACTGCGATGTGGATTTAACCCTGAAATCCCAGTGATTGTGCAGTTGCATAGACACTGCTCTGCAGGGATGTGGAAAACAGCCAGAGAAGGCTCTTACCAGGAGCATGTAGGACAGAAAAGCTCGTGCTTCCACCTCTGCTTAGGTCTTGACTAACATGGTGTTTGAATGTGCCAGGGTGCAGCATCAATTACAAAGATCTGGGAGTTAGGACCTGGTCCTCAAAGTCAGCCTTTGCCCAAAGAAGTTCCACCACTCCCCTTACCGTATGCTTTTGTCCTTTCTTCTCTGCCTCACCTCTCTCAAAGAAGGATCCTTGGTCCCCTATTTCTCATTTGCATTGGGAAAACAGCTTGAACCAACTGCGGCTCCCTCTCCTTTCACTGACCACCACTGCCTGTGAATCCAGGGAAGTTACTATAGGAACTACATCACACAGCCCCCAGACATTTGCTTAGAAAAGAAACAGTACATTTGGGAAAGGGAGAGTAAGATCCAGCAAATTGGAGGCAACCCTCAAGCCCAATATTTCTCAAAGTCTGGCCACAATCACCTGCATTAAATCAACTGGAATGCTCGTTAAAGGTACATAGTCCTGGGCTCCCCCAAGATGTATCAAATTAAAATTGGGGTGTGGCAAGACTCAAACTTGTTAACCCCCTCACCTGATTATTCTTATGCACACTAGGTTTTAGGGACCAAATGCAGAGGACTGAACTGTGATAAAATAAAAAGGCTTAAAATACACTTTCTATCTATCTATCTATCTATCTATCTATCTATCTATCTATCTATCTATCTATCTGAGACAGGGTCTCATTCTGTCACCCAGGGTGGAGTGCAGTGGTGCAATCATAACTCACTGCAGTCTCTAACTCCTGGGCTCAGGCGATCCTCCCACTTTGGCCTCCCAAAGTGCTGGAATTACAGGCAATAGCCACCATGCTTAGCCTTAAAAACACTTTAAATCTTATCTCCCTTCTTACCCTCTTACTTGTAAAATAGGGTACTGCTGAACCAAACAAAACACAAGCCAATTTCCCAGTTTATGTATGTCCAAGAAAATTAAATCATGACCCTGATGAAAACTCATACTTTAAAATAAAAACCTCTGCTCACCAAATCAACAGGCCTGGGCAAAAATTAACCCAAGCATCCCATCTTAGACCCACCGACCAGGTCTATTCTGAGAGATGAGAGAACTAAGATAAGATCTTGGCTGCAGCCCCACTCTGTCCCAGCCATACCCAGTAATTCAGCTCTGCATTCCACGGCAGGGTTTAATGTTTCGGGGGACTAAGCGGGGCAGTTCTCCTAGCTCCAGCAAATATGGCTGGGATAAGGTTATTCAGGGGGAAAAAAAGGTGAGCTTCACCAATTCACCCATATACATGAGAAAGAAAAAAATCTAAAGAAACTGACCACACTGGGCACATGTCAGATACTCGAAAAATGTGTGAATTGAAGGAAGAAGACACCTGATGGAATAATCCTTTCGTGAGATGCTAACAGCCTGCACGTACACCATCAAGAAAGAGAAAGAGAACAAAGAGTCAAACTGTCGCCACATCCAAAGTACAACGTTTTCAAAACCAGCAAGACCCAGCCTACTTAGAGGGACAATACTTTTCCACCTACAGGCACACTGTAGGTGCCGAAAGTCCCTGGGTCTCTCTACGTCACAGAGGAGGTCAAGTGGCTTGAAGGAAGAGCAGAACACTGTTCCACAGAAAAAGCACTCTTTCCTGCTGATGGGCAGTGGGAACCGCCACTGCAGTTTCAGAAGCCAGAACTCCTCACTCAGGGAGGTGCATCACAGGGAGTCAGCCTTGCTCACACCTGATGGTCCAGGGCCGAGGCTTCTGCTCCACCCCTCCCCCAACGGTGGACCTGGGGCTCCGACCTCAGCGCTGAAATTCCAGTCATCTCTGCTAAATTCTTCAGCAACAGTTCCCTACTAGATGCTGAAACTTAACATTAAGCCACAAAACTAGCAAATGGGTAGCTTTCACCACTCCCTTCAGTGACTGGCACATGCAGAGGAGTCTGGCAAATTAGCCATTTAGGAAGTGACTCTGACACCTAGACCCGGTTACCTGGAGTTTAAAAAAAAAAAATCTGGATTCTTTTCTTCAATTAGGAAGCAGGCATTCCTCTTTTAAAAGACCTTCCTGAAAGCACCTCTCCCTGGGAGCCCAGCAGGTAAATAACACCAGAGCTTCCTTAAACCGATTCTAAACGACCAGGTGCCCAGGCTGAGCTCACTTGCCGGCTTCTCCTCTGGAGGAGGGATCCGGGAAGTAACTCAATCCAGTCCTAGGCGGGTAAGGATGGGGGAGTCTGCAGGTGGGAAGGGGGAGGTGAGGCAATACCGCTCAAACTTTGCAGTTGCTCTTGAGCAGTTCTGGGCAGGAGCCCGCGGAATTATAGACTCAGAAGGGAGAGTTACCCTCCCTAAGAGAAAGGCCCCCAAATCGGCCTAGCCCGCCAGCTCTGGGTCCAGGACGGCTGTGCATCCCATCCGCTCAAACATGCCCCCCCAACCGCCACCACAGGTAGCACCCTCCCCGGAGCCCCCTCACCTTGGCCTCAAAGCAGATGCCGTGCTGGAAGGCGTCCTCGTTGTGCAAGGGGATCCGCAGGTCGTGCCCATCGTCCACAAGGTTGTACTTGGTTTTGCTAGGCATGGTTACCCGCGGCGGACCCGCTCCTTCGGAGGCGGCGGCTGCAGGAAGGGGCTGGCGAGACCCCGGGGAGGGGAGACTGGAGCTGGGCGCGGCGACGCGTGGCGGGGCCTGGGAGCGCTGGGCAGGGGGAGCCCTGGCCGCGCGGCGGCCGGACCCGGAGCGGTGCCGAGGGCCGAGCGGCAGCGGGCTGAGCTGATGCGGGCGACGCGAGCGGCGCTGTGGTCGCGCAATTCCTGCCGGCTAGGAGGGCGGCAGGGGAGGAGGTGGCGGCGGGAGCGGGCTGCGCGGCGCCCCTGCCCGGGGAGGGGAGCGGTGGGGCTTGCGGCCCGAAGCGGGACTGGGCGCGGCGCCGGCCCCAGAGCAGTGGAACGCACCGCCCGGGACGAAGAAGAAAAGGCGACGGTGGCGGTGGCGGTGGCGGTGGCGGCGGAGCAGGGTGCCTGTCACGGAGACGCTGGATCAGCCGCCAGCGAGCGGCTCCTCCTGTGGGGCGGGCCCAGGCCGGCTCCTCCCGCCGGGCTCAGAGGCCCCGCCCGCCGCCGGGTCCGCCCCCGCGCTGCCCGCGCTGCCAGCCGAGCAGGTGAAAGTCCCCGGGAGAGTCGCGCCCGGCCCTGCCCGCGCCCCCGGCCGCGCGACGCCGGCAACTTCGCCCCGGCCCCAGACTGCCGGGATCTGAGGTGCCCTAGCTCAGCCTAGTTTCCTTTTTTTAACGGTCAAATTCTGAGCCGGAGCTACTGATGGCCGCGGCGGCATGGCCTTGAAGTTTTTGTTTTTGTTTTTGGAGAGGGGGGAGGGGCCGTGTTTATTGTTTTGTTTTCGTGTTTTACCAGGAAGGCCCAAGTCTTGTCCCAGATATCCCAGATCTGGGCCCTCATTAATTCTCAGAGTCCCCTTTCTCAGAAGGCAAGACTGCGCCCAAATGGAGGACTATCTTAGGCGCTTTTTGTTCGTATGTGACTTGTGTAATAGGGCTTATGGGGTGCCTTTAGGGAGGGTTTTAACATTTAAAAGCCATCAGCCTTGTAGAAATGGGGAAGGCAGAAAGGAGTACTAAGGACAAGAGAATCCAGAACATTTTTATATTCTTGACTGTCTACAACTGGGTATGGACAAAATGAGCTTCCGAGTTATTTCCGGCCAGCGTATTATGGTTCCCATCTTAGTAAATGCTGGAGCTCAATTTGCCTATTGCTAAGAAGGGGCCTAGTCACTTTTCTCCTTTACATCAACAGTTTTGGAGAAAAGTTGCCTAATTATCTCCATCTTGGCAGATATCGGGTAATGGAAGGGTTGTGTCCTATGTGTTCAGTTTCTGAACGGTGCAAGATATGCAAATAAAGGAGCTATAGGAGGAGTTCGTGACCAAGTATTCAGTATCTGTGAAAACACCATAGGTAGAGCTGCAGGACAGCTGTTATATACATGGCTAACTCCAAAATCTCGGAAAGTAACCAGTCAAGCCAGTGTCAAAGCCAGTCAAATCTGAGATTCCTTAGACCAAAGGGTCAGATTCTCTGTTGAATTCATCACCTTAAACCTACTTTTAGTGCCCTGTGGACATATCTACCCAAGGCGACTTGCAGACCAAACATTATTGATTGTTTGTTGTATAGGCCAGGCTTGGAATTACCATAAAGCGTAACAACGAAACTGCTTGTAAAAGGCATGTCTTCTTATACCATTTCCATGACAGATTTCTACAAGAGAATACATTATTGCCGTGATTGCATTTCTCATTTTGTCCCATAGTGCTAAAGTACAATTGCCCTTAACTAGATATTGCCTATTCTCTAACTGCTGAAATTACTGGTCAAGATGTAGCAACTTCTGGGATATCTCCTTAAATAAAAGCAAACTGATGATATGGACAAATTAATCACATACATTATGCTGTACAGATTTTATTATATTCATAAATATTAGTAAGAACCAAAAATAATTTGCACTGAAGAAATGCACCACTAACCTTTTTATAAATACAGGACATGAAAGTCTAATCAGGCATGTTTGACTCTTTGAATGTCAAAGTGGTTTTAATATGCATCGTAAATGTACTCTCTAAAACCTGGCACAGTAACTCAATAACTTAAAGGCAAGACCTTAAGTAACTATTTCATTTACATCTCATATTCTCTCCCGAATTTAAAATGTCCTCTGACTCCAAACGGCCTTTTTTCTAGATTAGTTTGAGTCTAACTGGACTGCTGAATTTATCAGAATTTCATATCTAAGTCTATAACACATTGTTTGTAGACAAAACACAAACAAAAAGGCTGAAATCCCAAAGGTATTTCAGGGTCTAGTACAGAGACTACTACAGAGTAGACAGCCAATAATTATTTATGGAACTGAATAATAATAGATAATGATCATTCCCTTTCACTATGTGTCAGGCATTGTTCTTAGAGTCTTACAGGTGTTATTTAATATGCACACAACTCTAAGGTTAGCCCTGTTTTACACAGAAACCGAGGCACAGGGGGGTTTAAATAACTTGCCCAAGGTCACACATGTAGAAAGGAAAGGAACTGGAATTTGAATGCAGGTCAATTCTGTGTCAAGAGGTGGTTCTGGCATGCCTGGATTGATAAGAAAAGCTTCATATTACAAATGAGATGCAAGTCAAATTCAGAACCCATGTTTTATTTAGGCACATAGTATTGCTAAGGTAATATTCATTCCATTTCAGTTATATGAAGTGTTCCAAAAAGGAGAGTCTCATTCTCTACTTTGGCCTCCACCTAATATAACGTCAGTGCCACATAGGCATGAAAACACCCTTCTTCCAGAAACAATGGGCATCCAAAGTAATTTCCTTTTTTTAGGCAGTGATTTCAATCTTGTTTTTACACCTTTAAATGTAACTAAATCTCACCCACAGCATTTCCAAACCCATTTTAAAAAAATGAATCAAGTTTTATTTCTTTTTCTTTTTTTTTTTTTGAGACGGGGTCTCACTCTGTCACCCAGGCTGGAATGCAGTGGGATGATCTCTGCTCACTGCAACCTCAGTATCCCTGGTTCAAGCAATTCTCCTGCCTCAGCCCCCACCCATGTAGTTGGGATTACAGGCATGCACCACTATGCCCAGCTAATTTTTTTCTTTTTTTCTTTTTTTTTTTTTTTTTGTATTTTTAGTAGAGATAGGGTTTCACTGTGTTGGCCAGGCTGGTCTTGAACTCCTGACCTCAAATGATCCGCCCACCTCGGCCTCCCAAAGAGCTGGGATTACAGGCATGAGCCACCTCGCCTGGCCTCAAGTTGTATTTCTTATAGTGAATGACAGGTACTTGTATCAGTTTCCATACCATTCTGTATTTTAAACATTGCTTGATAAAATTTTAATCTGAAGTATATTTAATTAAATATAAATTGTCAATCATATAATACTTCTTATTTTAACTTTGTTTGAAAATTAATTGTAAAAAAAATCCTGCATCATGGCATCTTAGAACTGGAAGTTACTTCAGAGATCATTTAATCCAGCTCCTTCATTTTAAATGAGACAAAGAACTATCTGAAGCCCAGAGAGATTAAGTAATTTGCCTATCAAATTACTATGAACTAGAGCTAACTCAGTAATCTTTCTATCACACAGTAATGGGTTATAAATGAATTGACAGCAAACTTTACTTTTAGCACATATTTGGAATTGAGAAAATTAATTTGCTTTTTTTTTTTTTTTGAGATGCAACTTCGCTCTTGTTGCCCAGGCTGGAGTGCAATGGCACAGTCTTGGCTCACTGCAACCTCAGCCTCCTGGATTGAAGTGATTCTCCTCCCTCAGTCTACCAAGTAGCTGGGATTACAGGCACCCACCACCACACCCAGCTAATTTTTGTATTTTTAGTAGAGACGGGGTTTCACCATGTTGGCCAGGCTGGTCTTGAACTCCTGGCCTCAGGTGATCCACCCACCTCAGCCTCCCAAAGTGCTGGGATTACAGGCGTGAGCCACCGCACCCAGCCTTAATTTGCTTTTGATCATAAACACTGGCTTCCACATGCTAAGCATGGCAGGTGCATTGCCTTGCTTCACCGTATAAGACAGGTTATCCACATTAAACAGGTGAGGAATCTGAGGCTGAGAGAGGGAAGTAATTTGTATAGGTCATAAAACATAAGTAGGAATCCTGGCATGAGTAGAGCCAACAAAGAATGAAGAGTATGTCAGCTTGCTCAATACTGCTCAGATATGCAGATGGATAGAACTCACAAAATCTTTGTATAAATAATACTAAACATTAAAAATACATAATGATTTCAAATTATTTTTTCATGTTTTACTGTTTTTACCTGACAGTGTTTCTCTGCGACATATAGAGTTAGAAATCATTAGCCCATTTTTTTTTTTTTTTTTTTTTTTTTTTGAGACGGAGTCTCGCTGTCACCCAGGCTGGAGTGCAGTGGCGCGATCTGGGCTCACTGCAAGCTCCGCCTCCCGGGTTCACGCCATTCTCCTGCCTCAGCCTCCCCAGTAGCCCATTTTTTAAAGCGGCAATAGACATTAAGTAATTTCTCTTTGGGAAAAAATAGCGCCCTCTATCACCAATGGTCTCTAATGCAAGTTTGGTTTAGCATGATCTTTTACTACGTGAGCAACAAAGTAATAATTTGGGATATTTGCCCCATCAGAAAGATTATTCAAAAACGTATTACATACTGTGATGCTGGTCCACATATTTTTCCTCTTCATGGAAGCAGACTCCATCCACTACCACCCCCATACCAAGAACTAAGCCATATTGAGTCATTTATTTCTGTTTCAAAGGTAAATCTCTCTACAAAAGAATGCATATCATGTTCTTATAAATTCAATACTCTTTCAAATCAACTTCCAAATGGGAATGCCTGTTGGGATCCAAGCTTTCCACAACAGCTAGCTGATGCAGAAGGAGAGACAGCACGGTGAGTGGGAAGCAGTGGCCAGAGCTACTTCCTCCTATAGCACTTTCTCACACATCCCTGGAGCAGAACAGCAGGAAACAGGCAGTATCAAAGGTTCTCTTGAAACACTTGTGGGGAATTAGGAGATCTAAGGAAGAGAGGAAGGTCTGAAGAATTTTGAGTTGAAGAAAGAAGTTTAGGTTCTTGGCACGGTTTAAGTTCCCCTTCTCAGGTAGATTTGTTGAATAATCTCTACTGGATAGTATAATCTTTCCTGCTTTTCTAATTCAGAATATTCTTTTTCAAGTTAAAGGTAATAGCTGGATTTCTTAGTGCCACTTAGTATTTCAAGTAAAAAGTACTTATTAATTTGATGGCTCTGGGTCAAAAAGCCTTTTGGTCAAAGGCAATAAAATCATATTTAACAGGTATTCCTGCTGTAAAAGTTTCCCAGGCACAGCGAGGAACATAAGAGAGGTATACACCCTTCATGAGACAGACACTTTTAAGTGCAGAAGGTAATGTATGATCTACACATAAAAATGAGGCGCCCATCTCTAAGTGGCATGAAGGGAAAGGATGGACAAAAATCACTGGGGCTGGCGTGGTCAGGAAAGGCCTCAAGGAAGAAGGTCAGGCTTGCATTGGGCTTTAAAAAGGGAAAGGATTGGCTGGGCGCTGTGGCTCATGCCTATAATCCCAGCACTTTGGGAGGCCGAGGCAGGTGGATCACAAGGTCAGGGGTTCGAGACCAGCCTGACCAACATGGTGAAACCCCGTCTCTACTAAAAATACAAAAAAAATTAGCTGGGCATGGTGGTGGGCGCCTGTAATCCTAGCTACTCAGGACGCTGAGGCAAGAGAATAGCTTGAACCCAGGAGGCAGAGGTTGCAGTGAGCCAAGATCGCGCCACTGCACTCCAGCCTGGGCAACAGAGAAAGACTCTGTCTCAAAAAAAAAAAAAAAAAAAAAGGGAAAGGATTTTGATTTTAAAAACACAGGAGGAGGGCAGACATGGAGTCAGGGTCTACAGAGACATTAATCTGCAAAATGTCCTCAGGGGACAAGCTTACAGGGTGGAGAGTTCCAATTGGAGAGCCATTAGTGATAAGGCTGGGAACAGAGTCAGGAGACAGCTAGAGAGGCCTTCAACAGCTGGCTGAGATGACTGCACTCCATGGGATATTTTTGAACTGGGATGTGACCCTGGGTGCTAATTCAGAAAGATTACCTCCCCATTACCACCAAAAAATGAATACTTTTTTATTTAAGCTACAATTGAGAAATGTCTGGCATTAAAGGGAATGATTGGCTTTTCCATATTATAAGATTATATAGAGAGTTGACCAGATCGTCCTCGTGTTGTCTCCTGTACCCACAAATGAAGGATACTGAAAACAAAGCTGCAACCAATTATACCTCTGTATCATGGGTCCCAAAGTACCTCCACATTGCTCACTTCCAGATACTTTTTAATTCTTGCTTCCATTCCCCATTGAGTGACAATATTAGTATTATTTATATATTGTCCGTTTGTTTTTGTTTGTTTGTTCATTGGTTTTAGTGCTTCATAATGGCAAAGAGATCTTGATGGAGAATTTTCTTTCATTTAGCTCCGCTACTAAAAATTGATTTTAAGGCCCTCACTTTTACCTCTCCAAAGTTATATCTATTCCTAAATCTGGGACTATTTACATTAATTATCTATTTAAAACACAGAGTAAGCCCAGCTGTTACATTTAGAAAGCTGGGGCTTGTGTGCTCAACTAAATCTATCCTGTGTCATTGTAACTGATCTTGCTTCCTCTTTATAAATCCTACATTCTTAAGATGACACGAGGGCTGTAAAAAGACTACGGAAAACCTTATAAATGCAATATAAATTAATGTTATTTTCAGATCTCTCTTTGTTGGTGAAAAACTTTTAGGTAGTTTTGTAGTTGCTTAAAAACATAAAGCTTGCTCTGGACCCTCCACTAGTGTGCTTTTAAAAAGCAAGCAAGAAGAGGAGAGGAAAGGAGAGAAGAAAAGAAAAGTACAGATGCACAGTGCAACCAGGTGTGTTTGGACCTTAATTTTCCCTCCCAGGTTCAAGATCTCCCACTTTGAGTTTTATGTGTCCTGAGAGCTCAATTTCAGTTACCCCAGACTTTGATTAGCATAACAGGTTCTCACCATGCTCTAATATTGTCTTTTGAACTCCACACAAAGGGAGAGGCACAATATGTTTTCTAAAAATTACAGGCATTTCAGGACAACTAGCAAATTAAGTGTTCAGGTCTCATCCAGATCCAGCTTTAGCAGTTTTCCATCATTAACAACTGCCTCACTCCCTTAAAAGGTCCTGTAATCTCTTTTATAAATCTCTTGACATCACCAGCTGGCCCCTCTCCACACCACTCAGAGCGTTTTTCTTGAAACAGTGCTGGAGGGGCCTCAGGATTTTCCACCTCTCTGAGCAGCCGTGCTGTGCCATTCACTGGCCGAAGGCAGCCTCTGTAATCTGAGCTTCACATAAATGATAACACTTTAACTGCAGCCAAGTTTAATTCAGAACAAATGTTCCCCATGCTCATACCTTTTTGGAAAAGCAGCCCAGTCTAACAGCTAGAACAGTGATGGGGTTCAGAGCCAGAGTGGGGGTGGGGTGGGATCTCTAAGTGCAAATCTGACTGCCCATACTAATATGCTGGGCTGCTGTAGTCCAGTCATCTGCCTGCCTGTGGCCCTGTGTCCATGTGTGAGACGGAGGCATAATTCTCCATCACTGTGTATTGTACGTCTACCATATATTCCAGGAAATGTTCTTACCAAGCCTGATGGTAAAATGGAGTATTCTAGTTAGTCAAATATTCTGGTTAGTGGGAAGTTACCATGGATATAAAATTTACTGATGAGAAGGCGATCATAAAAAGCTCGTTTCTGAGCAGACATGTGTATACCCATGTTCATAGCAGCATTATTCACAGTAATTTTCCCAAAAGAAGAAACAATTCAAATGTTCATCAATAGATGAATGGATTAAACAAAATGTAGTGTATATATGCAATGGAATATTATTCAGCCTTAAAAAGAAAGGAAATTTTGACATATACTACGACATGGAAGAAACTTGAGGACATTAGGCTAAGTTAAATTAGCCAGTCACAAAAGGATGAATACTATGATTTCACTTACATGGAGTACCTATAACAAGTGAATTCATAGAAACAGAAAATAGGATACAGGTTATCAGAAGCCAGGAAGAGGGGATAATGTACAGTTATTGTTTAATGGGTATAGACTTTCTGTTTGGGATGATAAACGTTATGGAGATAGTGGTGAATTCACTTAATGTCACTGAGTTATTAACTTAAAAATGGTTAAAATAGGCCAGGCGAGGTGGCTCATGCCTGTAATCCCAGCACTTTAGGAGGCCAAGGTGGGTGGATCACTTGAGCTCAGGAGTTCAAGACCAACATGGAGTTCTAGGCAACATGGCAAAACCCCATCTCTACAAAAAATTCAAAAATTAGCCAGGTGTGGCAACATACACCTATAGTCCCAGCTACTTGGGAGGCTGAGGTGGGAGGATTGCTTGAGGCCAGGAGGTGGTTGCAGTGAGCCAAGATCGATCGCCTACTGCATTCTACCCTGGGTGACAGAGTGAAATCTTGTCTTAAAAAAAAAAGATTAAGGGCTGGGCATGGTGGCGCACGCCTGTAATCCCAGTACTTTGGGAGGCCCAGGCGGGCAGATCACGAGGTCAGGAGATAGAGACCATCCTGGCTAACATGGTGAAACCCCGTCTCTACTAAAAATACAAAAAAGTAGCTGGGTGTGGTGGCAGGTGCCTGTAGTCCCAGCTACTCAGGAGGCTGAGGCAGGAGAATGGCATGAACCCGGGAGGCAGAGCTTGCAGTGAGCCGAGATCGCTCCACTGCACTCCAGCCTGGGAGATACAGCGAGAGTCCATCTCAAAAAAAAAAAAAAAGAAAAGAAAATTAAAATGGCTTTTTAAAAAGCAAGTTTCCAAAGATATTATAACACTTCCTTAAATAAGGTGTTTGGGTTTCTTGTGTAACTACAGGGTCACTGTTACAAATGTCAACCATTATTCTGCTGATGAGCAGATATTCTGGTCAGATATTCTCATCAAGACTATCTTAAATCAACAAGTATGTACTACTTTGTGACATTCAAATTCTTCAGAATGCCAGTTAGAATAATAAACAGACTAATAAAAATGCCACACTTTGGGATATTAGAATACTCGAAACCCCATTTGAGACCATCTCAGGTGCTACCCAAGGCAGTTTGTATGGTTATTTCCATGGAGGTTTTGAAATATTTTATTGCCTGAAGGGCTATATGAAACTGGTTTCCATCTGAACATCCGTGGCAGGGTAAACTGTCTCTTATGTTGGAGATGGATGTTACTTCGTTCGGTGTGCATTTAGTGAGTGCCTGCTATGTGCCATGGTTGTGTGAGACATCTGATCATTTAGCCAACAGATATTTATTAGTTGCTGACTGCATGCTCTGTCAGCTCATTAGTCTGCATGCTCATTAGTTGCATGACTGAATGGCTCTTCACAGTGGAAAGAAATAGATGAAACAGTTCTTGTTCTGGAGGAACTCACTTTGATCTATCAAGGAGTTAAGACTGATATTCCGATGGTATAAAAATAAAGCACTAAAAGTGCTTCAGAGGGCACAAAAGTGATACCATGGAGTTCAGAGCAGGAGAGATCACTTTGTATGGCAACCAGGGGTGGGTGGAGGTGGAGAGTGGGAGGAGACACAGAAAATGTCACAGGGGAGGCAGTACTTGAGCTTGGCATTAAAGGATTCTATTACTTCCATGGGCAAGATCAGAAAAGCCCATTCCAGGTAGAGGAAGTGGCCAACCAGACTATTGCTGACCATCACTCAATATACTTGAGGCCACAGTGCCCTCCTGTCCCCTCTGCAGATACATTTTGAGGTTACCTGAGACTTTGTGGTCAACCAATGAGTCCTGCTCCGTTGTCCACTGAGCTCTGCAGTCCTTCCCGAGTTACCTCCAGGGGCCTGGCCACAGAGGATTAGAAGTGAAATGAGCCAGGCTTGCCAAGACCTGTCTGAGCTCAGACCTCTGTCCCGTGGTTTCGTATCCTTGGGCCAGAAAATGATGAGGGTCCCAACAAAGGACTTGTCCTCCTATTTTAGCCAATAGAGGACAAAGAGAGAAAAAGTGGTTATTTGTTTCAGGGTCACAATTCCTCAGAGAAAAGAAAATGTAATGGTCTGGGTAGAGAATGAAGTCTGAACTTGTCCACCAACCTATTTTACACATTTGTGGATGCACATGCTTGCACACACACGCATACATGATTTCATTGGCAAGAAGGAATTGCACCACCTCTGTCGTGTACTCACTGGCAGGGTAAAAATCCTTTATTTCACAACACAAATCCCCCAGCAGTGATTACCCCTTGACATCTGAGAGTTGCGCTCTGATAGTGCATGTTTCCTTGAGGTCTGCTTTTGTGGAGGGAAGGTGGGCCTGGCCCCCCAAGGAAGGGAGGGGAAAGCATGTGTACTGAT
Organism: Homo sapiens; assembly: GCF_000001405.40. Classification (NCBI taxonomy): domain Eukaryota; kingdom Metazoa; phylum Chordata; class Mammalia; order Primates; family Hominidae; genus Homo; species Homo sapiens. The sequence goes on along the minus strand of NC_000001.11, from coordinate 162,059,722 downwards.
CTGCCACATGCTTGAAGGTGCCCAACACTTTTACTGATCTTATCTCCTTTAATCCTCACACCCACTCTGGAGGCCAGGCATTACTGACTCTACCTGTAACTAAGAACTAAGACTTCAAACTTGTGCTCATATGTTTAAAGTCCACGTGGCATCCAAGTATGGGAAAAGACGCAGGGAGAGGCACCAGAGGCAAACTTTTCCAAATATGCAATTTTGCCCAAGGTTGACCCCATGCATGTGTGTATATGTATGAACACACACTCATACACACACACACACACACACACACACACACAAAGACTTATAAGTATGAGCCCAGTCATCACACTGCCTGAGTTTGAATTTTGGTCAAATTCAAACCTCTCTGTCCCTTAGCTTCCTCTTCTGTAAACTAGAAACAATTACTGTATGATGTTTGAGATGCCTCATAATAATATGGGATGGGGGGAGGTAGGTGGGCATATAGATGAAGCAAAATTGGCCATCAGTTGATTATTGTTGATGAGTTGATCATTGTACATGAGGTTTTATCATATTTTGTGCTCTATTTTTGTATATGTTTAGAATTTTCCATCTTAAAAACTTGTAAGCAGCATTATTCACAATAGTCAAAAGGTGGAAACAACTCAAATATTTATTAGTGATAAATGGATAAGCAAAATGTATTTACATATCATGAAATATTATTCAGCCTTAACAAAGAAGGAAATTCTGACACATACTACAATGTGGATGAAACTTTAGGAATTACACATGCTAAATAAAATAAGCCAGTCACAAAATGACAAATACTGTATGATTCTACTTGTGTGATGTACTTAGTATAGGCAATTTCATGGAGACCGAAAGTAGAAGAGTGGTCACCAAGGCCTGGAAGGAAGGGGAAATGGGGAGTTATAGTTTAATAGGTACAGAGTTTCTGTTTGGGATGATGAAAAAGTTGTGGAAATGAATAGTGGTAACGGCCATGCAACGTTGCAAATGTACTCAATGCCATTAAACTGTACACTTAAAAATGGTTAAGATAAATTTTGTTATGTATATTTTACAATAAAAAAGTTTTAAAACAATGAGATTATGCATGTAAAACAGCACAGTTTCTGGCATGTTGTAAGCTCTCAGTTGATATCTGTTATTATCAGATGCATGCCATGGTGGCATTAGTGGTGCGTTGAGACAAGAAGGTCCATCCAGCCTTTCAAAGATGTGTTTTGGGAATACATTACATTGGCTGGTGCCCAGGATTTCTCCTCCTAGGCCCTGTGTCCAAACCTATGCATGCCTGTATTACCTGGCTCTACAACTATGGTATATGCAATTTCTTGGCACACCAGGGAGGCATTCATGGCCTACTGGGTTACAAAACAATAAAGTTTCTGGTCACCATGGCTAGCTGTCATGTAAGTTGTAGGTTACCACGATGAGGTAGAAGTAGATCTCCTGCGTAAAGTGGAGAACTAGCAGATAATTTGTGGGTACCCCCAGGTCCCCTCCCAGCCTACTACAAAAGGTGATTTCCAGAGACCAGCATGCCCTACCAGGCTGCCAAGTCATAATGCAAGGATTCAGCCCGCACACAGGTGCTCTTGAGCCCTTTTAAAAACTTAATTTGCTAACACCTGCAGTCACCCAGTAGAAGTAGTTTTAGCAAGGCTGCAGGGGTCCCCAAAACACCACCATGTGTGAAAAGTAATAATCCTGGCATTCTGGTATGCACCTACCGCCTCTGCCTTTCATAATAATAATAGTTTATTTTCAGTCCATGCCGTATAGTTTTAAAAAGCCTTTTGTTTATATTTGTTTATATTTCACCTAATCCTTATGAGAACCTTCTGAGAGAGGTACAAGTATGGCTCCCATAGTGCAGAAGAGGAAACTGAGGCTGGGGAAGATTATAGGGTTTTTCCGAGATCACATAGGTATAAGCACTGGAGCCAGGTCTGAAGGCAAGCCACCCTCCATGCTCACCCCACGCCTTCTGTGTATTCCTTCTCTTTAGTCCTTGACTTTTATAACCCTCTCCACTGTACCCCTATCTACCTGTGGCTCCCTTGATAGGAGGGACTTTCTGAAAGAAGACATGTCTACAAAGCAAGATCAAAGAAAAGGTACTTTGCTTTCCTTATGGCTCCCTAGGGAAAGTGTCAAGTTCTTGAATTTGGAATGGCAACTCCCTCTCAAAAAGCCTTTTAGGGATCCCACTACCTTGATGCCTCTCTAAGCACTATTACTCCCCAGACTTCTATCTTGCTTTACTGACCCATATCCCACCTGACATCCCTACAAGGCAAGGAGCAGAATTTTGATGTCGCCCCCAACTGAATGGTAACGTGGTTTTTTCAGCATTCAGAACATCCCCTGCTGTCTCTATCTATCCTCTGGCATTCACAACATATAAGACTACCGTTTGCTCCCATTCCCCACATATTCTCCATACAGTCCTTTAGCAACACTTTGGATTCTGAGTTTAACCTACATACAAGTGCCATCTGGGACAGTGAAATACACCCCACTGACCTGCAACCAAGTTCTCTCTGCTCGGGGGCCAAAGACTTCCACTCCTAAGAGTTGTGCCTGAATCAGAATTGCCTTTACTACCCTCACAGCCAAGACTCTCCCACTCGGCGCTTGCTCTTTCTTTCGTTAGTTGACTCATGAATGAATGAATGATTCATTTTTCCAAGATTAATGCTATAGACATGCATTTTGTCTTCCTACCTCAGTGAGTTGGTGTGAACCAAAATATTATGTACAATTCAGGTATGGAAATGAAATGTCAAGGAAAGTTCATTTGTGACTCGGAATACTATTGAGACACCCACCCACATCTCAACAGGGCTATTGAGTGCTACCAAAGCCCCCTTAGCTTGTATTGTGTTTCATAGCTATTATTTCATACACAGCTTGGACAGGCAGAGGATAGTTACAAAAAGGTTATGCAATCTTTCTCAGGTCCTTTTCCTAGCATCAGTTATGATTCTAAATTAGGGAGAGCTTGTGACATTTCCACTCTGATTTATCTCCTGAGCCTCATTTTCTTCATTTACTCTTTGTCAGCACCTGCCCCCTGCTCCCAGCCATCTTGCCATAACCAATTTCTGGTCATGTCGAGGTCAGGGCTCAGGACCGGAACACTTTCAAAGGCTCCAGGAAATAAGAATCTATGCCGTTCTATCATTTCCAGTTTTTCCATGATTTAGGGCAATTCAAAGCCCTAAATATAGAAGAAGCCATCTGGGTCAGCTCTTTCTACCCCTGGCCTTTTTTTGGGTTGGTGCAAAGATAATTGAGGTTTTGGCCATTACTTTTAATACATGGGAGGAAGCTGAAGCCCGGGGAAGTTAAATGGCTTTTGAAAGGCACACAGCTAGCTGAGAGCAGAGCTGAAGCCATAGCTCAGGTTTCTGGGTCCCGTCATCATCCCACTAACCTGGCAGAGCTCTGCAAGGCTATGGCCCCCAAGCAGGGCTCCCCTGGCTGGCCAAACATCGCCTGTTCATGGGTCACTCAGCTGATGGCTGCCTAGTTCCCTGCTGTTCTGTGGATGGCAAAACAGTCTCTGGTGCCCTCAAGAGGCAGAACTGAGTAGTGGTGCCCTCCTAAAAGATCTAGATGCAGCCTGAGAAATGAACCCTCAGATCCACCTCCACCCCCATTTTACAGAACACATTGGATTCATCTTTTTATTTTAAAGATCATGAAACATGTTTAAGAATATCAAAATATATTTGAAACACAAACTTCCCCTAATGCCCTCAAAAGCATAGACTAGAGGCCGGGCGCTGTGGCTCACGCCTGTAATCCCAGCACTTTGGAAGGCTGAGGCAGGCGGATCACAAGGTCAGGAGATCGAGACCAGCCTGGCCAATATGGTGAAACCCCCATCTCTAGTAAAAAAAAAAAAAAATACAAAAATTAACCAGGCAGGCAGCATGCGCCTGTAATCCCAGCTACTCAGGAGGTTGAGGCAGGAGAATTGCTTTAACCCAGGAGTGGAGGTTGCAGTGAGCCAAGATCACACCACTGCACTCCAGCCTGGGCAACAGAGCAAGACTCCATCTCAAAAAAAAAAAAAAAAGAAAAGAAAAGAAAAGAAAGCATAGACTAGAACTAGAGCCTGGACCCCTGTGAGAACCAAGAAGCCCGTAGGCCCAGGCCATGTGCCTACTCCCCTGAGAACCTCTCCAGAACCTAAACTTGAAAGGTGTGAGCAGAAAGGAAAGGTGGTGAGGTAAGGTAACTCCATGGATAACCAGGTGCTGGCTTCTCTCTTGGTCATAGGAGAGCCACAGCACTGCCTTCTCATCAAAGGCTGGAAAAACCTATGTTCAGGATGCACAGCCCTGGGTGGTGAGTCGGGGCTGACTCATAGTAAACAAGAAATGGGCAAGAATATCTCCCTGGTGGTGTCCTGAAGCCCTGGCCTCCCTAGAGGTGCTGGGAAGGGAAGTGTGAGAGTACTACAGGAATGTGCACGGGAAGGAGGAAAGGAACCAACAAAGGGTGATCTAGATGGGGGGGACCACGGGTGGAGGAGTCAGGAAGGCCTGGGAGTTCTCAGAGCAGCAGTGACAGGGGGTGAGCCCAAGCCATCAGCTTCATTGCTAAGAGCTATAAGGAACCCAGGGCTGTCTGCATCTTTGTTCTGTAAAAGACATCTAGACACTGGGGCCTTTACTAACCACTCACACATACTCTATGCAAGCAAAATTAATTGTTCTATTGTCTATTCCCATAGCCCTGTGTAGACACTTACCTTGTGTTACATTTTGTTTCATATCTGACTCCAACTATCCAATTCGACAAATATTTATCCAGTGTTTCTGTTTGGCAGGGACTGTGCTGCCACAAAAGACTTAAGCAACTCTGTCTCATTTGTCTCTAAGTCTCCTGCACTGCCAGCAAAATGCAACTTGATAACTATTAGATTTAAATACTGTATTTTTAGGCAGGACAAATAGAGATGCTGATTCCATTTGTGAAGTATGGGATTCTAGGCACTTGGGTTTCTAGTTCATAGTTCTATGTGTTGTTCTTATATATGTGGCCAATGGGGGCCGTCCTCTCCCTGACCCTCTACTGTCTTTTTCTTCCTCATCCTCACTCTAAGGAAGATGGTTGTATCAGTCAGGGTTATTAACCCCAGCTTCTGTCACAAATAATCCCTAATCTCAGTAACTTAGCACAATAAAAGTTTATTTCTCACATAAATTTTTTTAAATATTTTAAAATTATACTTTAAGTTCTGGGGCACATGTACAGAACGTGCAGGTTTGTTACATAGGTATACATGTGCCATGGCAGTTTGCTGCACCCATCAACCTGTCATCTACATTAGGTATTTGTCCTAATGCTATCCCTCCTCCTCTCCCACCCCACACCCCGACAGGCCCCGCCCGGTGTGTGATGTCCTCCCTGTGTCCATGTGTTCTCATTGTTCAGCTCCCACTTATGAGTGAGAACATGCAGTGTTTGGTTTTCTGTTCTTGTGTTAGTTTGCTGAGAATGATGGTTTCCAGCTTCATCTGTGTCCCTGCAAAGGACATGAACTCATCCTTTTTTATGGCTGCATAGTATTCCATTGTGTATATGTGCCACATTTTCTTTATCCAGTCTATCATTGATGGGCATTTGGGTTGGTTCCAAGTCTTTGATATTGTCTCACATAAATTTGAAGATTCTGTTTCTTCACACACTTCCAGGCACAGCAAAGCATAATGGCAAGTCACAGATTCAGACATTCCTGGTCAAGCTGCTCTCCTTGGCAGCTCTCTCCTAAAGTGGCAACTCAGCATCCAGGCTCCTTCTATCCTGTGGCTCCACCATCCCCTAGGCCCTCCTTGTCACCTCTCCTGGATCCTCTGCATTCAGCCAAATGGCAGTCAAAGAAAGAGATGAAATGCCCTGTACCTGGAACATAACCACCTCAGCCCAGAGGTGACACACATCCCTTCTGCTTAAGATCTCTTGATGAGAACTAGTAGCATGGTCCCTCTCACATGTGCCGGAAGCTGAGATGGGTTCTCAGGCTGGAAAGTTGCTTGCTAGCAGTAATTCCATCTCAGAAGGGAACAAGAATTTTTGGTGTAGTTGGCTCTGACGAAACAGTACTTTGGAACAATTAAGCATGAAAAGTTCTGCCATGAGAGACAGAGAAAGCAAAAGAAATATTGTCTTATAAATACTATATTCTGTAAAATCTGGAAAAACAACCTGTTCCTGGGGAGATTTGTCTAGAATGATCAACTGTACCCCCAAGGATCCTCTGTAACCCTGCCAGGATCTCCATAGAGTTGCTCCCCTGGGTTACCAGGAAGTTGGAGCTAGAACCCAAGGGTACAAATACAGATGAGTGGGAGCAAGGGTGCCTGCCGACCAAGTGCCCTTCAAGACTGGCTCTCTTCAGACTGAAAGGAAGTCTTACTTGATGGGAAAGGCAAAGAACCCCTCTCTGTCATTCTTTGGAAACAAGACTGTCTTCTTTCAAGTAAAAATTCTGTCCCTTCTCACACTTCCAGGCACAACAAGGTATAATGGCAGGTCACACATACAAGTAAGCTCCCTGTGTCAGAATTTCTGAGCTGAGAAAAATGGATGACTGACTGAAACCTTTGATATGAAAGGAAGAAGCGGTCTGAGGAATCAGCTTGAGAGAAAAAGGAAGCCCTGACTTCCTCTGCATGCCTTCACTGGTCCAGAAAGAAATGGGTTTGGAGCCACTGATATCTACATCTCTTCCTTTAAAATATGAGACCTAAACATCAAAGGGTTCTCTGGTCTGAGGCATGGGTTTGCACATAGAGGTGATGACTTATCAATAATATATTTTAAATTGAGTGCCAATTAGGCTACAGGAAATAATATAATTAAAATTTAGAGACAGCTCTAAAACTTGATTGAAGACCTGGAACAGTCGGTTTGAAGTGAAGTGAATAATGCTTCACTCTTTTGCCAAAACACAGATATAAATATTACCCAAGCCTAAAATCCTGCCCAATCAGCTGCTTGTATGGAGCTATGGGAGAGATGGAGGGGAAGAGGGGGAAGAGTTTGTTAGAAGGCTACAGATAAGCCTTATGCAATGAACCAACTAACAATGTGGGAAATGGGCCTCCTAGAAAAGGTGGATCCTATGGAGTGAACTCTCTCCCTTCCCTGGAGCTACCAAGGAGAGGAAAAAAAGAGGGAAGGGCTAAACAGATATTGATGTCACAGCATCATCACCCTTGATGCTGACCACTAAACACTAACCTGTGGCTCCTAAATTCTTTCTGCACAACTATAAGACTAATCCAAAAACCTAGGTGGGGGACTGGCCTGTAAGTAGGGGCTGAGTAGCTCTAGCTATAAAGGATTTACAAGTAGGGACTGGGTACACATTACATTATCATCATCAGAGAATGCAGTATGAAGCATCCTGTATGGTTAGTGGAGTTTGAATTAAGATTAAAAAGGATGTAATTCTTAATTCACAACTAAGAAATTGACATTGGGACAATCCACAGAGGTCATTCACATTTCACCAGTTTTACATGCACTCATGTATGTGTGTGTGTAGTGATGTTCAGTTTTATTGCATGTGAGGCCAGGTGGTGGCTCATGCCTATAGTCCCAGCACTTTGGGAAGCTGAAGCAGGTGGATCACTTGAGGCCAGCCTGGCCAACATGGTGAAACCCCGTCTCTACTAAAAATACAAAAATTAGCTGGCTGAGGCACAAGAATCACTTGAACCCAGGAAGTGGAGTGAGCCAAAATCACGCCACTGCACTTCATCCTGGGTGACAGAGCGAGACTCTGTCTCAAAAAAAAAATTGCATATGTAAATTGACGTGATCACGAATATAATCAAGATACAGAACTGCTCCACCACCATAAGGCTCTGTTATTGCCCTTTATAGCCATCCCTACCCCATCCCCCATCTCTAACCCGTGGCAACCACTAATCTGTTCTCCATCTCTATAATTTTATTTCAAGAATATTGTGTAAATGGAATCATATAGTATGTGACCTTTTGAGATTGGCCTTTTTCACTCAACATAATTTTTTTGAGATCCATCCAAGTTGTTGCATGTATCAATTGTTTGTTCCTTTTTATTGCTATGTAGTACCCCATGGTGTGGATATACTACAGTTTGTCCATTCGTCTGCTGAAGAACATTTTGGTTGTTTCCAGTTTGGGTCATTTACAAATAAAGCTACACTTAACAACAACAATAACAAAAGGATATACTTCTTGTCTTCTAAACCAATGATTCAAACTTAGTGCAAATAAGAATCATCTTGGGTATGGGGAGGAGAATGTATTGAAAAGCTAATTCCCAGGGCCCCAGCTAGAAAAGTACTCTGGGATTGGACCAGATGTCTGAATTTCTAGTAAGCATGACTAGGTAATTCTCAAATACATGCTAGGGACATAGTTGAAAACAACTACGGGCTAAGAGGCTACAGTCTGATGGATTTGACAGAAATAAAAATAATTTCTATCATCATCCAGGAAATATATATATATATACATATATATATATATATGTATATATATATATTTTTTTGAGATGAAGCCTTACTCTGTTGCCCAGGCTGGAGTGCAGTGGCATGATTTCAGCTCACTGCAACTTCTGCCTCCCTGGTTCAAGCAATTCTCCTGCCTCAGCCTCCCGAGTAGCTGGGACTACAGGCTCACACTGCCATGCCCAGCTAATTTTTTGTATTTTAATAGAGATGGGGTTTCACCATGTTGCTTGGGCTGGTCTCAAACTCCTGAGCTCAGGCAATCCACCCATCTCGGCCTCCCAAAGTACTACGATGACAGGTGTAAGCTACTGCACCCAGCTGAAAAATAATTTTTCCTAAAAGGAAAAACAGCCTTGTTGCTTGATACCATCTTATCATGGAACTTTCAAAAACTGAATATGTATATTTCATTTTTTGGCAGTACACACTTTACGTTTCAAAGCTGTGATCTATTTTTTATATTTTTGAGGCTGATTCTGTGTCTTGAGAAAGCCAAATGTTGCATTGTTAGTTTAGGCACAGATGTGTGGACTCACTGCAGGTGAATGTCTCCAACAAGGCAGGAAAATCATGGGTCCTTTTTAAAACAGGTGGTAGAAGGACAACCACTGATTCTATAAAACATGAACAGTTACACCAAATTGTTCTGTTTACAGCAAATATATGAAGTAGGAGTATTTTCTTCAAAAGTGGTATTGATTCTAATTAAACTGACCTATAGCAGATTTTTAAAACTATTTTTAATTTGAAATGTTTATTTAGGAAGAATGGCATGAAATAGTTCACACATTAGCTGATGTAGAAATAATATAATTGTACCCATAATGGGATAAAATAACAAAAGACTCTCTGAGTTGAAAGGGATACTGAACGTAAACTATTCCAACCACTTACCTAATGTTTGTCAGCCTGCGGAAATAGAAACTACAGGGCCAGGTGTGGTGGCTCATGCTTGTAATCTCAGCACTTTGGGAGGTCGAAGCTAGCAGATTACTGGGCCCAGGAGTTCGAGACTAGCCTGGGTAACACGGCAAAATCCCATCTCTACAAAAAATACAAAAATTAGCCAGGCATGGTGGCATGTGCCTGTAATCTCAGCTACTTGGGAGGCTGAGGCAGGAGGATCATCTGAGCCCAGGGAGGTCGAGGCTGCAGTTAGCAGTGATCGTGCCACTGTACTCCAGCCTGGGCAACAGAGTGAAACCCTGTCAAAAAAAAAAGAAGAAAGAAAGAAAGAAAGAAAGAAAGAAAGAAAGAAAGAAAGAAAGAAAGAAAGAAAGGAAGGAAGGAAGGAAGGAAGGAAGGAAGGAAGGAAGGAAGGAAGGAAGGAAGGAAGGAAGGAAGGGAAGGGAGGGAAAGAGAGAGAGGAAGGAAGGAAGGAAAGAAAGAAAGAAAGAAAGAAAGAAAGAAAGAAAGAAAGAAAGAAAGAAAAAGAAAGAAAGGAAAGAAGGAAAACTACAGGCCTGGGAGACGTAAGAACTGAGTTTAAGTTTCAGCCTTGCCACTTGGCCAGCAGCTGTATAATATTAGACATGTGGCTTAAGTTTCCTCAGCCTCAATTTCCTCAGCTGTAAAATAATATGGTGACCATCATGGTCTCTTTCAGTCCTAACATTCTATGATTCCCTTCTCCAATCTTTATCTCCCTCTGGATATTTATTCATAACCTGAAAAAGAAAGATGAGCTGATTTTCACATTGCAAATTATCTCTCAATTTAGAATGAATGAATTAGAACATACATATGGACAAAGATAAAAAGAAACTAAACCTAAAATTAAAATCTCCTTATCTAAAACACTTAAAATATGAATAAATTAGCTACCAATAGAATCAGAAAGAAAAGACATTCTCTGATATAACGCTAAAGAAGATGATGATAATCACCAAACCAATGGTGCTGTTCTATGAGAACAAGCTGTATTTAAAGTGGAATTTGTGTGTTCTTCAATACAGATAAATAGAGCTATCAAATACACAGTTGTCACAGATTATCTCTGGAGACACAAATTCATGCTTTAAGGACTAAAACTTAGCATCCCTTTGATGCTTAATGGGATATGTCATCTTGATGATATATTACTTTCATCAGTAAGGTGATTTCCTCTTGTCTTTCTAAGTAATCTATGCAAAAACCTCTTGCAAACCTTTCTTAAAAGATTACTTGGGTATCATCTCAGTTTTAAAAACTTATTAATACAAATAAATAGGTTTTGTTCAGTGTTTTGCACCTTTAAAGTATAGCACATGGTATGAGCTCAATAATTGTTTCCAAAGTGAATGATTTAAATTGAATAAAGCACCAGACACTTGACAAATGGAATCACTGATACAGTTGAAACAGCACTGGCATCAGGGTCTTGATTGCCTCTTGCTAGCTGTATGATTGTGGGAAATTTATATAACATCTTTGAGCCTCGGTATTCTCATCTGTAAATGGAGACAATTCTACCCAAACACTAAGCTTAATGGGAGAATTAAAATAGATGATATAAAAAAGGAAATCTATGAAAAACTTCAGCTCATATTATTCTCATGATGAGTCTAAATACATTCCCCTCTAAGATGGGGAACAAGTCTTCTCTCAATTCTATGCAACACCATGCTGGATGTCTTAGCAATGCAATGAGACAAGATTGGAAAGAAAGAAATAAAACTGTCTTAATCCTCAGACAATGTGATCATCTACATAGAAAGTCCTGAAGAATCTATAAAAAATGAACCAATAAATGGATATAACAAGTCACAGGACACAAAGTAAATATACACACAGAATATACAGGAGGAAATGATGTTATTGGTAACCTCAGAAATCCAAAGAGCCAGATAATTTAGATAACACAAAGAAACTAAGACCACACAATCATGGCATGTATTCCTTATTTCATTTTCGTGAGAATTGTGTGCATTTGGTTTTGTACATGATATATTTTCATAAGCTTGCCTTGAGAGGAAAAACAAGTTTTTCAGATGAGCAAATATATCTATGGAATAAGCTAGCTTGCAAAGTCAATTTTAATCATGCATATAATTTTACAGAGTGATGAGTTCTTTCTGGAAGCCATGAAGTTCTTGCAACTTGAATAGATAAGAGAGGACTTTTGCAAAGGCCACTAAACTCACCTATAAAACAAATGTCATCTGTGGTCACCACCTATCTTGAGGGGAAAAAGTCAAAAATATATTGGGCTGCTCTTAATGTGATTGACAATTTTAGCAGATTTGTTAAATATTCATATGATTCTCTGGTGGGAAAGACATCCTGTATTTACATCAGTGAGTAATTTTTCCTATTGCTGCAATAGATTATATATGAGAAACAGTCTTACCGATCTTGCAAGTAACTGAGAGCTTATGGAAGAAAGATGAATATTTTACTGAAAAGGATGCAAGCATTCATTATATGAGAAGCCATGTAACTGATGTATATCATCTCTAACATCAATAATTTATATAATGGAAGGTTCAGTTACTGGAATTTGAAAACATCCATACACTTGCCTGAGTGTACCTTGTGTTTTATGTGTCCTAGGATGGATTTTTGTGGCACTGTCTATGTTAGCCCTGTCCTATGCAAAAATCTGAGGAAGCAGTTTTGATGTATAATTAATTATATTTTCTAACAACATTTAACTAGAAAACTGTTAAAAATGTTTGCCCACTTATCACCTAAGATTATCGGATATATCACCAGTAGTATGCATATCACCTTGGGAAACACTCATGGGAAAAGCACTGTAACTGCAGCCAAAATACCTAAATTCAAATTATGGTTCTGCTGTTTAGTAGTTATGCCACCTCGAAACATTAGTTCACATTTCTGAGCTTCTGTTTCATTTTTAAAAGGAAGAGCAATAAAAAGGATATTTGGGGATCATCTGGAACACCAACATATAATCAAATATTGCCACATATTTCAAGGTTTGTGTCTGCATTTGCATCTTCATATAAGCCCAGTGGAGTTCAATGAAGTCACAGGGAATAGAGTCTTCTTAGTAGTTCAGACAGAGAAAAATGGGGGCAGAACTGAATCATGCCAAGGCATTCAATAGCACACGCAGCTGAATTCAAAATAATCTGCACTTAAGGCATCAACACTATATTCAGGAGTTTCAATTCCTTAAAAAAATATGAATAATGCATTTATGCCAAGAGAAGACTCAATGATGTTGCAGCATAAATTATCATTGCAGAAGAAAAGTTTTGTCCTTAAACTATTAAAAGAATTTAACATGACCACAATAACAGTCATGGGTCAATTGCCACTTTGACATTAGGATATATCAAACTTTATTATCAATACATTAAAAATCAAGCACTGTCACTTAGGGATCACTGGGTGACAACATAATCATAAATGCACATGTAAATGAGCACTTTTAAATCTCACTGAAGTATTCTATATGTTCTAGAATACCTTACATCTGACTTTTAGAATATTTTCAAAATGAAAATATAAGATTAAAAAATTCTGATTGGAAGATTTAAATATCAAATTTTTTCCTTATTATGACATCAGTACTATCATAATGTCAGATTTACCCTCATCTTACTCTTACACAATTACCTACATAAAAGATGTTTTGTAAGACATTTACATATGAAGATATGTGATTGATACAGTCACCATACCATACAGTTAAGTTGTAGGCTAAATATGTGACCAAGAAAAAGAAAATTAACACAGGCCAGGAACAGTGGCTCACGCCTGTAATCCCAGTACTTTGGGAGGCCGAGGCAGGTGGATCACGAGGTCAAGAAATTGAGACCATCCTGGCCAACATGGTGAAACCCCATCTCTACTAAAAATACAAAAATTAGCTGGGCGTGGTGGTGTGCATCTGTAGTCCCAGCTACTCAAGAGGCTGAGGCAGGAGAATTGCTTGAACTTGGGAGGCGGAGGTTGCAGTGAGCCGAGATCGCACCACTTCACTCCAGCCTGGCGACACAGCAAGACTCCATCTCAAATTAAAAAAAAGAAAATTAACACAAAAAATTACAACTCGTAACTAGATATGAAATATTTAAGACATTTGTCAAAGGCAGGCAATCTTCATCTTTATGTTGGTAGGAGTTTTCTGGTTCATTCTTGGCCCTCAAAAGATGCATGAGTGTAGTCCTAGAATGGGAAGTATCTCCCATTCATACAGTTGTGATTAATGAAAATTTGGGCTTATTCACCCAGGCCTTGTGTAGACCTACTCCATTGATTAGAATACTTTTAGCAGCAAAAACAGATAATCCTCATTCATTTTGGCCTTCACAAAAAAAGGCATGTATTTTTCCCTATAATAAGATGTTTGGAGGTTGGGAATTTCCATGTATCATGCACCAGGTCCAACTCTTCTTCTTTGTGGTTCTCCTGGTAGCAAGATGGCTGCAGCCATTCAAATTCTAAACATGGCACTCAAACACAAAAATACTCAGAGATAGGAAAGGGATTGCTTCTCCTAGGCATATTTCTTATTTTATTATTATTATTATTATTTTTGAGATGGAGTTTCACTCTTGTTGCCCAGGCTGGAGTGCAATGGCTTGATCTCAGCTCACTGCAACGTCTGCCTCTCAGGTTCAACAGATTCTCCTGCCTCAGCCCCCCTAAGTGTCTGGGATTACAGGTGCCTGCCACCACATCCGGGTAATTTTTGTGTGTGTGTATTTTTGGTAGAGATGGGGTTTTACCATGTTGGCCAGGCTGGTCTCGAACTCCTGACCTCGGGTGATCTGCCAACATCAGGTGATCTGCCTACCTCAGCCTCCCAAAGTGCTGGGATTACAGGCGTGAGCCACCACACCGGGCCCCCTAACGTGTATTCGTTAGAGGCAAGAAAAACTTTTCCCAGAAAAATCTCAGTCATGTCCACCACATTTCATTGGCCAATAATTGGCCAAAAATGCTCACCTCTAAATAAGTGACTGGCAAGAAAATGGGACCAACACCAGCAGTTTAAGCCAACTATGACTTAATTCTGAGCAGGATTTTGGGTTACCATCCAATGAATCACTGAGACAGAGGTGGATCACTGTGAGCAAGAAAAAAGAAGAAAATGGATACTAGATGGGCATAAATAAACAAATCATGCCTTCCACTCACCAACTGGGCATTTTAACTAGTTAGCCAAGTTAAAATTGATAGAGATTTAACTATATTGTTTTTCATACCTGAGGAGGTTGTCTACTCTCTAATAATCAACTCATTTATTAAATTTTTTTATGATTCCATGTTTTCTCCACTCTTGGTTGGTTAGCTATATTGGGTTGAATAATGTCCCCTAAAATTCATGTCCACTGGAAGCTCAGAATGAAACCTTATTTGGAAATAAAGTCTTTGCAGCCTCCATTAGTAATTGGTTTAAGATGCAGTCATATTGAATTCAGATGGATGCTGATCCAATGTCTGGTGTCCTTATAAGAAGAGAAAACAGAGACAAAGACACCCAGAAGAATGCCACTGATGCAGACAGGAATTGGAGCGAAACATCTACAAACCAAGGAATGTCAAAAGAAGGCCAAAGATTGCTGGCAACCACCAGGAGCTAGAGAGGCAAGAAAGAGCCTTCAATCACTTTGGTTCTGCCGACACCTTGATTTCAGACTTCTAGGTTTTAGAACAGTGAAATAATAAATTTCCCTTGTTTCAGGCTGCCCAGTTTATGGTAGTTTGTTATGAAAGCTCCAGGAAACTAATACATTAGCTACCTCTTGGTCTTATTTTTTAGGGGATTGCTTAGCGTTTACAATATTTTTAACTCACCACAGTCTACTTTCAAAATATTATACAATTTCAGGTATATTTTAAGAAATGTACAACTGTATACTTAAAATGTTCCCCTCCCATCCTTTGCACTATTCTTGTATTTTATTTCTACTTATGTTATATACCCCAAAATATATTGTATTTTTAAGCTTTTGCCTTAGCAATTACATTTAAAGGGTTCTTAAAATGAGGGAAAGTCTCATGTATTTCCACATATTTACCATTTCTTGATCTTTTAATTCCTTATCTATCTGGCTTTCCATCTGGTATTATTTTTCTTCAGTCTGAAGAACTTCCTTTAGCATGTATTTTTAATGTGGATCTGTTGATGACAAATTTTCTCACCTCTGCTTATCTAAAAATGTCTTTATTTTGCCTTCATCTCTGAAGAATATTTTTGCCAGATATAGAATGTTCTGGGTTGATAGGCTCTTTTTTATTGTTCTTTCAGTTTAAATCGGTCATTACATTGTCTCCTGGCTTGCACTGTTTCTGATAATAAGTTCGGGAATTCCTATCATTATATCAATGTATATAACGTGTCTTTTTTTTCTGGTTGCTTTTAAGATTTTATCTTTACTACTGGTCTTAGTAGCTTAATTATTATGTTCTTTTGTGTGTTTTTTGTGTATGAGTGTGTCTTTATATCACTTAGGGTTCATTTTGCTCCTTAGATCATTGGGTTTGTAGTTTTCATCAAAACTGAAATTTTTTGGTCATCATAGTTTGAAATATTTTTCTTCTCCCACCCTATGACTCCAATTACACATGTTAGGCCCCTTGATATTGTTCCACAGTTTGTCCTGGCACAGTTTGTTGTTCTTCTCGGCATTTTTTTTTTTTTTTTTTTTTTTTTTTTTTGAGACGGAGTTTTGCTCTTGTCGCCCAGGCTGGAGTGCAATGGTGCAATCTCGGCTCACTGCAACCTCTGCCTCCCAGTTTCAAGCGATTCTCCTGCTTCAGCCTCCTGAGTAGCTGGGGTTACAGGCATGTGCCACCACGCCCAGCTACTTTTGTATTTTTAGTAGAGAGACAGGGTTTCACCATGTTGGCCAGGCTGGTCTTGAACTCCTGACCTCAGGTGATCCTCCCGCCTCAGCCTCCCAAAGTGTTGGAATTACAGGCGTGAGCCACTGCGCCTGGCCTGCTTTTTATAAAATTTATTTTGCTCTCTGTTGTTCATTTTAAATAGTTTCAATTGTTAGGTTATCCAGTTTGTTAACCGTTTTTCTATAGCTTCTATAATAATATGCTGTTCAGTCTATCCAGTGAAATTTTTACTACAGACATCGTATTTTCCAGCTCTAGATATTCCATTTAATTTTTTGTCTTTCATTTCTCTTCTCATATTCATATTTTCCATTAAATCTTTTTGAGACTTACTTTATTTGTTTATTGTATGGGACAATTTATATTTTTTCCATGAAATATTGCAGAAATTTTATATTGTGGAAAATATTTATAATATCTCCTTATATTTATATTTATAATATCTATTTTAACATATTGTCTACTAATTCCACCTTGGCCTCTTTCTCTCTTTTTTTGAGACAGGGTCTCCCTCTGTTGCCCAAGCTGGACTGGAGTGCAATGGCACAATCATAGCTCACTATGACCTCAAACTCCTAGGCTTTAGCAATCCTCCTGCCTCATCTTCCTGCATAGCTAGGCCTACAGACATTCACCAATATGCGTGGTTAATTATTATTATTATTATTATTATTTTTTTTTAGAGATGGGGGTCTCACTATGTTGCCCAAGCTGGTCCATCTTGGTTTCTTTCTATTGAGCGATTTTTCTTTTGGTGATGAGCCACATTTTTTTTTTTTTTTGCTTTTTTATATGTTTAGTAATTTTTTATTAGATGCTGGACATTTTGAATATTACACTGTTGGTGGTGTTTTAATGTTTTCCTTTAAAGAAAGTTTAATTTTATTTTGAGAGGCAGTTAAGTTACTTGCAGACTAACTTGATCATTTTGAGACTTGTTTGAAAGCTTTTCTAGGGTGGACCTTGGATAGGTTCTACTCAGTGGTATTGAGAGGCTTTTTTCTTCCTGACACCAACCAGTTCTGACACCAATGAGGTGTCCTGCAATTCAATTCAACGCCAACACCAACTACCTGGAGTTGGCATCAGACTCCACAGGTTTAAGGGCTCACTCCACAAAATTGTTCTTACTTTAGATGCTTCTCAATTATTGGGTCCCCAGGTTACCCCCATTCTGCCCAAAATGAGTGCAAAGTTGGAAGTTCCCACAATCCCCCCTGTTTCATGTTTGATAATTTTCTAAATGACTCACAGAATTCAGAAAAGTGCTTTGCTTACTATTACTGATTTATGATAAAGGATACAACTCAGAAACAGCCTATGGAAGAGATGCATAGCGCAGGGTATGAGGGGAGGGGGACTCAGAGCATCCATTCCCTCCCAGTGCCTTGATGTGTTCAACAACCTGGAAGCTGTCCAAACCTTGTCATTTGGGGATTTTTATGGAGGTTCTGTTACTAGGGCATGATTAATTGAATCACTGGCCATTAGTGATTGACTTAATATTTCTAGCCCTGTTTCTCATCCTCCCCACCTTCCACTGCCACACACAACCCCCAGGTTGAGCGGTGGGGTGGAAAATTCCAAGCTTTATCTTTCTGGTGACTATCCCCCATCCTGAAGCTATCTAGTGGCCTGCCAAGAGTTGCCTTGTTAGAACAAAAGACACTCCTATCACCCTTATCATTCTGAAAATGCCAGGATTTTTAGGAGTACTGCGTCCCCGTGACCAGGGACAAAGACTATATATCTTCCTACAATACCTGTGGTATTATACCTGGTAAGTGCTCAACAATCAGCTCTCTGGGGTGGGGGTGGTTGAAACAACTGTAAATTGTAGTATATGCTGATTTACTTGGCGTAAATATTCTGTAATAGCTGATTTCCAGCTACCAATGTATGTCATTGAAGTTGAGACAAGAGATATACACAATTGGCTCTCACAAACTAGTGCAAGCCAACTTCAACACACCACTGCCTTTACTGTGGCCTGGCTGAGCCCTAATACTTCATGAAGCATAACCATTTTGGGGTCTCTACTGAATGCATGACTGTTGAAAGAGGCCTCTCTACTCTGAATGGTCAGAAATCGAACATCTTATCCATCCTGTGTGAGCTCATGTTAATCGCTTATGTTAGATCTCTCTGGTAATTGTTCCTTCTCTCATAATTTTATTTGTACACCTGTCATGGAGTTTCATTCTACATATGTACAGCTTAGTGTTCAGTCCAGGGTTCAAGACAAAACCTTATGCCCATTTCTGAACCTATCTCACTCCCTTCTTCCTGATACTGTACCTTGAATATTCAAGCTGCCTTGGCCTCCCTGAACTCTGATCTCTGTCTCCTTAACTCAGTTAGGAAGATGCCACAATCTTCCTGGGTTTCCCCTCCCTGCATCACACTCCAGAAAGTTCCTCCAGGCAGAAAACTGTGCTAATCTTAAGTCTCACCTTGTTTGTTTCCTTTCTCTGAGGGCTCATGGTCTTGGGCTACCTGTTGTGCAATGTCTGAAACTTGTTTCATGTCTTTTGTCTTGTCTTCTGGTTGTCTGCAGTGGGGTGGAAGTCTGTTAGCAGTTACTCCATTGCAGCCAGAAGAGGGAGTCCTCCTCAGTTTCCATTTAAGTAAAGCCAATTCTTTTCTTATAGGAAGATATCCCATTTCTGATTTTATATTTTCCTTTTACTAAGGAGGAACTTACCTTATTTCTGTTTTCATAGAAACCATCAGCTTGCTACTCTTTTACCTACCATGCTACTCCTTCCTCTACTGCTAGTAAATGGATTGCCCACACACCCTGGAAAAAGCCTGGTGGTCGCAGCATTCTGAAAGAGCACCGTGCACCTGGCTCACCCTCTCTGAGCAACAGAAGTTTGATTGCTACACTCTGGTGGGGCCCATTGGATCTAGAATGATCCATAACACTATCTGGAGGAGTTTCTCTCCTCAGGAAACTATAAAAATGTTATAAGGACTAATTGAAAGTAACTGAATGCACATCAACAAATGAGTCTAAAGTAGAATTGGTTATATCTAGTTAAGCATAAAATAAATACTGAACATTTGATTCTTTTATATTAACTTCAAATTCTCCCTTATGAGGTAAGTGGGAAAAAATCTGTAACTGCACAGGCCTAAGAGGTTATGTCTGTTCTGGTACAATCTGGATTTCCCTTTTCTTGCATTATTGAGGCTTGGCCAATCGTCTTCAAGTGACCTATGCTGCTCTTGCTCCATACGAGTCTGTGCTGGGAGGGAGTCATCTATTCATCAGTGACTTTCTTACCTTACACATGACCATTTTTTAGCCTCTGTCTGAAATCACTTTTATCATTTGAACGTCAAGGTCTTTAACAACGAAAATGATAATAAGATTTTTCTTTCTTACAATATACTCTGCAAAATGCCTCCTGTCTGTTACTTACCATTAGGGAATGGCTTGTCTTTCTGGTGGTATTATGGTATATATCATTTCTTGTGGCCGCTATAACAAATTACTGCACATTTAGTGGCTTAAAACATCAGAAACTTATTCTCTCACAATCTTGGAGGACACAAGTGCAAAATCAGTTTCACTGGACCAAAATCAAGGTGTTAAAGGGGCTGCAGTCCTTTTAGAGGCTCTAGGAGAAAATCTGTTCCTTGCCTTGGGGACGTATTACTCCTGTTTTCAAGGCCAGCATCTTCAAACCTCTGTCTGCTCCTTCTTCATGTTGCTTTCTCTTTTGTGTGTATCAAATGTCCCTCTAACTCTCTCCTATAAGGACATTTGTGATGACAATTAGGGTCCACCTACACAAGCCAGAATAAGCTCCTCATTTCAAGATCCTTAATCACATCTGCAATGACTCTTTTTCAAAATAAGGAAACATTTACAGGTTCCAGAGATTAGGATTTGGTTATCTTTTTGTGTGGGGATGGGGCAGGGAGGTTGGAGGAAGCAGTCTGCAGCCCACCACACAGGGGTTCTGCTCCATGTCTACATGCATCTCCTCAATGACTGTTGACTTCTGTGAGACAAGTCTTCTGTTCATGCTGTGGCACTTTGAGGGTAGCAACTAAAGAAAGAAAAATCCAGAAAAAAATGAACTGTGTAGAAATGTGGGTGCTATGGAGCCCCCGTGTAGGTCCCTGTGTAACACTGTTAAATTACATACCATTTCTGTCTGTAGAAACTAAGGGTTTTTCTTTTCAGCCATTTCAGGCCCACTTTAGTCAAGGCATCCCTATGTTGGTAAGAAGCACAGTGACATACTCCAGAGACTCTTCAGACAGCACTACCATCTCTATTTGTTACATGATCTTCATTTATTCTAGAAGTGTTCTGCACAGTTAGCCTCAAGAGAACCCAGATCAGCAAGGCAGTGCCCACAGCCACCATTAGTCACCTGAGAGTTTCAGTGAGGAAGAAAAATTAAAAAAGCAAAAAGAGAGATTCTGGGGCACAGATAGATAGTAAGAGATGAAAAAATAATAAAAGAGGAAAAATAAAAGAAATAGCTCCATCTGGAGGGGAACAGTTAACCAATAAATGACTATACATTTAATGAGCAACTATAATACAATATAATGTACTAGAGCAGAAAGAAAGAAAATAAGTATGACATCATCCTTGCCGTCAGAGAGCCTTTAATGTAGTAAGACAGAAGTATACACATCTAACTATAATACAAGATATATTAATACAAGGATCATGCAAAAGGGTCAAAATGATGTGGAAATTTATTTTTTTAGAAAGTGGGGTCTTGCTATGTTGCTCAGACTAGATTCAAACTCCTGGGCTCAAGCAGTCCTCCTGCCTCAGCCTCCTGAGTGGCTAGGACAACAGGCATGCACTACCACACCTGGCTGCTGTGGGAACTTAAAGGAAGTCCACAGCCAGCTTAAGAGATCACGGAAGGTTTCACAAAGGAGACAGTGTGTGAGTGACACCTAGAACTAGTAGCAGAAGGAAGATAAGAACTCACACAACTCTGTGCCTGAGTCCTGTACAAATCCATGGTCTGTAACTTCAGCTGAGCAAGCTTTCAGCACAGGGCATGCCGACTCCAGGTCCTTACAATTTCTCTTTCATTCCCCCAGAGCAACTATTTTAGAACTCCCTCACTCTCCTCAAGCTCTACCCCACCACTTCTTTCTAATTATCAACAGAAAACCGTTAGCAAGAACATTTTCAACAGCTTTCATACATCTGTGAGTCAAACTGCATCATCTACATCCCACCCTACTTCTCCCCTGGCTCAGGGAAGAGGTGTTCCTCTTCCTGTGTGAGGTGGGTGGATGACCATCCCACCCATGCTTGGAATTACTCCTCCTCCCCCCTTGTAAGGGACTTTGCTCTGCTTGTCATTCCCTCTTTCTTATATGAAATGGTGAAGAGAGCAGGTTCGAAGTGGAATGGCTTGGGTTCCCATCTTAGTTCTACTTCTCTCTAGCTATTACATGAATAAATTTTCTCTCTGGGCCTTGGTTTCCCTATCTGTAAAATGGCATCTACTTTGTAAGGTTGTTGAGAGGATCAAATGAGCTATTCCTGTAAAACAGAGTTGAATCTCTGGCCCATAGAAGGTGTTCAGTAGGTGCCAGTATTTATCTTTCACCTCTCGTCAGTGGGCCCTTTAATCTCTGCCTCTAATCATGCTCAAATCACATCTGTCTATGGAAATAAAAATCCCTCTCTGGATTATCTCCTCTACCATTTGTTCTTCCTCTCCACTTCTCTTATGGGCTCTTTCGTTCCACTTCTCTTCATAACCAAAACTCTTGAAAGAATGGTCCATGCAGATGGAAGCTGTAACCTGAGTTTCAAGAAAGCCTGGAGCATGATTGGAGAGCACAGGGATAGTGGAAAGTGGGTAGCCCAGGTCCAAGTCACGGGCAAGCTGAGGTGTTGGACTTTATCCAGAAGGCCGTGCCGAGCTGTTGACTTCTGGCAAAGAAGTGGTGCAGTCAGAACTGTTCTTTAAGAATATTAACCTGGTAGCGATGTGTAGGTAAGAGCTCTTAGAAAATTGTTGCACTGGGAAAGGTGAACTTACGAGCTATAAAGGGGTGAAATACATAAAATCAACACTAATCGAACTGAGAGTCCTTGGCGAGGGATGAGGTATGGGAAAAGAGACAGAAGAAATCATGATGAGTGTGAGGTTTCCAGCCTGGTGGCTGCCTTCATTCAGACAGGGGAGTGAGAGGGAGGAGGAGAAGCTAGTTTGGGGATGGAAATGATGAGCTCAGACTGGGACTTGCTGGGTTTGAAGAATGACACCAGACACCAGGTGTCACTATACTCCCAGTCTGAAAATTGCAAAGCAGCCACTGCGCTACCAATCTTTTTTTTTTTCTTTTCTTTTTTTTTTTTTTTTTTGACAGAGTCTCGCTCTGTCTCCCAGGCTGGAGTGCAGTGGTGCGATCTCGGCTCACTGCAACCTCCGCCTCCTGGGTTCAAGCGATTCTTCTGCCTCACCCTCCCAAGTAGCTGGGATTATGTGCGTGCCACCACGTCCAGCTAATTTTTGTATTTTAATAAGGACAGGGTTTCACCAGGTTGGCCAGGCTGGTCTCGAACTCCTGAACTCAGGTGATCCACCCACCTCAGCCTCCCAAAGTGCTGGGATCACAGGTGTGAGCCACTGTGCCTGGCCTATCAAAGAATCTTAAAAGGCTGTGCAGATGGCAATCTCTAGGCAAGGCTCCTGTCCTGACTTCCTCTCATCTGCAGGGCTGGCACAGAAACTCCACATGAATTAGAGACTCTAGGTGTGTTAGAAATCCCACAGTGCTGATGGCTCCCTAGGAGCTCAATGCCCTGAAGGACTACTTCTTCAGGCCTTTAAGGATTTTGACCTTGGGGAAATAAGGTCTTAAGCCAAGAGTCACAAACTCATATGCCTTCTGGTAGTTATCGTAGGTAATATTATCAGGAGAGGGGAAGTCTGTGCAAACTAGAGTGCATGCCCAACCTAAAGACATTCAAATTCACAAATTAAAAACAAAGAGATCACTGTGCTGGCCTAACTAAATACATCTGCATCCAACCACTTTGCAATTTATGCCAAACTACTCACTCAAGGAATATGTTGACATCAAAGCCTTGAATGCTTAGGAGATGTAAAAGGAAGGGGGAGATATTAGAAAGAGGATAAATTGAGCCTTGACCAATTAACTCTCCTGAAGACAGTTTGTTTCTCTCCCTGTTTGTGTCCCAAATGCCCTAGAGCTAGGACACTGTGCTGGAGGCTCAGGGAGGCCATGGTCCTGCTGTGTCCTGCAGGAACCAGAAAACATTGGAGCATATTATCTGACTCAGTAATCCCCAAACTTTAGGCATTTGTGAAGGTCCTCACCCTCACCATGTTTGCCTTATCATCTGGACTGACTTTTCTATAAATAGAGCCTAAATCAATTCCCCTTTATATTTGTATGCATCCTAAATGTGTGAGTTTGAGTTACGTTTTTCTTAACACCCTTTAAAATGAAAAACATAGTCATTAAAATTAAAAGTGAATATCTGGACACCACCTAAAATAGTCTCAAGTAC
Organism: Homo sapiens; assembly: GCF_000001405.40. NCBI lineage: Eukaryota > Metazoa > Chordata > Mammalia > Primates > Hominidae > Homo > Homo sapiens. Next base: position 162,035,863 of record NC_000001.11, on the reverse strand, counting down.
CCCCAGAAGTATGCATGTCATATGCTGGAAAGCACTGGTTCAAGTCCCTCACTTCACAGATGGAAAGGTTAAGGGAACCTGAATATAGTTTGGTGTTCGAAAGCACTGGCTCTGAATAAATAAGCCCTCGGTTCCAATCCAGACTCTGTGGCTTTGTCTAACTGCTTACACTTTCCGAGTTTCTGTTTTCTCATCTCTAACATAGGGGAAACTGCACCTGTCTCCCAGCAATGCTTGGAGAATTAGTGAGATTGCATGGAAAGCACTCAAGAAGTGGAGCTGTGGTGAATGTTCTATCACTACTGAGCTTGTTCCCATCCCAGAGTGAGCCAGGGGCAGGTCTGGAACCAGGACTGTTTCTCCTGCCACCTGGGCCAGGACACGTGCTCCACAGGAAGTGATTCACCACTTCAGAACGGACCAGCCAGATTCTCTTGGCAGTGAGCCCTGGGGCAGCCCTCCTGCTTCCCACTCCTCTCCCACTCACCTTTGAGGTATAGGCTGCCCACAATGGCTATGCAATTACCATGTTATAATTTATGCAAACACAAGATGTACAGGTGTTGAGAAATGTGGCATGAAAAGCACCAAATGTCTATCCTTCTTACACCTCAAATGTTCAACATTTTCTACAGCGACTGATGGCCTTATGAAAACATACAGAACAGCCATTTTCTGTGGATAGCTACATTTAAGACAGCTGTGTTCTAGAACACACTACAAAGGACCAATAAATCAAGCTGCTTGGCTTTACCCAAGAATTCAGAATTTTAGGGCTAAAAGGGACCACCCTGAAAATCACTCAGTCCAACCAGTTGTTTCGGCAAATAGACAAAACTGGGGCTCATGACTTCCTAGAGAGGTCAATTACTTCCCAAGTACACAGAGCTGGTGTGGTAGCTCTGGGACACCTCACTCCGTGACTGCATCTGTGATTGGTTGGTTAAAGCTGTTCGTTCCACTTTGCATGTAAGTGGTTGGAGAGCCTTAAGCATGGAATTCTATAATGAGATAAGGCATGTGGGTGAAGGGCTGAAGTCAGATTTTAAAAAGCTAAATGTTCCAGGATAGAGTGTGATGGATGGCATGAACTTGCAATCACACAGACCTGGGACCAAAGCTACCTTGCTACTTACTAGCTGTACATTCTTGTCCTTGAGCAAGTTAGTCCAGCTGTCTGCCTCCATTTCCTTATCTACGAGCTAAGGGTAACAACATCTACACTGCAGGATGGTTATGAGGATGACATTACATGCTTGTACAGGGCTATACAAAGTACTTGTGTTGGTCCATTTTCTGTTGCTGTGACAGAATACAACAGACTAGGCAATTTAAAAAGAAAAGGAGTTTATTTGCCTTGCTATTCTGGAAGTTGGGAAGTCCAAGAGCATGGCACCAACATCTAGTGATGGTCATCCCATGGTAGAAAGGCAGAAAGTGGAAGTCAGTGCAAGAGACAGAGAGAGCACAGGAAAAGAGAGCCAGAGGAAGCTCACTTTTATAACAGAGCCACTCCCTTGATAATGAACCCACTCCAGCGATAGCTACATTAATCCATTCATGAGGACAGAGGGATTAACTTTCCACATGAAGTTTTGGGGACTGACATTCAAACCATAGCAGTGTTCAAATCCTCATTAATCCTAAGGGATACAAATCATATTGTAGGGTTCCCTGGAGTTAAGCAAAAGCCGTGTGGTTCTGGGCATACATTTCAAGGTCAATAAGAAGTGGAGCTAAAACACCAAAAAGCTCCTGGGAAGAAATGGAGAGCTTGAATAGCACATGCTTTTTCGGGAACCACATACATCACTTCATGTAACACAGCCCTAAATTGTGAGAGAAGTAAGGAAGAGAGAATAAGAGGAAAGGAGGGTGAAATCAAAGTGTTGAAGGAAGATGAGAGTTGAGGGGGGCTCCCAAGATTCACTGGAACAGCTTGAGTTGGGTTTTCAGAAGGAAGAAAGTAATTTTTTAGAGAAAGGAGAATAAGAAATGTCAGCAGGAGTTGGAACTCTGGGGCGGTGCCGCCCTCTCTCAATCGTGTTGCTGCTATTTTAGGAGTCTCTTTGGATGGCAGCGTTGGCTCTCAGAGCACATAACCAGGTTTCCTCCTGTCTAAAGTGAGGCGTCCCTTGGGTCTCTACTCAGGACTCAGCATCAGGCCAGGGATGCCTGTGCCAGCCTCGCTCTGCTCACTGCCTTGCGTCAGGCGGTGCTGTCTGTCCTCCAGAGAAAGTCCTCCCCACTCTCTGGGTTTCCAGGCAGCAACTCCCTGGGCAGCTGCAGCCACCAGATATGCCTGGCTGCCCTGCCAACAAAAGCAAGGAAGGGGCTGGCAGTTGGCTCCACAGACCCATCTCTGAGAACACCTCAGGAATCACCCAAGCTTCAGCAAGTTATCTGCTTAAAGTTCAGTCCCTGCAACAAAGCAAACCCCCAAAAAGGGTGGGGTGGGGAGAACCTCAGCTACTTAAATCACAATCACTAGATGGAAGGAACAGAGAGTCAAAAATAATAAAGTTTCCTTTTTCAAATACGAAAACAGAGGTGCAGACAGAGGTCCTAATCAGTTCACCTGGTGAGTCTGAAATGGGCATGATTATAATTATCTCTATCTAATAAACGATTACTATTTTAAAATTCATTCAACATTCAACATGTATTTGTGAATGGGGCAAGCAACGGGTTGGACATTTTTACATACATCTCTTATCTCCACAACAACCTAGTACTGTTAGAATACTACGGCTTAGAAAAAAACAACTTGCCCAAGATTCCCCACCATATGAGTTGCAGCATTGAGATTTGAACCTGGGTCTGTGGTTTTGAAGCCCCCATAAAGCTGAGACTAGACTCATCTCTCTTGCTCCCAAGTAAGACTTCACCTTCATATTAGCGTCCAAGTTTCCCCTCGATGCTAAATCTAAGATTTACCCTTTGTTAAGCCTTCTGTGATCTTTACATTCTTTGTTATTTTCAGCCTTCCAATTGAGGGTTGGGGTTTCATTTCTAAAGGGATAAAGAAAGGAACATGTGGTTAGCAGTAAGCACCAGTAAGCAGAGGTGAATATTTTTATGATCCCCACCTTAGTATTAAGAAACTGAGGCTCACAGAGATGAAGTGACTTGCCCAAGGTCAACAGCAGTTATGGTGGAGCCAGAATTCCACAGCCAGTCTGTCTAACCCTACATCCCAGACTCTGTCATGGCTCTAGGCTGCCTGACAAGGCTAAAATTGTTACATTCATGTACCCCAAAGAATGGAGGGGTGCATGAATGTAATTTAATTTCATATTCAAATGTATGAATGTATGGATGAGCAAGTGTATTGACTAAATATTTTCAGTGATTAATCTACCAAGTGAAATATCTATAGCAAGCTGAGGTCTGCATGTATACACACCAGGTTAAATTTACCATTTAGTCTGTTGGCTGTAGGATGGTGAGACATCACATCTGGATTAGAACAAGCCAAGCAGGAGGAGGAAAAAAATATCACCTGGAGAGAGAGGCACACAGAGGAGTTGCTTCTGCCATTCCTGGATACTAAGTTGGGTTGTCTCTTACGGGGAGATACTTTTCTATAAGATGATTAATTTATGCTAAATAAGTACATCTTCAGAAGTAGAAGGAGGCAGAGAGCCAGCCAGCAATGGAATAGGAGAGAGTGGACATCCATTGATTTGTCTGGTCTAGCAGCTCCTCCCTAGAAACTGCCCCTCTTTCCACTTTGTTTCTACCAAGTGACCTGTCCCCCTGCCCCCCGCCTTAGTTGATTAGTTCAGGATTGGGCATCTGACCCATTTTAGAGCAAGGCCTTCCCTGGGCATTTGGAATTGGGCCTGAGAAGGAAAACTAACCACACTCAATATTCAAGTAACTCTGACCGGGCACCTTCAGTCTACTGTGTGGACCAGAGATGTCCTAGGTTCAAATGAGCCTCTGATGACCCCAGTGACATTAGAGCCCTTGGGTTTTGTGAGACACTCCTACATCCTTATAATAAAGTCTCCTTTACCCCCAACACCTTTTTTCCTTTAATCTATATAAAGTTGCTTGTAACTTACAAGCAGGAATCTAAACTAACATCCTTCCCCTCTCTCACCTCCATATCCAGAAAGTCACCAAGTCCCACTAATTCCACCTTTTTGGTATATCTCATACCCACCCCTTTCTCTTCACCTCCATGCTACTGCCTTTATCAAAGCCTCCCCATCCGTGCCTGGATTTCTACAACAGCCTCCAAATAGCTCTCCCTACTTCAGCCTGACTCTCCCATTCATTCTCTGTGCCACTGCCAGGGCCACCTACTAGAGTTCACTCCCTTGCTTACCAGAATTCTCATAGCCTTTGGCTTGAACTCCAAACTCCACAGCACATACACAAGCCTCGTGTGATCTGGCCCTCCACTCTAACTGCTCGCTGCATCCCCTCTCTCCCTCTGCTGTGACCCCTGTGTTCCACCTGAGCTTGCATTTCCCAGTAACTCATCACCGTTTTCTAGTCTCTAGACTTCTACTTGGCACACTCCTCTCCCAGCCTTTTCTCAACCAGCTTCTATTCATCCCTGCTGATCAGGAATAAATATGAGCCCTTAGACATCAATTCTAAGTCTAAGAGGTGGTAATGCATGGGCCAGGTCTTCCTTTTCTCTACTTCTGCCTCTCTGGGGTTGTCCCATAAACAAGGCCTTTTGACTTCTCAGTGTCTTCCACTGCTACTTTTCTAGCAAAACCAGCTCTCAGGAAGGGGCCTGTTATTTACTCTCTGGTATAGATTTAAGGCAATGAATCACCTCTTCCAGGAGTATCTGCATGTGGAGATTCATCACTGAAGGCAGAACTCATTAGCCCTAGTAAAGGGCTATCAGGCTTCTGTGAGAATGCAGGGGAGGTGTGTGAGTGCCCTGAAAAAGCACACCACACGGACACTACATCATGTGTAGGAGCTGCCCTGAGCACGGCGGTCTCTTAGAACCAGGAGAGAGGGAGAGAGAGAGAGATCATGGTGTGTAGAAAGCAATGGGCTGTATGCAATGTTCCTGACCTGTCCCAGGACAGTGTTCAGTGGTTGCCAGACATGCCTTGCATGATTCTCAGGGGCCCCATTCACAGGGACTATGATATGAATGGTATCCCCTAGAGTTGTGCCATGTAGCAGCCCTGGAAAATTCCTTGGAAAGGCAGAATCTCTGCCTACCTATCCCTCCTTTAGTCACCACCAATTATAGAGGGCAAGGGAGCTTCCCTTTGAGTCAGAGCAATGACCCACTCAGCACAGGACTCTGGCTCAGGCAGAGCCATTCCAGGAGGCCAAGTGGTCTGCAGGCAGGGAATTGCAGTCATTGCTCTGCCTTTCTCTCTTCTGTCCACTCTTCACCACCTGAGTCATTCATCTAATCTGCAAGTCTGACAATGGCACTCTCTTGCCCCCAATCTGTCAATGGCCCCTCAGTGCCTGTGAGACATACTCCTAGCTCTCTGGGATGGCACGTAAAGGCCTCCACAACCTGGCCTCTCACTCTTTCACTAACTTCATTTCCTCTCACTCTTCGTCTTGTATTTTACACTCCAGCCTCTGCCTACATCACAACCTTCATATCTTGAAATCCCAGTCCTTGTGGTCCCCTTGGCCTGGAATGCCCTTCTCTCCTCCTCCACACCTTCTTTCCCTGACCCCACTTCCCTACTTCTGTCCCTCAGGCACCATTGTCCTTTACCTGGCAAACTCCTGCTCCTCCTGGAAGGTCCCCCAGAGCACCCTGACACCACTCTCCTCCCATAGACAGTTGGATTGGGTGGCCATTACCTTGGCCATCCTGTCAGTGGGCCTCCACAGTGTCTGGCACTTGTCCATTTATGTGTCTCTCTCAGGAGACTGTGAGATCCTTGAAATATTATCTTGAATTAATTATTATTAATGTCTTATTCATTCATGTTTCTTTAGTGTCTAACTCAGGACCTGGCACATAGATATTATACTCAATACCTGAGTGGATTTCACTTCAATTAGCTTTAAACTTAAATTTTATTATGTAAAGCTTAGTTTAATAAAAAGAAATTACCATGCTTGGCGTATGAGGAAATGCAAATTGTTCTTAAAACTGGGGAAATTCAGAGAAGGAAAAACTTATTTTCTTTGCTAAAATATCTTGAGGAAAAACATACTCTTCTGTACCCTTTCCCAGGATCAAACATTTATAATCTTTATAACATGAGTTCCTGAAGGCAAAGGTTTTTTGTCATCTTCATCTTTGTGTATTCAGCAGTTCACAGAGTGCCTGGCTCATAATATATATATTCAATAAATGAATTAAACTGAATTAAAGGAGAGAGAGAATGTAGAAGATCAGAGGCAAAATAAGAAGCCAGGAAAGCAGCAAAGCAGGGTGACCAGGGGAAAAAAGACCTCATTTTCAGTTGTGCTTTCCATCATTCCTTTCCAGCATTTTTATGGCAGTTCCCTGGCACAGCTCCCACTCTGCAGCGAGCCAGGGAAAGGAGATGGCAGAATGATGTTGCTCGTGGGACTTTGCCTTGCTCTTTGATTCTGCTGCCGTGGGGCAGGTGCATTTTCTCAATTACACACAAAGGTGGCAGGCCATTTCTAGCCACCTTGGCCCCACCTGGCAAATGAAGCCTTAATTTTCAACAGACAGACATTTCAGAGCAAAGTCAGGAGGCTCCTAGGTAAACGGGAAAACAGATGCTCTTGCCAGATGCAAACTGGCTCGTGAGGGATGGTGGTTGTGGTTGCTGAGGGATCCCCAGAATTCAACAACCTGCTAGCCAGCCACAACTGGTGAGGTCCAGGGTCTAAGATAGATGAAGTGGCACACTTACGGCTTTCTGAGACCCAGTTCTTGGAACATTTCCACAGTCTGTCCGTCTCTAAACCTGTTTCCTCATTTGTAAGAGGAAATGATACTGACTCAGGGGATTTCTGACCGTCAAATGATGCCTGGCACATGGGAAGCACTCAGTACAGAGTCGCCATCATACATATCACTGTGTTGGTGCTTCAATGACTTCATCTGTTAACCAGGGAGGGCAAGACTTATTTTACACCATGATGCGAGGATCCAGTGACGTGGAATTCATAGGCTCTGAGCAAAAGATGCAGGGATTTTTATGTGAATTTTATGCCGGTTTCCTCTATCCTGTGCTTTCCAGCTATGTTTTTTTTTTTTTTAACACAAGTAAAAAGCACTTAACCCAATTTGCTAAAGCCAAACCAAGCTCATCACAGAATCATCAGTTCAGGTTGCCAGGCAGGCAGGTAGAAGCAATGCCATGAGCAGTGTATCTTGATTTCTGAAAGACAGTGATAAAAGTCTCTCAAGAAATGCTTGTAGACATGATGAAGACATGTGGACTAGGCACCAACACCCATGACTGCCTGAACAGTCATACACCAAAACGGTTAACATCAATAAGGAGAGACTTTTCCTATTATGGAGGTAGAGCTCTAGAATATGGCCCTATCTGAAGGAAGATGGCTTTTTAAAATTAATCATTTGAACTAAGACAGAAACTATGCTTAGTGAATTTGGAAATTATGCAAAACCAGGACAAAAGCAAAAATAGCAATATTTCAACAGGATGAAAAAATGGACCAAAATCATCACACTGTTACAGTAAAAATGTAAACACCTATACTTGGATTAAAAAAAAAGAGAGAACATAGCTGGAAAGCACAGAATGGAGGAAACCAGTAAAAAATTCACACAAAAATAAATTTAAAAACTACACTTAAAAGATAAATCAGTGTGAGTCGTTGGTGCAATCTGGCTGCCAAAACTAAGGTAATCTTAGGCTGCATTAATAAAAGCACAGTGCCCAGAAAAAAAAAGAACAAATTGTTTCAATAGGTTCTAATATCTACTCAAACTGGAGTCTTTCTAGAGAGAAAATAACCAAAATAATGAAGAGTTTGGAAGGCCATGTGGTTTGAGAAACAGTTGAATATAATGGAGATAAAAGATGAAGAAAGTGGGCTAGTGATGTTGAGAAAGAGGATATTTAGAAGGTACTTAACCTTTTTTTTTTTTTTTTTTTTTTTGACAGAGTCTTTCTCTGTTGCCCAGGCTGGAGTGCATTGGTGTGATCTCGGCTCACTGCAACCTCTGCCTCCCCGGTTCAAGTGATTCTTCTGCCTTATCTTTCCAAGTAACTGGGATTACAGGCGTGTGCCACCAGGCCCAGCTAATTTTTGTATTTTTAACAGAGACAGGGTTTTGCCATGTTGGCCAGGCTAGTCTTGAACTCCTGACCTCAAGTAATCCACTTGCCTCGGCCTCCCAAAGTGTTGGGATTGCAGGCGTGAGCCACCATGCCCGGCCAGTACTTAACTATTTATCTTTAAGTGAAAGGAATGAAACTCTCCGTGAGAAAGTCCTTAGACATATTCTGTGTAGGACTGTAGGACTGGACATTAAAAGGTGACTTTAAAAGTAGACCCTAAAGGAAATATATTTTAGTTAGATAAGAGAAAGGACTCATGGTCATAAGATGGCTGCCACAGCTCCTGGCACTTTTGAAACAGCCCCTATAAACTTTATAAAATTAACCAGGGAAGAAGGAAAGGGAAGAAATGAAAATAAACCAAGTTCACAGCACATTCAGCAGTAATCGTGAGGTCTACTTGCTCTCTGACCTGTTTCCTCATAGTTACTCTGTGCCTATTGCCTCAGAATCACATAGATCCTGTTAAAAGATTATAAAGCCCCTTAACTGTTCTATAGAAAACAACTTGAACATTATGAAACATTATGTTTTCCCTTTGAGATACTCTTTTGGGTCCTGCATACTGATGAAGCTACTGACTCAGCTAGTTTGAAGGACCCCATGAGATCCTGACTCACCAAAGAAGGCAGTTTCCACATCCTGATGATAGAACTTTGTTCCATCGTCTTGGCCCAACCAATTAATAACCTCAATTTTTTAGCCACTCACTCTCCACAATCCCCTTAAATTAAAACGCCAGCCCAGAGCTCCTTGGAGAGATGGATTCAAGGGTCTCCTCCCATCTCCTGACGTGGTGCCCTGCAATCATCAAATTCTTTCTCTGCTGCAAACCCTGCTGACATAGTGTAATTGGTCTGTTACTGCACAGCGGGCATAAGAACCTGTTGGTCCTATAACACTTTGACTGTGGTCAAAGACACAATCAAAGACAAGAAGTGAGGGAAGAGTAGCACCAGAAAGGTCCTCTCTCCTATTTGTTTCTTTTATCAGGAAGCAAAATATCTTGTCCGGGTGGTTACCCCTAGCTGTAAAGGAGACTGGGAAATTGAATGTCTGGCACAGGGGTAGCTGGGACTTGCTTAAATCAATTATGACTAGGTCAAAAAGCCAATGCTGTAAGAATAATGGAGTGGAAAATGGAAAGAGCTTGGGTCCTCGCTGACATCACTGAGTTGCTGAATTAAATTTTAAACAGCCAAGCTTGTCTTCTTAGAGTGGGATAATAAATGTATATTTGACTGAGACATTCCTAGAAGGATTTTCTATCACTTGCAGTCAAATGCACCCTAATGGATACAGAGATGGTATTTATAAAGGTAACTGAGCCTACACCCAGTTGGACAATTCGTAATTTCCATTCATTCAACCAATATTTATTTAGTGTCCACTTTGTTCTAGGCACTGGTTAAACTCTGAAGATGTAATGGTGAGCAAAACTAACAAGGTCCTTGCCCTCTTGAATTTATAGTCTGGTGGGGAAGACAGGCACCCCCAAAACAACCCACAAAGGAGGAATATAAATATCCATCTCTCCTGCTTCTATGAAAAAGAGGTACATGGTATTATGGGAGCATTTAATAGAGAAATTATGCTGGTGGTGGAGTCAAGGAAGGCTGCCCTGAGAAGTGAGCAGCCATCTGAAATATGAATATGCACATTCAGGATTATGTCTTTGCCCAGAATGCTCTCTTTCTCTCCCCTGCCATGGCCCCCCCTCCCATCATGTTGCCTTATCCACTGTTTTGTTGAAACCTCCCATCATCCCAGTCATCTTCAGTATCATGCTTTCATGAAATCCACACTGACCTTTCCACTAGAAGTGACCTATTCCTTATTTAAACCCCATGAGATATGTTCTTACTCTGCCTCACAATTTCAGTGCTTGTTCTGCTTACCTCCTGACTCCCACGCCCACTTTGTAAGATGTGGACTATCTCATCTTCCCATTAAATGTCTAGCAACCTAGCTTGTTGTCTTGCACTTAATCAACATTCAATGCTTACTGTAATTGATTTTTTTTTTTTTTTTGAGACCAAGTATTGCTCTGTAGCCCAGGCTATAGTGCAGTGGCGGATCTCGGCTCACTGTAACCTCTGCCTCCAGGGTTCAAGCGATTCTTCTGCCTCAGCCTCTAGAGTAGCTGGGATTACAGGTGCATGCCACCAGGCTAGGCTAATTTTTGTATTTTCAGTAGAGATTACAGGGGTGAGCCACCACACTCCGCCCCTTAACTGAATTTTAAAACTACACTTTATCGGTGGGGCACAGTGGCTCACCCCTGTAATCCCAGTGCTTTGGGAGGGCAAGGCGGATGGATGGCTTGAGGCCAGGAGGTCGAGACCAGCCTGGCAACACGGCGAAACCCCAACTCTAGTAAAAATACAAAAAATTAAACGGGCATGGTGGCGTGCGCCTGTAATCCCAGGTACTCTGAAGGTCGAGGCACGAGAATCACTTGAACCCAGGAGGCGGAGGTTGCAGTGAGCCAAGATCATCCCGCCACTGCACTCCAGCCTGGGTGGCAGAGCAAGACTCTGTCTCAAACAAACAATCAAATACACCACATTTTATCAATGTTTACCCCCATATAGTTTCAGAAAAGATTTGATAGCTTACACAGAGGAGGGTGTGTGCATGATGTCCCCACAAACCTAGACACCCAGAGCATTGAATTTTTGTCCATAAACTGAATTTTTTGAAGATTAAAATATACTAATAAGGGTTATTATTATACTTATGTCAACTATTACTTATATGCGCTAGTTTCCTTAGTTTATTACAACCCTTATTCCTCAGCATAAGAAGCAAGGTGTTTGAATTTCCCAAGGGTGCATAATATCCTTTGAAGGGGCCTGGCTCTGTTCAATATTCCGAGTGACAGTTGTCCAGGATGGCACAGTGCCCTTCCTTAAATTCACATATTGGTAATCTTCACTGTAGGTTTATAAAAGGTTGTCCTCAGTAATTGAGGGACATAGTAACATAATTGCACACTATTGAAAGTGGACTCCCTCTTAGAGATAATCTGGTAACAGAGACCCGGAGATTTGTCCCAAACCAGGAAGACAGGAAGAGCTGTTCCCTTTGGTAATCATTTATCAGGCAGTAGCTTTCCCCATGGGGACTCGCGGAGAGTGTCGGAGATGTACAGTCATTCCCCTAACTTTCAACGTTTACACAACTCAGGACACACTCTAGGAAGGAATTCAATGATTTTCCTCTGGGTGGAGGTATTACTAGGTTCTAAAGCCGTGGCAGGCAAGCAGCTACCAACGGCGCTAAGTTCAAAGCTGCCCGAGAACTCGCCCAGAGTTAAGTCAGGGAAAAGAAACGCCTGGGAACAAACGCGCCTTCTCCCCTGCCCCAGGTGTGCTAAAGGACGATGCCGCAGATCCCTAACTAGCTCAGCCTTGGAGCGAGCGCTGGGTGCCTGCGATGGAAAGTCGCTCTTCTCGCCAAGAATGGTCGAACCCCAAAACTTCAGGGACGCCGCTCGGAGTAACTTCTCTTCACTCACTTGCGATCAGATGAGAAGAAAGTAAAGCCCTTCCAACGTCACCCTCAGCCGGCGCGCGGCAGCTGAGTCCCAGCGGGGACGGGGTCCGCCGGGTACCCCTCCGCCCGAGCCCTGTGCGCTTCCAGGTCCTCCTCCTCCGCGCGGTCACTGGCTGCATCTCCGCCGCCCCGGCACAATAGAGGCTCCGCCCTCCTTCCGCGCGAGCTCTCCGCGGCTCCCTAGCCCAGCAGCCCTCGCCCAGCAGCCCGCGCCGCCACCGCCTCTTCCCTCCCCGTGTCCGGTCCCCGTGCGTCCCGAGGCTCCCCGCCGCCCGTCCCGGCGCGCACCGCGGGCGTCTGTCCGAACGCCTTCCAGCCACCTGAGCCCTCCTGCGGGCGACTCGCTCAGCTAGCCCGTGCCCGCCTCCACCTTCTCCGTCATCCCCTCTTCCTTGCGTCCGGCTCTCCACTGGGGCTGCACAGTCGAGGGCTGCTCGCGTCGGGAAGGAGATGCCCAGAGTCTCTGGGGCGCACCCTCCCGTCCCGCTCAGCCGCACCCAGCTTTAGAAGGTGCTCTCAGCAGCCACTTTCGGGCTCTAGCGAGGACACCCTCTCGCAGAAGTCCTTGCCGAGACCCCCCGCCCCAGCCATTCTCTGAAGGGGCTGAGGACACTCTTATCGCGCCCCTCATGGCCAAGCCTCGGCTGCTAGTTCTCTACTTCGCTCTGATTGTGGTTCCGGCCTGGGTGTCCAGCATTGTCCTCACAGGGACAAGCGAGCCCCCAGATGCGCAGACAGTGGCGCCTGCGGAGGACGAGACTCTGCAAAACGAGGCGGACAACCAGGAGAACGTTTTATCTCAGGTAGGATGCAGAGTGCCACGACCGCCCTTCTTGCCCTGGATGGTGGTGAGAGCCAGAAGCTGGTCCTTGCTGAAGTGTTTGAGGGCAGCTGTTTTTCCTTCCATTACCAATGGAAAGGGCTTTTGATTTTTCATGTATCGGAATATTTTCTTAATGGAAGGATATAGGTTCTCCTCGCAAAATCATAGGGTGCTTAAAGGTCATCAAATCAGGAGAAAGGAGAGGTGAAGGAAGGGAAGATGCCGCTCGACTTCTTGAGAAGAAAGAAAACAAAGTTGTTTTTGGTTTCAGGGTTGTAAAAAGTATCTCTTGTCTATGTGGCTGTCTGTCAGAATTGGAATGTGAAAACAGCCGGATATGTTGACCAGGAGGCAGATGGCATATCCCATCGGGAGATACTTTATGGCAGAGGGTGGGACACCAGGCGGGAGCATGGGGTGAAGTCAGAACAGAAGCATGTGTGATGAATGTGAGGTGACCCCCAAACAGAGAGACTGAGAACATGACGGAGTGTACTGGGAGGGGAGAGTGGGAATGCAGATGCAGGCAGCTAGGGCAGACTGTCAGTGGGGGCCCGAGTAACCCATGATAGTGATGGGCTTCGTAAAGTGTCCGTTTACCAAGTACTTAAACTTGTTTTTTCTGACTCAATCTTCAAAACACCCTAATACCCATTTATAGATAAAGACCATAAGAGATACATGGGTAGGCCGGGCGCGGTGGCTCACGCCTGTAATCCCAGCACTTTGGGAGGCCGAGGCGGGCAGATCACGAGGTCAGGAGTTCAAGAGCAGCCTGGCCAATATGATGAAACCCCATCTCTACTAAAAATACCAAAATTAGCCAGGCGTGGTGGCAGGCACCTGTAGTCCCAGCTACTCAGGAGGCTGAGGCAGGAGAATCGCTTGAACCCGGGAGGTGGAGGTTGCAGTAAGCGGAGATCGCGCCACTGCACTCCATCCTGAGTGACAGAGTGAGACTCCGTCTCAAAAAAAAAAAAAAAAAAAAAAAAGAAGAGATACATGGGTAGAGCCAGGGCGTCTGACAGTCTTCAGCCCAGATCTCATGTCTGTAAGGGGTAGTTCTCTCTGGAGTGTTTATTTTGTGCTCTCCAGAGCCGGCATGATGACGTGTGGTGGGTGTCACCAGAATCCTCAGAATGGGGGATGTCTGAAAAAGGATCCTCCAGGGCTGCCTGTACCTTCACCTCCACCAAGCCCTAGGACTGGGCCTTGTCTCCTTCCTGTAGAGAGAATAATCAGCTGCACTTTGGGATTTATCAAACACTAGCCTCCTCACTCTTCCTTTAATAATGATGCTAATGTATGCCCTCTGCCCCCCCATTACCTCCCACTGACCCCTAAATCGAAAAGACATAAAAATCTCTCACACTGGGGCTCTGGAACACTATCAACAAAAACTTTCCTGAAACCCGAGCCTCCTGTAAGGAAGGAATCCACCCAGGGTTCTCAGAGCAGGGTTATGTAGGAATCCAGGCAGAGTTTCAGAGAGCAGACAGCCACAATTTACTATCAGCCCGTAAAGAACAGCCGCTTAAGTCACCCTTAACTACACCACCTTCTTCCACTGATCCATTCTGTGTTTGACAACAGCCCTAAAGCAAATATTAGTATTAGAAGAAACCCAATCTTTGCAAGGAAAACATTACAAGTCTTCTTCCCCCAGACAGCATCCCAAGGAACATTTCTACTCAAACAAGCTCAATGCTTGCCCACTGAAATCATTAATCAAATGAAGGGAACCCTTCTGCCTGCCTAGGAAGGGAGCCCTGGCTTTGGGGATGTAGGGCCTTTTGGAGAGGATTGGGAGAGAAGAGCCTTTTCCCAGCAAGCGCCCAGAGTTGGGGCTCCAGAAAGCCTACTGTCGCGTGTTTTCCTGCCTGGGGAGGCTGGCAGGGGCAAGTGCCCAGAAGGAAATGTTTAGCATTGCAAAAGCAGCAAGTGCTGCCAGTTTGCTTTCCTGGGTTTGGCCTGGGGTTTAGGTTCAGAAGCATGAACTCTTAGACTGAGTAAACCTTACTAACTTCTGGACCTGCCTCTTTCCTCTCAATTCCCTTTCTCCACATCTAACCCATCCTTCAAGGCCCAGATTAAATGCCACTCCTCGAAGAAGTCTTCCCTGGCTTCCAGTTGGAGCCGCTCTTAGCTCCCACTGCCCTTTCCCTCTGCCTCTTCGGGGGCACTTATCACTCTGTACTCTGTGTGACTGCTATTTCTATGCCTCCTGCACTGTAGGCTTCTTGAGAGCAGGCTCTCCATCTGGCCCATCTCTTTATCCTTCACAGCACCTCACAGTCCTTAGTAGGCACTCCATAAATGTTGAATAAATGAATGAGAGATGCCAGTAGTCTTCAAACTTGAATACCAACTTTTCAATCTCTCCAATTTCTTCTTTTCCTTTTTACACTTAAACCTGGATTCTGATTGGGTGCGGTGTCTCACGCCTGTAATCCCAGCACTTTGGGAGGCCGGGGCAGGTGGATCACTTAGGGTCAGGAGTTCAAGACCAGCCTGGCAAACATGGTGAAACTGAAAATACAAAATTAGCTGGGCATGGTAGCATGTGCCTATAATCCCAGCTACTTGGAAGGCTGAGGCAGGAGAATCACTTGAACCTGGGAGGTGGAGGTTGCAGTGAGCTGAGATCATGCCACTGCACTCCAGTCTGGGCAACAGAGTGAGACTCTGTCTCAAAAAAAAAAAAGAAAAAGAAAGAAAGAAAAGAAAGCCTAAACCTGGATTGTAGCAGAAGGCAAAGGCTATTGGACAAATGACTTGGCTCATCTGGTTTTTCCTTTAAATAATGAAAGGCTAAGGCCCCATGAGAAAGGCACAGCTTTCCAAGACAAACGAAGAGAGCTGAACTCTGAATGCCTTCAAGGAAATGTCAGAGTCAGCAAACTGCATCTCAGTGACCTATTGGCTCTGTGGTTCAGAGTTTTCTGAGGTCTCTGACTAGTGCAGGACATTTGACTAAGTAAATGGAGAGCCTCCTTCTGGAGGCTGACTGACACCTGTGTTTGCATGCCCCTAACCCGTTTTCTGTGTGTCTAGTTGCTGGGGGACTATGACAAGGTCAAGGCTATGTCTGAGGGCTCGGACTGTCAGTGCAAGTGTGTGGTGAGACCCCTGGGCCGGGATGCCTGCCAGAGGATCAATGCGGGGGCCTCCAGGAAGGAAGACTTCTATACCGTGGAAACCATCACCTCAGGCTCGTCGTGCAAGTGTGCCTGTGTAGCACCCCCATCGGCCCTCAATCCCTGCGAGGGAGACTTCAGGCTCCAGAAGCTGCGGGAGGCAGACAGCCAGGACTTGAAGGTAGGACCTGGTATGGGGCAATGCCTTGGACGAGAGGGCACTTTTGAGATCCACAAGTCTGGTAAGGCCATGGTTGAAGATTCTAAGCCCTTTGAAGAAGGTCAGGCCTGTTCCCTAGAGTGCTGTGTGTGGATCAAGGTTGATGTCCTAGCAAACTTGTCCTTTTCAGCTCTGGTGTATAAGGGAGATGCTTAAAGCAAAGTGTGCCTACCCCTCCTTATGGAGCCAGAGAGGCTGGGCCTGGGAGCAGCTGCCAGGCCCAGCTGGCCAAAAGAACTCAGCGTTCTTCAAGAAAATTGCTGCCACAATTTACTATCAGCCTAGCACACACCCCAAAGAGGCAAAAGAAAAATGCGAGTAAGGCTTTGGCCCTTAGCACAAGGGCTGGGTTGGCCTAGGGAAGGAGAGGCCGGGGGCCTGCTCTAGATTGGGTCATCAAACTGTGATCCTATAATGGTCCTTAGGGTAGGGAAGCTCAGGCCCCACTTAGGCAGCCCCATGGGTTGGCTGAGGGCTTCTGATCCTGCACCCCCTCTTCCCTTGCAGCGTGGGGTAGTGGAACAAGCTGGGTTTTGGAGTCAGACAGACTTGGGTTCAAATCATAGCAGTGTGATCCCACTTAAGTTATTTAACTTGTCTGCCTTCCAGCTCCTTGAATAACATGTGGTAATAATAACATCTACTTGGTGGAGTAATGAGATAACAACTAGGAGGTACTTGGCACGATACCAGACATTCAGCTAGGCATGACCATGTAAATGAATGAATGGATGACTATGTAAAGCGCTGCTGGCATCTGGCACTCACTCAGTGACTAGTAATCATTAGTGTCTCTTTCAGCAGAGTAGTGTTTACCAATATCAGGAGTATCTCAGGATTTGGCCAGAGCCGCAGCTCTGCCATGGAACAACTTTCTGAACCAAGTGCCACACTCACTCAGTTGTAGGATTAGACTCTGGGGGAATTCTGGAACACTATAAGGCAAAATGTCTATTAGAAATCAGGAAATTATCACAGTACATACTAAGAGCCAGCTATCTTTTTATGGCTTCT
Organism: Homo sapiens; assembly: GCF_000001405.40. Classification (NCBI taxonomy): domain Eukaryota; kingdom Metazoa; phylum Chordata; class Mammalia; order Primates; family Hominidae; genus Homo; species Homo sapiens. The sequence goes on along the minus strand of NC_000001.11, from coordinate 162,018,865 downwards.
ATCCAGGATTCAGCTCTCTTCCTCTGGTAGGGAGAAAGGAGTTTACCTTCTAAACATGAGTATTTCATACTTGGACTTCTTCATGTAGAAGCTAGGCTCTGAGATAAATGGGGAGTGTAGATTGCAAAAGTGTGGCCCAGTAAACTTCCAAGAACTGGCCCTCATCATCTTCCCTCTTACCCTGCAGTCTGCATGCCCTCAGTGCCGCCAGAGCCTCGGCCACCTTCCTGCCAGGGCCTCTGTACTGGCAGGCAGGATGGTATTGATAAAAACTGAGAAGGCTGGGTGCACTGTGGCAGCTTGCCATAGAGCAAGAGTCTCAAAGATGGGACGCTGAGTCCTCTTTTAGCCCAGGGTCAGTTTAGCACTTTGTGCTAAGGAGAACCTGTCGATGTCTTTCAGAGCCTTTAGTAGACAATGAAATTGAGTGTTTCAGAAGCACATCCTCAGGGTATTGACATGTAGAGCCACCTTGTTGAGTATTTATAGAATAAAAATACCTGTTATGAGCCAGCTATCTTGGGGAAACAGAGATGAAGGATACAGAGACACTGCTTGCTTGTTTTCTTTTTTTAACTTGTATTTTAGGTTCAGGGGTACATGTGCAGGTTTGTTATAGAGGTAAACTCACGTCATGGGAGTTTGTTGTACAGATTATTTTGTCACCCAGCTACTAAGCCTAGTACCTAATAGTTATTTTTTCTGCTCCTCTCCCTCTTCCTACCCTCCACCATCAGGCAGCCCTTAGCATCTGTTATTCCCTTCTTTGTGTCTTTGAGTTCTCATTGTTTAGCTCCCACCTATAAGTGAGAACATGTGGTATTTGGTTTTCTGTTCCTGTGTTAGTTTGCTAAGGATAATGGCCTCCAGCTCCATCCATGTTCCCATAAAAGACATGATCTCATTTTTTTCATGGCTGCATAGTATTCCATGGTATATACATACTGCATTTTCTTTACCCAGCCTGTCATTGATGTGCATTTAGGCTGATTCCATGTCTTTGCTATTGAGACACTACTTTCAAGGAGCTCACAGTCTAGTAGGAAAGACAGATGTCAATGCAACTGACAGATTTCATAAAAGAGGTATAAACAGTTTGTGAAGAGGTCTAGACCTCAGGTTTACTTGTTCTTGTAGGACTCTCCCATTTTCTTACCCAAACATTTCGGAAGGCAGAATGCACATACACCATTGTGCTTGCCTACATCCCTGTCTACACAAATGTGTTTCTCACGGCAACCTCTCAATTCCTGGCTAGTGGCTTTCCTGTCGAGCCCCCAGTATGCAGATCTGAAAGGAAACTCTGCCCTGTGTCTGTGTGCCCCAGCCCTGGACTAACCCCTTGCCTTGTTTCATAGCTCTCCACAATCATAGACATGTTGGAAGGAGCGTTCTATGGCCTGGATCTCCTGAAGCTACATTCAGTCACCACCAAACTGGTGGGGCGAGTGGATAAACTGGAGGAGGTAAGGAAGATTCTGGTTTCTATATCTTTTTCTTGATTGAGCCCAAAAGCATATCAAACGTCCCACAGTAAATTTTCAGCTAGCACATGTGCTGACTAGACTTAACCCATCCTATTCTATGAAAGGGAAAATATACATAAAAGATTCATTCAAAATTATGCCAAATTGTTGGTGACAAAGAAAATCAGTTAAGTAGAAATGCCAATACTGTACCTTCTTTTTTTCATAAAATCCCCTTAATCATATAACCAATGTCTTTCCATTTTTACCTTGACTTCCAGGGACCTCAGAACTCAATGAAATGTAAAGGTACAATAAGCATCTTACCTCCAGTTTTAAGGTGGAGTCATCTCCTTCCTTTGTATATGGTTCCTAATTTCTCTTAACTGTTCTGGTGCATACCCCTGTATTTATGTGTGTGAATCCATCTGAAATTCATTTTAGAGGAAGAAGACATAAAAATGATTACTAATAAGTAATGTTCCCTACTCAGCATTCAGGCTGGTCATGCCCAGAATGAATGGACGAGTCATGCAATTTTCATAGACAAAGACACCATACTATTCTGACTGGGCTCTGGGAGTGGTACAGGTGGTGCTGTGGTTTTCATCTAGTGGTGTGTGAAGGGAGCTGGGAGTTGTTACAGATACTGTAATAATGTTGACAGTGCTTGTTGCTGTGATGCCTTAACATATAGATGAGAAATCATGTAGTCACCCAAAAAGTAACTAACGATCATTATTCAATCTTATTGGTAAGGAACTTTATGGATATGTTTCATTGACTCGCACCTGGTTCTTGGACTGATAACTTGAAACAGTGACTCAAAGAGCTGCTGCTCTGAGTGGAAATCTATTTCTTTAATGTTTACAGCATTACTGTAAGTGGCAAATTTAATAACACAATGACTGTAAACATATCAATATTCCTTATGAAAAAGTGGACTTTTGGGGGGCTATCATGAAAGAGCTAAGGTTCTTCGATCTATGATTAGTAGATGTAGCGGTTTGTGGCAGAAAGAGCAGCAGGCTTGGAGTCAGGACAGAATGAGTTCCTTACTCTTTGTTTGTGCTGCCAAGCAGCCATGTCCTACCTTCTCCATCTGGACAGTGAGAATAGTACCCTGCCTACTCCATATGATTGCTGAGAGGATACAAAGTATGCTAATCAGTATGAAAATGCTTTGAAATGGTTAAATTAAACAAGGCTCTGACCATGGAGAGATTGAGGACAAACATTCCTACATTACTTTGCCAGGATAGCTGGCACAAAGATGATGAAACACTGAAGTTACAAGGATTAGTTTCAACACACTCCTTCCACCCCTTAAAATTTTCCCGGAAAGTGAACACTAGTTCCTTTTCCACCCGCCCTTGGGCTTAGCTCCTCCAATGCTATGATGAGATGTTTTCTGAATAAGGCTGTTGGCTCTGGGAGGGTTGGTAGGTCCTTAATCACATCAGATATGAGGTCTGATGAGAGGGGTCAGGGTTTTGGATCCTGAGATTTGTACACAGATCAGAGTGGCCAACAGAACCGCATCAGCCTCCTCCTCGCTGTCTGCCACTCTCTTCAAGGGGTTCTCTCAAAGAACTAGGACCCTGGGCATCTTGAGTCTCTCCTTCCTCAATGTTAACAGCCAAAATGATGACATTGTGGATGGTCAGCACCATCCCACTACTAATGGACTTCATGCAGGCTTCGGACTCTTCCTCCTAGTTAAAACCACTTTCTGGTTCTTTCAGATACATTCAAAAGGAATTAAACCAAGGTCCAATATTGGGAAGTGCCTCTGTTTTCCTAGGCCCCCAGAACCATCCAAATGTGCAATGCCCCTTTAAGAAAAGGATTGCTCTTCTATAGGAACAGGAGCGACAGCAACCTCTTCTGCTTTTACCTGACCTTGGCAGCCAAACAGTTGCCATTCTGCCTGGAGAACACAGCTTGAGAAAGATAGATCTGGAGGGAGAGTACAGTGCTCTGGAGGCCAAGGTCAGGTACTCAGCCTCTGAGAAGGCCAGTGGGCTGGGCTTGTCCAAGGACCACAGTCTTGTTACAGCCTTGTCTAGCAGCTGAGCCCTCCCTGCTCAGGAGGGAGTATGGGTGAATTTGATGCAATACCAGTGCCCCAGCAGGGTGGTATCGTCTATACAGTCACACAGTAACCTCGTTTTTGCAAAAAACAGTTTTAGTTACATCAATGAGAGTATCTGCTTGCCAAAGCTGTGATATGTTTAGTAGCAAAGATTGGACCTTAATAATAATAATCCCTTACATTTGTATAGCATATTACGTTTTGTAAAGCATTCTGTATACATTTAGCCCATTTGTTCCTGGGTAATGTGAGAGCCAAGGAAATTAGATGACTTGACCAAGATCACAGTGCTAGGAAGTACAGGGCCTTCTGGTTCCTGGTCCAGGGCTCTTTCTAATCAACCCCGTAAGTTTCTTCAAATCATTGCCATCTGTCCTGCAAGCATCAGTTTTTCTTAACAGGAACTTCAAACAATAGCTCTTCCAGGGGAATTTCTAGGCAGAACTGTGACTCTATCCCATAGACCCATTAAATAGGATTAAAGTTGAGTTCGGGAAGGAGGTTTCCCCAAACCAGACAGCCTAAGGTGATAGGGTGCTGAAGTGTGACAGTAGTCTTCAGATGGGTCTGGGCCCCTGTGCCCAAATAGTGGAGCACTGTATTTGTTTGAGTTTGTCTCAAGGCTCATGCCAGCTGACTGTCTGGAGTCTGCAGTAATTGAAAAGGCAGAATGTTGGGTAAATTGAAAAAACACTCCCTCTCCAGCTCGGTTCTGCAGGAGGAATGGAAGTTAAATTCTGCTCCTGGTCCTTGAATATTCTTGAATCCCAATGGGAGCTCTTTGGAGGTCAGACAAGACAAAAAAGGGGTCAGATTGGAGAGGCATTTTGCCCAGAGTAAGATCAATGGTTGGCAGTATAAGCAAGCACACATTTATGGGATATAGCCACAGTTCCACCTTGGGTATATAGGAGGAGGTAGGAATGGAAACTTCATTTGCAGATGAAAGAGGAAGGAAGGAGAGAGAAATGGAATCTGAACTATTTTGAGTTTACCTTTTGGTAAAATCAGCTCTGGGAGCAGCTCTGCTTAGTGGAATGATTTTGGGTAAGCTTTTGTTTTAAATACTGAAAAACGACACATGCATAGAAAAGTGTATAAACAATGAATATAGTTTAACAAATTACCATGAACAAAATGCCTGTGTAACCACCAACCAGCTCAAGAAACAGACCAATTTTAATACCCCAAAAGGCCCCCATATGCTCTCTCCTACTCATACCCTTCCCTCAGGGGAACCTTTATCCTTACTTTTATGTTAATCATTTTCCTTGTTTTTCTTTATAGTTTCATCGTTTAAGGACGCATCCCTAAATGTAATAGTTTTGCCTTTTTTGAATGTTAAATACATAGAATCCTACAGAAGTGTGTGTGTGTGTGTGTGTGTGTGTGTGTGTGTGTGTGTGTGTGTGTTGGGCTTTTTTCACTCAACTTTATATTTTTAATATTTACCTATGTTGTTTTTGTGTCTTGTGGTTCATTCATTTTTATTGCTGTGTAGTATTCTATTGTATGAATATACTACAATTTATCTGTTCTCCTGATGATGGGTATGTGGATTGTTTCCAGTTTCTGAATGCGTAAATCAGAATAGCCCTATGGACATTCCTATACATGAACATCCCTGTGCATGTACCCTGGTGCATGTGTGCCTGCATTTCTCTATGGTACATTAGATAAGTGGAACTAGAAGATAAGCATTAGTTATGCTTATCTTCAACTTCAGGAGATATTGCCAAACTGTTTTCCAAAGTGGTAGTATAAGTTTACATTGCCTCCAGCAGGGTATAAAAGTTCTGCACACATCCTCACCAACACTTGGTATTGTCAGACTTTCTAGTTTTTGTCAATTTGGAGGCTATAACTTAGTAGGGTCATTTCACTGTGTTCTAGAAACTTAACTCCAAAAATATCTTTCCAGTTCACTGGGGGAGGTCTGAAACCTCATAAACCAGTTTTAAAACTGCTCCAGGAATAAGAAACACTCAAGGTGGTCAGCAGTCCAACATAGACCCCAGCTGACCTCTCCTTCCTGTGAGTGGCTGGGAAGGGGAAGGGCATGCAGGAAGTGTAGGTACATGTTGGAGTTGAGGGGTGGGTGGGCACAGAACATAAGTATCTGAAGAGATAGGAGTTAAAAGTCTAGAAAGAAAACCTGTAACTTCCAAAGGCAAAGGCAAGCCCTGTTCATTGCATACAGAGCTGGCAGTGGCACTCACTCAGCTCAAGAAAAGACTTCATCCGGGCTCTGAGTGCACTCAGAGACCCATAGACTTGTAGGCTGCCAGGCCTAAAGGTGGATTCTGAAGGCAGCAGGACTAGAGGCATGGTGTTCAACCCCTAGCAGCACATACTGCTTCCAGGGGCAGATTTATTACTAAAGTGGAGAAAAAGACAAACAGAGGGACAGATCATTATAATAATCTTCTAGCATCAAGGCTTTAGTTGGTTTCAGTCATTTCTGTAAAATTTGCAAATTTTATGAAGAAATGTCCCACCCCCACCTTGCTGCAGGATACCTGTAAGTGTTTATAAGTGCTTGAAATGCTTATGTACACATGTGCCTTTGTATATGTGTGGGTGCATAGCCCATGCTCTTAAAATAGATGCATGCCTGCAAGCTTTCCATAGCGTGGTTTCTGCTTTGTCCCTTCTGGTGTGTGTATCTCTTTCCTTTTTCACGAATCTACCTGCTGGAATTTGCAAACCACACCCATGAGCATAGATGGCACGAGGGAACCTTGTGTCCCAGCTGAAGACTTTTCTCCTGATAATGTTGCCTCCGAGGAAGATTTAAGTCCACGATGGATTTACCAGACCCAGAACTGGTCCGCTCCCCAGAATGTACTGGCACAGGCATTGCTGAGGGCTTCTCCCCCACACCTAAAGCTTTGGTGGCTTTTGTGTTTCTGGACTGAAAGGCATGATCAAAGAAGCATTCCTGACCCTGGGGGATATATCGTTTCACCAGCTAATAGGAAAACGTAATTTTCATCTGTGCAGACTTGGCTGTGAGTTGGGGGAGCTGTCTCTTTCCAAGCCCTACCTTTCCTTCCACCCTCCACCCCTGTCGAGACACCCCCAGGGCTCACTCTCCTGATCAAATCTGCTCTTTCCGAGGGGTTTGCTGTAAGTCATTTCACTCTTCTTCCTCAAGTGAAGGCTTGGAGAGGGGCACTGCTTACCCGGCCTGACTTCAGTGTCCTTATACGTGAAAAGGCAGAGGGTCGAAGTTAGTGTTTCTAAAATATATTTCAGCCTAACACTATTTAATTCAATTTACATCTTAATATGAGTTAAAGCCAATATATTACCTCTCCCAGGGTTGTATATACTTCAAATCTAATTTGCAATTGTGGGATATAAAGTTTTCTTCTTGGCTGAAGAGACTTACAGTGCGAGTGTCAGCCCTCCATCCGTCGGCCTAGGAACAGTTTAGAGCTGCCAGGATGTGCAAGTGTGCATGGCTCGAGTGGCTCTATTTTAAGGGGTAAGATTACCCTAATATAGAAATTCATCACCAGAGGCCTGGGTCTTCTTGCTGTTGCCTTGTTTGACTTTCCTGCCAGGCCCTGGACTTCTTAAGGGCAAGCTGGGTCAAGTCATCTTTGTTTCCCAGGCCCTGGTCCAGCACCTGATGTGGGACAGATGCTCCACAGCTGTTTGGTTGGATGAATGTTCAATGGGGCAGCTGGTGGCTCCCTGAACCCAGGCCTGCCTGTCTCTCCCATCAGCTGTGGTCGGAGGGATTAGGCCATGGCCTGCCTGTCCTGCCATCAGGAGCACCGGCTGTTTCCAGCTGTTCTCTTCCCCAGCTCTCTTACCAGGGGCTAGGAGACAGCTGTCAGCTGGGGTTGCTGTCCCAGGCCATCTGGTCGTAGCTGTCTCCTGGAGGGTGCAAAGGTTGAGCACGGTGAGCTGATGGGAACTACGAGCCCTCCCCCCTTGGGTCCAGTTACCCTCACACTTGCTCAGGTCACTCCCATGAGAAACTATGTCCCATCTGCCCTTGGGCTTGCCATCTGTATCTTAGCCCTGTGCGCATCCAGCTATCTGCCAGGGAATCCTGATGCCCACAGGACCTACCAGGCAGCCTCCCAGGCAGCCTCCTTAGATATGGCTGTGTGCACCTGCTGTGTGACTTGGGGCCAGGGTTTGCCTCACCTGCAGTCTGGCTTTGTCTACTCCCACAGGTGTCTAGTGTGTCTCTCTACAGCACACCAGCCTTGGGTTCTTACCTTCCTCCCCATGCCAGCCATACCAAACCCTGGCTTCCCTTTCCTTTTCCACCTGCATGTCTGCTATGGAGACCCCAAGGGTCCCTCCCACTCCAGCTTCACCCACATGCCTCAAGCCTGATTTCCTTGCCCAGCACTGTACCACATGCAGCCCCTTATCCATCTCTGTGCCAAGCTTGGGTGAGGTAGGTGTCATCATTCCTTCTTTTCCTGCCTGGGGCCTAGAGAGGTTTCATCCCTTGCCCTATGTGGTTATATAAGTAGGCCATGACTGTGGTGTGGGTTTACACCTGATCTCCAGAGCCAGCACCCTCCCCCGACCACACCCCTGTCCCTGGTTCTATTTGTAAAAACGAGACCACAGAGAACTGCCAGAATTCTGCCCCATGGTCATCTTTCCCCTGGTCCCAAGGTTTTGGCTTAAGATACTACACGGTCTCACCCGGGCACACGCACACGTGTCTAAGAGCTGGACAAGGTCAGGATACGGTCTGTGTCCTTCATACCCATTCCATCGGTCTACACATCTGGTTGTGCTGGCCCTACATGGCTTGTCAAAACACCAGCCATGCTGACTAGGGCTGACTGATGGCTGTACCCCTAACTCCACCTGCATCCGGTTCCCCTTTGCCAAGGGTCCCTGCCTTGTTTGCACGTTCTCTTCCCTCTGGTGTGTGTGCATCTGGCTGAAGTTAGCAGTGGACACCTGTTCCCATCTGGCAGTGTGGCACCAGTGGACACCTGTTCCCATCAGGCACCCTCCAGTGCCCAACTGCATACCTCTCCTGCACATGGCACTTGTTCTATGAACACCTCTGAGTTCCTTGGCTCTGCCTGGCCCAAGGAATCATGATGACAACGTTCCCAAATCTTTCATTGCCACAGTTGGCTGTGTCCAGCCTTCTGTCTGAGCCCTCTATCTGTCTGCTCTTTCTCCCTCTTCCCTTCCCTCTTCTTCAGTGTGCCAGGATCCTTGGCAGGGGCCATGGGTACACTTGCTTCTGCCAGATAGGCACGATTCCCACCTCTGCCGCCACATTGCCAGCACTGCCCACGAGCCAAGTTGCACACACCAGAAATGTCATGGTTGCAGCTGTCCCAGGGGGAAGAGCCTGAGGCATGAGGTCATGGGGTTCACCTATTTCCCAGGGCAGAATCGAGGGTACCCTGTGCAGGTGGCATCCCCTGCATCTCCTGAGAATCGCCTCACCAAAGGCCTTTGGTGTGAGAAGCGCAGAGTCCCAGGGAGAGGTGGGGAGCTCTTGAGGGCCAGCACCCCCAGGTTGGAGGTGGCTGACTGGGGGTGGCCAAGGAGGGGCAGCTGTGGCTGCTGCCCTGGGGGACACCAGCTGGCTGAGCCCTGCAGGCCAATGGGGTGATGCCACCGCCAGCCTCTTGTTTATTCAGGCGGCTGGCAGGCTTTGCCATTCCCGTGAGGGGAATAAACTGTACTGCTTCTCTGGGTTCTCAGGGGCAGGCTTGCCTAAAACCCTCATCTGTGGAAATGCAGAATAATGGCTCCTCACTGACACCCAAAAGGGGATGGGAGACTATAAATCAATGTGAAGGGGGACTCCCTAGGGCCCTAGAAACCCTAAGACCGGGGTTGGGGGGGCACCCTTTGCCTCACAGTGAGTGTGCCACACCCACTGATGCACAGTGTTTAGGAATCTAGTGAGATCTTCCGTCAAATAATAAGGATACTTAGGCCCAGCCAGTCAGTCCACCCAGAGGTGTCACCACCTTTAGTAGAGTCCTAGGGCCAGAGCTGGGCCGCAGGTGTGGACACTCCTCAGTCCGCTCCTCAGAGAAGCCTATCGACCTGGCTGAGGAGTCAGTGCGTGCATCTGTCACATCACCCTGGCAGAGTTTCTGCAGAGCACTTTTCACTAGTTGATATTTTCTTGTCTATTTCTTTGTCTATTGCCTACTTCCCCCTCATGGAGGGTGCCCTTCACCAGGGCAGGATCCCAGTGGCCTTGCTCACGCTTGAACCCTCAGTGCAGCACTGAGCACGTGAACGCCTTAATAAAAAGGTAACACATTGAATCCCTGCACCTGCTGGGCTTGGTGATCTGTCTTAGGCTGTGAGAGCTACAGGAGGGGCATCCACAGGTGTTGCTCTCAGCAGGTGCTGATGGATTACAGAAATGCTTGAATCCCACTAAGGGGCCAGGAACTTTTCCCGTCAGTCCCAGAAAGAACTCAGCTCCTATAAAACAGCCCTTCTCACACATTTCTGTCCGTTTTTCAAGCAGCTGTGCCCCAAGCTTTCTCCACTTAGGGCGGTGCTTCTCAAACTTTAATGTGTACACAGAGTATCTGGGGATCTTGTTAAAATACAGATACTGATTCAGCAGGTCTGAGTGGGCCTGGGAATCTGCAGTTTTAACAAGCTCCTGTGTGATGCTGATGCTGCTGAACTCTGCACCACACTTTGAATAGTGAGGATTTATGAGAGTCCAACATTTCTGTATTTCTCAGCATCTATGCATATCCTGTCATGTATCCTGAACCCAAACTGTAAGTATTCTCCGGCTTTTTGACATGCTTGGTGCTGCTGAGAGCTGTCTGTGTGCCGGGATCCTCTCCTGGTGTTCTTAGTGATCCAGCAGGTGAGCTGAAGAAGCAAGGGCCAGGAGGCTGGGTGCTGGTTCCACTCTGCCACTTTTTTGTAGTGACCTTGAGCAAGTCACATTCTTGCTCTGGGCCTCAGTTTCCTCTCTGTGAAATGAGAGGTTAGTCATGAGTTCTTGGGTCCATTCCAGCTGTAACATTATATGAAAAATAGCAGCCACTTAGTCCGGTATGTTTCATGCACATCCATATATATTAACTCACTTAATCCTCCTAACAACCCATAGGAAAAGTGCTAGTATTATCCCCACTTTACAGATGGGAACCTGAAGCAGAGGTGTTTCAGTAATGTGCCTGAGATCTCAGATCTAGCAATAGCAGCATGGAGGATGAACCGGTTTCCTTCAAAATCCATGCTCTTACCCATTACACTTGACGGCCTGATAGATAACACCTAGGAGTGACTGCGCACCCGGGAAGATCACTCATTCTGAGCATTCTTAAAACAAGATCTCTTTCTCATGGAACTTAGCTCTCACAGTTAATTCTGTGCAATTTAGAGAGGCTGGCTTAGCCTAAGTGCCATGGAACACACTGAGCCCTTCCAGCACTCAGGATCTGGCATGTGATGAAATGCCATAAGAATGGCATGGCTGATGGTTCGGGAGCCAGGTTCATTTAACAAGCACCTATGGGGCTTCTCTGGGCAGCCCCTGTAGGAGACTCTGGAGCCGCGGTGTCTGGGTGTCACAGCCTGGATATGCCCACCTCCTCTGGCTCTGCACTACTGGGACTTCCCTCTAGGATGTTAGTAGCATCCCACCAGGCTGCAGAGCTGTGCCTGGCAATGTCAGCTTTTACACTTCCTGTGTCTGTTTGTTAAAGAAAGATGGAAAGCAAACACATCCTCTATTTTACATCATTGCTTCCTCAACCTCATAAACAGGGCCCAAAGGAGAACATCACATTTAAGAATGTAGATGCTCATGGAAACTTTAGAATGAGGGCCAAAGTTGGATCTCAATATAGTCAAATCTCTTTAAAAATAACTAGAGGAAAAGGGGCACCTCTAAGGCTGTCGACAACTTTCCTTGATTTAAATCCCATTCAGTGTTCAACTTCTCTAGGAAGCTACCTGGGACGCCTCCACTTTCCTCCTGCTCTGAACTCAGGAAACCTCACATTTGGTATTTACAGAACCTGACATGGTTTGTCTGTCTCCAGTTATAGTTGCCATCTCTCCCACCCCACCCAGATCCAGAACCCCAAGGATACTTACAGCCTTTCTTTCTGTAGCACTACACTTAGACACTCAAGAGGTACTCACCAGTGTTGGTTGAATGAAATGTAGCCTTGATCTTCTCTGGTATGAACCAGGTCTGGAACATGGCTAATTTGCCAAGTGAGGGGTCATTTAGTGAAACTGTTTTTATGGGTAAATAGGAAAGTTTGAAGCCAGCCTATCAATTTTCTATGTAAATGATGCTTTTAAAGTACCAGGGAATGGTTTGTGCTCACTAAAAAGGCAGAGTAGTTTTTTGTTGTTGTTGTTGTTGTTTGTTTTGTTTGTTTGGCCACCTCTTCCAAAATTGCTTAGAAAGCCCCTCTTTCATTAACTGAGCTACTGGTTCAGATGTATGGGATGCGAGTGAATGGAATTCTTTAATGTTCTTCAACACTGGATAAGAGTGGACTATATACAAAGGACAGAAAAAGAACCTGGTGTCCTGGTGGCCCAGAGACTTGTCAATGTTATTAATAGAAAAGCTATGGTAGTTTGGGCAGTATTTTCTGTAGTTGGATATCCAAGCGCTGAGCTGCCCTGGAAATACTGCCAGGAGACCTGGTACCGGTGCTCAGCCCAGGGCTGGGCACACTCTCTAGCCCCAATCACTTGTTGGATGATTTCTCAGCCTGTCTGTTGTGTCTGTGTGCTCTGAGCGAAGATGGCTGCTAGCTGCCTCCTGCTTGTCTTCAGGGTGCTTTAATGGATCATCTTTTTTTTTTCCTTCTCAGGAAGTGTCTAAAAACCTCACCAAGGAAAATGAACAAATCAAAGAGGACATGGAAGAAATTCGAACCGAGATGAATAAGCGAGGCAAAGAAAATTGCTCTGAAAACATCCTAGATAGCATGCCAGACATCCGCTCAGCCCTGCAGAGGGATGCAGCAGCAGCCTACGCCCACCCAGAGGTATAGCCCCAGCCTCCAAGGGCCTCTGATCACAAGCCCTGGAAGTGTGATATCAGCATCTCTCCTCTGCATAGAACTTTTCAGGCTTCAGTCCTTTCACAGAGATGAGCTCGCTTCATCCATACAATTGTTCTGCAGGTTCTGTAGATTTGATGAGCAGTTGACTCCATTTTACTTCACACTGAAGCCCAGAGAGGATCAGTGAGTGTTGAAGCCAGGACTGAAATCTGAGTCTGAGTCCCAGCCCCCATTTTTTTCAAGATCTGATATCCCACCTTTGTGAACATCTCTTGTGTTTGTAAATAGGGAAGATATGCATGCTGGCTTGTCTGGGACCATCCTGGTTTACTCCTGCTGTCCTGGCATGATTTTTTTTTTTTTTTTTTTTTTTTTTGATAGGTTCCAGCTCTGCCACCAAGGCTGGAGTGCAGTGTTGTGATCATAGCTCACTGCAGCCTCAAATTCCTGGGCTCAAGTGATCCTCCTGCCTCAGCCTCCTGATTAGCTAGGACTACAGGCACATGCTACCATGCCTGGTAATAAAATTTTTTTATTTTTTGTAAATACAGGGTCTTGTTATGTATTTTCTGTAAATGCGGCTGGTCTGGAACTCCTGGCCACAAGCAATCCTTCTGCGTCAGCCTCCCAAATCACTGGGATGACAGGCGTGGGCCACTGTACCTGGCCCTGGCATGGTTATTAGTAGCACCCTCTTTTACTCTAAAAAATGCCCCAGTTTGGAAACAAATTATATTCCATCCCTCCTCATTTATAGGGGACTTTGTAATTTACTACATATTTTCATAACTATACCATGTGGCTGTCGTCACAGCTCTAGAAAAGCAGGCCAGACGGAGATCAATAGCCTCATTTTACAGATAAGGAAACAGATCCAGCTATGAGCATGGTCTCCCTCTCTCAGTTGGGAAGTGGTGGCAGAGGGTCTCAAACCTCTGTTTCTTCCTACCCAGTTGTGTCCCTAGCACGAAGTTACCCATGAATGGATTGCTGCCTAATGTGATTTGAGTGATACCAAAAGACCTCCTTGCTTAAAAATGCCTCCCCATTTGGTGCCTGTTTCTTTTGGCTCCAATTACTACTAAGTTATGTTTATGTACTAATGGTTAAGTGCTACCATTTAATGTATTGGGTTATTTACTGAATTGTTGTCCAAGAAATAGGCATTAATTTGGGAGATAATCCAAAAGGAAGAGGAAACAGGTAAGTTTTGGTGGCAGGACTTGAAGAGTCCTATTAGCAAGACACATTATTAGCAAGATGGGTCTGGATCAAGTGTTATAAAAGGGGTCACTGGGCAGCCAGGGGATGGCAGCATTTAAGAGAGACTTTGCTCATTTTAACTGGTTACCAGGGGTTGATGGTAGATGGCAGAGTTGTGGCACACTGGTGCCCAGGGAGTGGGTTCCAGTTGGGCCATTGAGGGATCCCCTCGGCTTCGGGGAGTCGTTCTGAGTGTGGATTGAGCAGGGCCTGGGACAGCTAGAGTCCCTGAGCTGGTCTGTCTGTATGCTGTGACATGAAGAACTTTTGGGAAGCATTGCTGTGCAGGACTGTGTTGCCTGGGCCATTAAGAATTGAGATAAGAGAGGCAGGAAGTCTGGGTGTGTGGGCTTGAAACTCTTGGGTAGGGCAGTTCATCAAAGGGTGCCAGGCAGGCAGCAGCTGGGTTTGGGGATCTTGGGCACACATGTTCCAAAGGCAGGACTGCAGGCAGATTGGGGCTTTTGAGGTAACAAGCCCTGAGAAGAATATGGTGCCTCCACCCTCCCCAATATGTAACTCAAAATAAAAATTCCAAACCATAAAATAGATATAAGAAAGGCCAATAATTTTCTGGCTTTGCCCATGATGACTACTTTGGTGCTTTTTTGGAAATATCATATTTCTTCAGAAATTATTTTGATTCTCATTTTTGGGTGTCCCTGACAGGCTGGCTACTGAGCAAGTGTTTAGTCTGCTTGGTGGATCATCTCTGAGTGGGTATGAGCTCATAAACCAAGGAGCCAGAAGACATTTGGGCTGGAAGGGAACTTGAAGGCTCCCACTCATTACACCTGGGCTCAGTGTCTCTTATTTCAGCCCACCTGGCATCGGTGGCTCAGCTGCCCAGTGGAGCCAGGCGCCCCTTTCCTGCTCTGGCTTCCAGTTTCCCAGTCGGCTGAGCTTAAGAGTGCATCTGTTGTCTTGATGACACATTATGTGGTATGTTCGGGAACCCAGCTCAGATTTCCTGAGGGCAAACAGCAAACCAAATAAAAAACACCAAACCCTTTTTCTCCTTGCTCAGCAAAGTCCCTTCCCCTCCTCCAGTCCCCATTCATCAGGCTGCTGAAGTTAGCACAATCCTTCCCCACCAGGGTGGTGGGGCAGAAAGGGGAAGTGGTGCCGGAGGCCCCAAGGCAGGATCTTGCCATCCCTCTCTTTTGTGAACCCCATGCCAAAAAGCGGGTGGAAGGGGCGCTGGGTTTAGTTGTTCATTTTCAGGGTTCCTGTAGATAATGTCAGAGCTTTCTTGGAATGGTGAGTGTTAATTTGTTGAGGGCTTCTCTCTAAGATGGTCCTTGCCTGAGGGGTTGGCATGGGGCTCTGGGGGCTGGGTTGGGAGTGGAGAGAGCAGGGTGAGAGTGGAGAGAGCAAGGTGGAAGTAGGAACATTCGACTCCAGGAGCTGAAGTCATACAGCAGACACTTGGATTCATAGAGAAAGGAAATTGAAGCTTGGAGGGGGCCGCTGCCGCCCAGTGCAGCCTGTCGCCAGTGGATCCGTGGAAATTATATGTTCTCTGGCAAGGGCTGTCCATGGTCTTGCTCCATCTCCTTGGCTGGGAGAAAGCACTGCAGTTCCCACCCTTCCCTGAGAGCCTGGAATTAAAGACAGTTACTGGGGTTTGCGGCGAAGAAATGACAACCTGCTTTTGCAATGCAGAGGGAGACCAGGGTCCGGTAATTAGATGCCGTTCAGCGTCTGAGTCACGGGCTGTGGCCAGGGTCTCCTGACAGCCTGCCGAGCAGCTCTTCCCAGTGGGAAATGAGGGATCTCCCAAGTCTGCTGGGTAGGAGCCAGACCATGACCCGGAGGACTAGGGCAGGCAGGCGAGTTTTTGGATGGCAGGCAAGTTAGTCCTGTGGTCACAGCTGCAGGCAGAGGCTTAATGGAAGGAAGAGGCAGGCTCTGAGGGCAGGCAGCCTGGGGCTGACCTGAGTTGTGTGACTTAAGAACTGCCCCTCTCAGCCACTTAACTGATTGACTTTCAACCAAATTGCTGAACGACTCTGAGCCTCTGTTTCCTCATCTGTGACGTGTGGATAATGGTATCTACCTTCCCCATTGTTGTAAGGGTTAAAAATAATACAAAGGGACATGGCCATAATAGGTGTTCATTAAAATATCATCTCCACCAACCAGATATCCCCTACAGCTCAGGTGGAGGTTACATCACCAGCAAGAACAGGGAATTGAGGGAGGGGCAAGGAGCAGGAGTTGGGGCTGCCCCAGGCACAGCCGAGCATGTCGGCCTGTTTCCCCTGGGCAGACAGGGGAGGCTGGCAGAAGGATGTCCCCTACCTTTCAGGAGTCGGTCACCACTGTGTGCTGGGGAGAGAGAGATACACAACCCCATTGGTTGTGCCATCCAGAAGAACTCTCTTGTCATGAGAAAACAGGCACACGCTTGGGGGTGTCCTTGGGGGTAATGAGGACTCAGGGCTTTTTCCAGGCCAAATTGTAAAGATCAAAGCAAGAGCCTGGTTTGCTTCTTCCTGTGCGAAAGGAGCACATTGGCCGTGGTGGCCAGGTTCCTACAGCCAACATGGAGTAGCTAAAGGCCCTGCCCTGCCTCCGGGCACTGGGCATCTAGGAACACAGGTTTTGTTTCCACATGGGCTCTGCTCTCTGGGTGGCTTCCACCAAGGCCTAGAATTACAAGATTAAAGGGAGCTCACTCACCTCCCCCTGGTTGAGAAGGGGCCTCATGGTTCAGGGGGCTGCAGGAAGCCGCCTCTTCATTATCCAGCCACTGGAGTCCTGGGGAGAGCAGGGCTGGGCCACGCTCCTCTCAGGCTCCCACACTTCTCTGATGGAGCCACCAAAGCAGCTGGACCCACCTGTGGGGTGGCCCTGACTTTGAGCACAGTCAGTTCACAGGTTGTATGCCCAAGGTCCTTTGCTTTCAAAGGTGGGTGATTATAATCCTGGACAGGGAGTCTGGCTGAACAGACCAACACAGGACCAGAGATCCCGCCACACTGTGGACACAGGGGCTCCTCCTTGGGCAGCAGCTCTGTGGAGGACAGAGTGGTCCATCTACATGATCAGAGCTGTCACAGGGCACTCTCACAGCGCCATCCAGATGCCCAGTCACCGGGCCATATGAGCATCATTTGTTTTGACAAAATTAAATGCTGGTTAGTTACCAATGTAGATGATTCCTTGGGATTTGTTATGATTCAGAAATTCAATTTAACAAATATTAGGGAGCCTCAATCCAGGGGAATCAAAGATGAACAAGAAATGGTCTCTCTTCTTTCAGATTCCCATAGTCTACAGAGATAGCAACATCCCTAAATAGTGCCTGTGGAAAGCAGGCTAGGAGAGGTGCTACAGCAGAAGCACAGACTTATATTCATTAGGACTTGTGTTCAGCTTGGGTAAGAGACCCAAATACAGTGCCTTAAACAATAGAAATGTTTGTTGTTCTTTCACGTAAAACAAGCTCTGGAGGCAGGCAGTCCAGGGCTGGCATGATCAGCTCCAAGATGTCGTTAGTGACTTTCATCCTCAAAATCCCCTCATGATCACAAGATGGCTGCTCAGCTCCAGCCATTCTGTCCACATTTCAGTCCAGAGAAATGAGGAAGAGAGCAAAAGATGCCTCCAAGCTGAATCAGCCCCCCTTATGCAGAACTTTTCCAAATGCACATCCCATCAACTTCTTCCTATACCCCACTGGCCAGAATTCAGTCCCATGCCCACTCCCGTAAAACCAGGTCTTCATTAGTAAGGAACAAGAGGGCAGGGAATTTGGGTAATCAGTGAGAAATCTCTGCCATAAAGCACAAAATGAGGCTTGGGGAAGATTGATTAATTCTGAATTAGAAGGTCCAGGAGTATTTCCTTGGGGACCTGAAATTTTAGCTGGGCCTTGAGAAGTAGATAAATAAGTAGATATATGGGGGAAGGAGGTATAATGGCTATCCAGGCAGAGAAAACAGGCTGAACATAGATCCAGTGGCTCAGGAGAGCCAAGAGTTTCAGTAGTCAGCCAAGTGACTGGAGTGCCTAGGGCGTGGGGTGCAGGGCACGCAACAAGAGAGAAGAATGCTGAGCTAGATCAAGATCAGTTTTACTTTGGACTTTATTCTGTATGTAGGAGGAAGGGTTTGGGGGCTGGGGGTGATATGTGTTTTAGGAAGCCCATTTTGATTGCTGTAACAAGCTTCATCCTGAGGCGGTGTGCATCCTGGTCCTTGGGCTTCATGTCCCAGCCCAGGCATCCTTCCCCTCACATGGATCTCACCCAAAACAACTTACACCAGATCTAAGTCACCCAGCATCCCTAGGCCAGATCCAAGAGGAGGACTGCATTCTCTGGGCAGTATACGTCAAGCATAGCGACACTGATTCTGGAACCAGACATCCTGGCTTCAATCTGCCTTACCACTTACCTGTTGTGGGACCTTGGGAAATTTATGTAACCTCTCTGTGCCTCAGTTTCCTGAACTGTAAATGATCATGATAAAAATATGTCCTACCTCATAGAACTGATGAGAAGATTAAATTAGTTAACATATGTAAATGTATAAAGCACTTAGAACAGTGCCTGGCTCTTCGGAAGTGCTGCTGTTATTAGCACAGCCTTGGCTCCAGCCTTGCCCCCACCTGCCCACTGCCTCTCTGACCAGTGACCTGACCTTCCCTTGTGTCCCCTCTGAGGAGCAGTATGAAGAGCGGTTTCTGCAGGAAGAAACCGTGTCCCAGCAGATCAACTCCATCGAACTTCTGCAGACGCGACCCCTGGCTCTGCCTGAGGTGGTGAAGTCACAGCGGCCCCTGCAGAGGCAGGTCCACCTGAGAGGCCGGCCGGCCTCCCAGCCCACTGTCATCCGGGGCATCACCTACTATAAAGCCAAGGTCTCTGAAGAAGAGAATGACATTGAAGAGCAGCGTGAGTTGGGGTCAACAGGGCCGCCCCAGAGGCAGGGTAGGGAGGAAGTCACCATTTGGACCATAGTGGGCTGGATTCCTGGGAGCCATACACCCCTCCATACACAGCATTCCAATTACTGCTGTGGCCCTGTTATCCAGAGCTCTCACTGCATTTCCTCACAGCTCGCTGAGTGGCCTTGGGCAAGTCACTTAACTTCTCTGAGCTTGCAGAAGACCATATGGCAGAGTGTGGCTGGGCTGGAAGGGACTTCAGTGCCCTCCAGTACAGTCCTCCCCATTTGCAGATGAGAAAACTGAGGTTTGGGGAGACTGACTTGCTTAGAGCCACAAGGTGGGCTTCTCCAATACTTGCTCCTCCCTCCGGGGGCCCTGAGCTTCCTGTCTGAGTCTCCAGCACCTCCCCTTTGATCTCTGTCCTTCTTCATTTTTCATGGAAGAGAGACGATCCCTTTTCACATCACGTTTACCTTGTTTCCTTAGGCTTCTTCCTCTTCCTGTGCTCCTCCTCGCCTCCTCCTCCTCCTCTTGTCTTCTTTCTTTTCCTTGCCCAGCACTCCCAGCAGGCCCCGACTCTTCCCCTCTCCCCAGTATGTCTGAGCGAGTCCTTCCCCATCAGGGCTGATGCAGCAGCTTCCTGTCTGTCTCCTTGCTTCTGCCTTTGCCTCCACCATGTTTATTCTCCACCCAGTAGCTGGCGTCATCATTTTGCCCATGTGTTTTTTTTGGTCATTTTTTTTGTGTCATTGATTTGTGGTAGTTTTTTACATATTCTGGATACAAGTTCTTTGCCATCATATGTATTGCAAGTATTTTCTCCCTACCTATGGCATGCATTTTTAGTTCCTTAATGGTGTTTTTGATGAGCACATGAAGTCTACTTTACCAATTATTTCTTTTGTGGTTAGAGCTCTTTGTGTCCTCTCTAAGAAATGTTTGCCTCTCCATATTCCATCTCTGCTCAAAATCCTGCAGCCTCCCCCATTTCTTTCAGAATAAAAACTGAACTCCATACACAGCCTCTAAGTCATGCATGCCCAGCGCCTGTCCTCACTGTGACCTTGCCTCTGCTTCAGTCATGCTGGCCACCTCGCTGCTCCTGGGCCGCTGCACGCATGTCCTGCCTCAGGGCCTTTTCTCTGTGGTTATTCACCCATGGAATCTTTGTGCCCGATGGCTGCTCAGCTGACTCCTTCACCTCCTCCAGGCAGCTGCTCATCTCCCCAGCTCAATGAGTCTCATCCTCACCACTTTATTCTTCTCTGCAAGTTTCCCTTCCCTTCTAGCTTGTTTGACCCTCTTTACCCTACATTTTGTTCCCCATAGCACCTTCAGGTGCACAATCCTGTCTATTATCAAGCGTCTCCACCACTATATAGAAGCTCTGTGAGGTCAAGGATCCTTGTTTTGCTTGCTGTTGTTATCCATACTCCATAAACATGTGCTGGAAGGATGGATTGGATGACTCACTTACTCCCAGCCATCGGGGTTCAGGACCCATGACTATGCGTCCTGCCAGTGACCCCTGAGTCCTGGGGGGAGCATGGCTGCAGTCTATTCAGAGAAACCCCCTGGAAATTCAATGTCCTTCCACCTGCGCTCCTGTACACCTTCTTCCAAAATCCCAGCCAGGCCCCCTCTGTAACTCAAGCCGTCGTGTTAAGGAAAGGCACCCTCTAATTCACCTGCTCATTGCCATGTGCTCTTGTCATCTGTAGGTTGTTTCTTTCCCGTGCCACAGTGAACCTTGTGTTTGTTTCACAGAAGATGAGTTTTTCAGCGGTGACAATGGAGTGGATTTGCTGATTGAAGATCAGCTCCTGAGACACAACGGCCTGATGACCAGTGTCACCCGGAGGCCTGCAGCCACCCGTCAGGGACACAGCACTGCTGTGACAAGCGACCTGAACGCTCGGACCGCACCCTGGTCCTCAGCACTGCCACAGCCCTCGACCTCAGATCCCAGCATCGCCAACCATGCCTCAGTGGGACCAACACTCCAAACAACCTCGGTGTCTCCAGATCCCACAAGGGAGTCAGTCCTGCAGCCTTCTCCTCAGGTACCAGCCACCACTGTGGCCCACACAGCCACCCAGCAACCAGCAGCCCCAGCTCCTCCGGCAGTGTCTCCCAGGGAGGCATTGATGGAAGCTATGCACACAGTCCCAGTGCCTCCCACCACAGTCAGAACAGACTCGCTGGGGAAAGATGCTCCTGCTGGGTGGGGAACAACCCCTGCCAGCCCCACGCTGAGCCCCGAAGAAGAAGATGACATCCGGAATGTCATAGGTAAGTTCATTGTACCTGGCCTTGGTCTCCTGATCAGCTCAGGTAAAAGGCTGAGCCTGGAAATATCTTGAGAGGAGAGGGAGGCACCAGATGGTCAAAGTTCTTTATGGGAATGGCAAGTGGAGTTAAGCCTTTGACCAACGATTAGTTTTAACATCTAGGGTTTATTTATTGAAAATGTGCCAGTGGCAAGGGTGGGACTCTTTTTTCCTAAAATAGACATATAAATTAATGGAGTCAAGATTTGGCTTCAGGAGTTAGTTTTATAAATATTTGTTGAGGGCTATCCATACACTAGGCTTTGTGATGGCTATTGAGGTATCCAGTGATGAATAAATGAATTTTTCTGTGGTAAGTTTACCAAGCCATAAAAGAACAAAGGGTTTTTACTGGGGGGAAAGTCTCAGATTTGTAGTAGAGTGAGAGCAGGGGAATAGCTGGGGCAATGGGCCTCCGTGCAAAATCATGAGCCCCACCCATGGAGAGCATAGAAACATCATGGCACCATGTGACAAGTGCTGTACCAGAGGAATGGAAAAACAGAGAAAAGAAAGAAGGAATATTAGCTTGGCCTGGCTGCCAGGAAGGCTGGGGAAACTTTTCTAAGGAGGTGTCATTTGAGCTGGGATTTGAAGGATGAATAAGAGTTTTCTTTTTTTTTCTTTTTTGAGACAGAGTCTCGCTCTGTCGCCCAGGCTGGAGTGCAGTGGTGCAATCTTGGCTCACTGCAAGCTCCGCCTCCTGGGTTCATGCCATTCTCCTGCCTCAGCCTCCCAAGTAGCTGGGACTGCAGGTGCCCGCCACCATGCCCAGCTAATTTTTTGTACTTTTAGTAGAGACGGGTTTTCACCATGTCAGCCAGGATGGTCTCAATCTCCTGACCTTGTGATCCCCCCACCTCGGCCTCCCAAAGTGTTGGGATTACAGGCGTGAGCCACTGCGCTGGGCCTGAATAGGAGTTTTCTAAGCAGAGAAGGGAAGCCTCCTGACTGTTAGGTCTAAAAAAACAAGGTATGTTCCAGAAGCATGGAGAATGCAGCCCTATTCTGTGCCTGGGAGCTCCGTGGCCCAAGAGAACGCAGAGCAGTGAAATAGGAAAGTAGAGAAAAAAGGAACTATAAAAGGAAAAATGGGAGCCAGTTACAAATGTCTTTTCCAAAAAGAACTAAACCAAACATTCATTAAATCACCACTGATCATGACTGAAAAATAACACTATTGAGTAATAATTTCATCAAAATATTTGTTGAAAAATACACTTGATTTGACAGAAGATTTGGCCTGCCTTATACATATCTTTCCCTTCTCCCATTTTTCTTGCCCTTGGCAGCCTCATTCCCAATCCTTCCTCAGCATAAGGTACCAGCTGCTGCCAGAGACAGAGCGGTGAAGGAGTACCTGCCAGGAGTCAGACACTGCTCTCTGCCATTGATAGCTGTGTGACTTTGGCCAAATCTCTGCCTTCTCTGGGTCTCAGTATATGCTATGGTTTTCCGCAGGAAGTTTACCAGGTCATGATTCTGCTCCTCTTCTTCCATTCATGGTGTGTATGTGCCTCTCTCTCTGTCTCTCTCTCCTTATGGTGTTTTTTATTTGCTGTTCCATGCTATTGTAAATAAAGATTCTTGTTGGGTGAAAGTTTCAGAATAATGGCAGAATGACAGCAGTGAAATAGCCCATAGAAATGGACCCCAGGGCAAAATCTCATGAACGCTGGCCTGGAGGAAGCTAAGCGAGAAGGCAGTTCTTGGGCCTTAGAGGTGAGGGTGGGAGCAGGAGAGAATGTTTAAGTTTCTGAAGCAGGGGTCCTGCTGTGTTTCTGCAGACTGCCTTGGGGTCAGAGAAGAGGCTACCACTTGTGCACCAGCTCTGGGCAGCCTGGCCTTTGTGCTCTTGAGAACAGGCCCTGAGCCCAACACTCCATCTCTCCCTTTGCCATGGAAGTGAACTTCCCTGGGCCCCCATACTTCTACCATTTCAGCTTCCTGTCACCCTTGGGTGAGAGGGAACATCCCTCCAAATATTTAGGAATCTGGCCCCTGTCACCCCTACCACAGTTTTCCAGAATGCTAACAGTGAAGACAGGCTGCAGGTAGGACCCACACACCTTGCAAGCCATCAGGCAATGGTGTCTGCCAGCCTGGGAGCCTCTTCCGTCGGTGACTTGCTAGCCAGGAGTGAGTTGTTCACTCTCTCCATAACCTACCAACCTGGGTCCCAGAACCCAGCCTCTCCCCAACTGCCTCCCCAGGACTTTGCCATCAGCAGGCTTTTCTGGTGTTTTCAGGGACACTTATAACTCTTTCCCCCTCCAGTAGCCTAATTGAGATGCTGATGCCCAGAGAAGCCATGTGTCCCAGCAGCCATTTACCTGGTGGTAGGAATGACATTTTCTCTTGTTCAATATTCTGTTTAACTAGAATAGCATCATCATGCTGACGATGTAAGGTTTGCTTAAAGACTAGCCCGTGGCATTTTTCAGAGGAGCTGGGGTTCTCACCTCTTATGTCGACTGCAGAAGAAATAGACATGGACACAGATGTAGTGTGTTCTTCAAATGCCAAGGGGTGAGAGGAGGGGTGGCCCAGAGAAGAAAGCTTTGGCTGTCTAGGCATTGTCTAGCTTCAACAAGTTTGTTTCTGGGAATTATTTTCAATAGTTTATCACTGCCAAATGCCTCCCTCTGGCTGCTGTTGGTGTGGATGAGATTTTCATACCCTAACATTCTCTGCAGACCCCTGACTTGCCTGTGTCTGGCCAAGAAAGACCGTGATGTGATGACATCTCCCAGTCATCAGTAAAATTAAAAAGCTTTTGGCTGAAATAGACATGGGCCACTGATTTGCTACCTGGGAAAGCTTGTTTGCTGTTTGATGAATCCAGCAATTTTGATTTTTGAGCTATTTAAGATGTGGTTGTAAACAGCACTAATTTTAAAAGAAAGATTTTTATCCCATGGTTTCCAATCCTGATTTTGTGATGCCCTAAAATGTCTACCATTATCCTCAGGAGAGTTATAAAATGTTCAAAAAAAATCCAAAAACAAGTAAATTAGAATTCATTTTTGGCTGTGCAAACGAAACATTTGGCCGTAGTGTAGCTCTAGGACAGGGAGAGGAAAAATATTGTCAGTAATTGGAGCTGGGGTTTGGGTAGGATTGGTACCATCCGAGAAGGCGCTTCTGCTCGGGACAGCCCTGGCTTTGGGAATAGCTCAGGCTACTGCAGAGAAATGAAACTGCCACATGGCCAAGGCTCTGCAGATTCCCAGACTTTAGCAACTACAATTCCTGATGCATTTTGTAGAAGGGGCTGGTTTGGAGTGGGGGAGGGCAGGTGGCAGGAGCAGACAAAGAGGACAGTCAGTTTATAACAATACCAGAGAGAGCCTGGCTCCTATTTGAATCTAGAAAATACCATGAACTATGAAGAATGTCTCCCCCACAAAGCAGATGACTGTAACCACCCCGAGGCTTGGCCAGCTGTGCCGACCATGGGGCGTGATGGCCAGTCCTGCCTGTCTCGTGTCAGGGAGGCTGGTCTGGGGCAGCCCAAGGAAGGCGATGCTGACGTGGGCTGGGACAGCTTCCAGAGCCTCTGCAGAGCCCAGACTCTAAGTCACTAGACAGGCAGCTCCCCCAGCCCCAGCTCCACAGCCCCAGCTCCACTGGTCTCAGTCTCTTTGCTGATGCTCCTAACCCAACTTGCTCAGAAAACTGGAAATCCAGTCATCGTATAACACAGGGGCCTCTGGCCCTAGAAATAAGGATATAAAATGGATAAAATATACCCTTGCAGGTGGTAAAGGACTGAAGTCTAAGCCTTTTGATGAGGATAAAGAGTCATCTAGTATTAATAATTCATCTACCACTACAGCGTGCTCGGCTGCAAAGATCCAAAGTGAGCAAGAAGTGGTCACTTTCCCAAAGGTGCAGGGAGGCAGCAGTGACTGAAGTGGCCGAGCACATGGGAAGTGTGGCTGGCAACGGATGCATGCTGTCCAGGGGCGTCGTATCACTTCTGCCATGGGGCTCCTCTCTGAGGGTGTTCTCCAGCTCACCAGGCTCAGAGGGCAGAGAAGAACTCTCCAGGCAGAGCCAAGAGCATGCGCCAGGTTGGGCAGGGAATGGAAGGCAGCCCAGGTACGCCAGCACAGATGGGGTCGAGTGAGGGAGAGTGATGGAATTCCAGGGTAGGGAGCCGGGGCCTGATGATGAAGGGAATGAGAAGTAGGGACTCGATGCTAAAAGAGATAGAGAGGGCTCTAAGCATGGAAACAATATTCAGATTTGCTCCAGTATTAAGTGGACCATCACACACTCAGGATGTGTGAGTGCCGTGGGTGTCAGGGATGCAAAGACAGATACGGCAGGGGCCCTGCCCTGGAGTTGCACAGCTTGTATTGAGACCAACACAGACACATGACTTCAACGCAGGGTGGTGAGCACTGGGGGGCACAGGCCACAGTGGGTCACAGAGGGAGACTGAGGCAGCCCAGGACCCTCTTCCAGAAAGAGGTGCTGGCCTAGCTGTTTTGTAGCATCAGGGGAAATTAGCTAGGCAAAGAAGGAAGGTAGCACTGCAGTGAGAAGAACCAGAGCCAACAAGAGCATCGGGGCCCAGTGCAAAATGACAATGTGGGGCCCGTGCTCAAAAGGCAGGGGAAAAGTGCCATGCCGAGTAGTAAATATAAAGCTCCTCTTCTTCCATTCATGGTGTGTATGTGCCTCTCTCTCTGTCTCTCTCTCCTTATGGTGTTTTTTATTTGCTGTTCCATGCTATTGTAAGTAAAGACATACAGGCATGCCCCATCTTATTGCACTTTGCTTTGTTGTACTTCACAGAGAGTGCATTTTTTTACAGACTGAAGCTTTGTGGCAACGCTGTGTCAAGCCAGTCTACCAGCACCATTTTCCAACCCTATGTGCTCACTTTGTGTCACATTTTGGTAATTCTTGCAATATCTCAAACTTTTTCTTTATATCTGTTATGATGATCTGTGATCAGTGATCTTTGACAATTACTATTTTCATTGTTTTGGGGCATCACCCACCCACACCGATACAAAGCAGTGAACTCAATCCATAAATGCTGTGTGTGATCTGCTGCTCCCCCAACTGGCATTCCCTGGTCTCTCTCCCACTCCTTGGGCCTCCCTGTTCTGTGACACACAACAATATTGAAATTAGGCCAATTAATAACCCTACAATGGCCTCTAGGTGTTTAGGTGAAAGGAAGAATTCCACACTTCTCACTTTAAATCAAAAGCTGGAAATGTCAGAGCTGAGCGAGGATGGCATGTCAAAAGCCGAGATAGGCCAAAAGCCCTCTTGTGCCAAACAGTTAACCAAGTTGTGAATGCAAAGGAAAAGTTCTTGAAGGAAATTAAAAGTGCTACTCCAGTAAACACATGAATGATAAGCAAATGAAACAGCCTTATTGCTGATATGGAGAAAGTTGTAGTGGTCTGGATAAAAAGACAGTCCAACCACGACATTCCCTTAAGCAAAATTCCCTAATCCAGAGCAAGGCCCTAACTCTCTTCAATTCTATGATGGCTGACAGAGGTGAAGAAGCTGCAGAAAAAAGTCTGAAGCTAACAGAGGCTGGTTCGTGAGATTTAGAGAAAGAAGTTGTCTCCATAATGTAAAAATGCAAGTGAAATAGCAAGTGCTAATGCAGAAGCTGTAGCAAGTTATCTAGAAGATCTAGCTAAGATTGTTGATGAAGGTGGCTACACTAAACAACAGATTTTCAGTGTAGGCAAAACAGCCATCCATTGGAAGAAGGTGCCATCTAGGACCTTCATAATTAAAGAGGAGAGGTCAGTGCCTGGCTTCAAAGCTTCAAAGGACAAGGTGACTCTTCTGTTAGGGGCTAATGCAGCTGGTGACTTTAAATCAAAGCCAGTGCTCATTTACCATTCTAAAAATCCTAGGGCCCTTAAGAATTATGCAAATCTACTCTCCTGGTGCTCTATACATGGAACAACAAAGCTTGGATAATAGCACATCTTTTTACAGCATGGTTTACTGAATAATTTAAGCCCTTTGTTGAGACCTACTGCTCAGAAAAAGAAATTATTATTTGAGACAGAATCTTGCTCTGTCACCAAGGCTGGAATGCAGTGGCACGATTTCAGCTCACTGCAACCTCTGCCTCTCAGGTTCAAGTGATTCTCCTGCCTCAGCCTCCCAAGTAGCTGGGATTATAGGCACATGCTACCACGCCCAGCTAATTGTTTGTATTTTTAGTAGAGATGGAGTTTCACCATGTTGGCCAGGCTGGTCTCAAACTCCCAAACTCAAGTGATCCGCCTGCCTCGGCCTCCCAAAGTGCTGGGATTACAGGTGTGAGCCACCGCGCCTGGCCAGGAGATTATTTTAAAAATATGACTGCTCTTTGACAATGCACCTAATCACCCAAAAGCTCTCATGGAGATGTGCAAGGAGATGAATGCTGTCATGCCTGCCAACACAGCATTCATTCTGAAGCCCATGGATTAAGGAGTCTTTTTGACTTTCAAGTCTTATTATTTAAGAAATACATTTTGTAAGGCTATAGCTGCCATAGATAATGATTCCTCTGATGGATCTGGGCAAAGTAAATTGAAAACCTTCTGGAAAGGATTCATCATTAAGAACATTCATGATTCATGGGAAGAGGTCAAAATATCAACATTAACAGGAGTTTGGAATAAGTTGATTCCAACCCTCATGGATAACCTTGAGGGGTTCAAGTCTTCAGTGGAGGAAGTCACTGCAGATGTGGAAGTATCAAGAAAACTACAATTAGAAGTGGAGCCTGAAGATGGGACTGAATTGCTGCAATCTGATGATCAAACTTGAATGGATGAGGAGTTGTTTCTTATTGATGAACAAAGAAAGTGGTTTCTTGATATGGAACCTACTCCTGGTGAAGACAGTGTGATCACTGTTGAAATGGCAACAAAGGATTTTGAATATTACATAAACTTAGTTGATAAAACAGTGGCATGGTTTGAGAGGCTTGACTCAAATTTTGAAAGAAGTTCTACTATGGGGTAAAATGCTATCAAACAGCATCACACACTACAGAGAAATCTTTCATGAAAGGAAGAGTCAATTGATGCAGCAAACTTCATTGTTGTCTTATTTTAAGAAATTGCCACAGCCCCCTAGCCTTCAGCATCCACTCCTCTGATCAATCAGCAGCCATCAACATCGAGGCAAGACCCTCCACCAGCAAAAAGATGACGACCCACTGAAGGCTTAGATGATCATTAGTATTTTTTAGTAATAAAGTATTTTTAAATTAAGGTGTATACATTTTTTAGACATAATGTTATTGAACCCTTAATAGACTGCAGTATAGTGTAAACATAACTTTTATACTCACTGGGAAACAAAAAAGTTGTGAAACTCACTTTATTATGATATTCGCTTTATTACAGTGGTCTGGAACCAAATCCACAATATCTTTGAGGTATGCCTGTATTAAAAATTTAATTTACTAGCATGAATTATACAATTCATCTTTATATTGTGCAATGTTAGTTTTAAATGCAAATATAAGATCTTTCAACTTTTATGCAGAATCCACCAAAATGACTCATTTCATATTTTGTAACTCCTTCATACCTGTGTATGTATGTTCTTATTAGAATAGTGGAAATACTGCACAAAACTAATTCATCTGTTTTTGTTTTACTTGATATATGAACATTTTAACAACACTCCCTGCCTTCAGCTTACTGAGTGAGGAAGGACTAAAAAGAAACGGAACTATGAGTTGCCCTATCCTTCCCTCTTCTTTCGTATCAATTTCAACATAGGTTGTTGTCTAATACAGGGAAGTAACACAAGAAAGAATATGATAGGGTTCCTTGACCATTTGTGTTTCTTAGAACACCACTGCCTTCTTCCTGCTTTCGGAGCACGATCTGGTTCAAATGTAAAATGTGGCCTCTGGGGCAACACACCTACCTTGTGCTCACTTTGAATCTCACTGAACTCAGGCACGTAGTGGGTCTACCTGCAATTCTGTGCTCATTGGGCATAGCAAACCCTATATGCAAGTGGGGGACAAAGAATGTGGCCACACATATCTTGCATTCTCCTCTGCTCACAAACAGGCTGCACTGTTAGACTTCACATAAAATACAAGTTCGAGGGTGAAAATATTAAGATATTCAAGATGGTGACAGCAGATCATTAAATGAAGGGCAGCCCTTCAAAGCAAGGGTCCTGTGTGATTGCACAGATCATATGCCCAAAAAGCCAGCCCTGGGTTTACGGTGAATACCATAGCCCTGGCAACTATGGTGAATACAAGCAGCTAGGTGTGGGCAAGAGATCTCAAGCTGGCAGCCTGAGGGCCAAATTCATCCTAAGATGTGTTTTTATGTTCTTGAATCTGAATGCCTTCAGGTCAGCTCTTCCAGTTCACCACAGTGTCTTCTGCCACCTTTTGTCTCACACTCAGCCTGACTCATCATTTCAGCTCCTGCCTGACCCCTGTAGGCATCTGAGTTTGAGACCTCTGAATGAAGGCAGATGACAACAGTAAGAATGGTGATGCAGGAAGGGCTGATGTGCTAGGATGGGGACTCTGGGCTGCACTTGGTGGTTGGAGATGGTGAGTCATTAAGGGTTTAAGAAGATGTGCATCTTGGAAAAGCAGCACAGGGAATACTGGGGAGGATAAGTTAGAAGTGGGCAGAGATGAGCCAGAGAGACAAACTGGCGCAATTGGAGTGATCCAGGCAAGAGTTGGTGAGATCTGAACTACGCCATAGAGGTGGAGGATCAGGGTCAAGATGTTACTCAGTGCTGAGTTGGAATGTGGGTGAAGGGAAAGGGGACATCAGGGATGACCTAGGTTTCTGGCTCAGTTGGTGGATGGTGTGCCATGGCTTTCTCTGGGACAGTAAATACAGGAGGAGCAGGCTGTGAACTGAAGCAAATGATTTCCATTTTCAGTCCTTTAAGTTTGAGGAGCCATGAGGACATCCAGAAAGAAAGTGCCTTGTAGGTAGTTGGATGGATTCACGGTGCTCAGAATCAGGACCTGGGCTGAGTTGTTGGCAGGAGCTGAGTCTGCAGGAAGAATGAGGAGGGAGGAGGCTGAAGGTGGAACTCCAGAGGGTGGCATTTGAAAGCAGGCAGAAGAGGAAGCACTAGCCAAAGAGCTGGAGAAGGCCAGACCAGGCAGGTGGGCGGGACCAGGAGAGAGTGGTGGTGGAAGCTGGGGGAGGAAGGAAATGCCTTCTGAGGTGGGTGGGTGGGTGTCAGCGGGGGTGGGGGGTGGCTACCTCAGTTTCCAAGCAAAAAACAGAGGCTTGACTAGAATAAGAGGACTGGAGAACACCCCAAGGGGCAGCAGTCGGGTTGAGGGGCTGAGAGGCATTGCTGACGAGGTTAGTTGGGGAGCAGACGCCCAAGGACCCTACTGGGGAAGCTTGCCAAGTAAGCACCAGAGCTGAGAGCTGGGGAGAGCCAGGAAGGCTCTTGCTTGCTGATTTATTTCTTTTAGAATGCTGAGATTTGAGGAGGTTTATATGCTGAGGGGAAGGGCCCCTTCTTTTCAGACCCTGGTAACGTTTGAAACAGGACCAGCTGTCTCCCAGGACTGTTGGTTAAACGACAGAATACATAGAAAGTGCGTAGTAAATGTCAGTGTCACCGGCATCCTTGGCAGCCCTGCTCTGGGAAAACCTAAGATGAGATGCAGACTGCACTCTCCTGTCTGCAGTTCCTTTGAACTTTCTCCCATCTTTCTGTCATCCCCCTTGAAGAGGAGTCAACATACAGTACCTTCTCTCCAAAGCTGATGGTTTGCTGCCAAGTGTGGGAGCATCTGAGCTGCCCCAGATTCTCAGAGCACAGTGATGCGTCTGGGTCTCATGGTTTACTGATCTCTTCCCTTGATCCTGTCTTCAAATGCTCTGAAATCATTTGCATTTGTCCTGCCTGGGCTCATCCGCAGGGCAGCAGTGTTTGCTCTCTCTGAGGGCATGTGAAAATGCAGCCTGAGGTCCTAGTACTAGGACTATGAAAATGCAAGCGGGGACTCCCCTCTTCCTGCAGAAATAAGGGTGCCCTAACCCAAGAAGCTGACTCCATCTGTATCCATTTCCTATGCCTCCAAATTGCCACAAGCTTAGTTGCTAAAAACAGAAATGTACTCTCTAACAGTTCTGGAGGCCAGAAATTCAAAATGAGTCTTGCAGGGCTAAAATCAAGGTATCAGAAGGGCTGGTTCTTTCCAGAGGCTTGAGGGGAGAATCCGTTTCTTGCCTTTTCCAGCTTCTCATGGCTGCCAGCATTCTTTGGCTTGTGGCCACATCACTTCAGTCTTTGCTTTTTTCATCACATTGCTTCCTCCTCTCTTGTGGTCAAATCTCCCTTTGCCTCTGTGTCATAAGGATACTTGTGACTGTATTTATTCAATAGGACCACCCAGATAGTCCAGTATAGTCTCCCCATCTCAGGATTTTTTTTATGTAATCACATTTGCAAAGTCCCCTTTGTTTCCTTTTGTCCCAATCACAGGCTCCAGGGATTTGGACCTGGATATCTCAGGGGTATATTACTCAGTCTACCACATCATCTTCAGAGGGGACTCTCCATGCACTCTGGTGAAGGAGGCAGGGCATGCATTACAATCATTTTACTTCTGAAGAGATTAAAACTTTTTGACATTACAGTTGCAACAGACTTTGGAGTTGGTGGCTGGGCCAAGAGCAGAGCCAGGCCTCTGGCCCCAGCCTGGGGCACATCTATAGCCCAGCATTAGGGCCCTGCCACTGCAGAGCCTTGGTGTGAGACGGAACCCTGCAGGGATTTTCAGGGCTGCTGGAGCTGCACAGACGAGTCCTGGCTTTCAAGAGTCCATCTGCAATTTCTGTGTTTGGTCAGAGAGGTGGCATGGCCATGGTAATCCCCAGACAGAAAACACCTCACCTCATGGCCATCTGTGGGGCTTGAGGGCATGAGCCAGGGATGCCGCTGGACAGGGAATTGGTGCCCTTTCTGAGCTTTGCCAGGGCAGAGGATTGCCCGGTGATGGCAATCCTCATGGTGAGCTAGGGCTCACCTCAGTGCAGAAGGAGCGTGGCGTCCTCATTGGCAGCCAGGGCCCTGCTTAGCTCCAGGGAATGAGAGCTTTTCCATCAAATCTCTGCTGCCAGGGCTCAGTCAGAGTTTTCTGTTTTATTGTCTTGAACAGATGAGCTCAGCTCTGGGGGAATGAGGCATTGGCAGGGAGGTTCTTTTGTTTGTCTTATGGAGACTGAATCTCTCCCCGCTCCGTCAGACCAGGACCTAATAAACCCCACACTGAGCTGCCTAAACCCTGCCAACTGCACCCAGCTATGGGGCCTGCCTGCAAAACAGTGTTCATGCCTCTTCCATCCCCAGCTGCCCCAGACCCAGGGCCAAGGGCCCAGCTGCTTGCTCCTGTCCTGTCAGCTGCAGGGCTTGGACTCCTTCCTCAAACCACTGCGGGGAGCAGAGTAGATGGAACGGATTGGAACAGTTTGGAAATGAGGGTGACCTAGAATTTAGAGAACTCTGGAAGCCAAACTGTAGGGTCTTTTGTTACTTTTGTCCCAGGTGAGTGTCAAGGACCAATTATTCTCATCACCCATCAGTGTCGTCATGATGGCAGGTGGGGCAGGGGTTCTGCTGGCCCCAGCTGCCAGCAGGGGGTAAGGAAGCTGTGAGGGCAGCATTCATGTGGCTCTCTCACTGCCCCCTTCCACTGCCCTCTTCCCACC
This sequence comes from Homo sapiens, assembly GCF_000001405.40. NCBI lineage: Eukaryota > Metazoa > Chordata > Mammalia > Primates > Hominidae > Homo > Homo sapiens. The sequence continues at coordinate 161,986,066 of NC_000001.11, read as the reverse complement.
TCCTCCATAATCCACAAGTGTGAGGACAGGAAGAGCACATGCCCTTAGTCACGTGTGACTTCACTATCATTCAAGGCTATGCTCAATAATAATACTGCATATAAGCATTGCAGGCTCTCAACTTCATCTAGAACCCAGTATAGTTCCAGTGGCTTTTTAGGGCCTCTCCTGGGCACCGGATCCAGAGCCACTCAGAAGGACGTTGCTGAGTTCCTGTCCCATCGTGGCCGACTTGATCTCTGAAGGAGGCTTCTATACCCAGAGTCAGCTCCTTATTCAAGAACTTGGTATCTTGCCCCCCAGTTACCCAGCAGAGGGCCCTGGCATCCTGCTCCCAGTAGTGACAGGGGCTTAGGCTTGGGGACAGCTCTCTAGGACAGCAGGTGGGCCTCAGGGACATGAATAGCCATTGCTCCACTAGGGCTGGTCCCACAGCCTGGGGCAGCTCAGCAGCTGGCAGAGCCGAGTTCCTGGTTACACCCAGCAGAGGCCTCTCCTCTGGCCACACTTCTCATGCTGTGTGTTCACCCTGGGATCAGACATTTGGGTGCCTGCAGCAAGCCAGACACCGTGTTCTGAGCACTGAGAATGCAATGAGGAAAAGCCACATTCCCTCATCCCTTGGTGCTTACGCTCCGGTTGGGGGCAGGCGTGGAGGGAGGAGAGAGAAGCACAAACATTGTGGAGATGCAGGATGACATGCTCTGTAAGAGAGCAGCATTCATGGTACCCTGAGAGCTGAATGGAATAGAATAGAATAGTTCTCCAGAGGAGGGCATGATGTCATAAAAGGACTCTGGATCTTAGGTCTTTGAAGGATAGGACTGAGAAGTCAGAACAGGAGCAAAGCATAGTGGTGTGAAAGTTGCCAAAGATGGGCATGGTGGAGGCTCAAGTGTAGGGTCAAGTGTAGGGTGGATCAGGGGAGTAGCAGGAGATGGTGTGGAAAAATGTTTGGGGTCAGGTTATACAGGGCTGTTAAAGCCTGCCGAGGAGTCCAGACTCTAAATGGATGAACAGCAAAGGTTTAAGGGGTGAGGCATCACTAGATCAGCCCAAAACCTCCATCCACCTCTTCTCCACCAGGAAGGTGCAAGGACACTCTCTCCACAATCACGGGGCCGACCACCCAGAACACATATGGGCGGAATGAAGGGGCCTGGATGAAGGACCCCCTGGCCAAGGATGAGCGGATTTACGTAACCAACTATTACTACGGCAACACCCTGGTAGAGTTCCGGAACCTGGAGAACTTCAAACAAGGTACATGATAAAGATCCAACCCAGACTGCTCCTTCCCTTCCCCACGTCCTCTGTTTTTATCACAGCCAGGCCTCTTTGGGTGGTAATGACGGATAGGAAGGATGACACCTTCTTCTGATGGCTAAAGGACCTTTCCTTGGAGAGCGGTCCCCCTTCCCCACTCCCTCACATTCTCTGCCTCTCAGCTCTGCCCCTCCTCCTGAGCTCCTGGGACATGGAAAAACCTCCGAGTCCAGAAGACAGGCTCCCTTTCCCATAGCCCTTGACAATTTATGAACCACATTCATGTATATTAGCTCCCCGGATCCTTGAAACAGGCAGATGGGAATTGTCACTTCCCTATGACAGATAAGGACACTGAGGCACGGACAGGTTGAGTGATGTGCTACAGGATGCTAGAAAGTGGCAGAGCCAAGACACAAACCTGGGTTTCCAGACCCCTCGTTGATCATCACTCACTTAACCACATGGGCTGCCCACCCTCTGCCATGCCACTCTGAAGCCTCCTGTTTTCTCCCCACCTGCAGGTCGCTGGAGCAATTCCTACAAGCTCCCGTACAGCTGGATCGGCACAGGCCACGTGGTATACAATGGCGCCTTCTACTACAATCGCGCCTTCACCCGCAACATCATCAAGTACGACCTGAAGCAGCGCTACGTGGCTGCCTGGGCCATGCTGCATGACGTGGCCTACGAGGAGGCCACCCCCTGGCGATGGCAGGGCCACTCAGACGTGGACTTTGCTGTGGACGAGAATGGCCTATGGCTCATCTACCCGGCCCTGGACGATGAGGGCTTCAGCCAGGAGGTCATTGTCCTGAGCAAGCTCAATGCCGCGGACCTGAGCACACAGAAGGAGACCACATGGCGCACGGGGCTCCGGAGGAATTTCTACGGCAACTGCTTCGTCATCTGTGGGGTGCTGTATGCCGTGGATAGCTACAACCAGCGGAATGCCAACATCTCCTACGCTTTCGACACCCACACCAACACACAGATCGTCCCCAGGCTGCTGTTCGAGAATGAGTATTCCTATACGACCCAGATAGACTACAACCCCAAGGACCGCCTGCTCTATGCCTGGGACAATGGCCACCAGGTCACTTACCATGTCATCTTTGCCTACTGACACCCTTGTCCCCACAAGCAGAAGCACAGAGGGGTCACTAGCACCTTGTGTGTATGTGTGTGCGCGCACGTGTGTGTAGGTGGGTATGTGTTGTTTAAAAATATATATTATTTTGTATAATATTGCAAATGTAAAATGACAATTTGGGTCTATTTTTTTATATGGATTGTAGATCAATCCATACGTGTATGTGCTGGTCTCATCCTCCCCAGTTTATATTTTTGTGCAAATGAACTTCTCCTTTTGACCAGTAACCACCTTCCTTCAAGCCTTCAGCCCCTCCAGCTCCAAGTCTCAGATCTCGACCATTGAAAAGGTTTCTTCATCTGGGTCTTGCAGGAGGCAGGCAACACCAGGAGCAGAAATGAAAGAGGCAAGAAAGAAGTGCTATGTGGCGAGAAAAAAAGTTTTAATGTATTGGAGAAGTTTTAAAAAACCCAGAAAAACGCTTTTTTTTTTTAATAAAGAAGAAATTTAAAATCATCCCCCAGTGCACTTTTGTTCAGCACCGATATGTCTGGCCAGGTGTTGGATCCCGCTCCCGGAAGGAGACGAGGTCTGGTGTTCCTCAGAAATGTTCTCTAGCTGAAGTGGCCTGCGTCCAAGTTCAGTTCCTAGGAGCTCCTCCTCCCCTCCTGATAGGGGCTTCCTGGTGGGGGATTTGGAATGAGCGACCCCCGTGTTCTCTTTAATTTTGTGGCATTGATCTCTTCATTTTTCTGTCACACTGGCTTCCTTGCTCTGTTCTGCTACTCCTCTGATCACTTCACCCAAGGTTGGGGAACCCGTTCATTCATTAGCCCTGCTTCTCGAGGTCTGGTCTTAGGCACTGTTGAAAATACAAAACTGAGTGAGTGCGACCTTGTTCCCACACTTCCTTAAGAAGTTCTCAATCAATCCATCTCTCTCCCCTTCTCTCCTTCTGCCCATAACCCTGTCTGCCTTTTCCTGAACAAGCTCATTCGGCCAGGCTTTCCCTCCCACCTTCCCTTCCAGGAAAGGGGCCCCTTTCTGAAACAAGGTCCTTGAGGGAAGCACTTGAGGGATGGGGAAGAACTGCAGCCCCTCCCGGTGCAGGGCTGAGCCCTGTGCAGTGCCTGCTGTCCACAAGTGTGATTTTTTTCCTCCACATTACACAAAACAGGAGATAGAACATCTGAAAAAGCCTGAACAGGCATCTCCTGAGGTTATGAAGGAGGGCAGGACCCAGGGATGCCGCAGGGAGATCAGCACAGCTCTCCTGTTGCAGCTCCCCTCAGCCTCCTCCCGACCCCTCTGTAGGCGGCCTCACTTCCTGACCCCAAGTTAGAGGGTCACACCAGGGAGCACCCCCGCTGTGTAGAGAACAAGGTGGGGGGCCATGAGGAACAGCCCTCCAGGGAGGCCGGCTGCAGCTTGTCTGGGTGAATCAATTGGTTTTAGAGCCAAACTGCCCACTCAGGCCAGGTGAGGACACTTCTCAGGTTCCTCCCACATGCCGGAAGGAGGAAGCAGAGGCAGGGGTAACCGCAGGCCTGAAGCTGGGTGGTCGTTAATGTTTTCCCTGAGCACAACATCCAGGACTTCTTCAAGCAGCTTTCTTTTGTGGGGTTAAACTTTGGAAACACCAAGACTTAAACACCAAGATTTAAACAAAGAATGAGTTTCTCCAAAGCCTAAAGAGCAGAATCATGACCAGGCTATGCTCCACCTGCTGCCGCCTAGGGCAAGACCTGAGACCCGCAGCCCCACCCTTCTGGGCCTCTGCCCTCACCTGTAAAATGAGGGGGTGTTTCCCAGCCCTCAGACTTGCTGGCTGAGTCTTCTCCAGCTCTATAATACCTCGTCAAACTTAGAGCATTTTAATTGCTTGATACTGATGGGAAATATATTTATTTTTTTTCCTGTTAAAAGACTTCCCAACAGTATATTTCAAAAGTAGAGAAAAAATTCCTAACAATTTATCCTTTCATTCTTTTTACATTCATTGATTTATGTGTACATTTATTCATTCAGTAAATATTTATGGAGCCCTGACTGGGGATGGGAGTAAATAACACAAAGTCCCTGCCCTCCTGAAGCTTATATTCTAGACAGGGAGAGAGAAAAAGAAATACATTACGTGTAATGTGACAGGTGACAATAAAATAAAGCAGGGAAAGATGGGAAGGGAGGGGGTTGAAGTTTACAAGAACAGGTCCGAGAAAGCCATCTGATCAGGGGATATGGAGCAGAAACGGAAGGCAGAGGGGTTGAGCGAATCTCAGACCTGAAGGCTGTGGGCAAGCAGACAGTAGGGAGCTAGAGGCCTGAAGGGGCCCCACGGGCACCCCAAGTGAGGCTGGTGGAAGCACCTGCAACCAACCCAGCACCCTGGGCAGGAACAAGGTGCATTCTGCTGTCGCTCGGCATCCAACACAGTTGAGCACAGCTGGGTGATGGTGCGCAGGCCTTCTTCCTGCCTGCTTCCTTCCCCACCGTGAAGATGGGTGTTTGATGGAGAAGACCATCTCCAGGGGCTGGGTCTTAGTCCCAGCTCTCCAACTTGGCATTTGTGAAACCTTGGATAAGACCTCTCTGAGCCTGTCTGCCGTCTGTAAAAAGGACCACATTCTGTCTGCAAGAAGGGTAGATTCATGAAGATTCAAGTAAAGCAAGGCAAGTAAAAGAGTGTAAAACACTGGCCGTTATCACGGTCTAAAGTGAAATTCCTTAACTTGATTTCCCAAACCAGCTCCGCCTTTGGCATTCCCTGACGATCTCCTGGTCCCCTGGGATATAAGCTTAGGGGCCCTCTGTTTACTCCCTGCTCCCGGGGTCTCCATAACAACTTAATTACCCGGACCTCAGGTCCTTTCCTCCCACAGAGGCATGGTGGGACACAGTGGGCTCTCATGGCCAAATCCCAGCTCTGCCCAGTCTGGCTTATGATCTTGGATAAGACATCGGACTTCTCTGAGCCTCATTTTCCTCCTCTTTAAAAAGCGAGTAATGAATCTTTTTTACAGGGCTGTTTGGGGACATAATGAAACAACGTTATGAAACACAAGGCAAGTAACAGGCATTCAATACTCTTTGTTTTTTAATTGACACATAATTATATAGCTTTTTATTATGAAAACCTTCAATCATACAAAAAAATAGAGAGGAAAGTGTAACAAACTCCACATTCCCATCACTAAGATATGACAATCATCAATATTTTGTTATATTTGCTTCATCTTTTCTTTCTTTCTTTCTTTCTTTTTAAGACAGGGTCTCACTCTGTTGCCCAGGCTGGAGTACAGTGGTGTGATCATAGCTCATTGTAGGCTTGAACTCCTGGGCTCAAGCCATCCTCGTGCCTCAGCCTCCCGAGTAGCTAGGACTATAGGCACGTGCCACTAAACCCAGCTAACTTTGTTATTGTTTACTTTCTGTAGCAATAGAGGCTCCCTATGTTGCCCAGGCTGGTCTTGAACTTCTGGCCTCAAGTGATCCTCCTGCCTTGGTCTTCCCAGTAGCTGAGACTATAGGCATAAACCCCTGCACCCAGCCTTTCATCTTTTACAAACTTTTTTGTGCAAATATTTTAAATTAAGGACAGCATGACATTTTACCCAAACACTTTCGTAAGTATCTCTTAAGGAAATTTTTAATATAAACTTAACCTAACAAGATTAATTATGATTCCTTAAAATCAATAACATACAACCCAAATTTAATTTCCCCAATGTTCCCAAAAGTGTCTTGTATAGCTGGGACTTTGAACCAGGATCAATCAGTATCCACACACTGAATTATGTTTTTGTATCTGAAATCTCCCTCTACCTCCTCTCCTTTCCTCTCCCCTCCTCTCCTGTCAACTTTTCATTTTGGAATAATTTTAAATTTACAGAAAAGTTGCAAAGTAGGAAAGAGAGTTCCTGCACACCCTTCAAGTAGTTCCCCCTAATATTAACATCTTGCATAACATAGTATTTGTCAAAGCTCAAGAAACCCATATTAGTGAATTATTGTCAGCTCCAGTTAAGCCTCTTTTCATCTAGCATGATTCTCCCTGCCCGACATCTTTCTTTCATGTCTTTGATTTGCTGAAGAAACTGTGTTGGGTTTTTGGTGACACATCACTTTCTGGATTTATCTGATTACCTCCTTCAGGTGTCATTTAGTTTATTCCTCTGCCATGGTCTGAATGTTTGTTCCCCCCACCCCCAAATTCTTATTTTAAAACTTACTCCCCAGTGTGACGCTGTTGGGAGGATTAGGCCATGAGGACAGAGCCCTCATGATGGAATTAAAAGAAGCTCCAAGGGCGGGATGTAGTGGCTCACACCTGTAATCCCAGCACTTTGGGAGGCCAAGGCCGGTAGATCACCTGAGGTCAGGTGTTCAAGACTAGCCTGGCCAACATGGTGAAACCCCATCTCTACTAAAAATACAAAAATTAGCCAGGTGTGGTCATGGGTGCCTGCAATCCTAGCTACTTGGGAGGCTGAGGCAGGAGAATTGCTTGAACCCAGGAGGTGGAGGTTGCAGAGAGCCGAGATCGCAGCACTGCACCCCAGCCTGGGCAACAAGAGCAAAATTCGGTCTCAAAAAAAACAAAAACAAAAACAAAAACAGAAGCTCCAAGGAGGCCCCTTGCCCCTTTGGCCATGTGAGGGCACAGCAGCAAGGAGTCATCTAGGAAGCAGAAGTGCCCTCACCGGACACTAAACCTGCCGGTGCCTTGATCCTGGAATTACCAGCCTCCAGAACTGTAAGCTATAAGTTTCTGTTGTTTATAAATTACCCAGTCTAGGGTATTTTTGTTATAGTGATACAGACAGGAGACAGGGAAATACTGGGTAGAAGAGGGCAGTTCCCCAGCAAAGGCCCCACCCTCAAGCCTGAAGACACACAGCCCTAATTGAGGACAGACATTTCTGTTTTTGAGCCCAAAAAGTTGCCTTTTGATCCCCCACGCACCCTGCATCCTGCCCCCATATAAACCCAAGACCTTAGCGGGAACACACAAGTAGCTTGGCAGTTCCCCCAATAGGGAACATTGGGACTAGCAGACCAGCAACGGCGGAACAATGCGGCAGAGAAAGAGAGACCAGGAGGGACGCCTGGATACCGACGGGAGTTCGCCCGGGGACGGTCGGAGAAGAGTCCAGCCACTGGGCAGCCCGACTCCAGGGGAAGACCACCTTCCCACTGCATCCCCCCGTTCTGGTTCCCCATCCATCTCTCGGAGAGCCACCTCTGTCACTCAATAAAACCCTGCACTCATACTTCGAGCTTGCGTGTGATCCGATTCTTTCGGGACACTGGGCAAGAGCTGGGGATACAGAAGGCAGAGGGTCCATTGAGCTGATTAACACACAAGCCGTCTTCAGACAGCAAATCTGAAAGAGCCTTGTGACACACGTCTACCTGGGCTTCCGGAGTCGCAGACATCCGCCCCTAGACGCTGCTGTGGAGCCAAAGCCCAAAAGCAGATGCGCCGGCCTCTGCACGTGTCCCTAGGGGTTGCTGGGCGACTGAGCAGGCGAACCACACCCCTGTCTCGCCTGCTGCCAGGGGAATCAGGGAACTCTCCCTTTTCAATAGTAGTCTGAAGGGCCTAAAACATCCTCTTTCCAGCTTTTGCCTTAAAGTGGAGGTTAGATCTAAAAGCTTGATTAGATTTAGGAGAGACATTTTTGACAAAAGACTTCATTGTGATGCTGTGAACTTGGTGCTCCATATTTTCCGTATTTGTCCTACTCTTTTCAGTGCCTTTTGTCAACCTCACCACCCTAGGATGATGCATTGCAAACACCCCATACATGTTCTGCCTGCCTCCTTGGTCCCCTCCCACCCCCACACATCTGCAGTTCCCATGCTGACAGATGAATCTTGCTTTGGTCCTGTCCCTGTAACCACTGTCAGGTTAAATAAGAGTGCCTCCTGGGCAGTAGTCATCAAGCAGGTTTGGTTTTTTCCTGTCAATATCCCCATGAATTTATTTGGTGGGTCTAGTTCTTTTCCTTCTCCTGGACGAAAACTTGGACAGACCCCTTGATTTCTCTGGCAACTCTCAGGTAATAAAAAGTCCTGTGGTCATTTTAAATTAAAACAAGAACAACACAGACTCTGTTGGGTAATTGAAACAGCCAGTCCATTTTAATCATCAGAATGTTGAACTTGACTTCAGGTTGCTGCTCCCAGCCTCGTCCTTGCTGAGGCCACTGGTGAGGGGTCATCCACTTCCCCCATGGCTAACTTTGGTACCTGCCCTTCCAGAGTTGAGCAGGAGAAAGAGGGGAGGACAAAGGGGGCAGGAAAGGTGTTACTCTGTGGGTAAAGTCATAGGGTCTAGCACTCCTGAGAGGTGCTTAAAGTCTCCTGAGCACTTTTGTGGGTTCTTTGAAGAACTCCCCCTTTTTGCTAGGGATGCCTTGTCACTGTCTCTTCACATGGACTAAAGCTTCTCCATTCCGGCTGGTTGTCCTCCCCTTCCCCAGCCCTTAGAAATCTAGGGGTACATCTGGCTGATTCTACTGGTATCTCTGCCACTCTAAATGGTCCACTTGGATAGGACTTAAGATGACCCCATTCATGGACATATCTGGTGCACAGAAAATTCCCGTACATGATGTATCCTGACAAAGCTGGAGTGCAGGTTGGTCCTCAGCTAAGTCGTCTTTGCTGAAGAGTAGCTAGCCAGCCCACCTTCTCTCGTTAGGTCTCCCAAATGGGAGTGCATCACTGGTCCACTGTTAGCCCCAAACTGCAAAGAACATGGACTATGTGCCCCAAGAAGTTCACTTAAAACTCTCTTCCCTTAGCCCTAAGATAAAGGGCAGGCACGTCTCGCCCCAGGGTGGAAGGGGTGGGACTCCAGAAAGCTCTCTCCAGAGGAATCCTCTTCTAACATCCTCTTTCAAAGTTTCCAATTCTCAATTCTTTTACACTCTTAATGTGGTTGAAGAGTTTAAAAGTCTCTAACCAGTTTCCGGACACCTCTTTGGTGAATGTTGCCTGCGGTCTGGCCCATCCTTTGGAATGTGAGATCTGGCATCTCCTGGGGCCTTGGCTGAAAACTCCCACTCTTATACCCCATAATGCTTTGGCAGTTCCCTCCTCCAAGGATGCCTTCCCAGCCACCCTGCCCTTCTTGACACCTTAGACTGTCCTCAAGATCCAGCTCAAGTAAAGTCTTGTCCGATTCCTTAACTGGAGCAACAGTAGCCCTTACTACCATGCATGGCACTGACTACATGTGTCTTTTTTTGCATGTATTTGTATTTTGCATGTATTAGAACAAATCTGATCAGTTCAGTGAAGTTTCTCTCTCTGGAAAAGCAGAGGCTGTTCCTTATTCACCCAGGATTCTCCGCAGCACTTAGCACAGAGCCTGACTCACAATACCTGCTCATTAGGGATGTGCTAAATGAATAAATGAATGAACAAGGAATTAATCTTGGCCATACAAAATTCAAGGTCACATCAGTGCCTTCCCAAACAGGAACGTGACCAAAGTCACAGGCCTTCCTGCAATCTGTATTTGGGGAGCCATTCTCAAACAGTGCTTTTCTCAAGGCTATCCTGCCCACAGACTCACAGTGCAATGCCCACAGACCAGGTGGATCTGGTTGCTGGAACTCAGGAAGTTGAAGCTTGAGAAGTGCAGGCCACTCTTAAGAGAGAATCGCTGCAAGGGCCAACAATCTCCACCCTGCGGTCATCTGTGAGCCCAAGACGTGTCCTGTTCATCTTACGTCGCCAAGGTCTCAGTGAGGATAATGGGCTGTTTCCCCACTTGAAAGGAAGAGACACAGAATTATGCCTAGTTTCTCAACCAGTTATACAATTAACAGGAAATATGACAACTTGGGGTTTTTGTTGAGCACAGACAAGCAATATTCAGTGTCTGAGGCCTTGATCCTGGGGGGGTTTGGTGGGTGACTTCAGCCCTCCTGACCAGGGAGCTTCATGTGGCTGCCCATGTACCCTCAACAGCCAGGTCGTCTTCCCTACCTCCTCCATCAATGCTTGACTTTCTCAGTGTGTCCCCAACCATCATGAAATCACAAATGGGCACCAAGAAAATGTCTGGGACTATGACTTTCCAAGAAGACAACACAGAAGGAATATTTGCTTTTTGAGAGCATTCTAATATTCCTTATGGACTTTAGGAATCCTTGGTTTTAAGCAATAGAAATAGAGTTTTTCTAGCTTAGGCAAAGAGGAATTTATTAGGAGGATACTTGGAAGTTCACAGACTCAAAAGAAAACCTGGAAAATCAGGCCATGGGAAGGCAAGAAGCAGGCTGGCTCTGGGCAGCAGGACATTCTCTTTGAAGATACCTTCATGGGAGCTTCTGTTTCAGCCATGCATAGAACCCAGTTGTCTCCATTCAAGACACAAATTTTTAGGAGAGAGTCTGGTTAGTGAGCTTGGGTCCAAAGACCACCTTGTCACCAGGGTCGGATTCTGTGGTTGACAGCTCCACCCTAATCACACCAAGTCGGGAAGGGCCAGTTCCCCCAGTGAAGGGCTGTTGAGCAGACAAAAACAAACAAATAAAAACCAAAAAACAAAACCAGATGTCTACTGAAAACAATTCCACTAATATATTTGAAATATGATTCAATTTTCCAAAGTTCAGTGTATACACAACTCTTTGTTCAACTGAATTTCTCTTTTCCTACTACCTGCTGGAAAGTTTAAAGTTCATAGCAAGCATGTAGGATTTTGATGGTGTCCACGTTGCCTTTGTGTCTCTCCTGGTTCTATTTTATGTTTTTTGTTTGTTTGCTTGTTTGTTTTGTTTTGTTTTTGTTTTTTTAATGTTCCTTTATCTCTAGTTTGCTGCCTTGGTGTATGCTGTGACTTTTTTTTTCTGGAATAAGGCAGAATATAAATGAGCAGATTATCTGTGACTCTTCAGAAATGTATTATGGTGTAAAGCAAGGTTTGTCTGTGCTGCGAGTTTTCCCACTGGAAGGGCTTGTAGTCTGGAAGCCAACAGTGACAAAGATGTCATCGTGGCACGGAATCCCTGGAGTTCTCTATTTTTAAAGCTTTCCCAGAGCAATTAGATGCAGACAAGTTGCATCAAACTTTTACTGCATAGTATTCCTATGGTTAGGGGAATGCAATTTGACACATGGTAAGACAGGCCAGTTGAGAGAGAGAGAGAGAGAGAGAGAGAAAGAACAAGAACAAAGGGAGGTTGGCTGAGGCAACCTGGGGCCAGGCCCTGCTCTGGGGTTATTTTCCATGTGACCTCAGCTGAGCTCTCTCTTTCTGGAGGAGCCTGCCTGGCTCTGGAGCACCAAGGAAAATTTGGCAGTGCCTGAGGGAGTTAAAGTGCGGCCAGCAGCAGCAGGTGCCAGGAAAGGGCTGGAAAACGCTGGTGAACTTCCCAGAGTCACACAGCAACTTCAGTTATGGTTTGGAGAGGAAAGTCTGGAGTTGGAGAGGAAAGTCTGGGGTTGGACAGAAAAGTGGGAGGTCTGCCAGCTGCCCTCAGAAGAACCCCAGCTCCACCCTCCAACCTCTGTGATAAGCTGGCTTTTCCCCCCTGAGCCCAGAGGTTAGGAGAGGCCCGAGGGCTGTGCGCTTAGCAAGGATGTCTTGGTTGTGGAGATCAGAAACCCACTCAGCCTGGTTCAAAGAGAAGCTAGCTGTGAGAGCGCCCCAGGCAGTCCCACAGATACTCAGTGAAGCTTCATGCTCCTCTCAGGGACCGGGACAGGAAATTCTGGAACTGTGTCAGTCCTCCCAAAGTGCTGGGATTATACTCCTCTGAGCCCTCAGAGCTCTCTCACTTCTGCTCAGCAGCAGCACAAGGAGCCTCCCCAAGCCGCCCGAGCTCGAGCATCCACGACTCCCCATCCTCTTCAGACTCCTGAGGGGCTCAGCTCATCTGTCCATGCTGAGCATGTGGACTGACCATATCCACCCCTTGTCCAGTCAGCCGTATAAGGAGGAACAGGCCGTGTAGACCCCTAGGCTCATAGGAGGGCTCAATACATGTGGATTCCATTGGGAAGGGTCAACACTCGTTCTTCCTCTAGTGGAAGGGCCACTGAGAGCTTCAGGGTCCAGATTGACTCCTGTCAAGAGCACTGTGGGAGGGATTCCTGCACCCCAGGGCTACTGGGCTCAAGGACTCTGAGGACACGAGGTGTGTTTGGTCACTGAAGAAGAGCAATGCTCTGTGACTTCCGAAGAAACAGACTCAACTTTGCAGGCTGACACCTGCATAGCTCCTGCTGGGGACCTCTTCCAGCATGACTCTCTTGAGACAGAGCTACCCAAGTTCGAGGAACCATGTGAGCCCTCGGAGGGTTGTTCAACACCGATTTCACATCGAAGTGGTATTTGAATGCAGAAAGTTGTCTACCCACCAGCTTCACTTCTGCCGGGGCCAAACAGGCCTTTGCCAGGAGGCTGCAATGGCTCCTGAGTATCTCTTCCCTGCCTGTGCTCAAGCTGTTCTCACCCCTGCCATGCCTGGACAGGCGTCCTTCCCCAGTCACGACCTGACTGACCTCTCCCACTCCCTTAGGCCTTAGCCAAAGCCCACCTCCCACAGGAAGGCCCCAGCCCCATCCTCTCCTCCCCTCTCCCTTGGGCTTCCGCACCTTTGTCTTAGCCTGCCTGGCATCTGGCCGCCTCCCAGCTACTCACGCCTGTGTGTGCTTTCCTCCCTAGCCTGGTTGCTGGAGGACGTCTCTGTGTCCTGTCAGAGCGCGGCCAGGAGAGTAGAGGGGCTGATGGGCTGATGTCGGCTGCCATCAGAGAGCTCCAGTTCTGGTCACACAGAAGGACTTCTGACCCTTCAACAGCCCCTAGAACCCACCAGGGCCCAGTGGCCCCTAGTTCACCCTGCCCCTCTAGCCCTCTCTTCCAGCAGTGGAATTCCCCTCTGCCCCCGAAAGACCCTAGCCCTGTGCTGACTCCCTCACCTCACAATGGCCACTTCTGTTATGGAGTGGCCATACCCTGCTGTGGCACATTTTCAGAACAGAAAGGGCCTTCACTGGAACACCCTTGGGGTTACGGCATTCCTGCAGAACGCACTGGCCTATTCTCTGCAGATCTGCAGGAGACAGGCCCCTGGGTACCCAGGGTGAACCCCACCCCTAACTTCTCTCCTCTCTCTTGAAAAAGAAGGGCCAGTAGCTGGCACTGACCCCAGGCTCTGCTGCATTTCTTACTCTGAGGAAAGCCAGTCCACATTTTGTTCTTCTGTGAGGCCAGGCCATTGGTCAGGATGGACATGAAGCCGCGCAGAGAGAAGGGAGTTCAGTCAGGCGGTGAGGAGCGGAGGCCCCAGGCGGCTCTTCTGCAGGAAACTGCTGTCTGGAGGCATGCAAGGCGGCTTTCCACTGTGGGGCACAAACCACTGTCCTGTGAATCCCCAGAGCACCTCAAACCTAGCTGGCAGGATAGTCCAGGGGAGATGACAGTCAGGGAGAGAGGACAGTCTGGGGGGAGATGACAGTCTGAGGGACAGGACAGTCTGAGGGAGAGGACAGTCTGGGGGAAGAGGACAGTCCAGGTGGAGAGGACAGGATAGTCTGAGGGACAGGACAGTCTGAGGGAGAGGATAGTCTGAGGGAGAAGACAGGACAGTCTGAGGGAGAGGACAGTCTTGGGGGAGAGGACAGTCCAGTGTAAGAGGACAGTCCGGGGGGAGAGGAAAGTTCATGGGGAGAGGACAGTCTGAGGGACAAGACAGTCTGGGGGAAGAGGACAGTCCAGAAGGAGAGGACAGGACAGTCTGAGGGACAGGACAGTGTAGGAGGACACTCCAGGGGGAGAGGACAGTCTGAGGGAGAGGACAGTCCAGTGTAGGAGGACATTCCAGGGGGAGAGGACAGTCTGGGGGAGAGGACAGTCTGAGGGAGAGGACAGCCTGAGGGAGAGGACAGTCTGGGGGGGAGAGGACAATCTGAGAAAGAGGACAGTCCAGGGGACAGGACAGTCCAGGGGAGAGGACAGTTCGGGGGGGAGGACAGTCTTGGGGGGAGGGCAGGTGTAGGGGGACGACAGTCCAGGGGGAGAGGACAGTCCAGGGGAGGGGAGAGGACAGTCTGAGGGAGAGGACAGTCTAGGGGGGAGGGCAGTCGTGGGGGGGAGAGGGCAGTCTTGGGGAAGAGGACAGTCCAGGGGAGAGGACAGTCTGGGGGATAGGACAGTCTGGGGGAGAGGACAGTCCAGGGCGAAAGGACAGCCTGAGCCCAGGTGCTGAGGGGCCTGCCATGCTACGGAAGAGTGAAACTGGCTGGTAGATACACTCAGCATCATGAAGCACTTGATGTTGACATTAGCTTTGAATAAACCCAAATGGTTCACCTATCTTGACACTGTCAGGAAAACAGTTCCACTGGTGGGGAGCACTGATTGCAGGCTGGGCTGGTGAGGGTCTTCATACCTGCTCCACCCTGTGCTGTCCCACTAGCAAAGATGGGACCTGCCCGCCCACTCCCAGGGCACACTGAGAACCGAGGGGCCGTGTCATGGGCTGGTATTTTGACTTTGCTGATGGCTTGTCATAGCAGGTGGGTTACAATCACACCCACTTGTGAGGCGTCTCCTGATTTTGTACAAAGTTGGAGTCAAATCTTTCCTCTAGGAATTTAAGAACCTGTATAATTTTTCTTGGTTTTGTCTTCAAAGTTTTTTTTTTTTTTCCCCCTGTGACTCAATATTTGGATGTCTCTCCCTGAGAGAAGCCATTAGGGTAAGATCTAAGAATCAGGCTGGTGCCAACCTTAGAGAGGGGGAGCTGCCTCCACCCCAACAGTCACGGAGACAGAGGCCTGCACCCACAACTCACCTGCCTGTCCCTGGGGC
Source organism: Homo sapiens (assembly GCF_000001405.40). Classification (NCBI taxonomy): domain Eukaryota; kingdom Metazoa; phylum Chordata; class Mammalia; order Primates; family Hominidae; genus Homo; species Homo sapiens. The sequence continues at coordinate 161,970,872 of NC_000001.11, read as the reverse complement.
ACCGCCCCTTGGCTGCCATGGCAGCACAAGCCGGCTCCCCAGCAGGGAGATTTCAAAGAGGGAGGGTCTGGCTTTCTAGCCACAGACCCAGAGCTCCTTCCTCTAGGAGCTCTGCAAAGTTTGGAGGGGAGAGAACCTTCAGGACAGAAGGGAATGAACACACAGGCAAATTGCAGTGTCTTCTCCCTTGCCTGAGGGCTGCTGTGAGAAGGGGTGCACTCAGCCTCCCACTGGCCTGAAAGCCCGAAGTGGGGTGGCTTTGGCTGGCCCGCTGTTTGTGGTTTGTGTACTATTCTCTCCCTCCTGGTTTACCGTTTCTTCTGTTGCTTCAGGCTTCTTCTGTGTCAGCAGTTATCCTCTTTCCCCATTCCTTGCCCAACCCAAACCTTCTCTCCTTTCCTTTGCAGTTCTTTTCACATCTTTCTGTTTTTGTTTTTGTTTTTCCAGTTTCCTGAGGTCTGGGAGCAGACTCTCCATCTTATTCTCTCTGCGCCGGGGCCTCCCCCCACCACTCCTCTCCTCTCTCCCTTTTCTCCGTCTCCCCCTCTCTCCTTCTCCCGGCTCCCTCTCCCTCCAAGAATATGCCATTTCCCAAAAAGTTCCATTTTCACAGCCATGGTTATTTTCATGCATTTCCCCGTTCTAACATCGCAGAGGAATGTCTGACATCATCTCCACAAGTGAATCCAGCACTTTCCAGCCCCCACCCCTACCTCTCTCCCCTCCTTTCTTTACCAGCTGTTTGCTAGGTTTGGACTTTGATTATCCAAAAGCATTTTTTTTTCTTGTTCCAGGGACCCTACTCCACCCTCAACCTCTAGGATGGTGTTGCTCCATAAACATCAGAACTAGACCTCAAAAGACAGCGTCCATTGGTTCCCAAGCTTTTCTGCACATTAGAATCACCTGGGGAAATGTTCACACTCCTATGCCCAGGTCACACCCTCTACCAATTCAGTCAGAATGTCTGGGGGTGGGAGCCACGCACCAGTATTTGTTAAAGGTCCCCAGTGGTTCCAAAGTGCAGCAAAGTTTGAGAACCACCAAGCTAGGGCTGAAGTGAAGGGGATTCCAGCCTTTAGCCAACTCTGCCCATGGAGCCTGGGGCACACACCTTGCCTTCAGAGCTGCGAAGGAGGGGCCACGAGCATTCTCTCTGGGGTGCCCCTGCCCAGCGCTGGGGGTTCTCCCAGCCACCTAGTGAAGACCTGCTCCAGGGAGGCTGACGGCCCCCTCCCACAGCAAAGGGTGCTGGTTCGAAGCAGGGGCTCCCAGGAGTTCAGTGCCCAGGAGAGCTGTGGACCTGTTGGGGAGCAAGCAGCCGGTTCCGCCTCTCGTCCTGGATGCATCCCCCGAGCCTGGATGGTGGCTGACTTGGCTGAGTGCATGCATCTGATTCCTTAATCAATTCTTTTTTTCTTTTTCTTTTTCCATAGGGTGTGGTAGCTAGTGCAGTGTGACAAATGCCAGTCTATCATGCACATTCCTGGAAGGACAGTGTATATTTGTGGCTTTCTAAATGCTCAATAATTCAACAAAACCTGGATTTCACCTAAAATGCCCAAACCACCATGTCCCAAGCACACTATATCCACAGGCCTGATTCAGGCCTCTCAGCTGGGAGTGCAGCCACCCAGGGTGGCAGCAGCAGGGATGGAGGCTGTGGATGCTGAAGATGTAACCCCTGTGGACTTCCAAAAATGCAGCACACACACACAATTCTTTCTTTTTCTTTCTTTGCTTTTTTTTTCTTTTAATGGAGACAGAGTCTGGCTAGCTCTGTCGCCCAGGCTGGAGTGCAGTGGCACGATCTCCACTCACTGCAACCTCCGCCTCCCAGGCTCAAGCAATTCTCTTGCCTCAGCCTACCAAGTGGCTGGGATTACAGGCGCGCACCACCAAGCCTGGCTAATTTTAGTATTTTAGTAGAGACGGGGTTCCACCATGTTGGCCAGGCTGGTCTTGAACTCCTGACATCAGGTGATCCTGATATTACCACCCACCCCAACATCAGCAGCCAGGGGAAGGTTCATCTCTGGCAGGAGTCTGCATCTTCCCATTCTCCAGTCTTGCTGACAGGGAACTACACGGGTGTTTCTCAGTCCCCTCTCAGAGTCATCTGGGGAACTTGTTGAAACACAGGGTGCTAGGCCCGGCCTTGGAGTCTGACTCAATGGGTCTGGGTTGGGACCAGAAAAGTTGCATTTCTAACAAGTTTTGAGGTGCTGCTGCAGTCTCAGGGCCCCGCTTGCAGACTCGCTGGTTTACATCCTCTTTCCAGGCCCATTTCTAATATGCCACAGACTGAAGCCAGAGGAAAAAGCAATAGGATGAAAAGAAAAGGGGAAGGCTGGGCCCGGTGGCTCACACCTGTAATCCCAGCACTTTGGGAGGCCAAGGCGGATGGATCATGAGGTCAGGAGATCGAGACCATCTTGGCTAACATGGTGAAACCCCGTTGCTACTAAAAATACAAAAAATTAGCAGGGCGTGGTGGCGGGCGCCTGTAGTCCCAGCTGCTTGGGAGGCTGAGGCAGGAGAATGGTGTGAACCCCAGACGCAGAGCTTGCAGTGAGCCGAGATCGCGCCACTGCACTCCAGCCTGGGCAACAGAGCGAGACCTCATCTCAAAAAAAAAAAAAAAAGAAAAGAAAAGGGGAAGAGGAAAACAAATGATGCCTCATCTTTTAAGGGAAGGCAGGGATCTCTGCTGTTTTCCCTTGCAGTCCTGCCTCAGCACTGGGCATCGCACATACTGCAACTTCTGTGCCCTGTGAATATCTGAATAGGGTGCGGTAGCTAGTGCAGTGTGACAAATGCCAGTCTATCATGCAGACTCCTGGAAGGACAGTGTATATTTGTGGCTTTCTAAATGCTCAATAATTCAACGAAATCCTGATTTAGCCTAAAATGCCCAAACCACCATGTCCCAAGCACACTATATCCACAGCACTTTTGGAGGAAAAAAATCGAATTCAAGACATTAGTAGGGTTCCTGCTCTTCTGGAGCTCACTGTCCCACAGGGATGATAAATGTTTACCTGGTAATTGCAAAGGCGATGGGAGTTAGGAAGGGATAAGTACAAGATGCTGCTATGGCAACAAAAACAATCTTTCTATGAGTGGCCTTTTCCTTCCTTGGACTATTTGAGCCCTGCTGCCTTGTACCAGATGATAAATCCTGGGAAGATGGAATCGGCCCCAACCGTGCTGCTACTTGCAATGTGCTTCTAGTTGTGCTCCCCTGGGTGGTGACCTGTAGAGTCATTTAAAACAAGAGATTAAGTGTTTCAGCATCTTTCCTGCTCATATTGTCTAAATTAAGACGAATTTCCTGTTCCCCCTAGCTGGTGATTTGATGGAGACAGCCTAGTTGGATGTGTGGGGGTTGCTGTAATTCCGTCTTCCTAAAGGTTGCCAGGCGGAAGGGGACAACATGTCGATCTCATGTGAACGAATGGCTTAGCAGAGAAGAATTCCAGCAACTCCAGGAAACCAGAGACAATATGGCGAAATGGATCATTTGATGTCCTGGGGCCAGCAGCCAAGTGAGTGGGTGAGATCTGTGCCCATGGCAAAGATGCTGGCCATGAACCTCCCACCCCCAAACTCTCCTGAGAGTAGCTTGTGTCCAACTGAACTTTCTTTTTCAGGCTGACCAGAAATCTTACCCTCACCTGGAAATGATCTTTACTCTTCTGTGGGGACAGAAGGGTGACCACATAGTCCCATGGAAGAGACATAACTCATGTGTCTAGACATGTAAAGGACATGTCAAGGATGTTGTCTAGTTCATCTGTATGGTTTCCTACAGCTCCATGGTAGATGTTGGAGCTTCGCACAACACTTAGAACTAGTGGCAAATGTTTAAATTCCAGGGCCATTGCCTCTAGCCCACTATGAAGAAATGCAGCCCAAGAATCGAAGCTCCATTGGGTGCTCAGGAAATGGAGATAACTCGGAGGCTTCAGAAGTCAAGCAGGACACCTAGGGAAGGAGCATCTGAGATGGCTTTTGAGGTTCTCAGTTCTTCCTTTGTACCCAGTTGATGTTTGCAGAAATATGGGCTGTACTGTAAACAATTGGCAACAGTATTTTCTGTTAGCCTTGCAAGGTCCGCCTTCCAAATGGATACAGCTTTTAGGACTGACACTGCTGCACTCAATCTTACAAGATGATCCATTTATTAATATGGTGTGTTGTATTTATTTTAAAGATATATCCTTCACTTCTGAAACAAACCATTTCAATTTTGGGTCTGCAGATTAGTGATCTCTTACACAAGCATCTCTATTTCATAGTCCAGCATCCACATCAGCAGTTAATTCTGCAGTGAAAACTTTCTATAGAACTTGTGATCACAGGGAAAACAGTGGATACATCCTGGGATGGAGCTGGATGCCACACTTGGGTGGGCTTTTGGATATGAGTAGAGTAGGAGAGTTAGGAGAGCCTAGGATCTTCAATTATGGAGGAGCCAGCTTGTATCCACCCCACTGGGTAACTCGTCCAAGATGGGGACTACAAGGACTGAGGTCTAGAAGAATTGGTGCAGCAGCCCAGCATGGGCTCTGCATGCAGCCAGCATCGAGTGTATGCCTTCTGAGTCACTCATAGAAAACCCTCGAGTACTGCTGGACCTTGCCTCTTAGCGACTCTCCCTCTTTCCTGAACATGCCTCAATACCCTGGTTGCCTGTGTTGTGTGGCTTGGTTTCTTCCTCACTCATTTGTCTCTTTATGACTTCAAAGGATGAATGACAATGTAGCATAGTAGAAGGAATGTGGCTTTAAAATCATGACAGACTTCATTTCAAATCTCAACTCTGCTATGTACTAGTTGTGAGATCCTGGGCAAGTTACTTAATCTCTTGTGACTATTTCTTCATCTGTAATTCACAGACATAGGTATTATTATGTCGATGATGAAGGCTTGCTGCAAAGTTCAAATGAGCTAATGCTTGTAAAGGCTTAGCATGATGTCTGGAAGGTTAAGTCCTCAATAAGCATCAGCTCCTACTCTGAACTGAACTAAGAGAACGATTCTCTTCAGGCATTTGCACAGATCATGCCGAATGAATACGACGGAGTGAAATATGCGATAGGTTTCCTATGGTGAGCAAAACATTGGAAGTGATTTAAATCTCTACCAAAATTGGACCAGTTAGGTAAATTACAGGGTAAATGCTAAAGAGGCCCTCTATCTATGATACCATGTATTATATAACCCAAATGTCATTTGTGGTTACCCTTTGAGATTCAAAAATTGGCTTGAACCATATCCCACATAGAGTGAGAAGTCCCAGGGGACAATGCCATAAAGATTGTGGGGGCGGGGTGGGGGGTTGGAAGTTTTTATTTCCCTGTTTCACCTGACGTCCACTGACACTTCAGTGTATGAATTATCTTGCTGTGCTGTCTTCTTCTTCACTAGTAATATCATGTTGAGTCCTACCTTCAGTCTCTCACTCCCAAGGCAACATTGATACAAAACTGTGTATCTGCTTTTACTGAAGAGTTGGGGCAATGAAGAGGATTTGCATTTCAGCATCACAGTTTGTAAAAGTCCTTTGCCCTCCTGCCACCAGGGGGTCTTTTCATGACACTCCCCTTGGGGGCTTTAGTCTCCAGCCCTATTCCTTGGTCCCATTTCTCTTTTCTGCTGTTCAACCCTCTACCCTCCAATCTCTGCTAACTTTGTCTGCAGTAGAGGTGATTTGAGGTTGGTCTCCTAGATGAGGGGGCGGGGGGGGGGTCTCATTTTCTAAATAAGTCCATTAAAGTATCTTCTGAAACAAATGTAGTTTTGCCTCTCAGAGAACCCTGATGTTATTGTAGTTTTGTAATTTATGTATATGGCTCCATGGGCTGACTGTGAGCTCTTTTAGGGCATGAACTTATGCCAGATCTATGTATCAGCAGGTGGAATAATATAATGGTGAATAATTCACATAATTGCCTGGGCCCAAATATTGGGCCACTATTTTTTAATTTTTATTTTTGAGACAGGGTCTCACTCTGTCACCCAGGCAGGAGTGCAGTGATGTGATCTTGGCTCATTGCAACCTCCGCCTCCTGGGTTCAAGTGATCCTCCCACTTCAGCTCCCCATGTAGCTTGTAGCTGGGATTACAGGCACCTGCCACCATGCCTGGCTAATTTTTGTATTTTTTGTAGAGACAGGGTTTCACCATTTTGCTTAGGCTGGTCTCAAACTCCTGAGCTCAGGTGATCCACCTGCCTTGGCCTCCCAGAGTGCTAGGATTACAGGCGTGAGCCACTGCACCCAGCCAGCTCCACTACTTATTAATAACCATCTTACAAAATAGGATGTAGAGACGATTGAAATAAGATAATATAGTTAATAAACCAGTGTCAGAGGTAATCATTGGGTGCTCAGTAAATGCCTGCATTAATTACTCCTGGATGGATCCCTTGCTGTCAGTCTGCAGTGACTAGCTTCAGGTGTGGTGGCATTTGCCATTGCAAGCTGGGAAGAGGCCTTTGGTGAGGACAAGATGCGTGACCGAGTAACCCACTTTCCTGAAGACATAGATAAAATATGGGTTTTTAGATTTTTTTTTCCTTGATAAGATTGTAGTTTAAATATCTGGACACTTAAATAAAGGAAATTTTTACTTAATTAGGCTTGGGAGAAGAGTGGAAAATAGTTCAACAGTTTCATCTGAACAGTAACACAAGCCACAAAGCCTTTTCAGGCTTCCTTTCCCATTACTAACCCCCCAACACTGAAGATTCATTTGGGGGCTTTTTTCTCTCTTTCTACATACAGAATAAACAAGGTAAGTTTAAAAATTCTTTATTTGAATTTTAGAGAAATAACAGGTAGTATAAAGACTTGCTTGAAAGTATGAAATAGTCTGTTGTTATTATTTCTTTAGGTTTTGCAAACCAACATCATTATTAAGGGAGAGAATGGTACATCTCTCCTCCTCATCTTTAACACGTTCTTCAATTGGCATGGGTACAACCTGAGCAAAAAGATCCTGGTGAAATGGCATCTCTAACACTCCCCCCTCAGTTCTAATGGCTCCATGGATGAAGCCCTACTGGACTTAGACCATCCATACTTGCCAAAGTGGTAACAGGAAACCAGTGCCTCTAAGGCTAGTAGTGCATAGTAGTTTTCATCTAAAGCTCTGTTTCCCCATCATCTCCTCTGTCCTGGTGACTGGCCTGGAAATTATGGCAAGGATGAGTTAAAATGGATCAATATACAATTGCTGTGAAAGTCAACCTACTAATCTCTAGCTGGGATTAACATAAAGGGGATATGCCAAGCCTCCTGGTTTATTCAACTTCATTGAGAGCAAACAGCACAATAGTGTTGTTTGTTGGCCTTGGCAAATGATAAATTATGATTTATTTACTCCTTAGTTACCAAACCTAATATAATTAAAAGTATTTTAGTGTGCTAAATCCCTAATGCTTAAAGTTAGCAAACCAATATGTTGAGAATGGCACCCACTATGTGACAGTGGCTGGCCATGACATGGATTCATGCGTAAGATCAAATTTTCTAATCAGATACCTTTGTCATTCTTCTTTTCATAAATTCTATTGCATCTAATAACACACATATTAGAACAAATGGCCGAAAGTTCTAGTCTTACCCAAAATAAACTGTTTAAAGCTTAGTCATTAAAAAGATAAGAACAGAACACACTTTACTTTCTTTTTTTTAGGTAGGAGAAAACTGCATTTCTTTTACGAGCATAGTTCCTTTTGGATTCTGGCAACATCTTTTTGGGTAGTCTAGTATTGTTTCCTAGGAAATTAAAAATCAATCCCAATCCCTGTGGGTGGAAGAAAATGGGAATATTCACTTCCAAATGTTATTAGGGGTGGGAACGAACATTTCTTATATTTCATTCTCTTTTAGGCTTTATTCTTGTTTCTAAAAGTTATAATTGGTATTCATATTAGCAGCAACAATCCTAATTTCTGTAAGTTAAAATGACTCAGGACTGATGAAAATAACATTTGTGGTAAGGAATATGGAGTCCACAGGTGGTAATAAGTGTCTATCAATTTTGGCAATTCACAATCTTATTTAAGAGGTTAATTGGTATGAAATAGCCAATAGTATGAAAAGATCTCAGTCGGCTGAAGGAAGCTGAGTCAGCCCATCAGTATGCAGTGGAAAGAGGGCTTTCATGGCTGGAAAATTTCCCATGACTTCAGAGTGAAAGGGGGCATCAGATCAGGCTCTAACTCTTCAGGCTGTGAAAGCAAAAGTGGTTACTTCTAATATGTTGTTGAAAGTGAAAGTCACTTTGAAACTTTGCAATGTGTTAGAAAGTCAAATACAATTATAAGTTTTTCCTGTAATACATTTCTGTCAAGTTTCACAACCTAAGCTTGGTAAAATGGCAAGAATCAAAAAATAGTAGGAAAGTGGCAAAGAGCTTGAGAGTTTTCCAGTTTTAACGATGCTAAATGCCACCACGGCAGTCTCACCAGCATCTCGCTGCGGTGACTACCGGGGAATACACACAGGGGAGGAAGGTTCAGGCTAAGATTTAGTCAGGATGATGTCTCTTTAAAAATGATTTGAAAAATCAATTTGAATCCCAAGTTCCTTTTCTGTTTCTAAACTTACTTGGAACACTTAAGAATGACTCACATAACATTGCTTTCAAATACCTCCGTGTCAACTTCTTACTGGCAAGAAATGGCAAAGAAATGCCAGTTTTGTGCTGGAACTTGTAGTCATTAAAAAAAAAAATTAGATGATGCTCTGAGTTTTATAATCGTGAGGGATTTTTTACTTGTGAAAACACAAATCCCACCCAAAACTCCATGTGAAGTTTCTGTACTACAAGCATGGCAAACAGCAGATTTGTTTCAAGGATGATCCTTTCACATTAACTCCTAACTTTGGAGTTAGTTTACACTAACACTCTAATGAAGCTGTGTCCCTGTACTGCTGGGCATAAGTCAACCCCAAAGGGACAAGCTCCTAACATCTGATTCAGTAGTTAACATGAGGAAACATCCACTTACTTCCATTAACCCTTAAAAATTTGGGACTTGCAACCAGGCAGAAAGACTATTCCCATCAGTCTCTACCATCACTTCCCAAGAGTGTATTATTGTCAGCCCCAAGAGCACAAAATCATCTAATAACAGGAGGACCTGCCTCCTCCATGAGTTTATCTAATTGTCTCATAAGCTTGCACAATCCTGTTTAAAATTTAATAAATAAAAAAATACACACATTACCCACAATTTCTGGCTGCAACCCCCAAAAGGCAATCCCACCAAAAAAAAAAAAAAAAATTAATCTGGCATGGCAACTTCTCATTTCCTAAAGGGCCTTGTGCATACAAACATTAAAATAAAAACTACAATTGTGCCTAGGGATTAATTATAGCTTTGCCAGCAATTTAAAAAGTGACTACTTCTTTGCATTTGTCAATTGCCTTTCACTCATTTCCTGAAACTCTACCCTTAGGAGAATCCTGTCCCCTCATTTCAAAGATCCACTCAAGAACAGGCAATGACAAAGAGTAGAAGGGCTAGTGAGAGACAAAAGAAGGCAAAGCTCCCAGGCTGCTCTAGGCGGCACCTTACAGGCACCCCTAGCTCTGTGGCAGAGCTGCCGGCCCTGCTACCACCTTCCTGCTCTTCAGTGGAGACTCCCTCCCAACCGCTACCCACCTTTTCACCTGGAAGAGAGGGACTAACGTTGGTGAGTATGACATAACCAAAGTCTTGCATCTGAGGAGTTGGCAAAATGATGATAGAAAAAGCTGGGAATCGAGGGATGAAGTAAAAGTGAAGCGCTAAGAACAAGAAGGCCACGAGATGGGTCCTTCTCCTGTGATTCTGTCACAGAGAGGAGGGAAACTCTATTTATAATCACCCCACACAAACCAGGTTTACATTGACCATGATAACGTATGACAGTTCCAGCAGAAGATTAGCATCTTGGGGATGACTATGTTGCCACTGTCTACTAGCCATGGTCACAGCCTCTGGTGTGGCTAATTCACATTACAGAATGGGAAGGGGCAGGGCCAGAAGAAATATCCCATGATAAGACTGCCCAGTCACCTGAAGGTCTTCTGGGCATTTGCCTTATATTCCTTGGCACCCAGCAGAAGAATGGTCCCCAGAGAAAATGGTTCTTGTCTGAAAATCACCCAGGATAGCCAAATCTAAGGGGAGTGCTGCGCTGCTTAAAAAGGTTTGTAATGTGGAAAAAGAGGAAGGTTAATTAGCACTTTTCAAACTCCAGACTCCCAGGTAACACAACAATAAAGCCCTGCTTTTCCCCGCTCACAAAAGTTGAACTGATTTCCTTGGAAAGCATTTAACTAGCTTGGACAAAGAGGCACCTGTCCAGAGAGTTAGAAGTGCTGATGGTTCTTTAAAATTATTTAGGAGCCAGACCTAATTTCACAGGCAGAAAACTAACTAGCTGCATATAATCCTTGAGAGGTTGCTACAATTTCTCGTTCCCTTTCTTGTAAGGAAGAAGAGAAATTGATTGCTATAGTGTGGAACAAGAAGAAATCTGACAAAGGCAAGTCAACTGGGGTAAGAAACAGTATTTGTAGATGAGTTACATCAAAAAATTGAAAAGTTTTGTAGGAGAGGGAGGAAGACTCACTTTAGAAACTGAAAGGTAGAACATTAGAGAGGACATCGCTGTATGAGATCCAGTTCTATGAATTCATCAAATGAAACATAATTGTCTACTATGGTGAAAAAAGAGGCATAGTACAGTAAAAATGAACACAGCTTTTTTTTTTTTTTTAACCATGGGAGGACAAAAGATTTAATTCCTTCACTATCTTTTCGTTGGAGAAACTGAAAATTATTGCCATATTATGGGATGCACTCCCTCAGCAGGAATCCACGTTCACTAATCTGCGTTGTTTTAAGGAGCAAATACTTGTCAATTCTTCAGTGAAAAAACTTTTGTCTTGTTTAAGTCTAAAGTTACTTCCATATTCCTCAGCTGAATTTGGTATAATTTCAATAGAAGAATGAATGAAAATGAAAGCTTTGTCCTGTGGTCCATGAGGACCTGGACCAGATTAGTAGAGAAAACATAAGTATGTGTGCTAATACTTGGTGGCCTAGAGTCCCCAAAATAAACAATAGTTGTGGCTTTAATCTCATACTGCAGTCACATCGAACTTTCCATCTTTTTTTTTTTTTTTTTTTTTTTTTGAGACGGAGTCTCGCTCTGTCGCCCAGGCTGGAGTGCAGTGGCGGGATCTCGGCTCACTGCAAGCTCCGCCTCCCGGGTTCACGCCATTCTCCTGCCTCAGCCTCCCAAGTAGCTGGGACTACAGGCGCCCGTCACTACGCCCGGCTAATTTTTTGTATTTTTAGTAGAGACGGGGTTTCACCGTTTTAGCCGGGATGGTCTTGATCTCCTGACCTCGTGATCCACCCGCCTCGGCCTCCCAAAGTGCTGGGATTACAGGCGTGAACTTTCCATCTTTTAAACATGTGTATTAATGGAGCTATCTCCTCTCTCCAAACCCCACCACTGGCCCTTCCCTTACCCTTCTATTTTCTCAAATTTGTACCCACTCCCTGACCCCCTTTGTTTAGGTGTGAGCCACAAATCCTAAGTAAAGATAAACTTTACCAACTGGGAGTTTTTCCTTTTATCTAAAGCTCCAAATTGTTTTGCTTGTTTTTGGAGTGTTTTTGGCTTTTCTGGTTTTGAAATGTGTTTTCTCAAATAAGCACAATATCCAGAATGGGTTTGCATTAAATGAATGAAAAATCGAATCAGTGGAAACCATTTGAACATGCATGTGTGGCATAGCTTTAAATAAAATTCACTTTATGAATCAATAAGTGAAATGGCAAAAAGGAGAGGTGGATATTATTTAAAAGAAGATGACTGTTTAAACACAAAACCATCACAGAGGGAAGAGAGGTTTAGAAAGGTACAGAAAAAAAAATCTACACCAGGTAACACTGGAGGATGCAGGGCTACATTTGCCACTGAAGAAACATTGTTCTCTTGCATCTGAATTCCAGTGCTTTCCAAATAGATGGGTAGATGATGAAAAATGGAGCAGCTTCTTTTATTTCTTCTTCTTTCCTCCTTGAATTCTAGTACGAGACAGTTCTCTGCCTGCCACCAAGGCAGAAAGCAGCATTTTGCTCACCTGCTCTTCAGTCTGGCAGGGTCCCACGCTCAGTTTTCCAGCATAGCTGCAGGGTGCTATTGTAATGACTCAGGGATGGTGCTGACAACGTGGGTTGCCTCTGTGGCTGCGGGAGGGGAGCCAAAGAAGGTGTTGGTTTGATTCCTCTGCTGATCTCGGAGGTAAGGAGGAACTGACGAACTTTTGATATGGAGGATCCTGGTGTCCATCACCTGACAGTCAATCTGCATCATCACTTCGTAGTCCTGCCCATTGATCACATTCTCTGCAGACAGGAATATACACAAAGAATAAATATTCAACAGAATGTGCATCTCTGCCATAAGCTTCAGCCCCAGAAATACAGAAATGTGCTTTAAGGGTGTGAACTGTCAGTAAACTTTCAAGGGGTGCAGAGGGACTCTCAGTCAGTAAGCAGAGCTACAAGTGGGCTGGGTGCCAGGATCACCTGTTCTCTCCCAATTCTAGCTCCCAAACAACCTCCATTGACTAAACAACGGCTAAAGCAACTGCCAGGGTTAATAATGCCACAGAGCATCTGTCCACAGACATCGTATATCTTGTATGCTTTCTGTGCAGTGTATTACTCTGATTGGAGCAACTGGAACAGAAGGGCTTTTTAGTGGGGAATACAGAGAAGAATCCCTAAGTCCTCCTCCCTGCCTTCAACAATGGGAAGAAACAACTGTCAAAAGGACCAGCATTCCATGTGAATGGTAAGGAGACCCTGGCCAAGTACGCTTAGCTCCTATTCATCAGTAATATTTCTGACTTCATTAAGACACTTCCAACTATGAATTTAAAGGTTTGCCATTAGGAGTGTGAGGTACAGTGAAAACTGACAAGTTATAGACATCTGACAATTATGCTCTTTTCCAGAGATCACTTCCCTTCCATATTGAGGCGATCTTTATTTCCAGAGTTCCTGATTCCAGGCACAAAGTGTCAAGTACAATTCCAACATGGAATTAAAGGGAGTCTACAGAACTTGCAGGTAAGCTAGAGAATATTTACAGAAGGGAATGGGAAAACCATATAGAGTCATGCTTTCTACATATGGGGCAACTCATTATCATGAGTTTAAAATACACAGACACAGACTATACTCCATTCCTACTTCTTAAGAGGATAAAAGCTCTTTATTTTAGGGAGAGGACCAAATTACTCCCTGATTTGTAATTCTGGGTGGTCATCTTCCAACTTGTAGTCAATGAAACTTAGACATAAAACTGATGAGAAAATAAATAATATTTTTCAAGCCCAACTGAACAATCACAGCAATACAGTAAAAAGATGTGTGAACATGGGAGAATTCTGAGTACTTAATATGGCATCTGAGTTTGCATTTTCATCCATGAATCCAGAGCGGGGTGTGGGGCTGGGGAAGAACTGCCGGCAACAACCTAGTTCTGTACTGCCTTTCTACAAAGATGACACAGAGCCAACCAGTGATTTTTAAAATTAAATGTTTGGCTTTTCCAAGACAAAGAATTGAATTTAAACGTAGAATTCTTTCTATTCTACTTTTTTTTTTTTTAACTTTGACACTGAGCATGCCAAGCATTACAAATCTGGAGGAAGAAAATGCAAAGTCTGACATTTGGTCTTCAGATTCCATTGTTATGTATGGGACAACTATGCTGTGGAGCTTGTCACTTAGAGAGCTAAAACAGACTTTTGGAGATCATCTAGTCCAGGGTGTCCTAAATTCAGGTCTAATTTATAGACTTCAGGGAGTCTGTAAGTTCCCTGAAATCATACGCAAAGTTTTGTGTGTGCATGTTTTTGGAGAGAGGGGCCATCAGATTCTGAATGGGGTCTGTGACCCCCAAGAGTTAAAAATTATTAGACAGATCTAATCTATCAATTCTAAGTGTCTTGAGCAGATGATATATTCTATTTTAAATCCAATAGAATACATAATTCCTCCACTTCTGTTGGTCACTCATTTGTTCCAATGTTTAAAATAGTCTTCATTGATGATAAATTTCCCATTACCAGTTTTGAAAATCTCTTCCATTATAGTTGAAGTTAATTTCCTTCTTTCCCAGTCTCAGCAGGGAGGAAGAACAGCTGGTTGCTGCTGTGTATTAACTAACCCTACCTATTCTTTAAGACCGCTGTTATGGAAGCTTAACTCCAATTTCACAAGTACGGCTGCTTTGCAATGGCTATTACTTATCTTTACAGAAATAAATCTGAAAGTCTATAAGTTAGCCAATGTTTCTCATCAAAGGGTTTTCCAAAAAGTAGGAGATGAAAGAAAGAAATCTTGTTAATGTGCCTGGAGTCATTTCATTTACAACACGTGACTAAGTTCAGATTTCAAGGCACCACACCAGTCATTTCCTTTTGGAACCATAGTCCCTCTCTCCCCATTTTAGAAAAACTGAAGGGCTGTGTGTGCGTGTGTGTGTGTGTATGCGCATGCACTGTGGAAGACCAAATAATGGAAAACACATGTATCAGAGACATGCAATACACATTACTAATTCTTACTGGTTTCCTGGATTAACTCAGAATCCAGATGACAGTTTAAGATCAAGACTAGGTTCTCTAATACAGCCCAAACCACCTGCAGAAGTCATTAGAGCCCACGTGCCTGTTATGGTTTAAACTGATAACTGCGGTTTTTTAAAGCTTTAAATATCAAGAAGAGATGGAAAACCTGGGAATGTAAGCTCAGATGCTTTGAGGGAAATGTAAAGCTATGATCTGATTCCAAGACTCAGGAGTTCCTAGCCATGGTTGGAATGGCATTGTCATCTTAAGCCCAACCAGAAGGAGACTCAGGCTAGGTTTGGTCTAGGTGGCTTTAGAACGGGATCTCTTCCTCACACTCTTCTTCTGAAGGTAACAAATTCTGGACCAAGGAAACTATCAGCATTGCTAGAAGACGACTCTACCAGATAGCATGTGAATGCCTGAAGCTGAAGTCAGGAAGCTCCTTCTGAGTGACAAGCTGGATAGTTCAGCATTTGGGGTAACATGCCATTAGGAGTCCCAACATAGCCACATCTCTATAAATGATAAAGGAGTCACAGCAACATTCTCTGGTCTACTGTATGAGACATTATAAAAAGGTTCTTTGGGTGGCTTAGTACTAACACCCTTGGACAGTTAGTGAGGCAATCTCGTCATTACTGACGAGGCTCTAATTATTTTAATTAAAGGAGGACAAACTGGAAACAGCTCGTGGTAACTCATGATCTTTGTAGGTCCCTCCCCTGGGTGGCTGGGCATCTGTTTATATAGTATGCACCCAGGAGCAGCAGAGAGCCCCCAGAACTCCTCTTAATCATGGCAGATGAAGCTCCTGCTACCCTTTACTTTAAGACTTTGAGTTCTGGCCACCCCTGGGAAGAAAGCCACCTTCAATCGTTGCCTACAACTTGCCTGTCAGTCTGAATAAAAACTATCAGATCGAGTTTTAACTGGGGAAACAGAGAAGACTCTGGCTTAGATAGGAAGGAAAGGAAGGTCTCCTGAAGGAAAACACAGGCAGGGATATGAGACACTGAGGATGGACCCCACACTTTCATTAAGGACCAGGTCTTCACTGCTAATATGCAGGGCTCTAGTAAAGAGAAAGCAGTAAAATCATGGGTTTTATGACAAAATAGAACATGGTCAACATTAGATTAGGGAATTGTGAGAGCTGAGTTATGTGCAAAGACTGAACCATTTTTGTAAATGTATACTTAATGAAAAAAGACCATGACTTATTTAGGAAAAATAGAACCAAATAGTACGGGAGTCAAAACATTAAAGGTTCACTCTTCCATCAGCACACATTTGGGCACTGCACAAATGGTTCAAATCTTATGTTCTGGGCTTTCTGAGTAAACAGAATGAGATGAACACTGAACTGAGTCAGGAAAAGGGTATAAAGTATGATTAATTCAAATTCAAAATTAATCAGGCAAATAAAAAGGAAAGAGCTAAATGGCTTCAAATATGAGCACTAAACTATGATTCTGAATGCCCAGAGGGTTGGAGAAGCCAGAAAAAGTGTCTGGACATTGGAGGTGGAAAAACTCTAGGCAATGTGGAATTTTGAACAGCCTGTTAACATGCAATAACTGAATTAAGCATGGCCTGCCAAGAGACTGTTAGCTGGGAGATGACTAACACACTAGCCAGACACCTTGATCATAAACAATTAAATATCCAAAACATTTACATGAAGTTTAATATTAAAAAGTGATAAGACTTCACCAGTACTTTGCAAAGAAGCATAAATAATGAGATTTCTATTCAGAATCAAACACTAACCCTAAAAAGAGGTAGCTTTCTCTGTGTAAACTAGGCTGGTGACAGGTAGTGCTGCTGTATATGTGCCTGAATCCCCTGGGGTGTGGGGTACACAAGTGTGGAGGCATGGAAGGTAAATAAATATCCACTCACTCATGGACCACGAGAGACCTCTTCAACAAAAACAAACAGAAAAACAAGGGAGGCGGGAACACAATGAACAAGGAAGTGGTAGAATGTCATGTTTTTACTGTGGTTTCCAAGAACTTCCCTAAGTTAACTCTACTGTGCCATTCTTACTTATAATTTTCAATCTGAGTCCTGGTTTTGACCATCCCTACACACCATGCACTGCATTTCTGTTAGTATTTTTTCCCTCTGCTTGGCAAACAAACAAACCCCCTCCTTTCCTGCTCTTTTCTGCCCAGTCTAATTTTCTACTTAGTCCAATTCTATTAATTCTTTGAGGCCCACTTCTTCTTATAAACCTTCCATGGGAACTCCAATATTGATCTTTTCCCTTATAACCAATTTATAAATGTTCCATTTAATTGAATAATGTTAAAATACTTTTAGAAATGAAGTTTGGCTCCCTTAAGAAGTGCCTGGCAAAAATTGAGGTGGGGTGAAATTGAAGCTGGTCAGGGAGCGTGGTAAAACTAGAGCCCCTCAGTTATAAGTGGGAAGAACGCTGAGTGAGTAACAGTAAAACTGCAGATGGGGTAAGTGCTTCCAAACTCAAGAATCTTTCTGGAGGCTTAAGGGAGAACACATGCATGGGGCAAAGAGCTTCTGGCCACCACCACGTATTCCTTTTGCTGAAATAAATTAAAAACAGTTCCTCTGACAGGAGAGATTCAGGATGGGAAGTGTCCAAAGGCAGGGAGGGAAAAAAAGAGACAGCACACATTCAGCTGTGACATAGCAGAATTTGTTCACTGTGATAAGGGTATTGTGGACACTGGGCAATGAGGATTCAGATAGGGAGAGCTTGTCTAGTTAGATGATCTATAATGATGTCACAAAACAAATGTATAGGCCTCGCTAGAACAGTGTATGTAAAAACCACCAACCTTCCAGGCACTCTAAGTGGTCATGATGATTGAAGGGTATTACTAAAATTTAGTGAGCAGGGGTCAGGGATGCTGGCCGTTCTGTGACACACAGGACAGTCCCATATGACAACTGTCTTATATCTCATATAATTCACGTAGGTTAAAAAGAAACTTGATTATTACTAAATTAGTCTAGAAGCTCACTGTTTTAAATTTAAATATAAAGTACTTTTACATGAGTTTAATATACCCTAAATTTCCAGGAACGAAGCTACTGAATAATAATTTACTTAAGAAACACTTAGTGTTTCTGTGTGCTAAACACTGCTCATCTAATTCTTGTAACAAGCTCCTAAATGAGGAAGAATTATTATTATTCCTATGTTGTAGATGAGGAAATGAAACATGGAGACATCACGTGACTAGCCACTCAGCTGGCAAATGGCAGGAGAGATTCAAACCTAAGCAGTATGGCTTCAGAATCCTTTCTCACCACCATTCCACTTTGCTGGGAGCATTGTTTTTGTCTGAATTCAATCAAGAATTGTCTATCATTTCAGAAAATCACATCATCTATGGTCAAAGACACTCCTGATATCTGAGTCACCACCAGGAACACTTGGATCAGTCTGTATTTGTTACATTCACAGTGACAGTACAGATCAGTGCAAGCGTCTGACTTGTTCACTGTCTCCTAATGCAATAGAAGCATTATGATATATTATATATATATAATGCCTGAACATTAAATATTCATTTATTCAACAAACATTTAGTGAATTCCTACCACATGACAGGCACAGGGGGACACAGTAGTAAACAAAACGGAAAAAAAAATCCTGTCCTCATGGAGCTTAATTCTTATAAAAAAAGAGAGTGAGAGGGTGGATACAGAAAATAAAGAAAATAAGTTATAGAGAATGATGAATAAGTGCTATGGGGGGAAAAAGCATGGAAGTTGATTAGGGATTGAGTGTGGGGTGAGGTGGGATGGGAGAGTAGCTTGCAGTTTTAAGTGCAGGGCCCAGAGGAGGACTCTCTGAGAAGGTGACCTCTAAAGACTTAAGGAGGCAAAGGGGGAAGAGTTGCACACACGTCTGAGTTTCCAGGAGGACATTTTAGTGGAGAGGACTGGCAAGCAGTAAGAAACTGGGGTGGGGACTGATACTCTGCAGGAGAAAACAGGGCTAGAACCTGTAGGCTTGGGACTTATATGTAGAAAAGAGATAGATGGAGCCCTGGGGCCATAGGGTATTACTCTTGGGGAGAGAATGCTGGGAACACCTGTGTTAAGAAGGAGGGGCATAATGGGAAAAGAGAAGGTTTGTGGTTCCATCAGATAATTGGGAGAGCACTTTTAACTGATAAACCACACTCAATTTGTAACCTTCACTAATTCATTCAACAATTATATGAGCACTGATTATAGACCAGTAATGGCCAGGTACTATTACAGACTCATAAAGATTTAGATTCTGTATCCAAATTAGACAGAGGGAGGATTGCCTAAAGGAAAACAGACACCACAAAATGGATCCACAAAACCGTAGTCAGCATTTACTGAGTGGCTTAAGAAACTGGGAGGAATTACAGAAGATGAGTTTTTTTCCCTTGTGCAGCTTACTCAAGTTCTGTGAAACCAGAAATTACATTTAAAATACTGGTAAATCATCAAACAAATGCATTTCCTCAGGTCTTCTCCTATGACCAAAACTCTAATAGCACTCCCAAATCATATCTGTTCTTTTCCTTCATAGTATCTGTTACAAAGTGTAATTAAACTTTGGCTTATTTGCTTATTTAATAATGTGTGTCACCCCTACTAGACTATCCACTCCATAAATTCAGAGAGAACATCTGTTTTGTTCACCACTACATGCCCAAAGCTAGCACAGTGCCTGGCACCCAGCAGATGATGAAAATATAGAACACAACCTTCAGCAATGAGAAGGCTGTCCTCTAATACTTGCTGGTCAAGTCATCAAGAAATCCTTTGCTTTCTGAAAATTCAACCATTCTTGGCTCCAACTTGAGAAAGTGCCATCGCAGAATAGTTCCAGAAATGGTGGTTTCTGGATTTCTAATATCCTCAAATACAAATTTAGACAATACTTTGTTAAGACCTTGTCCCTAAAACACAATCAAAGTCACTTCTCTTCAACCTCAAGCTTATCTGTTGAATTCATAACCATCAACAATGACTCTTTGAAAGGTGACCCAATGACATTTCTCCCTTGGGAAATTTAGCAGCCTATGCCACAGAGGTCTAAGCTATATATGGTCAAGTTCCTATAATATTTTCAATCAAGTTTAGCTCCCCTAGGGCTTTTGATAGTCTTCTAGGACTATTTCAGGAAATCTGGCTAATTCCATTAAAGTTCAAAGACTAATGGTATTAGATTTGCTTTTCACTGGACCTGGCTACTCTTTTCCAAAAATGCTGCCCACAACTGTGGGAGGTTTCTTCATTAGATCATAGAAAAGAATATCATTTCATCGATCTCAAACACTTCTTGAAACACCATTAAAAAGAAAATGACTAACAAAATTATTACGTATTTTCTTCAAATAGAGTTTCTAGACTACCAAACTGACATCTGATTATGTAGTTACAATTAGTGCCTCAAAAACAGAAAACAAGTGAACTTCAGGTGTGTGTACAAAGGGGCCCATGAGAAGACTGGGTTGGGGTAAAAAATCATTTTGAAGGCTGAGTGAACTAGCCCTGGAACCTGATTCACTGTCCTAAACACAGCTTGGAGGTTTAGCCTGGGGTCATCAGCCAACATGAGGAATGGCCTATTACTTTCTGGCTTCTAATGATTAAAACACTGGCACCATGTACTAGAAAACTGTTTTATGTCACAATCTGAAATTCAAGACCCATAAAAACTAAACCAATGTTCAGAAGCACGTCCCTATAACATCCAGTAACCATGAAATAACTACCCTGAAAACAGATTAAGGACCAAACCTCTGCAATGACTACTGTTTGCCAAAGAGTACTCTTTCTTCTGAAAAACTATGGCTCTTTAATTGCATTTAAAATCAAGGCATGGGAATTACATGTTCTTCTCAGAGTATCAAAATGGCATTCTCTGCAATATCTCTGCCCATGGTGTTGGGCAGGCTAGCTTCTACAAGGAATCACTGAATTAAATTCTAGAGCATGAAGGAACTTTAAAGGATAAGAGGAATGATACTACCAAATTACTCTCTGCCTATTAAAAAGCCTGGCATATGTTTTACTGATAAAATGGAATCTTAAAATATTTTGGATAGTTGTCACACAACACCACGAATATTCAGGGGAAAAATGTATTCAAAGGCTAGAATAACTGCCTTAAGTTAAAATGATTGAGATCTGACATGACACTATAATTTTAGACCAAAACCCCATAAACGGAATTCTCTTATATGCAGTCAGAAAGCAGTTTGTATAACACTGAAGACAACTGTTCTTCAAATTTGTGTTTTCATAGGAGGGAGTGTCTCTTCCTGCTATGATTTGGATATTTGTCCCCTCCAAATCTCATGTTGGAATCTGATCTCTAATGTTGGAGGTGGGGCTTAATGGGAGGTATTTGGGTCATGGGGCAGATCTCTCATGAAGAGATTAATGTTCTCCCTCAGGGGTGAGCGAGTTCTTGATTTATTAGTTCCCATGGGAGCTGGTTGTTAAAAAGAGTCTGGCATCTTCCCTCTTTCTCTTGCTGCTTCTCTCATCATGTGATTTCTGCACACACAGGCTCCCCTTCACCTTCTGCTGTGAGTAGAGGCAGCCTGAGGCCCTCACCAGAAGCAGATGCTGGCACTATGCTTCTTGTACAGCCTGCAGAACCGTGAGCTAAATAAACCTCTTTTCTTTATATATTACCCAGCCTCAGGTATTCCTTAAAGAAATGCAAAACAGACTTACTACCATACCTGCACAGGTAATAAAGCCTGTTGGAGGACAAAGAAACAGGTTGGACACCCCCATTTCCAAACTCCTGAGGCCTCTCAGACACATCTACTTCTGAGCCTCAATTCAACTCAGACACACTCCTAGCAGTAATCACACTAGAATATCAGTTCCCTATGGACAGGTGTTTTTATCTGTTTATTCACCACTGAATCCCCAGTCCTTGGCACACAGAAGGCACTCAATAAATATATTTTGGAATAAACGAATGAATGAGGCCTTGGTTGTGTAGACATGGCCCCACAGGAGGCTGATTTAAAGAGGGTGTGGGTGACAGTGATCTCCTCTGCTAAACTCAAGAAACTGAGCTAAGCAAGAATTAGCATAAGTCAGCTGCCTCAGGAGAGACAGGTTGTCCTATAGATTCAGTTTTTAACTAGATAATTCCTTTCCCCTCCAAAAAAGGGTGAGAATGGGGTTAAGTACAGGGTGGAGACCAGTCTGAGAAGTCAATGTCTGAAACATTATTTGCCATTCTGGGTCTCATGTTCTCCATTGTCAGCAGTTCTCAGTCCACGCTGAACTTGGCTGCTTTTTAATCATATAATGTTCAGCAAAGCCTAGACATTTGAGTACATTCAAGTGTTTACTTCCTTCAGTTCCTTACAACTGATCGTTTTGTCGGCTTACATAAGTGAAACCAAGGAAACATCCTCATAAAGGTGTCTGGATTTATAAATAGTTTTATTGCTCCGTTTAAGTTCTGCAACATGCAGCCCTCCTTGCAGGCAAGTTTCATTAACAATAGGTAAGGCCAAATATATGTTGAGAATCTGAGATCGTGAATTCAATCTCATCCTTAGATGGAATCTAATCACCTGTTGAGTCATTTAAAATTTTACTTTTTAAAAATTTTTAAAAATGTAAATTTTAAGTTTATCTTTCAAAAATAAAGGTGGGGACAACAGTAGGATTTTTTTAAAGTCTTGCTTAAGAGACTAATGCAGATACTACTCTCAGCAATACAATCATGTGAAAAAAGTAACTGATGACTGCCTTCTTTAAACAATTCTTATAAATGACTGAAGCTCACTTTGGTATTTTCAATATTTACTTTACTCTTGCAAATGAAGTGATCAGAAAATATTAATTCTGGAAAAGATGGGATAAAGGATTTTCTCTTTCGCTACTATTGGAAACCGATCTAGAAAAGCTGTCTAACAAAGTACTAAGAAAGGATCTCCATATTATTCAGATAAAAAGTACTGGAGGATTCATGATTGAACAACTAGTAGTGGTCACTACCAAGTACAATTAAGGCACTGCTCTGCCATGAACTGATAATCCAAACCAAAAACATTAGGAACGTACCCTTTCTTCAGAGTCTCAAAAGGAATGGCTTAAGGTACTTTGGGAGGCTGACGGGGGGGTGGATCACTTGAGGTCAGGAGTTCGAGACCAGCCTGACCAATGTGGCGAAGCCCTGTCTCTACTAAAAATACAAAATTAGCCAGATGTGGTGGCGCACACCTATAATCCCAGCTACTCGGGAGGCTGAGACAGGAGAATCACTTGAACTTGGGAGGCAGAGGTTGTAGTGAGCTGAGATCATGCCATTGCACTCCAGCCTCGGCAAGAAGAGCAACACTCCATCTCAAAAAAAAAAAAAAAAAAAAAAAAAAAAAAAGGCGTGGCTTAAGGACTATGGAATATTTTTTATTTCTATAATATGAAATAATTTGGAATATACTATCTTGCACACTAAATAATTGTTCCTTTCTGTGAATTCTGATATACTACTACTTAAGCATATAAATAGCAACATTTATGACTCTGATAACAAATGCTTCTTTTTTTCAGAAATTATTGAGATTTTTGAATTATTATAAAATGGACATAGACAAGTCATCTCTTGCTATGATTACACTATTATTCTGAGCCATAAAAACGAATTCTTTTCAGCAGGTGACAAAGACTCTCATTAAACTAACTCTAATCAGATCTCCATAAGCCCCCTGCTCAAATGGGCCTGACCCTGGGCTTCCCTCTCTGTCCTTACAGAATCCAGTTTGAGCAAGAATCCGGCTAAAGTTTAACAAAAATCCTCCACCCTTGTTATCTGATTACCCTCGACATCTAATCACCCTGGCCTGCCTTCAGCAAGAATTCTGTTGAGTCCATCTAGCAAGAATCTCCCTTACATTGGTGTTTCCACTTAGTAATTTTCCATCTACTGACCCCCACACCTTGCTCCTTGGCTACAAATCCCTACTTGTCCTTGTCAGAGTCAGACTCCAGCCCAATCTCTCTCCCACACTGCAAGACTCCACTGCCGTAATCCTTGTATCGTTCCCATAGCCTCCCTTGAATAAAGTCTTCTCTATTGTTTTCAACAAGGGTCATGAATAATTTTTCTTTAACACAAGGAAATCACTGCTCTTAGTTCTATTTCTATTTCTCTCGGAAAATGGAAGCAGTCATTCTTACACATATACCGAGTGAATTCTGGTGCTATAGCTCTGTAGGTAAGAAGCCAAATGGTATTTTAGAAAATTGAACAGTGAATTAACCATAAAATGCTCTGATGAATAAATGTCATATCTTACTTGCTTAGGAAAGAGTAAGAACAGAGAATGAAGGGTAACAGCCAGGGATGGAGTTCAGGGGCGAGAAGTTTTTTGCTTTCATTTGTTTTAGAAACTAAAATCACAAAATCAGCAATTTTTTGTTGGTTTTTTAGAAGACCTGCCACATTAAAAATTATAAATACTGAATGAAAAATGGGCAAAATTGAGTAAATATCACATTCCAGTGTTCCATTTAACTGTGAAGATAACAAACACTGCTGAAAACCAAAAACTAGGCCTGCTCCATCCCCCAAGGGCTTTGCAGAATGTATGCAACACATGCTCTGAGAAGAGCTTGGAGACCAAATTCCCAGAGATTCCTGGTTGTAACTATGGAACTCAAACCATAAAGAGATTTTTTAGCAAGGATGTCATTTTGACTTTTTGAACTCCAGAGAGTTTCTCATGCTCTTTTATGGAACAATTCCTAATAGGTGGCACTGATACAGCAAAAACATAGTCTTTCTGGAGGATCCATAGTTGTATCGCTGGAGTGTTAACACCAAGGTAAATCAAAGAGAATTCTTCCCCAGGCTCCTCCTAATATTCACTTCTGTTTGATAAAGACTCTGCAGGGGCCAGGTGTAGTGGCTGACGCCTGCAATCCCAGCACTTCGGGAGGCCAAAGCAGGCAGACTGCTTGAGCCCAGGAGTTCGAGAGCAGCTGGGGCAACATGGAGTACTCCTGTCTCTATGAAAAATACAAAAATTAGCTGGGCATGATGGTTTGTGTCTGTAGTCCCAGCTACTCAGGAGGCTAACACCTGAGCTTGGGAGGTTGAGGCTGCAGAAAGCTGAGATCTAGCCACCGCACTACAGCCTGGGTGACAGACTGACACCCTGTCTCAAAACAAAAGAAAACAAAACAAAACAAAAACAGACTCTGTAGGTCTGAAGTCAGGTACTCAGTAGCATCTTACGTAAGTACTTAAGCAGGAGACATAGAAATGTGCTCATCAAAGCAGGTGGCCAAGGGCTGAATGTCCCAGGGTGGTATCAGGGCAGGGACTGTTCAGATGAGATGTCTAACCAAATTCCCAATTATTTGTGATTCATTGAGCCAGCATGCGTGAAATGCTTATATAACATAGCTTCTATCTTTAAGCAGTTTACAATCAAGTTGGTAGGTAAAATACATATGGAAGAAAAATACTAGTAACAGTTCACAAGACCAGATATGAAAAATTACAGGAAAATATGACAGTATGCCTATATCTAACACAAATTAACAAACAGTAAACTTGTTATTAGGATCCCATTTGTAGTTTTGTTGAAAAAGATAAGTATACTATCTCCCAGTGAAAAGTCATTCAAGAATAAACGCAGTAAGGATGGGATGGTGTTTTGGAAACTGCAAGACTTATCTGTGAAGTCCAAACATACTGGACTGGCATAGTGACAACAGTGATGATTATGGTAAATTAAGGAAACTTCTGTCCAAACAAAGAAATTAATAGAACTGCCTTTAACCCAAGTGCAGATATATAAAAGTGCTCAAGGGTAAGGAGAAATAAAGAGATTAATTCCTACTGGAGCAAATGGGAATGGAATAAGAAGGTGACTGAGGGCATTGGTGTTTTGTTTCATTTTGTTTTCAAATAAATGCTTTGGTTTAAATTACTGATAGGATCCAACTTCTGTAATTAACGTGCCATTCTTACTTTTGCAGACTTGTTCTATCTTGCTATCATTTGCAGGTTCACTTTATCATAAGCCATGTGCAGCATATAATAGAAATGAGAATTATAAACCTTACTCAAGTTGTGTATTTAAGAGCTGGTATGTGTAAAGGAGCTTAGGACGGTGCCTCCTGTTCCTAAGGATATGGACACCACCTCAAAATAACTGTATTTTACTCTCTACAGAGGGAATTTTTAATGAAGAAATGAACCAGGATGAGATACAATGCCAAACACTGCATTTAACCTTCTTTGCCAAAACTTGTATAGAGCTGGATAACCAATGGCCTGACTTATTGGTGCACTTCTTTTAGGTCTGATTACCATGTGCAGATTTAATTCAGAGTGACAAAGAATGCCAGGCCATGTTGTACAAACACTTGCTTTCCTGACCCCCAGACACCATTATTGCATATTTAGTTCCCTGGCCTTAAGTCGTCCTGCCTTCTGGTTTCTTTGCCCATTGGATAACTCTGAGGAGGCAGTGGTGAGAGCTTCCTTGCAGCAGAGGCTGCATGAGATTAGAAGACACATGAGATCCTTGACATGCTTGCTGATCCTGCAATACAACACAGTGAGATGACAAGCCTACATTTTGCACAAATGTAGGGGAAAGAATCAAACAGACGGTAATGATGATAAAAGGAGAGTTACAGAAATACCCATGTGTAGTTTATCTACAGAACAAACTGCATACCTTGTATGCATAGAACTGAACAAATTACAAAGAAAACCAGGCATTTCATTCATCCATGAGATGGATTCAAGATTAGAGCTGTGAAGAGCTCTGAACTGACATGGTCCCTTCATTGTGGACATTAAGAATCTCAGGCCCAGAAACACCTGGGTTTATTTTAAGTTCTGTAACTTATTCTCATTATTCCTGCTGCTTGGAGACAGTCCAAGGGAAGGACTGCTCTTCATCCTCTATGATATAGTAACTGATGAAAAATTATTTTAAAAGTGCAAATTACACCAAACTACTTTATTTGGCTGAGTTTTATTTCAGAACTTAACTTACAACTTTTTCGGATTCTGGCCTAACTGAGCACCAAACTGCATGTGGATCAGAAGACCAGTCTTGGTTTTAGCTTTGATGCTGCTATACCATATCATTTTGGGGAAACTCACTTAGCTTCTTTGACTTTCTATTTTCTAATCTGTTTTCATTCATCAAATATTTATTGAGTGCCTGCTATGTGCCCAGTATGTTACAGGTGCTGGAGTGGAGAAGTGAACAACAAAACAGATGAAAGCCCTACCCTCACAGCATTCACATTCTAGTGAGCAGATGGTAAGCGAGAGAAGTAAGTAAATACACAGTATGTTTGAAAATGATAAAGACTAAGGATAAAACTAAAGCATGGAAGGTGGATATGACATGTTAGGGGCTAGACTGGAATTTTGCAAAGAGTGGTCTGGCAAGTCCTGACCAGCAAGATGGCTTTTTGTGTGCGTGTGAAAAGGTGATTTTTTGTTCGAGACCTGGCAGAACTGGGGGAGCTAGTCAAGCAGGTGTCTGGGGAGAGGGCATTACATATAGAGGGAAGAGCAGGTATAGAGGCCCTGAGGCAGGAGCGTGCCCTGAGTATCTGAGGAATAGTAAGGTGACCAGTGTGACTGAAGCAGAGAGAATCAAGGGAAGAGTAGGAGGCGATGAGGCTGGAGAGGAAACCAGCGGACCACTCTCCTTACAGGTTGTATTAGTCCGTTCTCACACTGCTATGAAGAAATACCTGAGACTGGGTAATTTATAAAGGAAAGAGGTTTAATTGACTCACAGTTCCACATTGCTGGGGAGGCCTCAGGAAACTTACAATCATGGCAGAAGGCAAAGTGGAAGCAGGCACCCTTTTCACAAGGGGGCAGGACTGAGTTAGTACAAGCAGGGGAAATGCCAGATGCTTATAAAACCATCAGATCTCGTGAGACTCACTATCATGAGAACCGCATGGGGGAAACAGCCCCCATGATCGAATTACCTCCACCTGGTCTCAATCTTGACATGTGGGAATTATAATTCAAGATGAGGTTTTGGGGCTGGGTGTGGTAGCTCATGCCTGTAATTCCCACATTTTGGGAGGCCGAGGTGGGCGGATCACGAGGTCAGGAAATCATGACCAGCATGGCCAACATGGTGAAACCACGTCTCTACTAAAAATACAAAAATTAGCCGGGTGTCACGGCGCATGCCTGTAATCCCAGCTACTTGGGAGGCTGAGGCAGGATAATCACTTGAACCCTGGAGGCGGAGGTTGCAGTGAACCAAGATTGCGCCACTGCACTCCAGCCTGGGTGACAGAGTGAGGCTCTGTCTCAAAACAAACAAACAAACAAACAAAAAAAGATGAGGCTGTGGGTGAGGACATAGCCAAACCATATCACAGGTCACACAGATTTGGGCCTTGATTCTAGACAGATGTGACATGATTGGAAGGTCGGAGTAGTAGCATCATGAACTGACTTAAATTTTAATAAGATCACATTGATTAGTGACTTGCTTATTTCAAAGTGTGTGATAATCACTGATATTTCCAAAGTTCTTAAGGATTAAATATGATGATGTTTGTGGAGGACTTTCAGGATGTCAAGTGATATGAAATGGGAGTAATTGTTATTGTGTGGAGTCAGTGTGTGTGGCACAGTGGAGAGACATCAGGCTTTGGAATCACAGACTTCATCTATAACATGGGGATATTAATACCTAACCCATAGGGTGGTTGCAAGAGTTAATAATGTCAAGTACTGTACCTATCACATGCAACACACACCTCTGAATACAGCAACAACTGAAAGGTGTCACTGCATTCTGGAGCACAGGAAAAGAGCCCTAGGAATCAGCCATCCTGGGGTCTAGCCCTTACCTTCCACTGCCTCACAGTCTTATGGAGACGAAATAAACTGCATTCTTCATAGTTTGCTCATTTTCTTCATCTCCCCAATGGATGGGGGTTAACAATGATTGCTGTTTTCCTGTGATGGTATGAGGGCTGAGGAGTTAATGCTTCTAACACCACTGTATGAAACGAGATACTGCAGAGTGTTTCTACTGTTAATACAAGTGTGATTAAGACTTACATTAAGGAGGCAGTGAAAGAACCCAGAGAAAGCTGTTGTATTGGAAACAATGTGGCTTTATTTTGAAAACATTACCCAGAGTCTTTTCAGTTCTATGACTTAGTGCAAAAAACAAACAAACAAAACCCCCCCACCCCGCCGAAAAAAAGAAGATAAGAGGAAGAGGAGTAGGACGTGACTTCGAAGAAGACAAAGAAGACAGTGGATGAGAATGATGACAAGCTCGTAGCGGCAGATCTCTATCACACAGTGGAAACAGTTCCAAAGGGGAAAATTTGGCAAGGACTAAACTTTCTTTAAGTCATCATTTAGTGCTAAGAAAGCACTAAAAACTTGTCAAGTTTCTCATCCCTTTTTCATTTTTAAGACAAGTTATCCTAATCTGCTTCTTATAACATAGTACTTCTCACCGGAATCCTTGACATCTCTTCTTTCTGGGCTTCTTAATAAAAACCTTGGGGCTTTTCCTGACTAAAAACAACTAGAATCGCCATGTAGTTTATATGGGTTACCATTCATCTCTAAGGGAGCGGAGCCCGGCTAAAGGCTGAAAACTGGGTTGGTTTATGACAGCAAATACAGGCCATAAACTTTTTAAAGAGAACCTACCTTTCTTGGGATTTTTTAAAAAGCAAGATTTTAAAGCAGTGAAGGCAAGTCTAAGTCCACACAACTTCTCCCACAGACCAACAGTGACTTGTTACTTTTAAACTACTGACTCATCTAGTCAGAATACCTTCAAACACACAAAGCTACCTAGACTATAGCTGGGCCTCACAAACCCCAGACAACTGTAAAGTTCAGTCAACAACCATGTTTTTGCACTATCAGGCATTATGTAATCCTAACAGAGCAATGAATATGCTCAATTTAACCTTTATTTTTTAAGCAGGGCCTAAAATACCCACTTTAATATATAGCCCAGCAGATTCAGTTGATAGGGTACAATAAACAAGGGCTTTTCTCAGATATGTAAGGCAGAGGTGATGCTCTCCCAATGGGAGTTTGTTCCCATGATCAATATGATTCAATTACATAAATATTTACTTAGCAGCTATTATGTGTTGGGCACTGAGAGATGAGTAAGCCCTTGCCCCTGACCAAGGCACTTGCATCTAGGAAAAGAGGCAGCTATGTAAACTGGTATCATCCAGGATAGGTGTGATACGGGTATGCATATGGTACAACAAGAATAAAGAGGAAGGTGCCTACCTAGCCTGGGGAGGTGGAGAGATGACAAAGAACATTTTCTGGCCAGGCACGGTGGCTCACGCCTGTAATCCCAGCACTTTGGGAGGCCGAGGTGGGCGGATCACAAGGTCAAGAGATCGAGGCCATCCTGGCCAACATGGTGAAACCCTGTCTCTACTAAAAAAAAACAAAAAAAATTAGCTGGGTGTGGTGGCACATGCCTGTAGTCCCAGCTACTCAGGAGGCTGAGGCAGAAGAATCGCTTGAACCCGGGAGGCGGAGGTTGCAGTGAGCCAAGATTGTGCCACTGCACTTCAGCCTGGGCAACAGAGCAAGACTCTGTCTCAAAAAAAAAAAAAAAAAGATCTGAAGGAGGTGACACTTGAGACTAAGGGATTCTTCAGCCAGGTCTGAGGTGGGGGAAATTCTACAGAGGGATAAGCATTAGTAAATACATCAAGTCATGAGGTGTGTTGTGCTAGGTAGTACTGAAATACAAAATATAAGTGGAAAATGGGAAAATGAGGCCAGAGAGATAGAAAGAGTTGGTTCACACAGGGTTTAGAATTTATCCCAAAGGCAATAAGGAGACAGAGGAAGGTTTTAAGGAAGTAAGAAACAGGATGGGGATATGTATTTTATTAAAATAAGTCATTGGTGGTAATGTGGAAGATAGATCTGATGAGAAGTGGTTGGATTTGGAGTCCATTTTGAAGGTAAAGTTAATAGGATTGGCAGATGGATCAAAAGTGGATGAAAGAGAAGGCAAGGAATCAAGACTGTTCTAAGTTTCTGGCATGAGCACCTGGGAGACCTAAGATGGGTAGGAGTTTGGGGAGAAAAGTGAAGAGTTCAATTTTGAACAGGCAGGTGTTCGAGAATGTTAGGGAGGCAGCTGAGGAAAGAGTCCTGAACTCAGGAAATAGCTACAAATCTGGGAGACATTAGCTCATAGATAGTATTTAAAGCCATGTGCAGCAGAAACTGCTCCCTGTCCTCCAAAATCCATCACGCTCTTTTTCCTCTAGTAAAAGAACTGCTCCATTTTAGCTGGAAGCCATAGCTACCTACCTAAAGACTATATTTCCTAAATTCTCTTCAGCAAGTTATCATCATGTGACTCAGTTCTGGCCAATGAAATGAGAGCAGATGAAACATGTTTAACTTCTGAGTCCTAAAGGGAAGGGATACGTTCTCACTTCCTATCTTCTTCTTCCTGCTGGTTAGAATACTGACAGGATGCAGGGGCTGAAGCAGCCATCTGGGACCAGAAGATGGAGACAGCATGTTGAGAACAGCAGAGTGCAGGAAAGAAAGAGCGTGGGTCTCCAGTACTAACAAGCTATCCTATCAGTCTTGGACAAGCTCCCACACTTTTATAGGAAAAAGAAATCAACTTTCATCTTGTTTAGGCACCTTCATTCTGGGGCCTCTGTCATAGTAGCCTATATTGTAATTTATATACCATGTGATTGAATAAGATCACCTAATATAAATGACGAGTTAATGGGTGCAGCAAACCAACATGGCACATGTATACATATGTAACAAACCTGCACGTTGTGCACATGTACCCTAGAACTTAAAATACATATATAAAAAAAGATCACCTAGGCCAAAGACTAGAGGGTCTAGGCCTTGGGATATTTCAATGTATAGGGTTTGGGAGAAGAGAAAGAGTCAAATGAGACTGAGAACTAGCATCTAATGAAATAAGATGAAAAACAAAACCAGACAGGAGGTCTCAGTGAAATCACGTAAATAAAGTGTTCCAAGGTGATGTCAAATGTTGCTGGGAATAAGATGAGGATGGAGAAGATAATATGGTAGCATGACGGTGATGGAAACTTTGATAAGTAGTTTCAGTGGAGCGACGAGATGAAAGCCTATTTGGAGTGGGTTATAGAGAGAACAGCAGGAGAGAAGGAGGAAACAGCAAGTATAGATGAGTCTTTTAAGGAGTTCTGCTAAAGAGGATCACAGAAAAGTGAGCTGGTGACTGGAGGGGAAACTAAAATTTAGGGAATTTTTTAAAAGTGAGCACTATTATTATCAAACCCACTGCAATGA
This sequence comes from Homo sapiens, assembly GCF_000001405.40. Classification (NCBI taxonomy): domain Eukaryota; kingdom Metazoa; phylum Chordata; class Mammalia; order Primates; family Hominidae; genus Homo; species Homo sapiens. The sequence goes on along the minus strand of NC_000001.11, from coordinate 161,938,852 downwards.
AAAGTTTTACTAAAAAGCAAGAGATCTGAAATACAGTATGAAGAAGTTACATTTTTATAAAGGAGTAATTCTCTCTTTAAAAAGATAATAGAAACTCACCTTCTTAAAGGAATGGCAGCTTTCCTCATAATAAGCTGTTGAACTTGAGACCTTTAAGGTTAGTATCACAACCTATTGCTATACTACAAATGGAAATAGCAGTGGTTTATGGAACTCATTTGGAAATCAGTGCCTACAACTTAAAAAAAATAATTGTTACAGTGTGATGACTTTCTTCTACTAACTTCTTGCCTGCCTTACATTTCTGGCACCAATGGGTAAAATCTTTGGTGAACTTTTCTCATCTGAAAAATATGACCATTTCCTTGAAATCTTTACACTCTTATGTTTCTCTGATATTCAAAGGGCTATCTCAGATACTGTGAAAATCACTATCATTTAATAGGAAAGGAGATGGGGCAGGACTCTAACTCTTCACACACAATACTCCATTTATAGGCAATTATTTCTTTAGATGTAATTCTAACATATTCAGTTATGTGAGTCCAAAACGCAAATCTATACTTGACACTAGCCAAAAGAGCCCTATAATTTCTATTAGTAGCACAGTCTCATATAATACCTTAAACAAAAATGAGAGCAGAAGGAAGATTCATAGTGCATGGGATGAAGAAAGTGCACTCCAGACAGGCGAACAGTAGATGCAAAGGCCCTAAGGTGGGAGTATGCCTGGCATGTTCAGGGGACAGCAAAGAGGACTCTGTGCATGCAGAGGAGGAAGCAAGGGTAGAAGGCTAGAAAATGAGGTCAGAAAAGCAAATGTGTTTGTGTACATGTGTGGGAAGGGGAGGCAGAACCATGTAGAGTTGTGCAGGCAATTGTCAGGGCTTTAGCTTTGACTCTGAGTGAGATGGAAAGCTACTGGTAAGTTCTGAACAGAGGAGTGGCGTGATTTTTTTTTTTATTATCTTTTCAGTTCTGGGATACATGTGCAGAACGTGCAGGTTTGTTACATAGGTATACATGTGCCATGGTGGTTTGCTGCACCCATCAACCTGTCATCTACATTAGGTATTTCTCCTAATGCTATCCCTCACCTTGTCCCCCACCCCCCGAAAGGCCCCGATGTGTGATGTTCCCCTCCCTGTGTCCGTGTGTTCTCATTGTTCAACTCCCACTTATGAGTGAGAACATGCAGTGTTCGGTTTTCTGTTCCTGGGTTAGTTTGCTGAGAATGATGGTTTCCAGCTTCATCCACGTCCCTGCAAAGTCCTTTGTCTTTTTATAAGAGCAGTAATTCCATTCATGAGGGCTCTGCCTTCATGACCTAATCACCCCCATAAAGGCTGATTTTCATATCATTACATTAGTGAAGAGATTTCAACATACGAATTTTAATGGGACACAAATATTCCAACAGAGATGAATTATTTATGGTAATTATGGTGTTGAAGTAACCAGAGATAAAAGGCATTAAGGTGATTTTTTTTTTTTTTTTTTTTTTTAACTGAGAGGGAGTCTCACTCTGTCGCCCAGGCTGGAGTGCAGTGGCACAATCTCTGCTTACTGCAACCTCCGCTGCCTGGGTTCACGTGATTCTCCCAACTCAGCCTCCCGAGTAGCAGGGACTGACTACAGGCATGCCTCACCACACCTGGCCAATTTTTGTATTTTTAGTAGGAGTGACATAATTTAAGTCTTAACAGGTTCATTCTAGCGTCAATATTTTAAAAAGACTAAAGAATGTAAGGGTAAATACAGAAAATGTTAGGAATCTATTTCTGATGATTTGGTCCAAAGTGGTAGTGCAAGAAGGTAAGAAGTAAGAAAGGTATGACTCAGGATGCATTGTGAAGTAGAGTTTGCTGAGGGATTAGATATGGGATGTGGGAGGAAACAAAATGGGTCAAGGATGACTGCAAGGAAGGTTTTTGGCTGTGCAATGTGAAGGACGGATATGCTTCACTGTGACTAGGATGAGAAGACTACAGGAGAAGGTTGAGGGTGGAAATCAGTTTGGTTAAGTGTGAACTGACAGGAATCATCTAAGTGAAGATATTTAACAGGCAGTTGGTTACATGCATTTGGAGTTCAGGGATTAGAGTGGGTTTGGAGGTATAAATTTCCCTTCCTGTTAAATATTTATAAAAATGTGAGTGTGGATATTAAACACATGCTGATTAAGTGCATAGCCAAGTGACTTACTGTCATAGTTAGGGTCCCAAAACAGCTTCATAGGTAAGAAGAAAACGAGCAAACTCCAACAAGATGAAATTTAATATGTCAAAATGTAAAATCCCATACAAATATATGATGAGAGAGATAGGGTAGAACAGAGACATGTTTGAAAAACATCTGTAACATTTTAAAATAACTTAAAGAGTGTAATAATTGGATTGTTTGCAACTCAATGGATAAATCCTTGAAGGGATGGATACTGCATTCTTCATGATGTAATTATTTCATGTTGCACACCTGTATCAAAACATGTCACATACCCCATAAATATATACACCTACTATGTACCCACAAAAATTAAAAATTAAAAAAAATTAAAAAGAAAAACATCTGTAGGTTTTAGTCAAGTGTAAGTTTGACAAGTCAAAGGTGAAATATAACTGCTCCTCAAATTCATGCCAACTAAGGTTGTGTTAAGAACACAACAAAAAAGGTGATAGTTCCATTCTCACCTGCTAATTAACACACCAGTAGCGTTGTGTTCCATTCTGAGTTGCTTCGAACCTAAACCATAAGGGAGCAAATGAAGAAACTGTATTTCTATGAGCAGATGTGGAGAAGATGTGGGATACAAAATGGCCATCTTCAAAGACCTGGTAGCCTACCACGTGAAGACGGCATTAAGGCTTTTTCTCTGAGGCCTAAAAATACTGAATTAGAACCAATAATTGAAAAGCACAGATTCTGGAGCAGTAACAGAAAGAAATTTCTAACATTTATAACTGTCTGAAAAAGGAATGGAATATAATCAATTCCGTTTCTTTAGAAATGCTCGAGCATTGCCACTCTTTACTGAGAACCTATTATGAATGCTTTCATATGCTGGACCTATTATATTACTAGGCACTTTATAGAATATATTAAATCATTCTTTCCTACAGTCTCATATGAGAAAATTACAACAGAGAAAAGTGAGCAAATATTATGTTGGTGCAAAAGTAGCTGTGATTTTTGCCATTAAAATGGCGAAAACAGCAATTACATTTGCACTAACCTAATAATACAGCTAAGGAAAAGATGGGATTACACTTGTCTCTGTCTGTTCAGGCTGCTGTGACAAACTGTATAGACAGGATGGCTTATAAAAACCAGAAATTTATTCCTCACAGTCTGGAGGCTGAGAAGAACTAGATCAAAGCACTGGCAGATTTAATGTCTGGTGAGGGTTTGCTTCCTGGTTCACAGATATTCATCTTCTCACTGTGTCTTCAAATGGCAGAAGGGGTGAGGAAGCTCTCCAGGGCCTATTTTATGAGAGCACTAATCCCATGCATGAAGCCTCTGACCTCATACCAAAGGCTCCATATCACAGTATGGTAGGGATTTCAACATATAAATTTTGGGAGGCTACAAACGCTTAGTTTACAGGAACATCTATACCTACCTATCTCAAAAGTCCATGATTACATACGAGTCTATCTCTCTGTCTGTCTCTCTCTGCATTCCCTGGATATTTTCAAGTGTGTAAAGAGGATTAGGGCATTCTTATTAACAACATGGAATAAAAAATATTCCACCTAGTTTATAAGTACTTGCTAATCTAAAGAGCTTTGTGACAATGTTGTACCAATTACTGAAACCCATTTGCATCTGTCTTTCTTTACAACTGAGTGCAGAACCTACTAGATTTCCCTATAAAACCAGATTATCTGTAATGAAAGGTCACTTGAATCAAGGGTAGGCAGAGAAGTAATTCTGTTTTGGGGAGGAAACTTCTTGGGAATGGTTATCACAATGGATGATACCCCAAGAACAAAGCAGACAATGTGAAAGTTGGTCATGACTCTTCCCCTGTTTCTAGGAAAACATGGGTTACCTTAGGAACATGGATTTAATGCTCTCAGTGGTAGAATGATCTTACTCCATGGAAAACAATGCATTTATAACATGCTAAGTGCCATGAAAACATATCTGTTCTTTCCATAAGCATATGTAAAATACAGGGGAAAAAATCACTAGCTTAAAAACAAGAGGAAAAACAATTAGAAGGGAGTTTAGAAGAAGCAGAAACACCCAAATGGTAACTA